>NC_000013.11:65908106-68408106 GCF_000001405.40 Homo sapiens
AAAATGTTTCAAACATTTTTTTTTTCTGATTGGGTTAATTTGAAAGGCTCATTTTCAAGCTGTAAAATTCTTTCTTCTGCCTGGTCCATCTACTGAAGAAGCTTTCAACAGTGTTTTCAAATTCCTTAAGTGAGTTTTTCAGTTCCAGAAAATGTGATTGACTTCTTTTCAAGATTTTTATCTCTTACTTCATTTCCTGAATTGCTTCAGAATTTTCACTGTGTTTATTTTCAATCTCGTCCTGGATCTCCTTGAGCTCCCTTGCAATCCATGCTTTGAATTCTTTATCTATCATTCCTGAATTTCCAACTTGATTTGGGACCATTGCTGAGAGCTAGAGTGATGTTTTCGTGGGATCACAACGTTCAAATTTTTTTGTGTGGGCAGACTTCTTATGTCGCTTCCTTCTCATCTGCAATAAATTTTGTTGGGTAGGGTAATTTTGGCTTTACTTGTATACTCCTATGCACTTCTGTCAGTAGGTTTTCTACTGGGCTGTGTGTTTCATCCTACTGACCAGTTGATGGCATTTGCAGGTAGGAGTCAGGTACCGCACAAGCTGGTGGATGTAGACTTGATATTTATTTACTGTGAGGTGTGCTCTTGTTTCAGGTGAAGGGCTGCAGAGTGGGCTGCTTGGTGCTCTGAGCTTCCTCTTCCATGTAGTTGGGGGACACAGCTGGGCAGAGCTTGAGCCCCTGACTTGCCCATGCATACCCTGATGGTGATCACAGGCACTAGCCCTCAGAAAGCTGACTGAGAGGAGTTCCTGGTGAAATGTGCTGAGGTCTCTTCAGGGGAGTGAGAAAGTTTCACTGGCTCACTGACCTAGGCAAGAATGTGATTTGTTTTCCTATCACACTCCTGTTCCAGGTCTCATGACTCTTAGTTTAGATGCACACTGTAGTCTACCTCTGTACCACAATATGTGGCTGAGAGCCATGGGGAATGCCTGTTTTATGACAGTAGGAGTGCTTTCAGGGCATACCCTCATATAGATAACTTTATGGCTCATCTGTTCTCCGATGCGGCAATACTACTGCTTCTTGTCAATGCTGGATGGGAGCTCCATCCTTGAGCATATGAAAGTGGGTGTTGGTTGTAGTGGTGTTGGGTGGTTGGGTCTGCCTGACCTCAGGCCCTGAGGGAAGTGGACAGGTACCAGCAAGTTAGAATGGAGTAGGTAGTTCTTAGTTTGTAGGCCCCTAGATGGCTGCTAGACATTTTGTATGAGTTCTGAAGGGCCTGGCTTAGAGTTTGGCTAGTTCAGAGTTCAGGGGCTGGCTATGATTGGGGTGGCAGGCTGGTCCTTGGGTCACTGGCTGAACTCTTAGGTAGGGGCAGGCAGAATGCTTAGATGGAGGGAATATCACAGGCCTTCAATGGTTGGGTTGCAGGGAAATGTTCAGTCAGGTTCGGTGTGACTGTGCTATGGGTCTTTCAGTGGGAAGGGCAGGACCCTTCAGCTGGAACAATGGAGACTGGCAGCTGTGGGGCACATGGCATCCTCATGCTTCTCTCCCATCCAAGTGATGCTGAACTTTCCTGGTGGGGACATGAAAAAATGCCAAGCATCATCTGTTTACTCTGGGAGTTTTGCCCCAGAGGAATGCAGAGCTGCCAGTGCTGGCAGAGTTCAGGTGAGGGCAGGGCCATTGTGCTGGAAGTCCAAACCAGTGAACCTTGCCTGGCTAGAAACAGCAGGGGTGGGGGTGGGGGCTGGTGGCTGGGGGTAGTTGCAAGGCCTACAATCTGGGGGGCTCCTAGGGGAATGCAGAGCTATGCCCACTGGCAATGTTCAGGCAGCGAGATCAGTGCACTGGAAGCCTGAGCCGAGCCTTGCCTGAGGAGGAGTGAGACAGTCTGGCTGCTCCTTGGCACTGTAGTTGCAGCCTCTATTTGGATCATGACATTTGGGTGCTCAGAAATCCAAAGCCTGTGAGGCTCCAAGTGGGCCTGAGTGGGGTCTCTGCAAAAACCCTAGTTGGCTCTCTGCATTGGTCTTGAGGCTGGGGAGTATGTGTGTTGGAATGGTCAGGGGGGTTCTCCTATGCCCAGGATTACAAAGGTCTGTAGTGGAAGTGTGGATTTACTGGGGATTCTCAGTCACTTATCCTTTCCTCACGTCAGGGAGCTTCTCCCATTATTGCACTGGTCCCCTGTGGGTAGTTATCCAGCTTCACCCCTCTCTGTTCTCTGTGGAGTCCCTCACTTTCTTGGTGAATCCCAACATGGTATCAGAGACAACCACGAGAAGAGTGAGTATCTAGTCACCACTTTGTTTTCTCTCCATGCAAGACTGGTGCATTATAGCTGCTTCTTCTAGGCAGCCATCTTGAACCCAATCTCAAAATCCACAATTCTTTAAGTTTAAGAAGAAAACATGCCTAAATGGAGTAATCAATTTTCTCTTACTAATTTTCTGTATCATTTTGGATTATTCTCTTAAGTGGTCTTAGCATCAGATGCCTTGTTTATAAAAAATGTTAATTAGATTAAAGCAACTTTAAGTTGTCTAATAGTTTTATAAAACTGTGAATTTCTGTAGGTAATCTTTTGTAGATAAAATGATCCAAGTCCCAATCCTTCCATTAGGGTCTCCTAAGAAGAAAATGTGGTATAATTTTTATAAGAAGACTCCTGTTCATAGACCATAAACTGAATTATCAGGAGTATATATGATTGGGGTTCCAATCTCATTTATGCTTTGATTCCAAAAAATTAGCAACAAAAGACTGCATTGAGATTAGCAATCAGCCTATAAGGCCCAAACCTAAAATACCTGGTTTATAAAATGGTGCAATCCCATTACTGGGTATACACCCAAAGGATTATAAATCATTCTACTATAAAGACACATGTGTCTATTGCAGCACTATTTACAATAGCAAAGACTTGGAATCAACTGAAACTCCCATCAATGGTATAGTGGATAAAGAAAATGTGGCACATATATACCATGGAATACTATGCAGCCATAAAAAAGAATGAGTTCATGTCATTTTCAGAGACATAGATAAAGCTGGAAGCCATCATTCTCAGCAAACTAACATAAGAACAGAAAACCAAACATCATGTGTTTTCATTCATAAGTGGGAGTTGAATGATGAGAACACATAGACACAGGGAGGGGAACATGACACACACACCAGGGCCTGTCAGGGGATGGCAGCAAGGGTAGGGAGAGGATTAGGACAAATACCTAATGCATGCTGGGCTTAAAACCTAGGTGGTGGGTTTATAGGTGCAGCAAATCACCGTGGCACATGTATACCTATTTAATAAACCTGCATGCTCTGCACATGTATCCCAGAACTTAAAGTAAAATGAAAAAAGAAGAAAAAGAAAAGAAATGTCCAAGCTGAAAGGGACTAGGTCAGAGAAGAAATTTACTCAGCTGAATGAGAACTTATTCTGAACTTAGTCCAAGATTAAAGGATTTTTATGACAAATGTTCTTGAGAGTGAAATGATGTGGAATCCCTCAACTTATCTGGAATATTCTTCCAATAAACCCAAGTCAGTTACTCAGAGAGGAAGAAACGTTGTAAAGCAAAGTTCTAGTGAGTTGAATCTGGAAAGAACATCAGAATACAAGGCCAATTTTAGTGCTCAACATTGGCTAAATAAGGTCACAGTGTCCACTAGTCTAGAGTAACCACTGGAGCACAGATGGGTCTAGAGCATGTCAACTTAGATTGGGGGAAGGAGAAAAGAGAAAGAGCACAATAAAAGAAAAGTTTATGGCCAAGAGGAGGCACAGAAACTTAGTGTCTGGGAAACATGCAATAAGACTCTCAGAAGAAATGAAAATAGAGCTACTAGGAAGATCATCGTGTTTGTATTGCACAATATTGAGTACTAGAAAAAAGGAATTTGGGAGCATTGTTTCATTGTAATAGCAAACCAGGAATATTAATAGGTGCTGTAGCATTAAGGACATTCTCTGGACTGGCATCAGACAAGTCTGCATTCTAACATTGGCTCCCTCACTTATGCCATCTGTGATCTCACTAACTCACCTTTCAGTTTCTTATTTGCAAAATACGGATATTGACAGCTAACATGACAGTTTTTTGTCATGATTAAGTGTGATAATATAACACAAAATAGGTACTCAATGATTGCTACTGCTGCTAATATCACTGCTGTCATTTCTTTCAGTTAAATGGGAAGTAAAGCAACCAAAGTTCCCAAGTTTTAATCAAGTAAAACATATTTCAGAGGACATTAAGTTTTTAAATGCCACAAAATTTCTCCATCTTCTATTCAGGAAGCTCCTCTTAAAGAATTTCCTTTCACCACATCAATATTTACCTTAAGTTTTTAGATCAATGAAAATATCAACTAGGTACATGCACATTTGCTAGGATGAGTGACAATTATTTCATTGATTCTTTTATTCCTTACCCTCTAAATTAATAATTGGGGATGTAGGTAAACTACAGCAAGTATGGGCCAATTTACCAAATTTTATTGCCTTGCTGACAAAGTCCTTCAAAAAGCATCTACAAATAACGTGGATTCAGAAAAAAGAATAACATGTGGTAGCCAAAACTACTCAATCTACAATAAGACAGATGCAGTTGAAAAACAGGAAGACCTTGCCACTGGTCAAAAAATCAGCGTTTAGTTTTAGTTCCTATGTGTTCTACTGAATTTTTCTCATGTAAGCTTGATTTCAAGTATGACTATATAATATATTTAGATTGAAACTAAAATGACTGATTATTAAAAGCGTTACCTTTGATTAAAAAATCAAAATCACATTTTAAATAGACTTACATCTTTAAAGTAAAAAAATATGTAACCACAGTGAAAGTTTGTAGAAGTTAGGACACAGATGGAGAAAAGCAAGAGGTCATATTCCAATGTATCTTTCTACCTGTGTTCTGTGTCCCTAAGTCTGAGATTAATATCTTCTTTGCTCCTTACTAAACCTTGTGAAGTAGTGCTTTGATGACCGCTTTATACCTGCAGAAATTCAGGCTCAGAGTTCAGGTGCATGTCAAAGGTAAATTAGCTCATAATTAGTTGAGGTAGCATCTCAACTTCAGTTTACCAAACCTCAGAGCTGATGCTGTTTCCACTATTCATTATGCCTCTATGTGCAAAGAGTAAGGAAGGTTATATTTTCAAAACCCTGAGGGGGCAATATATTATTTAAAAACAAAAATTTCATTTGTCTTAAGAATCCATTTACTGGCAAAGTTCATTCTTATGATCTAAGCTTTAGACTTTAGGAAATACATTCAGCATGAGTAATGTTCCTTTTCGCTTTTGAGTCATATCCCCAATGCCCTTCCTCTTGGCCTCCTTTTCAGCCACGAAAATTCCTATTCATCTTTCAAGTGGTGTCTAATATTGCTTCCTCTGTGAAGCCTTATTTATTCAAACTTTATATTTTCCCAACTACACAAAATATTGGATGCTTATTCTGTGGCCCTGGAACACAGGACATTTGTTTATGACAGTATTTCTCAATTCACTGTACTTATTTGTTAATACATCAGTTTTCTGTGACCGCTGCAGATAAGAGAGGCTGTGATCTCTGCAAGGACAAGGTTGTCGGTTTATTCATGTCTCTTTTTCTTTAGTGACTACCAAAGTGAATAGTATATAGTCGGCCAGGTGCATTGGCTCAGGCCTGTAATCTCAGCACTTTGTGAGGCTGAAGCAGGTGGATAGCATGAGCTCAGGAGTTTGAGACCAGCCCAAGAAACACTGCAAAACCCCATCTCTACAAAAAAATACAAAAAAAATAGCCAGGTGTGATGGTGTGCATCTGTGATCCCAGCTACTCAGGAGGCTGAGGCAGGAGGATTGCTTGAGCATGAGATGCAGAGGTTGCAATGAGCCAAGATCACGCCACTGCACTCCAATCTGAATCAAAGAGTAAGATCCTGTGTGATGGTTAATACTGAGTGTCAACTTGATTGGATTGAGGGATACAAAGTATTAATCCTGGGTGTGTCTGTGTGGGTTTTGCCAAAAGAGATTAACATTTGAGTCAGTGGGCTGGGGAAGGCAGATCCACCCTTAATCTAGTTTGCACTGTCTAATCAGCTTCCAGTGAATATAAAGCAGGCAGAAAATGAAAAGGAGAGATGGGACTAGCCTCCCAGCCTACATCTTTCTCCACGCTGGATGCTCCCTCCCCTTGAATCTCGGACTCCAAGTTCTTCAGTTTTGGGACTTGGATAGGCCCTCCTTGCTCCTCAGCTTGCAGACAGCCTATTGTGGGACCTTGTGATTGTGTAATTTAATACTTAATAAATTTAATATATATACATATCTTATTAATTCTGTGCCTCTAAGAGAACCCTGACTAATACACCCTGTTTAAAAAATAATAATAAAAATAGTACATAGTGTCTGATGACTAAATGAATTGTTTCTTGTTACATATTCTGATTATAAGAAATAAAATATTTAACTATTCAATTCACGTGCCCAGAGATGGAAGCCAAAAACAAATTTGAAGTGAGTTGTACTGTTTTCTCCTTTCCAGCTTCCTCACAAGTGAGAAGTCCCTAATAGAGACTTTGTACTGAATCTGAGTAAAAATAATTTCAGTTCTGAATAATCACTTTCCTGAAATTGATCTTTTACTTTTTTTCCTCTAATATTTGCAAAAAGAATGGAGAGTACCAACTTATTAAGAATATCTAATTACTTTTATTTTTCAGGCACTGAAAATGCTTGGATATCATACAGATAGTTTCATTATCTTCTTTTTAGAGGCACTCTGAATGTGAATTGCATCTGAGTCAGTCTATCCTTCCAGGAATTGAATTAGTTTTCCTCACACTCTCAGAGGAGGCAATGCATAACACAAGTTACATGTCAGGAGCATTCCCCAGAGATGATGATTTTGATTCAACATCCTACTGTTTCAAAAATATAGCAATATAATTTTAATATGCTATTGGGCATATATTCTGGTGGCAGTTTACCACTTCGAAAGGGATCAGATTAAAATGTCTTTATTAGAGGTCAAAATCAGCTACAGAAATTTATTCTAACCAAATAAATAATCTTATTTAGACTTTTATGTATGAAATTTATTACATTGGATCATTCTTGATAAAACTGCCTCACAGTAAGTACACAAGATAAAAATAAATACATAAATACACAAATGAATGAATCTTCTCTGCGCCCTTCCTATTCAAAGATGACATTACTGTCAGTGATTGCTATTTGTGTGTGTGGGTGAAGAGGAAAAGACCAATCTGTAACCTCCAGTCCCTTCCACACTGTGCACACATGGAGATTGTTCTTTGATTTGCAGCTGCTATTTGCAGAGCTTGTCACTGTTTGCAATTCTGTTACTTGGTATCACCTTAGGCCAGAATCCTCCAGCCTGAAAACCCCTCAGTTCCTGATTGCAATAAGCCTGTCTGCTCTCAAGATAGACTCTCATGAGAAATCACTGGAAAGTCTTTTCAGTACATATTTTTATGTTGCCTTCTTCTGTCCCTTTTCACCTACTATCCTATGGTTGCTGGAACAGGTTGTTCTCAGTAATTTTAACACTCATCTAGGATATTTTTTTTTCCTTCAAGTCATGGTCCTTCCATATTGGTGTCCTCATTGCACTGTTATGAGATAAATCATTTGTTTATATTAAAAACAAGAAATTGTTAAGGATGACACACCCTGTCCTGGCCTGAAGTTATTTGTTTGTTTGTTGTTTAAACAACATTCATCAAGGGACTCCGATAAAATGGTCCATAAAAGGGTGGGGGGCGGGGTGCATAATATGCATTGTGTTTCCAGGTTACATTCATTCAGTAACATTATTAAAGTTTATATTATTTTCAAGACACTTTGATAAATGCTGGGCCTATGAAAAGGTACAAGGAATAGCCCCCTTCCTAATTTACTGACATCCTACTAGAGAAGAAAAACCTATAACAAAAGACTATCAAAACCATGGGATAATATTGTATAAATTAAGGGAGTTGAGTGAGTAACTTTTCTGGTAGAATCCAGATGACTTTAAGAAGCACACGTTAAGACTGCCAACAAATGGTGCGAATGTCTGTCAATATCTGTAGAATGTGCAACATGAGCCCTAATGCAAACTATGGAGATGATAATGGTATGCCAATATAGGTATATAGATTATAACAAATGTACAACTCTGGTGTGAATACTGATGGTCATGGAGGCTGTACGTCTGTTGGGGCAGGAATATCTGAGAAATCTCTTTACCTTCCACTCAACTTTTGCTATGAACCTAAAACTGTTCTAAGACAAAAAGACTGCCAACAAAAAAAACACACACACAGTAAAGGCACTTTAGGCTTAAAGAAAAACAGAAATGAATGCAAAATGCAAACAAAAGTGCTAGCATATTAGGGGAATAATAAACAGTATAACCATTTAAAATAATATATATTAATTCTACTTTCTACCAGTTAGTTTAATTTATCATTTGAGGCTTTGCTATCATTTTACTACCTACTTTGGGTTTACTTGAATTAGTTTTTATTTTCTAATTGAATTTTATGCAACTGGAGAATATGAAAACTAAGTCCTAGAAACCTGTATAATTTTGGCAAGTGTGAATTATTGAAACTGTTTGGCTATATATAATTTTTCTCTCTTAGCTCATTATGTGGCAATATGTTAATTTTGTTATGTTTTGTCTCATTATTTTCTAAAACTGCCCAAATGCAAAACACAAACTAAACACAAATTAACTGTAAAATAATCAAATGTAAGACTAACTTAGGTACCTAGAAATAGTGCAAAATATAAAAGCTAAAGTTTAAAACAAATAAGGAGTAAGTCCTAACACAAGAGAAGAGATGAAATAATAAATTTATATTAAAAATAAAATTCCCAAGTGTTGTTTTGATTTAAAAGGCATTTTGAAAAGTTATCTTCTTTCTGCCAAGAACTTCAAAAAGGCTAACATTTAAAAAGACAGCCAAATAATCTAAAAGCCAGTGTATGGGAATATGGTCCCTACTACCATGAGTAAGCCTATTACACAAGTCCACTTCTATCTATTCATTTCACCCATGTATTGTGTGCCAGATTGAAGAAACAAACAAACAAACAAACAAACATTTCTTTGGTCCTGGATATTGTTTTTAAATTGCATTATTTACATTTCTTAGAGTTCAATAGACTTTACCCAAGGTCCACATAAAAAAAATGTGGATATTGAGCAATTCTAGTACCCTACCTCTCTTTGACCAACACAGCTCTGATCTTTTCTCTCATGTGTTTGGATTTGTATGTGAGGTGCTGTTTAACAATAGCAAGACAAAAAATGAAATAATAACTTGGAGAATGAGTGGAAAAAATATCAGGAAGGAAAGGAAAGAAAACTGCTAGGGGAGTAGAAAGGAAAAAAAGGAAAATGAAGGAAAAAGAGAAGAGGATAAGAAAAGAAAAAAAATACCCTATGAAAGCATAACACATCTAACATGCATTCATTTTCCTAGATAGAATCCTGGGGTATGTTAGTGATTGTGCTTCATATAGCCACTGAGCCCTTTACTTGCTCTATCTTGTTGATTATTTTCAGTAACTATTATTATTATTTATTATTTTATCCTACCTACCCAATGGTGTTACGGAAGACAAATCCTCCAGCACAAAGCTTTGGTTTGACATTGTTATGAAGGCCAGTAAAGAGACAGCAATACCACAGGCGGGCTTCAGGGACCAAGTATTGTTTATAACACTTGTAGCTGCCTTGCTTGCGCTCTTCGGATATCACAGACAGTCTGGGGAAGCAGTCCTGGCAGCACACATTTGCCTGCCAAGAAGCCCAGGAGGTAATGATTAAAGGCTCTTATAAATCTCTCTCTGAAATGCCTGAAGGCCTTAGTGGTCTGTAAAAGCAATATTGGTAAAGAACCAAGTATCAATGTTGCTGGCAGCAATACAATTTTAATGTCATTTTTAATATTTAGATTTATGACCAGACTCCTAAAATAGCAAACTAGCAAAATCATGAATTTCAATATGAGTTAAAAAGTATTATGAAGTTCATTCATTCCATCCCTTCATGTTTTATTTATTAATTTACAAGGTGATGAAGATGTAGTTATGAGTTGAAGACAAGCACTCTCTTCCTTTTACAGCATATGATTTGGTGAGAAAGACAGACAAGATGACAGAGAGACATATATTGGTACAGTCATAAGTGTTCAAAAACACAGAATCTGAACAGGGAGATCTAATTCTTCCTGGAGAAGGAGTGGTGTATAGGGAAAGCTGTTGGGAGTGACATTTAACCTGTGACCTAAAGGATGCATGGGAGTTAGATGATATAATAGGGCATAGGGATAAGCGTTATAATTAGAGGAAAGTATATACACAAAGGTTTTGCATAATGACTGAGCTTTTGAGGGAGCTGAAAGAAAGTGAGTAAACATGGTTGGAGCTGAGAGTATGAGGGAGAAAGTGGTCTGAGATGAAGGTGGGTCTTAGAGACAATCTGTGCATGGCCTTGCTGGCTCTGCTAATTCCTCAAGTTCCATGTTAAGTATAATGGATAGCAATGGTAGGTGCTCCACAAAAAGCTACATGCAGAACCACAACCCTGGTTGGGATTTTGTGAAAATGTTTAAGTTTCAAATTTTGGTGGGACACTGTCCTATGGGCAAGAAGGCTTGGGACCACATGGCCTCTCTCTGTATGGGAAGAGATACTCTCCTGAGGGAGGTGGAAGGCATATGGATTGGTCAGACGGAAGCAAGCTGGATTTCAGCCATGCTACCATCAGAGACGGTATATTTATTTCAGTGTTTCAACTGCACAATGGTACATAGCAGTTACCAACATGATCCAATCGTCTGCTTCAAGATCACGCTTTCGAAAGAGCAAGGTGTGGAAAGAAGTAAATCAAACCTAACAGTGTTATAGCAATTCAGGAAAAAATAAGTTTCTAGCTTAAACCAACTAGGATGCTAGCAGTAGGAATTCAGATAAATAGAAGAAAGGATCTTTTGGAGGTACGATTAACATTAAAATTAAGACTCCGTACAGGAGTTACAGAAAACCCTATTCTAAAAAGAAGAATAGTTTGACCTAAATCATGTTAAGAAACACGTAATAAGTGAAAGGAGAAGATTAAACATTCAACCCTGTTATAGTAAATAGGTTTTCATAAGATCTGCACTTTTAAGGACTTCCTGAGTGCTAGACAGTACCTTAAGTCCTTTATATGTACCATTGCAATAATCCTGCCAATACTACGAGATTAATAATGATGACGATGATCAGAATAATACATTGCACATGTAGCACATGAATAATTTTGTCTAATATCCCAACTTTTTGACATTTTGACTCATATTACAATCCTAAAGTTTGGGTTAAAAGGCGTGAGCAGTTTTCAAGAAAGATAATTAAGGCTCAGAAAAGCTAGGTGGGCACTTTGGGAGGCAGAGGTCGAAGGATCACTTGAGTCCAGGACTTCAAAACCAGCCTGGGCAACATGGCCAAACCTCATCTCTACAATAAATACAAAAATTAGCTGGGCATGGTGGCATGTGACTGTAGTCCCAGCTACTTAGGAGGCTGAGGTGGGAGAATCTCTTGAGTTTGGGGGGGTCAAGAAAGGTCAAGGCTGCAGTGAGCTGTGATTATACCACTACACTCCAGCTTGGGTGGCAGAACTAGAACCTGTCTCAATTTAAAAACAAACAAACAAACAACAACAAAAACAAAAAAGACAGAAAACCTAGGCGGCTTACCTCAGATCTCTCTTCTTGAATAGGAGTCTTTAGATTAGATTCCAAGAAAATCATTCCAAATCTACCTTTAAGACAAGAGTCCTATTTTTACAATAAATGAATAATTGAGACATGGGCACATTAGTAGGAATTAATATCAGATTACTTTCCAGGCAAAAGAACCCTGAGAAAAACAGATGCACTTAGAATATAAAGAATAATGACAACAAAGAGAGGGTAAAGGAAAACAATGCCTTCACCATTTTTTTAGCTGTGTTCTTTAAAACCTATAAGAAATATTCATGATGATTTATAATGAATATAAATATTATTTATAAATAATCTTTCCCATTTTCTAGAGTAACAATATTGATTGAGGTTGAGGGTAGCCTAAATAACAATTGTGGGAGCTATATTCAGGTTTACCTCAAGTTAATTATCTCTAGTTAATGTCAATTTCATCTTATTTTTTAAGATCAGGAAATTTATTTCCTACATCATTTGATATATCTTTGTCAATTAAACTGAACAATTTCAAGTTGACTCCAAGTCCCTCTTTTACTCTTCCTGAGTTGTTTGGTAGCACTCATATCATCTAGGTTCTGGTTTGATCTCTTTCTGATGAAAATATGAGAGGAACCAAGCGCAAAGATGTGAGCAGAAAGTCATAGGAAGCAAAGCACTCACAAGATGTTCCAATAACAAAACATTTCAGAAGTATGAAAAAGGTCAGAGTCAAGTATTTCTTAGTGTTATGAGAAAGAAGTGTAAAAAGTTGCCATGGGAAAAGATCTTTTCAATTCACAGTTTAGAAGGGAGATTTCCATAGCTTTCTTCTCATAGTGCCCATGAGTTCCTCCTGGCATCAGTAACATTCTCTGAAAATTAGGTTCTGAGTTCTGTAGGTGACCCCAGGATACCAAAGGGCTACAGCTGCCAAGGAGAGTGGTTTGGTCTTAAAATTATTAGAAGGAATATTAGAAATAGTATAGAAACCAATTAAAAAATGGTACACCAACCCACACAAATATAGTCACCTGATCCATGACAAAGGAACAATGGTAATACAATGGAGAAAGATACTCTTTCCAACAAACGATGTTGGAACAACTAGACATCCATATACAAAAAACAAAAGTGAATCTAGATAGAGATGTTACACTCTTCACAAATCAACTAAACATGATTCATAGACCTAGTTGTAAAATGCAGAATTATAAAACTCCTAGAAGATAACATCAGGAAAATCTAGATAACCTTGGGTTTGGCAATGCCTTTTTAGATATAGCACCAAAGGCACAATCCATGAAATAAATAATTGTTTAGCCAGAATTCATAAAAATTAACAACTTCTGCTTTGTAAAAGACATGGTAAACAGAATATGAAGCAAAGCCACAGAATTGGGAGAAAAATATCTGCAAACAATATACCTGTTAAAGGACTGTTATCTAAAATATATAAAAAACTCATAAAACTCAAGTAGAAAAAGAACAATCCAAAATTTAAAAATGTATAAAAGATCTAAACAGATATCTCACCAAAGAAGATATACAGATGGCATATCACTATAAAAAGATGCTCAGCATCATATGTCATCAGGGAAATGCAAATTAAAACAACAATGAGATATCACTATACACCTATTTGAATGCCCAAAACCTGGAGCTGTAACGACATCACATGTTGGTGAAAATGTGGAACAATAGGAATTCTCATTCACTGCTGGTGGGAATACAAAATTGTTTAGCTACTTTGGAATACATTTTGAAAGTTTGTAAAGAAACTAAATATACTGTTTCCGCAAGATCCAGTAGTCATGGATTGCTTATTATTTACCTAAATGCGTTGAAAGCATATGCCCACACAAAAACCTGCACACCCATGTATAGCACATTTATTCATAATTGTATGAACTTGCAAACAAACAAGATGTCCTTTAGGAGGTGAAGAGATAAACAAACTCAGGTACCTCCAGACAATGGAATAGTATTCAGTACTAAAATGATTTAAGTTATCAAGCCATGATAGATATGGAGTAACCTTAGATTCACATCACTAAGTGAAGAAAGCCAACCTGAAAAGGCTAAACACTAGATGGTTCCAACTATATTCTAGAAAAGGAAAAACTGTGAAGAGAATAAAAAGATCAGTGGTTGCCAGGGATTAAGAGAGAAAGAGGGATGAATAGGTGGAACACAGAAGATTTTAGTGCAGTGAATAGGAAGCAATATAACCATTTAAAAGAAAAACTATATGTACTGGGAGACGAGAAAACTCTTGTGACTCACTTTATTGCAATATTTGCTTTATTGTGATGGTCTGGAAATGAAACCACAATATCTCCAAGGAATGCCTTATTTTTAGTTTTCTTTCACTTAACAAGGGGTGTCAGGCATATGTAATATTTTGAAACTAAGTTTTTCATTTGTATTATGTTGCAGACATCAACCATAGTCTTGGATTCATCTTTAACTGTTGGGTAATACGGCACTGTCTGAACATACTGTTACAATATATTCCATGGATGTTGGATCCACTGATGAACATTTGAGTTGTTTCCAAGCTTTTGTTAAGTGAAAATTAGTGATACAACATTTCCGAACCTGTGTTTGATTGTATAAGTGCAAGAGACTCTCCTAGACATTCCTAGAAATAAATTTTCTGTGTCATAAAACATGAGAATAATCAACTTAAAAAATAATGCCAAACTGTTTCAGTGATAGATAACTAACTCTCCAATTGGTAATATATAAGAGATTCTACAGATTTCCACTACGTCTAACACTTGGTATTGTAAAATCTTAATGTTGCCAATGTAACAAGAATTAGACAGAAAATTACAGTGGTTTTGATGTTGATGTCACTGATTACAATGAAGTTATTAATAAATATCTTTTTTTGTGTGGTGACCTATGTAAAATGCCTGTTCATGATTTTTGTCCATTTGTTTCTGTTACTTTTCTGTGCATTTCTCATTATTTTTTCCATTTGCAAACACACACACACACACACGGAAAACCTTAGGAACTGGGCATGGTGGCTCATCTTATTCCCACAGTTTGGAGGCTGAGGCGGGTGGATCATCTGAGCTCAGGAGTTTGAGACCCACCTGAGCAATATGGTGAAGCCCCACTTCTACAAAAAGGACAAAAAGGATAAAAATAAAATTAAAATTAAAAAATAAAATAAAATAAAATAAAATAATAAAATAAATAAAATAAAATAAAATAAATAAAATAAAATAAATAAAATAAAATAAAATAAAATAAATAAAATAAATAAAATAAAATAAAATAAAATAAAACAAAATAAAATACCAGGCGCAGTGGTGTGGGCCTGTAGCCCCAACTACTGGGGAGGCTGAGGCAGGAGAATTGCTTGAATCCAGGAGGCGGAGGTGGCAGCAAGTAGAGATCCCACTGCACTCCAGCGTGGGTGACAGAGTGAGACCTGAAAAAAAAAAAAAAGGAAAAGAAGAAAGGGAAAAAGAGAGAAGGAAGGAAGGAAGGAAGGAAGGAAGGAAGGAAGGCCGGCTGTGTGCGGTGGCTCATGCCTGTAATCCCAGCACTTTGGGAGGCCAAGGTGGGTGGATCATGAGGTCAGGAGATGGAGACCATCCTGCCTAAGACGGTGAAACCCTGTCTCTAATAAAAATAGAAAATACAAAAAATTAGCCGGGCATGGTGGCACGTGCCTGAAATCCCAGCTATTCGGGTGACTGAGGCAGGAGAATCGCTTGAACCCGGGAGGCGGAGGATGCAGTGAGCTGAGATTGCGTGCCATTGCACTCCAGCCTGGGCGACAGAGCTAGACTCTGTCAAAGAAAAAAAAAAAAAGAGAGAGAGAGAGGAAGAAAGGGAGGGAGGGAGGGAAGGAAAGAAGGAAGGAAGGAACGAAGGAACGAAGGAACGAAGGAAGCCCTATATGTTCTATATGTATAGTTTGTTTGTTTCTTTGGGTTTTGTTTTGTTTTGTTTTTGAGATAAAGTCATCCTATGTTACCTAGGCTGGTCTCAAATTCCTGCGGTCAAGCAATTTTCCCACTTCAGCCTCCGAAGTAGCTGAGACTATAGGTGCACACCACTGCACCTGGCATAGTTTTGATATAAATTATATAAATATATGTATTCTATCTGTGTATAGGATGCCTTTTCACATTCTTTTAATGTGTCTTTTTAAAAAAACAGAATTTCTTAATTTTAATAGAGTCAAATTTGTTAAGCTTTTTATAGTCAACAAAATTTGTATCTTTTTCAACAAATATTTAACCTGCCGTTACTTTTCACCAACCTAATATTTCCCCCACAAGATCTAAGGGATATTTCAACTTAAAAAAATTTTTTTTACTGAGAAACCTAAAGTTTTGTATTTTGACATTTAGTCTGCTGCCTATCTAGAGCTGCGTATGATCTGAGGTAGGGATTCAGTTTTATCTTTTTCAGCTTGAATAACCAGTTTTTTACTTCTATATACCAAAAATCCCTTTAAGATATGATGAAAGATTCTCAAGTATTTATGGATTTTTTAGAATTACGAATCCTTTAAATATAAAACAGTGGCTTCTTTTTACCTCAAAGCAGGTAATACCACAGAAGTGGAAAATAATATGCAAGA
Source organism: Homo sapiens (assembly GCF_000001405.40). NCBI lineage: Eukaryota > Metazoa > Chordata > Mammalia > Primates > Hominidae > Homo > Homo sapiens. The sequence goes on from NC_000013.11 coordinate 65,924,426, forward strand.
AATAGGAAGAGTTGGAAAAGTAACATTTAAAAATAATCAGAGTTGTGAATTTTTTTAAATAAAACATATTCAGGGTCTGTTTAGTTACACAAATCTATTGAAAGAGGATGTTTACATTTGTTTAGAGGACTGTGGGGGCTCACCATGAGGATCTATAACCCTGAACACTTAACGTTGTCCAAATTGTAATTTAATAAATAAACAATATTAAATATTTTATGTTCAGATATTAAAGGACTCATGTTAAGATTATTTAATCTGAACATAATTAACTTTTCTTAATTTTCTAGAGGAAACTTTATTGAAGAGATACGAGGTGTGCAACATGCAATCTTTTTGCCAGGTAATGAGCAAAATTTGCTTGGTTCGAAATTCACATGATGGAGTGCAGTAATGACATTTTTACTCATATAAATAATAAATTCTAGAAATAGAGTTTTAAGAAATTCTTTGATTAGCACATAAAGTAGTAAATAATATTTAGCTGTTTTTGGATAGTTATTAACTTTGTTCAAATAATTTCTTAACTTCTGTTTTAACAATGATACTTTATATAAAATTTACAACTTACAAAATATATACACACATACTTTTTTTTTTTTTAAGATGGAATGTCACTCTGTTATCCAGGTTGCAGTGCAGTGGCATTATCTTGAGTCACTGCAGTCTTGCCCTCCCCAAGCTCAAGTAATCTTCCCACCTCAACCTCCTGAGTAGCTTAGACTATAGGTATGTGATATCACTCCTGGCTAATGTTTTTTTTTTGTATTTGTTGTAGAAACAGGGTATTGCCATGTTGCCTAGGCTAGTCTTGAACTCCTGTGGTCAAGTGATCTGCCCACCTCAGCCTCCCAAATTGCTAGGATTTCAGGCCTGAGCCACCATGCCTAACCATATAAATCTATTTCTGCACTAATACTACTGAATAGAAAGGATACCTTGCCAGGTTGAAAATCTGTGTATTATAGTGTCTCATATCTTTTGAATCAACAGGAGATATTAACTTACACACCAAAAAAGAAATAGTGCTAAAAATACATAGATTTAAATCTGTATGAAAATATACCTTATTCTCAAGAGCCAGAATGCTCTGCAGATGCTCATCCAAAAGACAGTCAAATGATCATTCAATGTCTATTTTTCCCTGTTTTTATATGACACAATATATTACTTCATAGCATAGCAATATATTTGGTTCATCACATTGAAATTTAGTGCTAACTACCCTGATAGTTTCCGTGTGCCCATAGAAATTATTTTCTGTTTTGAAAATAGCAGTGTAAGAAGGACTATATCTATTCCTTTCATTTCACTTTGAACTATAAGAAACGGAGTGTTACAGGTCAACAATATTTTCCAGTTTTTAAGGTGACTATTTCCCTGGTTCCTGTTAAGCAAGGATGAAATATTATTTCAAATATCTAAACAAAAGTATTTACCATTCATATCCTACCTTTAGCTGGGTGAGTCATTTGATGGCAATTTTCTATTATTTGCATAGCACATGTTAGAGTTTAGAAATAAACAGACATATGTCATTCAAATTTTTATAGGAAAGTGTTTAATTGCTGAGAAGTAAAACACAAAATGACCTCGCAGCATAATTATAAAAAAGAAGCGTAAACACGAAAACAAAGGGAACAGAAAGGCAATGCAATAAATATCACAATCAAACACTTCTTTCATCAAAATATCAGTTCCCTTTTTAAATTCTGAAGTGAATGCTCTAAATTTATTGTTGAGGCTGCTTTAATATTATAGTTTGATGTACTATCTTCGAATTGATCTGATGTTATAATCAACCTTGGGTCAGTAACAGAGACAAAATCCATAGCTTCATGCCACTTAACTAAATAAATATCAACATTCAGGTGAAGGGCTTTGGATTCTATGATTTTACACGTTCCTCACCTAAGTCTTATTATCAGACAATTTTGGTAATTGATGTGCTAATATAATTGTTCTCAACACCTAATTGGGTGTCAACTTTAAGTTCAAAAGGAGCTATGCCAAAGAAGCGTTTTTACGTTTCTCACTCTTTATTTTTCTGTACTAGTGAGTATAGAAGTCTGGTTTGAAAACAGTGATAATATCAGATAACTTCAGGGAAAAAAACAGTGTTTTAAAAACTTTTGGATGGATGGGCTGTAGTCTGAAGTACTACAGGAAGGGAATGCAAACTCGTAACTAGAGTATTTGTCAATTCCAGTTAGTGTAAAAAAAAAACACATACACCAAATCAATAGTGATGAAGCAGGATATTTCCCCGATCCCTTCGCGGGACTCGTGACAGGCGTGCGTGTGCCTCGTTTATTAAGCCTAGCGCTCTCAACTCCTTGCAGGAGGGAGTGTGCGAGTGAACAAGGCAGGAACTAGAGTGCAGGAGGGCTGGAACCAGCCAGCTGCTTTGGCGCGGTGGGATCAAACTCCACTACTCAGAACTACTGCGTTTCACTCCTCATGGGAGGGAGCATGCAGGTGAGCAGGTGCAGGAACTGGAGCTAGCAGTTTTGGGCACCTTCAGGAGCAAACTCTATGCAGGCCCCCTAGCAGCGTCCAGGTGGGGGCGCCTGCAACCTCTGAAGCCCCAGAGGATATGTTACAGTGCTCTTTTAGCTCTGCAGTCCATGGATGGCTTATATATTTACCTCTCAGTGAAACCTCTGCCTTTTCACATGAGGTGGCTGCCCTCCAGCAACAAGGGCAAAGGGCCAGCGTGACAGCCTTTTGTGTCCACACTTGTGGTTCCCGAGATCTTGCCTGGCATCCAGGAAAAGTGAGGTCGCAGTAACGAATTGAAGGATAGTAAATGTAGGGGATTTTATTGCCAATGAAGGTTACTCTCAGCAGGAAGTGGAGCTGAAAGGGGACAGGGTGGAAAGGTAACATTTCCCTGGAGTGTGGCCATCTCTGGCAGGATTCTTCTCAAAGTTATGACATCAAGCTGTCCCTCTGAAGTCAAGCCGCTTCTCTACAATGTCCAGCTGTAGTCTCTGACGTCCACCTGCTTCTCCTCTCTGCCGGCTTAGTCTGAGGTTTTTATAGGGACAGGATGCAGGGTGGAGGGGTCATGGGTAGTTTAGGAAAAGGCAACACTGGAGCAGGAAAACAGGGATAGAATTTCTCACTTTGGGCAGTGGGTTTCAGGCTTTTGGGTTTAAGAGTGGGGTTTCGCTGGGAACCTGCACTTTTCTGCCTAGAATTTCTCAGCCTCATGTCCTGGAAACCAAATGAATAAAATATATTGAAGAAAAGAGAGTGTCCAACTGCTACTGAAAGGTCAAATTCTACTGACAGTTTATGTATACGGGGAGGGAGAATTGACATTAGAGTTTACCAATATAAAGATCAATAGTGTTCACGGAAAGAAAAATTTTGATGAAGTAATAGGAGCAACAGTGGGCTTAACAGGGAGTGAAAATAGAAGAATTAGACACAATTAGTATTGACAACTCTTTCAAGGAGTTTTGCTTCAAAGGAGAGCAGAAGAATAAAGCAGTAGAAAGAAAGCAATGTTTTGAAGACTGACAATATAGCAATAAATTTGTACAGATGGAAATAATTCAATGAGGGGAAAGGAGTAGTGATATAGGCAGGAAAAGAATTGAAGGAATGTTCCTGAGTAGAGAAGAAGAGATGGAACCTAAGAAGGCCTTAGGAATACATAGTTCATCTGTGGAAGAGAAGTTGAATGAGGAGGGAAGAAAATTGTAAAAGGTGTTAAGAGAAGGGGAAATTAATGAACTAAGGAAATATGATTTCTAGTCAGCATTAAAAGCTCACATGAGGTTTGCAGTCATGAAATTAAAGTCAGACCACCAAGATGATATTTCTTTTTCCATACATGGTCTGTTGCTTTGGGTCCAGGTATAGAATATTGAGAAAATCAGACATATCAGGATTAATTTTCCAAGTGAGTACCACAAACTAAGAAAACAACAAGGAAGCTAGACATATTGAAAGGGATTTAAAGTGATTATTAACTATGAAATTTAAGCCAGATTAGGAGATAAATAAAAACTTCAAAGAAGCAAAAGATTACTAAAACCAGTAAAATAAGTAAATTGGAGATCCTAATAGTGCTAAAAGATTTTTAGAGTCAAAAACCTATGGGAGTGAGATGCATAGATAGGAAGTAGTTATCATGGAATGTGATGCATAAAACTGAAATTATAGAGAAATTGCAGTGAAGCAAGGTCCAAGGCATGACCATGAGGGTGAGTGACTGAGATAGAGGAAAGAAGGAGAATTTAAGAAATTGAGAATTCAATGTTTTCAGAGAAGTATCTATGTATATAGTATAATAAACAGGATTAAAATAAACAGGAGTAATGAAGAGAGTTACAGTAAACCAGGAACTAACAAATGGGGAAATGAGGAGGAATAACACAGGAAGCTGGACAAAACAATGAGGAACGGTAGGTGATTTGTAGTCCAATTACATGATATTCAAAGTTAAGTATTCATTATATGAACAGAACTAAAGACAAAAAAACACAGGATTATCTCAATAGATTCTGAAAAGGCTTTTGATAAAATTCAACATCCCTTCATGCTAAAAACTCTCAATAACCAGGTGTTGAAGGAACATAACTGAAAATAATAAGGGCCATCTATGACAAACCCACAGCCCACATTATACTGAATGGGCAAAAGCTGGCAGCGTTCCCCTTGAAAACTGGCACAAAACAAGAATGCTCCCTCTCACCTTCAACATAGTATTGAAAGTCCCATCCAGAGCAATCAGGCAGAAGAAAGAAATAAAAGCATCTAAATAGGAAGAGAAAAAGTCAAACTATCTCTTTTTGCAGATGACATTAATCTGTACCTAGAAAACCCCATGGTCTCAGCCCAAAATCTCCTCCAGCTGATAAACAACTTCAGCAAAGTTTCAGGATACAAAATCAATGTACAAAAATCTCCAGATCCTTAACTAATTGCATCTGCAAAGACCTTATTTCCAAATATGGTTCCATTCACAGGTTCTGGAGAACAGGACATCAACGTATTTTGGGGGTCGCCATTCAGTCCATTACAATAGTATTCAGTTCCCTCTGGAGACTCTAGGGGAGGATACTGCTGCATTCAGGACCCATTCTAACCCAAGATGATCTCATCTCAACTAATTCCATCAGCTATGACCCTATTTCCAAATAAGGTCTCATCCTGAGGTTCTGGGTGGATGTGAATTTGGGAGAAATACTCTTCAACCCACTATACCTTCCAGTGCTGACTAACGTCTGTATTTAAATAAACTCTGCAATTATCTCAGAAGACTTCCAGAAAGAAACACGTGGTGAGTAACATCTATATTTACATAAACCCTGCAGTTATCTCAGAAGACTTCCAGAAACACAGGGGGAGCATGAAACCAAACCCAGAAGGCTTAAATGAAAACAGGGATTAGGCCGGGCGCAGTGGCTCACGCCTGTCATCCCACCACTTTGGGAGGCCAAGGCAGGTGGATCACCTGAGGTCAGGAGTTCGACACCAGTCTGACCAACATGGTGAAACCCCGTCTCTACTGCAAATACAAAAATTAGCCAGGTTTGGTGGCATCCGCCTGTAGTCCCAGCTATTCAGGAGGCTGAGGCAGGAGAATTGGTTGAACCCAGGAGACATGACTCAGTGTCATGTCATTTCCAGGAGACTGGATGAATTTTATCACATGAAGAGACTGGTGTTTTTCTCACCCCTATATTTCCTATTGCCCTATAGATGGAATAATCTTTTGGGCCCCTTAGCAGCATATAGGCAAATTATGGATTCTCAGGTCTCATGAATTAATGTACTTTGCTATCTCCATCTTTGTTACTCTTGTGATTTTGTTGTTGTTGTTGTTGTTTTTTGAGACGGAGTCTTGCTCTGTCATGCAGTGGCGGGATCTCGGCTCACTGCAAGCTCTGCCTCCCGGGTTCACGCCATTCTCCTGCCTCAGCCTCCCAAGTAGCTGGGACTACAGGTGCCCACCACCATGCCCAGCTAACTTTTTGTATTTTTAGTAGAGATGGGGTTTCACCGTGTTAACCAGGATGGTCTCGATCTCCTGACCTCGTGATCTGCCCACCTAGGCCTCCCAAAGTACTGGGACTACAGGTGTGAGCCACCGTGCTCGGCCTAATCTTTTCTTAAATAAAATACTAAAGAAGTCCCAACCACTATATCATATTGCTATAAATTCATAATCACTTAAATGGCAATAAAAGCAAACAGAAAAATTTATTAGAGCCACTGGCAAAAACAGTGAATCTTGTGTAAAGATAAGTACCTTTATATGATTAATTTATTATGATATGATAAAATCCACTCTCACACACATTCTCATGATTCTCATTGATGCTTCTTGTCCAAAACCTGCAATTTTTTAATGATATAGGCCATTTTCTCTTAGCAGGGACTGTTATTCCTGTACTCATACAACTCTGACATGTTCTTATAGTAACACACCTAAAGCCAATTAAGAGTAGCAAAGGCAGATCTTAAGAAAAATTATCATCATTTTTGATACACTGATTTTAGTTGAATTGTTGCATGGGCTCAGGACAAATTATCTCAGGTGTATATACCTAAATGTCATAATCTCAAATCTTAGAAACACACTCATTCCCTAACATATCCCAGATTTCCGGGGCTGTGAAGAGGTACACTAATTTATAAGATGTATATTCTTCAAGGTACTAAACCTTGAAGTCTTCAGCAGATCAATGAATTTCCAAGAAAAGGGAGCCTGTGTGGCCTGACTAAATGTTCAGATATTTAATAAACTAATCTACAGTGGACACATTTTGTACTTTATCAGGATGTGATGATGAAAATTGCTCCCCTCGTGCTTTAAAAATATTAATACTAAAATACTTTCCTTTAATTTTACACTTATTACATGTATTAATATAGAACTTTTTCTCAGACTGATACAATGTCAGATTCTTTATTCTTTCAAGAGGTATCTTAATTAGATTTCATTATGAACTCCATACACAAGAGCTCGTTGGCATTTATCATTTAAGAAATACCACAAGTTGTAAAGCTGAGCTAGGGAGCAGACATTTATATTAGAAACAAGGAAAAAAAAACAGTTTTTGTAAGATGTTGATTCATAGTGAAAAATATAAATTCTGAACAGTTGACACATGGAAGGCAGGGATGGGTGCCTCTATTTTGTTAAAAGTAGAATGAAAATATATCAGTATAATAATTCAATTAAATAGGCTGTCATATCACAACTTTCAATGTGCCTCTTGGCTTGTTAATTTTTAATGACATAGTTATGTCAAAAATTAAAATAGAAATTCCATTTAATTTTTTCAAATAGGATCTCCATTCAATTTATTAAATTTCATTCAGTTCTTATGAGTAGTTTTGCTATGTTTTGGTTGTTCTTTGTTTTCCAGTTTTGTTTTATGGTAAAACAAAATCAAAATGTCACTGCAAGAAAAGGAGCTATGCTAGTTGATAGAGAAATAAAAAAATATAAAGAAGAGAAAAGAGAAAAAAATTGTACTTTCTTCAGAAATACAGTGTTTTGTGTTGTGAGATGACTCTGTTCTAACCCCTGATACTGTAAAATACTACTGCATGCAATACAAATGGACCTCAGATTGTAGGATTGAACCACAGACCCCTGGGCTTATTTAACAAAAAGTAACTCTCTTTAGCTTTTCCCTTTCCACTTCCTGGGGTCACCTTTGACTGCACTGAAGAAAGGAGCTCTAGAAGCACTCCATATAACTCCCTTTACACTACTGTCAACTCGTGTGGCCTCTCCTTTCTATCTTGCCTCTACTGGTGGTAGTTCGCAGATTCTGCTGTGGTTTCTTGGCAAATGTGTGAAATTTCTGTGAGTTTCACTAAAAGAATAAAAACAAACTGGTATATAATACTACCTAAAAAGGACAAGAGAAAAGAGAAGGTAAAGGAATTTTTACCTTTTATTTTTCCCCACTGTTGCATTGTGAAATACTTTTCTACTATTTGATATATTTAATTTAAATTTATGAAATCCCACTGGGGAAAAAAGTCTACAAAGCATTTACTCAATTCCGCTTAATCATGGACTATTATTCCCCCAACTCACCTCAGCCATTAAATAGCCACTCCCTTCCTTTCATTTCATCTAAGATTCACGTATTTTATAGGTCAAGTCAGCTTACGGACACTGAATTATAATAAGTGTCAGTCTAATCCTTTCAAAAGCCTTTTTTTAAGTATATCTTTGCACACTATAATTTCTTACCAACCAGAAGGGAAGTCGTTAGAAGCTGTACTTATTTCAAGTTATCAGGCAGAGTAGCAGGAAGGTAACATGTGTTTTACTATCTTTGTAGTGTTAAAACCATTTGCTATGCTAGTATGTCATAGAATAAGTGGTTGATATATAACCAGACTGTTTTCCGTGCAAACTATGTGCTTAAGAGAGGAGGCAGAGAACAGGCAAGGTACATACCAGCAGGCTGGAAACCCCTCAGCACAAATTTCTGAGCCTAAATCTTGTTGTAAAGGTCACATATTGTGTTATATAATTGTCAGCTTGAAAAGTTCTTTGATAGCTTGAACTTTACTACTTGTAAAAAGTGCTGGGCTGCCAAGTAGAGTACATTTTCCAGGTTTCTGAGTCCATGCTTGAGCTAAATAAAGTGTGACAAATCCCCTGAGGGCAACCCAGGCTTTTCATGCCATAGGCACCTCTGACTCAAAAGTTACAGCCTTAAAGTAATATAAGACGGCACAGCCAACTACAGAGGTTGCCTGAACCAGGAAGGAAATTCTCCTGAGATCATGTATATGTGACATCTCCAAAATGCTTCGGGAGTGACCATAAAATACAATGTATGATTTTTTTTTTCTATAGAAAACAGCTATTTTAATAAAATAAAGAGAATCCAACCATTTGGATTTGATTTTCTTTGTCCTGGCCAGCTAATTTAACTGACATTTGTAGGAATCCACTTTGAAATAAATTGATGAGTCTAAAAGGACAACTTCTAACTATGAACAACTAGCACTTAACCATTGGTTAAGCATCTCCCCATATCTCTGTTATAGAAACCTGACTATAAGCTATTTCAACATACACACACACACACACACACACACACACTTACACATATACACACACACACAGGCCTGCCTTTTGAAATGATTTTTTTAAACTATCATAACATTGGTATGTTTCTTAACAGTCGTTGACCAGCTTTTAAATCCAATTTTACCTGTGAATTTCTTATGAAAGTGAAATGAAGGTGTTTCTGACCTATATCCCTACAAAAAAATTGTTTCTTTTCATATTCCAAATATCAAAAGTTAGGAAGAATTGACTTCACAGCAACTAAGTGGCTTAAAAAGGTTAAGGAAAATGGTCAATATAAAAACATACATTACTGGGTTTCGCCAAAAGGAAGCCATATTCCCAGATGCTCTGACCGGGAAAATGAAACAGCTCAATGTGAGGCAGAAAAACCTCTCCCTTTCCATTTTTATTGCCATATTTTTCTACCCGTTTCTCACATGGCACACAATAACTTGGCCATTCTCTTCACGGTCAACTTTAGGAATAACCAGAGAAAGTAATATTGTCTATCCACTGGACAATAGGAAAGTTCTCCACCCTTAGCCCAATTCAAAGAGATGCTGTGCCAGGTGTCACAGGTTGTCAGTCCTGGAATCTCAGGTGTCCAGTCAGAGGAGGAAGGCCCATCAAAGCAGAAGTGGATATGAATATTCACAATGTGAAAACAGGAGAGTCAAGAGTACTTTGCATATCACTTAATTCAATTAGTCAGGTTTTACAAAATGATTTGTGCCTACAAATAACTTTCCAGAAATTTCTAGAGGAAAGAGAAGCAGTTGGTATTAAAATAAGTTAGAAAAATACATTCTTGTTAATTTGCCAGGCTCATTTATATATTAAAAACTTTGGAAAGTCACAGTAAGAAAAGCTGTATACTAGAGTTAAAGCAGGCATTTTTTCCAAATGCATTTAACAAATCAATCTCTTGTATTTTTTAAACAATACTTATTAGCATCCTCCTGTCCCATGAAGCAGGACCTGGGGAGGTTTGGAGAAGATCATTCCTGATGTGTGCTTGACTTTTGAAATCATGCCACTACCAAGATGTACTACAAAATGATCAAACAATATCAAATAACACTTGGAAACAAACGCTTTCTTTAATGGAAAAAGAGATAATCCACTTGTGATTTTAGTTCACAGATGTAAAGAACTGAAAAAAAGTATCCCTCCTATTTTTACAATAAGTGAAATCCTGGGCAAACTTCAAATTAATGATTTTCTGAATCCTATCAAAAAACTGAGGTTACAGAGCAGAGTAACCTAACCCGGAATCTGGAGAGGCTGCCAGCAGGTAGAAACAAACCCAGGCACTTGCTTAAATGAGATGATGCTACTGGATGCATCTGGATTCATCTAAGTTGGGAAGAAAATTCAGTGAGAAATTCTTAAAACTTGCTAACCTCCCAAGTGTGGGATTTTATGAGAGTGTAAAAGCACCCTCAGTGTAAAAACACCAAAAGGAGATGGAAAACTGTACTGATGGCCACAGACGTAGGTGGGGGTTCCCATCTCCTTGCAGGCTTTTTCTCCCTGGGACACCACCAGTTGCCAAATGAGAAACTTAGAGAGAACCCTAAGAGAGGAAGAGAGAGAAGAAAGTGGGAGGGATGTGGGAGAGAGAAAGGAAGAGACAGAAAGAAAGAGAAAGAAGAAAGAGAGAAAGAAGGTGAGAGAAGAAAAAAAGAAAGAAGGAAAAACACTTACAAGGAAAATAAAAACTGTAGCCTGAAGGTTCTGGTAGAAACTTTCTATAGCTGGAAGAGGAAAGAGAAACCCCAACTGAGCCAATTAATCTTTAAGGGTGGCCTGGATTCAATAACTCATTTGTGTTAATTAACGTAGGCAAGGTAAACTAATAACTTCATAGAGAAACAGGCAGAGGCCATCTTTTTTAAAACCAAATGATCAAGTTTAATATCACCAGTAGTAAGTTGTGTTGATATCATGTTCCCTGATAAACTGCAACAAGAAGGTAAATTCGCCTAAGTGCTATTTTTTTTAAAATCTTAACCTCAAGCTAACAATGTGAAAACCCAAACTGATGACCATTCTATTAATATTTCACCAATACTCTTCAAAATTTTCAATGACATTAAAAAGAAAGACTTGAGCAACTGTCACAGATTGGAGGAGACTAAGGAAACATAATGAATAAATGCAATGTGGTAAACTAGATTGGATTCTGGAACAGAAAAATAACTTTATTGAAAAAACTAGTGAATACTCAATAATGTTTGTAGTTTAGTTCACAGTATTGTACCAATGTTAGTTTCTTAATTTTGATAAACACATCATGGCTATGTAAGAGGTTAACTTTAGGGTAAACATCAGTAAAAATGTAGAAAAACTCCCTATACTATCCTTGCAAATCTAAACATCTAAAATTATTTCAAAATAAAAAATTTTAAAGACGAGTGGTAATAACTTAATCCCCCCGCTGCCATATCTAATGGAATCTTATAAGACACACTTGCTTATATTTTGTTTAGAATGGCAGATAGAAATAATGATGATATCTACGTTTTTCCTACTTTATGACTTTTATATTTTAAAAATATATCAATGTGCTGAATCAGAAAAAAAACAGGAGTTCATAAGCTGAATTAATTATGAGCAGGATCTTTCTTCCTCATACCTTATTCATCTGTGTTACAGTATATGAGTCCAACATGATGTACTCTTATTCCTGAACATGTTTCATTTCCATTTACATTTTCACAATTTGACATTTCTCTTTCCTCTCCGCTCTTCTCTTCTTGTCATATTTTTAATATTGCATGCTTTTTTCCAGCCTGTATACCAGTGCTATTTAAAGGAAAAGAATTGCAGTGAAGTAATAGTTTGACGGCTCCTGAACTGCAGTGTATACTCCTAGATGAACCAAAGGTATTTTAAAAACCTTGCCATACTTTATATCTTAACACTTGTCATAGAAAGACAACACTTAGTGACACTGGTTGAAAATCCATGTTTGGATTTCATTGTCACATCATTTCTCTCGTTCTCTTTTGCAAAATGTCTTCTAGATTGATAAATTCAAGCAAAGCATGAGAATTATCAGACTAAAAATGTAAGTATGTGAATGGTTCAATATACATGTAGACAAATGCAACATTAACTTAAATTCTGGTGGCATCATATAACTGCAAACTAGAATTTAAATTAAAATTCCCAGTCTCAAAATGTAGACACTAAAAATTGAAATTACATATTTTAATTTAGTTTATTCAAAATCACAGTAATGTTTTACAGATCTTTATGTGGAACAAAGTGTGGTGACACTGATGAGCAGAATTAGTATCATCTGGGAGCTTATTAGAAATGGAGACTTGGGCCCCACCCAGGATAGACTGAGCCAGAAGAATATGCATATCAATAAGAAAGCCAGATCATTCAACAAGCACATTAAATTTTGAAAAGCACTGCTGTAGACAAAATCCAATGTGCTTTATAGCTATAAAATTAAATATTGCTGTATTTGTAAAAGAATACTGTTGTACTGTGACCATTAGTTATTGTATGATTTTGAAACATGAATATGATACACTATTACAGATGAATGAGTTGAGATTACAGCAGGATTCAGAGATAAGCAGAACTGCCAAAACTAAGCCTGGAAGATTTAAATTATTAATGAGGTCTTGATAGATGTAATTTACTACATACTCTCTGGTAAGTATATATCCTTTTAGACTCAAATATGTAACTGATTTGAAAAGGCTATAATCATCTGCTGGAGTTGAAAGTATTGTTCTCTGATCCAGTAAAAGAATCAGGTGACCAATACATTTGTTTTGGTATATCAGGAATTGAATGGTTACCTTTATTTCCTGGTGTAGAATGGCATCAGGAGTGCAGAAGAAGTAGGAGACATCACTGAAATCAGAACAGCCCTTCAGAAGCAAGAGAGTGTCTGTATTTATTACTATAATTATAGTTACTAACCCTTAGTGGAGGCCAGGCATGGTTCCAAATGCTTAATATTTATTACCTCATTTATCCTTTCTAACAACCCTAGGAGAGTGGTATTATCATTGTCTCTATTTTACGGATTCAAAAAGAGGGGGAGAGAAAAAGTAAGCTATTTGTTCATGAGAGTTCATAGTAGAACCAAGTTTTGAAATCAGTCTGATTTTAGATCCTCACTCGTAGCTGCTATCCTTTCCTTATATATATTGGAAAGTCACCATTTTAGCTGATTTTATTATTTACTAATGAAAAGTTGACTTATGACTCTTCATAGCTGATAGTTTTACAATATGTATCTTGATTTGCCAAATTTCTACATTGTTTTTGAAATTTAAAAAATTTCCCTATAGAGAAAAATATGTATGTGTACACATATATATTTCTTACTAGAGCTATTCTTATACTAGATAGCCATAATAATTATAATTCTCTCTCTCTCTCTCTCTCAGTGTGTGTGTGTGTGTGTGTGTGTGTGTGTGCATGTGTGTTTAATCATAAAATTGAGAGGATAAATAACAGACAGACTCTCCTGGAATAAAGGTGCAAAGGGTGAGTATTGATGAGGAAATTGAAAGAAAGAATATATATGAGAATTTAAAAAAGAAATTGCTTCAAGGTGAAATTACATGAGCTGGGAGAGGTAGAAAGAAGAGCTAAGGAGAAGGAAGAGAAGGTTATAGCACTGTTTTGTGTACACATTTCCCCTGGAAAGCAGGAATACCAATGTGGAGGCACGGGGAGAAGGAAACAGGGCGGCCCATATTAGAATCTTAGGAGAAGGTACATGTAGCTTGAATATACACATTTGATATTTCACATTTTTTTTAAATATAAAGAAATATATTTCTGTGACAGAGCCCCAGATATCAACACATTCTTAATGGGTAGTCCTGATGGGTAACAGAAACACTAATTCTAAATTAGTCCCACGAATACCCCTTAAATGCTTGCAACAGAATCGGAGGCAGAGGCAGGGAATCCTTGACATAAAAAAGTAAAAGTTGTAAGGATATGATTGTACATGTAGAAAATACTAAGGAATTTACAAAAACACTACTAGAACTAATATGTGAGTTTAGTTAGGTTGAAGAATACAAGGTCAGTATGTAAAACAAAAAGTTTGTTTCTATATACTAGCAATAAACAATTACAAATTACAAATTTTAAATGTTACTATTTATAGTAGCATTAAAACCTTGAAATACTCAGGGATGAATTTGACTATATATACATATATGTATGTATATGTATGTACGTATGTATATGTACGTACGTATGTATATGTACGTACATATACATATATACATATATATATGTGTACACACACAATACTTATAGTCTGAGAACTACTAAATAAATGGAAAATATACTGTGTTCTGGGATAGAAAACCTCCATATTGTTAATATTTGTCGATTATCCATGATTTGGTTTACAAATCTAGTGTAATCCTAGGCATTTGGATCTTAATACTCATGGTTAGTGTTAGCTATTGACCTGAAAGTATCATTTATTTTATATTTAACCTTTCTTTTCATTCATAAGTAATCACTGATTCAAAAATTTCTCTGAATATACATGTATGTATTAAAGCCAAATAATATGAGTGAAAATAAAATCCAAATTTTTATCCTTAAAAAGAGATTTCTTTTTTTATTTACAGAGAACATGGATTTTAAAATGTTCAGATAGACTTCTTTAGAGAATAAAGGTGGAGTAAATACTGAAACCAAATTTTAATTTTAGCAACCAGTAAAAGCTGTCAGGCCAGGGCAGGGAGGTGGAATGTATCCAGGGAAAAAGGCCTGTCCACCTGGCTCTTCACATGTATAACACATCCCAGAGCTACAGGACTTAGCAGAAATTGAGCTGGGGGAAACTGGGTTGGAAGAAGGGATGAGTTCAACTTGACTAAAAGTGGTGTCTCAAGTAGGCAGCATAGGCAGCACCAAGCTTCTACATAAAGAGGTACAGATAACAATGCTAGAGGTGAGAACAAAATAGTCAATCCAGTGAAAACTGAATTATAAACCAGCTAGATATCTCAGAATAGTACAGTAGAGAATCAGGATATGGCATCTCTGAAACTTTGCCAAAGTATTTGCTGCTCTCAGCCAGCTCTTATTGGCCTGGTTGTCATGCTTATCTCTCGAGGAACTTTTTTTTTTTTTTTTTTTTTTTAAGACGAAGTCTTGCTCTGTCGCCCAGTCTGGAGTGCAATGGCGTGATCTCTTCTCACTGCAACTTCTGCCTCCTGGGCTCAAGTGATTCTCCTGCCTCAGCCTCCTGAGTAGCTGGGATTACAGGCACCCACCACCACGCCCAGCTAATTTTTATATTTTTAGTAGAGACGGGGTTTCACCATGTTGGTCAGGCTGGTCTCGAACTCCTGACCTCAGGTGATCCACCCACCTCAGCCTCCCAAAGTGCTGAGATTACTGGTGTGAGTCATCGTGCCCAGCCCATCTCTAGAGGATTTGAAAGGCACTGCACATCCTCAAATATTTGGAGAGGAAAGAGGAGTCTTATGAGGTTTACAAGGTCAGTAAAATTATGCTTCATTGTTTATAAATGTTCTATTTGAAGTAACTTAATTAAAATAATTCCCTTTTCCCTGTTCCACGATAACATGCACTACATGTATGGAAAATTAATGAAATGCTATCTTTTGGCTAGACAGAAATTGTCATTATTACTGCAAAAGATGAATCTTAAACAGTATTCTAGAAAAAGAGCTGGACTGAGAGCCAGGACCCTGGCTTTGCCATTGTGCTCCTGGGCATTTCACTTATTCTTTCTTAGATTCAGTTCTCTCATCTGTAAAATGAGCAGGTTGGGCCAGATAATCTCTGAGGCCTATTCCACATCCATAATTGTACAAATCCATCATTATTATCACTACTTAATGTGAACAGCTATCTTGTCAGTGTATACATATACTGATTCAAAGCTGTTGGCTTAATATAATGAGACTTTAAAAAATGTCTGTTTAATTTTTCATAGAAAGAAAACTGAAGTAACGGATTGAACAAATTTTAAAATAATGTAATTTAGGATGCTGATGCTTTTATTAGAATAGATAAAACATGGTTTGATTTCCTATAACATCTATTCATGTTGCACCCTCTTCCAATATTTTCATACAGATTTTCCCTCTGCCAACAGCAGTAACCAATTTTAATTGAATGGGGGAAAACAGTTCTGATTGTCTATGTCATTCTATTGGATTTCATATCATTGAATTTCAAACCAGTTTCACTGGGACCTGCCAAGAGTGGCTTATGCCAACCTCTGAGTCTCCTTGTTATACTTCTATCCTGGGTAGCATTGTTTGCCTTTTTGTCTGCTCTCTGATTAAACTGACATCATTTTGCCTTTTGTGACTCTGGTGTCATTTTCTGTTGACAGTGTCTAGTAACGGTAACAGAGTGGTGTCCTTGTGGAATGGGTAGCAGCCATTGATTGGTTAGGTGTATTAATGCTGGCCTGTTAAATGACATGCAGACGTGTCTTTGTGCTAAATGGCAGCTGAATGGGTGCCAGCGAGAGAGGTTATTAAGCACAGATAAGAGGCAGCACCTCTATTCACTGGCAATGTCACTTTCTCCCATTTGAGGAGAGACATTTGTTCAAGACACTTTTTTTCTCCTCTCACTGACAATACGTAAGGCAGAAAGTTGGTGTCTACGTTGCTGCATGGCTGCAGAATAGATTGTTTCGAGAAGGTGAACTCTGGAAAGGTACATTTAGAATGGTTTTTACTTAAAACTGTATTTCAATGAATGTAAACCTTCAAATAACAAAACTTAAATTGTTAACACTATCAGAAAAAGCAATCGAAAGCACAGTGAAAACAGGTGTCACTTATCATTGCTCTTTATCATTTGGAAATGAAGAAATAATTTTATCTTCTCAGGTCTTTAAAGAAAATATTGCCTTTTAGTATTAATATTATAAAATATTAAACATTTTGAAATAAGCAAACAGCAAAATATAACAGAACTATAAAACTTTTCAAAATAATTTAAGAATAAAGTGGTGAAAATATTCTTTGTTTTCATTTTATTGCTTAAATTTTCAGGTATGAATTGTATATGGTTTCAGATATCAGGTATATAACAGACTTAACATTGTACTTACTATTGAAAGCCAAAAAAGTCTTTCTGTTCTGAGGAAAATGTCTTCAGTTGTCCTCTTCCCGTTACAAATTAAGCAATGCTGACATTTTCTGTTCAGGTTTAACTGATACTGGCTAGGCTTGTTATTTGTGGTTTTTGCTTTACTTTGAAATATTCCCCAAATCCTAACTTAGAATCAATCACACTTTAAGAGTTTAGCCTGTTGCAATGATTTATCTCCTATATCTTCCTTCAGTCTCCAAATTTCTATGAACATACTCCTTTTTGTCTTAACATAAAGCAATTCTTAAGATTTGCTTATAGAATGTATTAAATATAATTACTAAGTTTAAAACATTCTGCTAGGCACTAAGGACAGAAACAAATGGACAAATATTAATCCCCTGCTTCCATTATGTTACCTCTTTGAGCCTCTATTTTCTTTTCTGTAAAATGAGAATTGCAGTATATCAAAAAGTTGTTCAGGGGTTTTAAATGAAATAGTGTATAGGAAGCACATAGCTCATTGCAGGATGCAGAGTTAATGATTACTAAACATAATGTCTTTATCCCCAAACCATCATAAAATAATTAAATCACAACCTCTAGGTTCTACTGTGTTTGAACCATGTATCAGATTTGTCCAAGAACCATTCCTTATAGATAATAATCAAGAGATCAAGAAGTGAGATACGATCTCTGACATGTTTATTCGTAACTCAAATAGAAGACAGCAGTCGAACATATACACACGAAGAAATATATGTGTATTATTTACTTGGTGACTGATATGTAATCTGCACTGTTGTTATTGTTGTTGTTTGTTTGTTTGTTTTCAGAGACAGGGTTTAATTCTGTAATCCAGGCTGGAGTGCAGTGGTGTGATCATAGTTCACTGTAGCCTTAAACTCCTGGCTTCAAGGGATCCTCCCAACTTGGCCTCCCACAGTGCTGGGATTACAGGTGTGAACCACCACGCTTGACCTTGCACTGCTTTATTTATGACTCTCTAAAATCTAAGTCTCTTCACCCATTGGGATGATATTTCATTACATCATGATAAAGTTTTAAGACATAATTATATCAAGAAATTCATAATTATAAATTTTAAGGTCTTTAATTGCCTTTAAAATGGTTTATGATTTTCTGCATATCCTCTTGTGCATAAAGTTTTGGAAACTTCTTGATCATAGGGGCCCATTTATGTGCCTAAATTAAAAGAAAATTCAAATTGTTTATTAGCTGCTACTGTAGATGTTACAACGTTCTCAGGTGTATTATTGTTTCTCAAGACCTCAGGTAAGATTTGAGTTAGTTATCTTAAACACATATTTGGGAGGTTGAAATGGATTATAAATTGTTCACTTGAAACTCAGTATATTTTGGCTTGAGAAACTACAAATTATAATGATTCTCAGAACCTGATATTAATAATAAATATATTTTTATTATGCCATGAATTCTTAATGTTTTCCAGAATATTGGGTATTGTTTCTTATACTTTTAAAATTTACTCTGCCAAATATAAATGTGCACACATCATTTTTATAGCTTTTGAAAGCACACATTGTGCTTTCTTAAGTACATAGTTTACTATTATCTGTAATAATAAGTCAGACTCAAAGAACTCCAGCCAGAACCTTTCCAGAAATAGAGAATGGCAAGATGCCACAGTCAGCTGTAGAACCTGTAGTAAATTTTTTTGAAAAGCAGTTTTAAAATGTGCTTACTATTTCTTTAGGCACTTACTCTCCTGTGAGGCAGAGGAATGAATGTTTACTCTGAAAATTTAATCTTTGTTGAGTAGTTTGTTCTCATACTTTCTTACATCTGGCCATACGGCTATGATCCTGAAATAGGATTTCATCTCACCATGTATGGTATGTAAGAGTATGCACCATTATTTGAGATTATTTATAAAAATCTAAACAGCATTATATTTTCAGTTACAGAAAGCTTGGTAATTTTAGATAAATAATATGAATTATTCTACCTGTATAATAAACTTATACCCAAAATAAAATCCTACTTTTTGTAATAGCACTGTAACTTTTATGCAAAAGTATGAACTCAAAATACATAAAACCAAATTTGTGCTATTTTATTTGGTGCATGTTACTCTGCTCCATACATTTCTCAGTTTGGCTCTGTTGCAAAATGCGTAGAAAATATAAAATTTAGAAAAAGCCAATGTGCCATCTCTGTGTTACTTCAATCTCTGCAATGCTCATATCTGGCTGACATAAATGAAATGGCATCTGTTTCTTCAGTGCATTTGATAAATAGGTTTGGAGTAATTTCCTGATGGATATTTTGGTTGGTAAATTTCCAGTTGTTGCAAGAGCGATGATGACTCTGACACTCTTCTTTAGAGGTAATTAAACTTTCAGCCCATCTGTGCAGTAACTTTCATAATATTTTCAAAGGGCACAGAATGCTTTTAGTGTTTGTACTACTTCGTTTTTGCTTGCTAAGGGACCTATTATCTAGCTGAACATTGTTGAAACAAGTTTTTCAAAAAATGGTTAGTAAAAGAGGACATTAAAAATGTCACACTAGCAAGAGTGTAATGTAGCTAATGCTGAATTTAAAAACAAACTGAAGGATACCTTGTTTACCAAAACTACACTTCACATTTTTGTGTTAGGCATTTTATCTTTGACTCTATATGCTATTCACTCCTGACGTGAAATGATGAGGCCCGGATATGATCTTTCTTGTTCTGGAGATATTATTTTCTTCATTTTGAGAAGGTTTTAGCTTTTGTGTGTTGCATTAACAGAAAATCATATTAAAATATGTAAACAATGAGTTAGACACAGAAGAAAATATTTTTATAAGATTGGATTATCAATTGCTTAAAATAGCATACAACACTAATGGTCATTGTCTCCAGAAGCTAAATTTCAATGTATTCATTAAGTATCTAATGGCATCTAGATAGAAATAAGGTTTTAGAGAGTATAAGAACTTTTATATTTTGAAATGTTGTCTTACTTCTTCATTTTTTCTTATTGTATGTGTTTATTGCATGTAGCTTCAGCATGAAGAAAAGGCCAGTGCAGTGGCTCAGGCCTGTAATCCTAGCATTTTGGGAGGCGAGCTGAGCAGAATGCTTGAGCTCAGGATTTCAAGACTGGCCTGGGCAACATGGTGAACCCCATCTCTACAAAGAATACAAAAATTAGCCAGGCATGGTGGTGCATGCCTTTGGTCCCAGCTGTTGGGTGGGACTGTGGAATTGGGGGGCGCTGAGGTGGGAGGATCACTTGAGGCCAGGAGGTCCAGGCTTCAGTGAGCCCTGATAGTGCCACTGCACTCCCACTTGGGTAACACAGTGAGAACCTGTCTCAGAAAAAAGAAGAAAAAAATTGAAAATTAAAATCTTCTCTAACTCTATGTAATTAATTATCATCAGTTTAGTTGTGTAAGAGCTAAAAAGCCTACAGACACAAATTAAAATTACCCTATGCATTTTCTTTTGCTATCTGGTCTTTTATTTTATTATAAACATTAAATTTTTTTGACATAACTTACTCAAATTTTTAAAATTAATATTCATAATTTTTATTTGTAATTGACACATTATATGGGGTGCAGTGTGATGTTTCAATGCATGCATACATTAGATAATGATCAAATTGGTGTAATTACCATATCCATCACTTTAAATATTTATCATTTCCCTATGACGACAACATTCCAAATCTCCTCTTCTAGCTATCTTGAAATGTACATTACATTGTTATTTGCTATAGTCACCCTGCTATGTAATAGAACACCAAAACTTACATTTTCTGTCTAACTATGACTTTGTAACCATTGACCAATCTTTCCTGGTCCCCCCAACCATTTTATGCCTGACCTCTGGTAACCACTATTCTAACCTCTACTTCCATGAAATTAACATTTTTAGGTTCCAAAGATGGATAAAATCATTCAGTGTTCTCTTTACATGCTTGTTTTATCAAAAAAAAATTTTTAAATTAGTAACATGTCTTTTGATGTTTGCATACACTTCTATCAATTGGGTAGAACTTATGATTTAACCAATCTCTTTTTATTGGTAATAGGATGTCTATCTTAGGTGGTTTGTTCATTTATATGTTCTCTTTTTTAGGATGTTTATACATTTTTTGTTTTTTTGTAAGAATTTGATAAAATAAGCAGCAATCCTTTTATGTGTGATGCATATATTTAATTCCAAATTATTTGCTTTTTAATATCATCTATGATGATTTGGGATATACTGTAGTTTATATAGGCAAATCTTTCCATCTTGATTCTTCATTACTTTATATAATTCATGTATGGAAATGTCCTTTTCATATATACAGTAAAATTCATCCATAATTTCTTCTGTTATTAATACATTTCTATTTAACCAAAAAGTACTTAATTTATCTGGAATTTATTTCTGTGCAGAGAATGAATCATCATTGATTCTTTTTTTTCCAAAAGTATCATAATAATCTAAATGCCATTTATATTAATCTTTTCTCTGCTTCTAGTTTTCCACTTTCTGTGGTTATTAGTGATTTCAACCTTTATCATTGTTCTGGAGTCATTTTTAATGATTTATAAATTCATTAGCATCAAAACAGAGCTTCTAAAACTTTCAAAAATACATGATTGAAGTTTTATAATTGAAAACTAAATTACTTTTGATGAAAGAAGAACACAGGGAATTCAAAATCTAACAAAAAAGTTTTAAATAAATAAGTTTAAATTACAAGTGATTGGGATCAAAACCAGTGAATTCAGTATATATTAAGCTATGTTCAAGTGCTGCTGAGTACACAGGTCTCAAACAAGAAGAAAATATGGTCCTTTCTCTTAAGACACTTCCAAAGAGATAATGCCATTTTAGAAAGATTGTGATCGGATTGATGCATGTATAGTGTGATGTGCAAGCATTATCCTTCAACTCAACTTGGCTTTCAAAACAGGCTTCCTGGAGGTGACATGTTTGTCATGAGTGATGATGAGTGAATAAGTATTGCAGGAAAAATAAACAAATAAAGGTGTGGCTGACTATAAACAATGCCATAAAATGAGTAACATAAAGTTTAAGGAAAACGGAAATTGCAATATTGTCAACTGTATGAGTTCAGCTACTCTTATTTGGTCATCTGGTAAATAGGAGAAAGAAAAGCGTAATTGTTCCCCAAATATCTATCGAGTCATGAATACTCTTGAGTGAAATAATAATTGGGAAGAGAAAAAGAGAATAGGAATGAGAATGTAAGTGCTTGACTGATAACTATTCTCATTTTTTATAGTCAATATTTAGCCTAATTTTATAGTCAATATTTAGCATAATTTTATTATGGAGATCATAATAAAGTTATAAAATCCAATGTTTTATTGACTTATTCAAAGGTTAAGTTTGACCCCAAACTGTGTTTTTTCCAAGTATATACAAGCATTGAGATTCCTAGAATTGACTCTTAATAACAAGGTCAACTCTCTTGGCAATAAAATTTTTAGCCACACAATATTAGTTAACGCAGAGTTGATCAGCATAAGCTGAATAATCTTTTATTCTAGCTCTCCCTTCAATATTAGTGAAACTTACTGAGCTTTGCAGAGAACTAGCCGTGTAGCATCACACATGCATAGAGAAAGACCACCAATTGCTTTTTAAAACTAGGTGTTTGCAGCAAATAGAGTATCACTTGATTATAAAAATACTCCTAATTTACCTTTAAATTAAAAAGCAAGAAAAAGTCACAAGGATGAGGTAGCTTTGTTAGTAATAGCCATTCCACATATAATACTATACTAGACTTGAGGAAACTGAAATCAAAAATTATTCCTGAACTCATACAACTGACAATGTTTCTTTATTGTAAAAATGGGATAAAGACGGATACGGCTTTTGCCAATGTTGACTTTGTTAACAGACACACACAATGAGTTTTAAATTATGTCTCTCCATAATATGTAATTTATTATACTTTTAATGTTTACTTTGGAAAAATCAATGAGTACTGATATTGTCATAATTAACAATATTAAATGTATGTGTGTACATGTAGTTTACTTCTTTTAATAGTTAAATTACTTTTAAAACCAAATTACATGAATCTTTTTAGGTTCATGTATCATTCTCTTTTCAGAATCATTTCTGTTTTTCTTTTTAAAATAGCAGCTACCAAGAGATGCCACTATATTTCATGATTTCATGATTTTAATTGTTTTGGAAAGAAGTAATATATATATATATCTTGCCCAATGAAAATAAACTGTTGCCCCTTTACTGTAGAAAGGGTTTATTCCCTATTCTTTCCTCCACCTTTCAAATTCTTTGTGAAGAACACGTGTGCTGATCGTCAAGCACTCTATAAGATTCAAATGTTCAGCAATATTTTTTCTCTAAATCTACATTTTACACCAACTATTCAATTTCTTTTATTTTCTCCCTTCATGAGATAAGAAATGAATAGTGAGTGACATGCCTTGAATCTGACTATAAATTTTAGCGAAAACAAGATGTTATGTTTTGAGGGATTGTGCTGCAAGACCTGGCTTGAAGTAGTGTAAACTGCTCCAGACCCTCATTTAGAAGAGCTTTCACAGGCTTTTCTAATAATGTGTATATACTGGTTTCTTGTTTTCTGGTGAGTAAAGGAAAAAATAAGATATGTCTCACTGTTCTTTTGAGAAATAATAACAAAAAAATACAACTGACCCCCTCTCTCAACAACAAGTTTCAAATAATTAGGCACAAAATTTAGTGATAGGCAGAATGAGCAATCTCTTTGTAGGTAAGAATCCTATGTTATAGAAAATTAACATGAATCTAGGCTGCTCTTTAAGGATTTTCTGCTTTATTTTCTGAACTGTCTTCAGCAGTGGAAAAGGCAAACTATATTTGGCAAGAATCTCACTTTTGAATGGTTACAAATATGAACACAATTTACTTTAATTACCTTAACATGTTTCAAGTATTAAATGTGATTCATTATTTGCATCAATTTTCTACCACTTACTATTTTTTTGTACCTTATTGACTAAATTTTGCTTAACACATTTAGCCAAGTTGACAGAAAAGAAGTTCCCAGCAGTGCCTTACTTCATTGAAGGAAAGCCACTTTATTTTTCCCACAGAGATCGCACTAGAAGTTTAGCATTTACATTTCTCAGGAACTTTAATATTCTCAGCAGGGTGAAAATAATTGTTTCAGGTATTTATTGCTGTAATAAATCAATACTGGCCCCAAATAGCTGAACATGTAGAGAAGTTATGCCAAAACAACACCATCCCGTGTCTTAGAACAACCATTAATCTACACTTGTTCTTTTCTCTTCTCAAACAAGTGAAAAAACTAGGTTTAGTCACAGTTTTATAAATTGACTGAAATTGCTTTTGTTTTTATGCAAATATAAAAAATGTACACATTTTAACTGTAGATATGTACGTTTTTCAATGAAATATATCAGATTGTTAATTAAAAATAAATTATGTAATATAGTAGTTAATTACAATTACTATAGAATTGTCACAGTGGATCATATCTGAGAGCTAAATTGTTTTCCAATAACCAAGCAACTTGACAAAAATCAAAATCTTTGATGGATATTCAGCTACTGAAAGAAGCACACCAATTGGTAAGATGGTTGATTATGTGGTTAACAGAATTACATTCTTACTTATATTAATTAAAATCTACATGGTTCGTTACTATTACTTCACCTCTGTGCTGGTTATACCTTCGAAGAGCACACTGTTTGAGCTACTCCACGTTCCAAGACACAACCCTTACTGAGAGACACAGGAAGAAGGTGAGGAGGGGTTCAAGGGACTCTTTGCCTTTGCCAATATGAAAACTCATGCTATAGTATGAGGCAAAGTTAAAAACAAGGCAGTAAAGGGATCAGGGCAATACTAATTCAAGGAATGCCAGATTGAGGTAGCAAAGTGGTATCCAGAGCAGAGACAGGTTTGCAGTTACATAGAAAGCAAGTCCAAGAGGTTGGGCATGATGGCTCACGCCTGTAATCCCAGCACTTTGGGAGGCCAAGGCAAGCGGATAACTTGAGGTCAGGAGTTCAAGACCAGCCTGGCCAATATGATGAAACCCCATCTCTACTAAGAATACAAAAAATTAGTAGCCAGGAGTGGTGGTGCGTGCCTGTAATCCCAGCTACTCAGAAGACAGGAGAACTGCTTGAACCCAGGAGGCAGAGGTTATAGTGAGCCAAGATCATGCCACTGCACTCCAGCCTGTGTGACAGAGCAAGACTCCGTCTCAAAAAAAAACAAAAAACAAAAAAACAAAAAAAAAAAAAGGAAAAAGAAAGCAAGTCCAAGAAAATCTGGATCAAAGGTAGAAAGCAAGTTCTCAAACAAATGCCCACAGAATTGAACACACATTTTTGACTTATTTTTATTAGATAGTCAGGTAACAATAAAAAATGAGTTAGCCTAGTTCAAAGAAATTGTTAGAGTGAACTCACCTGAACTTTCTCCTGTTTGACTGATCTCTGGTTATTATAAAAATATCCCATGTGACATGTGCTAATATATCATGCTGTACAGAAAATGAAGTATCTAGAACTAGATAAAATATTCCAAAAATGACTTGATCCGTCTATAGTCCAGTAGGATTAAACACATTTCTTTGTATTAATAAGAGCTAACACATTCCCTAGGCATGGTTCCATGAGCCTTCCATCTACAGAACCATTTTCTGTCATTCTCTAATCCATAAAACTTTAAAAAC
The DNA here is from genome assembly GCF_000001405.40 of Homo sapiens. NCBI lineage: Eukaryota > Metazoa > Chordata > Mammalia > Primates > Hominidae > Homo > Homo sapiens. The sequence continues at coordinate 65,950,310 of NC_000013.11, forward strand.
TGAAAGCGTTTCTTTAATGTTTGATGCAAACTTGTTTGCTGCAAAACCTGATTTGAATCATAAGTTGGAAATTCATAGACTTTATTTATCCCACTTTATATGAATATAGTCAGCTCTCACTATGAAAATATCAAGGTGCCTTGTAACCCATTGGGAATTCTTCAGTGTAAATAGCATTTCACCTTTCTAAAACTGGAAAACTTTTAAATCTAAAACAGCTTTGGGCCTTAGGGTTTCAGAAAAGTGATTTGAATCTGTACTCACGCATTTAACTATCAAAATGAACACATGAGTTGTGTGCTCTATTAGTCTGTTCTCACACTGCCATGAAGAAATATCCGAGACTGGGTAATTTATAAAGGAAAGAGGTTTAATTGACTCACAGTTCCACATGGCCGGGGAGCCCTCAGGATACCTATAAGCACGGCAGAAGGGGAATCAAACATGTCCTTCCTCACATGGCCACAGCAAGGAGAAGTGCAGAGCAAACGGGAGAGGGTGGGAAGCCCTTTATGAAAAAGAAAAAAAACAAATCAGATCTTGTGAGAACTCAGCATCAGGAGAACAGCATGGAGATAACCACCACCATGATTCAATTACCTCCCATTGGGTTCCTCTCACAACACATGGGGATTATGGGAACCACAATTTAAGAAGAGATTTGGGTGGGGACACAGCCAAACCATATCACATACCGTGAGTGAGTTACATGTATATTGTGTGAGTTTCCCAAGGTCAACAAGCTAATTAACGAAGGAGCCAGGGTTTGAAACATTGCAATCTGGTTTAATAGTTCATTTTCCCACTTCTGATATTTTATTAATTACCTAAAATGACACCATATAAGGGCCTCAATAGCTGAGTGTGATACATTCTATCATTAAACATTATCTAGTGTCTTTTTTTCTTGACTACTGAAGTTCTTCATCTATCCTGTAAAATCCACATTTCTAATTTTCTTTGATTTTGTCCAACCATTTCTATTTCTTTAAGCTTTACTGAACATCTTAGGAAAAATATTTAAATATTTTACTAAAGAGTTCCAATACTTTTTGTTTGTTTGTTTCAATTACCAAAGGTGATTTTTTTTATTATTGTTACACTTTAAGTTCTGGGGTACATGTGCAGAACGTGCAGGTTTGTTACAGAGGTATACACGTGCCATGGTGGTTTGCTGCACCCATCAACCCGTCATCTACATTAGGTATTTCTCCTATGCTATCCCTCCACTAGCCCCCAACCCCCTGACAGACCCCAGTGTGTGATGTTCCCCTCCCTGTGTCCATGTGTTCTCATTGTTCAACTCTCACTTATGAGTGAGGACATGCAGTGTTTGGTTTTCTGTCCTATTCTGGAGGTAGTAAGTATGGAAGACAGATAAAAGCAAGGCATTCTTGATTTTTTTATTCGTGGTTGGTATGTTTTCTGCAAAATATTTTAATCAGACGTGGGAGAAAAATAAAAATAAGATGTTGGAAAATCTCTCTCTCTTTAGCAAAAAGAAGTAGAAAAATATCACCTATTCATCTTTATTTTTTTATTTTGTCTCAACTTTAAAATTTTTCAATTCTCTCTTACTGGAGATAAACTCTTGACAGCAATGGCATTGTAAAGTTTGAAACAATTTTATGTTGGCAGCCTCATTTAAAGACATATATGATTGACAAATATACATGAATATATTCATATATATTATTTTAGTGCTGCCACAAACTTAAATATCATGGTGTAAATAGCAGCAAAATAATTACTTAGTAAGCACTTCATCTTTTTCAGAGCTAAATTTAAAGTATATAACTCTCTATGGAATACAACTCAATTATGCATTGGTTTTACATGTATTCCATTAACTATTCTATTTTTTTCTGTCAAGTTATTAAGTTTCTTTTTCAGAATAACTTCAGGCTAGAAATACACTTTTGTCTATTGCCTTTAGTAGATAATTTATATTCTTGTGATTTGTTACATTTGCATATTGTACATTTATAGCTACACTTACACACTAAAAAAAAAGATTAGATTGCTTGAGAAGTTAACAAGCTTATGAAACTAGTGCATTGATTAAGAAATTTATTCCCTTATTCAATAATTATTTATTAATTTTTCTACCATGTGCTGAGTACTCCATCAGCCCTAGGAATATACTAAGAAATTAGAGCCAAATGGTCTCTGGGGGTAATGAAGCTTATGGTCATTTTCCTATTTTATAAAAAGCACAGGAATAATACAGAACCCCTTTACATTTTTTGTCTTCCTAAAATAAATTTCTAATGTTTAAATCTTAGAGGCCTATGTTAATACTGGCTTGCTAGAAGAATATCTATTCTTTCAAAAAGGAAACTGAGTAACTGAAATTAACATTTACTATTGAAATATTGCTGGAAATTGATAGCAAAAGTTTTTCTCCAAGAAGTCAATATTTTAACAAAATGGGATATGTAGGCATTTATATCTTATGGGAAGAAGCTAAAGGAAGCTCATGTGACAGTCATGCTTTTTAAAAATGTTGTGAATACTTGCTGTATGTATTTTGAAGTGATGTAATTGGATAAATATATGTTTTAAATTATTATATTTTTCTGAGGAATTAATCACTTTATCATTATGAAACCTCCCTCTTTGTCTCTAATAGTATATATATTTTTAAATTCTATTTTTATTTTTCTGACATTAATATGAACACACATTTTAATAACATATTTTATTTTAGATTCAGGGGTACATGTGCTTGTTTATTTTGTGGGTATTACACATGCAGTGGTGGGGGTTAGCCTTCTAGTGTACCCATCACTCAAATAATAGACATTATATCCAGTGGGTAATTTTTCAACCCTCCCTCCTAGCCCTTTCCTCTTTGGAGTCTCCAGAGCCTATTTTCCCCACTTTTATGTCCATGTGTGCCTTACATGGACATAAAACTCTCACTTCTTATAACTTCTTATTGTAAGAACATACAGCATTTCATTTTCTGCTTCTTTTAGTTCACTTAGGATAATGGCCTCCAGCTCCATCCATGTTGCTGCAAAGGAGAAGATGTCATTCTTTTTATGGCTATGTAGTATTCCATGGCGTATATATACCACATTTTCTTTATCCAATCAACTGTTGGTAGACACTTGGGCTGGTTCCATGACTTTGCTATTGTAAAGAGTGCTGCAATAAATATATGAGTGCAGATGTCTTTTTGATATAATAATTTATTTTCCTTTGGATAGATGATTAGTAGTGGGATTGATGGGTTGAATGGTAGTTCTATTTTTTATTCTTTGAAACAAATCCATACTGTTTTTCATAGAGGTTAAACTAATTTACATCCTCATGAACAGTGTATGAATGTTCCCTATTCTCTGCATCTACATCAACATCTGTGGTTTTTTGACTTTTTAATAAAAGCAATTCTGACTGGTGTAAAATAGTATCTCAGTGAGGCTTTAATTTGCATTTCTCTGGTGATTAGTGATGTTCATTTCTTCATGTGTTTGGGCAGAAGCTTTTTAGTTTGATTACATCACATTTGTCTATTTTTATTTTTGTTGCAGTTGCTTTTGGAGTCTTTGTCATAAATTATTTGCTTAGGTCAATGTCCAGAAGAACTACCTAGGTTTTCTTCTAGGATTTTTATACTTTCAGGTCTTATGTTTAGATATTTAAACCATCTTGAGTTAGTTTTTATATAGGGTGAGAAGTAGGGTCCAGTGTCATTTTTTCTGTATATGACTAGTCATTTTTTCCAGCACCATTTATTGAATAGGGAATCCTTTCCTCATGGTTAATTTTTGTCAACTTTATTGAAGATCAGTTTGTTTTAAGTATATGGCTCTATTTCTGGGTTCTCTATTCATTTTGTTGATCAATGTGTCTATTTTTATACCAGTGCCATGCTGTTTTAGTTACTGTACCCTTATGGTATAATTGGAAGTCAGGCAGTGTGATGGCCCTGGATTTGGATATTTTGGTCAGGAGTGCTGTGGCTATTTGAGCTTTTTGTTTTTGGTTCCAGATGAACTTTAGAATTTTTTTTCTAATTCTGTGAAAACTGACAGTACTTTGATAGGAATTGCATTGAATCTACATATTGCTTTGAGTAGTGTGACAATTTTAACAATATTGATTATTCCAATCCACAAGTATGGGATATTTCTCCATTTACTTGTGTCATCTACCATTGTTTTCATCAGTGTTTTGTAGTTCTCCTTGTAGAAGTAGTTCACCTCCTTGCTTAAATGTATTCCTAGGTATTTTATTTTTGTACTTGTGGCTACTTTAAATGGGATTGAGATCTTAATTTGGTTCTCAGCTTGAATGTTATTGTTATATAGAAATGCTACTAATTTTCAGACATTGATTTTGTATTAGACTTAAGTTGCTAATCTGGTCTAGGAGTCCTATAGAGCAATCTTTAGGATGTTGTAGGTATATTATCATGTAATCAGTGAACAGAGATAATTTGACGTCCTATTTTTCACTTTAGATGTCTTTTATTTTCTCTTGTCTGATAGCTCTGGCTAGGACTTCCAATCAGAAGAAAAGTGGAGAGAGTGGGTATCCTTGTCTTCTTCCAGTGTGTAGGGGAAATGCTTTCAACTTTTACCCACTTAATATGATGTTGACTGTGGGTTTGTCATACATGGCTGTTATTATTTTGAAGTATGTTCCATCTTGCCTAGTTTGTTAAGAATTTTCTCATAGAGAGATGTTAGATTTTGTTGAATTCTTTTTCTGCATCTATTGAGGTTATCATATGGTTTTTGTTCTAAAATCAGTTTATATGGTGGCCCATGTTTATTCATTTGCATATGCTGAACCATCTTTAATCCCTAAAATATAGCCCACTTGATCATGACGAATTATCTTTTGATACGTTGTTGGATTCAATTTGCTAGCATTTATTGAGAATTTTTGCATTTATGCCCATAAAGAATATTGGCCTACAGTTTTGCTTTTGTTTTTGTTTTTTATTGTGTGCTTGCCTGATATTGGTATCAGGATGATATTGGATTCATGGAATAAGTTAGGAAGGGATCCCTCCTCCTCAATTTTTTTGAATAATTTCAATAAGATTGGTATCAGCTCTTCTTTGCATGTCTAGTAAAATTTGGCTGTGAATCTGTCTTTTCTTGGGCTTTTTGTTGTTGTTGTTGGGAGACTTTTTAACTATTAATTCAATTTCATTGCTTGTTGTTGATCTGTTCAGGGTTTTTTTTCTTCCTGGTTCAAACTTGGAAGATTGCATGTTTCTAAGAATTGATCCATTTCTCCTAGGCTTTCTTGTTTGTGTGAAAAGAGGTGTTCATAGTAGTCTCTGATAATCTTTTGAATTTTTTCTGGTATTTGTTGTAATGCCACTTTTATCATTTCTGATGGTACTTATTTGAATCTTCTCTATTTTTTTTCCTAGTTAGCCCAGCTCACAGTCTATCAATTTTGTTCATCCTCCTGAAGAAAAAGTTTTTGTTTCATTAATCCTTTGTAACATTTTTTTATGTGTGTCAATCTCATTTAGTTCTGCTCTGATCTTTTTACAATTCTTTTCTTCTAATAACTTAAAGTTCGGTTTGTTCTTGTTTTTCTAGTTCTTTGAGGTACAAAACTAGGTTGTTAATTTGAGAACTTTCTATATTTTTGATGTAACCATTTAATGTTATAAACTTCCCTATTAGCATTGTTTTGGCAGTATTCCAGAGGTTTGGGTATATTGTATGTCTATTTTCACTCTTTTAAATAATTTTTTCATTTCTGCCTTAATTTTATTGATTACCCAAAAGTCGTTCAGAAACAGTTGTTTAGTTTCCATGTACTTGTATAGCTTTGAGAGCTTCTCTTGGTATTGATTTCCGATTTTATTTCACTGTGGTCCAAGAAGACACTCGGGAGGATTTCAAATTTTTTTGAAATTATTGAGACTTGCCTTATGGCTGAGCATACAGTTGATTTTAGAAAATATTCCACACACAGAAGAGAAGACTGTATATTGTGTAGTTGTTGAGTAGAATATTTTATAGTTGTCTATTAGATCCATTTGCTCTATAGTCTGGTTTAGTCTGTTTATAGAAAATATAGTCTAGTTTGTTTGTTGCTTTTCTGCTTTGATGATCTGTTTAGTGATGTCAGTAGGGTCCTGATGTCTCCCACTATTATTATATTGCTATCAGTCTGTTTCCTTAGGTCTAGTAGAATTTGTTGTATGAATTTAGGTGTTCCAGTGTTGCATGCATGTATTTTTGGAATAGTTATATCTTCTTGTTTTACTGAACCCCTTATCATTACATAATGCTATTCTTTATCTTTTTTTAACTTCTGTTTGTTTAAACTCTTATCTAATATGAGAATGACTACTTTTATTTTATTTTATTTTCCATTTGTGTGACATATCTTTTTCTGTCCTTTTATTTTGAGTCTGAATGTGCCTTTGATCAGTAGGTGGGTCTCTTGTAGACAGAATATGTTTGGATCTACTTTTGTATTCAATTTGCCACTCTTTCAAGTGGGATATTCAGGTCGTTTAGGTTCAAGATTAATATTGATATGTGAGATTTTGTTCTCTACATAGTGTTGTTAGCTAGTCATTTTGGAGTTTTGATTGCATAGTTGCTTTATAGGGTCTGTGAGTGAGAAGCAGTAGGGGCAGTGGTCACACAGTATGCAATCTGCTTGCTCTTCAGTACCATGGCTGTGGCGTCTATTCCGGTGACGTTCAAAAGTACTTTGTCTTCCTTCTTGGCAAGGCAGTGGCAGCTGGTGCTGGGATATTCAGGGATCAAAGGCCCATGGGGTTCCATGTGGGCTTGAGTGGTGCCTGTACACAGACTCCAGGCAGTTCTCTCTGTTAGTCTGGAATCCTGGGGAGGCCAGGGGTTGTCTCTCATGGTCAAGATTGCAAAATTCTTTGACAGAAGAGTGAATCCCCAGTGATTTCTCACTCTTGCACCCTTTCTCTGCACTATGGAGCTTCCCCAGGCATTGCAATGGTCTGGGTGGGCAGCTGCTTCACTGGGTGTACCTTTGCTGCTTCACTCCTCTTTGCTCTCCATGGGTCTCATTTCTTCCCTGGTGAATCCCAGTGTGATCTCTTAGACAATCTACTTGCCAGGTTAGTATTTACTTGCTTCTTTCTTTCCTCTCCTCAAGTGAGATTCACATTAGCTGCTTCCAGTCAGCCATCTTAAACTGGAACCCAACACAATTTCTTATGTTTAACATTTGCCTACTATATATTTTTCAACATTTTATTTCTAACCTGATTGTATCCTTATATTTAAATTGGATCTATTGTAAACTGTTTTTTTGTTTTGTTTTTATCTGCTGAACCTCTATCTTTTGACTGGACTATTAGGTCTGTTTATATTTAATGTAATCTATGATATAGTTGGGTATAAGTGTACTATTTTACATTTATTTGCCATTTGATATTTATTTCCTTGTTCCTAATTGAGTTAATTTAAATCAATTTTTATTTTTGTCATTCAAGTGTTCTCCACTATTGGCTTGAATATACCTCTTTTGTATTATTATTATTATTATTGCTACTTTAAGAGTTAAAATATACATGGTTAAATTATTAGAGTCTATTTCAAATTATTATTATACTACTTCACATAAAATAAAATAAGTTTAGGTATAATTTAATTGATCCCCATCCCCTGTACTATCATTATTTATATTTTACTACTATTATGTTATAAAGCCTACTATGCATATTATATTTTATTTAAATAGTCAATCATTTTCTAATAATTTCTGAGGTTTTACAAAATATTTACTCATATATTCATCATTTTGAGTAATCCTTTTTCCTTTATGGAGATTTAGGCTTTTATCTGTGATTATTCCACTTTAGCCAGAAGAAATGTTCTACTCCTTGTTGTGAACATCTACTGGTGACACAAATCTCAGCTTTTGTATATTGAAAATATCGTTATTCTGCCTCTAGCTTTAAGGACATACTTTAAGTGGATCTAGAATTTCCATTTGACAGGGATTTTTCTTTTCCTCAAGGCATTTTGAAAATGTTATTCCATCATGTACTCTACTACATTTTTTGGAAGAGAAGGCAGTCATCTTTATTGTTGTATATTAAATATAATAGACATTAATTTCCTTCCCACTGCTTTTATAATTTTTTCTCTTCCCTTTGGTTTTAGCAGTTTGACTATAAATGCCTATGTATGAGTGTCTTGGATATTCTGAACCTTTAGAAGATATGAGTTGTTTTTCTATCAATTTGGAAAAAAATAGCCATTTATATTAGGTTAATTTTTGTACCTTACTCTTCCATCCCTTTCTAAAATTCTAATGATATATTTAATATATAGTAGATTGTTTGATTCTATCCCACAAGACTTAGACTTTCTGTTAGTTTTAATTATCTTTTTCTCTACATGTCTTAATTTCTGTGATTTTAAATATGAATATTTTTTCTTTGTCTTGTCTTCTTTTAAGCAGTATCAATGAATTTTTATTTAAGATATTGATGTTTTTAGCTATAAAAGTTTGTCGGTTCTTCTCCAGTTTTGCAATTTTCTTGCCAAAATTTTCTGTTTTCATTCATTTTGTTCACTATTTCTGCAAATTTTTAAAATGTATTCATAAGACATATTTAATACCCTTGTCTACAGATATCACCATACAGATTAATTGTGGGAAATGCTTGTATTGACTGTTCCTTCCCTTGATTATATATTTTGTTTTTGCTTTTTCTCATATTTCATTTTGTTTTGCTTTAAACATATGCAGGAAATTATTACAAAGTATGTTATAAAAGATTTGGTTTGTGTTATCTTCCTTTGAAGAGTATAGAGCTTTAATGTGGTAGGAACTTACTGCTGGGGGATTATTTTTTATTTTATTTTATTTTTATAATTTGGGGTCTTGGTTAGAGGGAGTTATTTTGTTTTTTACCATAGTTCTAGGGCACAAATGTGGCCTTTCTAAGATTTTGACTGAATTCCTGGGTTGTTCACCAATAGAAATCTTTCCAAACATATCTCTGAAGTTGCTGAAATCTTTGCCTCACTCTCAGCCCTAAGCAGCTGTTTTTCACAAGGCTTATGGAATTGCACTCTGTGCATGGGCTGCTTATTATTCACCAAAGAGTCTGATATCCTGCCCTGCAAATTCCAATTGCCTTAACAAAGCTAAACTCCAATCTCAGTTTACTCAGCCAAGGCTCTATTTTCTGATTAACAAGATACCTCTTTCTATTAAAATGGACTTGGTCATGATGACGGTTCGGAAATTGGCCTCAGGCAGAAAGCTAAATAAATGTAATACTCAGCTCACATGCTTTCCTGCTTACAGATATCACAGCCCTGTGCTCTCCATTGCCCAGTGAATGCTTCCTATATTTTATCTAGTTTTATAGTTGTTTGCAGCAAGAGAGCAATTCCAATAGCAGCTGCTCTGTCATGGCAAGAAGCTAGAAGTTTCTATTTAAATTTTAATTTCTCAGTGGAATTGAGTTATATCATTATTCCTTTTCAATGGTTATCAAAATATCAATTCTAACTGAAAATCAGTCTCAGAAATACATATTTTCATATTTCTAGTTATTCAACTAAGTTCTAGAACCAACAGAAAAAGATAGAAGCTTTCTGTGGCTTGTTGATATTTGTTAGGAAAGATACCCTAACATTATTCAAACACCGTACGCCTTTTATCACCCATCATGAGAAAAAATGCTTACTGTTTTCAAGGCACTAGCTTTAGTCTATTGACAAAACATAAAATACTATTAAAATATTTAAAATAATATGCATGAGGGAACTAAAAATGCATTGTGTAAATAAAATATAAACAACTGAAAATTACTCAACTAGTTATACAAGACAACTATGAAGATGATGATAAAGACCAGTGATAAATGTACAAAAAATTATGGAAAAAGAGTTGTGAAGAAAATGCTTTAAAGAGTAGAGAATATTTGTATTATATCATAAACAAACAACAACGAAAATAAATTCTGAGTATGTCAAATAGGTGTGATTATTTGAGGTAAATATAGAAATAGAAAAGTCAAAGATGTGATATTTCCACAATGGATAGAGCTTTTATCTTTTTACAAACTGGAACTTCAAATTGAGTATCACTTTATGTAAATCAGTGGTTCTTAAATTTTACATCTAGTTTGCATATTTACTATAGAACTCTGATTCCGGTACAGTGTAATAATAATTGCCTTGAAATTAATATCGTGATCTCTCTAGGAATAAATACTATCCTTGAATAAGTGTTGCTTATTTAGCTAATTGATAATATTTTGGCAAACATTTCTATTGAAATGCTTCAAATTCTTCAATTCTTTCTTTAAAGAGGTCATGTTATTTCTAGTTTCATACTTCACCTAGTTCTTCACCTAGCTGTGAGAATAATATGGATGTAATATTTCACCTCCTTGGACATGTTAGTATGAAAAATTGAGGTAACTGGGTTATATGATACCTGAAGCCAGTATCCATTTTTAAATATAAAAACTGTCACTGATTACATTTTAATCATACTACTTGTCTTATATGTTGCAGTATGCATTGTAAATAATTCAGTGATTTATAATTTATCGAGTATCAACCATGTACTTCAATATGCTGGATAGAGAAAAATAAAAAAATATTTTCTCTTTCTGAAAGTTGACAAATTAGAAGAGACCAATAAGCAAACAGTTAATTTGAACTACATGTGATATGTTAAAACAGAGATACAAATAAATCACACTGAGAAAAAGATTCATATAGAATTTCATTGGCAAGATTTTGAAAATCTAGAAAAGTAAATATTCTTGTTTCCAGGTCTAAAATTTTCTTAGGAAAGTGATTTGAATTTGGGAAGGGTATGGCAAAAATTTGTGCCATGAATACACTTACAATTTGCTATTACATAATATTTTGAGGATTACTTTACTTTCCTACATATATAACTTTATTTTTAAATGTCTGTTTTCTCTATTATTTTTTTCTTGTTCTTTCACTATTTCTTTTCTTTTTCTTTATTTTAGACCCCAAATTTTGGCAAAAATAGTTGTTTTTGCTTTCAGTACTAGAAATCTTGCTAATATTTTAAATGAAGATATTAAATGTATTCTGATGAATTTTTAAATTCATATGGGTAAATAACTTTTAACATTTTTATATAGTTGTATATTTGTCTTACAATGGCACAATATAGGAAAAAATTAAATTCTGTTTTTTGGAAACACTTTTTCTCAAGTGTATAAACAGATGAGAAATCACCATAGGACCCAATTAAATATTGGAATTTGTCATTGAGACAAAAGGCCTTCAGGCTTCACTATTGCAACAAGGAGTTTAACAAATTTACAACTTAATAAATATTTGTAAAAGCAAAATCCTGGCAGTATTTTTCGTAGAATTGCTTAAAATAACTAATAAAATCATTTTCATATCTGGAGGGTAAAACATAGAAAATGAATAGATTTACTATTTTGTGAAAGTCAAATGTTGGTTACTTTGGTAAATAATAAATTATGAAAATCTAAAATATAATGTTATCTGCCACTGATCAGTGTTTAAATAATAACTTATCCAATATTGATTTTATCCACAGCATACCATAAAACTATTAAATGTAAAGAAAAATTTTTTCTATGAAAAAGTTCTTTTATTTTTTATATTTACTCATATCTCTTCGATTCTCTACAGTGTTTAGCATGAGTCTAAGTAGATAACAGTACTAAATTTAAAGAAAAAGTTGAATTAGACAACCCCCAGCTGTTATTCTAAGCTATTCCCTCATGCAATTGTGATGGGAAATTAGAACTGATGGAACATAAAACTGATTGTATGTTTCTGTTTGCATTTTTTTTTTTTTTTGTGACAGAGTCTCACACTGTCACCCAGGCTGGAGTGCAGTGGCGCAATCCCGGCTCACTGCAACCTCTGCCTCCCAGGTTCAAGCAATTCTCCTGCCTTGGCCTCTGGAGTAGCTGCGATTACCAGTGCCTGCCACCACACCTGGCTAATTTTTTGTATTTTTAGTAGAGACGGGGTTTCACTATGTTCGCCAGACTGGTCTCGAACATCTGACCTCGTGATCCACCCGCCTTGGCCTCCCAAAGTGCTGGGATTACAGACGTGAGCCACCACACCCGGCCTCTGTTGGCAATTTAAGTGCCATTTATTATTTATGATGTACATGGTAGATAAGGAACCCAAAATAAGGGATACAAAAATATTATCCAAGATTTACCTTACGAGTAAAACAAGAATAACAACATAGTACTATTGACTTATTCTTTTAATTATTTTTATTTGTATATATATTTAGCATATAGTCTTTATTAAAATATTGAATATATTATATGTAATATACAAATAATTACTGTATACAATTGAATAATGTATGTTGTACTAAATGGGTTTCTTGAATATTCAAAGTTCTTTTGAAGGCATTTGTACTTGCTGTCCCCTTATCATGGAGCATTTATTTCTTAGATATTCATATGAATTGTTCTCCAGGTGTCTTTTAATTCCTTTTTTCATTCTAGCTTCTATACATTCCAAAGTATACATAATATTTATAAGAGTTGTTGTGCATGATTCTTTAATCAATTTCCATTAACCAACCACCCATCAAGTTGAACATGGCCAATAACTTAGGTATTCTTTCCATATCCCATCACCCTTTCTAAACCCAAAGGTAACACCTATTCTAAACATTAGGATTAACATCTCCTTCTTTTGCCATACTTGTATCATATGACTATTTATTCCTGAACTATATATTTCTAGTTTTCTTTGTTTTGAAGTTTTATAAAAATAAAGCACCCCATCCCCCCCCCCAAAAAAAACTAACCCCTGGAATCTAAGAATGTGTTATGTTTCAGGGCAAAGGGAAACCAAGAAAGCAGTTGGAATTAAAGCAGATGATCAGCGGACCTTAAAACAGGGAGATGATTGTGGTTTATTTGGGTGAGCCCAGTGTGATCAGAATGGTCCTTAAAGATAAAATAGAGAGTCAGTGAGAGTCAGAGGAGGAGATGTGACCACAGAAGCAGAAGTCAGTGTTGTGATTGCTGACTTTGAAGATGGGAGGGGGCCAAGAGCCAAGGAGCGCAGACAGCCTCAACAAGTCAGAAAAGGCAAGAAAATGGGGTTCTTCCCTTGGAGACTTCAGAAAAGAACACAGCCCAGTAGCTATCTTGATTTTAGCCCAGTTTAAACCTATTTCAAACTTCTGGCCTCCAGAACTGTCAGATAACAAATTTTCATTGTTTTAAGACCGTATGATTGAGTTAACTTATTATAACAGAAATAAGAAAGTAATAGAGATATGTAAAACTTTATGTAGTCTTCTGAGATAAGATTTTTTTCAAAAAATGTTATGTTTCAACAATTAACACATATACTCCTTTAGCTGTGCTTTATGCATCCCATGTGCTGTAGTGTAACCCACTCTTGTAAGATTGACTATAGTGCAATTTATTTATCCATCCATTCTTTGTCCATAGACATTTAGTTGTTTCCTTTTTTTGTTTGTTTGTGTGTGTATTTTTGCTATTACAAAAATGATGATGCTACAAATATTCTTGTGTATGGGTTCTGGTGTACATGTAAATCTCTGTAATGTAGGATGAGTGACAAGTCAACTTTATAAAATAAGATCATATTATTTTCTTAAGTTGTTATACCAATTTACATTTCAAACAGCAATGTATAAGTATTTTTTTAAAAAATACACAGCCTCTTTTAACATTTGGTATTCTCCAACACCTTAATTTTTTATAATCTACAGTGGGGGTAAAATATATTTCATTGCATTTCCTTCATGAATAACAAAATTGATCATCTTTTCAAATATATATTCCTCAAATGTGCTTATTTGGTAAAATGCCTACTCCTACTTTTTGACTGCTTTGTAATTTATTATTAATTTTTATAATAATTTAGAGAAGTGCTTTTTATTGGTTATTTATATTTCAAATATCAACTACCCATTTGTGGCCTCTCTTCTTTCTTTGTATTTTTTGATGAGCAGAACTTCTAAATTTTAAATATTTTATCAATACTTAATTTAGCATTATGTACTTTAAAAAAATCTTTTCTTACCTGAAGGTATTTATACATAATCTACATTGTCTTTTAAAGTTTTAAATTTTGCCTATAAAATTTAGGTGGTTTATCTACCAGGAAATGAGTTATTTTAACTTTATCAACATTTTGTAGTTTTCATTGATACGTAAAAAATGTGCATGTTTTCTGGGTACATGTGATAATTCGATACATTCACATAACCAAATCAGGATAATTTGATATCATCTTAAATATTTATTTTTTCTTTGTGCTAGAGACATTTGAATTATTCTTTTTTAGTTATTTTGAAATGTTCAGTCGATGATGAATCAGTCATTGATTAATCATCCTCCTTATCTGTCAAACACCATGTCTTATTTCTTCTGTTTAACTGTATGTCTGCTTTAATTGTGTGAAGTACTTGTTCATTTTCCCCCTAAGGATAGACATTTTTTGAAATGTCAAAACTCTCATTATTTCCCCCAAGGATATAATACCACTTCCATCATGCCTAAGTTTCCATGCCCAAGTGTGCCTGGTTCTGTACTGTGTAGTGTAATCCACATGTCAATCTATGTGTCACTGTATCAATACCACAGTGTCTTAGTCACTGTAGCTGTGTAGTGAGTTTTGATAACTGGTGAGGAAAAGGCCCCTCTCTACCCCATTGACCTTCACATTTTCACATTTAATATTAAATTCAGATTTTCGTCTTTAAAAAATGTGATTTTAATTGAGATTATATTTAAACTGCATATCTTTTTAGATGAATAAAAAACTTTGACATATTGACATCTTCAATTTTGGAATATAATATACTTCATTTACTTAGATACTATTTATAACTTTAATTATTAGTATATTTTCAGGATTTATGTCTTATGATATGATAGTATTGATGTATATTTCTTTTTAATTTATTAACAAGGTTTCTTTTAATTCTTATTCTGTCTCATTTGTGTTTTTCTTCATTTGCATATTTTTAAATCATGAATGGCTATTGAATTCTATCTAACTCTTACTTCACCAAGTAGGATTATTTAAAAATTTTGTTTATCTTCTAATCATCTTTTAATCTTTTAATGTTATTAATTGCTTGATAATTTTTTCTAATGTTGCCCTATCTGTATTCTTGAAATGAATGCAGTAGATGAAATTGAGGTCATCACTTTTGTAGACATTGCTTGCTAAATGTGGTAGTCATTAGTGCTACTCACTGATATTTGTTTCTTCTCTTCTTTCTTCCCTAACTTTAATTAGGCATAGCCAATTCATGGTGAATGGAAGACCTGTGTGTCACTTCTGGGCTGCAATATTTAATTACAAGTCTGAACTGTCCAGAACGATCTTCCTCCTTCCAAAGAGATCTTGGAAGCACATGTTGCAATAGAGCTTGTGAGCTTCTAGTTCACTGAATGACTCATTGAATAGAGTTCTTTCGACAACCAGAAAATGGGCATAAGGGAAAATAAACTTTTTTTTTCTGTTAAACATATGAGATTTGGGAGCTTTTTATACCACAGCATTACCTGACCTATCTAAGTGATAGAGTGAGAGTCAATAAGAATCAATATTCATAAATCAGACTCGCCTATAATTTTCATTTGTCAAACTATCCTTTTCTAGTGTCAGATAACGTTGCACTGTTTTCATAGAATAATATACATTTTCATATCTTTGGATGAATTTTATGATCTTGGAATGATGTACTCCTTTTACATCTGCTAAATCTCAAGTGTAAATTTTTTTTTTTTTAGTTTGTGGGAAGATTTTAGCAAATGTTCATGTTGAAGGCTTTTTCTAACTTTCCTAAGTTCTTTGAAGAGATAATGCTAGTATTTCATATAAAGAAGATATGTAGAAAAGCGATTTGAGAATGGAGATAAAAAGAATCAAATGTTTACTCATGCTGAGAAATGGCAGATCCTTGGGCTGCAGAAAGAGAGGATGGGATTTGTTCGTTGTTCTCTGACCTTACCTTAGGAAATTTGTAAGACCTCACACAAATATTAGGTTGGCACGAAAGTAATTGCAGTTTTTACCATTACTTTTAATGGCAAAAGCCACAATTACTTTTGTGCCAACCTAATATTTGGCATCTATGGGGTTTACCACTGAAGCATGACATCTTCTAAAAGATTATCATTCTCAAAGCAAAGAAAAAGAAAACCAGATGCATAGGATCTGAAACAGTCATGCTGGCTTGTACCTTGTGTATTCCAGTGGCAATCAATGTGCGCCCACACTGAAGGATCAGGGGGATTTCCTAAAGCAAATTGTTCTAATTCTCTGTAGGATTCTAGAAACTTGACATAATTTAGAAAAACTTTTTGATTACAATAGAAATATAATTTTCCATAATTTCTGTGGGTTTACTATCAGATACAAATAAAGATTGATTTAAATAAATAAAAAATGTGATATTTGCACACATTAATTTCTAATTGACATACTTACATTTAGATTTTTATTTTAACAGAAATAATGTAAACAAACTCCTGGGAATTGCTCTTCAACTTTGTTCTTGAATAAATACATAAGTCAAATTCTTAGAAGAGAGG
Organism: Homo sapiens; assembly: GCF_000001405.40. Classification (NCBI taxonomy): domain Eukaryota; kingdom Metazoa; phylum Chordata; class Mammalia; order Primates; family Hominidae; genus Homo; species Homo sapiens. Next base: position 65,966,892 of record NC_000013.11, read on the forward strand.
CAGACATATCAGGCTTCACACTGCTTAGTGGCTTGTAGCATCTCTTGATATCAATATAGAAATAATACAAAAGCCTTTGAAATTTTTAGTATTCAACAATGAAAAGCCTGAGTTCTCCAGGAAAAAAAAAGAATCTGTCCCAGAGCAGTTGTTGAAGAGGCCAGATGAGGGAGCCTGTACAGAGAGTCATTTCCCATTGAGGGAAACTTTGATGAAATGGAGGGAGGAGATGAGAAGCAAATGGAGGATAAATTCTCTCTTAGAACGCCCCCTGGGTGAACTGTGTGGAGATGCAGGAGTTCATACAGCTTTTCTCATGATGTCTAGCAAGACCGAAAAATCAGATGTGCTTCTTAAGAAGTACATAACTAAAATGGAAATAAAAGTGGAGTGGTTGTTAAGTCAATTCTCTCATGACAATTTACGCAACTTCCTCTATTTTCTATTTTCTTACATCCATATGATCTGCTTTCTCTCATGGCTCTCATTTTAGAAACACCTCTTGGCAGTGTGCAATGACATTTTTGCTTGTTTTGAAACAACCAAAAACTCAGGTTGCTTAACTCCCTATCTCATCTAGTTCCTTAAATTATTCAGTCTTGTAGAACTTGGCAAAGGAAAAATGAGAAAATGGTCCTGCTCAGTAGAAATCTGTTGATTTCTATCCACTGAAATCCATTAGTCTTTGAAGTTAACTCTTTCTTAATGTGTCCTTATGTTACAGTAAGTATGGTGATTCCATTTATGGATAGATACACATTATTTTGTTTCCAGAAATATTTTAGAAAAATAATGTACACTTCAATCTATATTGGCAACCAATAATCCATGGTATTTTGTCGTCCGCTTTCAGAGACCTTGCAATATTTGAGATTTGTTTTCTACTAAATTTAATTTCTTACTAATATAGACCTTCTGTGTTAGACTCCTATCTGATTTCATATATGAGTTTGAAACATTATCACATGACTGAATCAACTTTGTGAGCAAATTATTCCAAAAAAACAAATATTTACTCATATTAATCACCTTCTCAAAAAATTTTGATAGTTTCATATCAGAGAAAAATTTCCTATAAACCAAAGTAAACTCAGTGTCCAAGACCCCCTAACATCAGGTTCCAACTAATCTTTCAAGACTTACTTCATCAAACTCCATTAGAAAAACAGTCTGGTCTTACAGCTTTTTCAAAAACTAGCAATTTAGTTTAATTAATTCCCATTTATGAATTTTTTGTTGCTTATATTTTAAGGTCTTGGTCATGATTATTATTATTATTATTTTTTGCCTAGACAAATGTCCCAAAGAGTTTTTCTAGGCTTTCTTCTAGTATTTTAGTCATTTTAGGTCCTGCATGTGTTTAATCCATCTTGAGTGAATTTTTGTATGGTAAGAAATAGGGGATCAGTTTGATGTTTCTGCATATAGCAAGCAATCCAATTTTTCCGAACACCATTTATTGAAAAGGGTGTCCCTTCCCCAGTGTATGAGTTTGTCAACTTTGTCAAAGATCAGTTGGCTTCTGTACAGCAAAAGAAATAACCAATAGTGAACAGACAACCTGCAGCATAGGAGAAAATATTTGCAAATTATGCATCCTACATGGATTAATATTTAGAATTTACAAGGAATTCACACAAAGCAATAAATAAATAAATAATTCCATTAAAAATAGTCAAAGGACAGGAATACACATTTTTCAGCAGAAGACGTACAAATGACCAAGAGACATATGAAAAAAAACTTAGTGTAACAAATCATCAGACAAATGCAAATTAAAAGCACAATGAGATACCGTATTATACCAGTCAGAATAGTTATCACAAAAAAGACAGAAAATAACAAATGTTGATGAGGATGCACAGAAAAGGGAACATTTATACACTCTTACTGAGACTGTAAACTAGTACCACTTCTATGGAAAATAATATAGAGGATCCTCAGAGAACTAAAACTAGAACTACCATTTGATCCAGCAATCCCATTACTGAGTATCTACCCAAAGGAAAATAAATCATGATAGCAAAAGATACCCTCACTTGTATGTTTATGGCAGCACTATTCACAAAAGAAAAGATATGGAATCAACCTAACTGTCCATTAGCAGAAGATCAGATGAAGAAAATGTAGTATAGGTACACTATGGAATACTACTCAGATATTAAAAAAATGAAATCATGTCTTTTGCAGCAACATGAGTGGGACTGGACGTCATTATTTTATGCGAAACAACTCAGAAATGGGCAAATACCACATGCTCTCACTTATAAGTTGGAGCCAAATAATGTGTACACGTAGGCATAGAATGTGAAATGATAGATAATTGAAACTTGGAAGGGCGGCGAGGATGGGAGAGGATGAGTGATGAGAAATTACCTAATGGGTACAATGTACAGTATTTGAGTGGTGTATGCACTAAAAGCCATAACTTCACCACTATGCAATATATTCATGTTACAAAATTATACTTGCACCCCTTAAATTTATACAAATGAAAAACAAGAAACCCTAGACATTTTAGATAAACATTTTGTGACATTTAAATACAGTGAATTGAAGCTCTCTTATCTTTTTCATAATATACCTCTTTCTTTAAAATTTTACTAAAAGCTAAACTAGTGTTAACTTTCCTTTTTAATTCCACTCATGCCAAAATATTTTTAAACTATTTAAACATGAAGGAATCTTTACAGTATTATTCATAATTATAAGTAACTCTTAAATAAATTATTTACCAGCCCTAAACCAGAGCCAATAGGAAATGAGATTGTGGAAGAAACTTAAATGACCAGAAAAGATAGACAAAATATACTGAGAGTAAAAAGGAGCAGGTTATCAATAAGTATATACTGTATAATTCTATATTTGCATAAAGTAAATTCACAAAGGTTATCATCTGCAATTTATATTTTCATGTAATGAGAAAAATGTTAATAGAAACCTCCCTAAAAGAAAATAATTTTATGTCATACTAAGAGAGAAACATTATAATAATTATTAGTTTTTTGGGGAGGGGTAGAGGGATGCTGTGGTCCATGCCTGTCTCTAAGACATTCATTCATTAATCTGCTCTTTGCCTAGTTCTGAATGAAAGGCAGAAAATATGGTGATGCACTATGCAGATATATGTCGGCCTGTTAATAAAAACTGAGCAATAAATAATTATCTTTTTTCCTAAAAATAACTTTAATTTTTCATGCATGTTTAATAATGTTTGTTTCTAGAAGTAACATGTAATAAAAAGATATATTTAATATCTTTAAATGGACAGGCATGAAAATATCATCTGTTCTATCCTTCACTTTCCAAGCTAGACTCAATGAAAAATGTTAGATGAAAAATAAACACTCAGAAATATTTCCATGTCAATATTTTTGGCAAAAATATTAGGTCATTTTGCATGAATACTTACTGGAAATATACATAATTCTGTGGGAAAAAATGATGATTTTTGTGTTTATGGTTCATACCTCAAGAACATAGTTATTCAATTAAGCTTGCCTACTCAAACAATATAACAGGTTTACTAGACATTTTTTAATAAGTAAAAGTATTTGATGTCTTTATTATCTGCTCCAGATATGAAGATCAAATCCACACTCAACAACACACAATTTGAGCTCAGAGTCTTTATTGTAATTGGAAAATACATGGCCTGCTTGCCAAAAACTAAGGAGTCTCTGACTATGTGATGTAATTTAATGAGTGTTTAATCCCAGATTTTACTACTGAAGAGCATCAAATCCCTTCATTAGTATAAATTTATTGTGAGCTGCAGTCTTAGTTTTCTTATTTTTATTTTCCCAGTTCTTGCATACTACTTGTCATGTAGCACTTAGCCTATACAGATTTGTTGATAGACTTCTCCTTAAGTGTTTTTAATGTGCACATGCATTTCAACTAGATTTGGTCATTATTGGCTAGATGATTAATACTTGCACACTAATATACCCTCCCTAGCCAAGGGTACTAAAAAAAAAAAAGGGTAGCTAATTGTTCATGAAAATTAGAAGATACACAGAAAGGAAATTTCTAGGAGGTTGTATGTTGGCGGGCAGGGAGTAAAACTAAGCAAAGCAGAAAAGACTGAGAACAAAATGAGCAGCTTTGATGAAGCAGGAAGATACCGAGTTTCTGAGTTGAAGAAGGGGAGTAAAATGAAAATTAGAATTATGCTATGGACTAAATTGTGTCTGCCCAAAATTCATGTGCTGAATCCCAATCCCCCATTATGACCCTATTTAAATATAGGGCTTTTACAGAAGTAATCTAAGTTAAATGAAGTCATAAGCTAGGGCCCTGATTCTGTAGGGTGAGTGTCCTCATAAGAAAAGATAACAGAAAGTGTGGCTCGCTTTCTCTGCCATGTGAGGACACAGCAAGAAGGCAGCCATCTGCAACTCTGAAAGTGGACTCTCACTAGAATTCAACTATGCTGTCATCTTGGTCTCAAATTTCCAGCCTACAGAACTGTGAGAAAATAAATTTCTGTTGTTTAAGTCACCCTGTTATGGCATTTTGTATGGCAGCCTTAGCTAAGATAAAGTGTGAAAGAAAGTAAAAGTTATTTAAAGTTAAATATACCAGATTAAAAACATATATTTGCCTCAAATTCCTTTCAATAAAATGGATGCATTTTCAAAAGAAAAAAAAAAGAGAGAGAAAATGTTACAACTAGATGCAGGCAAGCACAAGTGCTGGCTACATACGAAAGGTGACACCCCAGGGAACAATGACAGAAACCAGCAAGACATTGAAAGAGCTGTGAGAATCCTGGAGGAGGCTGTTTTGAAAAGGTGTGTGTACAAGGGAGGAGGGATGTGAGGGGGGCAGAAAGCAGCCCTGCCTTGTGGTGAAAGAATAAAAATAGGAAAGAACTTGTTGGAATTTTTGTTCCTGCCTCCTCCCACTCTGCATGGGACCGACAACGCCAGCCTCCACACCAGCAGTGACACACATTTCTGGTGCAGGTTTTCTCTAGAGTAAAATCACAGCAACACAAAAACCATGGGTAGATGAGGACTTGAGAAAAACAGGTTTTTTTTTTTTTTCTTTGAGACAAAATCTCATTCTGTTGGCTGGAGTGCAGTGGCATGATCTTGGCTCACTGCAACCCCCGCCTCCTGGGTTCAAGCAGTTCTCGTGCCTCAGCCTCCCGAGTAGCTAGGATTACAGGCACTCACCACCACGTCCAGCTAATTTTTGTATTTTTAGTAGACGGGGTTTCACCACGTTGGCCAGGCTGGTCTCAAACCCTGACCTCAGGTGATCCACTAGCCTCGGCTTCCCAAAGTGCTGGGATTTATTTACAGGCGTGAGCCATAGCACTCGGCAGAGAAAAGCAGGTTTTGAAGGTTTAATGTGCCTTGGACAGGTGTTTCCCCAACTCTTCTCTATACTCCTCTAAGCCTGGAGAACAAGAGGACAAAGTTCTCCCTCTCACTTTTGTATCTCTTTTTGCTTAGCTAGGGATGGCTTCCTGAGCTGAGGAGCTAAGACAGGATTAACTATGATTTTTTGCTGTTGTTGCTTTCTATGTTTCAGTGTACTCATTCTACATCTTATTATTCAGGGTACAACTAGGAAAGGAGAAAGCATGTTACGGCACCAGGAAATTATTATAGGAGTGATACCTTGAACTATTTTGGAAAGATCTGGGAAAAGAAATTAAGGTCTCCAAGGAGGAACTGGAGAATCAATGAGTGACTGGCCTGGTCACCCTGAGCAGCAAAACACTGAAGTGGGACTACAAAAAAGGAAGTTGGCACAGGGATATATGGAAACTGTTGACTCCGAGGCTCCTCAGCCACATGTTTAGTGATGGGCCCAGAGCTGTTGTTGCTCAGCAAGACCAGCATTTTGGAAGAAGATGTGAGCACAAAGCTGAGAAGATCTGGGGAGAGCAAAGGCACACTGGAACCCCTGGTTGGTTACATCATGGCCGTCTCTCATTGCTTCTCACTATAATGGCCTCCAGAGAGTGATAGTTGCTCTTTTGCTTCTGTAAATTCCTCTTTTGAAATATTCTAACCTAGAACCATAAAGACCAGGGAGGTTGTGGAATGTCAATTTGATCTAAACAAACTGATGAAGCACAAACCACTCTGCTACATTTTGAGCTCATTGGAACTGAACTTGCTTAGGGCCTGGTATTGCCCTTTGTGTATTTTCTGACAGAGAAGTAGACAATCACATAACAACAAGTGTGGGGAACAGTCTCATAAAATAGCTAGGCATTGTGGCATTATTTCAAATGAGAGACAATATACTGTATGACTGATTTGCTCATAGGTAGAATTATTTCATTGAAGGAGTCAAAAGTTTCAAAACAAGCCTAATAATAATACAAAAAGGGATAAGAAAGATACAGAATAAAAAGAAAAGTATAAACATAAGCGAAATATTAAACTAAAAAATACAATTGTTGAATCGAAGAACATGTTTGTTGGAATAAAGTGTGGAAAGGATGTATCTGAAGGATAAATGTGTGTATTAGGAGGTAAATGGAAATGAAGCCATGTAAACAGCATGTTTGTTGCATCAGCACTATAATATGTTCTAATATAATGGGGAAAGTGTAGAGAAATGTGTATCTCAGACTTCATATTTCTTTTTTTAATTGTACATTATTAAGGGATACAGAGTGAAATTTCATTATCTCTATACAATGTATGATGATCAAATCAGGGTAATTAACATATCCATCACATCAAACATTTCTCATTTCTTTGTGTTGTGAACATTTGAAATATTCTCTTTTAGCTTTTTGAAAATATACAATAAATTATAGTTAACCATATTCACCCTACAGTGCTGCAGATCACCAGAACTCATTCCTCTTGTATTCCCTACACTCATTACTCTACTGCTTACCATCTTCCCCTCCCCTACAATTCCCAGCCTTTAAGAGCCACAACTCTACTCTCCACTTCCATGGGCTCAAGTTTTTTGTGTTTTTGTGTGTGTGTGTGTGTGTGTGTGTGTGTTTAATATTAGCTCTCATATATGAGTGAGACATTCAGTATTTATTTTTTGTGCCTGAACTATTTTGCTTAATATGATGTCATCCAGTTTCACCTATGTTATTGCAAATGACAGAATTTCATTCTTTTTAATGACTGAATAGTATTCCATTGTGTTTGCATACCACAACTTCTAGCCATTCACCTGTTGATGGACGTTTAGGTTAATGCCATATCTTAACTATTGTGAACAGTGCTCCAATAAACTTTGGATAAATATCCAGTAGTGGGATTGCTGGATCATGTGGTAGTTCTATTTTTAGTTTATTCAGAAACCTCCACACTATTTTTCATAATGGCTGTACTAAAAAACATTCCCACCAACAGTATATAAGGGCTCCATTTTTTTCACATCCTTTTCAGCATCTGTTTTTGTCTTTTTTATGATAGCCATTCTAATTGGGGTGACATAATATTTTATAATGGTTTTAATTTGCATTTCCCTGATGATTAGTGCTGTTGAGAATTTTTTGTATATTTATTGGCCAGTTATATGTCTTATTTTGAGGAATCTTTATTCAGATCTTTTTCCTATTTTAACGGTATTATTATTATTTGCTCTTGAGTTGTTATTAGTCCCTTGTTGGATGAATAGTTTGCAAGTATTTTCCCCTATTCTCCATGTTGTCTCTTAACTCTGTTGATTCTTTCACTGTGCAGAAGCTTTTAGTGTAATATAGTCCTATTTGTCTGTTTTGTTTGTAGTCTGTCACTTTGGAGTAAGATTTCATATTTCGTCTATCTCACCATTACCTGTGTTTTCACAAATTATTAGCAAATGTGATTTGTGAGTCTGATTTAGCAATCATGCAGTTTATATCTTACAATCCTTTAATTATTCTTTTATTTAAAAAATACACCTATATAGGTAAACACATATGTAATATAAATAACACGCAAATTTGTATCACGTTTACATATAGATATGTAGTACTTTGATGAACCCTATGCATCTATCAACGACAGTCAGGTGCTTTACACATGCAACTTGAAAGCCTTGAGATATTACTAGATGAGAAAAGCAAATTATAAACCCATATATTTAGTACATACCAAATTTTAAGAATAAGATATATACGGATATACTTAGGCAGGTAAGTGTTCCTATATATTTCTGCACTAAAAAATTATGGAAGTGGAAATATTTTATTATAATGTCTAGTTATCCATGTGTCATGGGTTTGGGAGAAATAAACTTTTCATTTTAAATACTTTAATATTATTTGGATTTTTATATCTATTTTTATAGCTAAGGATAGTTGATGTACAAACAACAAAGAAGAACAAAAAATATATAAACCTCTGGATTTAAGAATCAGAAGAACTGGGTTCAGGCTTTAGCTCTGTGTCTCTCAGAAACAGGAGTGAATTTAGGTGAGTTGCTGCTTCTATTTGAATATTCATTATAATTTTTTCCTTAAACTTTTTGTTGAGGGTTAACATATATATGAAAGTGCCTTGCCCACTGCTGTGCAAATAACATGTTAATATTCCAGAAATCCTCATTTCTTTAACAGATAAGAGGAGGAGGAGGAATAATTCCTTTCTTTTGGGTATTTTTGCTTAAAGTCCTTGTGGGAGTCAGTAGCATTCCATGAAACAGATTTTAAGTAAAAGCAAATTAGTACAGTGCTAAAGCTATAACTTTACTTGCCACCCACTATCAAATGTTATTTGTGGAATACCATTGTATAAAGATTAGCAAGGGAAAATACAGATAGGCAGAGCAATTGATTTTACATACTTCTCAAAAATGAAAACTACAGGTGGATCTCAAGCTGGCCTAACATCATCCAAGATTTATCTTACTTTTGGGTGGATTTGACTTGGTAAGGTGCATTGCCTGACTACAGAGACTATTCCCTATTCTTCCCTCTCTGTCAGCAGACTATTTGCTAGCATGTCAATCATCAGTTTTGTCATTGAACGTGGTCTCTACCAGTGGTAATTAGGAAAGTAAATTCAACAGTGAAAATCAGCAAGCAAAACTCATCAATCAGCAGCTCTTAAAAAGAGAGATCACAATCATAGCAGCAAAAGCTGGGAGATCATGTCCCTCAGGGCATTAGGAGTTTTATATAAAAATGTACGTGATGACTTTGCAATAGGGACACCCACTGTGCAAAGCCCAATGTGTGGCTCTCATTTTCAATTCAGATATCGTCAGTCTGAAGTCTTATAATATGATCACAGTTACAACAGAAAGATATTCAAATCATAATGACTGATGAGCAACAAAACCAATTTATTACTAGATCTGTCTCCCCACACACTCTGAAGAATTCCTGGGGATGTTTACATTTGCTCATGAAACCATTTGTATTGCTATGCTAAAAAAGCAGAAACTCAGACATCAGCACTTGCAACCAATGTTGTAAATGCTGCCCTCTGGAAGCCCACTGGTGAGGCTGTGTCCATACCACCCTTGGTACCATTAGTAATATGGAGGTAAGCTTTAATCTTGAACCAAAATGAAAAAAGTGCTGTGATAGCAACTCCAGCAGTCTCCTTTTGTTTAGTACTTCCACAAACAGCAATGCAGTTTCTGCTAATGCACCCAAGCCTGGGTGACTCTACTTCACCAAAGAGCTGGTAAACCTTCAGTATTGAGCCTAGTTTGGGAAACTCCTGAGTACAGGCTTTAAGACCACAAAGAGGCCGAGTTGCAGCAAATGCATCTTAGAATTTACACACAGCCATTTTCCCAAAGGCAGAGCACTGGTGTACAGGGGAAGGGGAGATAACAGAGAAAAAGTGGACTGCATATTGTGCCCAGGATCTATTATCACTTCAGATCTCAGTAAATTTGCAATGATTTTCTTACATTCAAAATGTCAGAAAGAATTTATCTTACTTCTTGCCAGTGGGTCTAAAACTCACATGCATGTTTTGAGGTGTATTCTCATAATAGTGAATAAGTCTCACGAGATCTGATGGTTTTAAAAAGAGGAGTTTCCCTGCACAAGCTCTCTTCTCTTGTCTGCCACCATGTGAGATATACCTTTCACCTTCCACCATGATTGTGAGGCTTCCCCAGCTACGTGGAACTGTAAGTCCAATAAACTTCTTTCTTTGGTAAATTGCCCAGTCCCAGGTATGTTTTTATCAGCAGCATGAAAATGGTAAATTGGTACCAGTAGAGTGGGGTGCTGCTGAAAAGATACCTGAAAATGTGGAAGTGATTTTGGAACTGGGTAACAGGCAGAGGTTGGAACAGTTTGGAGTGCACAGAAAAGGACAGGAAAATGTGGGAAAGGTTGGAACTTCCTAGAGACTTGTTTAATAGCTTTGTCCAAAATGCTGATAGCAATATGGACAATAAAGTCCAGGCGGAGGTGGTCTCAGATGGAGACAAGGAACTTGTTGAGAACTGGAGGAAAAGGTGACTCTGTTATTTTTTTAGCAAAGAGACTGGTGGCATTTTGCCTCTGCCCTAGAGATTTGTGGAACTTTGAACTTGAGAGAGATGATTTAGAGTATCTGGCACAGGAAATTTCTAAGCAGCAAAGCATTCAAGATGTAACTTGGGTGCTGTTAAAGGCATTTGGTTTTAAAAGGGAAACAGGCATAAGAGTTTGGAAAATTTGCAGCCTGACAATGCAATAAAAAAGAAAATCCCATTTTCTGAGGAAAAATTAAAGCTGGCTGCAGAAATTTGCATAAATAAGGAAGAGCCTAATGTTAGTCACAAAGACAATGGAAAAAAATGTCTCCAGTGCATGTCAGAGACCTTTGAGGCAACCCCTCTCATCACATGCCAGGAGGTTTAGGAGGAAAAAATGGTTTCATGAGCCAGGCCCAGGGTCCTTGGGCTGTGTGCAGCCTAGGGACTTGGTGCCCTATGTCCTAGCTGCTCCAGCCAGGGCTGAAAGGGGCCAATGTAAAGTTTGGGTCATGGCTTCAGAGGGTGTAAGCCCCAAGACTTGGCAGCTTCCACGTGGTGTTGAGCCAGTGGGTGCACAGGGTCAAGAACTGGGGTTTGGGAACCTCTGCCTAGATTTCAGAGGATGTATGGAAATACCTGGAATCCCAGACAGAAGTTTGCTGCAACAGTGGGGCCCTCATAGAGAACCTCTGCTAGGGCAGTGCAAAAGGGAAATGTGGGGTCAGAGCCCCCATATAGATTCCCTACTGGGGCACTGCCTAGTGAAGCTGTGAGAAGAGGGCCACCATCCTCCAGACCCCAGAATGGTAGCTCCATTAAAAGCTTGCACTGTGCACCTGGAAAAGCCACAGGCACTCTCCAGCCTGTGAAAGCAGTCAGGAGAGGGGCTATACCCTGCAAAGCCACAGGGACAGAGCTGCCCAAGACCATGGGAACTCACCTCTTGCATCAGCATGACCTAGATGTAAGACATGGAGTCAAAAGATATCATTTTGGAGCTATAAGATTTGATTTTCCTGCTGGGTTTTGTACTTGCATGGGGCCTGTAGCTCCCTTGTTTTGGCCAATTTCTCCCATTTGGAATGGTTGTATTTACCCAATACCTGTACTCCAATTGTATCTAGGAAGTAACTAACTTGCTTTTGATTTTACAGGTTCATAGGCAGAAGGTACTTGCCTTGTCTCAGCTGAGATGTTGGATTGTGGACTTTAGAGTTAATGCTGAAATAACTTAAGACTTTGGAGGACTGTTGAGAAGTCATAATTGGTTTTGAAATGTGAGGACATGAGATTTGGGAGGAGCCAGAGGAAGAATGATATGGTTCGGCTTGTCTCTACCCAAATCTTATCTAGAATTGTAACTCCTCCAATTCCCATGTCATGGGAGGGACCCAGTGGGAGGTAATTGAATCATGGGGGCTGGTCTTTCTCGTGCTATTCTTGTAATAATGAATAAGTCTCATGAGATCTGATGGTTTTAAAAAGAGAGTTTCCCTGCACAAGCTCTCTGCTTTTTTCTGCCACCATGCGAGATGTGCCTTTCACCTTCTACCATGATTGTGAGGCCTTCCCAGCCACATGGAACTATAAGTCGAATAAGCCTATTTCTTTTGTAAATTGCCCAGTCTTGGGTATGTCTTTATCAGAAGTGTGAAAACAGACTAATACAAAGTGTAACTGCATGTTACCTTCCCCAGATTCAGTGCTTTTCTATGCAATTGATTAGAAACATTGCCACTACTGCAACTGCATACTGCAACTGCCAAAAAAAAATGTTTGATGGAACCACTGGTTCTTATACTGACTCTATGTGGCCTGGGACAGCTCATCATCACCCCCTAAACCTACTCTGAAATTCCTCATTCTTCAGAATGTGAATTTCAAGAGGGAAGGCAGCACCTCTCTTCTAAGTTTCAAGTCGGTTTTCTTTGCCTCAGGAGAAACTATTTTCCAGTATGATTTGCAATAGGAGTATACATTCATTTCAAAGCAAAACTACAGTCCATACATTTGTGGTTGTTTTTCCTACAGAAGCTCAATAGGTAATTGAAATAATGTCAGGAAATTTACCAGTGTGTTTAAGAGCCAGGCTCCCTGGCCTATGTCTCAGTTCATTATTTATTCACCGTGTAACCTTGGGCAAGACACCTACCTTCTCTATGCCTTGATATGTTAATCTGAGAACAAAAGGGATATCAACAGTATATCACAGGGCTGTTGTGAAGGTGTATTTAAGGTACAAAGAATAATGCTTGACCTATAGTAAATGTTCTATAGTTTATTTTTTACTCTGACACAGGTTTGTCTCACAAATCTGTTATAGTTAATTATATCTAGGGACACATTTTAACAGTAGCCACTATATGTATATCATATCACAAGAGGTGACAAAAATGGAAAAGAGTAGACAGGTTCTGCAGAAAAAAGAAAATGAAAGAAAGTAGATAAGGACTTAAAACTGTACACCTCAAATGACCTTTGCTTAAATCCTGCACTTTTGGGTTACTACAGACATTTTTCCTTCAAACACTGCTTAAATTCTCCAACCTTTCAAGGATAGTGGTAAATTACAGCATTTTAAAAATAAAATCATTGCACTGTAAACATATGTATATCTTATGTGTGTTTTGGGATTTTTTGTTGTTGTTGTTGGATGATGGCTATTGTAGTCTTTTTGAGACACAAATGTATGTGATAGCTCAAGCCTTGTCAACTAAAGACCTCCAAAAATAACTCTCTGGCAGGGGACTTTCAGAGACTTTTACCTTTTCTTTTATATCAAGCAACTGTTCCCAATTATTCTTTTGTGCTGTCATTTATAAACAGTGAATGGCTATGAAGGAAGAGCTTTTCAGCAAAGGAAAGCAGTAACATCCAACCCTTAGCTGCCACATTCTATTTTCTGATTCCCTTATTTGAGACAGTCATGAAAATGCCAGCATTTAAATTGTAAGACTTAGTGACGATATTTCGATAGGCTTCTGAAAAAGCTTATAGGTACTTCAGTTCAACTCTTTTATCGAATAATAGAAGTTCTTTATATTCATTGTACAAAATGTAAAATTCAAAATGCAAACGAGTGAATAGAATTAAAAGTCATCTGCAATCCAATAAGCAGACACAACCATTTAAAAAATATTATGTGTATACTACACACATGCGCCAGAGACAACTAATTTTCACACTTCACAATATATTTATCACAATTAGACAGATAGGCAGAATTCCTACATGTTATATAAATAGGAGACAAAGAAATTTGAATCATTCTAAAAACCAATGTTGGTATCATTTATTTGGCATTCATTAATACTATATCATGAGGACTTTTTCATGTCTTTGGATATGCTTGTAGCATGATTTTTAAAGGCTGCAGAAATGTTTTTATATACAGACACCATCTTTTTCTTAACCTAAACTCTATTTATTTATTTATTTATTTATTGAGATGAGATCTCACTCTGTCACCCAGCCTGGAGTGCAGTGACACAATCATGGCTCACTGCAGCCTCGACCTCCTGGGCTCAAGTGATTCTCTCACTTCAGCTTCCAGTGTAGCTGGGTCTACAGGCATGTGCCACCACACAGGCTAATTTTTTTTTTAAATTATTCGTAAAGATGAGGTCTTGCTATGTTGCCCAGGCTGATCTCAAACTCCTGGCCTCAAGCTATACATCTGCCTCAGCCTCCCAAAATGCTGGGATTACAGATGTGAGCCATCGTGCACAGCCAAGATTATTTAATGTGTTTAACATTTCTCTGTTGCTGAATATTAGGTTGTTTCTATTATCTTTTAATTTTAATTAATATTTTGAAGAACTATCTAGAACATAAAACACAGTTTGATTCTTGATTATTTTTATTGGTAAAACTACCAATTAAAAGAACAAATTTCCCTCCAAAAAGCTTCAGCCAGTTTTTATTTGTACTAGAAGTATAGTATTAATTACTAGTTTTAGGCTTAGCTAGTTAGAAAGATAAAAATATCCTATTGTTCTTTTAATTTGCATTTTTAAAATTATCGATGAAAGTGAACATTTTTCTCATTTTATTTCTTTGCCTTTTAAACATTGGAATGCCATTTTACTTATGTTTGGGAAATTGCTTCACATATTTTATTAAAATATACATTCAAAATATTTCCGCTAATCATTTATCTATTGGTTTATTTGTCATGGCTTTGAATTTATCAACTTTGAAATACCAGGTAAAACATTATTCGCATTACTTATTTTTGTAGGGGGTATTTACCAATGCATTTATAGTATATTTTATCATATTGTTTTACATAAAAGTTATTATTTGACTTCTTTAAACCTGTGGAATTTATTTGGGTATATATGATAAGGAAATACACCAACTTAAAAATTCCCAAGTAACCTCTATTTCCCACACCATTGTGTAACTCTCCCATCAGTAGGGCATATAATGAACTCAGTTTCAAGACTGAATAGTCTGTTCTGTTTACCTACCTATTAAATTTTATGCAAACTAACTTTTTACATTATTCTATTTTACAACATATTTTAAAATCTTGTAGGAAAATTACATTTTTGTATTTTTCAAAGTATCTTTATTTGAATAATTTAATGATAATAGCCGCTACACTCTGATACCCCTACTACCTGTACTACAATGCTTCCTGATTACATTGAATTTAAAAATTATTTTGCCAAGCTCTAATAAAAATCCCTGTGAAGAGGTGTTATATGTCTTTTTACATCTATAAATTAATTTGAGAAAACATAAATGCTTACACTATTCTGTTTTTCTTCCATCTCTTAATTTATTAAAAGGCACTTTTCGTTTATTCAAACATATGGTGTATCTATGGAGTGTATCTATTGAGTCACTGTGTTCCAGATGCTACTCTTAAGTTTTGGGAATATAGCAGTGATATAACAGATGAAAAAACCCTGCCTTCATATGGTTTATATTCTAAACGGAACACAAAGACAATGAAAAACAAACAACTAAAAGTAAAACTTATATCACAGCTTTATGAAACCTATGTAAGAAAGCAGAAGACGGAAGGAGGATAAAGATTATATGTGCCTGTGGGATGTTGAGGAAATAGCTCACTGAGAAAGGAATATCTTAGCCGGGGCCTGATGCTGGGGACACCACTAGCCAGTCTAATATCTGAAGGAAGAGTGCTCCAGGCAAAGGGAACCAACTAGTTGAACCTTTTTTATTTAATGTAACAGCCTTTCAGGTTTTTCTTATTTAGATGGACTCTAATCCTACCTTGCAGAGTTATTTTGATGTATTTTATATTTTTTGGTATGAAAAGTAAAATAAATTCCTGTAATTAGTATCATTAATATTATTGTACCATCTAGGTTACTGCTGTTTGTAGAAGAGAAATTGATTTTTTCTACTTCTCATTCAATTTTTATTGGTACTAGAACACTATTTAAAATAGATACCCATTGACATGTAAGCAAAAATAGAGGCCTTGTCTAGCTCTCCCTACTCCCAATTCAGGCACCCCACAAGTAAAAACTTACTATTGTTGCCTATGTCTTCAGATGGTTCCATCCATATTTCTAAATACTATGCTTAGGCTACCATTTAGTGAATTTTCAGTTTTAGATACTTAAGAACCTTCTCCCATCACCATCCTCTATACATACTTACTTCTGATAGTGTTCCCAATACAATTATATTATGATTTGTATTAAATCAATATTCTGTGATTACATTACTATAACTAAGCAAGTATTCAGATCTGTACAACTTAGTTATGATGTTTAATTTTTTTCTTGAATGACTTTTCTGATTTTGTTTTAAACAGTTAATAATTATTTATTTTCCTGTTCATTTTTTCCTAGGCAGACTCAGATGTTTTGACTTAATGATTTTTTGACTTAGCAATGGTACAAAAGCAATACACATTCAGTTTGTTCCTCAACTTACAATGGGGCTACATCTGGATAAACTCATCCTAAGTTGAAAATATTGTTAAATCAAAGACACACTTTCAACATACAGTATTTTCAATTTACAGTGGGTTTATCAGAACATAGCCCCATCAAGGAGGGGCTGTACTCGTAAGTCAAGGAGCACCCATACTCATTATGATTCCTTCTCTCCAAGACTCCAACAAACCTTATAATTCTTCTCAAGATCAACACATTGAGAAATCTGTAATTTCTATTTTGTTTTGTTTGGCTTTGTTTCATTGTTTTCTTTGGTGACATGTCTCTGGGGCATATATCTGGACGGTGAAATATATTATATCTGGAGGATATGTTGAATATGTTACGTCCTCCAGATATACATGGAATGGAGGATTGACAATTAAGGCTGAAACAAGTGTCCCAGAGACACCATCCTGGAATGTCCATCCTCCTGTTCCAACCTTGACTAGTGGATCTTGAGGCCAACTACATCACTGTTTTCTTAGAATTTCCCTTCATCTTCCTCCTGGGGATTCCCTTTGCCTCCTACCTGTATTGGATTCTCTGTGTCCTTGATTTTATAACTCCCTCTTTCAAAGTTAATTCTATCCGGAAGGAACTCATCTTCCAGTAGCTCAGTGGTCAGCAAACTATGGGCCTGCAGGATAAATCTGGCTCTCCATCTATTTTTGTAAAACTCACAAGCTAAGAATGATATTTACATTTTTAAGTGGCTGGAGAAAGAGGAATATTTTATGACATGTGATCGTTACACGAAATTCAAATTTAAGTGTTCACAAATAACACTCATTTGGAATATAGGTATACCCATTCCTTTATATTGTTTGTAGCTGCTTTTACACTACAAGGGCAGAACTGAGTGGCTGCAACAAGAATTGTATTGTCCACAAAGTCTGTAATATTTATTAACTGTGCTTTTACAGAAAAAGTTTGTCGACAGCTGAAACAACCCACAAAGTGTGGAGCATGACATGGAATTGTTCTGAAATTTTTGCATCTAAAAATGTCTTTATTCTACCCTCATGTCTAATTTTTAGTTTAGCTAATTATGAATTTCTAATTTGTAAATCACATTTCCACAAATATTCAAGGTCTTCAGTGTTCAGGGCTGTTATTGAGAGGTCTAATAACATTTTAGCTCTCTCTCCTGGTATTTTTCCTCTTTATAAGTTATGTTGTTATGTTTTCTCAAGTGCTTTAGAATCTTCTTAATTTATTTTACTGAGATCTCAGTAATAGTGTGTTCATTTTTTATTATTTTTAATCTGGTAATACATGTTCTTCAATTCTGGGAAGCTTCTTTGAAGCATTCCTTTGATAATTTTCTCCCTTCCATTTTCTCAGTTTGCCCTTGTTGCAACTCTTTTTATTTAGAAATTGGGCCTTCCGGGCTGATCTTTTCTCTTTTATCTCCTATTTTATATTTTATATTTTATCTCCTGATATTAATTCCTTTATATTTTAGTTGTCTCTGGGATGTTGTTTCAACCTTAGTTGTCAATCCTCCATTTCATATAAATATACCTCTTACAGATATAACATATTTAATTCTCCAGATATATACAAAGACACATACACATGAACAAACACAAAATAAATAGAAGCATATATAAATATATGATATACATATAAGGTATATGCATATATACATATATTGTATATATTACATATATTCATATTCAATATTATTGATTTAATGAATACTTATTTTATTGCTTTTTCTTTCCTTTTTGTGGCTTTATTCTCTTACCACTCCAAGGATACAAATTATCCATGTTTTGAATTTTTGTATACTTCTTGTATTTTATATATTTTTTGCTTTTTTTCCTCGAGTTGTGACCCCAGTTTATAACATGGATTTTTAAAAACATACTATTTTATTTAGTGATGTGATGCTTATAGTTTTACCTAGTATTTTCTAAGTTTCACCCAAAGTATAGTAGCTAAAATAAACAAAATATTGTATTTATTTATTTAGTCACTGTGTATGTAGGTCTGCAATCCAGGAGCAGCTTAGCCAGATGCCTCTGGCTCAGGGTTTATTAGGAGGCTGAAATCCAGGTATCACCTTTCCCCAAGGAAATCACTTGGGGACGCAATGATGGCAAAGCTCAAATAGAGAAGAAAGCTCAAATGGAGAATTTATTTCCCCGCTCTCTCATGTGGTTGTCAGTGGAACTCAGGAACTTCCTGGCTGTTGACTAAGGATAGCAGCTTCTCACTAGCTGGGCTTCACCACAGGTTTGCATGTTTTCTCCAGAGTGCAGGCTGAGGGCAGAGAGAAGCTGCTGGGACCGAGGGAGGAGAGGCTACAGTTTTTTGTAATCTAATCTCATTAGTGACATTCTATCTCTTCTGCTATATCATATTCATTAGAAGTGAGTCACTAATTCTCTAATTCAGCCCACATTCAAAAAGATTAAAAAGGGAATGAGGCCGGGCGTGGTGGCTCACACCTGTAATCTCAGCACTTTGGAAGAGACCAGCCTGACCAACATTGTGAAACCTTGTCTCTTCTAAAAACACAAATATTAGCTGGGCGTGGTGGCGGGAGCCTGTAATTCCAGCTACTCTGGAGGCTGACGCGGGAGAATCGCTTGAACCTGGCAGGCGGAGATTGCAGTGAGCCCAGGTGGCGCCACTGCACACTCCAACCTTGGTTACAAGAGAAAAACTCCTTTTAAAAAAAAAAAGGGAATGAATACCAGGAAATGGCAATAACAGAAGACCATATCAGACTGCCTACAAAAGAAACTTTGAGATATACGTTATAGTTGCAATCTTTGTTCAGCAATAATATAACACTTGCGCTTCTTAGAAATAAATAATAAATGTGATGGTTTTCCATCTTTATTTGCACTATGAAACTTCTTGCTTGCAAATTACTTTTTTAATTAAATGTTTGAAACTTGTCTGCTTCTGAAATATTTTGGTAAGTTATTCTTTAATTTTTTTCCCAATTACTCTATAATTGTTTGCCTAATTAAGTTATGTCTTTCCTTTTGAATTAACATCCACCCCCCAGGATACTGCCTGTCTTATTGAGATTTTAAAATTTATTTGTACATATTAATACAAATAATTTTTATGTTATTACATCTAGGTCTCCCACAAGCATACCATAACTTCTCAGATTAGTAATTTAGCATGATTTTATGTCCCTGTATTGCCTAAGATTCATTTTATTAGCCTTTTGTTCATTTTAAATTATTCTTATGTATCCCTAATTTTATGACAATTGTTTATTTTTGAATTACCCAATACTGAAGTAATTATATTGAGATTTTATTGTTTTTTAACCATACTTACATTTAAGAAAATAATTTAAAGCAGCTCACTACTGTCCCCACTTTATGTAAGCCCTTTATAAACCAGTTACCCAATTTTTTAATTCTTAATGTTAATTTATATTACAGAGGACTACAATACATACTCAAATATCTTTTTAAGGAAGATAATCATGTAATATAGTTCTGAAACCTTATATGTTCCAGAATATCAATATGAAGTCTTAAATATCAATTAATTTTACATGAATGTAAAATTATGAAATCGTTTTTTTGACATCAAAAGTAATTTTTTCTCTTATAGCATCTAGTGTTTCAGAGTCCTTCAGCCAATATAAAATGTAATCCATAATATACAGTTAAAGGATTACATACATGTAATTATGTCTATATATTTACATGGAGATGACATATATTCATATAATATAAATATATAATATGTGATTATAAATGAATATATGTTATATATGTTATATATGACATTACAATTAATATTACATATCATATATAATTAAAGTATAAAATATACTTAAAATATAATCAAATACACTTTATGAAATATATAATTATAAATATATAGCTTAATATTTTATATTATAATGTTACAATGTATAATATAATATATATTATCATAGATAATATTAACTATAACGTTATATGTAATATATATTAACTACAATGTTATATATATTTTATGTAATATATTAACTATATAAGGTTATATATCTTTCAGTTTATATATAACATATAACCTTATATTAATTATATGTAACACAATACATATTCATTATAACATATATAACATTATATAATATATATCACATAGAACATTGTTATAGATTATACATTAATATTATAATATATAATGCTATATATTTATAATTATATATATTTAATAAATATTATTTTATTTAGTAAAACTTTATATAAATTTTTAAATTTTTAATTTTTAATTTTTTTGAGATGGGGTCTCACTCTGTCATCCAGGCTAGAGTGCAGTTGTGTGGTGCCAGCTCACTGCAACCTCCACCTCCCAGGCTCAAGCAATTCTTCTGCCTCAGCCTCCCAAGTAGCTGGGATTACAGGCACCTGCCACTATGCCCGGCTAACTTTTGTATTTTTAATAGAAACAAGGTTTCACCATGTTGGCCAGGCTGGTCTCAAACTCCTGGCCTCAAGTGATCCAACCACCTTTGCCTCCCAAAGTGATAGGATTACAGGCTTGAGCCACTGCACCCAGCCCATTTATTTTATTAAAATAAAATAAATAAAATAATATGTTTAATTAAAATATATATTTGTATAAAAATATATCTATTTTAATATATGTATATTTATATATGAATGAACTACACATACAAATCTTATATTTTTATAAATGTTTAAATATTCATTTATATAAATATAAATATATTTCATACTTTAGATATAATTACATATATTAATATATATGCATATAAATATAAATATATAAATTTATGTAAATTTAAATATACAAATATAAAACATATGCATATTTTTATACAAATATGTATTTTTAAATATATATATTTGTCTAATATAAATATATCTGTATTAGGGTTCTCTAGAAGGGCAGAACTAATAGGATAGATGTATGTATGAAGGGGAATTTATTAAGGATCACAGGATCAGAAGTTGAAGTCCCACAAGAGGCCATCTTCAAGCTGAAGAGCAAAGAAGCCAGTTGAGTCCCAAGACTTCAAAAGTAGGGAAGCTAACAGTGCAGCCTTCAGTCTGTGGCTGAAGGCCAGAGAGCCCCTGGCAAATCACTGGTGTAAGTCCAAGAGTCCAAAAGCTGAAGAACTTGGAGTCTGATGTTTGAGAGCAGGAAGCATCCAGCATCAGAGGAAGATGATGGCCGGAAGACTCAGTAAGTCTACTTTATTCTAGTCTCCCTGTCAGTTGATTAGATGGTGCCCACCCACAATAAGGGTGGGTCTGCCTCTCCCACTCCACTGACTCAAATGTTAATCTACTTTGGCTACACTCACAGACACACACAGGAACAATACTTCGCATCCTTCAATCCAGTTAACTCTTAATATTAACCATCACAATATATATTTCTATTTACATATATGTATATTTGTAAATATACATATTATATTAACATGTCACATTTAATCCTTTACATATGTGACATGTATGTGTAATCCTTTACATATATGTGTATGTTGATTGCTTATGCTTTATGCTTATAATAAAAAATGTTTACATCATTCACCTAGAGTGAGAATATGATTAATTATTCCTGATTCACAGTAAAAACATTTATTAGGGTTTTTTTAATTCCCAAAAATGTTCTTGACTTAAATATTATGGGTATTGATTTTTGTCCTTTAAAAGTTTCTGGAACATGTAAATTGAATTTCTATTCTCTGTCTCCCATTATGATTAAGTTCTCTCAGAATTTTAATCTCTTTTTTCCTGTACTGTACTGTAAATCTTTTTCAAATTTGTATTTTATAATAATGATACCGTGACCCAATAAATGACTTCATTTTTTCTGCCTCCATTGGAAATTTTTATTTTTAATTTGTGTTTTTAAATTATTTATTATCTATTTCTGAATAAACTCATATTCTGTGTCAATCCTTTATTTTGTGGTAACATTCCATTCCTGCTTTTAGGAACTAGGTCTTTTAAGAATTCTAAACTGTCGTGGTAAAATTTACAAATCTTTGTTATTCTTTTTTGAAAGGTATATTTTTCCTTTGAGTTTTTACTATGAGATTGTCTTTTCTTAATTTTGCAAACTTTTTACATGCCAGAGATTGATTTTTATTGCTAATAAATCTTAAACAAAGAGAGTTATATTCAGGTATACCTTTTGTTAACTGAAACAAGTTATGGAGACTGCTCTTGTAGTGTTATTGCCCATGGAATTTCTGATTGAATTCTCTTAAACATATCTATATCTGGAAAGCCTGTCTGCACATAGTTCTGTTGGCATAACCTGCAACATTTAGCAACGATTAATACAGATTAAGTTTCTTATGCTCTAATCTCAAGATGGTTCTGTGATAATTTGAAAAACTGCTAAAGAAAACAATGCATTTTATAGAAAATGCATTTCTCCTGTCAAAGCCTCCATTTCTATCAAAGCATCTCTTGTGAAATCTATACATCCTTGTAATATCTCGGGCCTGAGAAATTGTAACCAAACTGTTTGCATCATTTTATGTCTGCAAGGAAACAGAATGCTCTACGGCTAATCTTTCCCTTGGTCTATGTCTCATGAGTGATTTCAAACATGTGCAATCATATAAGCCAAAATATAGCTCATGTTCTGTCAATGGGTTGTTGACCAGTCTAAGTTTCCAATGTTGTTCTATTCTTTCTATGTCTTGATAACTTCTTAGCATGAAAAGATTAAATCTGAAAGCTAAGGAACTATTTTCAACTGAAATTCTAGGTTTAAATCTAAATATCTCTATTATACTTGATGTATAATAAAATTAATTATTTTTAATGTTATGCATTTGGCACCAATATTTATATTGTCCCAAAACAATAAAGTCTATTTCAGTGAAACTCTGCCTTTGTTTAATAGATCTTCATCTATATTATAATTTAAAAGGTGATTTGTTTTTTCTTGGCACAACAATTTCACCAATTTTTGTCACACCAGGAATAGTAAACTGCATGTATCCGCATCAAAATAGAAAAATGTTGTTTGTGCTTTTTTTTTTTTTAACTATGACACATTACTGTTTAATTTTTTTAGTCCTCTACCCCAAATTTTAACAGTTAATTAGCATATCATGTTACTTGTGAAGAAGAAAACACTCTTTAGAGTGGCAAGTGGCTGGGTCTCAAGTCAGCAGAAATGTGTACCATATCTGCTGAAGATCAAAGGTAACAGATTAAAAAAATGTAAGTGATAGCAGTTTAGGATTTTGTTTCTGTTTTTTTTTTAACTAATCAAAAAATGCACTTATAAAATATAATTTTTAAAAAGTGTTGTCTAAATTTAGTATTCAATCATTTAGCACACCGTCATTATTATTATAACTATTATATTAACTCTTCTGTATTCACATTGGTCAAATAATATAATGCCAGCCAAGTAAAGTTTATGTTTTTAAATCATACAAGTATGTTTGAAACTATATTCACAATCTCTGACATTTTCAGTTTCCTATTAATATGCTTTAACCAAAGTGCATTATAAAGAAATTATAAAAAAACTGACATCAAGGTCAAATTTAGTTATTTGGTAATATAAACTTATAGGCACAATGTGCAGCTCCCTTGTCTTAAAATATACCTATGCCTGCAAGGTTCCTGCCAGTAACTTTCTACAGTTGAGGAAACTGCCCTGATTTGCATTGACATTCAATAGCTTCCCCCAGGCAAATACCTGCAATCATCTGTTGAAGCCTGTCTATAGGCACAGAACAGCCTTAGAACAGTAGCTCTGTAAAAGCAGTTATTCCCTTGACTGTTACAGGAAGGACATTAGAGAACACAGAAGATTATTAACTTTTATTATAAAGTTCTTTTCATTCTAAAGACTTTTGCAAATTTATCATTGATTTTTAATATAAATTAGAAGACAAGTTAGTCTATATTTGCTAAATTCTAGGTTGGAACTTACAATCATTGGTATATATGATTTGCTCAGTTCTAGTAAACCAAACTCCATTTATTAAGCCCACAGCATGCACTGAGCACTTTGCTTAGTCCAATGGATCTATACAACACAAACTTTTATATGTAAAATTTAAGAAGAATGAATTCGGACTCAGAAAAAAACTGCAATAGAATCCTGTCTCTGGCTTTTAGCTCTATTCTGTTTGTCCAAATTACAGAGCATCCTTATGTATTCGATTCTTTACCTATAAAGTTATGCTGTCCAACTTTTTGAGTGGTTGTCGTGATTCAATGTTATAATCTATTTTAAAGTCTCAGCACAGTTGCCCTGTCATCACTCTAGAGAAGGCACTGAATGAATGCAAGCCATTACTACTATTTACTATCAAAAATCTCTTTAGTATCAACTGTGAAGACAGTTACATAGCTCTTCGTTTTCTTCCTACCTGAGAGATTCTTAAAATATTACTTAAAAAATAACCCAGAGAAGTATATCTTAAGACATCCTTAGAAAAGTTAAAATAAATTACAGGTTTGGTCTGATATTCAGCAAGTATTTAAGAATATGTTCATGTATGATTCATTTGTATAGACAGTATCTTCAGTGTTACTGAAATATTCATGACAAACTATGTTTAAAAGCAGAATTAATTAAACAAGACCAGAAGCTACTCAAATTTAAGTCGCTGAGATTAAGTTTTCCTTTTAAAGCCAACCCTATAGTCCCATAGATAGTTTTTTGGAATAAACATAAAAATTGACCCTTGTGTTCTTAAAGCTTGAAACTTACATTTGTTTTATCTGAGTTTCTTCCTTAGGAAAGGCTCCTCCGGCCTCTCAAAACAAAAGAATCAAATAACTGAAACTCACGAGATCATCACATCCAGACAATGAGATGCTGGACCCCTCATTCATCACGATTGCTTCCTTGCCCCTCCCTGGCTCCTGTTTTCATTTCTTCTCTGCTATATAAACTCCTAGTTTTAGTCAGTCATGGAGGTGGATTTGAGCCTGAGCTCCCATCTCCTTGGCTGCAGCACCTGATTAAAACCTTCTTCCTTAGCAATACTTGTTATCTCAGTGACTGGCTTCCTGTGTGGTGAGCAGCAGGACCTAGACCAAACCCCTAGTGTTTCAGTAACACTTTACTGGAGAAAAATACTATTAAAAGGAAAAACAAAACTATAATTCTCATTAATGATATAAACCAGAAAAAAAAAGGGAACGATAACATTGTAGCCACTCAGTGGGTTCTCCTTTGCCCCTGCCTAGATGGAGCCAATTTATCAAGGCAATGGAATTGTAATAGAGAAAGAGTTTAATTCATGCAGTACTGGCTGTACAGGAGACTGGAGTTTTATTATTACTCAAATCAGTCTCCCTGAAAACTTGGGGATTGGGTTTTTAAGTATTTGGTGGGTAGGGGGTTGGAAAGTGCAGAGTGCTGATTGGTTGGGTTGGAAATGAAATCATAGGGAGTTGAAGCTGTTCTCTTGCACTGAGTGAGTTCCTGGTTGGGGGCCACAAGACCAGGTGAGCCAGTTTACTGATCTGTGTAATACCGACTGATCCATGAGTACAGGGTCTGCAAAATAGCCCAAGCACTAATCTTAGGTTTTACAATAGTGAATAGATTTTACATTAGTGAATAGGTTTTACAATAGCAAATTGGGGAGGTTCAGAGCCTTTCAGCCTCCAGCTGCATAACTCCTAAACCATATTTTCAAATCTTGTGGCAAATTTGTTACCCCTGTAAAAGCAATTCTGGTCCCCAGGCAAGAAAGGGGTTTGTTTTAGGAGAGGGCTGTTATCATCTTTGTTTCAACGCTAAACTACAAACTAAGTTCCTCCCGGAGTTTCTTTTTTTTTTTATTAATTTTATTATTATTATATTTTAAGTTTTAGGGTACCTGTGCACAACATGCAGGTTTGTTACATATGTATACATGTGCCATGTTGGTGTGCTGCACCCATTAACTGGTCATTTAGCATTAGGTATATCTCCTAATGCTATCCCTCCCCACTCCCGCCACCCCACAACAGTCCCCAGAGTGTGATGTTCCCCTTCCTGTGTCCATGTGTTCTCACTGTTCAATTCCCACCTATGAGTGAGAACATGCGGTGTTTGGATTTTTGTCCTTGAGATAGTTTGCTGAGAATGATGGTTTCCAGTTTCATCCATGTCCCTACAAAGAACATGAACTCATCATTTTTTATGGCTGCATAGTATTCCATGGTGTATATGTGCCACATTTTCTTAATCCAGTCTATCGTTGTTGGACATTTGGGTTGGTTCCAAGTCTTTGCTATTGTGAATAGTGCCACTATAAACATACGTGTGCATGTGTCTTTATAGCAGCATGATTTATAATCCTTTGGGTATATACCCAGTAATGGGATGGCTGGGTCAAATGGTATTTCTAGTTCTAGATCCCTGAGGAATCGCCACACTGTCTTCCACAATGGTTGAACTAGTTTACAGTCCCACCAACAGTGTAAAAGTGTTCCTATTTCTCCACATCCTCTCCAGCACCTGTTGTTTCCTGACTTTTTAATGATCGCCATTCTAACTGGTGTGAGATGGTATCTCATTGTGGTTTTGATTTGCATTTCTCTGATGGCCAGTGATGATGAGCATTTTGTCATGTGTGTTTTGGCTGCACAAATGTCTTCTTTTGAGAAGTGTCTGTTCATATCCTTCGCCCACTTTTTGATGGGGTTGTTTGTCTTTTTCTTGTAAATTTGTTTGAGTTCATTGTAGATTCTGGATATTAGCCCTTTGTCAGATGAGTAGATTGCAAAATTTTTCTCCCATTCTGTAGGTGAACTCCCATTCACAATTGCTTCAAAGAGAATAAAATACCTAGGAATCCAACTTACAAGGGACGTGAAGGACCTCTTCAAGGAGAACTACAAACCACTGCTCAAGGAAATAAAAGAGGATACAAACAAATGGAAGAACATTCCATGCTCATGGGTAGGAAGAATCAATATCGTGAAAAATGGCCATACTGCCCAAGGTAATTTATAGATTCAATGCCATCCCCATCAAGCTACCAATGACTTTCTTCACAGAATTGGAAAAAACTACTTTAAAGTTCATATGGAACCAAAAAAGAGCCCGCATGGCCAAGTCAATCCTAAGCCAAAAGAACAAAGCTGGAGGCATCACGCTACCTGACTTCAAACTATACTACAAGGCTACAGCAACCAAAACAGCATGGTACTGGTACCAAAACAGAGATATAGACCAATGGAACAGAACAGAGCCCTCAGAAATAATGCCGCATATCTACAACTATCTGATCTTTGACAAACCTGACAAAAACAAGAAATGGGGAAAGGATTCCCTATTTAATAAATGGTGTTGGGAAAACTAGTTAGCCATACGTAGAAAGCTGAAACTGGATCCCTTCCTTACACCTTATACAAAAATTAATTCAAGATGGATTAAAGACTTAAACGTTAGACCTAAAACCATAAAAACCCTAGAAGAAAACCTAGGCATTACCACTCAGGACATAGGCATGGGCAAGGACTTCATGTCTAAAACACCAAAAGCAATGGCAACAAAAGCCAAAATTGACAAACGGGATCTAATTAAACTAAAGAACTTCTGCACAGCAAAAGAAACTACCATCAGCGTGAACAGGCAACCTCCTGGAGTTTTTTTAGCAGTATCCCAGGAATGATCAAGGATTGTTTGGGGGTTAGAAGCAAGATGGAGTTGGCTAGGTCAGATTCCTTTCACTGCAATAATTTTTTCAGTTATAATTTTGACAAAGATGGTTTCAACATAGGAATTACAATTATTAACAGTCATGAAATTGGCAGAATGTTGACACCAAAAACCAGTTTACATCATCGATGAAGAACTAAGAGGCAAAAGTGTTACTCATTGGCTAAATAAGTTATTAGTCCTGGATGGCTACTAGAAAGAGACTCAAAAATATTGTATGTTAGAAATTAACTGAAATACTAGATTAGGACCAGTAAAACTTATAAAACAAAAAGGACACTACATGATGTTTATATGTTAATTTCTTTAAATTTAGTTTTAAGTGTTATTTCTTCCCAAATTTAAAACCTACACACATATAGATTTTTTAGTTAGAATTATATTAAATAACAATTATTTATTGGAAATGTACAGAATAATTACTTTAACATGCATAAAAATTACTTTTTAAATACCCCTTGTGTATAATGAAAGTAATGAGCCTAATCTACTGCAACATTAGAAAATTCCTACCTGTCAAAAGATTTCTATTAAGAAAGAAGAGTTTCACAATAATTTAACCAGCTTTGAGGAGACATAATTTACAAAACCATGTTTATTAGTTGCATGAGTAAAATTTAATATTTTTATAATATAATAGGAAACAACTATGTGAGATTTTGGAAAATAAATAATGAATAATTAATATTTATTTTATTCTCAGAACTGAGTGGAAATAAGACATATAGGAGACCAACAAAAGGGATCAAGATGTCAGATTTGATAAGCAATTGATAAAGAGATTTAGAAGTGTGGCTTTAGACCTGTGGCTCAAATAGTGGTTTGAAAGCAGAATCAAGGATTAATCAAAGTGACTTCATCATCTCCGTATCAGAGACCGTTTATAATACTGTCCAAAGGTATTTAAGAATTGCTGTGAATCAATGATGATGGAGTGTTTCCTGTTCTCCTTCTGAATGGAAGTGTTCACAGAAATTATTCTATTCTTATTTCAGTGCTGAATGCTTGTTATATGGAGGCAGATAATTTGATGGAGCTACATCTAACTTGACGTAGAGACCACAGTGTGTCACCAGAGATTCTGGCCTCCTGAGCTGGATGCAGAAACTGAGAGAACTTGGAGTTGACTCCCATGGGGAGTGGGTAAGTATTTTCTGTCATGGTAATAATGTAATCAAGATATTTTTGATACCAGAATTGTGCCTAGCTTTGGACAGTGGACCATGGGTGGAGGAGGCGAGTGTCGCTTCTGGGCAGGAACAATAAAAATATCCTGCACAATGTTTCTTACTGTCTCTTCCTCTCCTGAGACAATCCTGGAACTCTCATGTTCAGATTGTGAAGGCATAAGACAGATAGAGATAAGATTCTTGAATTCCCACATATAAGGAGCTGTCCTAGAGAGGTTACTAACTTGCTGTGGGGTTTTCTTGAATGGAGGATGAACCTCTATTATGTTACACCCTAAAATTTGGGGAATTATTTTTTGGTTTTGTAGCTATAATATTTATTTATTGAATATATCTATATATCTCCTATATAATGCCATAATGCAATTAAAATTAAACGTACACATACAAAAATCTATAGCTCAATGGAAAACACCTGAAATTGGGTGATTTACTTTTCTTTGTAAAGTGAGAAATTAGGAAAGTTATTCTTATATGTAAATCTTGCTACATGAGAAAAAGATGTAAGGGAAAGATCTATAAACATACCTGGGAAGAATGATATATAAAATGATATATTAGCTTTACATATATATGCATGTGTATTTACATATATATGCAATATATATGTGTATATATTTTAGATGTTATTTAAAAATATTTGTGTAAAATGTTTTTTTGCCCAAATGATTCATTAATTTTAAGCACAAAATATATTATGTTTCTATAATTAGTTGCCCATGTAATTTATCATCCAAACAATGACATTTTTGAATGTGAAATAGGACACAATTAATAATTATGTCAGAACAACGAACGTAAACTAGGACTCTTCTGGGCAAACTAGGACATATGGTCACCCCACCTAGAAGTTTTAATTTCAAAGCTCTGGAAATTCTTGCCATTTCCCTCTCACTTTCTCCTCATGAAATACAAAACAAACGAAACATGTTCCTTCCTCACCTTAAAATACATTTGATGAAAATATGGACGTCCATTTCACTATTGGAGCTTAGGACTCATTGCTAAACCAGATAGCTCATCAATTTGTTTAAACATCCTAAGAGCAAGCAGGTCATAGTGGGAAGACTGCCACTAGTAACTAGAAATGGAGGTGGATGAGCAAGAGTGTGTGAGGATTTCCACAAAGTAAAACAAGACTAATAAATAGTAACTGAACGCACCCAAGATGAATCTTCACTTACTTTACATGCAAAGAGCTGGTCATGTCTGAATACATAGTTCCTAAAGCTAAATTATCATTAACCTTGAGAGAGATTTCATGGTGCATGCTTTATTGTTCTCATTTTATTTCTAATTTCAAACTGAGATCTTCTGCCAAGCAACTTTCCTTTCTCCTTCAATAATTACCTGAAATCCAAACTTCTATATGAAGTTGTCCATGATTAAGTCATTTAAAGAAATTAAACAGTCTTGAGCAATAATCAGTCAGAGCAGTTATCCATTTTAGATGAGTCATCTGAATAATAATCATTAAAAAAATCCTCTTCAATAGCAGTTTTAGCCTGATTTTTTTCTATAATTGCCTTCATCCCTCAGCACAATTACTAAATGTCCACACACTTCTTTTACAGTTTTACTACCCAAATCATTTGCTCTTGCTCATCAGCTTTGCAAATTAATATTTTGTTAAATGCACCAGGGTAGCTTATTTGAAAAGAATGCTAAAGTAATTTTTTTATAAATGACTAATAAATATACCTGAAATGACATTTAGTAAGTTTAAGGTTTCTTATAGTAGGGTAAGCTTGTGTTTCTTGGTAAATTGCACACTTTCCAGGATATTGAAATTTATTAAGACCAATAGCAGCAGCATTAATAATGATGATAATAACTACCCATTGATTTTGCCCCAAATATGGGGTAGATGCTAGGTATTTTATCAACTCTTAAAATAAGACTGTAAGCTATTTTTATCCCTATTTTAAACTTCAGACCTTATGAACAAATCCAGCATCTCATGGATGATTATGCTTTTACATATTTGCTTTCAAATTTTCTAACTTATTGAAACAATAAACTCTATGAAGGCAGAGAAGATGTCTATGTCTATTCTACTTGCTTTGCCCTGTCCCTATCACATTCAAGGACAATGAAGGTATCACACTTCAGAAAACTATGAAAAAATAAAAATATATATAAAGGAACAGAGCTAACTCCAAAAATAGTTGTGTTTGTGTTAATTTGGTAATAATTATTGTGTGCTTCAGTTCTTTATACAATTTCTTGCTCATATTTCCTCATCTACAAAAGCATGGAATTATTACTCAAATTTTCCTTTCATTCCTATATGAAAAAATTACATATAAAATATAGCATAAATTTAGAAATGAAGTTGACAGTTTTATGGCAGAAGCAAAAACTGATTGCCAGCCATTAATTAACACTCTAATTTCCTGTTAATAGATTTCCAATTTTGTTCTATAACATTTAACCCATTGCAGAGGATGTCTTCACTGAATATAAGCCAGTCTTGGCAAATGGGTTTCCTTTGCCAGATCTCTCCTTTCCCAGTCTCTCGTGTCACTGGGGGAGGTTCTGGGATATGTCTCTGGTCAGTTATGTGTTTTGTTATGTGAAAAATATTCTTGATACAATAGTAGCCTCCACATATACGAGAAGGCATGCTATACAAAAGGCTGTGGAACAGAAAGGCTCACAAACCAAATTAAAGTGCCCCAAATCACAGAGATTATAAAAATCAGAGTAAAACACAGTGAGAAGAAAGGGGAAATAGGTGGGATAAGCTAACACAGAATAGGATGTAAGCAAGATAGAAGGACCATGTTACCTGAATCTTGAGTGCATGGGGTGTTCACACATCTTGTCTTTTTCCCTGCCACATCAATTTTTCCTGTTGATTATGTAGTTATGATGACCAGAGCTGAGATTTCTAGCAACTGTGCCATTAGACAAAAGGTGTTCTGTGCCAGGAACATTTGATCCACTGGAGAGACACAGGGACACAGACCAAAGTATAAGCTTGGCAAACATCTTGATGAACAGCTATGGGATGTATTTGTGTTTCTTTGGCAGAGAAAACATGGGACCAGAATGTGTGTTATCTATGTGTGGCCAAATAAGACCCCGTGAATATTAAGTGCCCAAATATTTTGAGACTCATATATTGAATCACGTGTATATTTGGTATATCATAAATATTTAGTACACAGGTGCTTCATAAAGATTAAATATCTCTTGGTCCTTTCATCCATGTATATCTGTGTTTGACACACACCTATCCTACTTATTAACTACTTATCTTATAAGTAACACATCCTATGAATTCTGCCGAAGTCTAACAAACTCTTTGCTTACTGGTTACTTATCTATAATGAAACGACTTTAAATAGTTTTGCCTATGTCTTAAAACTACAAACTTAATTCATCGAAGAGAATTGGATATGCTCAAAAGGAAATGTGCATTTCAAATATAAAGAAAAAATGTTTGAAGGCATATGGAGAATTTTTTTTTAACTCATAGAAACCAGACCTCCTGTTTTCTGCCTGCTCACTTCCTTCCAGCTTGGAATGTTGGTATAAAAACATGGCTGTGGAGCTTTAAGAGCCATCCTGCTTCTATGATGATAAAAAGTAAATAGGAACAAGTTGCTGCAAGTTGTAAAAAAAAAAAAAAAAAAGTATGTGTCCTTGACAACATTTTTGAGGCACTGACTAAAAGGTAGAATTGTTTACTTTAGATATTTTGTGACATAAGCAAAACTGCCCTAATTATCCATATCACTATTAGATTTTCTTTTGTTTTCACTCAAATATACTTAAATGATTTTAAGACCTATTACCAACTCTCAAAGTTCTATATCAGGGGAAGATATAACTCACAGAGTGTTTTGAGCTAAAAAATGAAAGGTGTGAGAAAGACGCAAAGGTATTCTTTAAGACATGTCTTATCAATTCATTACCATACATAAGTGTTCAGAAAGTTCTAGCTTATTCTGTCCAAAAAAAGTATCAAACACCCTCAGAGGAAAATAAAAAACTGTCTGTTCTTTTGTTTAATATATAGGTGTGTGTGTTTGTGTACATGTATGCTCATGGCAATCTAAAACTATTCCTATTATGATTTTTGTCATATAGTATGCATAATATGATATGCATATATTATTTTTAATCATATTATATTTTACTATATCATAATGTTTATGTCCAACAAACAGATGATGTAAACTTTGTGCTCTATTACTTGGAGATATATATATATATATATTTATACACACACATATACATGCAGTAACAATATCCAAATTACTTATTTTACTTCATGTATGTCAATATCTATATTGATACCTATAATTATATAAATTATATATATTATGTGCATGTATATTTAAAGAACATTATAGATATGTGTATACTTGTATGTGTATTGATACACACTTATTCTTGGATATAAAAATACATATATGTTCATTTATATCCTATGGCAAGCTAGCACTGTAAGAATTTATTAATTTATTTTTATACATGATTGTGTAATAATAAAATAAATGAACAGCTTACCTTAAGGAAATATGTCTTTTTTTCCATTCTCCTACAACCCAACAGAGTAGTTGATTTAGCAGATACTCAAGGTAAGGGCATTAATAATTGTTATTTTTGGATCATCAAATAAATTTTAAAGTTAATGTAAGCATAATTACTAAAAAAGGTAACAAATAATTTGGATTAAAAGCACCCATAAAATTAAATTCAGAAACAATTATGAAAAAGCAATGTCAATTACCTGTAAATTGTATTAAGTATTTAGTATTTGTTATTTGTTACAAATAATGCTGTGCAAAACCTAAAAGGAACTATTGAAACAGTCACAGAGGTTCCATAAATAACTGGCTATAACAGAATAATGTCATCTTTGGTAAAAGTCAAAGTAGCCTTCCTAATTTTCAAATGTTCTTTCTAAAAACTAAACCAATATGGTAGTATAGAATTATAGATATAGCCACATTTAATCTAGAACAGTTTAGTGGTAACATACATAGTTTGTTGGGATTTTAAAACTTTGTGTTACAAGCGTATGCATTAATAAATTGAAGTGGAAATTATACAAAGGATAGTAAATTATAGGAGAAAATGTGCTCTAAGGAATATATTAGTCAATAGTTGAATCACAGATTAGGAATATGAAGTTTTGTGATCCAACCATGGCATCAATTAAACATGGATCTGTGTGTAGAGTTTCTTGTGTTTGGTTTCCTAGCAACACTCCTTTCTCTTTTTTATGTAACTGATGTTGCTTTTTAAGAGACACTTATCAGTCCATGGCAGGGCACCTGACCAGTGTAAGACTTGTAGCAATTCATC
Source organism: Homo sapiens (assembly GCF_000001405.40). Taxonomy (NCBI): domain Eukaryota; kingdom Metazoa; phylum Chordata; class Mammalia; order Primates; family Hominidae; genus Homo; species Homo sapiens. The sequence continues at coordinate 66,001,378 of NC_000013.11, forward strand.
CCACACTAGGGGAGACAGTAGAGAGAAGCAATTAAAACAGCTCTGGAGGCAAATTCTCCAGATTTATATCCTGCTTTTGACACTTAGTAGCAGTGTAATTTTGGGCAAGTAGGTTAACGTCTTTGAACCACAATTTTGTTGTGTGGGAAGTGTAAGTGAGCTAATAAATAATAGGTATAGAAAAATATTCTTTTAAATAAGGGTTCAGTACATATAACTCTCTATATAATGATAAACCTCCACAAAATCATTAACTTATTCACCTATCTCCCCAAAGCCAGACTGATTTAAATGATAAAAAATATAAATACAAATTATTTCAGCTTCTGAGAAGGTGGATAAAACATAATTTTCCTTATTTCTCTTGCTAAGTAAAACTAAAATCCTGGACGTTATATATAAAACAAATAAAAGCAGGCTCTGAAACATAAAGAGAAGATGGCAGCTCAGCGAGGGATGTTGGTATCAGAGAAATATAACAAGGGTGAATTTCCATTCTTTTCTTTTTACCTCATATACTCCAGACTGGACAATGAACAAGAGGGCAACACAGGATACCAATGGAAGCAAGCAAGCAAATAAACAAAAACGCCATTCTATTCAAATTCTATTCTCTTGTGGAAATAAGCAGCTTGAAAAGACAGGAGACTTTCAAACAAGAAGTCCTCTGTTGCCACCAATGACACAGAAAAAAATCTGTGACCTCATTCTCCTTCACAAAAGCCTAATGGAAAGTTTATAATTCCAACCTTGATAGGCTATAAGGAGATACCCCAACATGTCTAGGGTAGTATCAAAGAGGGTTGAGTAGAGAACCAAGAAATATTCATCTAATCCAGATGGTCATATGCTCCCTCCATACTTCACAAGGTATGATGGAGACTGCACGGGAAAGCCAGACTTCTATCCCTACCTACCAGTAAGGAGGCATCCCTTCCCATATACGCTGATGTGATGTCAGAAGAGGCCAATTAGACAATCAGGACTTTCAACATCACTCAGCATTAATTAGGCCATATTCCTCCCATGGTGTCACTGATGGCCACGTGGAGAGCACTAATGGGATCCTTTTATCCCACACAACCCATGCAGTATTAGGAGAAGCTTAATGCAGGGCCAAGACTTTCACCCCACTCAGAAGTAATTAGAATACTTATCCCAATAGTCACCAGAGGCCAAATGATGAACCTGAAATTCTACTCCTACTTCACAATAATGAGGTGGTGCCATATGAAGTTGGTCAAGACAAAGTGTTGAAATAAGACCAAGAGTCTCATAACATACAACAATGTAAATGGATTTATCCCAGTGAAGTCTACTCCTACAAAAGATTAAAATGGTAAATTATATGTATATACACACATATTATATATATGTGTGTGTATATATATGTTGTGTGTTATGTGTTACACACATATATATTTATATATATGTGTATATATACACACATATATGTGTGTATATACATATAACTTACCATTTTAACCATTTATATGATGTGTACATATATAGATGGTTTTATATATATATACACATATATATACATTTTGACCAAAATTATATATATGAAGCAAAACCCCAAAATGTTAAGGTGCTTATTCTCAGTGGTAAGTGAAGTTTTATTCTTTTATTCTCTATGTCTTCCTGTATATTAACAAATATATTTACAATTTTTAGAAGTCTTATAATACATACAAAATGTTCACGTTTCAATTAAAGATCACTCATCATTGAAAGAATATGAAAAAATGGATGGAAAAATGTTATGACAGTGATGTGAGAATTATCTGACAAAGATTTTAAAGTAAACATCATAAAAATGTTTCAGCAAGAAATTATGAATAGGCTTAAAATCAATGAAAAAATTAGGAGCCTCAACAAAGAAGATATAAAGAAAAATCAAATGTAAGTTTTAGGACTGAAAAATACTATAACTGAAATGCAGAGCTTGATGGCGGGGATTAACAGAAGATAGGTGGGCCGAGAAGACACAGCCAGCAAACTTGAAGCTGGAACAATATAAATTACTCAATCTGAGCAAAATTAAGTAAAAGAAAAAAGAAAGGACAGAGCCTCAGGGATCTGTGGGAGTAAACCAAAATATCTGACATCCATACCACTATTGTCCCTGAAAAAGAGAAAAAGAAGAGCAGACCTAAGACATCTTTGAGATATAATGGCTGAAACACCCCAATTATTTTGACAAAAGACACACATTTACAGAGTCAAGAATTTGAGCGAATCTCATACAAAATAAATACAAAGAAATACATACCAATATATGATAGTCAAAGTTTAGAAACATATTTTTTGGAATCTATGAGTAAGAAACAGCACTTATATAAGGGAAAAATAATTTGAATGACAGGTGATTTCTTATCAGAAATCATGGAGCTAAAAAGGAAATGGAACATTTTTCAACTACCACAAGAAAGGAACTATAATTCTATACACACCAAAAATATTCATAAATAAAGAAAACTCAAAACCAAACATTCTCAGATGAAGGAAAACAAGGGAAATTTATGAACAGAAGAGCTACCCTAAAATAATGCCTAAATGATGTCATCTCACTAGACAGGCTGTGAAGAAAAACATCTTGGAACCACAGGAAATAGATAAAAACATAGAAAGCAATAATATGAATAAATGCAGTAGAATTGTTTTCTATTTTAGAGTAATCTAGATGTTTGACATTTGAAACAAACAAATTATACTGAGATTTTTTTAATGTAAGTAAAGGAAATATTTAAGGGATTTATATTATAAAAGGCATACAAAAAGAGGTAAGGTCTTTCGTCACAGTTACAGTTGAGACACCAGGACTTTGAAGTGTTGTCATGGCATCTTGGGCAATTAACTATTGTTCTTGTTACTGTTATTGTTATTACTATTTCTGGATAAACTGTGACCTGATACTGTGGTCTGGTGAAAACATAAGCCTGACCACAGAGCACTAATCTTAGCAGCTAGTCCTACAACAATAGGTGATCATAACAGCTGTCTCCTACACCTAGCCACAAAATCAGGTTTGTCTGGAAGCTTTCCATCATTAAAGAGAGATCCCCTACATGGAAACAGACCTAAACTGATCCTACATGTGTTTACACACAGATTTAGAGTGCTCGTTTTCACCAGGCTGATGCTTTTATTAAACAACCTACTATGAGTTAACCAAGGATGAAAAGATTGATCCTGATTTACAGATGGCTTTTTGTTGTATGCCAATATTAACTGAAATGGACATCTGTGCCACCATGTTTTTTTTGTTTGTTTTTTTTTTTTGTTTTTGAGACAGAGTTTCTCTTCTGTTGCCCAGGCTGGAGTGCAATGGTGTGATCTTGGCTCACTGGAACCTCTGCCTCCTGGGTTTAAGCAATCCTCCTGCCTCAGCCTCCTGACTAGCTGGGATTACAGGTGCCCCCCACCATGCCCCACTAATTTTGTATTTTAAGTGGAGACAGAGTTTCACCATGTTGGTCAGGCTGGTCTCGAACTCCTGACCTCAGGTGATCCACCCGCCTCAGCCTCCCAAAGTGCTGGGATTACAGGTGTGGGCCACTGTGCCCGGTCTACCATGTTTCTTAAAACAAATTTTCTGATCAGTAATGGAGCCAGAAAAACAAACAAACAAAAACTCCCAGTTGACAGATTTATATTATCCATTTATCTTCAAGGAGGAACGGCCTATAGTGAGAATATATATAAAATCTGGGGAAAAGGCCAATGAGTTGAATGATTAGAGGCTTCAAAGAGGTTTCGTAGAAATTCTGTTTTTTTGTTTTTGTTTTTTTGGTAGGGACGGGGTTTCACCATGTTGCCCAGGCTAGTCTCGAACTCCTGGGCTCAAGCGATCTGCCTATCTCGGCCTCCCAAAGTGCTGAGATTACAAACTATATTCAGGGTATACAGGATATATTCACAGCACTTTCATAGTTTTTATAGGCTCACCTGTAATCTCAGCACTTTAGGAGGCTGAGGAAGGCAGATCACTTGAGCCTAATTACCTAGAAATATGAGTACTAAATGTATGCTTACCAGATAATATCACTGGAAAAGTAATTTTCAAAGTCAGGCAGGAAGAAGAGTTTTTTGTGTGTGGATTTTAGTTATTTTCCAGCAGGCTATCCAGAGCTTGCTCAATGGCATCATGAATAAAGTGGTGGCTATAGCATCAATTATAAAGACAGTAATGGCTATCTCATCGCAGTCAACTTATTGAAGCTGACATGCATTGCTGAATGTCCAGTTTACCAACGGCAATTAACCATAACCTGAGGAGATCAGCCAGCTTTCTTGTGGCCAGTTGCTACTTTGAACACTTCGGTCATAGTTGGGGTAGCAAATTGTTTTTTTCTAGAGTAGACGTGTATTACATGTTTAATTTGCTTTCCCTGCCTATACCTCCGCTGAAAACACCAATATCCCTTATTAAGTAAACAATTACATAAAAAAGTGTTTCCCACACAAAATTTCTTGTGTCCAAGCAACTTTATGTCAGAATTTAAAAGAAGTTAAAATGTAAAAAATAAAAAATCCTACCTTTAAGTTATTCTCTGTTTATTTCATTTTCTGATTCAAGCCAGAAACACAATGAGCCAGGAAGAGCCTTGGAAACTATGCCTACAAGATCAACCCCACTTGATATAAGAGTTTTTGAAGGGCAAGATTTGATAGCAAAAAGACCCAGCGTTGTCACAAAGACCCACTCCCAAATCGTTTGCATTCTGTTCTCCTGAATCTCAGCTCTGTTGCTCTAAAACATTTTAGTATTGAAAGAAATGTCTTCCACCGGAAATACCAAAACATAATTTCATAGTTTCATTGAATGGCAAAGTTAAGCTGCCACGTGGATAATTCAGACATTTCATAGAGTTAAAGTAGATGTATTTTTAAAGGGCATAAGTATTAGCTAAGGGAACTGTCAAGTGCAATAACGATACTTTTTCTATTCTTCAGGGTTTTTCATCACTGCCTTCAATTCAGTGAGGTTCCTAATCATCTTTCCACTAAATCGACTTTTGCTAAAGTTAGTATAACTCAGTTTCTGTCGGTTGCCATTAAAAAATTTTAACATACAGAGAGGAAGTGTGCACAGGCTATTTCAATATCCCTTTCCTGTTTTTTGAAGTGTTTATGAAAATATATTAATATATGCTTATTTAAGTTCAGAAAATTACAGAACATCAATGAAACAATCGACTACCAACTTCCTAGGAACACAGGTGCAAAAGCATATACACAGACAACAGTAAAAATGAGAAGATTCCTTGCAAAGGAATGTCAAATTCTTTTCTTGGCCAACAGGAATAATTCTATGTTATGATAAGGCATGTAATCTAAGTATATTATCCTTTGCATCATTCAAATTCTAAGTACTTCTAGAAATTCTTTAAGCTGCCTATTACTTTTCTTAAAAATTTAGCGTAAGAAAATTTTGTTGTCTGCAACCAAAAACAGTGCCCGATATGCTATTTTGTTAAAGAAATGGTTGTGCGTTGAGGGGGCAAGCGGGGAGAACAAACTAAAATAAATGAGAAATTAGAGTGTATTCCTGACATCCTGACGCAGAGTTTGAAGGCAATGAGGATTTGGTTACCATCATTTGAAAAAGCACTGGTAATCTCTGGCACACAGTGGTGGAACATTATTTAAATTATTAACCGTGGATACTTGGAATAAAATGCCCATTGAGGCAAAACTTCAAGTGGCTGTTGCAATGCATGCATTTGAAAGTCTGCAATGTGAGCTAGCTGCTTCTAAATTTGATGGAGAGCTTAAAGAAAATTACTCAATTAAGTTGTTGAACAAACACATGGTCAGAGAACCACTAGATTTTTTTCATGTAACAGTATAGTTCAAGTAGGTAAATATCAGATGTGGAGCCTGAACATGGTGGTACTGAAATATAAGATATATTCAGAGCATTTTCATCATTTTTTGTATAAAAACTGGGACATTGTTTAAGAAGAGTGGGAAATTAAGAAGTGTACTAGAGGTATTTAATCTCTAAATACCCCAAATGCACGGACTTCATTGAGACTCCCTTCCTAGTGAAAACAACCCTTTTCCCCACATTGAATGATTATTTTGCTGAAAACTGTGTAGTAACCACACCGGAGGATAATTAATTATTTCACAAAGGGATGTCAGTTTTCCTCATGTCCAACTTCATACCACTCTACATTGCCTCCAGACCCTACCTGGGTGCACATTTGAATTATCTGGGAACTTTAAAATATTCTGCTGCCTTGACCAATTAAATCAGATTCTGAGTGGCGGCCCAAGCATCTGTCTCTTTTCAAAGTTTTCCCCAGGGGTAGGCTTACTTCACCCCTCAAATGTATATGATCTATATATGTACACACACACACACACACACACACACACACACACACTTTCTTATTTGTATTGTCAAAAACATGAAAATGTGTAGGAATAAGTCATATGGGTATGAATAGATCCAGATAAATTCATTGATATGGGCATATTTATTAATAGTTCTGGATTTCGTGTATTAGCTAAATCATTTGGGAATAGTTTTAACTGTTTGTTAAACTGCCTGTTCTATATAAAAAAGATAAAGATGAAAAATATTGCCATTAAAATGGTCTCGTCGATTTTATTGTTTTTGGTGGTATTTTGAATTTACAGTGGTCAAGAAAGTAGTACTTAAGTACCAGAAGCACCATTAGCAGCATAGTCAGTTATTTGGGACAGTTGGTTGCAGAGAGATCTTTGATAGTAGCTAATTGATCATAGAATCTCTAGAACAAAAAGACATGGGCATTCTATTAATAATTTATTTTAATTAAAAAATTCTAGGACAGAAAATAAAAGCCTTCTATGACCCATATCAATACAGAGTCATGGATCTACCCAGCAGCAATATTCGAGTCACGTCAGTACAAACACAAAGAGTATATTGAATGAAGTTAAGACAGAGGTGTCTTGAAGAATTTCCCACTAATAACATCTCAAAGATATGTTGTAAATTTCACTTTCTGTTTTCTCCAAAGAATTTCACTTCCTGTTTTCTCCAAAGAATGCTTGGAGTTTCTGTGCATTGGGAAGAGAAAACATTCAGAACCCTGCCACATTATTATTGAACATGGGTTCTGAGTTAACCTTACTCAAGGCCACGAATGCTTATGTTCATCTTTTGGACAAAATAAGGGGCTTATTGGTGTCAGGTTGCTAACTCAGTCTCACAGGGTCTATGAAAAATATAGTTTTACTTCTCTCCTATTTTTAAATATATAGTTAGAATATATATATACTTTAACCTGGGAAAAATTCTCACTTAAACTTCATCGACACATGGGTGAAAACTAGTAAGGTTAAAAAAAAGTAGATTTACTTTTCCATACCAAACAGTAAACTAAGAGCAGTACTTTTCCATACCAAACAGTAAACTAAGAGCAGTGCAATAACTTTGAGAAAATGATTACAGTTTGCGTCGCCATTGAAGATCTGGAATAAATAGCAGTGCTGTTTCTTATCACAATCTATTTAACTTTGCTTGCACTGGATACAGAAAAATGACAATGAATTATCATAAGCTTGATCATTGGTGACTCCATCTGAAGCTACTATTACAGATGTGATTTGTTTTTTGGAGCAAGACCACAGAGTGCCAAGAACCAAGAATGTTATTCATGTAACAGGTTCTACTTTCTTTATTCTAAAAGGCAGTGCATCAAAAGACATTTGCTTTCACCTGGCAAGTTTAGTAGTACATCTTTACCATGTTTTGGGGGCTATGTTTGGTCTCTGACACTGCAATGTAAGTTATTCTGCCAAGAACTTGAACACCTATCGTTTTGAGAGGTGACAGCATGCTGGCAGCCCTCACAGCCGTCGCTCGCTCTCCGCGCCTCCTCAGCCTCAGCGCCCACTCTGGCTGCGCTTGAGGAGCCCTTCAGCCCGCCACTGCACTGTGGGAGCCCCTCCCTCGGCTGCAGAGGCCGGAGCAGGCTCCCTCAGCTTGCCAGGAGGTTTGGAGGGAGAGGCGCGGCGGGGGGGGAACCGGGGGCTGCGCGCGCGGTGTTTGAGGGCCAGCGTGAGTGTGGGCGTGGGCTTGGCGGGTCCCACACTCGGAGTCGGCCCAGGGCAGTGAGGGGCTTAGCACCCGGGCCAGCAGCTGCAGAGGGTGCACCGAGTCCCCCAGCAGTGCCGGCCCACCGGCACCGCGCTCGATTTCTCACCAGGACTCCCAGGGGCTTAGGAGTGCGGGTGCACAGCGCAGGACTGGCAGGCAGCTCCATCTGCGGCTCCAGTGCAGAATCCACTGGGTGAAGCCAGCTGGGATCCTGAGTCTAGTGGGGACTTGGAGAACCTTTATGTCTAGCTAAGGGATTGTAAATACACCAATCAGCACTCTGTGTCTAGCTCGGGGTTTATGAATGCACCAATCAGCACTCTGTATCTAGCTAATCTGGTGGGGACTTGGAGAACCTTTATGCCTAGCTAAGGGATTGTAAATGCACCAATCAGCACTCTGTGTCCAGCTTGAGGTTTGTGAACACACCAATCAGTGCCCTGTGTCTAGCTCAAGGTTTGTGAATGCACCAGTCAGTGCTCTGTGTCTAGCTAATCTAGTGGGGACTTGGAGAACTTTTGTGTCTAGCTCAGGGATTGTAAACGCACCAGTCAGCACCCTGTCAAAATGGGCCAATCAGCTCTCTGTAAAACAGACCAATCAGCTCTCTGTAATATGGACCAATCAGCAGGATGTGGGTGGGGCCAGATAAGGGAATAAAAGCAGGCTGCCGGAAGCCCCAGCGGCAACCCCTTTGGGTCTTGTTCCACGCTGTGGAAGGTTTGTTCTTCGCAATAAATTTTGCTGCTGCTCACTCTTTGGGTCTGCACTGCATTTATGATGTGTAACACTCACTGTGAAGGTCTGCAGCTTCACTTCTGAGGCCAGCGAGACCAGAAACCCACTGGGAGGAATGAGCAACTTTGGATGGGAGGAACGAACAACTGCAGATGTGCCGCCCTCAGAGCTGTAGCACAGTGAACGTCTGCGGCTTCGCTCCTGAAGCCAGCGAGATCACGAACCCACCAGAAGACAAAATCTCTGAACACGTCCGAACATTAGAAGGAATGGACTCCGGACACGCCTTTTTTTTTTTTTTTTGAGACAGTGTTTTTCTCTGTCGCCCAGGCTGGAGTGTAGTGCAATCTCGACTCACTGCAAGCTCTGCCTCTCGGGTTCATGCCATTCTCCTGCCTCAGCCTCCAGAGCAGCTGGGACTACAGGCGCCCGCTGCCACGCCCGGCTGAATTTTTTTGTATTTTTAGTGGAGACGGGGTCTCACGGTGTTAGCCAGGATGGTCTCGATCTTCTCATCTGCCCGCCTGGGCCTCCCAAAGTGCGGGGATTACAGGCGTGAACCACCGTGCCCAGCCACTCTTTAAGAACTGTAGCAGTCACCGCGAGGGTCCGCGGCTTCATTCTGGAAGCCATTGAGACTGAGAACCCGCCAATTCCGGACACAATTTCATAGTACATCAGTATGGTCCAATACAGGTAGGTGGTGTCCTGATTATAACACTGTACAAGCAGGAAATTGATGGTGTCCCACATGCCTTGTGCAAAGGTCAACCTTAAATAAGTTTTAGGAGTCTTAGTGAAATTTCTATGAATCAAATGGAATGTGGTATATGACGTAACTATATCTTTAAAATTGAAGAAAAGAACAAGTGAAGAAACGTTATATTTGTTAGGTCTTTTAGGTTCTGGAGGCAACGTATGCCAGCTATAGGATTCTTTAGTATACAATTTACCAAGTAATGTGTAAGGCTGTAAGGCTGACAGATTTGACTTGATCCCAGAAACAGCAGTCCAGGTAGTTCTGGTTGCAACAAATGCAACTCTGCCTTTCGTTCCTTGTGATAGAGTAGCCTCTGGCGCTTATAGAGTTTGTGGCGGATAGACTTAATCTTTTAAGTAATATGTCCTGAGTACTCAGCCCTTTTAATGACTGAACACCTATTCGTGTGGGAAAAAAAAGTGAATATATCACCTAAATGGCCATTATGAATTGGGTTTTACCTGATTTTTTTCAAGTCACATAGTTGGGTATACCCACCAGAATCCATCATAAGGAGCAGTAACTTGCCATCTTTGAAATATAAAACGTTATTGAATGAGAATTCCTCCTCCCTACTTATTATGTTTGTCCGTCACACCGTCCACAAACTTACTAAATGCTTTATTTTCTGACACACTGTTCCACAAAATTCTATTTCTGATCAGGAATATAATTTTATTGCAAGAGACTAGGGCAGTTATTTAACACTCATGAGACATTAGTTTTATTGGATATGCTATTGCTCATATATGTAATAAACAAACTGTGTAAAACAAATAATACACCAACATAGGCATGGAACCAGCTAAGAGAAAATATGTCACGAAACACTGTCCTGGGTGACACTGCTCATCTAGTCTCACATAGGAGATACCAGTGCTGTTTCTCTTATTCAATAAACAAAAGACTTGGCTTAGTAGTGGTATCTTACACTATTATGTCTCAAGACACCAGATTAATGCTACATTATTTGGGCAATTTTTTTTTTTTTGAGATGGAGTGTAGTTCTGTTGCACAGGCTGGAGTGCAGTGACGAGATCTCAGCTCACTGCAAGCTCTGCCTCATGGGTTCACGCCATTCTCCTGCCTCAGGCTCCTGAGTAGCTGGGACTACAGGCACCCACCATCACGCCCGGCCAATTTTTTGTATTTTTTTTTTTAGTAGAGACAGGGTTTCACCATGTTAGCCAGGATGGTCTCGATTTCCTGACCTTGTGATCCGCCCGCCTCCGCCTCCCAAAGTGCTGGGATTATAGACATGAGCCACCGCGCCTGGCAATGTGTTTATTTTCACTAGAGATTTGCAGTTTCATGATATATATATTTTTCAACTTTTATTTTAGATACAGGGAGTACATGTGCAGGTTTGTTACATGGATACATTGTACCAAGGTACTGAGCATAGTACCCAATAGGTGGTTTTTCGACCTGCACCATCCTCCGTTCCTCCACCCTCTACTAGTCCATAGTGCCTATGGTTCCCATGTTTATACCCAGGTGTGCTCAATTTTTAGCTCCCACTTATAAGTGAGAACATACTATTTTTGGATTTCTGTTTCTGCATTAATCCATTTAGGATTATGGCCTCCAGATCCAGCCATGTTGCTGCAAAGAATATAATTTTATTCTTTTTTATGGCTGTGTAGCATTTCATGGCGTATATGTACCACATTTTCTTTATCCAAGCCACCATTGATGGGCACCCAAGTTGATTCCATGTTGCAGATAGCATGGCAGTGAATATGAGTGCATGTGTCTTTTTGGCATAATCTATTTTCTATTTTCCTTTGGGTATATACCCAGCAAATTATATCCATGACCATATCAAAGTGAATTAATATGGAAAGTAGAATAAAATTAAGGTTTAGATTTAGAGACTCCTAGTTTATCAATTTACGTTATGTCTTATTTTAAAGAAAGTTTTCTAACTCATCTAATCCTAGGTTTTCTTAACTTCCCAAAAGTGAAATTAAAACAAACCTCATAACCTGCCTTCAAAATATACTACAATGCTATAATCACAATAACATAGTACTAGCATGGAAACAGATGTATTGACCAATGGAACAGAATAAAGATCCCAGAAATAAATCCACATATTTACCATCAATGGATTTCAAATACAGATGCCAAGAACACACAATAAGGAAAGAACAGTCCCTTTATTAAACAGTGTTGGGAAAATTGGATATCCACATGTAGAAGAACAAAATTAAAATCTTATCTTGTGCCACATAGAGAAGTCAACTCAAAATAGATTAAAGACTTAAACATGAGTCTTTAAAGTTTAAGACTACTAAAAGAAAACATAGGAAAAAAGCTTCATAACATTGGTCTGGGCAATTATATTTTAAATATGAATTCAAACGCACAGTCAGCAACAGCAAAGATAGACAAATGGAAATACTTCAAACTAAAATGCTTCTGTAAAGAAAAGAAAACCCAACATTCAAAAAGGAGAGAGATAATCGAAGGAATAGGAAAAAATATTTGCAAACCACACATCTTGTAAGAGATCAATATCCAAAAAATACATAAATAACTCAAATAGTACCTAAAAAAGAAATAACTGATTTAAAATTGGGCAAAGGATCACAATAGACAATTCTCAAAGGAGGTCATTCACAGTATTTTTTAAAAAAGCTCAATGTCACTAATCATCAAGAAAATGCAAATTAAAATTACAATGAAATATCACCTCACAGCTGTTAGAAAGGCTGTTATCAAAAGATGAAAAACAACAAGTACTGGTGAGAATATGAAGAAAAGGGAATGCTTTCACAGTGTTGATGAGAACGTAAATTAGTATAGCCATTATGGAAAAAAGTATGGAGTTTCCTCAAAAAGTTAAAAATAGAATGACTCTATGATCCAGCAATCCCACTACTGGGTATACATCCAAAGGAAATGAAATCAGGATGGTGAAGATAAATCTGCACTCCCATGTTTATTGCAGCATTTTCACTATTTACAGCAGGCAAGCTGTGAAAATGTTTATCAATGGATGAATGATTTTTTTAAATGTAGTGTATATACACAATGGAATTTTACTGTCTTAAAAAAGAATGTAATCTTGTCATTTACAACAACGTAAATGAACCTGGGGAACATTATGTTAAGTGAAACCAGTCAAGCACAGTAAGACAAACACTGTATGATCTTACTTATATGTGGAGACCAAAACAGTTGAACTCATAAAAACGGAAAGTAAAATAGTGGTTGTCAGAGGCTGGGGTAGGGCTGGGGAAATTGTTGGTCAAAGGATACAAAATTTCAACTGGACAGGAAAAACAAGGTAAAGAGATCTATTTTACAACATGGTGGCTGTAGTTAATAACAAGGTAAAGTATAATTGAAAACCACTAAGAGATTACATTTTAAGTGTTCTTACCACAAAAAAATGATAGATATGTAAGGTGATGCACATGTTAATTCCATTTATCCATTCCACAGTGAAAACATATTTCAAAGTATCATGTTGTACATGGCAAATACATACTTTTCCTTGCCAATTTAAAAAATAAACTAAAGAAAAATTAAAGTATATATATATGTATATATGCATAGACATATAATGTTTGCTAACATTGCTTGGAACACAGCAGACATTTTTTAATTGGTACCTAATGTTATATAACATTTCCTGCATTTTACTTAGGGCAACACCTTGAAACACACTCATTAAATGTTGGGCTGCAAGAAAACTATGCCTTCTGAAATACTTCCTGCTTAATGTTAAAAAACTGCACTCTAATAATTTTAGAACATGTCTATAATTGAGAGTAAAAACACAAAAATGCAGAAAACGACTATTTGAATAGTATATAAAATTTGTTGACCTTCTATCTTGTGCCAAGTACATTTAATATGTTTTTAAATTAATCTTTCCACTACTCAGTGAGATGTCACTGCCTCTTCATATCAAAATCTCAAAACTGTAGAAGAACCCTTATTTTAACCACAGTGTCTTCTCATCTTAGTCACCAGAATTCCTGAGTCACATTTTGATTGAAAAAACTCATGTAAAATAGATGCCCTCATCCCATCTGAAAGCATGAACAAACTTCCTGCCCTACCTCCATTTACTGTCATCCTCCAAAGGTTATCTTCTTTCAGTACAGTTTGAAACAAAGTGTTGTTCTCTTTTTCTGGATCATTACAAATCCTAGGTTTTTGTTTTTCTTTTAGTTTGTTTTTTAACTATATGATCCCAGCACCACCATACACACCTGTTTTTGTTTGTTGTTTCCTGAAAGTAACTGCATAGAATTCCCAGGCTGTCAGTTTTCTTTGCCAGCCCCCATAGTGCCATAATACCACTAAAATAGGGATTTGGGGGAAAATATGTTTTACTGAAGATTTAAGGTACTGGAAAATGTATTATAACTAGAGTTATGATGCTAACTCCAGCTTTTATGAAAACCCCCAAATTTCAGCAGTTTTACATAACAAGTCACAGTTGTCTACACAGTTTTGAGGTGGTGAGTCTTCCGAGTGGCTCTCTACCTATAAGTAATTCTGCAAGCCAGGCTCGATTTACATGGCTGCTTTTTCTTTCCCTGTTGCCCACCACTTCCCATCATCATATACCACATCATTCAGGGAATCCTCTGAATTCATTGCCCCAAAAGCAAAGCAAACATAGAAAATGATATAAAACATGTTACAGCCAAGGTAAGAATAAGTGTATTTCACTTCCATCCACCCAGGAAATGTTTATAATATTAGCTATAAATTTTGAAATGACTTATTTTAAAATGGTTTGCAAACTTTATATGTATACATGCACATACACATCACACACATTCTGGAATCAGTGACCTATCCCATATTAATTCTAAGGAAGGCTGGAAAAAGTAGTTTTCATGTGTGCCCAGGAAGGAAAAAGTAAGATTGTTAAACATCTAGCTAGTTTGTGTTACTGAGTAATCATGGACAATACATGAAACAAGAGAACATTGAATATTACATAACACTCTTCTATGTGTTATGTCTCTCTAGACAATATGGAGCTTCACTAGCTAAGTTCTGCATGAGCCCTGGTCCCCCATCAGGTTTCCAGCATCTGGGTTTTTTTATTTCTCTTCACACTTTCTTCAACACTAGTAGCCACTTCCAAAACTTATGTAACTACATTTTGCAAAGTAATTTAACTCTTATTTTTTCTTAAACTTCTCCCATCTATACACTGTTCTTACAACCATGCCTTGGTAAATTAAAAAGAAACATTGTTTTTCTTAGGCAAAGGAAATATTCTAAGAGGAAATTTTCTGTCCTGCAAAGCCAACCAGCTCAACATGTAGATAGCTTTAAAATAGACAAGTTTTCTCCTTGTCATAGAATCTTTCAAAAGCCCTATACCTTTTTTTTCATAAAGCAAAAGCTGTTTGCAACACCAAGAGGTGGCCTACCAAATGAGAGATATTGATGGAAAGAAACACTCATCATAGTTTTTGTGCCTGTTATTCAGAGGTGCTGTGTGAATTACATGAGATAATATATGCAAATGCTATGACACAAAACAAGTGCTCAATAGATCTTTTTTCCTCTTCTTTTATCCCTTTCTTTCTCCTCTAACTTAGAACCTTTCCTCTTGGTTCTGACTGTCCCAACATGAACTTGACATTTTCAACCCAGCATTTATTATCTTCCCTGGGACATGAGGTCTGGAGATATGGGTCTGAAGTTCTGAAAACACTGAAAATAGTGGGGAAAAAATAGAATATTGTTTTCCCAAATCAGCTTTATTTTAAGGAAAGTTTACTATTTTAAAAAATCTATTCTGTATTAGTACTCTCTAAACACAATTATTTCTTTGACTTATTTTAGTGGTGTTGTTTCTAGAGTGGTAACAGGCACTAGAAATATACTCCCAATGTGGCTTATTAGGTAATGAAATTACTTCCTTAGATTATATATAATATACAATGCTTCAGACAGGTGAGCAGCCTAATTGCTTTTCATGTCTGCTCTATACTGGTCCAGAAACAAAGGGTTGAATCTGTAATTTAATATTTTTCTTCTATTAATTATATTTTTAAAATAACTACTTCAAATACAGAACTCAGTTTTCTTTTCTCCAATGTGGCCCCAGAAATTTACATACTAGTAACTGGAAACAATCACAAACACCTTCTTTCTTATCTATCCCACAATTGTTTAATAAATGTTTGTGAGAAGATAAAATACTGCTAAATTACACTAAACAGAACATTGGTACAGACATGAGAATGGCTGATACATAAGTTTACAAAACTTTGCTTATAACTAGTTTTGATAGCAGTTCTCCCAAATCTCTCTGAAGGGTAGATCAAGTTGTACATATTAGTTCTAGGATGTCTCCATGTGATATACAATCTTGCTCTTTCCTTAGGTTCAAAAATCCCTACCTTTTCATTGAGAGACAATCTCTCACTCGACTCAAAGACTAAACAAGCACATGTTAAGCTTGCCTGCCCAACATCAAATTTCTGGAGACAAAAAAAATTCAAAAATACATGATTGCGCTAGAAAACAAGAAAGAGAAAAGTCTGAGTCTCATAAACTGTGCAGAATTCTTCAAACATAGAAAACAGACAAAATTCGTTTGAAGAAGGAATCTATATCTAAGATATATGCCAGAGTGTATTTCTGTCATTACGGGCTCATGGAGAAAAACAACTGAAAAGGAGGGAAGGGAGGCAGTGTTATCCTAAAAGGTTATTTCTTTGATTAACCTGAAGAGGCAGCCAGGAAATGTTTCCTCTGTATGCTGCTAAGTTGTATCAGGCAATAGCCACTGAGGCATATGCCTGCAGGCAAAAGCACAAAGTTCAGGAATTTGGTGTAGAGAAACAGGGCAATGCCCCAGACAGTGGACGATACTCGGGTAGAATGTGATGCCCATAAGCAGAAGATTTGCTTCTAAAGCACTGTGCCCACTGCCTTCCCTGCCTTTCTACTGCTCCTCTAGTAAGGAGCAAACAAAAGTTGTAGAACCTCCAGCCAAGTCTTTAATCACAAGTAGGCTGGGCAAAGGATCCTAAAGGCAACCTAACAGATATCTCATGTAGGAAAATAAGTACATTTGATAGCCAACACTGCAGAACAACTTGACCAAAAGGACTAACACGAAGAATCAAAATTAATAGAGCAAGCAGAAAAGATGATAATTTTTCTAATTACAGCACTTAGGTAAATTAATGCCATTATGTAATGTTGTAGTTATAGAAGAAAAACCCCAGATTAGGATTTGAAAAAGTCAGTAGGTACAATCAATTGTATGGCAAATTTAAAAAATACCCAATTAATTAAAATGGGAAAAAGCCAAAAATAATTTAGGGCATGTCAAGTACATATACACACATATGTAATTTAATATAAAATGGTTAGCAAGAATAAAAGTTAAGCACCTTTTTATCACAGCATATTAAAACAGGTGCCATTCTCTTGGGGGCAAAAAGTTTCTCAAATTTAACCTGTTTTAGTCTTTTCAAATTACAGATGGATGTCTAAGGCCAAGAGAGAGGCAGTGTTTAGAGTAAGAGCCCTCTGCAGACCATCATAAGGATGCACCAGAAGGGAGCCCTCACATTAAGATTCGGATCACCCCTCTGCAAAACACAACTTTCCCTTCACTCTTCTGTCTACTTTTGTATTGACCAAAGCCTATTCCAGTGGGAGCCTAAGATCCCTTCTTTATCCTGGTAAGACCCTTTTCCAACTCAGCACTCATACTTCCTTTAACGCTGACTTATGTCCTTTTGAACCAATGCCATCATGCCCTTCTTCCTTGTTCATAGCAGTCCAATAAAAAGTCCCAAATCCCAGATCACGCCTCATTTCCAAACCCCTAATTCTACTGTTTTTGTACAACTCTCTTCTCATCTAAAAATTCTTCACTATATCCTCTGAAACTCAATGTAAATTGCCAATATGCTCCTCTTTTCTCCTCCATCTTTTCTTTTTCTTCCTGAATTAACTTCTTGAATTTCTTTGTCTGCCTCTGATGGTACTGCTTCTCCTGAAGCCATTTCAAGATAGGACTTTTCCAGAGTCCTCATCATACTGGATTTGGAGGTACAGTGACTGTTGTTCATTATGGCACTTAGAATATTGCCCTTCTCTGTTCCTTCTGCTTTGACATTCAAATAATCAGATTACACCTCCCATCACAGTTCCTTGAATTGCAGTCATTTACCAATTAAGTTACTTCCCCTTATTCCTTGAAGATTTTAGCCCCAGGGTAATAATTTTTAGCGCATATTTTCTTTAGTAGCTCGACACTATTTCTGTCATAATTTTTCATAACATCAATATCTACACTCATGTTCCTGTCAACATGTTGGCATCTTGGGGTTCTAACTTTCTCTCTTTCAATTATCTTTTCCTCCATTCTATCTTATCCATTCCTTTCTGTGATCCTACTTTGATTTTATCATTACCACAACTTTATTCCCTTTCTAATCAGAAAATGCCTAGCTCTCCTACTGCCATTTCCTATGTTTCTAGCTATTTTCTACAAATACCCCAATTTGAACAATCTCTCAACCCACTTCCATTAATCTGACTAAATTATGCTTGGTCCCTCACTCTCCATGTCTTCTTTTCCTGTCTTACCCAACTTAAATCACATGGTAAACCGTTCTTGTTTCTTTCATATACCCTTCAGTCCACTGGCCCTTGTCTTTTTGTCATAGTCTTTTAGCAAAACAACAATCTTGGTTAAATCTATCTTTCTTCCTGCTCTATGATGAATGTGGCTAGAGGAAAACTCACTCCTAGTGATTCATCTCGTTTTAAATGTAGTAGCTTCTTAGTTCTCGCAGCAGTTTCAATCTATTAGCCAAGTCCATTTTCGTTTGGACTCTTAGCTAGACTCCTACCATCTTAGACAATTCTTTTATTCTTTCTCTTCGCTTTTCAAATTTCCAATGTCTTCTCTCTTAAGTTCATTCTCAGCCAGTGATTGTATTGAATAGTGCATCATGCTCCTCTGAGACACCTTCTGTTTCTTTTTGTTTGTTTGTTTGTTTGTTTGCTTGTTGCTTGGCCCTTGGTTTCAGCGTGCTTTCACTTCAGGTGGCCAGCACCTAGGGCTTTTGTTCAGAGAGCTGTCTCCGATTAATGGAGAGTTTTGCATCAGACGTACTAGGGATTTGTCACTAGGGAAAACAAAGAACCACTGATGCATGTTGTTGTTCAGCTAACTTTCCTTTAGTCAGGGTTACTCTTCAGCATGATTTATACTCCCAAGTTCCCTTACGAAATCAAGTTTCTGGCTGGGCGCTGTGGCTCACGCCTATAATCCCAGCACTTTGGGAGGCTGAGGCAGGAGGATCACGAGGTCAGGAGATCCAGACCATCCTGGCTAACACGGTGAAACCCCGTCTCTACTAAAAATACAAAAAAATTAGCTGGGTGTGGTGGTGGGCGCCTGTAGTCCCAGCTACTCCAGAGGCTGAGGCAGGAAAATGGCGTGAACTCGGGAGGTGGAGCTTGCAGTGAGCCGAGATCATGCCACTGCACTCCAGCCTGGGCAACAGAGCAAGTCTCAAAATTAAATTAAAAATAATAATAATAATAATGAATTTTATCTTAACCTATTTTCCTTTTCAGCTACAATCCCATTTTTCTTATTCTTTGTGCTATGAATGTCCTTGAAAGTATTGTTTCTACTTGCCACTTTCAATTCCTTTTCTCATGAACCATTCCAGTCAGGTTTTTCTTTTTTTTTTACATCACTACCAAGAAAATGCTCTTACTAAAGTTACCAAAGACCTAAAGTAATAGATTCTAAATCCAATCACTATTTCTCAGTCCTTATCTTACTTGACCTATGAGCATCCTTTGATTCAAGTGATCACTCTTCTCCCTTAAAAAAATTTCTCCACTGAGCTTCCAGGGCACCTCACTCACCTGTTTTCCATTAACCTTACAGTTGGTACTTGCTGTCCATCTCTCCAGCTTCTATATTTTAAGTTTATTTTGGCCATGCTCTTTGAATCTCATCTTAAATACATATACTCACGCCTTGGATAATTTCAACTTATCTTCTGGTTTTAAAATCCATTTACATCCTGATGAATTCTAAATTTAAGTTTCTATTATACTTCTTTTTACTTCAAACCCATTTATTCAACTCTTTACTTATTACATGTACTTAGATGTATATAATTATCCAAAATGTAACATATCCAAAACTGAGCCTCTAATATTCCTTTTTAATTTTTTCTTTTCCCACGATAGTTCATATCTCAGCCAATGGCAACTTTACCTTTCCAGTCATGTAGGCAAAAATATTTGAATCATTTTTGACTCACCTTTCTTTTGCCTCTCAAAACCATCAGGAAATTCTCTGGCTTCTCTTCAAAATTCAGAATTAGACCACCTTTCACTTTACAACAAGCTAACAATCTTTCTCATGTGGGTTATTGAAATAACTGTCTCTATTGTCTTTCTTCTGCCTTGTTTTCCATTTCCTCTCAAAATTGCAGCCACTGTGATCTTATTAAAATATAAGCCAGCTCGTGTTATATCTTTGCTCAAAACCATCCAATGTCTTCCCACATCACTCAAAGGAAAATCAGAATATATATATATATATATATATATATATATATATATATAGGCCTTAAAGTACCTACAAGATCTGACCTCTTCCATTACTTCTGAGATCTCATCTTGTACTGCCTCCGTCAAGTACTTTTCTTAACCATAGGTAACATCTTTCAGTTTATCAAACAAGCCAGACACTAAATCCTTCCCTCCCCTCCCCTCCCCTCCCTTCCCCTCCCTCCCTCCCTTCTTGTTTCTCCCTCTTATCCTAAATCAGATTAGTTCTTTATAAAAGGCACTTTGTCATCTAGGACTTCACTGGCTTCCTTGCCGAAAATTTCAGTTCTCCTTCCTACATTGTTTTTATTTCTTAGCACATATCAGTATCTAAAATTCCACATATTTTACTTTTCTGTCTTGTTTATTGTCTATCTATTTCATAGATTTTAAGGATGATGAAGTCCGAGATATCTGTCAGGTGTTTCCACTTATGTATTCCCAGTACCTGGCACAAGATCAGAGCATAATAAATACTAGTTGAATGACTAAACACATGTTAGAAATCATTAACTCTGAGAGGTGGAACACTACAAACTAACATATCAAAACAAAGAAACTTCATTTATATCTTACTGGTGATTTTTTTTCTGAAAAGTAAAAGATGCTCAAGTCACACAAATTATAAGAGCTGAAGTTTGGGCAATTCACCTAATATTCTCTATTAAATTTTTAATATCAGCTATTTAGATTCTAGTATTCCCTTATAACAATCTATTTCTTTGTGATATACGATTATTTATTTTTTCCAAAATTATGAGTATTTGCTCCATGTCAAAATGCACTTCGTTGTGATTATCTCTGTGATGGCGATTGTAATCATTGATCTTTCATGTTACTGTCGTGATTGTTTTGGGGAGCCAACAACTGTACCCATGTAAGATATCAAACTTAACCAATAAATATGAGTATATTCTCAGTGTACCACTAAAGAGCCATTTCCCTATCTGTCTTCCTCTCCTGGGGACTCCCTATTCTAGACACAGTATTGGAATTAGGCCAATTAATAACCCTTCAATGGCCTATAAGCATTCAAGTGAAAGGAAGAGTCACATATCTCTCACTTTAAATCAAAAGCTAGAAATGATTAAGCTCAGTAAGGAAGGCATGTAGAAAGCTAAGAGAGGCCAAAGCGTAGCCCTTGTGTGCCAAACAGCCACGTTGAGAATATGAGGAAAAAGTTCTTGAAGGAAATTAAATGTGCTATTCCAGTGAATACATGCATGATAAGAAAGTGGAACAGCCTTATTGCTGATTGGAGAGAGTTTTAGTGGTCTGGCTAGAAGATCAAACCAGCCACAATATTCCCTTAATAATTGGGAACAATCCTTTCAAAAAACCAGCTCCTGGATTCATTAATTTTTTGAAGGGTTTTTTTTTTTGTCTATTTCCTTCAGTTCTGCTCTGATTTTAGTTATTTCTTGCCTTCTGCTAGCTTTTGAATGTGTTTGCTCTTGCTTTTCTAGTTCTTCTAATTGTGATGTTAGGTTGTCAATTTTGGATCTTTCCTGCTTTCTCTTGTGGGCATTTAGTGCTATAAATTTCCCTCTACACACTGCTTTGAATGTGTCCCAGAGATTCTGGTATGTTGTGTCTTTGTTCTCGTTGGTTTCAAAGAACATCTTTATTTCTGCCTTCATTTCGTTACGTACCCAGTAGTCATTCAGGAGCAGGTTGTTCAGTTTCCATGTAGTTGAGCAGTTTTGAGTGAGTTTCTTAATCCTGAGTTCTAGTTTGATTGCATTGTGGTCTGAGAGACAGTTTGTTATAATTTCTGTTCTTTCACATTTGCTGAGGACAGCTTTACTTCCAACTATGTGGTCAATTTGGAATAGGTGTGGTGTGGTGCTGAAAAAAATGTATATTCTGTTGATTTGGGGTGGAGAGTTCTGTAGATTGATAGAACGCTAGCAAGACCAATAAAGAAAAAAAGAGAGAAGAATCAAACAGATGCAATAAAAAATGATAAAGCGGATATCACCACCGATCCCACAGAAATACAAACTACCATCAGAGAATACTACAAACACCTCTACGCAAATAAACTAGAAAATCTAGAAGAAATGGATAAATTCCTTGACACATACACTCTCCCAAGACTAAACCAGGAAGAAGTTGAATCTCTGAATAGACCAATAACAGGATCTGAAATTGTGGCAATAATCAATAGCTTACCAACCAAAAAGAGTCCAGGACCAGATGGATTCACAGCCAAATTCTACCAGAGGTACAAGGAGGAACTGGTACCATTCCTTCTGAAACTATTCCAATCAATAGAAAAAAAGGGAGTCCTCCCTAACTCATTTTATGAGGCCAGCATCATCCTGATACCAAAGCCTGGCAAAGACACAACCAAAAAAGAGAATTTTAGACCAATATCCCTGATGAACATCGATGCAAAAATCCTTAATAAAATACTGGCAAACCAAATCCAGCAGCACATCAAAAAGCTTATCCACCATGATCAAGTGGGCTTCATCCCTGGGATGCAAGGTTGGTTCAATATACGGAAATCAATAAATGTAATCCAGCATATAAACAGAACCAAAGACAAAAACCACATGATTATCTCAATAGATGCAGAAAAGGCCTTTGACTAAATTCAACAACCCTTCATGCTAAAAACTCTCAATAAATTAGGTATTGATGGGATGTATCTCAAAATAATAAGAGCTATCTATGACAAACCCACAGCCAATATCATACTGAATGGGCAAAAACTGGAAGCATTCCCTTTGAAAACTGGCACAAGACAGGGATGCCCTCTCTCACCACTCCTATTCAACATAGTGTTGGAAGTTCTGGCCAGGGCAATTAGGCAGGAGAAGGAAATAAAGGGTATTCAGTTAGGAAAAGAGGAAGTCAAATTGTCCCTGTTTGCAGATGACATGATTGTATATCTAGAAAACCCCACTGTCTCAGGCCAAAATCTCCTTAAGCTGATAAGCAACTTCAGCAAAGTCTCAGGATACAAAATCAATGTACAAAAATCACAAGCATTCTTACACACCAATAACAGACAAACAGCCAAATCATGAGTGAACTCCCATTCACAATTGCTTCAAAGAGAATAAAATACTTAGGAATCCAACTTACAAGGGACGTGAAGGACCTCTTCAAGGAGAACTGCAAACCACTGCTCAATGAAATAAAAGAGGATACAAACAAATGGAAGAACATTCCATGCTCATGGGTAGGAAGAATCAATATCATGAAAATGGCCATACTGCCCAAGGTAATTTATAGATTCAATGCCATCCCCATCAAGCTACCAATGACTTTCTTCACAGAATTGGAAAACAACTACTTTAAAGTTCATATGGAACCAAAAAAGAGCCTGCATGGCCAAGTCAATCCTAAGCCAAAAGAACAAAGCTGGAGGCATCACGCTACCTGACTTCAAACTATACTTACAAGGCTACAGTAACCAAAACAGCATGGTACTGGTACCAAAACAGAGATATAGATCAATGGAACAGAAAAGAGTCCTCAGAAATAATGCCGCATATCTACAACTATCTGATCTTTGACAAACCTGACAAAAACAAGCAATGGGGAAAGGATTCCCTATTTAATAATTGGTGCTGGGAAAAGTGGCTAGCCATATGTAGAAAGCTGAAACTGGATCCTTTCCTTACACGTTATACAAAAATTAATTCAAGATGGATTAAAGACTTAAATGTTAGACCTAAAACCATAAAAACCCTAGAAGAAAACCTAAGCATTACCATTCAGGACATAGGCATGGGCAAGTACTTCATGTCTAAAACACCAAAAGCAATGGCAACAAAAGCCAAAATTGACAAATGGGATCTAATTAAACTAAAGAACTTCTGCACAGCAAAAGAAACTACCATCAGAGTGAACAGACACCTACAAAATGGGAGAAAATTTTTGCAACCTACTCATCTGACAAAGGGCTAATATCCAGAATCTACAATGAACTCAAACAAATTTACAAGAAAAATCAAACAATCCCATCAAAAAGTGGGCTAAGGATATGAACAGACACTTCTCAAAAGAAGACATTTATGCAGCCAAAAGACACATGAAAAAATGCTCATCATCACTGGCCATCAGAGAAATGCAAGTGAAAACCACAATGAGATACCATCTCACACCAGTTAGAATGGCAATCATTAAAAAGTCAGGAAACAACAGGTGCTGGAGAGGATGTGGAGAACTAGGAACACTTTTACACTGTTGGTGGGACTGTAAACTAGTTCAACCATTGTGGAAGTCAGTGTGGCAATTCCTCAGGGATCTAGAACTAGAAATACCATTTGACCCAGCCATCCCATTACTGAGTATATACCCAAAGGACTATAAATCATGCTGCTATAAAGACACATGCACACGTATATTTATAGTGGCACTATTCACAATAGCAAAGACTTGGAACCAACCCAAATGTCCAACAATGATAGACTGGATTAAGAAAATGTGGCACATATACACCATGGAATACTATGCAGCCATAAAAAATGATGAGTTCATGTCCTTTGTAGGGACATGGATGAAATTGGAAATCATCATTCTCAGTAAACTATCACAAGGACAAAAAACCAAACACCGCATGTTCTCACTCATAGATGGGAATTGGACAATGAGAACACATGGACACAGGAAGGGGAACATCACACTCTGGGGACTGTTGTGGGGTGGGGGGAGTGGGGAGGGATAGCATTAGGAGATATACCTAATGCTAAATGACGAGTTAATGGGTGCAGCACACCAGCATGGCACATTTATACATATGTAAGTAACCTGCACATTGTGCACATGTACTCTAAAACTTAAAGTATAATACTAATAATAATAAAAATAATAATAATTGGGAATAATCATTCCAAAGCATAATCTAGAGCAAGGCCCTAAGTTTCTTTAATTCTTTGAAGACTGAGGTAGGTGAGGAAGCTGCAGAAGAAAAGTCGGAAGCTAGCAGAAGTTTGTTCAGGAGGTTTAAAGAAAGAAGCCATCTTCATAACATAAAAGTATAAGGTGAAACAAAAAGTACTGATGCTAAAGCTACAGCAAGTCATCCAGAAGATCTAGCTAAGATAATTGATGAAAGTGTCTATAATAACAGATTTGCAGTGTACACCAACAAAACCTTTTATTGGAAGAAAATGCCATCTGGGACTTTCATAGCTAGAGAGGAGAAGTTAATGCCTGGCTTCAAAGCTTCAAAGGACAGGCTGACTCCTTGTTAGGAGCTAATGCAGCTGGTGAGCTGGTGACTTTAAGTTGAAGCCAATGCTCATTTACCATTCCAAAAATTCTAGGACCGTTAAGAATTTTTTTTTAGTTATTATTATTATTTTTTCTTTTTTTTTTTTGAGACAGAATCTTGCTGTTCTCATCCAGGCTGTAGTGTACTGGCCTGATCTTGGCTCACTGCAACCTCCGCCTCCCGGGTTCAAGTGATTCTTCTGCCTCAGCCTCCCAGGTGTCTGAAATTACAGGCACCCACCACCATGCCTGGCTAATTTTTGTACTTTTAGTAAAGACAGGGTTTCACCATGTTTGCTAGGCTGGTCTCAATCTCCTGACCCCAAGTGGTCTGCCCGCCTCAGCCTCCCAAGTTGCCAGGATTACAGGCATGAGCCACTGTACCCTGCCAGAAATGTGTTAAATCTACTCTGCCTGTATTTTAGAAATGGAACAAAGCCTGTATGACAACATACCTCTTTATAGAATAGTAAGCCCACTGTGGAAAACTACTGCTCAGAAATAAAAGACTTCTTTCAAAACAATAGAGCTCAGTGACAACGCATCTAGTCACCCAAGAGCTCTGACGGAGATGTACAAGGAGTTTAATATTGTTCCTAAGCCTGCTAACACAACAACCATTCTGTAGCCCATGAATTAAGAAGTAATTTCAATTTTCAAGTCTTATGATTTAAGAAATACATTTTATATGTCTATAGCTGCCACAGAGAGCGATTCCTCTTATGGATCTGGCAAAGGAAATTGAAAACTTCTGGAAAAGATTCATCATTCTGTATGCCATTAAGAACGTGTGATTTACGGGAGGAGTTCAAAATAGAAACTTTAACAATTGTTTGGAAGAGGTCGATTTCACCCCTTATGAATGACTTTGCAGGATTAGATTTCAGTGGAAAAAGCAACTGGAGATATGGTATAAATAGCAAGAAAGCTGGAATTAAAAGTGAAGCCTGAAGATAGTTCATTAACAGTGAATCGCTGAATTGCTACAATCTTGTGATAAAACTTGAATGGATGAGGAGTTGCTTCTGATAGATGAGCAAGGAAGGTGCTGTTTTTGAGATGGAATCTACTCTGGGTGATGATTCTGTGGCAGATTGTTGAAATGACAAAAAGAATTTAGTGCATTACATAAACCCAGTGGATAAAACAGTGGTAAGGTTTGAGAGGATCGACTCCAATTTTAAAAGTAGCTCTACTATGGATAAAATGCTATCAAACAGCATTGCCTGCTACAGAGAACACTTTCTTGAAAGGGAAAAACCATAAATGTGACAAACTTCCTTGTGGACTTGTTTTAATAAATTGCCACAACCACACCAACCTTCAGCAGTTGCCAACCTGACCAATCAAGAGTCATCAATGTCAAGGCAAGACCCTCCAGGAAGAAAACGACTATGATTTACTGAATTATCAGATGATATATCTGAGGTATATAATATCTATATTTGTGTATACCAAGGTATATACATTTTAGATATAATTCTATTGCACACTTAATAGACTACAGTGTAGTACAAACATAACTTTTATATGCACTGAGAAACTAAAAAATTGATGTGGCTTACTTTATTGCAATATTCATCTCACTGTGGTGGTCTAGAACCAAAACATAATGTCAAAGGTATACCTGTATTGTGAAAGGTATAAAACGTGTTTCTTGGTTCAATTTTGGTAAATGGATGTCCAAATGTCCCAGCACTCTTTGTTGAAAAGACTATCATTTCTCTATTGAATTGCCCTTTCTCCTCTGTCAAAATTTTGTAGACTGTATTTTTGTAGGTCTATCTCCAGGCTCTTTTTCTGTTCCATTTATCAACTAGTTAGGAAACACGCTCACTATTTCCAGTTTCTGGATGAGATTGTAAAGATTTGACACCATTTCTTCCTGGAATGGTTGATAGAATTAACCAGTAAAACCATTTGAGCCTGGTGCTTACTTCTGTGTAAGACCATCATCACTGATTCAATTTCTTAAATAGATACAGTGATAATCAGGTTACATATTGCTAATTTTGTGAGTTTGGGTAGTTTATATGTTTCAAGGATCTAATCCATTTCATCTAAGGCATTAATTTTTGGCCATAGAATTGTTCATAGCATTCTGTAATTTTCCTTTCAATGTGCACTATAGGATCAGGATTGATGACAGTTGTTTTATTTGTGATGTTGTTAAATTGTGTCTTCTCGATTTTTTCTTAGATAGCATGATGAGAGGTTTATCAATTTCACTGATCTTTTAAATGAATTAGCTTTCAATTACTTTAAAGTTCTTTGATTTAAATATTTATTCTGCTTAGTGTTCTCTCAGGTTTCTATATCTGTGGTTTGGTTTCTGTTGATATTTTGAAGACTTCTTGTCAATTCTTTCTTCATGTATTTCTTCTGCTCAAATTTCTCTTCTACTTCTGATATTCCAGTTACACAACTGGAATCATAAAATTCCTTTTGAAGATTTTCCACAATTTTGGGATCTTCTGATATGCTTTTGTTTGTTTTCGCATTTTAGTTTGCTGTCATGCTTGCTGTGGCTATAGGTTCTAGAAAATTCAGTTTCCTCTACTGTCCTTGTTTATGTCTCCTCTCTTGGCTCTGGGTTTCCTAAGGACTCCTCAGAGAGATTCTGTGCCTTACAGCTTTCTCAGCTACAATCCACAATTATTTTTACTGGAGCCTGCTTGATGTAGTGTTTAGGTGTGAAAGATGGAGAGTATAATATAATCTTCCAATTAAGTGTCAGTCTTTTAGTAGACTTCTGTCACCTTCAAACATGTTTATCCAGTGGAATAGCTTCTCCCCCTCAGCTCCCTCAATACTCTAGTCTTCTCCATGGCTACCGTGCTCTGTTTCTTTAAATACTTGAACATGTTGACATTTCCCCTTTAGTTGAGACGGGAAGATAGAAGGAGATAAAGTGGAAGAAATACCCTTCTCCCATGTGGGATAAAGACCTGCAAAGTTCTTCCATCTAGAGAGTAAACATTTATTACAGAGAGAGCTCAGTTTGTGTTCCACAATGATTACACTCTTACCATCCTCCTGCCAGAGTCATGCACATGAGAACCAGGATGAGGTTTCCAGAGGTAAAACTCACAAAAATATGCCATCCCCAAGACTACAGACCCACAAATTTCTCATTCAGTTACCATTTTGCAATCAGCCTCCCACTTTAGTCAAAAGTACCATGTAAGTTTTTCTACCAGTTTATGGTTTCAGCACCTTTTACTCCTTGTAGGCATATCTTGACTGTGACTCTATGCATTTGCCTGTCTTTCTAGATTTGAGGGTGTTGGTTTGTTCTGTGACCTCAAAGAAGAATGGGACAAAGAAAAATTGTTGATTTTCAGTTTGTGAGGATGGAAATGAAAACCTTCTAATTCTTTACAGTCATAGCTGAAGCTAAAAGTCTCTTCAATTTTTATGCAGTGTCAAGGCTGAATATGTATTACCTATATCTTATAGTTTCTAAAAGTACCTCCTAGGGGTGATGGTAACAAGACACACTTAAACCTTAGAATTCTTCTTTTGGGAATACTTACAATTTTAGAAATCTTTTATGCTATTTAAAGCAGACAAAGTTTTCTTAAATTTACTGAGAAAAGTCACTAGAGAATTCTGCTAAGAGAAGTCACTCTATTGATAGCTATTATTTACAAATCATATCTAGATTTATGATATGGAAAGAGCAGAAGGAAGAAGAACATTTCGATCTTTGAAAATAACAAATAAAAATATTTTATCCTTTTATGGGGGAGATGAGATACAGAAATACTTTTTCTCCTGTAGCAACCATTTCTTTGTTGAGAAGATGTTTATGAATCTAGAGGGACAAGAGAAATAATTTTTTATTTTCACTGAAGGTACACAGACATAGAAACCCAACAGCTTATGACTACCAATTTAATGTGTGATCTTGGGGGAGACAGATGTTTCAGCTTTGTCCTCTGTAAATTGTGAGTGATATTTTCACTCCACAGGTGTCTTGTAATTATATTAGAAAATGCATCTAAAACTTCAAAATCACTACATATAGTTGACATTCAGTGATTATTAGTTGTTGTTGTTTTTATTTTTTATTTAATTCTGTTGCCTACCATTTCCCAACCTAACTCACATTTTTCTGAAGGGACATTGGTCCTTACATTCTCACTTAACATTGGATTTGCCCTTGTGAAGAAGAATAGAAGACACAACCTGACAATAGAAAAATAACATTGAGTTATTTGTATAACCTGAAATCTATGCTACTTACTTTGCACATATTATCTTATTAATTTTCACAGTGTGTCTGTGTTTACAGATGTAAATCTAAAGACCAAGATATTTTAATGGCTTTGCCTAAGATCATGCACATAGAGAGTGAATAAACTAGAATTTCAATATAGTTCTATCAACAGCGATAACCATATTCTTATAAGAAATCTAGAATTTCATAAAATATATTTCATATATGAATAATGTCAATTTTCAGGAAATGGACAAAGACTGACCACCTAAAACATGATAACATAATTGTAGTATCTGAAGCTAGATATCAGGTAGATGCAAATTCAAAAGCAAATCTGAATAGAATATGTTTTGCCTAATGAAATTGGCATGGTCAAGTGAAGAAGGAACTGATGGGATTTTCTTGTCAATCACATTTTCATAAGCAAACAGCATTATTTTAAAAAGTACTTACAAGATAGATATATAAAACAAAAGTAGAAGCTCCATATAATATGATCTTCCAAAATATTCAACCTTCTCTCTGCTATAAATCAGAAACTAAGCTAACTTTAGGATGCTGACTTGGTAAGGCTTAGGCTAACAGAATAACTAAAATAATGGCATAAAATATGTTTTAAACATGCATGCTTGTGTGGATATTTTAGAAAAGTGTGATTGGTATTGCTCAATACACAAAGTAATTTTATCAGAGATTGCATCTGGAAGAAAAATGAGAGAATTTGCTTCTTGAATTGGTGTATCATGAGCCACACGTGAAAAAAAATTTGCTATCTATATGTGCAATTACTGTGAAATAAACATGTGTCATCTGAGGTTATTTTTAGTTAGATGATGTTTATCTAAAACCCCTTGTTTCATTTAACTGTAACTGATACTTGATCTGTAGTGTTATTGTTTTACAGCCTGATAATAAGGCATATAATATCTAGGAATGATAAAAAAATGCCTGATAGGAAGTCATTATACACAGTATATCCTATCTGATGATATGCAACAATTTTTTTCTTCAAGTACTTACTGAATATCTAATCATTGACAGGCTGTGGGCTAAGCACTAGAAATATAAGAAACTCAACCCAAAAATCACAATGAAAATTGTGTTAACAATTTAGCACATAATGACTATAAATGTTATGATCACAAGTATACCCAAGTTTGGTTCATATGAAGCCAAATTCCTTTATTTTTTTAAGATTTCTCATATATCACAAAAGACAAAGACCAGATTAGAAAGTATAGGTTGGTGGTCTGCCAACCTATTCTTTTAATTACAATAGGTCTAAGTAAACATTCTTGAATCGTAGCTCACTGGTGCTATGGAGGTTAGCATTCTGCATTTGACAGATTTAAATCCAAATTCGCCTACCTAGCGGCGTGTAACTTTTGAGCAATTATTTAACCTCTTCAAGCTTCATAGTTTTTTTAAACATTGAACAAGATAAAATTTAAAACCTTTATAGAACATAATATGATCTTAATTTTTCCTCTTAAGATTTATAGGAGCAGTTAAAAATAATTCCTCTCTTTTTCTTTGAGACTACAGAAATGTTCTTACAAAAACCTAAGTTGTGTGGTAGAGCTGAGATTAATATTGTGAGAACTAGAGTGAGACAGACTCCAAAGTACTTAAATTAAGGTTCTATTCCTTATAGACTGTGTTTGTGAGAAGATACTCTAAACCCAATGAAACTTAGTTCCTTACCTATAAAATGCAGATAAAAGTATCTATTTTATATAATTAATCTGAGAAATACATTTTCAAAAAAACCTGTTAATCATCTGTACTCGTTAAATTATGACCCTTATTCAATTAAAATCAAGCAACTTTCTTCACTCTCATTTATTCTTACTATTATTAACATGTAATGAGGTAGAATGTAGGCTGAAAGCAGTATTTCCTATCTCAGATGCCTATGGAGGAAAGCAATATAAATAGGTGAATCTGAAGCAAAATAATACAAAAAGAGAAGGAGAGTGTGTAAACTGCAAAGTGCATGCCCACGGAGAACCTTTTCAAATTGAAAAAGTTTTAAATGCTAGTTGGACGAAACAAATCAAACCTGTAGGACTAATCTGACCCATTGGTCCCATTCTAAGTGGCTTAACATGGTGCACGAGGGAGTTAGAGTATAAAACAAATAACTTTGTTCTCTATAGTACTTTTCTTCTTTTTGGCCCGGGGAAAATGTCTCCATGTGTTAGAACATAGGTTGTATATTCTTCAAAGATGCATGGCCCTAGAGGTTTAAAAATAATTTCAGAAATCACACACCTAGTGATTGTAAATCTATATAGTAACTTTTGGAAGAACTGTTGTTGGTAGGTGACTTACACCATTTTTGCAGTGGGAATTAAAAATAAAACACACAAGGAAACTATATCTGTACTTGTAACTTTAAAGAATTTTGTGCATGCTCCTCTGAGGTTAATCCTAATTCAAGACTAAGGAAAAAAATGTGAAAAGCGGCAGAGAGCTATGCTTGTCATAGCCTAGTAGGACCTGTCATGTTCCACATCACACCCTAATATCTAAAGTAAATATTTATTAGAATACAATTTTGAGGCCTTCCTTATTACAGGAAAATGAGTTTGCTCTTGGTGTTTTCTTAAATTGTCTATTTTTAATCTTATCAACTCCTAGGCAACTTTTTCGTCCAATAGATAAGCATGGAAAATTTATAATCTTCAGTCTTTCTTTGTGTACACCTGGTATGCTCAGAGCTGTTGGAGAAAAATGTCGCAGTTAGAAATTTAGGCTCTCGGTGGGACATAGGCAACTCTTCCATGTTTCCAGAATCAGCTTAGCTCCCATTATCCACAACAGCCATTTAAAACCTCCTCCACCCTCATTATATCTCCAAACCCATGTCTCTACTCTGAGCTTGAGATTCCACCTTCTACTTCATAAAGAAAGAAGAGACTCTCAGAAAAGACTAGTCAATTTTATGAATCTTAATTAGAGAATAAACAAAACCCTCCCCTATCTGGCACATTCTCCCCAAACCACCCCAAAACACAACTACACTAACAAAAACAACTGAGACTAAAGATAAACTATGGCTTCTAAACAAAGAGGTAATAACAAAGCTTCTCATTGTGTTGCAAATTAAGTGAGGTGCCTTTTATTAGAAGTTACAATTAGCCTATCTGTTCCTTGAGGATAGAGAGGAATTTCATTTGACTTCTCAAATACTTTCTGTACCACTCATCAATAGTGGCATCTCATAAATATTTGGCTGAATAGATTAGTATACACGTGTAAGTACCAGAGTACTTAGATGCATTCTTGAAAGACTAAAATATACGACAATCTTTCATTGATATATGATTCTCTGACAATTATGTGAAGAAAATATGAAATTTAAATCTAAATTGTGTAGCTTAGAAGAAAAACATAGTCCATCCCCTTAGAAATAAAATCAATGCATTAGCTACTCAATTGTAGAATAGAATGTACTAAACATGAAAGCATTTCAATTAGGTCTTCCTTTTTCCAATTAAGCTGTTTCATTTCTTTCACATTCTTACAGTTCTCTTTCCAAATTGCATTGAAAGCTATATGAATGAACGGGGTTTCATTTCCACAAGCTGCTTATTACTTTTATGATTTTTGGTACATATAACATAAATAAACTGGCCATCAGAGAAATGCAAATCAAAACCACAATGAGATACCATCTCATACCAGTTAGAATGGCAATCATTAAAAAGTCAGGAAACAACAGGTTCTGGAGAGGATGTGGAGAAATAAGAACACTTTTACACTGTTGGTGGGGACTGTAAACTAGTTCAACCATTGTGGAAGTCAGTGTGGCAATTCCTCAGGGATCTAGAACTAGAAATACCATTTGACCCAGCCATCCCATTACTGAGTATATACCCAAAGGACTATAAATCATGCTGCTATAAAGACACATGCACACGTATGTTTATCGCGGCACTATTCACAATAGCAAAGACTTGGAACCAACCCAAATGTCCAACAATGATAGACTGGATTAAGAAAATGTGGCACATATACACCATGGAATACTATGCAGCCATAAAAAATGATGAGTTCATGTCCTTTGTAGGGACATGGATGAAATTGGAAATCATCATTCTCAGTAAACTATCACAAGGACAAAAAACCAAACACCGCATGTTCTCACTCATAGATGGGAATTGAACAATGAGAACACGTGGACACAGGAAGGGGAACATCACACTCTGGGGACTGTTGTGGGGTTGGGGGAGTGGGGAGGGATAGCATTAGGAGATATACCTAATGCTAAATGACGAGTTAATGGGTGCAGCACACCAGCATGGCACATGTATACATATGTAACTAACCTGCACATTGTGCACATGTACCCTAAAACTTAAAGGATAATAATAAAAAAAAAAGTATGCAATTTCACAATGGAAAAATTTTTTATTCAATACTTACCCATTCAAAGGAAGAGGGGGTGTAGAGGGAAGGAAAGAGTAAAGAAATACTGTATGGAGAAAAGTAGGAAAGTATATTAAAATGAAGCAAATCAAATAGGGGTGCATAAAAAGAGAATGGTGTAAATAGAAACAGCCTGTAAACTGGGGAAAGCAGATATTTATGCCTAAATCTGCTTTCCATAGAATATGTGCTCCTGGAGGAATGGCAGCATGTCACCTCCTGCTTTGATTCTATGTAGTCTCTGCTCTGCTGTGTTTAGTGTGGTCACTGAAAAATTATATTAACTCACCAACTAAGTAACCCAGCAGCATAAGTAGAGGTCTTCTTGCTGCAATGCTTTAAGGTATGAATTAAAATGTAAACTGGTAAATTATCAATAAAGCTGACATAAAACTTTTTGTTCCCAAAGATAGAAAGCAAAAAGAGCATGGCCTTGGGGTAATACACTATGCCTAAAGGCTAACCAAGTCTCCAGCCACATATTATATTAGAGTGTTATTACATTTTGTCTATTAGGGGCATAGTACCCTTGAGATTTTACAGGGTTTTGAACATAAATCCTTTGGAAGCTCTAATTTTAGTTGATGCAGAAGTATATACCATGGCTCTAATGCTCATGAATGGGACAATATACCAAATCATTTCTTGAGATGCCTAATGTGAGTGTCAAATTACCAGCCTCCACCAAGCAAAAGGGAATGCTAATTAAAGGGGTAGGACATGTTCCAGTTGTTCTAATCAAAGAGAGCTTAATCCTTCCATAAGCTGGCTGGCTTTGTTGGAGGAAATTCTGAACAACCTTGTTACTTTTGATAACTGTAAGCCACTGACTCATGGCCCCTTGACAGCTAGCTGAGCATGTAATAACATTTCTCTGTATTTTGGGACTGGCTTAGCTGGCTTTATAATAGATTATTGTGGATGTTAAAGTGAAATGTTAGTCTTTCTTTAAAGCTCTGTATTCCCCAGTAATTAAGGTTATAAAAAGGGCACAGAGCACAATACTGTTTCAAGGTCGCCAAACACAGATGTAACAGCCTTCCGTTTGTGTAAATAAGGTATTAACCATAGGTTTATTCTGCAATTGTGTCATGAAAAATAGGTTTTTCAAGAACAGTTTAATAGAAAAGCATTTTGAGGTGTATTAAAAATGCGGTCTTTTTCCTTTTAGTTCAAAAAAATTAATGGCTAAGAGGAAAAATCAAGTGACATTATAGAAAAGCAGTAAAAACGATAAAAAAAAAAAGAAGTTGAATGTTATCAGGTAAGAGAAAAACCAGACACAAGTGCACAACTTCATCCAAAAGCATTTGAGGTCATTTGGTATAATAAGAATCTTGGAGAAATCACAACCTTTGGCATGAAAATGTCTACAGAGACCACACAAACAAGGATTTCACTTTTACTTTCAAGGTGGTGACAGTTATTGGCTGTTTGTGTTTCCGATTCATTGTAAATGGAAAAAAGCCAAAGAAAAAGTTCACCAAAGAGAGCCATTTAACTACTTGTTTCAAATAAAGAAATTAATATAATTTCATTCAACTCTAGTTTTGATATTCACTCACCATTTGAATGAGATCCTCATATTAGTCATTACAATAGGGAGAAATGTTTCATCCTGTATTTCATAAGAAATACTCCTTTGTGATGTTCATTTGCTATATAACTTAAAATTTAAAAAAAGAAGAAAGCTCTTCTATTTAAGTATTGCAAAGGTAAAACAACTTCCTATAGAGCAGAAGAGTCACACTAATGGTGTAGACTTCTATTCAGAATGATCCTAGCGTTGGGAAAGAATAATTTACAGTGTCAGGAAGGCAATCATATTTTCATTCTACCAGATAAGATCAGGGCAGGTACTCCCCAAGGAGTGAGGCTCTTTGCTTCATTTTTGAACTGATGAAAGAGAAGATGTGCAATGCTTTATAGTGCAGACAAAAATGTCATACCAGTAATTGCTATGCAGGTGCTTAAGTACATGCCAAGTAAAACCATAAATTATATTTCTCATGCATTAGGCATTAATTGTGTCGGTAGTTAAAAGAACAATTACCACATAATATGTAACTTTTTAAAAGATGGAAATAATCAAGAAAATCATTCAGATAACCTTTTGTAAAGAATTAAGACTTCTTTTCCTTTCAAGGTATTTTACATCTCTTGTCCTATTTATCTTCTAAGCAGAAATCTTCATTTTAGTAAAACTCCTTCTATCAGGATGCCATATAGAATATACTGAAGGTGTCTAAAATTTGTCAGATACAACTATAATTAATAATGTAATGAATTTATTTAAAGTTATATGATAGAAAAAAATGAAGCTTGCATAATGTTCAGGAAGTCAAAGCCATCCTAGAATTCACCAGCCCCTTCTCTCTAACCACATAAATTTACTCAGTTCGAACTTTGTAATAAGACAGATAAATGTCTCACACCCCAAAACCCAGTAACCTTATTTGGCCTGCTCCTTCTGTCTGCACTTTTCTTGACATAAATTCCACCTCACATTGGCTTCTGGTGAGCCCATTAACCCAATCTTGGCCAATCAGAGCTCTGCTTTGGTATTGTTCAAACAAAAGTTGGAGAAAATAAGTGTCATTTTCCTATACAGCCTTAAGGCAATAAACAGACAAGCACTGCACTGACCTTGGCTGTGGATCAAGTATCACTGAGTGATTAACACATAGAGGGAAACTAAGGAAAGAGCAAGAGAAGGAAATATGCTATTCAGGTTTCTGAGTCCAGTTATCCTAAGGCTATCTGTACCATTGACCTTTCTGAGATTCAGTTAAGTAAGCTTATTTCCAACCCGCTCTGGTCTGTGATACTTCAGGTTTCTGTTTACTTATAAACAAAGGAATTGTGGAACATACATCTGCATTCCCACTTGACTTTGTTATTTGTTAACATATTATGTATTAATTGCTTAAGATGTATACTGCTTGCATTTGAGTATAACTCAACCAGTTCCTAAGTAAACAAACTTGGTCTCTGGTCTAAGCCTCTCTGTGATTTAAATCTCTTACACATAATTACGTACTAACCATACTTGCCTCATGTGAACATTATGAAGATTAAATTAGTTAAAATATGTAAAGGAGTTAGACAAGTACCTGGCACAAGATAATAAAAACCATTAAAACAATAATATTAGGTTTTATTAAGATTATAGAGCTGGCCACTTAAATTGATCATTACCTTTAATCATAACAAAAATGTGTATCAGGTTGCTATTATTCTTCCCATTTTACAGATAAACAGAATAAAGAAGTGGCAGCCTCAGCATTGAATCTCAAGTTTGTTTGAATCTGATTTTTATGTTTTTCCTTTCTATCAGGATACCTTTGGCAATATTAATATGAAACTTATCCCATAACATTATAGTCTATAATATAAGATTCTGCCTTCTCTTCTAGATCATAAATTCTGTAATGGTGGTAACTATACTGAGTTCACTTTGCTAACCTCAGTGCTTAGCAGTGTACATGTTCTCCCTCTCCAACTCTTCCCCTTCCTCCTTTTCTTTCCTCCCTTTGCCATGTGAAATACACATGTTCAAGGGCTGTGTGATCTGTCTGAAATTATTTGGTATGACGCTCTTGGCTACCCATATTTTCCCCACTTCCACAGAATATTGTCATCCAAGGAAGAGCCTTATTTGCTTCCTTTGTCTGTGGCCTGATAATTGCTTTCTACTTAGATCTGGTAGGTTCTCTTTCCTGCTGATAACCTTGTATCTGTTCTCACTGTTCTGGGTTTTGGAGGGAGTTTCCAAAATAACTCAGCTTTCTATCTATGGTCCTACTCTCTCCAATATTCATGGCTTATGACATGTTCCCACAATCACATTGCCTTTTATTCTAAATTTCCAGCATAGGCCTGGTATGGAGCTCTACTCTAGATCTGCTAACCTTGATTATTAATGATTAGTAATTGCCACTTTTGATCCAAATTCTTTCTTGCTAGCACCAAGATAAATGTTCCTACTCCAAAGAGCAACATCTCTCTCCAGCACATAGCACTTATGCGTTTCCAGAAGGCCATGCTATCACCACAAGGCCATGCTATCACCACAAAGCCATGAAGTTATAGTATGTACATATAAAGCCAGAAGTGATTAGAGCAAAGGTGGCTAGGTAATATAATGTCACCATGAGTCTCAACGGCTGTGGTAAAGCCTAGCAAGTTACCAGTGACAAGTTAGGCCAGCTGAGGTCAGTGAAGTTCATGGCTCAGTAAAGAATGGTTTATATTGTAGGAGATTCTTTCTTACTTTTAGTTATATAAAGAAATGTCTTCATTACCAGATCAAACTTCCTTGTACTTGTAATATATTTTTAGTTAGCATGAGTGCCATATCCAAACATCTGTTATCTATTACCCTGAAAATACTAAATTTATTTTAATAATTTCATAAGATTTGTTTAAATGTATTACTTATATTTAAACAACTAAAGTATCTCTGTGTAGTCAATAACAGGTCATATAAAAATGTCCTGAGACTGTTAAAAATGACCTAATTAATATTAACTTATTAACTTTGGCAATCTTTGTTTAATAATTAATCTAATAGACTTTTTCAGTGTAACACAGTAGCTATCATTACAAATATTTCTGAATACTGCAAAAGTGGTAGGTTAGAGAGCTATGCAAATGGAAATTATGTGCCCCTTTTCTCAATACATAATAGAGTGAAGACATAAATAAAACCTAGATTAGTTAGCTTTCTATGGGGATTACCCAATAAACAGTGAGACATATGGATTACTACTTACAGGCCACCAGTGGGGAGTGTAAATTTGTGTAGCCACATTGGAACACTATTTGGTGTTACTATTACACTCCTATATCCTGTGACCCACCAATTACACTTCTAGCTATACCCAACAAAGAAGAAATGAACAATTTTGCCAAAGACGGGTAAAATAATATTAGTAGCACTGTAATAGTCACAAACTAGGGGAAAAAACTCAACAGTTTATTAGAGTAAATTTTTCTTTTAAATGTGGTATAGTATACTAGAAAATATTATAAAGTAATGAATGCACAAATGAATACAACATGTAAAAACGGGAATGAGTGTCTTAGTTCATTTGAGCTGCTGTACCAAAATACCATAGCTTATAAACAACATAAATTTATTTCTCACAGTTC
The DNA here is from genome assembly GCF_000001405.40 of Homo sapiens. Taxonomy (NCBI): domain Eukaryota; kingdom Metazoa; phylum Chordata; class Mammalia; order Primates; family Hominidae; genus Homo; species Homo sapiens. The sequence goes on from NC_000013.11 coordinate 66,040,615, forward strand.
TGGAGGCTGGGAAGTCCAAGGTCAAGTTGCCAAGAGATTTGGTATGTAATGAACGTCCACATTCCAGTTTTTGCTGTGGCTTCACATAGTGGAAGGAGTGAGCAAGCTCCCTTGGGTCTGCTTTTTAAGAACACTAATTCTGTCCATAAGTGAAACTCTCATAACCTAATCACTTTTCAAAGGCCCCACCTCCTAATACCATCATTGTGGAGTTAGGATTTCAACATATAAACTTTGGGGAACACAAACTATCAGATTATAGCAAAGAGCTTCACTTACATAGTATTGCAGAAAACAAATCAGACTCAAAATCATATACCATATTTTAAACAACATAGACTGGATTTGTCTGAACTGTATACAAATAGAAGCCAAGATAATGATTATGCTTTGGTGGGGTATAGCAATTGGAAGTTATTACAAAGGGGTCTTCCTGGATACTGATAATGGTTACTTGGGTGTATTCACCTTCTGAAAATGCATTGAGCTCTGCAAGGATAATATGTGCACCTTTCAGGTTGTATGCTATCCTGCAACAGTTTAACGAAACCAGAAAAAGGAGTCGTACAGTAGAGTATTAAAAATGGCAACTTCTGCAAGTGTTCAGAGAAGGGATCACCCAATTCTAGAGCAGCTGAAAAATGTCTTATAAGAGACATAAAGATTAACTGGAATCTTGAAAGTATAGGTGTAATCCAGCATTACTCATCTTGTTATGAGTACCTGTTCCGATAAAGTTCAACTGAAAATAAGAGACAGAAAATGAACAAATGAATCAGTGTAGCTCAAACAAGATAAAATGCATTTCTCTCTCACTGAAAAACAAATTTGGAGATATGTTCAGTTGAGGTATGGCAGATCCAAAGTATTCATCAGAAACCCAGCCTCCTGTCTTTCCACTGCCTCATGATACCATACGTACAGCTATATTTTTGAAATCTTTATGGTTCAATATGACTGCTGAAGATGCAGATATCAGAGCCAAGGTGTTGACTGGTAGAAGCAAACAACATAGAAGGACAAACAATGGATTTTGGAGTTGAATCCATTCCCCTGAAACTATTATCTAATAGTTGCCACACTACCTTTCCACCACATTTCTGTCTCATTTGTCACATGATCACGCTTATCCTATAAAGAAGTTGAAAAATGCAGTCTTCCATTCTGAGAGGTAAAGTGCCAAGTTAAAATGAAAGTCTATTATTAAGACAGGAAAAAGGATTTTATTATAGGTAGATAAAGTTTTCTGTCACAATGAAGAAAAATAAACTGGTTATTCCCAAGGGACTACTTTTGTGAAACACCGGCTTGAAAGGATAGGACTGATTTTGAAGCAGAATAGAAGTGATTTCTCTGTAACCACAGAGGATAGTAAAATGTGGCATATGTCTTTGTACAACACATGTTTAAGTGGCCATATTTTCAAGTTTTATTTTATTTATTTTTATTTATTTATCCATGTCCAGAAAAAAATGGCAAAATATAGAACAAAAGACATTTCCTTGCATAGTTGCAAAGCTAAACACGAAAGTAGCTTTTGCAAATTTTTTGAAATACATCAGAATCCAAAGTTGCCTCTATGTAAGCAGGGACACCTATTAGTGATAGGTTTCTTTGATTTTAGAAATTCTTGCTATAACTTTCCAGCAAAGATACTGATTATGGTAATTTCCCCCTATATTCTTTCCCTAAAATTAAATGTGCTTAGAGATCATAACTATAAATGATTCTGAGATAACACTTACACTAACAAACTCAAGAGGTATTTCAAAGGACTCTTTTGAATTTTTTCGACAAAAGGGTTTCAACTTAGAGGAATAACCTCTGAGATGATTAAAGGCTGTCTCCTACTAGATTTTACATCCCTTGAAGGCAAGAACAATTCATTTTTAAGTGTCTCCCGAATCTAGTACAGTGTCCAGTAATTAATAGATTTTCAAAGTTGATGATGGGATAAATGAGTTGGATTGTGGCAGTGAAAACTAGCTGTACACACACATAAAAAATGTGTCCTATTCCTTGTATAATGTGAAACTAATGATGGAACATTGCTGTTCAGGACTTTTTGAATCCAGGTGCGGTTAGGTGACCACTTGTCACCAATTGAATGGAGCAGGAATAATGAGTAAGTCTCTGGGCTAGAGCATTTAAAAAGCAAGTTTATTGTGCTCTCTCCTTCTGCAAGTTGAAAATAGATATTCTGAGATCCTGCAGATGGTAAAACCATAATACGAAGCTGATCTAGATTGTATCACCAAATGGCATAAAGCTACTTTCAAATTTGAACAGCTGTATTAGACTTTTGGCTGAGCAAGAAATAACATTCTATTGGATTAAGCCATTGGGATTTGGTGGTCCATTTGTTTAAAAGGCAACATAAATACAACAGAGACAAAGATGACTTCCTAGAGATAAAATATACAGCTTCATTTTTTGTTGAGTTACTGTGAATCTGAATTGAGAGAGGTGAATGAATGCTAGTCTAATTGTACTGAAAGCTTTTGTATGTACCAGCACCTGTACTTGTATAAGTCATTTGGGATTTTTTTCTTAATATAGATAGGCATATATGTAAATATCATTATTCTGTTATTTTCAGCAATAACAATGAAAGAAATTAAGGCTCCGTTATTAGACACAAATTATTTCCCCTATTTTGAGGTCTCAAAAATGTGAATGTCTCTTTTTTTTTTTTTTTTAATACAGTGTGTTATTCCCTGAAAGAATGTTTCTTCTAACTCAGAGTTTCTTGACCTCAGATTTATTGACCTTTTGGCCTGAATAATTCTCTGTTGTAGGAAACTATATTCATTTTGTAGAATAGTAAGCAGCATTCTTGACTTCCACTCTGTAGATGCCCATAATATCTTGTGACCACCAAAAATGTTTTCAGACATGAGATATTGACAAATATTCCCTGAGAGTTTCAGAATGCCTCCTGGTTGAGAATCACTGTGAGGTGAACCTTCAGATGCCATTCAGTTACTTTTACTAAATCCTAAAATGTAGATATAGATCACCAGAAAAAAAAAAAAAGAAAAATCAGCAGGTTTTCCCTACAGCATGTCTCAGTTATTCAAGTGGAGTAACCTCATGCTAAAACATGTTTGTTGCTTTGTAATTTAAAAACTATAAAATAGAAAGTCAGTAATAGTGAGTCAATTTATTCTAATTTGGGGGTTGCTGATAAAATATCTGTAAGTTGTATCAATGCGTGGTTCACAGTATGCTTTCAAAAAACCTGTTGAAAAATGTCTAACCCTCTCCTGAGTTAATAATTCCACCAAATGACATGTTTGCTATTTATTCATTTATTCAAGAAATACTAAGTTACTAAGGACAGGATCTATGCTGACTGCTGGAGTCACAAGAAGAGGAAAGTTAATAATTATGATGGTGTCTTGAAGCAATTTCCAGAAAGACTCAATTGCTCCATCAAGGCCCAACAAGGCATATAGTGCAACCTGTAGCCACAAATATAAATTTTTAAAGATAAAGGTTTACAACCGAATTGGCTTAAAAGTCTACATAAAAATTATTCAGGAAGAAAAAAGCTTTGATTTATGTGTATTATAGTTTTGATGTGTCATTCAGTATGTAAACATATGAATAATAAATGAAATTTCTCAAATACACACATTTGCAAGATGATCGTATAGTTATCACAATGTACATAATATGGACATAAGTTATAATATTTTTATAGAAATAAATATTTTATATTTATTTCTGAAATAAGATTTGTATTTTAAGAATATTTTATCAATACATTTATGAATGCTTTGCATATTCTTTTTATTCTTTAAACTAAAATGATTACTAATAGATTACATGTTCTAATATTTCAAAACAGTAAAATCAAAAAGAAGACTTAGATGAATATAAACATGCTTGAAATTTTTTATTTGTCTCCTAAGATCTTATGAAAGCTTTTGAAAGCTTGATCTTAATCCTTTACTTTGCTTCATTTTAAACTAGACTATAAAACCAAATTCCAAGTCAGAGTTTAATCTTCATTACTCAATGCCTTTTCTGATGAGAACTTGTATTTTTTTGACATCAACGCATTTGCTAACACATATTACTCCGTACATTTTGTTTAACACTAACTAAAGAGTTTATTTTCTGTTTGTGAATGTAGTCATTGGATATTCTGACTGGTCTAGGCTGTTAATATCTCTACAATCTCTAGAGAGGTGGAACTGGCCAAGGAGTTCATTCAAATTGTTCCTCTCCACCTTTAGTGTTCTTCATAAGACATAGTTCCAAGATAGTCAGTCACAATAAAGGAGAAGCATCAAATTAGCACATTGAAATCCTGCCTAGGTTGCAGCTTAGGACGCATTCTATGTGTGCTACAGCAGTGCTTGGCATTAGTAGGCTCTCAATTCACATTGCTAAGTGAAGAAGGAATAACTGAATACAAAATGGTACGCTAATTCAATCTTTCTATCTGGATTCAGTCAACGTGGAGTCTGTGGATTCTATTAGTAACTTGCCTAGCTGTGCATGTTTTAATATAGATAAACAATTTGATAGCTTCCTAACCTGCCTTGCTACTGAATGATGACTGGAGAACGTAGGACTGCCACTGCTTTTGGAAATACTGCTAGTGGCAAAATATAAGTATACAAGTTAGAGACGTAGTTCTTAATTGTTAGTAGAAAGAGAGCTTTCCCTTCAGAGCAACATATTTCAAAACAGATTTTGAAACATTTACCTGAAACATGAGCAAATAGATTTCTCAACCTCTGGGGCATTTTCAGTCTTTATATTTTTAGCCAGTTGTCTATCATTTAGAATAGTAACACCAGTTTCAACCATCCTACAACTACAATATTTATTCTGGGACTTTTAGAGTTGCAAACATTCCTTTAGCTGCTGTGGGAGTTTTATTGATAGATAACCTCTGGTGTTTCAGGACTTGGAAGCTTAATATCCCTGCACTTGAGAGCTTGGTACAACTCTGCCTCCTCCTACTATAAGTAAAATCATCAATTAGCTGATTATCCTAACACCTTAGCTAATACCCTTATCTGAAAATAACTTCTGCTAACACTGGCATGATACAAGGGACAGTACCTTGCTCATGGCTTCTCCCTGCCAAGTTCTGATCCTTCAGTTCTTCTGCTTCCAGACCAAGCAAAAATGATGCGGGGAAGAAAAGATGCAAGATCTCCTTACTCTATGGTTTATGTAAGCCTGATCTAACTTTACGGTATTTCCCTTCTAATCAGGATCAGATTATAGCATCAAGAATGTGCAAAATATCCACAGGCTTTCAAAAGGCAGCTTCTTTCCTTCTTTTGCTAAGGGGTGTGGGAAGGGAAATTTCAGTAAGTTCATCTCTTCCTTAGAGAAGATAGTTTCAATGTTAATTTGATTATTTTTCTATTTCAGTGTGATTCTGTTCCAAAAATCTTTTCAAGTCTGTTTCTGAAACACACATACGTATGTATATATCTATGTACACTCAAATATTGAACAGTTAATAGTAAAGATTTCTCCGCTTTTCTTCAGGCACCTTCTAACCCACGACTTCTGTTTCTTAGAAGTGCCTAAGGCATTGGAATGACATCAAAGAGCCAGTAACTTGGCATTTACTATATTAATACTAATCTAGGGGAAATAAGAAACTATTAGAGTATATATTCACAACCTTCAAGCTTTCACTTGATCATAGCAAAATGTTAACATGTAAACACTTCAAAGAAACAATGTATTTTTTTCTTGGGTAATTTAGCATTCATTTTGAAGGAAAAATTAGTATCCTTAATATATTTGCAATAGCTAAAGTTCAGGTCAACTTTATCTAGCATGTGAAGGTCAGTTATTTGATAAATAGTGACCACTTCATACTTGGGAAACCCTGCTTTTGATAAATAATCTCCAGATAATAATTGTTACTTCTACTGCTTTATAAAGACTGCTTGAGTGTGGGGTCAAACTAACCTTTCATTAAATCAAAGCAGTGAACCAGATGCTTAGAATAAGGATGATAATTAATCCATAGCCTCGTAGAAGAACAAAGGCTCATTTGAAGAAGGCATTTATATGCTAGAATCATTTCTTTTGTTCTTGTTTTGTTTAGTATCTCTTGGTAATTGAATTCATAAGAGATTTGAGAAACATATTAGATAACATTTATTATGTGACAGCATATCAGCATTTCAGAAAACCCTCGTGTATGTACCTAGAGGATCAATTTACCTTTGATCCAATTTTATATTATGATTAAGTATCAAAATCAAAATGTTATCAAATGATAAACAATAAATTCTACCTTGGTTTCATGGATTTGGTTTCTACAAATTGTATTAGTCTGTTTTCATGTTGCTAATAAAGACATACCCAAGACTGGGTAATTTATAAAGAAAAAGAAGTGTAATGGACTCATGATTCCACATGGCTGGGGAGGCCTCAAAATCATGGAGGAGGGTGAAAGATACATCTTACATCACAGCAAGCAAGAGAGAGAATGAGAAGCAAGTGAAACAAGTCTCCCTTTATAATACCATCAGATCTCCTGAGACTTATTCACTACCCAGAGAGCAGTATGAGGAAACTGCCCTCATGATTCAATTAGCTCCCACAGGTCCCTCCCACAACATGTGGGAATAATGGGAGCTATAATTCAAGATGAGATTCAGGTAGGGACACAGCCAAACTGCATCATTTCATCCCTAGCCCCTCCCAAATCTCATGTCCTCACATTTCAAAACCATTCATGACTTCCCAACATTCCCCCAAAGTCTTAACTCATTTCAGCATTAACTCAAATGTACACAGTCCAATGTTTCATCTGAAACCAGGCAAGTCCATTCCCCCTGTGAGCCTGTAAAATCAAAAGCAAGTTAATTACTTCCTGGATACAATGGGGGTACAGGCATTGAGTAAATACAACCATTCCAAATGGGGGCAATTGGCCAAAACAAGGAGTCTACAGGCCCCATACAAGTCTGAAATCCAGTGGGGCAGCCCAATCTTAAGGCTCAAAAATGCTTTCCTTTCACTCCGTGGGTCACATCCAGGCCCCACTGATGCAAGAGGTGGGTTCCCATGGTCTTGGGCAGCGCCACTCCTTTGACTTTGCAGGATACAGTCTCCTTCCTGGCTGCTTTCACTGGCTGGCATTGAGTGTCTGCAGCTCTTCCAGGTGCATGGTGCAAGCTGTTAGTGGATCTACCATTCTGGGGTCTGGAGGACAGTGGGCCTCTTCTCACAGCTCCACTAGGCAGTGCCTCAATAGGGACTCTGTGTGCAGGCTCTGACCCCTCATTTCACTTCTGCACCGTCCTAGCAGGGGTTCTCCATGAGGGCCCCGCCCCTGCAGCAAATGTTTGCCTGGGCATCCAGGCACGTCCATACAGCCTCTGAAATCTAGCGGGAGGTTTCCAAACCCCAATTCTTGACTTCTGTGCACTCACAGGCTCAACACCATGTGGAAGTTACAAAGGCTTGGGGCTCGCACCCTCTGAAGCCATGGCCCGAGCTCTACATCGGCCCCTTTCAGCCATGGCTGGAGTAGCTGGGACACAGGGCACCAAGTCCCTAGGCTGCACACAATATGGGGACCCTGGGCCCAGCATATGAAACCATTTTTTCCTCCTAGGTCTTCAGGCCGGGGATGGAAGGGGCTGACATGAAAATCTCTGACATACCCTGGAGACATTTTCCCCATTGCCTTGGGGATTAATATTCAGCTCCTAATTACTTATGCAAATGTCTGCAGTCGGCTTGAATTTTTCCTCAGAAAATGGGATTTTCTTTTTGATAGCATTTTTAGGCTGCAAATTTTCTGAATGTTTATGCTCTGCTTACCTTATAAAACTGAATGCCTTTAACAGCACCCAAGTCACCTTTTAAATGCTTTGCTGCTTAGAAATATATTCCACCAGATACTCTAAATTATCTCTCTCAAGTTCAAAGTTCCACAAATCTCTGTGGCAGCAGCAAAATGTCTCCAGTCTATTTGCTAAAACATAACAAGAGTCACCTTTTCTCTAGTTCCCAATAAGTTCCTCATCTCCATCTGAGACCACCTCAGCCTGGACTTTATTTGTCCATATCACTATTGGCACTTTGGGCAAAGCCATTCAACAAGTCTCTCGGAAGTTCCAAACTTTCCCACATGTTCCTGTTTTCTTCTGAGCCCTCCATACTCTTGCAACTCCTGCCTATCACCCAGTTTCAAAGTTGCTTCCACATTTTTGGGTATTATTACAGCAGCAACCCAGTCTCAGTAACAATTTATTGTATTAGTCTGTTTTCATGCTGCTAATAAAGACATACCTGAGACTGGGTAATTTATGAAGAAAAAAATGTCTAATGGACTCACATGGCTGGGGACTCAGTTCACGGAGTTTAGTGGACACAGTTTAATGGACTCACATGGCTGGGGAGGCCTCACAATCATGATGGAGGCTGAAAGGCATGTCTCGCATTGCAGCAGGGAAGAGCAAGAATGAGAACCAACCAAAAGGGGTTTCCCCATATAAAACCATCTGATCTCGTGAGGTTTACTCACTACCACACAAGCAGTATGGGTGAAACTGCCCCCGTGATTCAATTACCTCCCACTGGATTCCTCCTACAACTTGGGAATTATGGGAGCTGCAATTCAAGATGAGATCTTGGTGGGGACACAGCCTAACCATATCACAAATGATCATGAATGGGTTTCTTTCTAGAAATATATTGAAGAAAATAGATTCTAGCAAGTTTGGGTAAATCTGACTAGGCCAAAATGTAAAATTCCATTCCTTCTTGTGTTTATGTTAACAAAACTAGGTTCTAATACTCATCAAATTTTTTGTACAATTTTTTGTATCAAAAAAGAAAAATTTTTGTGATACAGTCTAAATTTTTACAAAGATTTTTATAGTCCTACTTATTTTTTATACTAACCGTGCAAGGGAAGAAAATTAAGCAGAGCATATCTAAACAATCTAAGAAACACAATTCCCCGTATATACCCCAAAATGAAGAAACTCATCTCAAATCATAACTTAAAAATAAGCATTAGAAACTGAAGCAGACTGGCATTGCACACAGCAAGTCTTAACAGAAAAAATAATTTTAATTCATCCATTCAGTAAATATTTACCACTTGCTTTCCATATGACAGCCACTGTCCTATTTAATATAAATGAGCAGTAAATATTCTATGGTGACAATTTTAAAAAATCAATAAAAATTCCACAAAAAAGTATTTAAAACTTTTACAGAATGGGCAGCCCACATTTGAAATTGAAAAATAATTAGAAAACTAGGAGGAAGACAGATAATTGTATAAAAAATGTTTGGCAATTTGAAATACTGCCAGTGGATCAAGTAAAAAGAATTTTATTTTTTTCTATTGGTAATAAGATGGAGAAATATTTATTGAAATAAATTTTATTGTGATGATGAGACAATTATCAAGGTGCTGTGGTTCAAGTGAGGAATATGAGCAAGTAAAGAAAGTAACAGTGTTGAAAACTCTTAAAATACCTTGAAGAGAAGAATGCTGTGGTGGAGGATAGAGGATAGAGAGCCAACAGATTGAGGATCTTTAATGAGATAACTTGGTAACTTAATGCTTATACACTAATGAATAGACCTTAGCAAGGAGGGCAGCAATAAAAGGAGAGAGGAGAAAAAGTAGCATAAAATTCGTAAGTGATATTGCTTCCATTGGAAAAGGAGAGTTAAAGAACAGGGCAGGGCAGACACAAGTAAGTTTATTTGTTTGGTGGCAGAAGTTGGGATTCATCTTGTTAAATGACTCCTATTTCAATGTAAATATGCATTAATTCAACAATTTCTACACTATTGTTGATATTTCTGAATGTGGGAGAAAAGTGGAGAGGGGAATTTAAGGAGAGTTTAAGGCAATTTATAGAGACTTGTGCAAAATATTTAAATAGTTTGTATAAGAAACGGGAGCAAGAAATGAAGACGGAATTTGGAAAAGGTTGCAAGGTTCCGGGTGAAGAAGAATGTCATAAATTAGTATTGGCAAAAATCTACATAATTCTGCAGGTATCTCTAATGGTGCTTAGTAGCCAGGTGTATGTGTAGAAAAGTTAGGCTTTTGTTGTTGTTGTTGTTGTTGTTGTTGTTTTCTTCAAGCAGTGTGGCTAAAGAGCAATAGGAAAAAAGAGAACTGGAAAAAAATAGGATCAGAAAATGATTGAAATGATACACCAAGTTTCAGAGACATGATGAATGAAGAGATTATGGAAAGGGGTACAAAGAACGAAAATGGAGGGTTCAAGGAACAGGAGGACTATCTGCAGTTGAAGAAAATGTATATTGATAATAATTAAGATGAATAAACTGGTTGATAACTGGGGAGAAGAATGCTTCAGTTCAAGTTTTAATTGTTTAAGAGTTGCCAGGTGATGATAGTATCTAGTGTAGGAAAACACTGAGAGAAGATAAAAGTCACTAAAGGTGAAAAAAATTATAAACTGAAACCCAATCTAAAAAGAATTTAGATGGTTTCTCAGTATGGGAACTACTCTAAATATAATGGATAACCAGAGAAGTATTAGAACCCATCTGAGAGTAATGACAACCAAGAAAACTACCTTTAGTAAAGAAAATAATGGAATAACACTTCAAAGTGGATAAAAAGAAAAGAGAAAGAAGATATTTTATAGTGGAAAGTGCACAGCATTTAGAACGTGACAGTCCTTCATTCATGTCCCAACTGTACCATTTACTAGATCTGTGGCATTGTCTATCTGAACCTTGGCTTTATCAATAGTAAAATATAGATTCTCTCAATATATATTTATCATGCTATTTCTTTATGCCAGAGAATGGATTAAATAATTATAACCTGTTCTTTGGATGAAATAAATGTATTATAAAACCAGATGTGTAAATATATGAATATTATCTCATAGAAATTCTGTTTCCACAACAATAAAAAATTAAGTATATGTTTCAGTACTTTCATGTGAAGATACCTTAAGGTTATTAAAATACATCAGAATAATTTCATCTTTGTCTAATATATATCAAATTTTGTTGAGCTTTTTTGAAAATCGCATTGTTACTTCCTCTTTGGATGGTAACATGCCCTGAGATTTCTCTTAGTTGCTTTGTTTGCAAGGGCCTTATATGGCTATAGCATGTCTGCCTCCTTGTTATCAAATATAATATAGTATAGTGAGTTCTACTTTATGATTAAAAAATAAATTTTCATTAATAATATACATTCAGTTAATATAAATTTTATCCTAATATAAAATTCATATATATATTTATATATAGTTATATATATAGTATATATATACATAGTTTAAAAATTATATAGGAGATTCTTTGCAGAGATTGCTATTTCAGAATAGGTGGGTCTGAGATGAGTGAAAACACCTTTTTAGGACCTTTGAATTTTAAATTAATTTATCAATTATGTGAGAAGATATGCTGATGCTTAATACTTACTGAAATTAAACATAATTAAACAGTTTCATCACCTATTTTCCAAACAATTATTATTGTCATGAGGATGTCTGTAATATCACTAAAGCCTATTGCATGCCGCTGGTATCTTGTGATGAAAAATTGACAAAAATGTTTAGATTTAATTTAGCTGAATATATTGCCTCCTAAAAATAGAAAGAAAAAGAAACAAATTATATTAAAAAATACTCCTAAGAAAAATCTGTTTCTAACTAAAGCAATTTTTATTAAACCCAATCTATCCATGCTTTTCCAGGTTAATTGGAATTATAAGGATTCCCTTTCAACACTGTAAAAAATCTCTTAATTGTAATTGGTCCTGTGACCTCTTGTCTAGGCTGCCATGGTGTGACAGCTGACCACTTCTGGCTCTAACTAGGCATCAGAGGAACTTTTGGTTGTTCGGTTGGTGATGGCTGAAAATCAGTCTTCACTTCCTTTATTATAGGTAGGCTGAGGAAATTGTATTTGCTTCTTTTTTTTGTTGTTGTAATCAATTACTGATTCCTAAGCACATTTTTCCACACTTGTTTAAACATCTATTTTCCTAAATGTGAAGACCACCCAGCTATTGTGAGAACAGATTATCACACTTTTAGTATGTTCTCAATTATTCTCACATTTACTTTCTACATCACCCACTTTAGGGTTTACTAAGAGTTACACAATTCAGAGTGTGGATTAGCATTTCACTTAAAGAGCACTGGTAGTTTAACACTTAGATTCATAATGCTCTTCCATCTCACCAAGAGCCTGTTTTTAAACCTAACATCAATCTACAAACATAATAAGCAGGATTATACAGAAACACACATGCAGAACATTTTCATCATAACAGATGAGTGGCTCTCAGAGCAGACAAGAACCCATAGGGTATTCACTGCCATGACTCACTCGTCTCTTCAAAATGCTGTATGCTTTATACATGCAATTTTAAAATCTCACTGCTTCTTAGCACAAGTTAAGATAGAGCCTGTTGCTCCCCCTGAATGTATCATGTTCATTTCTACTCTAAGCCCTTGTTTTATGTTTTCTCTCCATATTGTTGGGCCTACATTTTCCTTCACACCTCCTTCATCTATCTTACCTATTTTGAAGGTACTAGTTGAGGTACCACTTCCGCAATGCTTGTTTGATCCTGCCAACCCAGAGTTCACATTATTTCTTAAGTAGTTCTTTCACCAACCGCATTTTTTTTTTTTTTTTTTTTGAGCAGGTACTGTTATCTTACAAGAGGAAAAGAAACCCTGGCTTTGAACTCAGTACTGGGCAAATAATATGTCCTCAGTTTTGAGAAGGGTGTGGATATTACCATTTCTTATTGTCAACACAACAAGCAAGGATGAGATGCATCCATTCAAGCTTTTACTTCTATTTGCCTTCATTTTAGTGCTATCCTGGGGAGTTGCAGTTCTAAGTCTCAGAATGCTAGTTGTTGGGTCTTGCCTTTAGTAGGAAGTTTCTGCACTTAAGGATGATACTGCTCTGTGAGTAGGCTCATTTTAATTTTCCGTGGCAAAGAATGAGAAATTTTTTTTCACTAGACAAACTGGGGCCATATACAACTTTTTTTTTTTTTCTGACTATAGATGCAGAGACTTTTGTGTGCCACGATATAAACAATCCCTGGACTGTGACTGGTCCCATAAGGCTTGATCTGTCAGTTCACATCCCTTATCTAGCTTCTTGCTTAGGTAAACTGAAGTCCTCTTTGAAGGAAGCAAGGTAGAATGTGAAGGAAGGAATAAACAGCTCCACTCAATTTTCAGGCCTAAGATCATAACCCGCATCAAAAGCTAGAGAAACTCAATGTTAAATGAATGACATTAGATTATCTTACAGTTATTACCAAATGAGTAATTTCCTTCCATATGGTTCTTCATGCACAGGTACCTCCTCAGGAAACTCTGAAAAAGAAGAAGTAGAAATAGTATGAGACAAGAAACAGTCATATTCCAAAGGTAATAACATTCTCACTTTATCATGTCAAGTTGAAATATGAAAATGAAAAAGTTTAAAAATGTGATTTATTTAGATTTAAAACATTATTCAAGCCACAAAGACAACCATTATGATACAGACCAAACTGTACTTAAATATATTTAAAAAGCTTGATTTAAAAATTTTACCCATGATTTTTCTGCTTTGATTGCCTTTGTTTACCTGATTTTTCCTTCTTTTCCTATTCAATATCAAAATATTAGATGCACATGATAAAAAAATCAAATTGCAAAAGTTTATAATGAAAAAGAATTTCTTATTTTTACCTAGTCTAGTATCCTGGTAAGACATATTAATAATCTAGATTTTTTTTTATTTTAGAGGTTTATAAGGTCATAGTACTTAAAATATTATTATATCAATAATTCTAGATCTATCTATTGGTGTTCTGTAATGAAAAGAATATTCAACTTCTAATACCATTCAATAGTCCTCATTCAACTCACATTTTGATGGGCATCATTAAACTATGATACGATTTATTAATGGCTTTTGTGACAAGACATAAATTCTTAAAATGTGTTTTATTTTTCCATGAAATGTATATACCTCTTTTCTTAAAAAGCCCTGCAGTATGCTAAGATTACTTGTCACTGTCTTAGTCAACAAATATTCATTTAGTATCTGCCATATGCCAGACACTGTTTTAGGTAAAGAGGATTCAGCAGAGAACAAAACAGAAAAACAGACCAACAAAAATGTCCCTGTCCTCAGGAGGCTTACAATCTGATATATCAGAATTATATATTATAATTACATATACATATACAATTAAAATAATTAAAAAAAAAGAGAGAGAGAGAAATGCAAACCAAAACCACAATGAGGTAACACCTCACACCAGTCAGAATAGCTATTATTAAAAAGTCAGAAAGTAGCAGATGTTGGTGGGGTTGCAGAGAAAAGGGAAAGCTTATACCCTGCTGATGGGAATGTAAATTGGTGCAGCCACTCTAGAAAGCAGTTTGGAGATTTTTCAAAGAACTTAAAAGAGAATCACCATTTGACTCAGCAATCTCATTATTGGATATATACACAAAGGAATATAAATTGTTCTACCGTAAGGACACAGGCACATGTATGTTCATTGCAGCACTCTTCACAAAAGCAAAGACATGGAATCTACCTAGGTGCCCACCAATAATGGACTAGATAAAGAAAATGTGGTACATATGCACCATGGAATACCATGCAGCTATAAAAAAATGAGATCATAGCCTTTGCAGCAACCTGGAAGGAGCTGGAGGTCATAATCCAAAGTGAATTAATGAAGCAAAGGAAAATTAAATACCATGTGTTCTCACTTATAATTGGGAGCTAAACATTGAGTACACATGAACACAAAAAAGGGAACAATAGACACTGGGGCTTGAATTTGAGGGTGGAGGGTTGGAGGAGGGTGAGGATTAAAAAACAACCTATTGGGTGTTATTCTGATTATCTGGGTAACAAAATTATCAGTACACCAAATCCTCAAACCCCCTTGACATGTAATTTACCCTGTAACAAACATGTACATGTACCCCCTGAACCTAAAAGTTGGAAAGAAAACAAATTGCTATATGAAAGTTTCCTTCATATGAATCTGTTTATTCAGCTGTTTTTGTAGCAGTATCAAATTATTTTATTTGAATATGGATTAAAGAATAATGTGCCTTAACTATACTTTAAATTTATCCACCTCACTGTCATATTCTACATAAAACAGAAAATTTTCCCCCATTCACAGGTGCCCTTAAACCACCTTTCCCAGGATGGACTTACTTTGTTCAGGATTATTGCTCAGATATCATATTTCTGAGTTAGAAGGAGTGTTTTCTGAATCCTTGTATATTTAGAGTCACGTTTTCCTGAACTCCCATATGTTTTCTCTCTATATATCCTCAAGTAACTTCAGAAATAACATATGGAGTATAAGTTATTTGAGTACTTGATTGTTAAAGTTATCTTCATGTTGCTCTTATAATTAATTGACATTTTAATATAGATATTGAAACTCAAATCATCATTTTATCATAACTTACAAGGCTTTGCTTCATTATTTGTAAAATATTTTGTGTTAATAATGAGAAGCTGATTCCAGTCTGACTCTTTTCCGTTGCTGGTGACATTTTTTTGTTCAAGATTTTTAAATTCCCTTTTCAACCAGGGTATTATAAAAGTTCTTGAGGATATGTCTTTGTGTGGGCTTAAAACTTTCTTTGCTCAACATTTGGTGAGGCTTTTCAATCTGTCTAGTTAGGTCTCTGTTTTCAGTTTTAGAAGACACTGTTTTAATTTTCCCTTTTGATCCATTTTGTCTGACCTTTCTTTCTGAAAATCCTTTTGGTGAGAATTGAACCTGCTGGATTGACTTTTTTTCCCCCATGTTCAGTTTTCTTTCACATTTTTTGTTTGTTTTACTGAGCTCTCCCTGATAAATTTTATCGTCTGATATTTATTTATAATTTTTATTTATTTGTGATAGCTGATGGCTCTTTTCTCTGCTAGTTTTTTTTCATATCTTTTAAACATTTTAATTAGCATAATACCTTCTTTCTCTAAGAATGACAATTAGAATAGATTTTTTGTAAATATTCTCTCCATAATTTCCATTGATCCCAAGGCCCACTGCTTTGTTTATTTTGATCTTCCTTTTTAATAAGTGTTAATTTTTTTGTATAAGTCCTTCATTGCAAATTTACATTTCATAAATGAAGAAATAGGACAAGTGAATAGTTTGATGTAAGGGGTATGAGCTCCCTGCTGAGTTATTGGATCTGTTTCCATGTTACATTTCCTCTGAAAAAGAAGGCTGAGAGGGAGATCTGGGGATTTAGGTGGAGCTTATGGGCTGAAACCTTCAACTTTAGGGAGCATGAGCACAGGCATTAGGCTGTGAAGGCAGGACTGTCTGAAGGTAAGCACTTCTGTGCCTACCTGGGTCAATACCTGACCTTGGAACCTTTATTGTCCAAAATCAGGGCACTCATTTTCTTTAGAGAAATCTTTCTTCATTCTTAACTCAGAAGAAAACCAGGCTGTCAGCCATTTTTTGAGTGTGAGGATCATCACATTTTCAGAGGGAAGTACTGAAAGGAGATGAATAAAGGCTAGGGGTGTCTATGGACAGAAATTCCTGTTCCTCACCATTCTCAGTCTAGTCCTGGGTACCTATCCAACCCCAGCTCTGAGGTCAGGTCTTCCTAGAGCACCCATCTTCACTGCAGACCCCTCATGCACTTACCCTAGGCTGCGGCTTCTGCTTCTCTGTCATAGGCATTGATACCTTGAATAGGGGTAAAGTCCAGTTCTGAGATCTATTAAAATCACCTCAAGCATTCATGATCTTTTCTACTCCTTGTTTATGCTAATAGCTTTTTTCCTTTTTATAAATGTATAATGTCACATCAATGGCAGCTTAGTAAGAAGAATGTATTATACAAGCATATATGCTAAGTCTGCTATCTTGAACTGGAAACTTTGACCGTTTTGCTATTTCTAGAATATTTGGAGTGGTGAAAATAATTGTTAAACTTCACATTATTCTCTTACCTTTTATAATTGAGCAACTTGGTGTACATATATATGTATATAACACTATACTATATACAAAAATTATGTATATATACATGCAGACTTATATATAACTAATCCATGCCATTATAGTTATTTATATATGTAACATGCCCAAAAGATACCAGATACTAATTCATTAAATTTACATATGTATAATTGGAACATATAGGTGGCATTACATTTATTTCACCATTCACACTTTAACTGAAATAGTCTCATACCTTTTTTGTGTTAATCATGTTTGTTTTTTATGGTAATCTAGTATTACGTTAGAGATCCTATGTTAAATTCCTGTAAACAATTTTAAATTAGCTCATACTAATTTAATGAGCTAGCTGTTCATTAAAATTTTGACTTGGTTATAGTGGTAGTGTTATTCTATAAGGGAAACAAAGAAGTGGTACATATTGACAAAAAGCAATCATTGTTTACAGATACTATTTAAAAAGCATAATTCAGAAATGACTGATTATTTTTCTTTTCTATTTTCCTAATTCATTTAGGGGAAAAATATATATTTTCCTATTTATCTTTCTATAAAAAACTATTTTGTATAAATTTTAGCCCATATAACAAAACTTAATTGAAAGATCATTATAATTATCAGGCCAGGCACTGTGGGTCACACCTGTAATCCCAGCACTTTGGGAGGCTGAAGCGGGCAGATTACCTGAAGTCAGGAGTTGGAGATCAGCCTGGCCAACACGGTGAAACCCTGTCTCTACTAAAAATACAAAAATTAGCTGGGCTTGATGGCGGGTACCTGCAATCCTAATTCCAGCTACTCGGGAGGCTGCGGCCAAAGAAGAATTGCTTGAACCCGGGAGGCAGAAGTTGCAGTGTCCCGAGATCGCATCACTGCACGCCAGCCTGGGCCACAGAGTATATATATAGTTATTTTATGTGCAAATTTTCAAATAAAGACATTTATACTATGATACCGTATATAAGTTCCAGAAAAGCCTCTTGTTTTATAGAATTGTGCCTAAAAAATTACAGAATTAGGAAAAATTTGTTTAGAAGGCAGACAGATCTAAATATATGCAAACATTAAAGAGTATTATCAAAAAATACAAGTTAATAAAATACTAACAAGTTTTAAAGTATGAATTTAACTTCAATTAAATAATTGTGAATGTAAATAAAATCCTTAAAAAACTATAAAGAAGTCATATCCAGAATAGATAAAGATCTCCTACAAGTTAAAAATTAAAGGCAAGCAACTCAAGAAAAATAGATAAAATACTTGAACAAATATTTCATGAAAGGGGATACTAAAATGTACAATACACATATGAAATTATACCCAATTTTATTTGATTAACAAAGGTAAATTGAAACCAAAATGAAATACAACTGATGTGGTTACCGTAGCCTTGTAGTATCATTTGAAGTCAGGTAGTATGATGCCTCCAGCTTTGATCTTTCTGCTTAGGATTGTCTTAGCTATGTGGGCTCTTTTTTGGTTCCATATGAACTTTAAGGTACTTTTTTCTAATTCTGTGAAGAATGTCAGTGGTAGTTTGATGGAAATAGCATTGAATCTAAAAGTTACTTTGGGCAGTATGGCCATTTTCGTGATATTGATTCTTCCTATCCATGAGGATGGAATGTTTTTCCATTTGTTTGTGTTCTCTTACTTTCTTGAACAGTGGTTTGTAGTTCTCCTTGAAGAGGTCCTTCACATCCCTTGTTAGCTGTATTCTTAGGTATTTTACTCTCTTTGTAGCAATTGTGAATGGGAGTTTACTCACGATTTGGCTCTCTGCTTGCCTATTGTTGGTGTAAAAGAATGCTTGTGATTTTTGCGCATTGATTTTGTATCCTGAGACTTTTCTAAAGTTGCTTATCAGTTTAAGGAGTTTGGGGGCTGAAATAATGGGGTTTTCTAAATATAAAATCATGTAGTCTGCAAACGGAGACAATTTGACTTCCTCTCTTTCTATCTGAATACACTATATTTCTTTCTCTTGCCTGATTACCTTGGCCAGAACTTCCAATACTATGTTGAATAGGAGTGGTGAGAGAGGACATCCTTGTCTTGTACCAGTTTTCAAAGGGAATGCTTCCAACTTTTGCCCATTCAATATAATGTTGGCTGTGGGTTTGTCATAAATGGCTGTTATTACTTTGAAATATGTTCCATCAATACCTAGATTCTTGAGAGTTTTTAACATGAAGAGATGTTGAATTTTATAAAAGGCCTCTTCTGCATCTATTGAGATAATCACATCCCTTGTTAGCTGTATTTCTAGCTATTTTATTCTCTTTGTAGCAATTTTGAATGGGAGTTCATTCATAATTTGACCCTCTGGTTGTCTATTGTTGGTGTAAAGGAATACTTGTGATTTTTGCACATTGATTTTGTATGCTGGGGCTTTGCTGAAGTTTCTTATCAGCTTTCGGAGTTTTTGGACTGAGACAATGGGGTTTTCTAAATATAGGATCACGCCGTTTCTGTTTGCCATTTTCTACTACCATTGAGCATATATGCATTTTATGACCATGCAATTCCATTCCTGGTTATGTTTTCAAGATAAACAATAACTAGTGCTCAAGTAGGAAGTCTTGACAGCACCATTTGTCATACATAGTTCATCTGAACTTTACCTGGTAATTGCGGTGACCATCTTTGTTAGCTAATTGACTTTATCCATGGGAGGAACAAACTTCTTATGTCTTTATGATAGATAGTTTTGCAACTTAGAGCGAGGTGCCCAGCTCACCAAAGTTAGGCTCCCACCCTTCCACAGAAACAGGGAGATAGGGTTGCTATCTCCCTTGATCTTTACATTTCAAAGGGATGGCTCCCAGATCCTTGAGAAAGAAATTCCTGGGTAATAAAGCTGACAAAAGGCCTACCTACTTTTCAAAAGAATATATAGATATTGCAAAAGGAGGAGAAAATAGTTACAGGTTTTCTAAGGAAAATGTTCTAAGGGAAAAAAATGTGGGGATAAGTCTCTTCCCTTATTTTCAATAGGAAAAATTAAACCTCTCATTTTAAAATTTTAATTGTCTTTATAACATTTACATAGAAATTCTGTCTGTATGTTAAACCTTAATACAAAGCTTTATAAATGATAAAAATACAATGAGTGTTAAAAAACTTTGAGTCTGCTAAATTATAGTTTGAGGGCCAAATGATGGCTGAGAGCAACTCGCAGTAAGCACTTCTAAAACACAGCACTTCAATGAATTAAGTAGCTAAAAATAAGGTTTACAAATATTTTCTCACATTTCATAGGTTGCCTTCTATGTTGTTGATTGTTTCCTTTGTCTTGTAGAAGGTTTTTAATTTTATGTAGTTCTACTTCTTTATCTTTGGTTTTGTTGCCTGTGCTTTTGATGTCATATCCAAAAAAATCATTGCCAAGAACAATTTCAAGGAGTTTTTGCTATTCTTTATTTTAAGAGTTTAATGGTTTAAGATATTACATTTAAACTTTGAATCTATTATGAGTTAATTTTTTTAAGATACTGTAAGACAAGGGCTTAATTTCATTCTTTTGCATGTGGATATCTAGTTTTTCCAGCACCATTTGTTGAATAGACATTCCTTTCCCGATTGTGTATCCCCAACACCCTTGTCAAAGATTAGTTGACCTTATATGTGTGGGTTTATTTCTGGACTCTCTATTCTGTTTCATTGATCTATGTTTCTGTTTTTATGACACTACTATACTGTTTTGACTATGTTTGCTTTCTAATATAATTTGAAATCCAACAGTGTGATGCCTCCAGCTTTATTTTTTCAAAATTTCTTTGACTATTTAGTTACTTTGTTGTTGTGGTTCCATAATGTTTAGTATATTTTTCTATTTCTATGAAAAATGTCGTTAGAATTTTCATATGGATTGCATTGAATCAATAGATTATGCAGTATGGGAATCTTAACAATACTAATTCTTTCAATTCATGTACATGGGATATCTTTCCATATATTTGTGCCTTCTTCATCAGTTTTCAATGTACAGATCTTTTACCTCCTTGGTTAAATTCATTAAGTATCATATTCTTTTTCATGGTATTGTAAATAGGATTGTTTTCTTAATTTCTTTTTCAGATAGTCTGCTGTTAGTGTATGGAAACACAACTGATTTTTGTATGTTAATTTTGTATTATGAAACTTTACCAATTTTTTTTATTACTTCTAACCGTTTTTTGAGTGGCATCTTTAGGGTTTCTACACATACAGTCATGTCTTCGTCAAACAGAGGCAACTTAAATTCTCCTTTTCATTTTTTATGCTTGCCTACTTGCTCTGGCTAGGTCTTCTAGTACCATACTGAACAGAACTGATGAGAGTTGGCACCCTTGACTTATTTCTGATGTCAGAAGAAAAATTTTCAGTCTTTCGCTATGATTATGATGTTAGCGGTGGGCTTGTTAGCGGTGAACTTTATTAGTGAAGCGGCTACTTGTCTGGAGAATATACCCTGGGGTTCCTCCTTGCGCGCCAGGAAAATTGAGGACACGGACACACACAAGGAGTTTAGGAGCAGAGGTTTAATAGGCAGAAGAGAAGAGGAAGAGAAACAGCTCTCTCCATAGAGAAAGGGGTCTACAAGTGGAAAAGGATTGACTGGCAGCAAATGTGCCAGATTTTATAGTCCGGTTTGAGCAGGCGGTGTCTGATTTAGGTAAGGCTCACAGATTGGTATGACTTTTACATAGTGCAAGGGGAAGGCTGATCGCTCCATCCTAATCTTATTATGCAAATGGGCTTTCCAGGTGATGGAAGCCATCTTGTCTGCTCCTTACTGCACACGTGGCTGACAAAGAGAAGGGAAGATGGAGCCTCCATCTTCAACATGATTGGAGCAGCTGCTGATATCTATGTCTGCAGCTCAATTTTGTAGGCTGCTCTTCGTTAGAAAGGAAGATAATTTGGGGCTGCTTTTCATTAAAATGAAAAGCCTTACCGAAGACTCCCATACCCTTACTATCAGCCTAATTGATTTCTTCTTAACTTCTATATCATTAGTTCGTGGTACCTTCCTTCTATACCTAATCTATGGAGAGTTTTAATATCCAAAGTATATGTGAAATGTACACAACTTTATAACAAGTAAACACATAACCTAATTTAAAAATAGACAAATCCTGAATAGGAATTTTTCCAAAGAAGACACACACATGCCCAACAGTCATAAAAAATAGTGCTAATCATCACTAATAATCAGAACAATGCAAATCAAAAACACAATGAGATATTACCTCACAGCTGTTAGGATGGCTATTATCAATAAGACAAGTGAATACAAGTGTTGGCGAGGATGTAAAGAAAAGGGAACCCTTGTACAATGCTGATGGGGATGTAAATTGGTTCAGATATTATGGAAATCAGAATAGAGGCTCCTCACATAATTAAAAATAGAACTACCATATTATTTATCACTCCTACTTTTGGGTATGTAGTCAAAGGAAATAAAATCAATACCTCAAGGAGATATCTGCATTCTCATGTTTATTGCAGCATTATTCATAATAGTCAAGATATACAAATAATCTAAGTGTCCACTGATGGATGAATGGATAAAGAAAAAATGGTACATATATATGAAGGAATATTATTTAACCATAATAAAAGAAGTATATCTTGTCATTTGCCACAACATAGATGAACCCAGAGGATATTAGGCTCCATGAAATAAGCAAGACACCAAAGGAGAAATAACCGCATGATCTCACTTGAAATGTGAGGAATCTTGAAAAGTCAACTCATAAAAGCTGAGGGGAGAAGAATGGTTGTTAGGGCTCAGGAGGGAGGGGAAAGGGGATATATTGGTCAAAGAATAGGAATTTTCAGTTGTAAGATAAACAAGTTCTGGGGATCTGATGCATAGCATGGGTGGTGATGGATGTGTTCATTAATCTAATTGTGATAATCATTACACAATGTTTACCTATGTCAAATATTTATATTGTACATCACGAATATATTCAATTTTTATTTGTTAATTAAATATTTCAAAATAATAAAAAAGAAGTACTGAAGGTGACTGGAGAATCACCTTAGTACAAAAGAAGAAGCTTGGCTGAATGGAGTTCAGTATTCCTCCAATCTTTTTTTTTTTTTTGAGATAGAGTCTCGCTTTGTCGCTCTGGCTGGAGTGCAGTGGCACAATCTCAGCTCACTACAACCTCTGCCTCCCAGGTTTAAGCGATTCTTCTGCCTCAGCCTCCCGAGTAGCTGGGACTACAGGAGAGTGCCACCACGTTCTGGCTAATTTTTGTATTTTTAGTAGAGATGGGGTTTCTTCATATTGGCCAGGCTGGTCTCAAACTCCTGACCTTGTGATCTGCCTGCCTCGGCTTCCCAAAGTGCTGGGATTACAGGCGAGAGCCACAGCACTCAGCCCTCCAATCTTGCTATGCTCAACTATGCTAGTGTTCTTTACATTGAGCTGCCAGTATTTGCTTGACCAAAACCAACCAACCAAATACACAAACAAATACATAAAACCATCATTAACTTTGTGACAAAAATTATATGGGAATCACAACCAAAAATAGTACTGTTTTATACTCAGAGCATTCCCCTATTTACCAGTCTCGTGAGAGTTAGTTTGTGTCACAGATCTCATGTTGAAGCAGAAGAGGTTGTATTGTTCACAGTGACAAATTCGCCATGAAGCTAATGAATTATTTTCAGGGACCATGGCTTGAGGAGACACTTTCAAAGGCCCTGCTAGGAACTTCAGCTATGTAATTTCAGGAAACACAAATTTTCATAAAAGTACAAAATCAAGATCTTCTTCTTCTTTTTTTTATCTAAAGAGATTCCACAAATTGTATACTCTTGAGGCAACTCACAAACTAGATCCATTGTCAGATTGCCCCATTACTTTATTTTATTCAATAAGTAAAGGAACAGCCCAAGTTATATGGAAAATGAGAGGTGAATAAGGAAGCATAGTTTTTTCCTGTTTTAATCTCTTTATTAAAATGAAGCCTTAATCAAAAGACAGTGTAATTTTCATAAAACACTGACTAAAATGTTAGCTGTAAGTGTTTTCTCAAGGTTTATTCCAGAGTGCATGAAAGTCAAGAAAAAAAGAAAAGAAATGGTTTAAAGTGCTGATTAGAAATGAGAAGCCCTGTAAATGAAAATGGAAGGTTTAATGATTTTTGCCTTAGTTGTTAAACCCCTTATAATGCATATCATTAGAAAACGATTTAAATATCTGGTGAAGAGTCACAAGGGGGCAAATTCCAAAGGTGGTTTTGAACTTATTAAAAATGCAGTGAAATCGTAACTCCACATTACAATAGCAATTAACTATGGTTAAAAGTGCCCTGAAGAGATGCAATTACTTTTAAATTAATCCTGCAATTTAAGATATATATTTACTGTATTTATTTATCAGCTAATTGATAAGTTGCCAGTCGAATGAATATGAAAGTCACCAGTATGTAACATAGTGAACATTTTTTATTTATTTGAGGATATTTTATTGCTGGCTCTTGCAAATAATACTTGTGATGACCATCTTCCTCATTACAGGAAAATGTAATAGTCTTAGAAACTAGATGAGAATAAGGTGGTTACTAGAGGGCATGTTCATTTATTGAGTTATTTACATTTATAATAGTTCATCAGAGCAATAATAATTCTTGTTGAAACAAAATAATTATTTTCACATTTTTTAAATAAATTGACTATAGTTATTTTATAATATTCTGGAAAGACAGGAAATAGAAATTTATAACAAATACTAAACACAGTTATATTTCTAAGTGGCTTTTCCCCAAACTCTATTAACAGATTAGAAACATTTCATGATTGTTTAATGGAGGGTGGATTTCTATTAATCAAATCCTATTTTATACCAATTCCCATCATTAAAAGAGAAACCTATTTTGTCGAAAGGAAGAAATGCCGCTGGAAAGTTTAAATGACAAAATTAAGGGTAGAAAAATTTAAATATGTATTAGAGACAAAATGATAATTATACAGACATTTAAAAATCTTAATAATAAAACCATTTACAAAATGATTCTCAGGGGAATTATATGCTACAAGATTTGAATTATTTACAGCAGGATTATTTATTTTCACTGATTTGAAAATTGTAAAGCATGTAATCCTTAACACTTTATCAACTTGGTTAAGTTTTCCACTAGCCTCAAATTGTCTTATTACTTATTACTCTGTACCTTGAGTGATATATTGCTCTTTTTTTCCTTCTCCTCTGTCACTTGACATTACTGACCTTTTTTGAAACATCTTCACCTAGTAATATCTATAAATTCTGTCACAGTATTATCGAAGAGACACTCTTAAAGTAGAATACAAAAACATTTCAATTATTTGACAATGGAGAAAAAGTTGATGGTTCATGTTTAGCTGAATCACATAAAAGAACAGTGTGGTCTGTAAGAGATGACAGTAATAAGTCTCAAAAGGCTTGAAAAAAACCTATAAAAAACCTATAATTTTTCAATTTAAAGGAATAATTACTTAAGATGAACATCTAATTTAATTCTCAAATTGTTTAAATATATAATTTTCAAGTAACTTTTAAGTTATGTTGGCAGATAAAATCAAAGGAGTTATGAGTTACAAATCTCAGTCTCTATCACTTTCAAACGTTCTAAGACCTGCAAGACATTATTTTAGAAATTACTTTAACATATATTTCTAAGGGGACACAACAGAGGGAGGGGGTTTAGGGCATAAAACAGGATTATTTAGTGAAAGTCTACTTAATAAATGGTGAGAACCACCAAGAAAACCAATGTCAATTCTAACACTGGGATATAAATGAAAGGATATTACAAAAAAAATCTGAACAGGTTATTTGTGGAACTAAAATGTTGTTAGATTGATATGAAAGTTTACAGGGCCAAGAGGAGTCAAGACCCATTATAGAAGAACAAGGTGAGAAGAATTGTTTTATCAGATTTCAAGATATAGTACACAACTATTTCATTAAAATCCTGTAATACTGGCTATATAAAGAAGTAAATCAATGATACAGAATGAGGAGAAATTAGAAACAGGTTTACTGGCATGAACGCTAGATCCACAATAAAGTTATCTTTACAGCACAAAGGGAAATGAATGGACTAATAAAAGAGAATAACTTCATGACATCTGTATAGTGAGAGAAGTTCTAAAATGACAAAAAGGAGAAAACATAAAGAAAATGATTGATAATTATGAATGCATCAAATCTAAGAACTTCTGCTCATGAAAAAAAGCATTAAAAAATGTAATGGTAGCAATAAGGTGGCTGAAATGTCACTCACAACAACTGACAAGGGGCTCATATCCAAACTACATACAGTATCCCTAAAAAGAAATCATTGACAAACACACAACCAATAGTTTAAAAAACAATTCAACTCCTTTCGCTCAATATTATTCTTCAATATTCACGTTGTTGCTTGCAATTGGTGTTTTTTTAAATTTTGATTATTTGAATAAACAATAACATAATTATTCATTCTATGGGTGATAGGTATTTGAATAGTTTTTCCATTTGGGGTAATCCAAAACAATTCTATGAGTATTCTTGAATCATATATTTTGGTGTATATAAGCACATGTTTCTGGAAGGTATATAGCTAGAAAAGAATTGCCAGGTCACAGTGTACAGAGATATTTTACCTGACCAACACTGAAGATAAATCATTCTGACACTTGTTAAAATAGTAAGACTATTCAAGATGAAAAGTAGCCACTTGCTACTTTTACCTGATATACTTTTTCCTAAGGGCAGACAAAGAACTTAGACATCAAGGCAATGAGAGGGGAAGCTTGGTCAGATATCAAGGATGATCAGATATCAAAGTTGGTCAGATAGCGACAGTGGCAGGATTCTCGCTAAACTGATTTGCAAGACTCTTGGTAAAGGTAGGCCAAGGTTGAGGCCTGGTCAAAGAGAACTAGTAGGAGCCTCACCAAATTTTGGTCAAGGACTGTGTAAACAGATAATGTCAACTTTTCCAAACGTGAATATATATCAATTAACACTATTCTATAGCAGTGTGTGGAAACTTATTTTGCTCAACAAACTTGCCAACAGTCAAGCTTTTCAGTATTGTGCTTGTGGGTATCTAATGTTATTTTACTGTGATTCTTTTACTTTTTTGTTTTCTTTTTGTTGATGAATAATGAGAGAGGATACATTTTCATGTTTATGGGCCATTTGGATTTCCGTTTTTAGAATATGTGGATTTGTTTTCTAACCTATTAGTTGTATGTTTGTCAATGATTTATTTTTAAGGATTCTGTATGTAGTTTCGATATGAGCCCCTTGTCAGTTGTTGTGAATGACATTTCAGCTACCCCGCTGCTAACTTGAGCATCTGTGAATTTTGGTATCTGAGGGGGTCCTGGAACCAATTCCCCACAGATATGGAGGGGCAACTCTATTACTCATTAAATTTACTAACTCTGGAAAAATATTTTACTAATTTGTCTTAGATGTTTATTTTCTACAGTGAATCTCATAGTGTATTTTTTACATCATGTAAAAAATGTAGCAAACTAATTGCTACAATGCAAACATAAGCTATGAAATTGAGTTATTTTATCTCTGTGTTATATTTGAAATTTTGCCATTGAATGCTTTATTTTAGTGGCAGTTTAGGTTGTTATATTCATCATGTAAAAAAATGTTTAATGTTTTAAAATGTTTAACTCATTTCTCAAAAAAAAACTTTGAATGGACAAATTGATATTTTTACTTTTATTACCCTACATCCTCCAAAACTGGTATGGGTTTGAGTGTCCTTTGAAGTTGGCCTTTAGTACTATCTTTTATAGTTTGTCCCAGAAGGTGGAGGAATATCTTGAAAATGGGGAACATGCAGATTTTCAAAAAAATTACATGAAGTTCAACACAACAGTTAAAATAATTCTAAAGAAACATGGTTTTCTTAAAAATGTATTATTGGAATGATGAACAATACATAATCAAATATAGACTACTGATATTTTACTTGCTTTTAATATAGATAATATAAATAATTTCACAAAAATTTAAAACAACCTATAAGAATAATCCTAATTTAAATGTTTCAAAAATTCACCCAGTACACACCAAATTAATGCTTTTATTAATTTATTATTAGAATAGAACTAATGTATTTAGTAACATTTATATTCAGATTCCAAACATCCGGTAAATCATTCAAATTCCAGGTGTATATCTCACATCTATCACTAGATTCTTAGTGTCATACTGTCAAATTCCAAAAGGCAGTCCTTGAATTAAATACTCCAGTTCAAGCTTTAACATAGGAATGAAAGTTGATCTAACTTGACAGTTCTCTAGAAATAATCATTCTGACATGTCAAAGATGGTACGTGCCTGGATCTCTACATTATTCAAAAATAATGGAATCTAGGGAAAGGAAAAGAAATGACAGAAAGTCCTACACCCAAGAATTAAATACTTTAAAAGGGGAAAATGGTATAATTTATATGGAGTTAGGTTGGGCATGGGGGATGAGACTATAACAGTATATTTCATTATATCTTTTCAACCTTGTTCTCAACTTTTTCCCACATTCATTGAACTTTCAAACTTGGAAGACTATTGAAAAAGATAGATAAGGCAAACTTTTGGCATTTAACAGCAGTAGTCAGTGATATTTTTCGAGGTGAAGTTTTGGTATATAATAAATAACAAGTGTACAAAAATACTAGAAAAAGTTAATCATCTTGTATCTAAAATTTGAAATCAATTACTCCCTTTTCGTAATCTTACCTTTGTAATTTGGCTCAAGATCTTTTCAGCAGCTACTGATAATGCTCTATTTGACTATCTGTCTTGTTTATTTATGTCAGTGATTGATTAAAACTACTGAATATTTCCCCCATTTCTACCCATTCTATAACAGCAATGACTAAATCCAATTTGATAATACAAAATAGTAGCCTAAAGGTTTTTATTCATCCAAAATATAATTAATGATTTTTTATCCTATATCATCCAAATGAAGACCTAATCTGCAAGAATCATTTCTAGAGTTGATGTGGTAGTTCGGATACCTTTGCCTAACACAGCCTTAGATCTCTACAGTGAGGCCACCACAGTGGTACTACAGTCAGCCTATGAAGAACAAACTAGCTGAGCTGAGTCAGCTGGGTCATCTACTGCTCCCTGCTCACAGAGGAAAGCTGGAAGTGATAGATAGCTCCATTAACTCTGTCTGACTAATGCACACTTGGGGAACACCAAATTGGGAACTTTTTTTTTTTTTAATCATTCTGAGACAAACTGCAGGGATGCAGTTTGTTTATTCTCCACTCAATAAGGAAAATTGTTGGGCAAATGAATAATAGCTGTAGAAAGCAGTGAAAATAATATTTTACATCATAAAATAATATTTGTCTTTTAATTAACACATTTCAGTCCAGACTGTCAAAATATTTTTTCAGCATTATTTACAAATATCTGAGAAAACTTTGACATTCAGCCTATCAATACAAACATTAAACATTTTTAGCTTAAACAGAATAGCAATTCTCATGAAATGAATATGTACATAGCTGGCATATTATAAGTCCCATTATACAATGGGGCAATATTTATGAGATTATTTTGTAGACCAGGACTTAAGTACAATTTTACTATAGAGTCACAATTGTTTTTTTAATATGCTTTATGAAACATTCAAAGGAATTATTTCTTTTTAAATTCAACGAGAGAAAATAAAATGTGAGGACTAGGTAAACTAATTCCTTAAGTTCTTTACAACAATTTTTTTTAGGAATTGTTAGTTAATAAATAGGCTCAGGAGAAAAGCACAGGCAATGATGCTTCCCTACCCTTGGCCAGTATGAAAAAGAGTTTTTTACAAGAGCCTGATAGAATAAATTGATAAGCTTCTAATGCTGTGATTCCTTCTTTTTTTCACATTAGCAGCCCTATGTAAATTGTATAAAGCACTTCAGAAGTTAATAATGGTAATGGAGAAGAAAACAAAGTACAAGGCAATTGTAAAAATGGAGGGAAAATGGAGTCATTTCAAATTCACTGTTCTTCTATTAAATATCATTGTAACTAGAATAAACAATTCATTTTTTTAAATGTTTAAAATAGCTGTATCTTCAGGAGGAGTTCAATATTTTCTTTGTAGATTTGAGTACCTGTTAAGGTAGTCAGAATTCAAAGATTAATACTTTCATCATCTATGACCTTAAGGGAGGAAGAAAAATATGTAAATTAAAAATTGCAAAATAACATGTGTCCATTCAACCTCTATTATTGAATACCCACCATAGCTCAAGCACTATGATTGGCCCTTTCACATAATGAAGAGAAAAGGTAGATACAAGCCTTCATGGAATTTAGGTATAAATTAAATGATCACACAGAAAAATATAACATGTCAAAGGTGATAAGAAACCATGAAGAAAAGAGACATACTGCTAAGGAAGATTTAGTAATCTGGGTCAAAAAAGGCTTTCCTGAGAACAAAACAATTGAGTTGATATGATTGAGGTGAGTGAGAACTTATTGAATGAAAAATTTAAGAAGCATTCTCCAGGCAAAAGAAACACCATGTAGTAGGAGGAGACATGGCATATGTGATGAACAGAGGCCAGTGTGACTGGAGCTCTGAGAAACTGGGGGAGAGTAGTCCAAGCGAGGCCGGAGAGATCAGAATAAAACAGCTCAAACAAGGCAGAGCTGTTTTACAAATAGTAACCTTTACAAATAGTAACACTATTGTAACCAATACAATAGTGGTACTTTACTTTGTAAAGTACAAAGTAAAGTAAAAACTTTACTTTGTAAAGTACCACTTTACAAATAGTAACCTTTCTTTTGGATCATAAAAAGCAGGAAAATTTTAAGCAGGGGCTAACATGTTTAGATTAGGAGGTTCTTAGAACTATCATTGTGTCTGAAGTGTAGAGATAAGATTAAAGGACAGGCAAGACTGATGAGGAGTCTATGGAAATAGTTTATGAAAAAATGATGGTATTAAATAGATTAAAACGGCCGGGCACAGTGGCTCACACCTGTAATCCCAGCACTTTGTGAGGCCGAGGCAGGCGGATCCCGAGGTCAGGAGATTGAGACCATCCTGGCCTATATGGTGAAACCCTGTCTCTACCAAAAATACAAAAATTAGCCAGGCATGGTAGTGCGAACTTGTAATCCCAGCTACTTCAGATGCTGCGGCAGGAGAATCACTTGGAACTGGAGGCGGAGGTTACAGTGAGCCGACATCACGCCACTGCACTCCAGCCTGGGCAACAAAGGAAGACTGTGTCTCACAAAAAAAAAAAAAAAAAAAAAAAAAAAGATTAAAACACAGGATGACAGGATGTCAGTGAGAGGAAGGGAAGTGAATGAAATCAAGAGATAACTTGTTATGTAAAAACAACAAGATTTGGTGATAGATTAGAATAGGAAGGCACTGAGAGAGGGAGAAATCAGTTAACATTCACATTTCTGACTTGTGAAGCTGGATGGACAATGGTCCTGTTCACTGAGATACAAATAACTGGAATAAATAACTGGAACAAATAACTTGTCACTTCCCAAACAGGGGAAGTGACAAGGAAAAGGGAGATTGTTAGGTCCTTTCTGGACTTGTAGAATTTGTGGTACCTTTGAAGCATACAAGTGGAAAAATGTCAGAGACGTTCAAACCCAGAGGGACTCCATTGTCAGTGAGGGCTAGGAAAATGAGGCTGAGGCTTGCTGGGCTGCATTCCCAGAAAATGAGGCATTCCTAGCCTCTAGATGTTCACGGTTAAGGGAACAAATTAATAATGTTTACTAAAACAGACCCAGACTTGGGAGTGTCCAGATATCCCAACATCTGGAGAACAAAGGCATTCCTAATTTTGCTTTAAAGATAATAATATCAATTCTTGCAAAATACAGTAATTAAGAAAATTAATCCTTTATTACAAACCCTTGTAGCAGAGCACATCTCCCCAAGTTCTATTTTTATCATATATATATATATATATATACACACACACAAGCATTGTGCCTAGGGCGGATGTGTTCCTCCTCTTATTTTCAGGAATGCCCTACTCTGTCTATGGAGTATCTGTCCTTTGACTACTTTACTTTCTTAATAAACTTGCTTTTACTTTGCACTGCAGACTCTGCCTGAATTCTCTCTTGCAGGAGATCCAAGAACCCTCTCTTGGGGTCTGGATCGGGATCTTTTTCTGGTAACAGAAATGTCAAGAAGGTGATTGGACGTGTTATCTTATAGATTAAGTATAAAGCAACTTGATAAATAGCACAGAGAGCATGGGAGAAATTACCAGTGGAAGAATACAGATTGAGAAGACATTCTAGGAAGAAACTTTTGGTATTACCAGTATTTAAAGACTGCATACAGAAGTACAAACCTCAAAATGAGGATATCAATCAAAAATTCGTTTCCAAAAAATGACATTAACAGAATAGGAGGGTGTGGACTCATAGTTGTAGAATCTCGTCGCTCCATGCAGGATCTTTCTATAAAGCAGAGTAATGTTAAAGAATAATGCTCATGAGTGGCCAAATAATTTAAGCACAAAGTATATACATTGGGTATATGATTGTGTTGACTAGCACAAATTTGTCTATAATATAGCATATTGAAATGATGATCAGAATCTTCAAGTCAGAGGCAAAGTTGAATTCCCAAAGTGGAAAAATAATGAAGCAATGTTATAGAGTTCATGAGAGGGATGAGGGAATGAATTTGAGATGCAGGTACAGATTGATGTTATAAAAGTCAAAGGACAGGGCTTTAGTTTTACAAAAGGCAGGGAAAAGAGGATGGAGATGGTTGTAAGATAGGTTGTTTTAATTGTTAGCAGGAAATTTAGAGCACTCTTATCTGACATCTAATTCCTCTGAAATACTTGTCAGATCAGCTTCTGGGAAGCTGAGTGTGACTTAGAGAAGCCATTGATTTCCCAAGATGTTCCAATCCTTCCAATAGATACATGAGCATGTGGCTGATGTCCTTACTGACATTTGCTAGAGAGTTGCTGCAATTTTTAATGTTTTATCCACTCTTATCTACGATAGGAGTTTTTGGATATTCATGTTTTGTGGGGAACTGGGAGATTCATAGGTTTAAATTAGATAAATAATATGTTACACTGCAGAGCATGAAAGAGTATGTTTGGAAGATAAATGTAATAAATACAGTACCGAAAAGAGTTTGAGCAAAGGGCTGTGGAAGCATAGTACAGGGGACAGTTAACATGGCTAAAAATTAGTGAAAGCTTCATGGAAACAATTTGTCAGCTGGGTCTAGAAGGATGAAAAGTGATGATCTCATGGTATTAAGGAAAGGGGTCCTGATCCAGACCCCAAGAGAGGGTTCTTGGGTCTCATGCAAGAAAGAATTCAGGGTGAGGTCATAAAGTGAAAGCAAGTTTATTAAGAAAGGAGAATAAAAGAATGGCTAGTCCATTAGAGCAGCCCCAAGGGCTGCTGCTTGCCCATTTTTATGGTTATTTCTTGATGATATGCTAAACAAGGGGTGAATTATTCATGCCTCCCCTTTTTAGATCATATAAGATAACTTCCTGATGTTGCCATGGCATTTGTAAACTGTCATGGTGCTGATAGGAGTGTATCAGTTTGGATGACCGGGGTCACTCTCCTGGCCATCTTGGTTTTGCTGGGTTTTGACGGGCTTTTTTACAGCAACCTATTTTATCAGCAAGGCCCTTATGACCTGTATCTTGTGCTGACCTCCTATCTCATCTTGTGACTAAGAATGCCTTACCATCTGGGAATGCAGCCCAGTAGGTTTCAGGCTCAATTTACCTAGCTCCTAGTCAAGATGGAGTTACTATGCTTCAAACGCCTCTGGCAATGGGGAAAGGAGAATGATATTCTTAACAAAAGAAGCACCATTAAAAGAAGAAGGCACAAAAGTACATTTAAGAATTAAGTGTAGCTGGATTCAGCCATGGGCCATGATCATCCTGTCCTGCTTTCATCTAAGGCATGCAGCCGGTCTGGCTCTGATTAGATGCCCTGACAGTAGACACTCTTCTCCTCACGATGAAATACCGGCATATTTAGCTTAGAGAATCAGTGAGAGAAATGTAGTTACCATACTTTTCTTTCTGGTTGGATAAACTTTACTCTCATTCCAAAAGAGAAATCGTCAGTTATTCTTATAGAAAAGTTAATAAGCTAAACATGTTTTTTCATGGTTGTTCATAAAAATCAACACAGAACAATAATAAGATAGATGTATTATTTCACATCACTTTTTGTTATTCTCACTTGTGGTATTATGCATATCATAAGTGATGATTTCTGAAGAGTTAAAAAATTTAATCTATTTTGGCACTGTAGTTAATGACATTAGAAAATTGATATTAATTACCAAAGTGAATACTACTAATAATAAGCTAATATTCTCATATTTAATTGTCAATGAAAGGATTAGTGGCCACAGTCTAATTCACTCTTTTGCTACTAAGCTTAATGTTATTATGTCAATTTTTATTACTATGCTTATTTTTCTTAGAACTTTTAATATATCAACAATGTGTTTATTGGTATGTTCTACAGCATATAGTTTGTGCTGATTTGAATAAATGATTTCAAATAACAATTCAATGCTCTCATTATTCATAGCATAAGTGTTTTGTTGTATTCTATATTTACAGATATGTATCATGTTGACAATGTGTGTTCAAACATTGAATTGCATGATGATACGACATCTGACATGGCATTAGCACTCTAACAAATTTTTGCTTCAAGACTAATAAAGAAATAAGGTTCACTATATTAACAGCTGTAATATCATTTAAATTACCCAAACTATATAATGCCTAGCTATTTCAGAGATTTTTTTTACCACCTTAATTTTCAAAGGAACTTGATTTTGTTACTCTTTTGTTTAAAATATTAATATATGTTATTTATATTTTTAAATATATAAATTCTTAAATATTTACATTTTTATATGGTGCATATTATTACCTAAACTGTTAAAAATATTACTACTATAATGTAGTAGTAATGTAGTAGTAATCTGTAAGTGCCTATTACTACTAAGCTGTTACAAAAATATATTTTTAACATGGTTTTTGTCTCTCTTTATTCAATACTCAGTGTTCAGTAACTAAAGGACAGCTTGTCTCAAAATAGATACTTCGGGAACATTTATGGTTAAACGTGTGATTTGTTAATGATTTTTATTTATCTTAAGACATATTTCATAATATTTGTTTTTTTATGTTCTTTCTCCCAGCACTACACTTTAGACAAGTTGTTTTCCATATATTTTCATTAGGGCCAAAAAAAAGAAGAAAACCAACCCTTAATTTTTGAACAATATGAAAATATTATCATTATATAGTTTATCTGGAGCATTTTGCTATACATATAGGACTCCATAGTTAAAATTGGATTAAGTCATAAGAACATTTACTGTTTGCTTAATTTCCAAAGTTGGTGGCTAAGTTATTTATTCTGTGACTTAAAGAAACCATTGATTTCCCAAGATGTTCCCATCCTTCCAATAGATAAGTGAGCATGTGGGTGATGTCCTTATTGACATTTGCTAAAGAGTTGCTGCAACTTTAGCATTTTATCCACTCTTACCTCTCTAAGCAAGAGTAGCAGTTGCAAATTAATTTTTTAAAGACTTTTTCCTTTGTGTACTTTTGCTGTTTTATCAGAAAATAAAAAATTTCCAAGGTGCCTAGGAAGTCTTCCTCACCCTCACATCCCATTGGCTAGACTCGAGTCACATAGTGCGATTGTAATTTTGTGTCAACCTGACTAATCAGTATTTGGCTACAATCTACGGAGAGCCTGAATAGAACAAAAAGCAGAAGAAGGAAGAATTTGCTGCTTTTTTTTTTCGCCCAGCTGCATAAGCTGGGACCATCACCTTCTGCCCTCAGATTGGAACTTAAATAATAAGCTTTCCTGCTTCTCAAGTTCTCTGACTTAGACTGAATCATTTCAGTGGCTTTCATGAGTCTTCAACTTGCAGATGGTGAATCATGAGACTTCTAGGCTTGTGTAATCCGTTAATTTATCTCCCTCTCTTTCTCTCTTCCCTCTCTCCACTTCCTCTTTCTTTCAACTCTTATCAGGTTAGAGAACCAATTCCAGAAACCCCAGAACCTATTCAGAGAATTCAAATTTAAAATTCTGTTTCTCTGTAATGGCCCCCTCATCCCATCCCAAGTCAATTGCAATGCAAGACAATTCCGATTTTCCTCATGACATGCCCCTACCACCACTCTTTGCTTCTAGACCTATTATTAGACATAAAGTCCCAGCAGGCCCTTAAAGGTGAAGTACAAAGTATGACCCATGTAGAGGTACGCTATGCACCAAAGAAATTTTTTGAGTTTTATAATTTATACTGACAAATGTGGGGAGCATGTGTGTAAATGTATACTAAGGGTGTGGGAAAATGGTAGAAGGAAAATAAAGTTAGGTAAGGCTTAACTTATTGATATGCATTCAATGAGCAGAGATTTTTCATTTAATATTGCATATCTAAAAGTTAGAAATGACTCTCACAATCTACTTCTTTGGTTGGCCAAATATAGATCAGAAGGTAGGCCACAGTGAGAAAATTGGAAATTCTGGAAATGCTTTGGTTCAATATAGAGAAAGGGATTCAAAGGCTTAGAGAAATTCAAATGTTAGAGTGCTTTGTCATTTAACTCATGTTCACACACACCTGGTGAACCCTAGCACCTTTGAAGAGTTCTGTGGTTACTGTAGATTTCTGTAGGTCTAATCTCACAATGGGATCTGCAGTCACTGAATTAGAAAACCTAAATGCAATGGGAATAATTTAATCATAGGTGGGAGTGGCCAAATGGTGGCATTCAACTTCCAAAAACAAGATGGGTGTGGCTACTATAATAGCACAGTCAAAGCAGCTTCAGAATAATCTGACTCATGCAGACCTATGTTATTGCTAAATTGATCATGGTGCTCCTACAAGTGAAATAGCCTACTAGAGCCTACTACATTTCATTTGATCTGTATAAGCAGAAAACTTTTAGGTCAAGTGAATAAAAATCTAGCCTGAATCTAAAAACTGAGTAATGGTCCCTCAATCAATTTCCAGACATGAGCCGTTGTTTAGATGAATTTTCAGACCCCAACTCCTTGAATAAGGGGAAAGTTGGGTTCTCCTGAAGAAGGACCCTGATACACGACAGAAAATTTATACTGTTAATCTTTCTCTCAGATTTTCTCATAGGAGCCTGTGGCTTTTTATGAGGGTAACTTTGCACTGGGGAGAAGAAAATAATCAGAAATTTTAGGGATTATTGAACATCAGCTCCAAACTTACACTAATTTCAGCAGATCCAAAACATCATTGTGACCAACCAGTGAGCATATGGGCTTATGGAGTTCAAGTGATCAATTCAGTTTTAGCTGAGGTTCATCTTACAGCAGGCCCAGTGTATTTATGGGTCCATCCTGTAGTTATTTTCTCATTTCTGGGATGCATAATTGGAATAGATATATTCAGCAGCTGGAAAAATTCCCACATTGCCTCCTGGACCTGTGCAGTAAGGGCTATTATGGTGGAAAAGGCCAAATGGAAGCCACTAGAACTACCTCTAACTAGGAAAATAGTAAATCAAAGAAATATCACTCCTGGAAGGATGCTGAGTTTAATGCCACCATCAAGGACTTGAAGGATGCAGGAGTGACGATTCCTACATCTCCATCCAAACTAGCATATTTGGCCTGTGCAAAAGACAGATGGAATTTGAAGAATGATGGTGGATTATCATAAGCTTAATCAGGTGGTGATTCCAATTGCAGCTGCTGTACCAGATGTGGTTTCTTTTCTTGAGCAAATTAACACATCCTTTAATTCCTGGTATTCAGCTATTGACCTGGAACATGTTTTTTCTTCATTCCTTTTCATAAGGCCCACCAAAAGCAGTTTGCTTTTAACTAGAAAGAAATTCATCTTTACTGTCCTACCTCACAGGTATATCAACCCTTAAGCCCTATGCCATAATGTAGTTCATAGGGATCTTAGTCACCTTTTACTTCCACATTATACCACAGTGGTCCATAGCATTAATAATACTATGTTGATCAGTCCTAGTGAGCAAAAAGTAGCAACTATTCTATGCTTATTAGTAAGATATTTGAATACCAGAGGGTGGGAATTAAATCTGACTAGAATTCAGGCACCTTCTGTCTCAGTGAGATTTCCAAGGGTCCAGTGGTGTGGGGTGAGATGATATATCCCTTTCAAAGTGAATGATAAACAGTTACATCTGGCTCCTCTTGCAACCAAAAAGAGGAAAAAGTGCAATGGCTAGTTGTCTTCTTTGGAATTTGGAGGCAACATACTCCTCATTTGGGTGTGTCATTACATCCAATTTACTGAGTCTTCCCCAAAGTTGCTAGTTTTGAACTGGGACCCAGAAGAAGAGAAGGCTCTGCAATGAGTCCAGTCTGCTGTGAAAGCCACTGTGTCACTTAAGCCATAAGATCCAACAAATCCAATGGCGGTTGAAGTGTCAGTGG
Organism: Homo sapiens; assembly: GCF_000001405.40. Lineage (NCBI taxonomy): Eukaryota > Metazoa > Chordata > Mammalia > Primates > Hominidae > Homo > Homo sapiens. The sequence continues at coordinate 66,079,122 of NC_000013.11, forward strand.
CAGATAAGGATGCTGTTTGGAGCCTTTGACAAGCCTTTATTGGTGAATCACAACAGCGGCTCTTAGGATTTTGTAGCAAAATCCTGCTAAAGGATAACTAATTTTCTTGAGAAACAACTGTTGACCTGCTACTGGGATTTAGTGGAAACAACACTTAACCATGGGCTACTGAGTGAGTTACCATACAACCTGAGCTGCCCATCATGAGCTGGGTCTTATCTGATCCATCAAGCCATAAAGTTGGGCATGCACAGCAGAACTCTGTTGTCAAATGGAAGTGGTATATATGTTGGGCCTGAGATAGCACTAAAGGCACATGTAATTTATGTTAAATGTAAAAGGAAATCCTCCCCTGTGGGCAGAACTTTGGGCAGTGCACCTGGTTGTTCACTTTGCCTGGAAGAAGAAATGGACAGACATGTGATTATAAACCACTTCATGGGCTATGGCCAGTGGTTTGGATGGATATTCAGGGAATTGGAAGGTACATAACTGGAAAGTTAGTACCAAGGAAAAGTGAAGAAGAAACATGTGGATAGCCCTTTCTGAATGGGCAACAAATGTGAAGATGCATGTGTGCAATGTCAAGTTCCCACCAACAGATGATCTCAAACGAAGAGGATTTTAATAATTAAGTGATAATTAAGGATGAGCCATTTTGTGGGCACCAGTCAGCCCTTTTCCCTAGCAACCCTTGTCATTACCCAATGAGCTCATGAACAAATCAGCCATGGTGCCAGTGATGAAAGTTATAAGTGGGCTTAGCAACATGGACTTCCACTCACTAAGGCTGACCTGGTTACAGCCACACCAAGTGCCTAATCTGCCAGCAGCAGAGACCAACTCTGAGTCTCTTGTGTGGAACTGTTCACTTGATAGATCAACCAGCTACCTGGTGGCACGTTGGTTACACTAAACCACTTCCATCATGGACGGGGCAGTATTTTGTTCTTACTGGAATCGACACTTTGAATATGGATTTGCCTTTCCTGCACACAATGCTTCTGCCAAAACCACCATCCGTGGGTTTAAAGAATATGTTTTTTTGTGTCATTGCGTTCCACACAATATTGTCATAAAGGAACTCATTTCACAGCAAAAAAAAGGAAGAGTGACAGTGGGTAGAATGTTCAGTTAATAATTCTTTTTACTTTACAAAAATATATCATTATTATCCTGTCCAAGGCCTCTCTTTTAATTAATTAATTCATTCATTCATTCGTTCATTCATTCCATGCTGTCTTCATTTCACTTTCCCATTCTCCTTGTCACATCATTGGCTGTCATTCCAATGTGTCTGATATTTATCTTTTATTTGTATGTATTCTAGTAAAATACACTTTGAGTAAATGTTTTTTTAAAAGTTTATTCAATGACAAAAGTGTTTTTTTAAAACTTAACATTATATTTTATAGAATTTGTTAATATTTTATCTTTACATATAGTGAGATGTTTCTGTTGTTTTTTTATTTTTTATTTTTTGCTCAATAACAGTATAATGCATCCAGCACATTTTGATTATTCTTTCCTACAGTGACATGTAGATAGCCTCCAACTCACTTCTATATTAAACTATACTGCAATGAACATATTTTAAAATGTCCTTATGGATCTGTCTAAAAATTTCTCTAGATTATTTATAACCAGAAGCAGAAATCTATGACTGTTAGGTAATGGGGTATTTCAGTTATCAGACAGTTTGGTTTAGATGTATTATTAGAAATGTACCTTAATTTCTGTTAAAATCTTGCCCAAAACTTGGCAATCTGGTGGATATAAAGAAATTTATTATTGTATTTTAATTTTCATTTTCTAGTTAATAATGATTTTGAGCATATTCTCAACAATATTTTTCTTAGTCTTTTGTGTTTCCCCTTCTGTGATGACTTTTGCCCATTTTCTTAATATTTCTGTCTCTTTTGCTATCACAATTGTAGCAGGATTTTTGAGTACATTCTAGATATTGCTATGTTGTCAGTTTTCGAAATTACAAGTATCTTTATCATCTCTCTCTTATTTTTATTCATGGTGTTGTTTCTAGATAGCAACTTTATTGAAATATAAATTGGATACAATACACCCATTTTAAGTATAGAGTTTGATAAGTTTTGAAAATGTACTCACCTTTTATAAATGTGCTCGAATTATAACAAGAATCAAGACTCCATTAAATATTTTTTAACAAATTCTTAATTTTAATGTAATACAGTCTAATACTTTGCCCCACTTTTGTGTTTGGAAATATTAAAAAATTCTTCCATTTTGGTCAACCATAAATATCTTCTTAAATTAACTTCTGTTAATAATTTCACCTCTCACCTTTCAGGTTATTTTTATAAGCAGATTAAAAGTTTTTTTTTATTTTGTGGCTCACAATAAAAATAAAATTTTTGATGTGATTCTATTTTTGCAAAAGCATAATAATTACTGAAAATGTGGTCCCAAAATAAGAAAAAAACAAACAAATGAAAATAAAACTCTTCCCTAAACCCTAGCTCCAACATTGTTTTTTAAAAATCTTCTTTTGTTTTAATGAATACTTAGTAATTGTTCATATTTGTGGGATACAGTATGATGTTTCTATATATATATACATTCTATATTAACCAAATCAAGTTTTAATCAACCTTAAGCTTACCTTTTATATGGTGTTAGGTTGTAGTCCATTTTTCATTTTTTGTGCATACACAAGCCAGGTTTTCTCATCATCAACAAAAGTCTATTTTTGATTTGATTGTGTTTCTTCCTATATATGTAGATTTCTGCATATATGTGGTTCAGATTTTAAGCTCCTCAGATTCTGTTCAATTCGTCTGTATGCCAATACTTGCACAACTTGTAATTATATTTTTATTTACCTGGCTTTGTAATATGTCTTAATATTTGGTAAATAAAATTATTTTTCAAAATATATTTAGCTGTTAATTATAGAATGAGTTATTGACTTCCTAAAAAATCTATGGACAATTTTGATTGGAATTGATTAAATTTTATGTATTATATTAGAAAGAATTGTCAGCTTTATATTATAAGTCAGACTATTTGAGAGCTAGGGATATCTACTTATTCAAAACTTCTGTTATGCTTAAATTTTAAAATTATTTTTCTCTTTGTTCTAGTATATACTTTAATTCCTAGAAATATCGGTGGCTGTTGTTTGTTTTATTTTAATTTACTTTATTTCTGTTTTTGCGATTGCACATTATATCATTTAAAAATTATATTTTCTATTTAGTTATTGATTGTGTAGAAGCATTTTATTGATTTTTAAAGTTGATTTGGGATTCAAAAACTTCACTCAGTCTTTTTATATGGTTTGATACTTTTTCTGTCGGCTGAGTTGATTTTTTCATGTAGGTGAACCTGACGTTTGCAAATAATAACAATTTTATCTTTTTTTAAGTTATCCTTATTTGTTTCCTTTATTTTATAAGACTAGTCACACTTTCAGCGATGTGAGTTAAAATCAATCACTACAGTGTTTGATTACTCTATTTTTCCCTGCCATTTCATAAGTTGTTGTTTTATTTGTTGTGAGACTATTTCGTACCTATATGTGCATGGTGGCCCCTCCTTGTTTTATATGACATTCTTTCTTCTGGTCCATTCTTCTGAATACTATTTTATCATTTTTTCATCTCAACTTTTACTTTGTTAGTTTCTGACTAAGATAGTTTTCTATTCAGCCTTTTCATCCCTTTTTTAACAACTTTTCTTTATATTTTATTTCTTTTTGACTGGATTTCATTTTATAGTTTATTTTCTCTTATCATAAAAATGCTCTAGTACCATTCTTTTTCAAGTTTTGTTAACCATTTTATGACCTGTATCTCAGACAGTGCTTACATAACACATGTTGATAATAAATGTTTTTAATGCCTAATGGACTAAATAAATGCTGAAATAAAATATTTTATTTAACATTTATGTGCATTCAAAAATAATAATTATACCCTACCAGGCCTAGGTACTGCATAATCCCTTTTCTGCTCACCACAAATAACCATATACTCACATATCAATGACCAGAACCATTTACAGAAACATCACATGGTCTGTTTTAAGGTAAGCTGTAGGTAGGAAGAAGATGAAATCAGGGTCACGCCTTTGGGGGTATACTATTAAATAGGGACAACTATTTATTTCAGAATTATGGAATGGTGTGGTAAAATAAGGGTAAATTAAAATTAAATTTTATAGTTAAATCACAGGGTACCCATGGATATATTTCAAAATGCTGTTTCCTGAGTCTCTTATTAATTAACTTTGTTCAGTTGTCCTCTCTCTGAGTGTGTGTCTCTCTCTCTCCCAGAATTATTTTATGCTTTTCTGAAATCCTATGTTTCTACAAGCCAAAACCAATCTAATAATTATTTTTCAGATATCAAGAAGTAAGGAACTGCTTAGTTGGACTATCCACAGACATAAAATTAGAGTGTTTTTCATGTTTCTGTTGAAATATTAATTTTAGAAGATATATGAGTGCAAATAAATGTTTACTTTTTCAATTCTTTCCTTCTGAGACATCTGATTCTCCATAGGAAACTTTCCTTTGCCTTTTAAAATGCCTAATATTCTCTAATATTACGCAAAAAAGTTTAATCTCTTACAACCACTAATTCCTTGCCATAATTCGTGTTTATTTCCCATTTCCCAATAATCCCTTTCTTTATTAGTATTTCTGCCACTAGCTATTCCTACTGCCTCCCACAAAGCATCCAACTCTCTACCTTGCAGTTCTTGTCATTACTACCTGTGATTTCTACCAGATCTGAGGCCTCAGTTATTTTTTTTTTCAATAAGTTTGTTCACTCCTTCATCCAACATTTACTACACACTGACCATGTTTGAATTTCTGAGGATGTGATATGTAATGCATTTTTCTTACTAAATGCTATACCTTTTAAATATATGAACTTCCCAGTTTACCCTTTTTTAGTGTTTGTACTCTTGTAATATAATTATCTAATGCTATACTTGCTTTTACTGGAGACCTTATCTATTTTTAATTTTGATTTACCTAAAAGGAAGAAACCCTTAATTGATCTATGAATTTTAATTCCCTTTATGGCATTTTTAAAATATCAGCAAAATATGCACAGCTTGCTTTGTCCTCAGCAATACATACATATGCCATTATTATTTAAGTTTATTTTATTTTCCACTTAACATGTGAAAAATAATTTTTATAACACTTTGTCAAGTGTGAGAATTAGCTTCTGATAACAAAGTGAGTTTAGGTCAAAGCTGGATAATGCTTTCATTCTTAAAGAATAAAATTTGATCCATGAAAAACTGTTTACTTTTAATTGGAATATTTCCAAGATAGAATATTTTACATGATAGCATTAAACATACATTGCCATTTTACACACTGTTACAAGTGATTACATAAAATATGTAAGATACACAAGATTTGTTTGAGTTTAAAGCTTAACAGGATTAAACCAATAGCTCGTACACTTTGCAACTGTTCAACATCAGCCAATAAGGTTCATAAATATAATACATACAAACAGATGCATACACACATACCTTTATGGGTTTCAAATAGCATTTTTAAACACATTCAGTGCTTTGCTGTCTGTTAGGCTTACATTTAAATCTAATGGTATCATAAAATAAATAATTTGGTCTTTTACATGAATAACACACTCTACTAGTCAGAACTTCAAATTCAAAAAGAGTACTGCACATGATTCAGGATTTCACTTTAAATTACTTTGTAATGAAACTTTTTGGGAAAATATTTCCAACAATTAAAATTCAATAAATCTTTCATTTATTGATTTATTTTGTTGTGGGATAGAGACATGCGATGGAGAGGGAAGGGATAGCAGTGAACAAGATAATAATAAGGAGTCAATCGACACAACTCTCTGTATCGCAGTAGAATCTTATTATAATGCCCTTTTCAGAGGTAGAAATATCATCTTTACAATTTTTTTGTATTTTATAATTACACAGTGAACCTTAGTAGTATAAGACATAATTCTTTGTAATTTTACAGAATTGCAAGATAAAGAGTACAGCAATTTATACAGATAAAATGATAAATGACTCGTGACATTAATCTGAAGTAAATATATTCATATTTCTTTTTTTCCCTGAATAATCACTCTTGCCATTACTTGTCTTATTAGTAGGAAGTATGGTATTTTCCTCTTCATGGTTGTCCCTACCCTATTGTTAAAACAAACAAACAAGAAAACTTGATTGGGTTATTAAATCTAAAAAGCCCATTCTGCTTTCACACACCAAAAAGAGGGACATTTGTTGTATGACAAATCCATTTTCACTGTTTTATTTTCCTGTTGCATAGGATTGCTGATAAAGCAGCATATCCTTATGAATCCTTTGTGTACTATGGGTATGGCACAGACAGCCCATTCTCCAGAGCAGAACTATTGGAAAACTTTCTTAGTCTAAAAAATCGACTTCTCTGTTTCTTACTTACATGCTCAATCACTTTTCCCTAAAGCTCAAATACCATCCAGATGGCAGTGGCTAGGATACTTTCACTCAAGTTGCAGGATTAAACATTTTGCTGTAAATAGTTCTTTGCAAAAATTACTTTAAGTATTTTTAAAACTAAGTCACCAACCGAGACTTGTTCTCTCTTCAATAAAATTTTATTTCACTGGACTTCTATGTTTTGCTGTCACTAAATCTTCTGTAGGGTCACTATAGACCCAAATATTTCTCTAACTTTGAATCTGCAGAAGTTTGGTGATTCTATCCTGTGTTTGCCATAAGATCCTGAGCTCTATATGGAAAAAAAAAATCACCATTTTGCAAAATTTTTCATTCTGAAGGGACAGCAGCATATGTGAGTATATTAAATGCCTCAAAAACTTGCCAGGATTTTACTTGCATATATAAAAGAATCATTTTATTACTATTACATAGTCTTAAGAAAAGTTATAGGCCGGGCGCGGTGACTCACGCCTGTAATCCCAGCACTTTGGGAGGCCGAGGCGGGCGGATCACTAGGTCAGGAGATCGAGACCATGGTGAAACCCCGTCTCTACTAAAAATACAAAAAAAATTAGCCGGGCGTGGTGGCGGGCGCCTGTAGTCCCAGCTACTCATGAGGCTGAGGCAGGAGAATGGCGTGAACCCGGGAGGCGGAGCTTGCAGTGAGCCGAGATCGCGCCACTGCACTCCAGCCTGGGGGACAGAGCGAGACTCCGTCTCAAAAAAAAAAAAAGAAAAGTTATAACTAATGTTAAGGAGGAGGAGAAAAAGACAAGAATAATGACAATAATAACAACAGTCTTGGTTCACCAGCTACTATATTTTAATAACTTAGGTAAAATACAATACAGGTAGAATATATGCAAGATTTTCATAAACACAGATGAAATTAGACTGCAATGGTTTCCATAATACAACTTGATCTATTAGCTAACAAAAACTCTTATCTGAAACATCTGAGAAGGTCGGGGAGCCAGAAGGAAAATGCACAGTGGACACATCATGACAATTGCCATAGCATTCTTGAACCTTCTCTAGTTGGTCTTCAAGTCAACAGTTTTGCCATTCATAGATCCTTTAAACCTATTTTACGGATCTTGAAGCACACAGAACATGGCATGTGAAATCTGTATGAGAAAATTAAATAAGAAAAATTTTGAAAATCTCTGGGTAGATGCTTTATTCTATTTGCAGGGCTATAAAATTCAGTTGTGCAGTTTGTGTCCTGCCCAAATATGCTAGGTAGAACCCATGTAGGGGCTTCAAGCCAGCCCATGCTCCGTCTTTCAAGGCTCTGCATAAGTTTGCATTTAGCCTGGAAGTACAAATGTCCTTGACTAATTTGTCTTCCCATAGAGGGAACCATTTCTTCCAAGTAGTATATCTGGGGAAAAGAGTTTTTTGTTTGTTTGTTTTGTTTTTTAATAATTTGTGCAAGAGCACTTATGCTAATACATATCTGCTGGATGTCTTTTGTGGTGATAATAATAATCTCATAAATTTTTGCTAATTATTTACTTATGACTTTAAAAATGTACCCTTCTTTCAAATAATCTAAGCAATAATGTTTGAAGTTTGAAATATTTTCCATATGTCACTTAGTAAATGAGAATGAAAACAATGCAAATACATCAAATAAAGTGCTATTTAGAATCTTAGCCATATCAATGCAAGGTCAAATTGAAATGGATAACTCAGCTACCCGTCCAGTTAACTTAGAGACTTCTTGTATTAAATTACTCATTGACAGAGAAAAAAGTAAACCATTACTGAGAGTTTATTCATTCCTCCATCCTCCGGCTTCTACTTGCCTGTGTGGACAATACTTATACTTCTTCCATTTGGGCAACACATTCACTCTTGCTGCCAAAAAGACAGAATATCTGAAATCTGTTTTTAAGCAGTGTCAGTTTTTCAAAGTAATAGGCTCAACAAGAAGAAAAGAAACATCTGCTATCTGCAGGGTTTTTTTTTTTTCTTTCCTCCCAACATCAATCTAGCAAGTCTTTGGCAAGCAGCTTCTTGCACTCTAAGTCACAGAAATGTCAAAGGAGAGTGGAAATGAGAGTGGATACCTCTGTTGAAATGTCACTTTGAAAGTAAATAAAATCAGTTGAAAAAAGGCCATCTGAAAACAAGGAAACTTAGCGGTCAGGAGATGAATTTCATTGTACTCACACAGTTGAAGTAGCCACATACAGGAAATACACTTTTTTTCCTAAATTATGCTTTCTAGTTTTTGATTGTTTGAAATAATAAAGGATAATAGAAATAAATATAATTTTAAAATTAAAATTTCTTGAAAGTAATTAAGATTACTTTCTACTGAGTATAAATCAGCATTTTAAGTGAAAATATTTATTATATGGAAAAACCATCAAGTACGTCTATTTGTAAAATTACCTTCATAAATAAAATTATAGATATCAGAGGATTTCACCTTGCAATAAGGTGTGAAATCTCTAAATGCAGAATATCTGGGTTTAATTTTTAGCTCCTGCACTTAGTTGTGTGACAGTGGACAAGTTACTTATCAATCCAGTGGCCAACTGGCTGATCTGTAAATATTGATAACAATAGCACCTAACTACATTTTTGTTAGTATTAAAAACATGCAATGCACTTAGAATTGTGTGTAGCATACCATAAATATTCAGTATGCTTGCTTATTATCATTATTAATCAAAATATTCCTAATGATTTAACACTATCCCTTCTGTCATAAACCTACACATAAAGAAACAATTTTTTCTTTCAATTTTCAGTTACTACGTTGACCAAAAATGTTGACTCCTAAGCAAACAATGGTATTGAATTCATGCGTTCCTTAGAGAGTTATCAGTAAGCCAGCTGAAAATAGAGAAGACCCAGAAGAATCTTCTAATAGAGAAAATTGGTGGTTAAGACTATTCTTCAATCGTCCCAAAATTAATAGCAAAATTACTATCATTACAATTGAAAAATAAATAATCAGACAATTATCAGATATGGTTGCTTTGTTGAACTAATGCTATTTATCTAGCATATCTAGATATAGCTTTATCTAGATAAAGCTCTTCCACATCTCCAAAAGGAACCCATGTTTACTTAGTTCTTTTTCAGACTTGTCTACAGTTATTGTCCCTAACTCCTTTAATTTCCCATACATAATAATGCAAATTTTTGCATATCTAGGTGAAAGTCAAGAAATAGAATCACCTCAGATGATTTTGTTTGGAAGATTAGAGGCTAATTTACATGGTATTTTTATTAAAAAGTGCACTCTGTTTTTGTTTTTTATTTACTTATCAACATGTTGTATTTTACATCTTCTGTGTCCCTGGTTCTTTTGTCATAATTGTGAAAGATGGTGTTGGTATAGGTTATATAAAGATGGGGATGTGAAGTTTTTCCCTTCCTTAGTTATGACTCTGGTCTCCTCCATCTTCAATATTCACGTGGATGCAAATGGATCCAATACTTGGTTAGCCAATACTCATTTTTCAGTAAAATGATCTTTTTCCCCTAATACTTAAGTAAGTTTTTCCTTATACCTAATTTCCTTGAAGTAAGTTTTTTGTATTTTGTTCAAATAAAATTTCTAGGGAAGTTGATTAGTGTGGCATTCCTGAACATGCTGGATGTCAGCCTAGAGACAATGCTATATTCAGATTTTCAGATCTAATAATCCATGTTTTTTATGGATAAAAATGTCTTCCAGAATTAATTTCCTGCCAGATAAATTTTGTTGAAATATCTTAAAGTGCATTATAGTTAGCCAGATAAGTCAAAATAGAGGTATCCATATGCTTTACTTACTGGGGTATTTACCCCAATATCTGTCTGGCACTTGGTAGAAGGTAACATGGTAACTAGCTTCTGCCAGTTTCTGTTGAGCTTTGGAACCAGAAAATTTCAGCTAGGCATCATGTGTACTTACAACCATTCTCCATGCAGCATGGCAAGAGAGAACTATCACAGGGATATTTCTTAAATGGTAAAACAATTTTGAGACTATCCAATATCAACATTTTAAAATATATCCTCAGGTTATATTTCTGAGCCACCATGTTTGGTAATTTATCTTAAATAACGACTGGCATTTTCCAAATAGCATTAGAACAACAAACATTAAGACAAATTGCCATTAGTCACATTATAATTTTCAATTCTGAAAGGTTTTTTAATCAAAATGTTTTAGTCTATTTCTCTTTGTCTCTTGCTCTTATCTATGTACACAGTTTATTTCCTTTGCATAAAGGACTGGCCAGTAATAAAAGAATGCCCCAACAAGGCAACTTCTGTTATTGCTTTGATTGAGTGCTCCAGAGAACTTCCATTTGCTGAGTATGTAATATCAGATTTGGGAAGTCATTTGCCGTAAGAGCACTTTCTTTATTGTGTGAGAATTTTGTTTTTATACTTTCATAAGTCTTTAAACATTTAGTTAATGTATATAGATGTTTATAAATTAAATTTTAGTAGTTCATATAATATCCATAATAAGAGGACTTTGGGAGACTTAAAGTCTGATTTTCAGTGTGATTATTTTTACCTCCAATATACTTTATACAGAATGAAATACTGTTACAAATGATGGATCCAGAAAATCTTATCTGGCAACTTGCTGTTATTTTCAGTAAGCCTGATGATGAAGAAGAAAGGAAAGAAGAAAAGGTAAAACTCAAGATGTGCTATAGAGAAATGTCTTTAGATAAGCAACTCTGGCTAGATTACTTTTTATTAATATTCTGCTTTTTCTATTTGACATTGAGACCATTTAACTCATTCATTCTATGTTATTCCTCTTTGATCTATTAATACAAATTCATGTCCTGAAGCATAATTAAAATTAAAATAGTAATTGAAATTAGTTTTTACCATGGTATCTGACATACAGTCATAATGTTCTTCTAATAACATTTCATATGAAAACACTGTTATACTCTAGACATACACAAAAACCAAAACTTAAGCAGCTTTAAAAACTGCTTATGATAAAATATTTAAATACACAAATATATAATCTAATAAATAATGATTTATCTATTTCCAGTTTGAACAATAAACTCATATTCAATTTTGTTGTGTTTATCCTTTACCCATTATACTCCAAGAGGTTATCTTCGAAGAGATAATGACTGAAAAATTTCAAGAACTGATAAAAGACGCCAACCTACATATTCAAGAAGGATAAGTATCCAAAGAATGGTAAATCAAAATAAATCTCCATCCAGAAACAACTTAAAAAAAACACACACACAATAAATGAAAACTTCAAGATGAGATGCTACAAATACATATTTATCAGTACTTTAAAAAATTACATTCAAATGCTGCATAGCTGCAAAATTTATAGAAATTACATAGTTACATTGATTATCATCTACGAATTTAACAATACCTACAAAAATGGTAGAATAGAGATTTAGATGAATGCATAGAGAATCTGTCTAAGAAAATTAACAAGGTATATAGGTCCTATAGAACACTGAATCTAATACAAAATACATACTGTTTTCAAATATATATAGAATATTCACTTACTGTAAAATATACCTCAACAAATTTCAAGGGCTCGGAAGGACATTACAATCTGTATTACAGAGAGTATAAATAGATTACTAAAAATAAAATGGTGACCAGGAAAGTATAAGCTACAAAATTAAGAAAAAAGATTCCAAATATTTTTGAGTCAAAGTCACAGTGCTACTAGAAATTGGAAAATATTTATAAACTTAATTAAAAATATTTCAAAACTTATCAGTTAAGGTTATATTACTTAAAGAGAAATAGGCCAAATCAAGGGTCAGTAAACTGGCTTGTTGCTCAAAGCCAGCCTATTGATGTTTTTGCACAGCTATTGGGATAAGAATTTTTGAACACTTGTTAAGGGTTTAAAAGTAGGGTTTAAAAAATGTAAAGATATTTGACAGAGTCCATATATGTCCTGCATAAGTTAAGATATTCACTATCAGCCAATTTACAAAAAAAAAGTTTACTTATTTCTATATACATGCTTATATTAGAAAAGAAAAATAATGAACTGAAGAGAGCATATTTCCTAGGAAATTAATAAAGGACCAGTAAAACAAACCTTAAAGAAATTAGAGGAAAACAGTCAAGATAAGAATAGAGAGTAATAAAATAGAAATCAAACATATGTTTGCTATCAACAAAGCCAAAGCTGTTTCTTTGAAAGTCTAATAAAAGTGACAAGCTTCTGGTGAGACTGATCAAGAAAAAAGGAGAGTAGGCACACATAAACAATGTTAGGAATGAAATAGGAGATATAACTACAGATTCTCCAGACCTCGAAATGTTATTAAGAAGCTACAATGAGCAAAAGGGATATGAACAGATGCCTCAGAATGTTAAAAGTTAATAATATGAAAAAATTATGCCAGCATCTAAAAACACACATGATGCTGAATGCAAAAATTCTAAATAAGATACAAGCAAATAAAACTGAGCAATGTATTTGAAAAATAATACATCATAACCTAGTTGACTTTATTCCAAAAAGCAGATTGCTTGTGATGTTTGTGATAGTGACAGGAGGCTCAGAAATTCTAGGCAGACAGGGGTGGGTCCCTGACAAAATCCCACCTTCAAGCCATAAAGCCTGAAACCCGTGGCCCAAAGTGAGAACCTCTATCCCTGTTTTCCTGCTCCAATGTTGCCTTTTCCTAAACTACCAATGGCCTGCTCTGCCCCACATCCTATGCCTATAAAAACCCCAGACTCAGCTGGTAGACATGACTATGGCTGGACGTTGGCAAGAAGTGGCTTGACTTTAGAGAGCTTAACAGTGTAACTTTGTAGAAAAATCCGGATGGAGATGACTGGACTTCAGGGGAAGGTTACCTACCTTTCTCATCTGCTTTTCAGCTCCCTTTCCCACTGAAAGCCACTTTTATCAGCAATAAAATCCCACTCATTTACCATCCTTCAATTTGTTTGTGCAATCTCATTTTTCCTAGATGTCAGACAAGAGCTCGGGAGCCACAGTGGGGAAACAAAAGGCTGTCGCACTGGCCCTTTGCCCTCGCTAGTGGAGGGCAGCCACCTTACACTAAAAGGCAAAGGGCCCACTGAGCTATTCACACTTAAGCCATTTGCAGATGGCAGAGCTAAAAGAGTCCTGTAACAGGCCCTCTTGGGCTTCAGGAATGAGAGGCACCCCCTCCGGATGCTGCCAGTGGGCCTGCGTGGAGCTTGTTCCTGCCAGTGCCGACGCAGCAGGCCTGTTCCAGCCTTGTGTACTCCACTTTCCACCTCATTTGTGCTCTCCCTCCCGCAAGGAGTTGAGAGCAGTGGGCTGAGTAAACGAGGTACCACTGTTGCGAGTCCCGTGAAGGGGTCAGGGAAATACCCTGCTTCAGTTGGATAAACAGAAAGTCACAGAATGGAATTTACCACAGCAAATAAAAGAAGAAATACATTATTGTATCAGTGCATGACTAAATATCTAGCAGAATTCCATTTATTTTTATTGTTTTTAAAAGTATTTTTATCAAACTAAAATTAGAAGGGAAATTTCTTATCCTGAAAAAAAAATCAGATGAAAGTTATATATAAAAAAAAAAGTGAAACTGTATTGGATATCATATATTGATGTTAATCTTATTTAACATCAAAAAACCCAAAGAAGCCTACCATTAGTACTCATAACTTCTATTCAACACAGTTCTGGCATGCCTCGCCAGTGAAATAAGAGAAAACGGAAATAAAAACACCTTCAGATTCTTCTATAGAAAAGAAAGGGGTAAGCATTAGAAATAAATAAAAGTCATTATTCACAAATAATATGGCAATGCACATCGAAAAGCCAAAGGATTTTTATATATAATTGTTAGAATTAGAAATAAAAAATAATATTAATAACATTTCCCTATTTGGGTAAGAAAAATTGATACTAAAATGAAATATAGCATATTAGAGCAAGAAATGTTAGCTTTGATAACAAACCACTATACAAAGCTCACTGGCTACAGAATGAATAGGACCTAGAATTTGCTTGTTATTGTAGTAAAAAATAATTTAATTGTACATTAAAATAAGTAAAAGAGTATAATTGCATTGTTTGTAACACACAGGATGAATGCTTGAGGTGAGGGATACTCCATTTACCCTGATGTGATTATTATGCATTGCATATCTGTATCAAAATATCTCACATTAACACATAAATATATACATCTACTATGTACCCACAAAATTTAAAAAGTAAAAAGAAATCTCACTGGCTAAACAAACAATAATAATTTATTTTCAGTCAGGACAATAGTTCAGTCAGGTGTTCCATGAGTAGTCTTGTAAGTTATATTAATGGATCCTGCCTCTTTTTGCATCATGCAGCATCATCTTCAAAGACTTCCTCAGAATTCTCCACTCAACTTTTATATCCATTTAGCCAAAGAATATAGAGAAAACCCAGAGATTGCTGTAATTGTTTAAGAATAAGCATGGAAGTGACATATATCACATTAAGGGGGCCTTGAAATTTTAATATTCCTATGTTCCCACAAAAATGAAAAGGTTTCCTGATTATCGATCTGGTTCTCCTACAATAATTGTTTGTATGTGTGTGTGAAAAGTGTCAATAATTTTTTTCTTTTTTCCATATATAGAACTCACCAGCCACCTTCTTAAGGAAACATAAACAAACAAAAACAAAAAGTTTCAAATCCTACTGAAAGCAATGCATTCATTTCAGGGGCCAGGCTTTCCAGTTGATGTGGTTTCTTGTCTTTCAAGTATAGTCATGGTTCTTTGTGGAACAGAAATCTGTAAAATAAAAGTAAATTGTCCCCATTCCCTCTGCCCCACCCCCATACTTCCAAAATAGTGATTAAATAGGTACCAGGTAATGACAATAATTTTTCCCCTTCTGGGGAAGGGCGAATAATAAATCCTCAAGGTTGCCTATGTCCAGTTGGGTACAGTGGCTCATGCCTGCAATCTCAGCATTTTGGGGGGCCAAGTGGGGGGCAGATCATCTGAGGTCAGGAGTTCAAGACCAGCATGGCCAACATAGTGAAACTTCGTCTCTACTAAAAATACAAAAAATTAGCTAGGCATGATGGTGGGGGGCCTGTAATCCCAGCTACTTAGGAAGCTGAGGCAGGAAGATCGCTTGAACCCAGGAGGTGGAGGTTGCAGTGAGCCAAGGTGGTGCCACTATACTCCAGCCTGTATGACAGAGTGAGACTCCATCTCAAAAATAAAAAAAGAAAAAAAAAGTTGCCTATGTCCTAATTTCTAGAATACATAGTACAAAAAACCTTTAAAGTATGAATGAACTAATGATATTGAGAAAGGTGGACTCCATATAATCACAAGAATTCTTGTAAAAGGGACACAGAAGGTTCAGAAAAAGAGGGAAGATTATGTGAGAATGGAAGTCTAGAAAGAAAGGAAGATACTATGCTTCTGGTTTCGAAGATGGAAGAAGGTGCCACAAGCCAAGGAATGTAGGCAACACTTAGAAGTTGCAAAATGCAAGGAAACAAATTCTCTCTAGTCTTTGGAAGGAAGGAATGTGGCCCTGTGGAACCACTTTAGACTTCCAACTTCCAGAACTGTACGATAATAAATTTGTGTTCTTTTGTAATTTCTTACAGTGGCTATAAGAAACTAATACAGATTTCTGGTAACTGGAATGGGGGGCTACTTAACAAATAATTAAAAATGCAGAAGTGGCTTTCATATTGGGTACTGCATAGAGGCTAGAAGCATTTTTTTTTCTTTCTTTTCTTTTTCTTTTTTTTTTTTTTTTTTTGAGATGGAGTCTCGCTTTGTTGCCCAGGCTGGAGTGCAGTAGCGTGATCTCGGCTCACTGAAAACTCCACCTCCCGGGTTCACGCCATTCTCCTGCCTCAGCTTCCTGAGTAGCTGGGACTACAGGCACCCGCCACCATGCCCGGCTAATTTTTGTATTTTTAGTAGAGACGGGGTTTCACCACATTGGCCAGGATGGTCTCGATCTCTTGACCTCGTAATCCGCCCACCTCAGCCTCCCAAAGTGCTGGGATTACAGGCGTGAGCCACCGTGCCTGGCCAGAGGTTAGAAGCATTTTAAATGGTATACCTTGAACAGACTGTTATTAGAAAATGAATATTAAATACTCTGCTGGAGATAGCTGAGAAGGAAGTGAGGAACACAGTAGAGGAAAGCAAGATTGTTTTTTAGAAAACCTAAATAATCAGAACCAGAATTTTGGTAGTTAATATGAAATCCTCCTGTTGAGGGTGAGTACAAAGAGAATTATGTGGAGAAAACCTGTTAGAGAAAACCTAAATCATCAATAAAAGTGGTGCTGGTGAAGCCTCAGAAGCAATTGAAAAACATGTTGCTGGAAACTGGAGGAAAAAAGGATCCTCGTTGTATTGTGGCCAATCTTTGCTGAATTATGTCCTACATTTATGTGGAAAACAAAACTTGTAAGCAATGAACTTGGATACAGAGCTTAGATCTTCTACAAATTTTAAAGATGTGTTCTGATTTCTCCTTGCTGTTTACAATAAAATGAGAGAGAGAGAGAGAAAAGAATTGATAAATTGAGGGAAGAATGACTAAGTAAAACAAAACTGGAACTTGATAATTAGGGGAATTTTCAACCTATCCAGACTGAAGAAAATTTAAAATAAGAATATTCACTGTTTAAAAAGCATGCTTTAGAGAGATAACCAAGTATGTTACTGGACAACCTTTTTCTAGTGCTTCAGAAGGAATAAAAGGTCATAGCATTGAGTCACAAAGAAGGGTCTTTGAAGTGATTAGGCACATGATTCACTGATCTCATCAGTCACCTCGGCAGAAACCAAGAAAGAGAAGAAATTATCTTGAAAAGTCCTTTGGAAGAGCCCTCCTGTCTAATGGAGTGAGTCTCTGTGACTTACACAGGAGACCCATGAGATTCTTTGGAATGTTACAAGCATAAACAGGGCAGTTTGGACTGAAAAGGACAGAGGGAGAGCACGCTGGAAGAAGGCTGTTGGAACCTGAAAATTCAATAGTCATGTAACTAGCTAATAAAACTATTAAGTCACAAACTGGTGCTAGCTATGTTCATGAAAAAGGAAGAATGTCTCAGAGAAGGGAGTCTTGGGCTAGCATTGCGACAAAAAAATATATAGAATATACTATTCATAGAAGCACACAAAGATAGTAAAATCTATAAATAAAATCAGGTGAATGATTAACAAAATTTAGGGTAGTTACTAATTGTAAGGAACAGGTAAAAGGCCTTGGTGGTGGTACCTGAATGTGCATTTTGTTATTGTTCTTTAGCCTTTCCAAACATATTTTGTACTCACTCACACACCCTTGCACATAACTGGGAAAGCAAAAGGAATGAATGAATATATATATATATATATATATATATATATATATATATATATATACACGAATTTATTAATGTAAAAAGAGATATAGTGTTACCTTAAAGAAAACAAACTGGGAAAATGCTTAGTAAACCTAAAAGGGAAAGAAAAAAAGAAAAAGAAAACTGGGATGGGAAAAAGCAAAAATACCCCAAATGTAAATAAAATGGGGCTAAAAAAGTAAACATGTAAAGAGGATTAAAAAGAACAATCAGGGATATTTTGTTTATCTTTGTGTCAATAAATTGATAACCTGCATTATATTAATGATTTTTCTGTAAAACTACAAATAAACAAAGTCGACCTTGGAAATATGAACATGTCATTTACTGCATAAGGGACTGGAAATATTTTCAAAGAATTACTCCCAGTCATTCTACAAATAAGACAACAATGAGAATTTTTCAGGTGAATTCTATAAAGATTTAAGTAATAGAAAATTATTGACACTATTCTAGAGCACAGATTGGAAAAGGAAACCTCTTAATTTTATTTTACAAAAGTATATTCTCTACGATAGTGCTCATGCATGCATAAATGCACACGTATTCACAAACTATTGACCAAATTCCTTTATGAATATCAATCCAAAATAATTCAAATAAAATATTAAAAATTTAGAATCTTGGAACACTTTGAAGACTAATACACCATGACTAAGGAAGAGTATCTAGAAAGGTTCAATATTATGAACTCTATTAACACAATTCACCATATAAGTAGTTCAATTGTCATAGAATCTACACAGCTTTAGAAACAATACTTAATTTTGCCCAATATTATGCTGAACACCCTTCAAGTGTTTTCACAAAATTTTTTCAAATAAATAGTTCCCTAACATAATTTTAAAACCAAAGCATACCATATTTAATGATAAAACAGTTCTATTAAATCAGGAATGAGAAAAGTAAAAGAAAATATAATTGGGAACTATAAGGCAACATTGACATTTGAAGACTGTGTACATTTAAAACCCAAGAGAATAACTAAAAGCTATAAAAAATGTACTCAGTAATAGGACTAATTACAGAATTACTGTTAGATTATGTATGTATATAAAGAAAAACACACACACAAACATAAGAGATAACAACCAATATATTCTTGCAATTGAAAATGTTGGGAGAGGCTTACCTAGAAATTGTAGTAATTATAAATCTTAAAAATTTCATTTCTAGAAATGAAACCTACAGATAACTCACAGAAATATGCTAGGCACAATTAGAAGACTATTTCTTGCAGCACTATTTTGAAGAGCAAACAATGGGAATCAATTTTTATTGATAAAAGACTGAGGAAGATCATTACAGTCCCAATCATATATGAGAATAGTATTCAACTGATTAAAAACTCTATCAAAATATACTGGTTTAGAATAACCTTAAAATTAATTCTTAAAAAAGCAAATAGTATGTGTAATATGCACTATTTATGCAGAACAAAATATCTGTTTCCATGAGTCTAGAACATTTCTTGAACTATACATACATATAAAAACTGTTAATTGTGCTCTTTTGGAATGAAGATTAATGTCGTATGGCAATGGGATAAGACTTAGAGTTATATGTATATTGTTTTGAATTGTTTAAGTTTCATCATGTTTGTCACTTTTCAACTCAAAAGTCATACTCCTATATAGGGATAGAAGAATAGATGATGGATGGATGATTAGATAGATATATAGATAGATGGAACAAAATAAGTATAAGCTTTTTAGAAGACTACTATGGAAATCATCTCATTTAACAACCATCTTATTTGTCTCCTATTTTTTTCTATTTATTTTCTGGAAGAAACTAATTAGTTTTTTGTTTCTTATTTATCCAGACTTTCCTGCTTACTACCTCCATGTACACATCACTCCTAGTAAATTATCGATAGTTCCTTGTATACTCAGCTTTCTCTTTCTTGAGTAGTCACCTAATTTGTTTCCAAGGGTACATTTAGACTAATGTTAAACTTTATTTTATCTTACAGAACTCTGATTATCTGCACTGTAATCACAGAACAAAATTTTATTTGGCCTATACATTACAATCTCACGATCATTCCATCTATAACCATTGTTTACATAAAGTCCTAATTATTAGCCAATATATGAAGATTAGTAAGAATTGGAATGGTAAATTGACTTGGTCATTTAACAAATATTTATTGGCAACTTACCATATATGCATGGCATTCTGCTGAGATAAGGAAATAAAAGAATGAAAAAAATTCCTACTCTCTAGGCTCATATTGAAGGAGGTAAATAAACACATACACAAACAATCTTAATGCAATGCATGCTACAAAGAAGACATGCACAGAGTATTAAGGGGCTCGCAAAAGAAAAGCCTAACTGCATAAAAAGTAGTCATGGAAGCTTTTCAGAGACGTAACAGGCTGCAAGTGCACTAAAGAATCCTTTTGAATTTGCCTAATGTACAGAGAGAATAAACTAGCTAAACTATTAAGTGTTAGTGAATGACAAGTTCAGCAAATAGCATTTAGCCCAGCATGCCTGAAAGAAGAGCATATGGCATGGGTGGAAAAGTGATAAATCTTTAAGGTGAAGGGCCTTGTTAGATGTGCTTTAGTGTGCATTGTGCTACAAGCAGGGAAAACTGTTAAGTGAAATAAAAGTTTGGAGGACAGGGGGAAGAGTCATGACATAATCATATTATTGTTTTGAAAATATTCTGGCAGCAACATGGAAAACAATATAAAAAATGGACTGAAGCAAGGACAAGTCTGGAGTTGGGAGATACATTTTCCTGATATTGAGACAATTCTTTATAAAGGCTGGAAGGTAGAGTTACATATAAGAAGATGAAAGGTTGTAATACATAAGAATGTGGAGGCTTTGGGCCCGGCGCGGTGGCTCATGCCTGCAATCCCAGCACTATGGGAGGTGAAGCAGGCGGGTCACTTGAGGCCAGGAGTTTGAGTTACCAATACGGCAAAACCCTGTCTCTATTAAAAAAAAAATAAAAAAAACATTAGCTGAGTGTGGTGGCCCACGTTTGTAGTCCCAGCGACTCAGGAGGCTGAGGCAGGAGCATATCTCCTCAACACGGGAGGCGGAGGTTGCAGTCAGCTGAGATCGCACCACTGCACTCCAGCCTGAACGACAGAGTGAGACTGTGGCTCAGAAAAAAAAAAAAAAAAAGTAGAGGCTTTTAAGATCAACTAGTTCTGCCATTTAATCAATTTTAAATTATCCATACGCTGTCTCCAACAAGTGTTTATACAGCCTGTGTGAAAAGACCAGGAAAGCCAGAGGATTAACTCGGTACTTGCCTTGGTAACCTATTATGTTTTTTATATTTTGGACAATTCTCAATGTTACCAAATGTCATTGTAGCCAAAGTAAGCATATTCATCTATTGCACCTTTTTTTTAAAATTTTTAATGATTAACAGCCCTATTTTTCCCTTTCCAACCTCAACCTTCAAAACCACCCAGAGAGTGTGTTTTTATCCTCCTTGGACATCAGTTTCAACTTGCAAGGCTTTGGAATCAGTTTTCGCTTGTACAGTATATATGAATAATTAAGCTACACAGAGCAGATATATTGATTAGGGTGGACCTGAATGTTATAATGAATTCTGACTTACTTGATTGAGTAGAATTTTGTGCTTTCTTATGAACTGTGTTAAATAAAATTAATGATTGAGTATAAGCCTCCTTTATATAACTCAAGACTTGTATTACATAAACACTTTTAAAACAAAAGAATAATATCATGTAGTTGAGAAAATCTAGATAATAAAGACTAAAATAAACTAAGGCCAATTAAAAAAAACAACAACATAATTTTAAGTTTAGAAATATGTGTCCAACATAAAGTGTAAATACAACTACATAAACTCAAATGCAGTACTTTTGAGTTTCAAACCACATGGTTTTAATCATAATGCCATATTTACTGAGTTGATAGAAGGTAAGAATCAGTATTAACAGAATTCCTTAACTTATTAATTTCTTATTAATTTTAAATTTTAAATTTTAAACTTGTTTTTCCATTATAGTCACATAAATAACATTGTGAAAAGCACCATTTGAGATATAAAAATATATTTGTATAATAACTTTTATTGACAAGAGGATAATAAAAACCATGTTTTGAAAAAATAAATACTTGTCTCTGGAACCAAAACATAAGTTGGTAACTTTGTAATGCTGCAGGTGTTAAATGTATATATGCAGTATGTGTATATGCATACAGATAGACACACACATATGTACCCGCATATATGCATAGTGATTAGCATTGTGTTAAATATGTGATCTTCAATGTACTAAATGTAGAATCAGTTTTGCAGTACATTATCAACTCCTAGCTTTCAAGGCATCATCTATCCCCAGTAATTTTGCCTATTCTACTGATATGATTCCCCATAGTAATTTTTCACCATATATATGCATTTCATTATTGATATCCACTTGTATTGATACCTGTAAATAATTCTTCAGAATAAATTTTTCTAATTTAATCCCTATACTCCTCCCATGGGACAGGAATCTTACAAATACAGAAATTAAAGTTTCCAAGAGTTTAAAGTGTCCAACATAAAATGTAAATACAACTACATAAACTAAAATCCAGTACTTTGAGTTTCAAACCCCAGGGTTTTAATCATAATGCCATATTTACTGAGTCGATAGAAGGTAAGAACAGTGTTAACAGAATTCCATAACTATTTTATTTGTTATGCTTTTATTTTCCAGGCATGGTCTCATTTTCATTGGGCTTGGGGAAGTAGAACCCATAGCCATCAATCTCAATGCCACTTTCCCAGTACTCTTGGAAATGTTACTTTTTTTTTTTTTTTTTTTTTTTTTGAGATGGAGTCTCCCTCTGTAGCCCAGGCTGGAGTGCAGTGGCGCGATCTCAGCTCACTGCAAGCTCCACCTCCCAAGTTCATGCCATTCTCCTGCCTCAGCCTCCCAAGTAGCTGGGACTACAGGTGCCTGCCACCAAGCCCGGCTAATTTTTTTGTATTTTTAGTAGAGACGGGGTTTCACCGTGTTAGCCAGGATGGTCTCGATCTCCTGACCTCATGATCCGCCCGCCTCGGCCTCCCAAAGTGCTGGGATTACAGGCGTGAGCCACCGCGCCTGGCCAGAAATGTTACTTTTAATTATAATGATAATATCAAATTTCATTGGCAATAGCTGTAAAGATTACCACATTAAATCTGTTTCTGATAAACCGGTTTACTGTTAACATAAAAATATTACCCAATATATCATTGATTATTATCAATATATATAAATTTCCATTATCAAAATGTATTTCATGGAAAATCTTTTATTTAGGGTAGATTTTAATTCTGGAAAAAAGTAATTATGTAACAAGGGCATGTATTACTATTCATTTGGTTATGAAAAATCTTAATGCCAAATTTAGTTTTACTTGAGAAAATACATTTGTCTATAAAACTCTGCATATTTTTGTTCTTTTTAAAACCTCATTGTCTTATTTATAGCCATGATATCTTTTACAAGTGGATTTTAAGTCATGTAAAATAGATCTCTGTGTAAAAGTATGTAGAATAGATTATGATCTATGTAAATAATATGTATATGAACATTTAAAAAGTAAGAAAATCTGGATCTGAGAAACTGAGATATGTAAATTTTAAAATAATGTTCAAAATGTAATTTTATATTTCTATACAATTTTAAAATATTCATATAAGCTTTTAATAATAGGTATCATATGGTCTTGAAAAATATGTCTTGTAGTAGTATACACAGTGAACAAGAAACTGCTATTCAGGAAAACTAAAATTGTTTTAGAATGTCATTTAAGGACAAAGTTTAATACAAAGTAACTTCATTCTTATGGGTATAATTAAAAGCCTATCAAAAAAAGACCAAAAAAACAGTAGCTGAGAAATAAAAAGTGGTTAAAACCACGTAAATGGCAAATTTCTATATAACTTGCTTGGCATCCAATTTTTGTTAAATATTTAATGTTTCTAGAATGAATGCCTGCTTTTACATCTGTCTTCTTGCTTTTCTCTATAGGAAAAGTGAAGCAGATGGGGACAGTGAGACAATATAAAGATAATTCTTCTTCCTGAATGTGAATTCACTAAATAGTTAGAATTTTTGCAGCAGCAGTCATACACCATAGACAGAATGATAGTCCTATAATCTCACTATACATAGAGAACAGCTGTTTTATATATTGCATACTTTATTCCTTTTTTTATACATACATTACACACTGAAAACATACAAGACGATGTGCGTATATGTCTGTGTATATATGTATGTATATTCATATGTATTTGTATATATTTTTGTTTCCAGATTTTTTCAATTAATATTTTGCCACAAGTACTTTCCACAATGTTTTATTATATCAATATTCATAACGAATTGAAGTATAAATTATTAAACACTCATTTTTTTCATTTTTTTGCTTTTTAAATGTAAGATAAATAGTAACCTTTGTATCATACCTAAAGACACTGTTAATGTAAATAGCTAATATTTGATTAATCGAGGCCGTGAAAGTAATCAACATTTTAAGAGTCTTGACTCTTATGGAAATTTGGCATGTGTATATATATATATATGTGTGTGTGTGTATGTATATCTATGTGTGTATATATGTGTGTGTGTGTATATATATAAAGAACAGTAGGAAAACCAATGAATCTCAGAAACAGGTGCAGTTTTGAAGATTTTATTTTGGATTGTAAGACTAAAATTGGTTGGTTGAAAATACATAGCATTCATACAGATCACTTTAATATTTGTTAGTACATGAGTAAATGAACAAAGCATTAAAAGCTCAAAGACACAATGGATCCCAAAATTGAACACAAGCAATTATTGAAGCAAACAATGCATGCTAGGTGGGGGTTTCTATTTCTATGATAGAATCCAATTTCCTTGGATATAACTTACTGCTGATTTTAAGACTCTTCAGGTGATATTAGAAGATAAAATATAACCCATTTAAAATAAAATGTTAGCTTGGGTATTCAAAAACCATTGTAAAACTACATAGCAATAAAGAAAGGTGATGGTTCCATCACATTTGCAATAATAAATTTATTTGGGCACAACTATAAGACATTGGGAAAATCCCTGTCCTTGTTCATTCTGCATATCCAAGTAAAAACACAAATCTGGCTTACTTGAATATCTGTAATTTATATAGATATTAATTCTAAAAATATTAACAACTGTCCAACAGGCTAAGATACTCCACATTTTCATAAAAAATTCGTATGCCATTATACTACTATTTCAAAATCACTAACAATGTACATTTTTTTACAGATACTTTAAAGTAAAAAAATTGTTCTAGAAATAAAGACTTCTACTTAAGAAGTGGGGATCTTATTCTAAAGTTCCCGTGTAAGCTCACTCCCTGGCAACCTACTAAGCACCAAATTCCTATGAATAATTTACTCAGACTTCTAAAATATTATATTCTTTAATTACAAATTAATGTCTGATAGAACTCAGTCCTTCGTCCACTTGTGCCGCTATTTGTAACAGTATTTCAGAACATAAACTCTCCTGGGAAATCTGCATCATAAAATTTTGGATCTTCAAAATTCATAGTAGACTTCTCAGGTAAGGGCAAGACTAAGGCATGTCACATACACACACACACAAACACACACAAATCCCCTTACACTTAGAAGGAAAAAAAATTCTAAACATACTATATAAGGAACTTCACAATAACATCAGGTGATGCCTTGATTTAACTGATCAAATAACATTTGTCCTCAATATATATTTAAGTACATTAAAAATGAAAATTTTGTAGGTATAAGTTATTATTCTCTCTAAAATTCTGGCCAGTTTTTCTTATATTTCTCACCAAGAGAGAAAAACTTGGCAGCTACTTGTAGTTGGCTGTGGTATGCTAACCAAAAATCTTTGCTGATGCACAATTGCATTTAATTGTAATTATGCATAAGGCACATCCACATAACCAAGCAAAGGGAGGAAGATGTTAGGAAGATATTACTACCTGTGGCTTCCTGACTCAGGGATCAGTTAAGAACATGCTTTATTTTGGTGTGGAGAAGATTCAACTCATCCTTCACCCCTATAAATGACCCATATTATCAAAGGATGCAAAGAGGTCTATCCATATGGGGGTATAAATTATGCTTAGCATTTTAGGGGCCATATGAACGCTATGCTAGTGTTTTCTTAAGAAATCTTTTATGAGATTCGAATTACCCAAGCTTCAAATCCACTGATTTATTTTTCAACATGGGTGAATTCTTTCCAGAAATGTCCAATTGCATCATTATAAATCCAACAAATATTATTAATTTCCCATTATGTCGGGGCACTTTATGTGAACAAAAAGATTAATAAACAATCACCCCTTCCCTGAAGGAGCTCAATGTAGAAGTGGATGATAGAAACTACACCATAATTACTAAAACAGTAGTGTTCTGTATCTGTTAACTAAGTCAACAGATAAGAAACAAACCTGGCCACTTAATGACTGTGATCAAGAAAGCATTTATTTTGATCCAGAATTAATTACTTCATCTATTTTTGATAAAAATTCACAGAACACAGTAACATTTTGATGTTTCCTACCCCATCCAATACCTTTCCTTTAGAAATGTCTCCATATAAATGGTACGCTAGGAAATATACTTTATTCTCTAGTCGTACTCTGAAGTAGCCATTCATGGTTCCTATGACTACTCTAGGATTCAAGTTCTCTTATCTGAAAATGAGAATGCAAATCATTTCACAGATAAAAAGTGTGGCATCAATGCTACTTTTAAAAATCTCATGATTCATTAAAACACTTCATACTCACTGTACCCCAAACCTCTATTAGGTGCTTAAGTGCCTCCAAAGCTTTATCAGCTAGTACTCACATACCACTTACAGGAAACATTTGCACTGTGAAGGGTACATGTTCATGTAGTAAATGCCAAATGTACAAAGCTTTAAATAATTACAACGTGCACACTTAAAACAGATCCCCATTCTCCGGCTGAGTTAAGTACTGCCAATTTTGAATGTGCACTTAACATCTGTACACATATTTTATCTGCAAAACTGACACAATTTCTAAATCACTTTTCACTGAGAGGTAACTAAAATAGAAAATACATAATAAAAAAAGAAAGCAATGGCATGTAGTATATGTAATAACTATTAATTTAAATATAGGAGATAATACTATATGTCATGAATATTAGTGGATGTATATCTGATTGATTGTTTCAGTTAATATGTTGAGTACTTTAACGAAGGAAGTAAAAACAGCAGTACAGAACCTCTGCTGGAAGTCAATACAAAACTTAAGCTGAGGTCATATCCAGTACCTAAGAAAAGAATGATTAAACTTCGTCAACACTTTAAAATGCCATCTCAAGACCAGTTTGAACTTTTCATGAATTAATGCATGCATACTACTAATTCACCTCTAGAGCTCTTCCAGATCTGAAGATTTTACTTTTAAGCTAAAATAGGAGAACTACTTAAATGATGAATCAATATGTTTCTATAGTCATAAAAGTAGTTTCAGTGCTCTTTCCAAGTATCGGCATCTATTAAGAAAGTATAGTATATTGAAATTGCTTTTTTCTCTTTGTATATAAAGAAGAGATTCAGTGAATCTTATCCTTTTGCCATTAGATGAAAGACAGTTCACATATAATTAATGTGGACCCAACAAACTACTTATGTCTGAAGAATATTGTTCATATGGGAAAAAAGAGATTTGGAATAGTTATACAAGTAACTGAGAAACCAATATGCAGTTTTTTAGGAAAAAATCTTGAAATCAATATGCAAAGCTTTTTTTAAAAAAAATCTTGATTTCATTAATTTTTGAGACCGAATTTTCCAGTGCACATGTATGTACTATGAAGATGATATTTTAGGATATGGGCTATATAATACTTTCATACCAATCATTCTGGTCCACAATAAAATACTTTATTTCTACAAGATCCAAACTATCTATTTGGGTGCACAATTGGGTTTATGTGACACAAATCATTGCAATGATCATCTACATTTTCTATACTCTATCATTTTATATAAATAACAAAAATATAATTTTATAACATTCAAGACTGAATTAAGAAATTATTTGCAAAATTTAAAATTTTAAGAAAAAAGAAAAACTGAACAATTGCTACATATTACTTAAATATGTGTTATCCTCCTTTTCAGTTTAAATTACCTTAAAGAAACAATGCTATATAGTCAGCCATGTAGGTCTTTAGGTGTCTAGCTGATTTAGAGGTTTTAATAATCAAGTAAGTTAACATTACAGAGCAAGTGCCTATGACAGAAGGGAAAAGTTCTGTAAGATGTTAGATAATCTCACAACATAAAACTTTAGTTTTTAAAAATCATTATTGGTCTTGCATATGATTCTTCTAATGTAAATGATCATGGAGTTGTTTTTACTCATTTGGTATCATTTATGCTTTGTTCTTCAGGTGTTTTATGGAAACAACACAAGTATTTAGGTTTCCACTTTGTGCTGGGAACTTTCAAACTTTTTCTCCATCTACACTGTTTTCAGGAATTACAATTACATACTTCCATCTGTAACATTCTTTATTTACATAAGTTATTCTCAACAAGAGTGAATGTGGGTTGCTGTATGATTTAATATCTTCCACACTTATTTCTCTGGCCTCTCCTGTTGAAAAATAAAACTCAGTTAATGTTTGTTGAAGCTCACATGTTTTAAATCTTTGTGCTATAAATTATGTTCCTATGACCAATAGGGTGCATCACACCAGAGCATGTTAAAAGTGTAGAATATAGGACCTTACTCAAATCTGCTTAATCATTTGGGTTAAGTGGTATTACCTCGTCCCATCAACTATGACTGGTATTTCAGAGTTCTATCGGGCAATGTATGCCAGAGTGTTCCCAAGGAAATATCTTTGGCTATCTAGTTCACAGGATTTGTGCATGTGGTGACCATATTCAAAATTTTGTGGAACCCTCTCGAATACAACAAATGACTACAATATGTGAGAGAATACCATCAATGGCATGAAAGAATGGTTTACATTTGTATCAATGCTGAGAAGAGTAAGCTAATTCTATCAGGGCCAGTAGATTCTGTTGAGAATATTGTGAAAACGTTGACAAAAAAGGCATTGAACAAATCACCTTGCCATAGATGAATATTTTCCAAAAGCAGTAATTGCTTAATTATGCTAGTAAAAATATGTATTAAAAAAAGATTTGTGAAAGTCTCAGCTGCTTGAAATATTTGATTTTTTGTCCTTAGTTGATTATTAAATTCAACAAATATGATTGTGCCAAAACTAATCAGTTTGAGAAGCACAGTAAAAAAGTGCCAAATATTAGATGAATTCCTCATCTCTTTATATTTAATGTTCACTCTTCTATTAGAGTAAAATAAGTCCTAGATTCTTATTAATTAAATGAGTATTGATTAATTATACAACATTGTTCTCTGAAGTCAGTATATAAGGAGAGATGATTGTGTTTATTGTGCTGACAACAAAAAGGGAGACAACACAGTGAATTTCACACGCCAAGAGTCTTCATGCAGGAATCAAAATCACCTCTCCAACTCCCTTATCTTTTCTCATCACTTCTCCATATGGCACTTATCATTGTTTAGTACACCAGACTCTTTCGTGTCTTCTTGCTTTTGCCCAAACTGAATCCTTAGCCAAGAACATCCTCCTCTTCCCTTCTTCATTCACATCTCCCAGCTTGAGATTCTCATCATCATTTTTTAAGACATGAATCACATAAAAGTTTATCTATGTGTCTTTTCTCAAGAATCAAGGTCAATGTATTCTGTGTTGCTATATAGAGAAGTTGGTATATATTGCTATTATAGCATTGATCTTATTATATTGTAATGCAATGTTATGTGCTTGCTTCTCACACTAGCCCAGACATTTTTCCAGGATAGAGACAGTAGACCATTCATTCTGGAGCTCCACTTGCACTCAGCTAAATCCACAGCATGCTCACAACAATGCTTTTTGAATGAAGGAATAAATTTTTCATTGATTGGACATTAAGATAAATTCATACATGTAAAGTCATCCTTTTTTTATTCATGCACCACAGCATCAACAAAAACACGCATTTATTGAGGGCTTATCTAGTGTTAGGCACTGGACTAATGGCTTTACATTCATTATTTATCTCGTTAATGCTCACAACAATTCTCTGAGGTAGGTACGATTATTACCCCCATTTTAAGATAAGGAAACTGAACAGGAGAGATCACACATTTGCAAATGGGAGTGTCAAGATAAAATCTCAGATCATCTGACTCAAGCGCTTGCCCTCTGAATACACAAAAAAACAGCCTCTTACATGATTGATACGAGGGCTAATAAAATGTTTTGGCTAGTGGCATAAGTAACAAAATATCTAAAAATAATCTCCTATTAACTGCAAAAATAAATGACTCCCCTTCTGAAAGTTTTCACTGCTTTCATCCCTCCCAGCCTGCACTATATTTATTAATGCATTATGCTTGCTTGATATAAAGAGAATCCATTATTTGCTATGGTATTATTCTATTTATATATAACTAGCTCACCACAATATAGTCCTAATTTATCAACTGTCCTACACTTAAATTTTTTTATGATGAATGTATTTTACTTTGCTTTTAAAATCATTTCCATTTGTTTTGTAAGATCATGGAATATAAAATTGGTTGAATTTTTAAACTTATTCCTTGAATAAAAGCAGTGGCTATTGTTTATATTTTAAAATAATGCTTTGATTATCATCCTAATCCTTCATTTAAAATTTACAAAGACAGCACTGATTTTTTGCAAACACCCAATAAAGATACCGCATCCTAAAATTAACTTTTGTTTTTGTGAATGCATATGAAATTCAGTTATATCAATATTATGCCTTTGGTGTTTCTAAATTAATAAGAGAAAGGTAAATTGAGATAAAATTTAAAATTCAATCATCCATAGAAATCACAACAGTGTTAACCTATGGGGCATAGAGATTGACCTTAATGAAAAATGAGGAAACTTTTTAGGGTGAAGAACAGGCTTTACACTTTGATTTGTTTGTTGGTCATCCAAAAACATATGTTTCATTCTCATTTGTCCTTCATTAGATTGTATTTTATTTCCCTATCTCCTTGAACTGGATTTTTTTGTACAATATGTTTTTAACATTAGATTATTACTAACTCTATGTCATGTAGTCTGAATTGGTTTATATTATTAGAGCCAAATTTGAATGTATCTTAATTAAGTATCTTAAAAGAGTATAAAAGAATACTAAATACAAAACTTCCATCCATATTACAAAAGGTATAAGCTAGGGCTTTTATATGAGCAATAATAAATTATTTTCTTGGGATGTTAAAATTATTTCCCTATTTCAAGATTACGTAAAGAGACAACAATATTTTTGTTGCTTCAGATAAGACTCAAAGTTGCCATGATATGAATATGACCATTTATAATACTAACATATTTGCAAGACAGTATGACCTGGACTATTCAAGTTTGAAAAAGAAGTGAAAAACCTTATGCTCTCCTCCTCCCTAGTGTGGGAAATCTGACTTCTCCCTTCAGGTATTACAGAATGCATTTATTGATTCGTTGGCACTTTCATGGACATAAGCAGACAACCACGGTATGCCAGATGCTGCACTAAGTCCTGCAGCCATCCAGACAAATCCCACATTACCCAGCCCACAAGGAATTCAACGACTAGTGGGAAAATAATAATAATAATAATTCTACAACAACTTCTACAAAAATTAAAAAGTAAAAAACTAAGACCATTTTACTTACTGGGGATTTTTCAAACATTGGCCCTTTAAATAATACGAAGCCACATTTACAATATTATTTTTGTCTAAATTTATAAGAACAATATTCCTACTCAATAGAAACACTATTCCTATTCAATGAAGGTATAGTTTTGTGAGGAGATAGCTACAAGCAACTGAATTTGTTATAATTTGATTAATTCTGTAATGGTGTATATGCCTTTTGACTTTTATACTTAAAGACTAATTTTAATGCAACATTTACTGTAAAATAAAATTACCACCCAAACTGTATTTCAACTACATTTAACGTGCATTGACTTTTTGACAGGCTGTTTTCCAAATATTTGAAAACATTTCACAGAAAGACTTCAGTTTTACCTTGTTTTTTGCAATAATCAATTCTCTCCTATTACATATAACTTGAACATATTTATTTAAAAGTATACTGAGGAAAGTAGAATATTAACCTGTAGTTCAGAATGTGACATGTCTGTTCTCATGCTAATACCATGTCTGGTTATTTTTGAGTGTTTTCAGACTGTTGAAATGGAATCTGTTCATTCTGGCTTGAATTCTGGTACATTCAGTAGATGCCAAGCAGCAGTGTACTAGTCGGAATGCATGCAGGTGGCTCTATCAAATAATATTTTTCTAAAATTTTCAGTGAACAGAAATAGAAGAGAAATATATTTCCTCTTGAATTTGCTTATCTTGAATATCAGATGATAGTCTTATAATTTATCCAAACAGTTACATAATTGCTAGACATTTTGTTTTGTTTTGATATGATTTGATTTGGGGACTATACCTTGTTCTTCTGTTTCTTTTAATTGCCTTTAAGATTTATTTATTAGCTTAGTCTGATACATTTCTGGACCAAATATTGTTTATTAGTTTGGAAAAGATCTAAATTCAGTGTTGTTTTAAATCAAATAGCTCAGGTTTCTCAAATTCCAAATAAATGAAATTCTGAAGGAGGTATGGAAATGCATGAAGGAAATTGATAACATTCTGTAGGGGATTCTCTAATGTACTGCTCCTTTAGGACCAAAGGACACATTCCTCCTGCTGGTGGA
Organism: Homo sapiens; assembly: GCF_000001405.40. Taxonomy (NCBI): domain Eukaryota; kingdom Metazoa; phylum Chordata; class Mammalia; order Primates; family Hominidae; genus Homo; species Homo sapiens. The sequence goes on from NC_000013.11 coordinate 66,111,819, forward strand.
AATGTTGCTGGCAGATGGCTGAGCTGACAGTCTTCTTCAAATTCTCTTGCTTGACTAATATCATGCTCCTCAAAGTCAGGCTACTTCCCAGGACAGCCTACATTCAATAACTAATTCTTGTGCTCATATAGCCATCTACCCTCCTTGTTGTCACTTAATACAACTCTAAGGGTTCATCCCAGCTTCAGAGCTACCTTGCAAGACATCTGAGGTCTTCACTGTGACAGAATTACTGCTTAACTTCACCCTCGGTCCAATTCTGCTTCTGCCTTTCCATTCTTCCGGTGTTAATCTCCAGAGTGCATACTAAAATTTCTCTTTTTCAAAGCTTGCTTACAGGGAAACGCTATCTGAGACAAGCTCTTTCCAGCAAACTCTAAGAGAGGATCAATTGGCTTTAATGTTACCTAGAAAAACCTAAGTTAGTCTGTGACCTAACATATTAATGAAGAAACAAGCTCCATTCTCTGCCAATAATGTAATACAATCTAAAGTCCGCTTAAGCATGTGAAGGAAGTTGGTTTTTCTCATTCCTTAGATATTCTAATTAATCAAACAATGCAAGAGGGATTTACTTAGAAGGCTATGAAAAAATGGCAATATAGGGAAAAAAAAGTGACAGCTGTTCAAGAGAACCATAATATTTTAGAGCAGATTAGTAGGATTAGAGTGCCTATAGTAAAATCACTGCACATGCACACAATGATCCTTTTTTACCTTGGGCAAAGCTACCAAGTAGTCAATGCTTTTTTTTTTTTCTCTCTCCTCCTCTTTAAAAATATGTTTTTTTTCCTTATGTGTCTCTTCCATGGTTAGTTAATAAAAAGGAGAAGGAAAGTTAGAGATGAAGTAGAATTCAAAAACACAAAACACACAAATTTGAAGAGGATGGTAGTTTTAAGTTATATTATTCAGTTCCTTTATCTTAAAAATGAAAGGTTTCATATCCTGAATAGCTAAGTTTTAGAAATGGTACGAGAGCTGGGTGCAGTGGCTCAAACCTGTAATCCCAGCACTTTGGGAGTCCGCAACGGGCAGATCACTTGAGACCAAGAGTTTGAGACCAGCCTGGACAACAAGGCGAAACCCTGTCTCTACAGAAAATATAAAAATTAGCCCAGTGTTGGTGTGGTGGCACATGCCTGTAATCCCTGCTACTCGGGAAGCTAAGGCATGAGGATGGTTTGAACCCGGGAGGCAGAGGTTGCAGTGAGCCGAGATATTACCACTGCACTTCAGCCTGGATGACAGAGCTAGATTCTATCTCATTAAAAAAAAAAAAAAAAAAAAAAAAAAAGAGAGAGAAAGACATGGTACTAGAACTAGAAGTTGGTATTAAAAAAAAAACAACAAAAAACTGTGTTACTTTATTGCCAAAGCTTTTGGACACTAAACTTGCATATTTTTACAAACTGCCCTCAATTTTTTTTTTTTTTTTTTTAGGCAGAATCTGTGTTGTGCAGACTGGAGTACAGTGGCTTGATCTTGGCTCACTTCAACCTCTGCCTTCTGGGTTCAAACAATTCTAGTGCCTCAGCCTCCCAAGTAGCTAGGATTACAGGCATGCCCCACCACACCCGGCTATGCCCCCAATTATAAGATCCTGCAGTATTGGGGGGGTAGATACCATATGAAAATATTTTTGTGGCAGTTTGAAACGTTCTATGAAGAAGTAGGTATAAATGTGCCTTTTATAGTAGTAGGTAAAACCTATAATAAAAAAAATCGTACATGAGTGTACCTGCTATATTTCATTAACATGCTATCACTTTTAATTATTTCCAAGTTTGGGTTTTAGTTTTGACTATGGGGAACATATACTGACAATTAAACTTCTTGAATCACATAACTAATAATAGAACACTCCACCATAGAAAAATATATGCACTATTACTTTTTTATTACACATTTTAGGTGTCAGTTTTATTAAGGAAAACAAATATTATTAATAATTTAGAAATGTTACTAATAAAGAATCATTTTATAATTGCAACAAGGCATAGCATACCATGAGGTAAAGTTGATTAATATCTTTCTATGCAGATGGGAGGCAACAAAGAAGTGCATTAATCAAAACTACAGCATTGCTTGTCATGTTCTATTGCTTAAGTATTCCACAGATCACTCTAGCCATTAAATTCTCAATAAATCTAAATAACGTGTTGTATTAAATTAATTCACTTCTTAGGGAACCGGTTCTATAGACATTAATTGTATATGTGTGGACTGAAAATGTATTTGCCTCAGAGTTGTTTGACCATTTACAACTCAGGCCATATTTATATTGCCTGCTGTTGGCCTGTTACAAATCACGCAATACACACTATTTAGAATATAGCCATACTCTATGAGAATAGATTGCACAAATCATTTAAGCCTCGGAGTGGAAGACACAGTTCTCATCTTATGAGTGACTATTTTTGTGCATTTGGAATGCATCAACTAGGCTAGGCTGAACTACATAGCCTAGTATTCCTTTCTCTGTCTGTTTCCAATTAGAATGGGCTACAAGAGATTCTTGTGTGATATTTAGAAGGTGGAAGTGAGGCAACAGCCATGTCATAGCTCCAACACATTTATGGGTTGGCTCATCTCCTTGGTGAGGGTTAGTACGTGGCTTGCAAATGCTCAATCTGCCCATGTCTGTTTTCATCTTCTCATTTTCCAGGGCCAGTTCTGTGTTTAGCTCCATGACAAGGGCACCAACTTCTTCCACAGGGCACCCAGGTCAGTAAGCTTAGAGGCAATGAGAACTGCCTGCTTCTGCTCATGTGTTCCAGCTTGTCCTTGCTCTATCTCAGTTTATATTCTTCTTTCTTCCAACTGACTGTTTTAAACTCCAGCATCAGATGGGAAGACAACAACCTTACAGAGACTGCCTAAGCAGATCAGACAAGTGCTTAATGTCAAATCCCTATAACAATCCCTATTTCTTTTTCTTTCTGTCTCTCTCTCTCTCTCTCTCTCTCTCTCTCTCTCTCTCTCTCTCTCTCTATATATATATATATATATATATATATATATATATAAATATGTGGAGCTTCACTGATAAAAGCTATCCTAAAGTTAAGCAAAAGGGTTTAGACTTTAGGGAAAGAAGGCAAAAATACAAAACAAAAACAAAAGAAAAAGCTAAAACTTTCACTGGTTTCTTCATCCTGAAGGTAATCAAAGAAATGTCCCACATCTACAGATAATCCTGAGGGATAGTAATTATCATGTATAACTGAATAGATATTTACTTTTCTAAAGCAGAAAGTTTCAAACATTATTTTATTGCAAATCTGTATCAGTAAATTTACGGATAGACTATAGTATATGCATATTTATTTTATGCATTATTCACATGCAATCATATCTATCTCTATATTAACATTTTACAGATGTTTTTAAATTTTTAGATACAAGTAACTAGATACTAAAAGACCAGAATTTTCTCTCTATGCCAGATTTCATCTTGTGCACCCAATACTACTTGTATGCCAATTATTTAGGATGGGGCAATTTTTAATTTTACAGACTAGTTCATAAATTGGTATGCCTGCTCTTCACTAAATCCCAGTAGATTTCTCACCTAATCATTGAAATAATCAAAAGCATCCTTGATGTCTATTTTTCCCCTAGGTTAGCAGTACTGCACCTAGATGAGATGCTAACACTGATATAGAGATCCACATAAGAACAGCTAAGGTGTGGCAATCTGATCACATTTGCTTGTAATTATATTCCCAGCTATAGGTATACTCAGTTGGTGGGGTTGTTCCCATTGATAAAATGTATGTTCTCCTTCATTTACAGAGTCCTCAATGAACTAGACATTTCATGGTATAATGGCACTAACATAATGCACAAATTCAAAACGAGTTGAAAAAAGAATTGGGTGCAGGGAACACACAATGTTAATTGTAAAAATTGTAAAATATGGTAAGAGTCTCAGTAAAACGAGGAAAACTTTCATTTTCCAACTCATTGTTATAGCATTATGCGGAACAAACTTCATTTCCCGTGTTGCAAGTAAGTTAATTCTTTTCATCAATTAACCTTTGCTTGAGGGTACCCTGGTGAAGCAAAACTGCAAATGACTTTTGTAGCAACCCACATTCAAATCCAAAAGCATGATATGGTCAAATTTTGTGTTAAAAATACACACAAAATTTACAACTATGTTTATAAATTTTATATAGTTATGTTTACAAAATTAACCAGTGTTTTATTGTATAACAAGAACAAAATCTAAATAACAATTACAATTGCCTTCCAAAGCACAGGAACAACATATATAATTATTTTGCATAAATAATCAATTTTAAAACCCACTGAACTCTGCATTTTCTGGCTCAAAAGATAATTATAATTTATAAAGTAGTTCCTTATTATGCAATTCATTTAACTGTTCTTGTAAATATTTCTGTTGCAAATGAAATTTTATTGGTTTATGGAGGAGAAAAAAAATAATGGCAAAGTTTTCTAAACTTTTGGCTTAAAGTCATTTCCAAGATATATTTCCACTGTCAGGATTTATCACCAATTTTCATAATTGATGTTTCATCTATAATACCACAGCTTTTTTCATACGATATAGATAATTAGCTAGCCCTCACTTCCAGCTGATTATTTCTGTCCTCGGAGGAACCTCATGGTATAATAGACAAAATGTCAAGAGTAATTAGGAATAATGATGGTGGCAACTATGCTATCAAATGACATGCATCCAGGACTGATTATTTTATGCCTTGCCTTTGAAGAAGCTATTTAATGCTTTAAAAATACCTATGCTTTAATTTTTCATGATGCAAAAATAGCAAGATTCTGAAAAATAACAGAATGCCTCTATATTTATATATATCATGCCCACTAAGCCTGGGTTAACTTATTCATTTTCATATTTAATGAGGTAAAATCAATCCAGCCACAAATACCCTGCAGACTTAGCAGATTACAGTATTCTTGCATAAGAATAATTTTGATGTCTTCCATATGATCTTTTAAAAGCTAATGTTACTATTTATCACACTGTATAAAGTCAATAAAAATAATGGTTTTCTTTAGCTTTGTCTGGGATTTGATACATTTGTCTTTATGATACTAATATATGTGTTTTTACTTTTTAGGTAACCTAACTTTTCCAGGACATTTCCCAATAGTGGTTCCACAAGGTGATTTAGCTGAGGAGAGAAAAGCAATGTGTAGTTTCATGTTATTTTCATTCTAATTCACCTAGTGTTATTTCTGCCAAATTATATAGAAACCATTTATGTTAATCCTGTCATACACTGTGGATCATGAAGAAATTACCATTTACATTTAAGACTGATAAATAATTATCAAAATATAAATGCATTTCATAATATCATGTGTATCAAATCTCATAGTATCTAGCATAATACTTTTATTTGCACTTCCCTACAGTTTTGAAAGTGTTAATATTGTTACATTACTATTACAATAACCTCTTTGGTCCACTTAATGTCTCTCTAAGGAAATGCAAGAATTTTGTCTAATATTATAAGTAAAAACCGTGTGCTTCAGAGGATAAATGATTTATCTAAGGTCATACAGTTAGTACATATAAATACTATTAAAAATGAAAGCCAGTCTTTTTAGAATTTCTATTATATTAATCCAAATCCTACTCCAACTCCTCTAATATCATATTATTTGTAGAAGAAAGTCAGATTGATAAACTTTTCAAATATTCTCATTAGTTCACATTGTAAAAGAAAGCTCCTGAAATATAACTATTTAATTTCACAAAATAAACACCTAAATTTTACATAATATAATGAAACATGAAATTGACAATCCCAGTTTTAGAAGAATCCGGTTATGCAGTACAAAGACAATAGAAGCTTAGAGAAAACCTGTTTAATTCTTTTGTATAACCTTCACTCCCAAAGTCCTGTGCATATCACCTTACCTGTCAATCAAAGTCAAGTAGTGTTGAATTTATGAAGTCAATATCCACTTTCGCATCCGGAAAGAGTAGAAATGCAACAGCACATAATGTATCATAAGGTTATCTTTTACTGGTCTCTTAGATTCCTGAAAGATTTGTCATGAAAAAGAAAAGGACACAAGAAATTTTAATGAAGGGCTGCTGCTCAGTGACGCTTACTCCTGGGACCATACTGTCTAGAAAACAATAAGGAGAGCTGCTTCTATAAATGTGTAACATCTCTGAAGATAAAGTAATTCACTGCCACCATCTAAATCCATGCTAATCATATAAAAAGGGAGTAAGGCTGAGAGGAAGAGAATCTAATGCCTCATTTAATGAGAAACCCTATTCTTCTCAATCAGTCCATTTCACGCACTATAAGAGGGAGGCTGGTATTGGATTAAGCCTGATGCCACAAAACAGGTTGACAAGATTACTGAGATCCTGAGGACTCAGAAACATGCACAGGAGTAGGAGACTAATACAGATCCCTTTCTTCTCTGTTGCCTGGAAAAGAAATTCACATTACCATAAATGCCACATGTACGCAAGTTGCTTATGCTTAGGATCTGGTTAGAAGGAAGTTTTGAGACTGAAACCTTTACCTATCTTTAGTGTGAGTGCTTTTTTGATTTTGATGACTCAAAAAAGAATACATTTGAAAGTTACTGTAATGATACTATAGATGTCACAGTTACCTTCGGCAGATTTTGCTAATGGTTAATAGTTCTAAAATAGAAAAAACTCATATTAATAAATTAGAAGAACTCAAGGTACATGTTTTTCAGATCTTTATAACATTTTAAGATAATTTTTATATATTTTAAATAATTTTACTGATTAATATTTATGATTTTATGTTAGCTTGATGCTATATAGTTGGAAAGTTAATAATTTACAGACTACTTTGTAGTCTAATGGCTGTACTTGACTTTTGCTACTGCTTGACGGCTAGCAACTTTAATGTTTCTGACTTAAATTAAGAGAAAAAAAAGAGTCAGGTACCTACTCTTGTTTGGTTACTTTTCTGAGGGGTTCTTTTAACGGAATTCCATGAAGTCGTAATGCCGTCTAACAAGAATATTGATTGTGAAATAGAGCCTTGTTCCATTATCTTCTTAGAGGAAGCCCAGATAGAGGTGTTTTAAAAAGTTGAGTAGCATTGCTTCTTTGCTCAATATAAGCGTACTGTTAACTCTCTGGAGTACATAAAAGGAAAGTTTTCAGAGGGATTTGCTACCTAAGCAAATGTTTTCATTTCCACCCTCCACCCACAATTTAAAATAAATGAAGAAATGCTACGGCATCTAATATCCTCTGACTGTGAATGTGTATATTTTAATTTAGAGAAACTCTCTAAACCTCTAGATTTTACTTACTAGTTTGGTAACAACTATGAGCAATGAACACTATTGCCTGCTATCTCGAGACCTAGGAATTGACAGGTAGTGGTTCTAGAGGTAGCCAGCAATGTCAATTATCTGGCCCCAGTGTCCAGTGAAACTAGCAGACTAAAGCTCAGCAAGTTGTGCCATTGCATTCTGAGTGTGCTTAGCAAAACTCAGAGGATCTACTTATCCAGTGGACATTATCTTTTGTTATTCGTCATCGTTGCAGTTGGTTATTCCCAAATTCCAAACATATTATTAGAATTCAGCAACCCTACCATTTTATATTATAATGAAGCATATAGAAAAAGCTATTTATTTTAATAGTCTGTCAACAGAAAATTTCATTGAACAATTCGAATAATGTGAAGTTCCTAGAAAACATTGGTATATGGGGAAAATGACTTCTGATATCCAAGCAAATATAAACTAGAACTAATTCAAATGTTTTGAATTCATGACCTGAGGGTTTCTATATTGCAGACTATATTAGAACTTAACCACATATAAAGAGAAAAAAATGTGGCAGTGAGGTGATTTCTGATAGGTAGGTCAGAGACCTGAATTTACGCTACTTACTCACTACTAAATACTAACTACATTTCTTAGGTTGCTGAAAAGCTTGAAAGACCCAGGTAATTTCTAATTAGTCAAAGAACTCATTGTCAGTATTTTTGCTGACTCCTAGTAGGAATTATAGAAGTGAAAGTGATGGTCCTTTTATCCTGGCTTGATGACTTATCCACTGATAATATACAAGCCAATAAAAAAAATTCATAAAGAGAATGCTTTTTGAATTTTCACCCTGAGAACTACATTGCAACAATTATAAAAATGATTCAAGGCAATTTGTGACAATTTTTATGTTACTAAGAGAACACTTTGCTGAGAAATTTGTTAAGCACATTCAAATATGTTTTATTAATTCCTCCCAATTTTTGAACATTTTAATATTTTGTTTTTCTAATTGGTTCCTTTCAGACATAATTTATTATTAGTTCACTGTTTCCCATTTTAAAGACTTTTCATCAGCTTCAAAATGCCATGTCCTGAGATGACTCCTATATGTCATGGGCTTCCAGTTTCAGAAAAAACAAAAACAAAAAACAAAAAACGCTTTATGTCTTGGATCTTCCTGGAGTTTTCTTAGCTCATTTTACAAACCAAATTCTTCTTTTTTGCAAGAGTATCTCAAGAGAATCTTTCTAAAGCCTGTCTTTATGTCACTAATACTCTATCAAATTAGTTTTTTGTTCTTCATACAGTTTCAGAGTTACGTGATTTTTAAATATCTATCTACCTATCATCATCAATTAAAATTATTTCATCTTGCAAAATTATGATAATGTCAGAATTCTAAACAGCTGCTTCATTTCTTAACTTTCCCTTATTGATTCGTCCTACAGAGTATCCGTACTTACACTGGAATGTGCTTTAGGATCTTTCATACTTGGTAGAGATTAAACAGGGGGTGGAGCAGACTTGGTCATGAGAAAATGTCATTGAGAAAACCATGAGCAGTTGTGTATGTCAGAATAAGTGGAGTAAAGAGACTGGAGAAAATAATCACCTTAAGTCATTGATTTTTCCCAGAATCATATCCAAGCCCATGACTTTCTAGGGAGTCAAATTATTCAAAAGGTTGTAAATTACATAGACCTCATCGTTCCGACAATTCACATAATGAGAACATAATTTTGAAATAACACGTTTAACAGATAATTCAAGATTACCTTGTTGTATTTTCCTATTGCCATATAAACAAAAATGGAATTACTAAATTGATGTTTCATGAAATTACACAAGCTTTCTTCCCCATGATTATAACGGGTCCTATGCTTTCACTGGATCTAGTAGGGCACTTAGCATGGATTATACTCTTAGGAAAAGAGCAAAACAATATGTGCTAAAGTTATGTTTTTGTAAGCAGAGTAGTTACAGGTAATTACACAATTCAAGCAGAGTAGATTCAAAGTTATACAGTTTGTAGAATAGCATAATGCTGTAGCAGTGTTGCCAAGAATCTGGAATTTTATTTCTAGCATTAGTTCTTATTCTAACTACGTGTGTGAACTAGTAACATTGAACTAGTCACATTGCCACTTGTTATAAGTTTTCTCGTCCATAAAATGAGGCACACAGCCTCAATTTTGTCAATTTTTTTCTTCTTCTAATATCTACGTTTACCTCAGTTTTTACTTCATTTTGCTTAGGATGGTAACCTTCAAATTTCTGACCTTTTAATCATATTTGAAAGTGTTTACAGATTGACAAAATGTTTTTTTTGTTTTTTTTTTTGAGACGGAGTCTCGCTCTGTCGCCCAGGCTGGAGTGCAGTGGCGCGATCTCGGCTCACTGCAAGCTCCGCCTCCCGGGTTCACGCCATTCTCCTGCCTCAGCCTCCCGAGTAGCTGGGACTACAGGCAGATTGACAAAATGTTAAGCGCTTCACCACATCTACTTTTCTTTGAAATATACTTTAAACAATTTCTAAGTATATGTATATAAAAATGTTAGAAAATAATTTAAATGCCCATTTAAATTCATTCATTTAAAGGCAGTATTCCCCTGATAAAATACAGGTTAGTGACTAAACATGAACTGTCTTTTAAGTGAATGAAATGAGAAAGCAGTTTTTAAACAAGGGTAATCTATACATTTTGTGTTTCTGTTGTCAGAAGTAAATGCTTATCCTAATCCATTTAAGCAAACAGTATTAATGATTAATGAAATTCTTGATCCTGTAACTAGACCTACAAATTCTTGAATAATTAATAAGGTACTCAACGCTGTACAGAATATGCATCTGCTATGAAATTTGGTATGTGTGTGTAAGTTATTAATATCGAAAATCTTATACAAAAACAGGAGGGAAAGACTGGGGTCAAAGCAGTATCTATTAAAATATACAAGTTTTTTTTTATTTCTTGTTTTTACAAAAAAGGTAATTATGATCAAATAGCAAAAAGAATGACAAATATTTTCTCTATTATGACTTCTCTATGACAAAGGTGAATATCTATTGAGGAAACACTGAATTGTACGTATTGTTGTGGATTTTAAGAATACTATGAAGTCAAAGAAATATAAGATGAAATAAATATCATAATTGTTCATATTACTTAGTGTCTGTGAAATTGAAAGAAAATTATTTCAATGTGCAATTTTTTTCTAGGCATTACTTATATGTTCAGTGGAGGCATATACACATTTTGAGAAACCAAATAGGAAAATAAGTTTTTCCAAAAGTCATTACCATGCCATTTTAAATGCGTAAAAGTTAATTCCTTTCTTGAAATTTTATCTGACATTCTGATTTTTCAGGTATAACTTAAAAAAAAAAATTTATGGTAGCCAAGGAGTCATAGAGACTTAGACTTGAGAGGAATTTTTAAAAGCACTTAGCTCAATTTCTTTATTTTAAAAAATAGAGAAATATTAAAAAAAAATTTTTTGTATCTATTTAGGGTGTCGTAGCGCAGGTTTCTTACATATATGTATTGTATAGTGGTGAAGTTTGGGCCTTTAGTGTAACCATCACCTGGGTAGTGAACATTGTACCCAATAGGTAGTTTTTAAACCTTCACCTCCTCTAGCCCTCCCACTTTTCATGGTCTCCAGTGTCAATTATTCCACTCTGGATGTCCATGTGTACCCATTGGTCAGCTCTCACTTATAAGAGGGAACATGGGGTATTCGACTTTCAGTTACTGAGTTATTTCACTGAGGATCACATTTTTAAAATAAAGAAAATCAAGTTCAGATGGGTTAAAATACTTAATAATTCCCTCTAAGTCTGTGGCATTCCATGCCAGATGTCTTAGGTGAAGGCTTAGTTTTAAAGTTATTCATATGTTGGAGCAGCTCCCTAGTCTAAGATAGTTTCCAGGACAGTCTAGAAATTGCCATTCTTTGTCACCTTGGAAACGTATCATAGTCCTTCTATGGTAGAAAAGTGGATGGCACGTAAATATTTAGGATACCATTGATATCAACTATAAACTATTTTCATATCATTATCAATATAAAAATGATTAAAATATTATAATAGTAATAGTGACATGAACTACTTTTAAACTAACAATAAAATCATCTGCCATTTTGATAATATTGTCAATATAGTTCAGCTGGCTTATATGTATTTAAAATTACTCTGTCATAAGACTTTATCTGCTTAATTAAGCTAATATGAAGCACTAGCACACACATTTATGCTTTATATATAGTTATACATAAATCTGTACAGTCACAATACTGTAAATGTTTCACTACTCTGGGAATCAGAGACCTTTGAAGTAACATTGCAGGACATTAATAGTGTCCTAATTTCTAAATAAGGAAACTTTTGACAGCTCAAATGTTTCACGCTTGTCAATGAAAATAGAATTCTGAGGATCTTATGATCTATTTTCATTTAAAATATTTTTGAACATGAATTATGGGTCATTTGGGAATATACTGTTAAATAAGGAAAGCACAGTCTCTATCCTCTAAACATGAAAAGAATAAAGTAAATGATTACAATATAATATTTCTTAAGAAGGACTCTAGTATGTCATAATAGGAAATGATTCAAGTACAAATTAAATTACTTTATATGGAATTGTGATTTTAAATACATTTTGTGTTTTTTTTTTTTGTTTTTTTTTGTTTTGTTTTTTGTGAGATAGGGTATGCTCTGTCACCCAGGCTGGAGTGCGGTGTCGCGATCTCTCCTCAGTGCAGCCTCCGCCTCCTGATTCAAGCGATTCTCCTGCCTCAGCCTCCTGAGTAGCTGGGATTACAGGCACACACCACCACGCCCAGCTAATGTTTTTGTATTTCTAGTAGAGACGGGGTTTCGCCATGTTGACCTGGCTTGTCTCGAACTCCAGACGTCAGACAATCCGCCTGCCTCGACCTCCCAAAGTGTTGAGATTACAGGCATGAGCCATTGCGCCTGGCCCATTTTTAATCTACAGTTTTATGAGTTTTGACAAATATAAACATCCATGGGACCACCATCCCAAGCACTGTATTTCTATCACCCAAACAGTTTTCTCATGTACTTCCCAGTCTTCCCCCAAAACTTCTACCAGGCAACCATGGTTCTGATTTAAATCACAATCAACATATTTTGTCTGTTATAAAACTTTATATTATAGAATCATACTTATATCCTTTAGTTGTAATACCAAAATCCAGGAGTTTAAATTTTTGAATTAAAACACATAAGAGTACAGGTAAAAATATCAAGCTGGGTCTTACATTGACGGATTCTATGATAGACAATACTAGTAAATTGGTCACTGGGTCTTGGAATAGTATTCATTATTCTACACCAACTTTTTTTTTCTCTTGTATGCTGCATTTTTATACTGTATTTTAAGACTGCATTTATGAATTTTACATACATAATATTCTCAGAGTTAAGATCATTCATTTTAATGCATCACCTTCTAATCAGAAATGTTTTTTTTTAAAATAACTGTTCTGTTTCTATCTTAAGAATTTTATAGATTTTGTAAATAACTAGGTTTCTCTTCTCATGTTCACTGATTAATGTCAAAATTCTGGCCCAGTCATGACAAACGTATAGGATTTATGGTATCTGTTTTAATGATAGCCTCATTTCTAGCTTCATTGTATATATTTAACTTTTTAATTTTCTTTAGTTATTTTTTCAAAGTTATCCAGTTCTATATCACATATGTCAATATGAGCGAAATTCAATAAACTAATTAAATCATTTAAGGTAAAGATTTAAATAATTTTTCAAGTTCGTGTAAACTTCTAATCATTTAATAATTAGTTTAGAGGAGTACCCACAATTATCTTTGCCTCAAAATTTATTTTTTTAATGTCTTTTAATATATGTATCTTGGCTTAGAACAATCTCCTTTAGAACACTGAGCTGACAGATGAGTATTGGAAATAAAGTGGATTTGAAGGATGCTGGATACATATGACCCTTTGTTGTTAGTGTTTATGTGCATTGTACTGCTAGAATCAAAGTCCAAATTCTACCAGCTGTTACAGCAACTCAGTCTTAGCCCATTACTTTAATTAATCTAACCTTATTTTCAATGCTTCCATCTTCCCGTAAATAGAAAGTCAAAGGAGAAGCCACAGAACCAGTGAACTTTCTGAGATTAATTACGAGGAAAAACTGTCCTCAACATTTCTTACATAATAAAACTGTTTGATCTATAACAATACCATGTGCATCCTCAAACATTTGAAATGAAAACTTGAAGCCATTAAAAATCTACTCATAATAGAAATTATTACTAAGCTTAGCCAGCTGTCTTTTCATTCATAATAAATCGATAATTTACATCATACACATATGGCTTTTTAGTTATACAAATATTGAAATATTAAAGTTGCAACTCCTATTCTCTGTTGAGAATAGAGATACTGGTAAGTTTTCACCATAAGGAAAAAACAAATGCCTAATATTCAAAATATAAATATTTTATACATGTCGCTTAATCACCTTAAAGACAAGAAGAAAGTGGCTGCGACAGTTGCATTAAGTACCACTTCAGAATGAACATTTTGCTTCATAATGTGAATACAAATGCATATGTTTAAATGAAACATGTAAAAGACCAGAAAAACTAAGCTGACAATGTGCATTATTGCATTTGTGAGGATTATGCTTTTGGCCTTAATTTTTAAATTTCTAAACACAGAAATTTAAAACAGCTGAATTAAATTAGACTTGTGTTTAAAGATAAAAACAAGACTATTTTATATTTCCCAAAGATTGTTTTTGACCCTTTAAGTAGGAAATGATTTTCTAAGCCTAAGTAAAATAAATCAAAGAAGTACTCTGTTATGCAAGTTTTTTAACTTCAGAGTTATGACTTCTAAACTGCCATGCCCACCAAGGGCAGCTTCCAGGGAATTAAAATAAGGATAGGCTTGTGGCATGGCAAATATTTGACAAGGATGTCTTCCCATGCCTAGTCAACTCTATGAAATACTGGAAGGTGTCTCGCAGGCTTTCTGGACATTTTATTCCACTTGGTAGCTAAACTCAAAATTTTAATGTCGGATAGATATTGAAATCTGATTGTGCTATCAGTTTTACTAGCTCACTTAAGGCAAATCACTTCTTTTTGCTTTAATTTATTATGTTGGAAATGGGAATCTCTATATTGATACTTATGAAATTGTGTTCTGTAGAGCTCTTAAATAAAAATCACCTGGATGTTGTTAAAAATGCAGATTCCTGAGTTCCACCACATCTCTACTATGTTAGAATATTAGCTGTAGAATCCAAAGAGATTCTTTTTCATAAACTTTCCATGCAATATATATGCAACAAACATTGAGAGCGACTAAACTAGGCTGATAATGTCAGATGTTAGAACAAGAGAAATAGAGTCTAATAAGAATACTAGACCGCTTATTCCTTCCAGGAATAAAGAGGTGAATTCTCCCTTCTGGAACCTCATATTGTCATGCGCAGGAGACAAAAGAGAGCTGAGGAGCTCCAGTGCTTCTGGAGGGACTTCTGTCTTTTTAGTCTCTATTCCCATCTCAAGGATCACCAGAAAAAAAAAAAAAAAAAGATTTGTGTATGCAGAAACAAGAATCCCATCTCTCTCACTCCCCAAAGGCACAGCCTCACCTACATGCCTGTCAATACTAACCTCATATGGTCTCTACTCTTGTTATATCCGTCAAAAGAGTTCCAGAACTTCCAGATCATATCACACCCCTAGGACTCTTTAATTCCATCAGTTCTATGATTAACGAGGCATCACCTCTACTCATTCTCACTATCTAATTTATTTTTCTTTAGAATAGTTATCAGTATCTGAAAAACAATATGTATTTTACTTCTTTATTTTTATCCTTATTTCCTCCATCATAATTTATGCTCCAAGACAGGAGGAATAGTTTGTCAATAAGTACTTTATAAGTAAATAAACTAATTAAATATTTGTTCATATGTAACATTACCATTTATTTATCTATTCAGTTACAATAAATGTATGACAAATTCTATAACCCATTTGACTGTGAAGGTAACTTCTGTTCCTCAAGAATGGAGGGAGTACATTTTAGCTTTATAGAAGAAGAGGGAATTAATTTTTTTGTATTCCCCTCATATTGGAATGCCCTACTTCACCACCTCACATGCTCATTTTGTCAATCTGATTTCTCCGCCTTCAATTACCTCCTTTTCTGTGAAGTGGCCATGGTCTTTTTAGACCTCTTTGATAAAATTTTCTCAGCCATTCTTAATAAAAATCTTATAATTAAAATTAAAAATAAGAATAACTTAATATAATGATCTAACAATAAATAGTGTTAATGTTTTATCATTATTTTAAAATCAGAAGCCTGTCACTGAAGTCCATTTATTGTTTTTTAAAACCCTCACATTTGTCCTTACCTTACATCTTTATTTTTTTTTTCTTTTTAGTATTTTTTTGAGATGAGGTCTTACTCTGTCACTCAGGCTGGAGTGTAGTGGCATGATCTCAGTTCGCTGCAACCTCTGCCTCCTGCATTCAAGCTACTGTCATGTCTTAGCCTCCCAAGTAGCTAGAATTACATGCTCCTAAACACCACGCCCAGCTATATCTTTA
Organism: Homo sapiens; assembly: GCF_000001405.40. NCBI lineage: Eukaryota > Metazoa > Chordata > Mammalia > Primates > Hominidae > Homo > Homo sapiens. Next base: position 66,127,733 of record NC_000013.11, read on the forward strand.
CATCTTCATTCCAACAATCAGTACCATTTCATTACCTTGTTATAGCTAGACAGCAATGTTGTAAATAATTTTTAATTAGTGACCCATCAAGTAAGTCCATCTTCAGTCCTGGTTTATTTATTGCCAGAATGTTCTTTCAGAAATAAATATCTAATTATATCACAAGCCTTCTTAAAATTCTTCTATGTTTTCATATCACCCATTGGATAAAATCCTTAATCATTTCCATTGACATAGAAGATCTCCATTACCTTGCCTTTAAATATTACTGCAAATGATTGCTGTCATCTTTCCTAACCTTACCTTTTCCTTCACAAGACAAAACTATATATACATTCCCAAATATAGAGAAGTTTTTTTTTTCTTTTTTTGTTTTTATGCCTTGACACATGTTCTTCCCTCATTTTGAGAAGCTCTTCCACCCACTTAAGGACTTGGCAAAGGACTACTCAACTCTAACTCAATTAGATTTTCTGTATGAAAATGTCTCTGATTTTCTAATTTTATTGTTCATTATCTCCTTGCGTCCCCACTATGCACTTTGCATGATCTTATCACTGGTATTCTTTACACTGTTTTGAAATTATTTCTTTGTGTAAGGCAAGTCATTTATGATTTATCTACTTTTAACTTGAAAAGAAAAGCTGAAACAGTCTTAGTTCCTATGATGTGGCTCCCCACAGCCCAAACCACTGAAAGTTGGATCAAAGATTAGCACTAAATAGATGATTGCCTGATCAATAGACTGGCAAAAAATAAAATAAAATTAAAACAGATAAACTTGGTGATTATATTTTATCTTTCAGAAATTTGAATTGGAAAATGTGGAGAGAATAAGGCAGTTTTAGCAGAGAATAAAGCTGCAAAGACCCATGGAAGGAAATCCTGATGTAGTTTATGACAAGAAAGGAAGAGACAGGTTCATAAACAATCATGGCATGCCAAATCTATAAGGAAGCAAAATTTATGAGTAGACAGGATCTATATGACAAAATATCTAGACACAGCAGAAAGACAAAGTAAAATTATAGCAAAAGGGGAAAATGACAGAAATTTGGAAAGAACATGAGTCACACTATAGTAGAGCATGTAATCATTAATGATTCGGTCCAAACTCCTACAGCTATGGCTTTCAGTACTGTTTTCGATTGTTAAAGAACTTAGGTTTCTGAATTTTCCTTTTGGTCTCTTCTAAAATGGTTTCTATCTGCTTATTACCTAATTATGCAATTTCTTTCCTTGGGTGCACAGTTACTCTTAAATTCTTCATTACTAGAAGTAACTTGAGTGATTCTGATCCTTTTAACCACAAAAGCCTAACTAGAAAATCTTTTTCCACCATAGTGTGAATTTCACACAGGCTAGGAAACTCACATCTTTTCTCACCATATCTCTGATACATAGTAAGCACTTTTATTTCCTCCATTTCTTGATGCTATTATCATGTTCCAGTCTGTCCTAAAAATCATACTGCTTACTCTATAAGTTCTCACTTCGATGCAATCGGCAGAATTATATTTTAAAATCTCTCACAGTAATTACCATGATGGAGTGGGGATAGGGTAGCTGGCTGAGCTAAATTCTATCTGGAAAGGTTCAGAAGAGCAAACTGCTCAATCCACATAATGAACTAAGTATTCAGGGTGCATTTTATCTACAGCAGTCACAATGGGGAACACCAGAGACAGTATAAACAGCTGGTCATTGGGCCCAGAGAGCAATAAAAACCTAGAACACCTGTTGTGTTTATGAAATGACACAATCCTTACCATGCCCTTTGCAAAACCTTCCCATTATTCCAAAGTGCCACCTTCAAGCCCTTAGCTGGTCCTATTCTGGATTACAATTTGTTCAAAGGACAATCATTTTTGGATCCAAAGCCATAACCAACTCTATACAATTCAATATTCCTCATCACTTCTCAGATCTGGATGCTTCTCATTTTTGACTGTCACAGTACAAAAAGTCTCATTTGATGAGAGTGCCTATTTATCATCCAAAGATCTTCTCTCGGTACTTTAAGTGGTTCTCTATACCCTTCTCCACCCTAGAGTAAAGCTACATTTAGTAAGATTTTTATACTTTATGGGTTATAAAGGTATCTTTAAAGTACCTTTGCTTGAGATCCTGATAGAGCTGGGGGAGAGAGAAATACAAAATTAATTTCCTGGCAGAGTGTGCTAAAGCTGTAATGAAGAATGAATCAATGGATGATGACTGCATTAAAGACAAGTGGCCTGAGACCATGGTCTTATAACATTTTTAAACACGTAAAAAGAATGTGTGAAATAGGACTATTAACAATGATAAAACCAAATTATTTGGTGATCGCAGCAGAAACAATGAAGGCACTTTAATATTCTCAGGTGTAGGACCCACCGTCATTAAGCTGAGCACTCAAGTAGTCTGGCTTCACTTTTCCTTTTTTTTTTTTTTTTTTTTTGAGACGGAGTCTCGCTCTGTCGCCCAGGCTGGAGTGCAGTGGCGGGATCTCGGCTCACTGCAAGCTCCGCCTCCCGGGTTCACGCCATTCCCGAGTAGCTGGGACTACAGGCGCCCGCCACTACGCCCGGCTAATTTTTTGTATTTTTAGTAGAGACGGGGTTTCACCGTTTTAGCCGGGATGGTCTCGATCTCCTGACCTCGTGATCCGCCCGCCTCGGCCTCCCAAAGTGCTGGGATTACAGGCGTGAGCCACCGCGCCCGGCCACTTTTCCTTCTTTTATATCAGGAAGAAGGCCCTTACGTACTCTTGCTAGGTACGCATTTAACATATCAAGAAAATCTTCATGCATTTGGTCCTACCTCCACCTATACCATTTTTTCTGGAGTAATAATTTTAGATGTTTTAAAATGTTTATTTAGAATAGTTATTAGTAATACATTTTATTTTAAATGTATAGCATTTTATTAAAGAGTGAAAAAGATATATAATAAACATAGTTTTGAATTCGAAATGTCTTAATTACTAGCTCTTCTCATTCTAAGATTTTTTTTTTTTTTTTGAGATGAAGTCTCACTTTGTTGCCCAGGCTGGAGTGCAGTGGCGCGATCTCGGCTCACTGCAATCTCTGCCTCCCGGATTCATGCCATTCTCCTACCTCAGCCTCCCGAGTAGCTGGGACTACAGGCTCCCCCACTATGCCTGGATAATTTTTTGTATTTTTAGTAGAGACGGGGTTTCACCGTGTTAGCCAGGATGGTCTCGATCTCCTGACCTCGTGATCCACCCGCCTCAGCCTCCCCAAGTGCTGGGATTACAGGTGTGAGCCACCGCGCCTGGCCCTAGAGAAGAAGCTTTCTATTTAGAATAACTTGAAGGTCCTGGATAGAGTATATTCTTTGTATAGTATTTCTCTAATTCTAGGTAAAGAAAGAATAACCCAGTGTTATTTCTAATTTATAAGGAAATTTGGTCACTGCTTTACCTTCAAAGCCTAGCAAATTGCATGTAACATATTAGGTATTTAAAAAAAACACACAAAATATTTGTTTAGTGAATGAGTGAATAATCATAAAACACATTTGAAGCTAAAGAGAAATTAAAAGTCCTAGAATCTAGATACCCTTCCCTGTGTTACGGATTATGAAACTGTGTCCTAGAATGTATTCGTCTCAAAATCATCAGCCTAATGAATAGTAGGATTAAAACCAGAAGCAAAGTTGTCAAGGACAGTATTAATTTCATGATACCAGGTGCTCTCACTGTTTCTAACCAAATTTCTCTAGTAACTACTATTTGATTAGATAACAAAACTACCTTTTTTGCAGGTCAAATGCAGTCAAATATGCAGACATACATAGGTAGATAGATCTAAATATGTAGATAATATATATCGATACGCTAGATTATATATATATAAAATATCTAATATATATCTAATATATCTAGCATATCTATATATCTAATATAGAGGGATATACTAGATATCTTACATATATAGTATATATAGATATCTATAGATATACTAGATATCGTATCTAATATATATATAGTATATCTATGTATTAAATATCTAATATATGTACCTATATAGGTAGATAGACCTATTACATAGATATAGTAGATATCTAATATATACATAGCTGTAATAGATATCCATATATATCTAACATATCTATTTATTGCATACATATCTAATATATATCAAATAAATATATAGTTATATATTAGATATCTACTATTTCTACATAAATAGGTCTATCTACCTACACATATATATTAGATATCTAATATATATATAATCTACATATATTTATGTATGTGCAGATATACATGTGTACATAAATTCACCTCTATGTAGCTATGTATATCTATACATGTATATGCACACACACATATATCTTAGAAGTATTTTTTCCATCTGAATTATGAAATTTAGAGAACAAAGGGAAAACATATTCCTTTCTTTGCACTTTCTTTTCGATTTATTCTAATTCATTAAAAATGTATTAAGTGAGTATTAGGTCATATGAGAAAGACTAAGTTGTATGCTTTATATTTAGCATCTGCCTGTAAGAATTTTCTTCTCCTTTAAGTGACACCATTGTTACTTCTCTCCAAATCCTTCTTCTTTCTTAAGAAATTAGATCTTTCCTTGAAAATTGTTTCCTCTTATTATAGTACTTACATATCAAATTTGTTCTTTAAAAATATAAATTTAAAATGTTAATCTGTACTATTTTCATATAAAGTGGTTTTTAAAACACTTTACTATTCCTAAGGGAAAGATCTTAGTTTAGTAGACAAAAACATTAACAAATTAATTTTATTTATTAGCTAGTATTTTTAGGCATTCTGTCACTATAAAGATGGCAAATTGAAATATCTATGTATTGCAAAGTTTCTCATTTGCTAGGAGAAATGGAGGAGGGCCTTAAATTAATATGAAATCTCCCTAATTTTTATGCTACTTAAAACTACTTGGAAAATCTACCTTGCACCCTGTCTCCTCACAGTTTGGGATGGGTCAGTCTTATTATGCTTAAGGAGAACTTTCACACATGACTGTGACATGCATTTCAAAAGCCCCAAAATATATAGTTTTTGGGAAACATAAACTTTATTAGGAAACTTAATAGAGGGATTAGAAAATATTGACAAAAAAGGAAGTTGTTGAAAATTAACAAAGGATCTTCAAGATAAATGAGCACATGTATGAATTATGTAAATAAGGTGAGGTCTAGAATAAAGAAAAATGTATGATTTGCAGTATATTTTTTTCTTTAAACTTTAATCTATGACTTTGAGAAGAATGGAAAAGTTGAATCAAGTGTATCTGCAAGCCTTCCTGAACAAAGAGACTCCAAATGCCATAATATTAAATAACTGCAGAAATGGCATAGCTGTTATACAAACATAGTTTTTGTCTTATTATCTAAGCTTGTATATGTCAATGCTAGAAGCTAAAAAATTCCAGATTAGTAACCTATAATGTGGAATATATTCACTCGTAAGTGGTAATTCCTTCAGGGCAACAACCTGCATTATTTGTAGTTTAATTTTCTATAATCACCATATTACCTCATAGAAGTGTTACAAAGTATGACTAATTAATGATTATAAAGCATTTTAAAAATTCATTGTGTTATATTAATGCTAAGTAACAATGATAACAACAATGCCAAATGTGTTGTACACCAATGGCCCCTTACAAATAAAAAAACATATTAAATAAACATTTAATTTCTCATTGCTGGAAACATTATTTGTTGTAAATTAGCACAGTTTTATATTTATAGTTTACAGATCTAAAAAAAGACAATATTCAACTAATGATTCTATTTCAGTCGCAGAAATCAGGTACTAGAAAATATCTCTCAAATTAGAGGATAAGAAGAGGTTTAAACACCTAAATGTGATTTTTTTATATTCGAAGCTCAAAATATTTCCAATAGAAGAAAATTACACACTTGATTACATACATCTACTTGTACAACCATGCATTTGCTTAATTCAAATGATATCTACATTAGTGATAATATCAGAATCAAATTTGCTACATTTTCAGTGTTCTGAGACCCCTCTAAAATTGTCTATAATTACTATCTAACATGTTATAAGACCTGATTATGAAATCATGTGATCTGTTAATTATTAAATTATGGTCAAGCACATGGATTACATTTATATTCTCTGAATAATAAGCAGAACATATATAGTAATTTTTCAAAACTTTCATTATCACTGGCAGAAAAATATACTCCCTATTATGCCAGGACATGGGAAGTTTGCTATGCATTCTTCTTTGTAGCACTCTACATGTTCTTATTTGGGTATGCATACATCTAGTATTGAGCCTATGTATTTCAGGAACAAACCAACCAGCAAAGAGAAGTGGAGAGTTGGATGCTGGGAGTAAGAGCAGTTTGGTAGAAAGGTTCTGTTCTGTTAAACCAACCAACATTTTCCATTGCCCTAGCCATAATCATCAATTCCACTGTGGGAGAATACAGTGCTGTACTTTGTATAGCTAGGTCTGAAGTGCTTTTTTCTCACCTACAAGGAGATGAAGACACTCACTGTTAGCCATAATCACTTTTAACCATGAGGGAGGTCAGCCTAAAGACAAACAAAAAGGACAAAAGTGAAGAAACAGTAAAGAAACGGAGAAGGATCCTTGATAAAACCAGGTCTCAAGCCTTTCTTACCTCTAAACTACTCAGATACATGACCTGATACATCTCCTCTATTTGAGATGAATTTCATCTTAGATATATTTTATCCAGTTTAATTACTAATTCTCAAGTATATTTTAAAAATTATCACTTGTCACATTAACTGGATATTTATAACAGCATTTCTTCTACAGTGGTGTAAATTGATGATTGTATATGAAAGTCATTCACACACACACATTTCAAATACTATGTATGTTTTCATTGTAAAAAATTTATATATTTTTATTTTTAAGTTATTTCTATGATGAAGTTTTCTCCAGTTCAGAGATTCTTTTCTTCTCCTGCTTTTTTCATGATTTTTTTTTCAAGCATTATTTTTTTTTTAGTCTATGCTACTTCTCTGCAATATGACTGACTAAAATGTTTTAGGAGATAGGTCAAAAACTCAGAGCCTTGTAAACTCTTCCATTTCTCTCTAGGTCACTGAATGTCTTCCTTACCACTGAAGTATACACAACTTGGAAAAAAATAGAATTTTTATGTAGACAGGTGGAAACAAATATTAAATACATTGATAGATTTGATAGATGTTTGAGAATACATATTATATGTCTATGCCAATATGGCTATATTATCATTATATCATTTTACTATGTCCCTTGTAAAGATGCTACCCTGATACCTACCATTCTTTAAACTCCATATGAAATACCGTACTCCTTAAGTGTGGGTTGCTTGGTGGCTTATTTGCAAAGAGTAATATAGAGAATAATTTCACAGTGGAGCGACCTGGAATAGACTGCCTTAGCTAGGTGATCATGATTAGCATCAACACTGATTAAGTCATTGATTCATGTATTATTGCTATGATCTGATGAGAATGGAACTTACCACTGCAGTCTTCCAAACAAAACTCCATAACTCTAGTCCAATCATGAGAGACACATTAGACAAATCCCAATTAAAGGTTGCTACAAAATATCTGACCAGTATTCCTCAAAACTGTCAGTGTCATCAAAAACAAAGGGATATATGAAGTTCTTACAGTCAAAAGGAACCTAAAGAAACATAACAACTAAATGCAATATAGTATTCTAAAGAGGATCACGGAACAGGGGGAAAAACACATTAGGTAAAACTAAAAAAATCTAAAAAAAAAAAGAGTATGGGCCTTAGTTAGTAATAATGTATCAATACTGATTCATTAACTATGACAATATTAGTACAAATATACTAATGTATATTGTAAATAATATAGGAAACTGAGTATGAGGTATATGGGAACTCTCTGTTCTATATTCCCACTTTCTGGGAAACCAAAAGTATTTTAAAATAAAAAGCTTATTAGTTTATAGTTTAAAGAATAAAGTATATATAAGATTCTTGAGCTGGCCTAGCTTAGCAAATTATTTTCCTTTGACCCATGACACTAAGTCCCAAACTAAAAACAGGTGAAGTGACACCCTGGAGCATTTTCTACACCCATGACATTGAACTCTTGAGCTTCTACATATAGGTAGGGAAACAAAACACACAAAAAGGAAAGAAAAACAAGGAAAAAGAAGGCTTGCTCTCTGGCTTTTTTAACTATCAACTTGTTGGCTTGTCACAAGCCGGAGAGCTGTTGTGCAAGTGTGAAGAGCCCAGGAAGAAGCAAAGGCCAAGAGAACACTTGCCCCAGTCCATTTCTGTTTACTTGTTCCAGTCCCCACATTTCTTTTCCTTTGTTTTTTGCTTCTAAGCACCCCAGAATCATTGGTGTCCCTCTATATTATAACTTCTTCCCCTAAATACTGAAATACTCACACAGCATTTATTGCATGTTACTTAATCAACAAATACATTTGAAATAGCATAGATATTGTTAATACAAGTTATAATATATTTTAAAGAGCTAGTAGAGTGTGGTCATAATTTTAGGACATGGTTAGTTACATATGACATGATCTTTAACAATAGGTCTTATTTATAACTTTAAGGGAAATTATAGTGAGAGAAATATGAGACATATTCTCTTGTTTGTAACTTCATTGCCATCAAATGTTGACTTCTATACTAATGCATATGTAGGAGGTATGTATCTTGTGACAAGGTTTTACTACAACATGTCTTTTGTTACATTATTTAGTGTAAACTTGTCTCTAGTTAATAATTTTTTCCCATGTAAATGCACACTCATCTTCATGTTGCCCTTTCATCCAGTCTCATTATCATTTTTACATTGCTAAGACTTCAAATATAAAGTTACAGGTGGATAGCTATCTGTTGCCATGTAGTGAATCACCGCAAACTTAAAGACTTCATACAACATATATTTGTTATCTCATATTTCTGTGGTCAGGAGTCCAGGTATGACTTACCTGACTGGTTAGGGTCTCAAAAGGCTATAATCAAGGTATTTGACAGGCTGTGTTTTCATCTGATGGCTTGACTGAGGATGATTCCATATCCAAATTTTCTCACAGTGTTGGTAGAATTTATTTCCTTGTGGCCATTCAGCTGAGGGCCTGCCTTCTTGCTGGCTGTTGGTAAGAGGTCATCCTCAATCAATTCTGAGCAGCTGTCTATAATTTTTAGAGGCAATGTCACAAGTGATTGAAGTAGAAAACTATCCTTTCACTGACTCTAGTTACTAGCAATGATGTATCTGATAGAAATTTCTAGCTGAAGAGCAAGAAAAAGCAGATGTTAAGAAAGTATCATCTATTATATACTCTGACAGTTAAAAATATTTTCAATTCTTTTGTGTTAGTCCACAAGACAGCTGAAAAAAAGGAAGGTGGAAAACACATACATGTAACCCAAAGGATGTCAGCAATTAGAGAACTTTGCTTCTGTGTCACAGATGGCAGATAAATGTGACATCAATACAAATTTTTGACATATTTTAGCTATGTAAATACCTATTTTTTAAAAAACAGGACAGAGATTACTATTTAATAATTTTGATTCCTGTATGCCAAATTAAGATTTAAGGTCTAAGTTGACCACACAGGTCAATCTTTTTCACTCCCATTTTTCACTGCTGAAATGAACAGTGTAGAACTGAAAATGAAAGAAGCAAAAGAACTGTGTTTATGAGCTTACAATTTTTGAGGAGAGTGCTTTTAAGAGACTTCAGAATGAAGTCACTGAGCAATATTACAACCATATTTTGAAAACCCTTAAAATGAACTGTTTGCAATGCTCTCATAAATGCTCTCTTCTGAGCTCAACCATTTCTGTTTTCTTTCTGCCCATGTGCTTGAATGTTGCCCTAGAGGCTAAGGAATATCAGTCATAAGCACTAGAGTCAGACTGTGGCCAGAGTTGATACCAATGTACAAATCTATCTTTCTCCATTTGAACAGCCTGCTAAGTTCTGCATGCAGCCTCTGGCTTTGAATGGTTTTTTAACTCTTCTGTAATGTATACTCTGAAAATATAAGGGCTATATTATTTTTTATCTCTCTACCCACTGGCCTTTTTTCCCTTCTATTCTCTCATTTGAATGTCCAGTTTAGATCTAATGAATCTGATGATTACCTCAAATTCCCTAACGTGAGTGTCTCCAACAATATCATGGTTCCAAGACATCTTTGTCTTCTTCTTCAATTACACAAATGACGTATTACGAAATAGAGCAAGAGAGCAAACAATAGCAATTTAATTTTAGAATAAAAGTATTGTCCAGGTTTCTCTACAGCCTGTGTTTAATCAATAACTTTAAAATAAAATAGGAGTAATAGGAGAATAAAGGCATATGATAAAGCACAAATTTCGGGTACAGAATAAAGTTCTCTCAAAGCCTTTGGCTCGGAAAAAAAAAGATAAGAATAATATCAATGATGTTGCTGACATTTTCTCTACTTTCCCTCACTGTCCACTGTTGTCTCTTCACCCTTCTAGACTGTCTTAACTATTTCAGAGGATTAAACCTAGCTGTTATACAAAAGCACATCCAGCAGACTTGGTTTTTAACCGAAAACTAAAATTGGGCAATTTTGCTACTTATGTCCACCCAAGTGTTAAATGATGTATCAGCAAAATAACCATTTGTAAACTCCCCCTTCTGTAAATGAACATTTAGAAATGCCGTGTCAAAGACAGTTCAGTTCTACTTTTTAAAAGGGCATATCCTGTTCATAAACATAGACGCCTATTCTTACTCATATCAGAATACAGACCATTACCACTGAATTGGAGCTACAGCCACACTCATAAAATAAAACTAGTGATAGTTTCTCTACTAAGAAACCAACCACACGTATAAATTCATACACATTATGTGGTTCTGGTGTCTGCCATCTGCAGCACATAAGCAAATTCCCCTAATTACTGACATCTCTCCACGAAGGCCCATGTTCTCTATGTGTGTTTTCCACTTCCCTTTTCATCAGCTCCCTTGTGGACCAAAAGCACCACTTCTGCCAGGTGAGCTTAACAGATGTCATCTTCTGATCTTGCCAGTAAAAGGTCTGTTGCTTTGTTTTTAGTTGGGATTATTTCTTGTTAGATTGTACAATGATTGTGCTTTTCAAACTGAGCCACCAGCTTGTAGCCCATGTTTCAGCATACGATCTTTATCAGAATTAGAAATTATAGTCTCAGAACACCTATGGCACACCCATAAGAGGTATATAAAGCATGCCAAAAAAAACCCCATGAAAACAGTGATGAATGAAGAATATGATGGGGCCAGATACCAAGAAATGAGAGCAAGCAGTACTCACACCTAGTGTGTGTGCAAGAGGTAACACCTAGGGATAACTCCCGGGTCAAGGCTAACAGGCATGAGGAAGAAAGCAAGGTATGTAAACTTGGAAGATGACAAAACATTTTCATAGAATATGTTTCTTTCCCGCAATTTTTCTTTGAAAATTCCAGGTTCTGCCCCTGTATGTTAGCCTTTTTTTAAAAAAACAAACAAACAAACAAAAATCCTAGTATCTGAGGCCACTGTTTCTGTCAATGAAGACTATGTTCCACTATGTACTTCCTCAAATTAACCCAATTCTTTGATGTCTACCTATATTTTTACTGGCATCTCCTTCCTGTAATAAGCATTGATTTCCTTCATTTCTACATTACCATCGTGCTTATGATCTTTACCTTACAAAGCTAAACTTTACTCAGTCATTCCACAAATATTTACAAAGCTTACAGCATGTCCCAGTTGTCCTTGACATATGTTAGCTTTTTTCTTCTACTTAGATATAAACACTTCAAGAATAGGTATTTTGCGAGATAAACGTGTTTTCATCTCTCCTGTATTCTTTAGTATAGTATAGGACACAGAGTTGAAATTTAGTATGCACTTTTTAAGAAAAAGATATGGTGGTATTACATGTAGAAAAACAGATGTAAGTATTACAATTAAAACCAAATATGGACTAAGCATATTCGCTTTATATATTGAAAGTCAGTAGGTAAAATCAGCAACAAATTTGCTGGTGAAATTGCAAATTAGGTCATGAACTGGGGCTATAATGTTTGGTATGCTAAAAAGGGAACAGATTTAAAAATCTGTCAGAGTAGAATGGTTAGGATCATAACTGTTTGGAAACAAGAAGTGAAATTAAGATAAGCTTTTATAGCATGGCTTCTAGGCTGAGGGATGGATGACTGAACAAATGGTAGTATCATGAATCAAAAGAATGGTTTTTGTTGTTGTTTTTTGTTTGTTTTTGGTTATCCTCTATCTCCCACACTAGGCTTACTTTCAGCTTCTGTACCTAAGTCTGATTTCCTGCCAATTTTACTATCCAAGATGGATAAACTTTTTAGTTCACAAATTTTTTTTGACAAATAACAAAACAGAAACCAAATGAGCACAAAGATGGATAAGACCCAGCTGTTAATTTAGTTAGGCAGATAGTATACAAGCTGGGGAAACTGACATCTGAATTGAGTGTTAAAGAACACACAGGATTGGACTGAATAGTGGATATTCTAAAAGCTAAAGGAAACTGCCTATTCAAGCCCTTGGAGCTCAGAAAGGACACATTACCTTGAGGGAAATTCCCGGATTTCAGCCTTGGATTGCTTTTCCATACCTGTTTATGTTTGTTTGTTTTTTGACAGAATCTCACTCTGTCACCCAGGCTGGAGTGCAGTAGCGCTATCTCAGCTCACTGCAACCTCTGCCTCCTGGGTTCAAGCGATTCTCCTGCCTCAGCCCCATGAGTAGCTGGGATTACAGGTATGCACCACCACCCCCGGCTAGTTTTTGTATTTTTAGTAGCAACGGAGTTTCACCATGTTGACCAGGATAGTCTTTAACTCCTGACCTCAGGTGATCTGCCCACCTTGGCCTCCCAAAGTGTTGATATTACAGGGGTGAGCCACCACTCCTGATGCTTTTCCATCCTTCTGTAAGCAACTGGACCATGCTCAGCTATGTCTTAGGGTGTAGTGTGCTTTATATATAATAATAAATGTAAGGAATACTAAATTTAGAAAAAAAAATCAACTCAAGGTATCAAACTTTCAAATGTCAAGAAGATAAGACCATGATTTGGGTTTGAGTTTTGGTTTCATTTCTCCCTTTTACACTGTGTGTAGATAAAATCATAATAATGACACATAACTTTTACTTTTTCTTTTTTTTTTGAGACAGCATCTTGCTCTGTCGCCCATGCTGGAATGCAGTGGAGCCATCTCTGCTCACTGCAACCTCTGCTCCCTGGGTTCAAGCAATTCTGCTTCAGTTTCCGGAGTAGCTGGGATTAGAGGTATGCACCACCATGTCTGACTAATTTTTTGTATTTTAGTAGAGACAGGGTTTCACTGTGTTGCCCAGGCTGGTTCCGAACTCCTAAGCTCAGGCAATCCAACCACCTCATCCTCCCAAAGTGCTAGGATTACAGGCGTGAGCCACTGCGCCCATCAAACTTTTACTTTTGCAAAGTCTCTTTAGAAAATATGCCATCAACACAGGTCAAAACAGTTTGATAAAGATTACTTAGTGTTTTAAAAACTACAGCATACTATTAGCTTTCATGCGCGTCCCTGTGAAGAGACCACCAAACAGGCTTTGTGTGAGCAATAAAGCTGTTTATTTCACCTGGGTGCAGGTAGACTGAGTCCGAAAAGAGAGTCAGCAAAGGGAGATAGGGGTGGGGCCGTTTTATAGGATTTGGGAAGGTAATGGAAAATTACAGTCAAAGGGGGTTGTTCTCTGGTGGGCAGGGGTGGGGGTCACAAGGTGCTCAGTGGGGGAGCTTCTGAGCCAGGAGAAGGAAATTCGCAGGGTTAATCACTCAGTTAAGGTGGGGCAGGAACAAATCACAATGGTGGAATGTCATCAGTTAAGGCGGGGCAGGGCATATTCGCTTCTTTTGTGATTCTTCAGTTACTTCAGGCCATCTGGGCATATACGTGCAAGTCACAGGGGATGCGATGGCTTGGCTTGGGCTCAGAGGCCTGACATTCCTGCCTTCTTATATTAATAAGAAAAATAAAACAAAATGGTGTTGAAGTGTTGGGGCGGCGAAAATTTTTGGGGGGTGGTATGGAGAGAGAATGGGTGATGTTTCTCAGGGCTGCTTCAAGCGGGATTAGGGGCGGCGTGGGAACCTAGAGTGGGAGAGATTAAGCTGAAGGGAGGTCTTGTGGTAAGGGGTGATATTGTGGGGATGTTAGAAGAAACATTTGTCGTATAGAATGATTGGTGATGGCCTGGATACAGTTTTGGATGAATTGAGAAACTAAATGGAATAACAGAAGGAGAAAAACAGGTATAAAAGGTCTAAGAATTGGGACGACTCAGGATATCTGATTAGAGAGTGCCTAAGGAGATTCAGCATAGTCCTGCCAGCAAAGATTATTTATTTACCTCAAGAGTTAAGAGTGATAGTTTGGGGATAGCACCAGGAGATATCAGCTGTGATGGCTTGGAAAAACAGTGTAAACTGGCAGTGTAAACAAGAGCAGGGCATCTATGAGTAGTTGGGAATGGTGAATAGGAGTATGACTAGACAGAAGATAGTAGGGATGACAAGTTTTTTTGCGGGCACAGTCTAAGTTGGTCTGGTGTCTGGAATGAGATTGGGGCCTAATAAAAAGGAGCGTCTATACAGGAGCTCAAATGGGCTGTACCCTGTAGCATTCCGAGGACAGGCCTGAATTCTGAGAAGGAAAAGTGGTAAAAGTATTGTCCAGTCCTTTTTAAATTGGTGGCTGAGCTTGGTGAGATGTGTTTTTAAAAGACCTTTAGTCAATTCTACTTTTCTTGAAGATGGAGGACCGTAAGGGATATAAAGGTTTCACTGAATACTAAGAGCCTGAAAAACTGCTTGGCTGATTTGACTAATAAAGGCTCATCTGTTAACAGACTGTATAGAGGTGGGAAGGCTAAACTGAGGAATTGTGTCTGACAGAAGGAAAGAATGACTGCGGTGGCCTTCTCAGACCCTGTAGGAAAGGACTCTACCTATCCAGTGAAAGTGTCTACCTAGACTAAGAGGTATTTTAGTTATCTGACTCAGGGCATGTTGAGTAAAGCTAATTTGCCAGTCCTGGGTGGGGCAAATCCTCCAGCTTGATGTGTAGGGAAGGGAGGGGGCCTGAATAATCCATGAGGAGTAGTAAAATAGCAGATGGAACACTGAGAAGTTATTTCCTTGAGGACAGATTTCCACGATGGAAAGGAAATGAGAGGTTCTAAGAGGCGGGCTAGTGGCTTGTACTATAGCGTAACCTGCCTTTGCTGGTGTGTGGCGATTAGGCCTGGTGGAACCGCCATCAATAAATCAAGCGTGATCAGGGTGAGGAACAGGAAAGAAGGAAATTTGGAGAAATGGGGTGAACATCAGGTGAATCAGAGAGATACAGTCATGGGGGTCAGGTGTGGTATCAGGAATAATGTGGGAGGCCAGATTGAAGTCCGGGCCAGGAACAACGGTAATTGTGGGAGACTCAACAAAGAGTGAGTATAGCTGAAGGAGCCGGGAAACAGAAAGTATATGCGTCAGGTATGAGGAAGAAAATAGATTTTGGAAGTTATGAGAACTGTAGAGAGTGAGTTGAGCATAGTTTGTGATTTTGAGGGCCTCTAAAGTATTAATGCAGTGGCAGCTGCTGCACGCAGACATGAGGGCTAGGCTAAAACAGTAAGGTCAAGTTGTTTGCACAGAAAGGCTACAGGGTGCGGTCCTGGCTCTTGTGTAAGAATTCTGACCGCACTAACTATGCCTAGGAAGGAAAGGAGTTGTTGTTTTGTAGAAGGTGCTGGGGTTTGAGAGATCAGTCGGACACAATTGGCAGGGAGAGCCCGTGTGTTTTTATGAGTGTTATGCCGAGATAGGTAACAGATGAGGAAGAAATTTGGGCTTGATTGAAGTAATGGGGGCTGTCTGTGAAGCTTTGCAGCAGTACAGCCTAGGTAATTTGCTGAGCTTGATGGGTGTCAGGGTCAGTCCAAGTGAAAGTGAAGAGAGGCTGGGATTAAAGGTGCAAAGGAATAGTAAAGCAAGCATGTTTGAGATCTAGAACAGAATAATGGGTTGTAGAGGCAGGTATTGAGGATAGGAGAGTATATGGGTTTGACACCACTGGGTGGATAGGCAAAACAATTTGGTTGATAAGGCGCAGATCCTGAACTAACTTGTAAGGCTTGTCTGGTTTTAGGACAGGTAAAACGGGGGAATTGTAAGGAGAGTTTATAGGCTTTAAAAGGCCATGCTGTAGCAGGCAAGTGATAACAGGCTTTAATCTTTTTAAAGCATGTTGCGGGATGGGATATTGGCGTTGAGTGGGGTAAGGGTGATTAGGTTTTTAATGAGATGGTAAGGGGTGCATGATCGGTCGCCAAGGAGGGAGTAGAGGTATCTTATACTTGTGGGTTAAAGTGGGGGGATACAAGAGGAGGACACAAAGGAGGCTTTGGATTGGGAAGAAGGGTGGCAATGAGATATAGCTGTAGTCTAGGAATAGTCCGGGAAGCAGATAATTTAGTTAAAGTGTCTCAGCCTAATAAGGGAACTGGGCAGGTGGGGATAACTAAAAAGGAGTGCTTAAAAGAGTATTGTCTAAGTTGGCACCAGAGTTGGGGAGTTTTAAGAGGTTTAGAAGCCTGGCCATCAATACCCACAACAGTTAGGAGGCAAGGGAAACAGGCCCTTGAAAAGAAGGTAATGCGGAGTGGGTAGCCTCCATATTGATTAAGAAGGGGATGGGCTTACCTTCCACTGTGAGAGTTACCTGAAGCTCGGCGTCCGCCGTGATGGTCTAGGGGGCTTCCGAGGTGATCGGGCAGTGTCAGTCTTCAGCCGCTAAGCCAAGAAGATCTGGGAAGGAGTCAGTCAGAGAGCCTTGGGCCAGAGTTCCAGGGTTTCTGGGAGTGGCTGCCAGGTGAGTTGAACAGTCCAATTTTCATTGGGGTCCCACACAGGTGGGACGCGGCTTAGGAGGAATCCCGGGCTGCGGGCATTCCTTGGCCCAGTGGCCAGATTTCCGGCACGTGTAGCAAGCTCCTGTGGGAGGAGGTTCTGGAGGAATGCCTGGCTGCTGCAGTTCAGGCGTTTGGAAGTTCTTGTGTGCTGGAGATGTGGCTGGGGTTTGTCTCACAGTGGAGGCAAGGAATTGCAACTTTTTTCTATTATTGTACACCTTGAAGGTGAGGTTAATTAAATCCTGTTGTGGGGTTTAAGGGCCGGAATTTAATTTTTGGAGTTTTATTTAATGTCGGGAGCAGATTGGGTAATAAAATGTATTTTGAGAATAAGACGGCCTTTTGACCTTTTAGGGTCTAGGGCTGTAAAGTGTCTCAGGGTTGCTGCCGAACAAGTCATGAACTGAACTGGATTTTTATATGTGATGAAAAAGAGCCTAAACGCTATCTGATTTGGGATAAAGAAAAAGGAGCGTTAACCTTGACTATGCCTTTAGCTCCAGCCACCTTTTTAAGAGTAAATTGCTGGGCAGGAGTGGGAGGGCTAGTCACGGAAGGAAACTGTAAGCCGGAGCAGGTGTGAGTAGGGGAGGTGATAAAAAGATTATAGGGTGGAGGAGCAGAGGCTGAGGAAGAATTGGGACCTAGCTCGGCCTGGCGAGGAGCAGCCTGGGGAGGAAGAGAGAGATCAGATGGGTCTGTAGAAAAGGAAGATTAGAAAGACTCAGCGACGCTTGGGGTTGGTACTGAGGGGACAGGCGGGAGGGAAAGAAGGAAGATTTGGGACGAGTTGCACTGGGCACAGAGACTAGGAAGGGACTGATGTGTAAAAGAATGCCTGGACGTCAGGCACCTCAGACCATTTGCCTATTTTACGACAAGAATTATTTAGATCTTGCAGGATGGAAAAATTCAAAGTGCCATTTTCTGGCTATTTGGAACTACTGTCGAGTTGGTATTGGGGTCAAGCGGCATTGCAGAAGAAAATAAGGCATTTACGTTTTAGGTCAGGTGTGAGTTGAAGAGGTTTTAAGTTTTTGAGAACACAGGCCAAGGGAGAAGAAGGAGGAATGGAAGGTGGAAGCTTACCTATAGTGAAGGAGGCAAGCCCAGAGAAAAGAGTAGAGACACGGAGAAGGGGTGGGGGGTTCTTGCCCTCCAGAAAAGCAGAGAAGGGGTTGGGGCACGGAAATAAGGGATTGGGGCACAGAGGTAAGAGGTCAGGGTGCGGAAATAACGGATTGGGGTGCAGAAATAAGCGATTGGGGGGTTCTTGCCCCCTAGGAAAGTGGGACTTGCCGCTAAGGGTGAAGGAGAAGGGGTTGAGGGGTACTTGCCCCTGCCCCAGGAAAGCAGAGAAGGGGTAGAGACAAGGAGAGAAGGAGTTTGGGTACTTGCCCCTTCCCCAGAAAAGCGGGACTTGCCGCTAAGGATGAAGGACCAAGGCAGGCGTCCCTGAGTGGTCTGACACCTTTGAAACGTGGGTGAATTATCAGAGAGGCGTCCCTGCAAGGATTAAACACCAAGGGAAGTCTGCCTTCCCAGTCCGTGACCGGCACCGGAGTTTTGGGTCCACGGATAAAACGTGTCTCCTTTGTCTCTACCAGAAAATGAAAGGAATTAAAATTAAGAGAAGGGAGAGATTGAAGTGTGGCACCAAGATTGAAAGGAGAAAGAGGTTGAGGGATAGTGAGAAGGGAGGTTGGAGAAGAGAGTAAAAAGAGTCCGCTTACCAGATTTGAAATTGGTGAGATGTTTCTTGGGCTGCTGGGTCTGAGGACCTGAGGTCATGGGTGGATCTTTCTCACAGAGCAAAAAGGAGGAGGACGGGGGATTGATCTCCCAAGGGAGGTCCCCCCATCCGAGTCACGGCACCAAATTTCATGCACATCAGTGTGAAGAGACCACCAAACAGGCTTTGTGTGAGCAATAAAGCTGTTTATTTCACCTGGGTGCAGGTGGGCTGAGTCTGAAAAGAGTCAGCAAAGGGAGATAGGGGTGGGGCCGTTTTATAGGATTTGGGAAGGTAATGGAAAATTACAGTCAAAGGGGGTTGTTCTCTGGTGGGCAGAGGTGGGGGTCACAAGGTGCTCAGTGGGGGAGTTTCTGAGCCAGGAGAAGGAAATTCGCAGGGTTAATCATTCAGTTAAGGTGGGGCAGGAACAAATCACAATGGTGGAATGTCATCAGTTAAGGCGGGGCAGGGCATATTCACTTCTTTTGTGATTCTT
Organism: Homo sapiens; assembly: GCF_000001405.40. Lineage (NCBI taxonomy): Eukaryota > Metazoa > Chordata > Mammalia > Primates > Hominidae > Homo > Homo sapiens. The sequence continues at coordinate 66,146,957 of NC_000013.11, forward strand.
CAGTTACTTCAGGCCATCTGGGCGTATACGTGCAAGTCACAGGGGATGCGATGGCTTGGCTTGGGCTCAGAGGCCTGACATTATTTAACATTGTATGAATGCCTTGCCAGCTAAGAAGGTATGGGCAAAGCTGTACCCCAAGGGCCATTGATCCTACTTAGAACAACGTGAAAATGTCTCTCTAACCTACTACTGTAAGAATGGGTTATCTGGTAACAATGCCTGCTCAGGCACCACTTGTGCAACTAGAATCAATACCACTGTCATACACAATTGTGATAAGTTGTTTCCTAAGCACCCTCACTGTGTTCATGTGGTTGGTTGTGTCTACTTGGGTTCATATGTTTCTATTTCAACAACACTTGAGTGGTGTTCTTTCATTGGATCTTTGAAAATTAGCTGTTTAAGTGAGACTAACCAAACCATTTACTAGAAAGTTAAACAATGTATTCTACATGTTGGTAATTTCAATATATACAGCAATCCTTATTTTTACTTAACCATTATTTCCAATAGGACTCCAAATCTTGTGTGGTTAGAGTCAATATTTCAATACTAACACTGGTTATCTGTTTTGTGTCATTCTATTCTCTTGTTCTCACCGGTTATCTTCTAATGAAATAAAAAGAACTTCAGAAGTGGACTGCCTGCAGGGCTTTATTTGACACCTTCTGCATTCACTAAATCCAAAGTATATTGTCTACCAACCAAGAATGTTTTCCCTGCAACTGAGGCAAGCACTGATGTTAATGTTCCTCTGTTAATTTTTCCTTTAATGACTAGTAAATCCCTCTTCCCCACTTTTTGAGTTTACATGTTCCTACTCTGTTGTTCTATGCATTGAAGCTACAATCTAATGATCTCTTTTATCCTTCTAAGCTTGCTAAGCAACCAGGTGACTTACACTCTCTTGTCTGATGTCCAATAGTCCCTCTCATCTCTCCTGATCCCAGAGTGTCAATGATCCTTCTGCTTTCTGCTCTGAGTACATCATGAATAGACACTTGTCCTGCTGTCATCATTTTGAGTGTGAATTAGAATAATAACTATAATTTTTTTAGTGTGTCCTATATACCAGATACTCATATAAGTACTTGGCACATATTATCTAATGTAATGCTTAAAATTTTTTTTAAAAATGTGTAAAAGGCACTAATATTAGCCTCCTTGAAGGTAAGAAAACAAGATCAGAGAAAATATTTATATTAAGTGCAGTTACAGAGTTAATAAATGACTCAAGGCTATCTGACATTAGAACCTACGCTCTTGTCCATTAATTTCAACTGTGTGAGAAATAGTTTTTAGACAAAGTGAGACTTAGAGAATATATTCCTTTCTCTGACTATATTCCAATCTCTTTCAAAACTTGCCAACCGATTCCATATCTGAAGAAATAAAGTCTTCTTAAGCAGTGAAATGTGGCCCTCATACAAATTATTAATATGGAGGGAGGTGAAGATTATCTTTTAACATTTTTATCTCTTTGTTAGCTTCCCATCAATCAAGTTATAATGCATTTATAGTTTTTTTTCCAACCAGATAAACCAATATAAGTGCTTTCTTCATAATTGAGGTTGTAAAAGATCAATACCCAACATCCTTTCAAAGTTTGGACTGCTTAACAGAGACAAAAATTTACATAGTAGGAAGTTAAGGTACCAGCTTTCCTACTGATCAGAGTTACTGTAGAATTTGATTTAGGTGTGTAAATTAGTCTGAGGCACACATTCAGTCTTAGGCAACCCTCTCTGTGATGGCATGCCTCAAAGCAGTGGTTTGAATTAGGGGCAACCTTCAACCCTGAGGGACACTTGGCAACATCTTGAAATATTTCAATGGTCTTAAGTGAGAAAGTGCTATTGGCATCTGGTAGATTCAAGCCAGGGATGATGCCAAAGATTTGACAAAACACAGAACAGGCCATACAACAGAGAATTATCTGGTCCAAAATGTCAATGGTGCCATGGTTGACAAAACCTGAGATAAGCTTAGGGAAGGATCCAGCACAGAGCAGAATGTATTCTCTCTGTAAAGAAGCCAATCCCAAAGAGAAAGAAGTTGAGTAATGCTGCGTATATTTACTCACTTTCTCTTTCCAAATTTCTTAGTTTGATAATTCACTCGACTTGCCCTGGTAAGGAATGAGGGAGGAAGCAAAAAAGACCAAGCTTGTGTTACACTAATTACTGTCCCTCAACAGAAAAACGTGAGGTGAGGGGTAAGAAAGTCCCCCCATTCTCACATCTATATCCAATACATGTAGTTTGTTTCCATTTTTCTAAATGGATTTTCATGGTATAGGACAATGATAATTTGAGGGTAGGTTGACTTTGCATTATAAATTTGTTAAATTCATGTCCAGAAGCATAAAAACCTTTTTATTAAAATTTACATCTATTACACAGGAAGGAAGTGACCAATTACAATGGGTTGTTTTATCTATGCTATCTTTTAAAACTCTACTTGAACGCTCACATTCACTTTTCTTAAAGAAAAATGGAAGAAAAACTAATATAGTTGGCAAGAGAGTTATTTACTTTATTGATTAAACAATTCAAATGGGGTTTGACTAGTTACTACAATGTCCCAGACATACTTCATTAACCCTACTGTTAAAATTAAAAAGGGGAGAAAGGCAGCAAAGGACAGATAGGTAGAGCCATTTGAATCACCACAAAAAGTAAGTTCAAGTTGCTGGAGCAAAACTAAAGATGGATTAAAAAAAATTCACCTAACTGTATTCTTTTTTCTATTTTTGACTTTTATTTCCACTTTCATATTGTGAAAGAGGTCAGCATTCCCTTTCTTACCTTCCCTCTTTGAGCCTGAGGCAGAGGTAATACCCAGGAGGTTTTAGTCTGCAGTCAGGTGCCAGGCAGGTTTCCAGTCTCTATTGTTGTGATGTCTATATCAAATAATCTAAGACATTAGCAAGGACTATTAAACATCCAAGTGGAAACTGGCCGTTCTGACACCACTAGGCCTTCCACACAGAAACACCGTCTATTCTTAAACAAGAATAACAACATACTCCTCATTTGAAAGCCATAACAAAAAGGCCAACTCTCGAAGAAGAGGAAATGTTTAATAATATCCTAATAGTGTATCTTATTTTTTGAATATATACCATGAACCAGACATCACATAGAGACAATTGCATTATTTGCAATATCTCATTATATCCTTACATTATATCTATAAAGATGGTTCTATAACTGTCTCCACTTTACAGATGAAGAAACTTGTCTAATGTCAAACAGTGTTGTTTAGTAGACAAGAAGCCAGACACAATTTTGGCTGACTCCAGATCCTATCATCTTAAATCACTATGTGATGGCTGGGCATGGTGGCTCACTCCTGTAATCCCAGCACTTTGGCAGGCCAAGGAGGGTGGATCACCTGAGATCAGGAGTTCGAGAACAGCCTGGCAAACATGGTGAAATTCCATTTCTACTTAAAATACAAAAATTAGCAGGGTGTGGTGGTGCATGCCTGTAATCCCAGCTACTCGGGAGGCTGGGGCAGGAAAATCCCTTGAACCTAGGAGGTGGAGGTTACAGTGAGCCGAGACTGTGCCACTGCACTCCAGCCTGGATAACAGAGTGAGACTCCTTCTCAAAAAAAAAAAAAAAAAAAATCACTATGGGATAATGACTTCTGATTAAAGAACAATCATAGTAATTGATATTTCTGGAATTTAATAGATGCTAAATGTAAGATAACTATTAATATCATGGCAGTATTTTAATATTTCAAAAATCTTCTTTGCTTATCTTATAAGCCTTAACTACATCTAAATATTTTTCTTCAAATACTTTTCTAACTATTTACAAATTATCTTTTATGAAAGTCATGAATGACTTTCAGAATACTTCTTGAATAACAAAAAAATGAAATAGTCACTGATTAGGGAATAGGAAATAGAAGGAGAAATAGATTTTTAGCAAAAGATTAGTTCAGTTTAGAAATGTTGATTTTGAGGTACATTTTGCAAAAATTTTTTTTGAGAATTTGGGGGACTCTCTCTTCCTATCAAGACAGACTTTTTTCAAAAGTGAACCTCATTATATAAAGTTTTAGAGGAGTCATTCCTTCTTTCCTTCTAGCAAAAGAGCAGACACATGAATGAGGTGTCACTAGCCAGAGTACAACATCTCTCTGGCCACAGCGATTTGTTTGAGGATAGCATGTGATGCAGCAAGGTCGGTATAAGCTCTCCTTGTAATTTTTGTTGGTACTATTTGAAAACAGTGAATGATTTGAGAATGAATGACAATGTAGGTCTCTACTGGCTGAAAATTATCTTTGCCACCATCTTGTGAAAGCCTGTCATTGACATTTTCACAAAGCAAAGATTATTTTAGGAGAGAAAGACTGACTCATCACTTGAATGCCTGCACCAAGATATGCACCAAAGTAGATTTTCAATTATGAGAGCAAGTAAACTTCCTTTTTAAAAATGTTAATTTGAATTGTATACCTGTAATTTGCAATTATAAAAGATAAGATGTTGGCAGAGCACAAAAGTGGCACTTTTCCCATCTCCCACTTTCCCAGACTCTACTGAAGAGGGAGTTGTACCCGCATTGCCTGTATACTGCAGTACAAATTTTCAACTATTGCTCTGCTGCCACTTCCCACTGAAACTTTAGCTCTCTCGCTTCCTACTTAGTTATCACCTCTTAATTGAAGTCTTGCCATATCATTTTGCATCTTTTCCAAATGATCAATACAATTCCTCCACTTTCCTTGATGTTAATGACTTCAACACCTGGCTCACTTGTTTCTTATCTTCATGCTTAATAATTTATAGCTTCTTTAATAACAGCATCAATGATTCATTGACTAATCCATTCACCATTATCACTCAATTTCATCCTTCCTAATAAACTGACTTTCAACGTTGCATCACTTCACCTCTCCATTAAAATCACCACATTCATCTTGATCATTCCATTGCATAGTTCAAAAACAAAAATATAAAGAGGACTTTCACTTTTATAATGACTTCTGAAAATAATATTATACTTCATGTGTTTCTTTCAATTCTTACCATGAATTTCTTTTTGACAACTCTCTTCATATGGTATTTGACTTCTTCAACTTCAAATTTCTTATTCAAATGTTTCAATAGTATTATTATCACAGAAACCATACTATCCCTCTTGAATTTTATGATATCATTCATGTACTCTTTCCTATATTCTTGTTGTAGCTGCACTGTCCTGGGAAATGGAACAAAATCCATCCTATTGACTTCACAAGCTTTATTCCTCACCCCTTGCATCCCATATCTCTTTAAATTTTGGTGGGTTTGCCTCCAAATTCGTTCATTTTATTATCATCGTGTGCATTATTTCCACCCTAGACTGGCTACTTCATTTCTTGTTGGGGCTCCTCGTCTCTTTCTTATTTATTTATTTAGGCTTTACTATATTCTGCTCCACACACTTCAGTCACTTTTAAAATAAAATATTATTATATCTCCTGTTTAAACCTATCAATTGCTTTTCAATGTTAGGAAGGAAGGAAGGAAGCAAGCAAGCAAGGAAGGAAGGGAGGGAGGGAGGGAGAAGGGAAGGTAAGGGAAGGGAAGGGGAGGTGACGGGAAGGGAGGGGGAGGGAAGGCAGGGAAGGGGAGGGGAAGGGAGGCTAAGGGGAGGGGAGGGGAGAGGAGGGGAGGGAAGAGAGTCTAAACTTTACCTTGGTCCAGGAAGGAAGGAAGGAAAGAAGGAGGGAAGGAAAGAAGGAAGGAAGGAAAGAAGGAAGGAAGGGAGAAAGGCAAATCTTTACCTTGGCCCAGAAGAGGCCCAATGGTTTGACCCCTGCCTGACCATCTCTTCCCTATGATGTCATACCACACACTACTTTGCTCTTTAAGATTCAGCCAAGCTATACTTTTCATTCTTTGATTATGTCATGCTTCTCAACCACTGGTCTTTGCATATTTTTGTTCTTCTATTTAGAATTCCCTCCTCTCTGCATACTTTCACCTAGCTAACACCAGATAAGCATTTACATTTTTCTTAAACTTATATTCTTGGCGAGAACTCACCTAATGTCCCAGTTTAGGTCAGATGCTTTCTTAATTGGACCTCTAGGGTTATATTGCTTCTTTCTCTTTGCTTATCTCAGTTTGTAATATTGCAAACACTGGATCAGTGATCATTTAATATCTATTTCTCCCACTTGATGGAAGCCCTTGAAAACATAATTGCTAAATGGATCAATCAGTAAATGAAAAATTATTGAGAAAATTCTATGTTCCAGATACTGTGCTACATATTAGATGCAAAAATACTACATGAAAGTCATGGACACATAAACACATCATACGAGTGTGAACATATCATAAAAACATAGTTCAGGGTCAGCCCAGCAATGAAAAGTATACAAAAGAGCACCTCCTAATACCATCTGGGATGAATTTAATGAGGACAAGACTGCAGATGGGGATATCACTTAGGAAGTGGAAGTGGAAAGGATTTGCAGTCCCCAGTAGTTATATATTTCCATTGTTCTCTTCCTGGGGTGAAATGCTTTAATGAGAAAAGACAAAAAGGCAATTCAGTGATGCTCCACAATCAATCATTGTTGAATTTATTCCATAGATTTTCATTGACTGCCTACTACGTGTCAGACATTGTGCAAACATGGGAATGTACAAATAATGAATCTGCCTTTGTATTTCAATATTTCCCATTCAGTTTGGCAGAGAGGCTTTTATGATACAATACAATATAATATTTAAGAGACAGTGCCAGATAATATGGGAGTAGCATGGAGGGCCCGCTAAGCAGTCTGATGAATCTGGAAAAGTTTTCCTCATTAGTGAAACCTTACATGAATCTGAAAATATCAATAAGATTGAGCAAGCTGGAGACAAGCAATCCAGTCAGAAGAATAATAAAAATAAATAAATTTCACTAACTAAAACTCATATTGTTTGGTTTTATGATGTAGGACAATTTAAGAACTTTTTAAAGATGAGTCTGTAAATGTGGGCAGCAGCAAATCACACTCTTAGGAGCCACCAAAGAAGTTTGGATTTTGCCAGGAAAGCAGTAGAAAGGATTTTAATTTGAAAAGTAACATAAGATTCATTTTCAGGAAACATAATATTGGAAATGCTGAAGAGAGTGTATTGGAAGACCAAGAGAATCAGGAGTGGGTTAATTGCATTAATCATGAAGAATTCCACTCAGCTATTTTCCATTTGGGAAGCCCTTTACACTTGTTCCCATAGTACTCTGTGCTCCTTGTAAAGTGTTGACACTCATCTGCTTATAACTCAGTAGTATATAGCATAAATCTGGGTCTGTAGTAGACTCAATGAATACTCTCAGAATCAGTGAATAAATTGGATAATTATGTCAATGAGTCTGTGAAAGAGCTGTGAAGATTCCTAACAGTGACTATATGGTTTATATATTTACCTTCACATTAAGCAAAAATCACACCAACATTATTTACTTTATCTATAAAAATGATTAATATTCTTCTGGGCAAAAATGCTTAATATCATCATAGTGTATTCTCCAGGAGCCAAACCAACTATTTGCAGAAGATACAAACTCTATAAAGAAATGTTGCTGAGTCATTCTTCTTTTTCTGGATTAATTGTACATTTAATCAAATATTGGACTTGCTATTTCATGCAATGAGACAAGCAAATGTTAGGTGAATGCAATTTATTTGGTAAGAAATGATTAAAACAATATGTTAAACTATTCACAGAGATCAAGGATTTCTCGGTGGGGTGTGCTTGTTTAAGAAAAAAGTAATAAATATATCTTTATGTAATGTCATTTTCAAAGGTATATGTAATATAAAATCAGTTTATACTACCTATATTTTTGTTTTTAAAGACATTTGTTTTTTATTACTATAGTTTAATAAAATTCTTTCTGCTAATTTATTCAACCAACCATGGTTAACTTAAATAGCACATAAAATTTTAGACAGATGTTACATTATAAATATCCAGAGTATAAATATCAAAATTATGCTTGCAAGTATAGAAAAGATTTATTTTTATTTTAAGTAATTATCACATTTTTGGAATGTATTACAGATAATTCTCAACTATCAGAGAGCAGGAATATGGATTATCCAAACTATGAATAATCTAGAAGGCATTTGTGTCCAATTTGGGGATATATTTTTTGGCAACAAAACCACATTATTGCCTGTTACTTAAGCAAAAACTCAAATTAGGTTACATTTCCTGTGCAATAGGAAATGGTTCACCAGTTGAGCTGTAAAGTTAGTTGGTGAGAAATACACGGGCTTTGGGAGGAAGAAAAAGCCAATCCACTGGTAATAAATATGCTACAGTACCTTTATTGCCTCAATTTATTAGGAGGATTCTTATTTCTTTGATTTGGACCAGATTTCCTTTTCATAGACACTAAGAATACTTTACTTTCTTTTCTTTAGTTTTGTCTGAACTAAGAATATTTAAAGAGATCAAGGGTACCAGTTAGCTGACTGCATCATACATTTTGCAGGATTAAATAGCAACTTTACATTTTTTTGTGTGTGGAAAAACTAAATGTATGCCTCTAACAAGAAAAGTTCAGTTATAAATAAATAGTAAATTATGCTCAACATACACTGACAATAATAAGTATCTTTAAGTGAAGTCAAATTAATTCATTCTTATTTGCTTATTCATATAAAAACTAGTATATGAGTGCTATTTTTGAAGGATTCTATTGAAAGCTGAAGATACAGCAATTGTTAGAGTATCTATCCCTATAGATCTTACATTCTACAGGTAAGATTCTTTGTTTAAATGAAATAAAGTATCAAATAAAATAACCTTGGGAAAATAGTATTAGATATTATAAATATTTTATAACTTGATTATTTCTACTTTGGTATCAATTATTCTTTATTTTGTTTTACAGCATGATATGTATTCACTTGTTATTACTAGAACAGAAGAAGATGGGGTTGTGGGTGAGGATGGGCATCAGATGTAGACAAGGAGGCTATCTCTAGTGAAAAAGCTGAGGATTTCATTTTAGGGTTCAGAGAAAGGAGAATCGCTGTGTCACTTCTAATTAGCTTTGAAAAATAGTTGCTTCCAATGGATGGGGAACAATAGTAGAGAACAGGAATGGTTTTCAGGGTATTTATTCAAAGTGTGGCACTGGAGACTCCATAGGGAGAATGGATCTAAAAGGCTAATGGGCAGCAGTAGCCATTTTGGTCAGCTTATACAAATGTTGAAGAATTCACTTAGTAAACTCAATAATATAAAGGGAGGTGCTCACCAAACAAAATGGAATTTGTCTAAATTCAGGAGGTTAATACAATTTGTAGGTACATGGGATAGGGCTCTAGACTTGAATGAAACTAGAAACAATAAGAACAAGGAGAACCATAAAAAAGGCAACCTAGATTATCTGTCTTACACTGTAGACTGGCTCATCAGTGAGAGTGGTTTGCCTCGGGAAGCATGAGTTTCTAAGGTGGTTGTCATTGAGATGAAGAAGTGGTCTCCACTGGACTGGAGTGACATGGGAGTGGAGGTGAGAATTTGAGAGTAGTTCTAGGTTATTAATAAGTATACCAGCATTTCCTTAGGGTATTAGCAAACCAAAACTCAAACTTTTGATGGAGGAAATTTTTGGTGTTTCATCCTTCATAAAAATACCAAAGCAGTCATTCTGAGACATAATATGCAATGTCAGACATTATGCAATGTCAGAATATTTCTGGGTTAGTAACAATAAGATTTTTAAACTTATACATGAGGAAGGTACCCTAATGTTTTGTAAGTTTTGTGTGCTTCTAACAATATCATACTAGCCCTAGCTGTGTCTAAGTGTGTATTTTGAGAATGACAGGATGGCTATTGTACAAAATGTGCCTTTACTGTTATCTAACCTGAACCTATAAATGTAATGGACAGTGGAAAGTTGGTTGATTTATTATTTTTATTGTTTATAAGATCACATCTGTCATCCAGGCAATTGAGACATGTGAAAGTGACAGTGACAGTTGCCAGCATATTGGAGGTGATCAATAATCAATAACAAACTTCATTTCCTCCCCCTTTTCTTCTTTTTAACTTCCTGTATTACTTTTTCCCTACTTTTTTTCTAATATTGCTAACACTCTAAGTCAACTCCTTAAACATTATATCTATAAGTCAACCTTTAACGCAGAAAACAGAAACCTCTCTGCTTATATCAAGCAGAAATGAATTTAATGTAGTGAGTTAGAAGCTTACTGATTCCTTAGTAGTCGTGGAGGTGCCACAGTGAGCAGGCCATCATTCTAATAATGGTCAAAAGTAATACCAACTATCTTCTATCCAGAATACAAGAAGATAGTGTTGCTACTACAGCCACCAAGATTGGCCAAAAGTGCTTGTCATTGCCCAGAAAGGTGGGAACTAGATATTAGATTTCTGAGTCTGATCATCAGTGCTTTCTTATGTCTCATCATCTTACTAGAAGAGGACACAGCAGCAGGAGAGAGCTTCAGCTTCATCTCTGCCTTCTAAGCCTTATATGTTTGCAACTAATTAGGAAACTTTACTTGTATCCAGACCCTGTTTCTAAGAGGGTTGGGAAAGGTTGTTTTCAGCTTAATATCACTAAATTTAATGAAGGTGGATTGCAGACTGGGAGAGCCAAATTGAATATCTATGACAAGCTGATGTACTTATTTATGTTGACCTCCTGTTGCTTATTCCTATTCTTTCATGTTATTCCTGGCTTTTAGTCAATGTATATCCCTAACCATGCAAAATCTCATTTCTGTCCTGTTGTGTAAGTAAACTAGCAAAATTTATATTTTCACAAAGTTGTTAGCTAGCATATGAACTGTATTATTAACTTCTAGAACACTTTTCTACAACTTATAGAAGAAATACTCTATAGGGTTAAAATCATACTTTATGTACATAAACAAGTACTTATGAATTATAGACCTAGAGATCACTATTAAACAAGTGTTATTTCTATAATGAAATTCATAATTGCAATCAAATTGTGCAATTATTGAATAACTAGTATGATCTAAGGTAGACTATAAAGCTAAATGTCCTTAAATTTCATACATGCTCCTAAATTGATTTTTAAATCCACTTTTATCTATTAATTAAGAGGTAAGACATCTATCACTCAGGAAAATCTTTCTTATATACATAATATCATGGACCTTGAGTTTCTGTTGTCTTACTTTTAAAGAAACTAGCAAAATATTGTTTAAAATAAATGATAAAACATCAGCAAGCAGGAAACATTTGTATTATAAAAACAATATAGTTCATTCTTCTAGTCACTTTTACTATAATTTTCTTTCCCCTGTATATGGTCTGACTCTATATAACTACATGCAGTCTGATATCATCCTATCTTAAAGTGTTAAAGTTGACTTCAAAAAAATAAATAAGATTATGTCCATCTTAATTATAATTCTAACACAAATTTCCCTTAATCTTTTAAACTGCAAATGCGATTATTTTTCCCATATTATTATTTTGCTAAGTTTGATGACTTTATTGACTATCACAATTCTTTTTTCATTTGCTATCCCTGCCTCTATAATAAAATGGGTTTATAAAACTAGGGTTTAATCAGATAATCTGCTATAATATCTACTTTCTCTTTTGGATGAATATTTTTACTCTGCTTGAAGCATGCTCTGTTATTAGAGTCTGTGAAGCTGTGTTGTCCCTTAGCTCAGAATGATGGACCCAAGAGTCTGATGTTGTATTTACTGCATGAACAACAACTTAATTAAGTGTTGCTGTTGAAACATCACCAGAGCTTTGTTTCTGGTATTACACTCAGGCATGTATCACATTGTTTTGACACATGCATTGGGAGATTTGCTTTGTAGTTAGTCGTGTTTTTGGAATACTACTGGTAGACAAAGAAGAAAAGAATAATTCTACTGGTACATCAGGGAAAATGCTCTCAGATTAAAAAATAATTATACTTTTTGATTATAAAAGACGGGGTCAAGAGCAAAATTTTCTTCTCAGAACACTGTCAGTAAAACTAAAGTTCCTCTCATGACATTTAATGGTTTAAAAGCGTTTTTCCCCCACTTTTGTAAAGATTAACAAAATTAAATATGAAAATACTTCTTTTTATATTGCATTTATCTCTCTACGAGTCTTATATATCTAAACCAATTTGATATTTTAATTTTAGGTTGCTATTTATTATGATAAAATTCTATTTTAAACAGAATTCCATGTTGTAAAGCAGGAAAGGTTTGGAAAAAGAGAATAATACATGAATATATTTTTACACTCCTCTTCAAAAAGGTAAACAAATTTTCACTTCCTGGTATGCTCAGAAAATGCACCTGAGATTAAGAGGAATTAAATACATCAGAGTCGAAACACTAGAATGCTTAACATCATTAGCGTCAGCCTCATATTGGAGATTTGGAGATTTGAAGATTTGTACCATTGTATAACAAACATCCAAAAACTTGAAAAAAGAAAGCTACTAACTAAAAAGTAAGGAGAGATTTCTTCAAAGACAGCTTGGCCTGGAATCTCTAGACAAGACAGGCCAGATGATCTATGAAGGAAAGTGCCCCACAGGGGACTCAGAACATTAAAAATCTATGAGGCTGGGTGCAGTGGCTCATGCCTGCAATCCCAACACTTTGGGAGACTGAAGCAGATGAATTGCTTGAGCCCAGGAGTTTGAGACCAGTTTGAGCAACGTGGGGAAAACCCGTCTCTGAAAAAATATAAAAACTAGCCAAGTGTAGTGACGTGTGCCTGTAATCGCAGCTACTCAGAAGGCTGAGGTGGGAGCTTTGCTTGAGCTTTGGAGGTAGAGCCTGCAGTGAGCCGTGATCATGCCACTACACGCCAGCCTGCATGACAGAGGGAGACCATGTCTCAAATAAAAATAAAAAATAAAAAAAAAGATGAAAAAAACTAATTTTTCTCAAAAGTTTTCTTATGTTTCTTTTATCTCATAATAACCCCTATTCAAGTCCAGTGATAAATGACAGTGACTAAACAAGGTCTGGTTTTCCTCAAAGGTAGGAAAATATTGGACCTCAAGTCAAGGTACTCAGCTTAAGCAACCTTCTTAAGCTCTTGCTAGAAAGAGAGCGAGAAACCCATTTAGAACAATCATATTTAAACTGCCCTTTATGATTAATGATCCATCAAGTCTACTTAATTCAAGTATTAAATCAGGTCTGTTCTAAAATTTCATATATATTTGAGAAAAGTGTGTTTACATTAAGATTGTATTATTCAATATGTGATTTTTGTGTAACTGAGTATGTTGCCATGCATGTTTACATCTTTATATATATATGTATTTGTTATTGCATTATAAAACATTTCTATGTTCTAAGCTAGTATTTTATCTCAAAATTCTAAATATCAATACATACTAGGTATTATGTGACAATGTTTCACCAAAGTAGAAGGAACAGGAGAGAGCAGAAACAAAGCTTTTCCAGAATGTGCCAGAAAGTTGTCAAGGATTATACAAAGGTAGAAAATTAAACATGCTAGTAAGCATGGCTAAAATCAAATAAATCACCTACAATTCCCTCCAAAATGGCTCTGAACTCAGAGAGTTTATTCAAATTGCATTTACAGTTTCAATGGACAGAAAATTCTTATGTTATATAACTATTCCAGAGCAAAGAAAATATGATACCATACTAACAATATTCAAATAGAAATTAGAAACCAGCTCCACTGGATCATCTATTAAGCCATTGATTCTGAGCTCCAAAGCCACCTTTCTATACACTTTTGCATTGTTGGGGCTGGGCATCCAAAGACTGCCTTTCTTTTTTGTTGGCTGCTGCTTGTTAATTGTCAACAATAAAAGGTATCAAAAGAAGAAAAATGAAAGGTAGGAGGGGAAATGAGCATGCTTTATTTACCGTTTTTCTTGCTGTCTCTGTCAGCATCATCTCAAAAAGATTTTCGCCCCAGAGTTAATTTAAAATCTAGTGTTTTTATTTGATTTTGTTACAACCTCCCAGAAACAGTTGCAATCCTGCACCTTCAGCAGTACCAAGACCAGGTGGCCAGTGCCTCCTTCTCAGAGTTTCAGCTCTTCAAGGGGCCTTCTCCAAGTTCTTGAGGTACAAACAATACCTCCTCGGAGGTCTAGAACCCAGCTCTGTCAGGCCTCTTCTGCTATATTCCAGGTTCTGGTAACAACCATATCTTGACTTTGCTCCTCCTGTCTGAGCAGAGATAGCAGCTTCTTTAGTTGCTACCTCTGTGTTGTCTCTCTGCTCCTTTTTGGATGTTTTTTTTTTCCCCCGGCTTGCTCTCTAGTTCTGGAATTACCAATTCCCTATGTAAAATTATCTTTTAAAAACGATCTGATATGGTTTCTATTTTTCTAGACTAGACCTTGATTGGTCCATTTGTATAAATACAGGTAAAACAACCCTAAATGAAATGCTACCAAACTAAACTTATAAAAAAGGAAATTTTAAAAAAGCTGGAATAGGAAGAGGAGCTAAGAATGAGAAAATAAAGAAACTATTACAAAGATAGAGGGTGTGTTTAATGAGGGCTAAGATGGATAAATCAAAATGTATTTATTTATGTAGTTAATCACATTAAAAATATAATGGAAAAATTATCTGATTATTTTAGTAGAATTTGAAAAGCTTTATGTAAAACAAACATCCATTCCCAATAAAAATTCTAGTAAAATAAAAAATCATCATGATTAAACTAATACTTTTTCTTGCTAATAGCCAGCACTATACAAGCAAGGTAACCTTTGTACCCTTCCCATAAACTCAGGAATAGGACAATGGTACACATTTCTGTCACTATTACTTATTATTATTCTTAATGAAATCAGTATAATGAACATAGGAAAATAAATTAAAATTATAACTATTGGAAAAGAGGAAAAATATTTTCATCCTTAGATAATTTTATAAATGTTTGCTTAGAAAGTGCTAGAGAATCAGGAGAAAATTTGTAGACATTTTTCCATCCCAAGTGGAAAGAATAAACCTTGCAAATATGTTAATTTTCCAAACTAATTTATGAGTGCAAAAGTCATTGAAATAGAATCTCAGCAGTATTTTTTGTGTGACTCAGCCAAATAATTCTCAATAAAATCATTCTGAATTTGTTGTAAAAAGACAAATGGATAAGAATTATAAATTTAAAAGAATAATACAAATGAGAATACCTTTTCTCTCCCTAATTAAACCATATCTTAAAGCTATAATAATTAAAACATTTTTTACTGATCCCCCAATAACATGAAAAGCCATTTGAACATTTTAGAAAAATAATGCATATGATAAAATTGGCACTTCAAAGTGGTGATTTTTTATTAACTAATATAGTTTAATATTTGCCCCTCCAAATCTCATATTGAAATGCAATTCATAATGTTGGAGATAGAGCCTCGTGGGAGGTGTTTGGGTCATGGGAGTAGATTCCTCATGAATGGCTTGATGCTATCCTTGAGATAGTGAGTGAATTCTCACAAGATCTGGTTGTTTCAAAGTGTGCCCGCATCTCCCCACTCTCTTTCTTGCTCCTGCTCTATGTGACATGCCTGCTCCTACGTCGCCTGAGGCCCTCACCAGAAGTGGAGCAGATGTTGGTTCCATGCTTGTACAGCCTGCAGAACTATGAAACTATTAAATCTCTTTTTTTTTTTTACTTTATTGAGACAAAGTCTCACTCTGTCATCCAGACTCCAGTGCTGTGGTATGATCACAGTCTCAACCAATCCTCCCACCACAGCTTCCTGAGTAGCTGGTACCACAGGCCCACATCATAATACCCAGCTAATTTTTTAAATGTTTTATAGAGATAGCATCTCACTACATTGCCCAGGTTGTTCTCAAACTCCTAGGCTTCCTAGCAATCCTTCTGCCTCAGCCTCCCAAAATGCTAGGAATATAGGCATGAGCCTCTGTGCCTGACAACCTCATTTCTTTATAAATTACCCAGCCTCAGGTATTTATTTATAGCAATGCAAAAATGGCCTAATACATTAACTATATTTATGCTTGTATGGAAAACTAAGTAATTTTTTAAAATCAAAATTATACAGCAGTCTCATGACATATACCAAAAAAGTTAATAAAACGAAACATTAACTGTTCAAAATAACATTAAAAGAATATGTTATTTTGTGAATTCAAAGCTGAGTATTATAAAGCAAATTGAGGCAGACAAAAAAATGGAATATGATTAGAACATATATGAAAGAAAAATAAGTGCCTAAAGCAAATCACTAATAAAAAGATGTATTTTTCCCTAAATATTAAAAAAGGCACAAAGAGGCAATTTCTAACAGAAATAGGGCAAAGTTAATGTAGTCCGGAGAGGCTGGATACAGTTGTGGTAAGAAATAACTCCGAAATTGCAATGGATTCAAGAACGAAGGGTTTATTTCTTGCTCACATTGCACGTAATGGCTTAAAGCAAAAAGGGGCTTATTTCTTGCTTGCATCAAAGGGCAAGTGTGGGATCAGTTCTGCATTCTCTTCATTCTATGCTCTGCATTCTCTTCATTCTATGGTCTGCCTTCTGCCTAAGAGGACATCTTTATCTTTGCTCTATTTCATTGGTCAAAGCAAGTCATATGTCTACTTATACGTGCTCATATATTTTTGTTTTGTTTTGTTTTGTTTTGAGACAGAGTCTCGCTCTGTCGCCCAGCCTGAAGTGCAGTAACTTCATCTCAGTTCACTGCAACCTCTGCCTCCCATGTTCAAGAGATTCTACCGCCTCAGTCTCCCGAATAGGTGAGGTCAGGAGTTCCAGACCAGCCTGGCCAACATGGTGAAACCCAGTTTCTGCTCATATGTTTTTCTACATGCCAGTTCTTAGTAGATGGAGCAACGTTTAGAAACTACTCCACATTTTCCTTTTAATCACATTTGATCAGAACCAAATAAATGTCAAAAGAGGTAAAACAGTTATAATTATCCTTTTATTTTGGTCAAAGTAGTTATAGAAGTGGATGCAGAAGGAGAGATAAAGAAGCTACCTTACCATTATCCAAAGGGTATAAAATATTTGAACTGATAAGAAGCAAAAATTATTTACTGAACATTTCCAGCTAAGATTATTACAAATTCATACAGAATAAAAGGTTAAATAACAGAGTAAAGCATGGAAACATTTTACACATCTGATGTGTTAAACTTGCATCTGTAAATTAACACTTTAATATTCTTCAAGAAATAGTATGCAATCTATTTACGTAGTCATGAACATTAGGCAAACAAAATCTGCTGAATTACAAATGAGATTATTTTATTTTAACATAGTGTTCTGAAGGGCTAGAATATAAATTACTATTACTACTTATAAAATAATGTGACATTAACAACTTTTGTCTGATAAAGAGAACATAAATCTGTTATCTTTTGAAATTCCTCCCTAAAGTAAGAAAACATTTGGGAGATAAACCTCACCTGACAAAAGCTGCTGTATTTAATACTCAAAAAATTTAGTAATGGTTCCCTTCCTTTAGGGCTGTGTCAGGATAGATTAGACTACATCAGGATAGCAAAGAACCCCAAAATCTCAGTTGCTTAAAATAACAGAGATGTATTTCTCATTTGTGCAGCCAGTGAATGTTCTGAGCAACCATACAGTACAGTTCTTCTTCATGTACTGGATATTTTACCTATATGCTAACCTGTAACACTATGTCCGTGACGAGGAAGAAAAAACAAGTTGGAGTTGATCTTTGATAATTAAATATTTCCATCTAAAATTGATATGTATAACTTTAGGTCAAAGTCATTGACCACATCTCTCTTCACGTAGATAGGTGCAACTGAAACAGGAAAAGTTGCCTTGTCCCCCTCGCAAGGCGTGCGACAGGGGAAGTAGCTGGCTTCTTCAGTGCCCCGCTGCTCACACCTCTTGGGGAGCAACAGAGGTTCAAACCTCTTGCGGGGCATACAGCCGGCAGGCTGTGGGGCTCTGACCCCAGGGCAGTGTCTAGAGTGGATGTTTATAGCTGAAGCCCCAGAGGGCACGTGCTACCGTGTGCTCTTTTAGTTTTGCCGTCTATAGGCGGCTTATGTTAACCAGCTCAATTAGACTCTCTGCCTTGTCACAAGGACAGAGGGCTTTCTGTAACCTGGGTTCTTGTCTTGGTGTACCGGAAGAATAGGATCGCACCTGGGCTTGGAGAATGAGTGCAAGGTTTTATTGAGTGGAGGTAGCACTCAGCAGATTGGGGAAGCCAGAAGCCAGTGGGAAGGTTTTCGTCGGGCTGCTCAGCGGCCTGGGCTCTCCTCCGACTGCCCCAGCCAAACTCCACCGTGTTCTGCTTCTGCCAGTCAATGGCCTACCTGAGTGCCCGTGCCAGTCAGTGTTCCTCTCAACATCCAGCTGCCCGTGTGTTCCTCTGCTGGTGTGCACCTCTCAACGTCCAGCCACCTGCGTCTCTGCCTTGCTAGGGTCTTGGGTTTTCATAGGGGGCACGGCAGGCCAGGGTGGTCTCGGGAAAATGCAACATTTGGGCAGGAAAACAAAAATGCCTGTCCTCACCTAGGTCTACGGGGGTGGAGCCCTAGCCAGAGACCACGCCCTTCCCCCTTCCGTATCATTTAAAGGGACCATACTCTTCCCTTCCCAGCACTTCCCTACCGCATCACAATTTATCTGTCTGCCCATAAGAAATAAATTGAATATTACTGAATAGTAGGAATGTCTATCACAGGAATGTCTTGAAAATATTTTAATATAAATAATTTAAATTAGGAATCACTAGGATTGCTTATAACAGCATGCCTCACACAATCATATGCACACACACTGATTTACTCCATACATCTCTGTAAATAATACAATAATATGGCAGTGTAGGGCTTTAGTTCACTGAGCTACTTCAGCATAAATTAGAAGGGGAATGCATAAGTTTTTTATCAGATGGTTTAATAATACATAGGAAAAAAATCTTCAATTTTGAGTGAGAATCATCTAATGAAAGAAGGTCCAGAATAAAATGTGGATTATCCACCCTGAGTGATGATCTTTCATGTGTGTCTGAAAGCACTTTTATTTTCAAAACCATAAATGTATCAAATTGAGAAGAAAAATCTCCATGCAAAGCACCCACATATACAGTAGTTTTATGAATTGCTGCTAATCACAGAATTCAATGATATACTACGTCTTTCACTCATCTGCTCCTGCTACCCGTGACTATTCTATCAGCAGGAATTATCTGGAGAACTTTATTTGGGACATTCAACTTCTGTTTATGTTTCTCCAGCCTCTGCTGCTGTCAACAGATTCCAGCGACCTGATTATATGTATCTTTTGGTTTCTGAATTTGGTTTGCTTATGAATTCTTCTAGCTCATGGCTTTAGTTTACTCATAGCTTCTGCTAACTCACTGTCTCTACTTTCCCAAGGTCTCTGTATGTCTCACCAGATGGCATTCCAATCAATTGCTGATATTTTTCTGTACTGTACAGTATTTTTTAAATAAAATGTCTAATTTAACCATAACTATATTATGCCTATTTGGGTAGAATGTCAATTGTAAGCTTCTTCATACAAATTTTATTGACCTGTCTATTGGTTTTCCTTTAATCAATTTCTCATGTCAAGCCCATCAGATTTTCCTGAGAACAACACTCGCATAAAAACAAACACTGTTCTCTATATTTCAGAAATTCTTTAGGTTCACTACCAAAAGCAGAGATTATAATCAGAGATCATCTCAGAAAATCATTGTAGACATAGCTGGTTTTACAAAACTTACTTAATTTGACCAAAGTAATACCTATTATGCATTACAGTAAGTTATATATACATAATAGAAACAAAAAATGTAAGAGAATTTTCAAGAGATAAGCAACACTTACACCAATCATATGATATAAAACATTCTTAGAATAAAGAATTCTGGATAATTAATGCCAAAAAATATATATGTTATGTTTGCCCTATCTGCATTTTGTTCTAACCTTTCTTTAATTTATTATTAATTGCTCTAATCCTCTACCTCATTGTGCATATGGCCTCATACTTTTCAATTGACAACCACTTTCCTCTAACTCTTTTAATCTGAAGAGATCCTCTGACCCCATAGATTATGTTGGATCCAGGAATAAAATCCCACTGGGTAATGCATGTTTATAAGTTCTAAAGTATACTTTATTAGCATATAAATTGAAAATAGAAACTTTGATCAGGTTGTTTAATGAAAAACACCTCTTAGTACAAATGAAAAACTATTTTCTTATTCCAGGTTGCTAAAACAAAAAAAAACAACAAAAACTACTTATGTGATTACTGCAAAAGGTGACAGGAGACAGGAAATCAAAGTAATGGCTGAACCAATCAACCTTTTGAAAAAAATCTTAGGTTAACTCTGGGCAGGTAAATAGCTGGCTACATGTGTAGACAGAAACCCTTCCAATAATGTTTCTGATGTCAAGGTCTCTTGGGCAATAAAGACTTCCCTGTGATGAAGTCCATTAGGCACCAACCTTATTAAATACGGCACACACAATTAGCTCTGAGTGACTACCTCCAGTCTTCTCTCCAGTGACAATGCAACAAATCTTCATTTTTCCAATAGGGAGTGATAGGTCTTTGATCAAACCTTCTAACTTTAATTTCCCTGGGTTAAATACTTTCCTAGGAAGCCTTTTTTGGGGGGAACTAACTAACATCATATGAACATCTGTTTATTTTTCTTTTCATCCAGGTCATTTTCATTCTGCTTCCAAATACTATAATTGAAGAATCAACAACTTCACTAAGGGTTATTGTGGGATGCCAACATTTATATTATAAAACAATGTGTTAAATTTCAGAAAAAAGTATAAACAAATTCATATCACTATGTATAATTTTCTTCATTTTGAGAGACTACATTAATTTAAATAATAATTCTCAGTGTACGTGCAAAGGATAGCTTGCTAAATCACCAACTCAAAATCCAAGAATAAATAGAATAAGCACGTGTTACTGAATGTGAGAAGATGGGAAATCAAAGGATACTGGTTTATATATGAGTGTCCTCTACAGAAACAATTTAAAAAACTGCCACAAAATAAAGTGATACAATACAGTAATTGAAAGAAATTTTTGTGTAAAACCCAAAAATGTATACTTTGAGAGAAAAACATACACTATTATTTAAACTCATACACAATAAAAGTATGCCAGGTAGAAAAAATGAGAGACATCAGATTTGCATAAAAGTCATAATACTGCCAGCAGATGAGAAAGAATTATATAGAAAATTACAGAAGTATAGAAAATATAACTGTTGCTTTTATTTTTTTTTCCTGAGACAGGGTCTCACTCTGTCACCCAGGCTGGAAGGCAGTGGTGAGTCATAGTTCACTGCAGACTCAAACTTCTGGGCTCAAGCAATCCTACTGCCTTAGCTTCCCAAAGTCCTGGGGTTACAGGCATCAGCCACCATGCCTGGCCGTTTCCTTGACAAATTTAGTCTAGAAATCCAAATGGAAGGAAAGGATTATATTAGAGGTTCTCAAGAATGCTGTATTAATTTCCTATTGTGGTTGTAACAAATAATAACAAATTTAATAGCTTAAAACAACATAAATGTATTACCTTCAGTTTTGGAAATCACAAATTCTCCAGAAAATGGGCCTCATTAGCTAAGGTCAAGGTGTCAGCAGAGCTCATTCCTTTGTAGAGGCTCTAGATGAGAATCTATTTCCTTTCCTTTTCTGCTTCTAAAGGCTATCCTCATTCCTTGGCTTGTGGCCCTTTCCATCATACCTGCAACATTTGCCCTGAAAAATATTCAGATCCTCTGTCACAGCCTATGATATGCCATTGTTTTCATATCAAACCAGATTTTATTTAATTTATAGATAATATAAAAATATTTCTTCTAAAGGAGGTTTGTGTACTTCTGTCACCTGTCTCCTTGAAGAGAACACAGGAACTTATATATGGAAAGATAGTCAATGCTCACAATAAGTTTTTTTCTCCTAACTACTACTTGACTTCCTTTCCTTATAAATGTAATCTTATACAATTTTACAAGATACCTTTACTTTAGATCCATGATAGAGAGCATAACTTTATTTGACTATATTCTGGTTTCTATGAAAATATCAACAGAATAAAAAAATCTTTAGCTATATTTTTTCAATCATGTTTACAAAATTGTATTTTAATATTGTCCTATAAACTTTGAATGAAGTCACTAACTGAAGAAGCTTATGATTTCTTCATTTGTTCTGAAATCATTGCTGAAGGCACTATGTATTTCAACAGATAGCAAAGTCTAACCCTTGAGCCTGCAGATGTTTTGTTTGGTAACTAAAAAATAATATTTAATTTATATATTATATAAAGTTTGATACAGTCAAAATGTTTTTATATATTAGATATATATAATGTTTTATTTCTTTATTGTAGAGACAAAGTGTCACTCTGTTGCCCAGGCTGTAGTGCAATGGAGTGATCATAGCTCCCTGCAGCCCCAACCTCCTGGGATTATGCAAGCCTCTCACCTCAGATTTCCTAGTAGCTGGGACTTCAGGTGTCCCACCATACCCACTTATTCTCTCTCTCTCTTTTGTTTTACAGATAGGGTATCGCTATGTTTCCCAGTCTGTTCTCAAACTCCTGGCCTCAGGAGATCCTCTCAGTTCAGCCTCCCAAGTAGCTGGAATTACAGGTGCAATCCACCACACTCAGCTTTAAATAATGTTTTATAACATTAAATGTAACCCTGATGAAGAATCACTACATATATGTGCATATGTATATATGTGTATGTATAATATATATATTAAAAATTAGATATATGAAAATTAGATATATGTAGTATGTTTTATAACATATAACCCTAGTGAAGGACTACTACTATATATAAAATTATTTATATAATATATAAAACATTATATATGTAATTGAATGTATTAAATATATACTATATAATTATATATCATATATAGTTATATACAAGTATATATTATATAATATATAAAAGCTATATTTATTTAGATAAATATATACTTACATATAATTATATATAATATATAAATATGTGTTATATTATATGTAATATATATACATTTAGTCAGGGTGCCATTCCTATCTCATAGGGCCATGACACCCTGCTATCTCGAGGCAAGCTGCTCTAAACATTTGTGTTACCTGGTTCACTCTTGAAGGTATTTATGCTTCCTGACCTAAGTGTTACTTTGCACGTTGTATTTCTCTCAGCACTTGAGTCTTCTAGAACATTATCTTTGCTCAAAAACTGGTACTTTTTTTCATACAGCAGTATCTTCCAAACAGAGTTATGTCAAATTTTTGAAACAATTATGCCTATTTATTTATTTACTTATTTATTTACATCCATATGATAAATATATTATTAAAATCATAAAGCATACACTAAAATGAGCAGTAGGATATGAATGTGTTAAAATAATTGAAAGTGCTAGTATTTTTAAGGCATTCCACTATAAAGATCACTACTCTAAATATTATGATTGCATTTATTTAAACACAATGGCTTCTAAGGAGCCTGGAGGCAGGAATTGATGGACAATAAAAGAGATTTTTTGACTTGATGTTGACAGTGTTGGTCTTTTGCCTTAATCTTCATTGTCTCCAATATTTAATTTATTTAAATCTTCCATTATATATGTTTTTTCTCATCTTTTTTGAAAAATAAAAATGTTTTTAAAAAATTATTCAGTCTATTGGATAGAGTACAGATATCAAGATATCACAGAATATTAGAGCTCAAAGAATAATTAAATAAACTAATTATGCGGGAAGATAAAAATAATTGCATGTGAAATGTAAATGATATTCTCAAGGTCACACTCATCCCTATGTAAGTCACATCAAACATACTATAATACATTTGAATTCCACTAGAGTCTCCAATTGGATTTTTATTCCTCAAATTGGCTAATACTTTTTGAGCCCTTTTTTGAGTAGACTCTAATTTGAAAAGGCTGCAGTCTTTCCAAAATCTAATGATACTTTTGAAAGCATTCTATCAAAGAAAAATAGATCTACCCTGCTCATAACTTTCTTAGGCCAAGATGTACACTTTAGTAATTCTTCACTGGAATTATACATAGGAACCATCACCTCAGGAATTTTTTTAAACTAAAAATACTAGGACTTCTTCTAGAATGAGCATCGCTGTTTGTAGGCTCTTGATATGCATAAAGAAAAAAGAAAGAGGAAAGGAAAGGTTATCAGAGCAATATATGGGCATTTCAACTTAAGAACCCATTGAATACAAACTACCTGAGTTGATGACTAAAAAGGTGAAATTTAAATTTGTGAAATTTAAAACTCCATCCTTAATTAAAGCAACCATAAAAATTGGCAGGTTTAAGTGTGTTTTCTTCATACACAAACAGCCCTCTATTTTCATTCAGTCATTTCCAAATACTTAAGTGGCTTTGATTTTATTGTACATATCAAATCTTTAGTTGAATAATACATTAGAAGGCAAACATGTCTACCATAATCATTTCAAATGAGCCAAGATTTTATGAAATCCAAAAGGGAATAGTAATATTGGCTTATGACCAAATAAAATTATAATATAAGTGCAATCACAATTGGCTTTATTTTCATTGCTAAACCCAGATGACCTATTTGCTTGTTTTTCTAGAGAGTTGGAACTTGGGCTAGGGATCTATCCCAATAAGCCTTGGGTATCCTAACATCTAAACAATTTAATTGGTGTGATTCATAAAATGAGATCTAGAAATGAAAATGAATAACAATAACATTTGGTACAGTTCTTTTCATTTTCTAATTACTGTCAAAATAAAGATGTATAACCACACTTACATGGATAAACAAATAAGGGATAAATACATTGATAAATTTGAATGGTGATTCCATTGCAAAAATTACTAAAATGATGAAAATTCATTTTCTTTGTTTAGACAAATCTGGTACTTATATTAAAATATGCACCAGGGAACATTTTCAAAGCTTTTATGATGTCTTTTATGCTGCTTCACATTTTGATTTTGAGAGGGGAAAATTGCCTTGGGGGAGAAATCCTTCAGAAAGAAGAAGAGAGGGAACACAAGGACTCAGGAAAAAAAAAAGAAAAAAAAAAGTTTGCAACTGCAGAGAATGATTAGTGCAAGGAAAAGGAGGAGGAGACATCTGTTGGTGAAATGATTTTTAGAGATAATTAAGTGCATTCATCCAGAAATAACACATATTATACATCGTTTGCAGGCACACATGGCTTTACTAAAAACAAGAGAGACTATGAAAGGCCCACAGAAATAATCAGCAGCTTTGGCCTGATGTCACCAGAATGTCAGCCCTCCCTATGTGCCCCACCTCAGCCTCCCTAAACCTCTTTCATTCTTCATAATAATATTTATTGCAGAGTATATATGTTATTTACAGAGGTAAGCTGAGTTGAAAAGTATTGTCAGAAAAGTGTAGCCAGGTCCTTAGGTCTCTTAAGTAGCTTAGATTAATATCCTATTTTAATCTCCCAGAACTTAATTGGATTTCTGGGTATCTAAGAAAGTCCAAGTATAAAGGATATTTGTGTTCAAAAAATTGTACGCAGATTTTTTTAAAGAACAGAATAAAGCAATGAACCTGACAGTAATGACCGTTTTAAAGACTTAATAATAAACTAACCTTAGAAATTAAAACGTTTAGATTTTGCTTGATTCTTGCTTATTTAATCATTTTCCATAATAGAATTTATGCTTTATGTCTTGGTATGTGATGCCTTCTTGTGCACAGTTTTGGATATTCTCTGTAAAGTACTAAACGATAGGTCTTAAAATGTAGTTAAATAAATAACAAAGAACAAGATAAAAGACACATAAAAGAACTTATCTATATCATTTACCATGCACACAACACCTATAAGGTCATGTTTAGTTTTTAAGTCAACATGAACTTGAAAGGTTTAGAGCAAAAAATAAATGTAGAAATGAAAATGGAAAGCACTATTTTCTTCTCATTAATTGAGGTTAACTATACAATCAAATAAATAAAATGGATTCTGTTTTTCACATAATCATTTGACATTGAGATTTCTAGTGCATGGCTCAGACCTTTTGCCTTTCTAAAACAGCTCCTATCTCTCCTGCAACTTCAGCATACATTGAAATTGTAATGATTCTTTAATAACTAGCCCCAGTGTCATCTATTTTAAACTGCTTTAGTGCAAGGGCTTTTAGCTCCATGTCACTGATCTTCCACAAAATAAAACTGATTTTTAAATCATAAAAATATAGCATTGCACATAATGAGAAATCCCAAGGTAGGTTGGGATTCTTCTATGGTTGATTAATTTATTAGCTTAAATCATTAAGGATTCAGTTTCTCTCCATTTTTCTACTCTGCCATCCTTATAGTCTTAGCAAACCTCATGATCCCAAATGGCTGCCATAGATCCAGGCATAAAGTGAAAATGAGGCCTTTGAAAAGTCACAAGGATAAAAGAAGGTATGCCCCTTTTCTTGTGTTTGTTTTTAAGAGTGAGGATGAATTTTCCCAGACATGTCCGACAGAGTCATATATTATTTGCTAGAATTATCACATGGCCATTCACATGACTATCTCTTAAGAGGGTGAATAAAATTACTGTGAGTACATGGCCTTGGACTAATAAAGATCAAATAGAAGGTAGCTTTCTGATACCTGAATGGTAGAAGGGTTCTGATGATAAAGACAAATGAAGTGTTGGTGGTACTATTGGATTAGCAGCACACACCGTCTGCTACAAACACTTTATTTATACCACTTGTATAAACAATCACTCTTGTCCTTGAATAATACTTATTTTGGTAAGAATCATACATTAATTTATTCAATACGAGGAATTTTAAAGAAGAGACCACATTGGAAAGCTTTTCTTTTTTTAAACGTCCTAACTTAGCTGGATGTAGTTGTTTAATTATAATAGGTAGTCAATAAAACTTTTTTGAACGAATGAATACATTTGTAAGTTATTGTTTGGCATGCAGTTTTCATTTGGACACATTTATTTTTAGCTGAAACTAAATATATTTTTCTTGACTTGGTGAAATGCTTCCTTAACTATATTTTTAGAATGCTTTTTTCCTAAGAAGAAAACATTTCAGTGTACAATTTGCTTCGTATAAAAACAAAAAAGGTATTTTTAAACTGCAACTTTTACAAAATAAAGTTTAACACTATATAGGAAGACGGAACTTCTTTAAGTTTAATAACGTGATCTCCAACTACAGTACATCTGCAATAATTTTAAGTTAACTGCTTTGACGCAATTGGTGTGAATCTTTCCAGAGACAATATAAACACCAAATGTTGGAAAATGACTTATGAGTTTTGTCATTTGTCTTTAAACAAAAAGGAAAATGTGCTTGGAATAAAAATGAATAGTTTATTTCAATTCTATTATAAAGAAATTCAATTATGGATTTAAAAAATGGCACTTTCTTTTAATTGCCATTTCCATAACTTTATCCAGGGTGTCTTTTCTCTAACCTGGACTTAACTCCAGCTGCCTGCACTCTATGCATTCCAACTTAGCAACAAAATGCTACTACATTGATTTGACTTTTACACACAGATCCAGTCACATCAACCTCTTATGTAGCATGTATAGATTATACATGATCTAGAGAATTGAATACCATTTTTCATTGTTCTGATAATGAAGTCTATTCTTAAAATACACCTAACTCAAGTTTTCATCCTTCCCCTTCTGATATCCAAACACATCTTATTCTCTAGTCTACTTGTATTAATCACAGATTTCCAAACAAAATCTTTGGTTTCTCCATCTGTCAATATTCTTACTTTACTCAAGATACATCTATACAGTTTTACTCATTTGGGAAAACTTTTATTGTATATCTACTGTCATGTAATCTTTCCATCCAATTAATAAGCTTCTATTAATATTTCCCATAAGCCACTGTTATAGTTGAATTGTGCTCTTCCCACCAGAAAGAAAAAAAAATAAGGGATGTTGTAGTCTTAACCCCCAGTAACTTATTCGGAAATAGGAATAGGGTCTTTACCTATAGGAATAGTTAAATTCCGATGAGGCGATACTGGAGTAGGATAGGCCCCTAATCCAATATGACTGGCACCCTTATAAAAGAAGACACAGAGACCACAAGGAGAACACCAAATGAGGGCAAAGGCAAAGATTGAAGTTAGGCAAATGCCAGCAAAAGGATATTAAAGATTGCCAGCAATCTTTCAGGAGCTAGGAAGAGGCAAGAAAAAGATCTCTCTACAGGTTTCAGAGTGAAGGTGCCCTTGCCGATGCCTTGATTTTGGGATTCTAGACTCCAGAACTATAAAACAACCAAATGCTGCTGTTTGTGTGACTTTTTAAAGGAAGCCCTAGGGAATTAGTGCAGCCACTGAGTAGAGTCCCTATTATTTTATAAATATTCATGGATATCCCTTCCCTTTTTCTCCTTCTCTCCCCATCCTCCTATTTAAACACAGTAGTATATCATTTTCTTTCTTCCCATTATAAACCATATGCAGGTAAGAACTTTACCTTATCTTTAAATGTATCACTCATTTTTGAAACTTCTTTAGTGACTTAACAATAATTGTTTTTTTTTTTTTTTTGAAGATTTTGCCTTTATTTTTATTTTATTTTATTTGATTATTATACTTTAAGTTTTAGGGTACATGTGAACAATGTGCAGGTTAGTTACATATGTATACATGTGCCATGCTGGTGTGGTGCACCCACTAATTCGTCATCTAGCATTAGGTATATCTCCCAATGCTATCCCTCCCCCCTCCCCCCACCCCACAACACTCCCCAGAGTGTGATGTGACTTAACAATAATTGTTACCTAATTAAAACAAATGAAAACATTCTGAGACAATATTATGATTTAACATTCCTTGTAAGTGCATCCCAATGCTTCAGGCAAACACCTAAAAATATTTACCAAGTAATTCTGATTTCTTAAATTTTTTCTGCATATCATATGGCATACAAAATCATATACATTCTTACAAATGGTGAATTTCAAGGGCTACCTAACTTAAAACATACAAATGCAAAGATAAATATTCATTCAATTGTGTAGATAGTAATATAAGTAAACATGTAGTGGTTCTAAAGCCCTTCTATTTAACATTTAGAATATATGAGTATCAAGTGGGTAACTGAGAACCAATTAATTGCACATACCTACGTATATATCTGCTTTATATGTATATAAAGGAGGGAAAATAGAATATTAAACCATCATATATCTATTACTCAATTTGAAAATTATCATCTCAAGACCAGTTTTATTCATGTATGCACCCACAACTTCCTTCACATTCTAGTGAATTATAAAAATGTGTGTTTGTTTTAATTTTTAAAATTTTCTTTCATCAATCTGTTATCCTGTATCTGGTGATTTTTCTACCTATTAGATGCCCAGAAAACATTTCTTATAGGTCAATTTAGAATATCAGAATATTTCTGATTGGGATATTCTAAAATGTCTATATGAGAATATTGAGAAGTAAGACTTGAAAGTCAGTGATTAAGGAAACTTTTTTTTTGAGATGGAGTCTCCCTTTGTCACCCAGTCTGGAGTGCAGTGGCGTGATCTCAGTTCACTGCAACCTCCACCTCCCAGGGTCAAACGATTCTCCTACCTCAGCCTCCCGAGCAGGTGGGATTACAGGCACGTGCCACCATACCTGGCTAATTTTTGTATTTTGGTAGAGATGGGGTTTACCATGTTGGGCAGACTAGTCTAGAATTCCTGGCCTCAAGTGATTCACCCACCTCAGGCTCCCAAAATGTTGGGACTACAGGCGTGAGCCACTGCGCCTGACCTAATTAAGTTTGAATGCCAGCAGTGATCTCAATGTGTTCCGTTTTGGGGGGTAAAATGAGGGAAGGAGTGTTGGATTTTCATTTAGTTATAAATAAACAAAGAGTCCAAAATTAATAGGTGTAAAATAAAAGATTGAAAACCTTTAAAAATTTAAATGGTTCTAAGACAGCTGCTGTAGTCCCCACGGAATTCCTAGCTGGTCATTAAGCCTAAACTGATCCCCACATTTTACTAATCTGGTGTCAGTTGCAGGGAAAGGGTATCAGGAAAAGTCTAGGAGTCCAGGTAGGACAAAAGTTTGAACAGGTGAGTGGTGCCAAATTTCACAGGAGAGGATGAATGATAAAGAATAGGGCTTTGAGTATCTGCCCTCTCACTGTCAATAAAGTGCTTGTAAATAAGAAAATTAATGCGGAACAGATGAAAGGGCCTCACAAGGGTTAGGCAATTCAGACATCATAAAAAATGTGACTGATATTTTGGAATGAAAGCACTGTATAACATTCTTTATTTCCAATGCACTTATTTAAAAAGTTAATTTTTTTGCATAATATACAGGTTCTAAACCCTCAGCTTAAAGCTATAATTGCAAACTTAAATAAAATTTTAATTTAAAAAAATTAAAGTTAATTCAGTATCTTAAAAGTCTTGGCTTTATGATATATAATCTCATGAGGGAAACAGATTTTAAACAAATAACCAAGGAAACATGTAATTTCAGGTAATGAAAATAAGTCAGCAAAATGAAGAGCTTGATAGTAACTTGAGGGAGGACTATTTGACTTAGAATGGTTAAACGCATCTCTGAGAAAGTAAATTTGAACAGAGATGTAAATGACAAGAGGGAGTGAAGCACAATGATTTCTGTAGGAATATCTTTACAGACAAAGGGAATGGTGAGAACAAGGCCCCTAAGACCAAGTTTGGCTATAGATGGAAGAGAAGGAGGGAAGAAAAGAATGTATAGAGTTGAAATCAAGGGCCTTGACAGGGTATTAGGTAAAGTCAAGTAGATCGTAAAAGGAGTCCCACTTCTAAATTCTTTTGGAAGCCACTTGCAGGGTTTAGAACAGTGGAGCAATATGAACTACTTTCAAGTTTTACAGGAACACACTGTCACTTTCCTGAACTGACTTTATGTTGTTGGAAGAGTAGATGCAGGAAGACAAGTTTGGCTATTGCAGCAATTCTCGGAGACATAAAGGTGTTTTAGGCTAGGATAGTGGGTTAGGGTTCTCTAGAGGGACAGAACTAATAAGAGAGATGTATATAAGAAGGGGAGTTTATTAATGAGTATTGACTCACACAGTCACAAGGTGAAGTCTCACAATAGGCCGTCTGCAAGCTGAGGAGGAAGGAAACCAGTCTGAGTCCCAAAATGTCAAAAGTAGAGAAGCCGACAGTGCAGCCTTCAGTCTGTGGCCAAAGGCCCAAGAGCTCCTTGCAAATCTCTGGTATAAGTCCACAAGTCCAAAAGCTGAAGAAATTGGAGTCTGGTGTTCGAGAGCAGGAAGCATCCAGCATGGGAGAAAGATGAAGGCCAGAAGACTCAGTAAGTCCAGTCCTTTCCCATTCTTCTGCCTGCTTTTATTCTAGCTGTACTGGCAACTGATTGGATGGTGCTCACCCAGATCGAGGGTAAGTACACCTCTCCCAGTCCACTGACTCAAAAGTTAATCTCCTTTGGCAACACTGTCACAGACACACACAGGAACAATACTTTGTATCCTTCAGTCCAATCAAGTTGACAATATTAACCATCACAAGTCCACCCTTGTCAACTTGAACCCATAAACATCCCCTGAAATCATACGTAATCTTCAAATAAAGGCAATAATAAGGTCATAATTAGGCCTAGCATAATACAGCTATCCTTTGTACAACCAGAAGCACACTAATCCTTAACCTAAATATTGTTACACAAAGTTAGCAATACTCAAATGCTGATATGAAGTCAATAAATCGTATGTCACAAGATAAAGGGGAAAGGAAATAAAATGAAGATATTTTCTTATTACGAGTGTATACATGAACAAACATGTTCTTAACAAAATAAGAGGGAAATACTCATGACAATTACAGTCTTCATTTCTACAACTGGTCATGTCGTTGTAGCTGGTATTGATGACTACCTTCTTCTAGTACCTATTCTGTATTTCCTTTGCCTTCAGCAAGCATCTCAGCAGGTCATTGTTTTTTACCTGGTGAAGTGACCCAAACCTTCATTCCTGAAGGGTCGGGGCCATTTGTAGTCCTGCCTGGATTGGGTTGTTATAGTTTCCCATTGACCTTAATCACAGGGCATAGTAATACTAAAAGACACGCTAAGAGATCTCCTGTATTCCACACTTACTCTTCCTTACCTCCATTGTGGAGTAGTAGACTGATTTCATCTTGATAGTCCCCAACACTGTAACTCCCTTCTTAGCCTGTTGATTTGAAGGTAGGAAGATCCCAAAGTGGCCAGGTGGCAATCTCAACTTCCAGTTTAATGGAATCATTGGCATTCCTCCCTCTGGAACTAAGATCTCTAGGTCAGCAGAAAGTAATGTCATGGAAACAGGAAGCAAAAATTTTGCTAATGGATCACTAGGGATGATGGTGAGTGGTGCCAATTCCACTTCCACCCCCTTGATTCCTGGTCCCGTGAATCCTGGCTATGGGAGAATCAGTACCATATATTGGATGCGGATTCAGAGCATACACAGTCTTCTGGAGAACTTTGCCCCAGCCCTGCAAAGTATTGTCATCTAGTTGGCATTGTAATTGTGACTTCAAAAGGCCATACCACCATTCTATCAATCCAGCTGCTTGAGGATGATGGGTAACATGGTAAGACCAGTGAATTACATGAGCACGAGCCCATTGCCACACTTCTTTAGCCATAAAGTGAGTGCCTTGGTCAGAGGCAATGGTATGTGAAATATCATGATGGTGGATAAAGCATTCTGTGAGTCCATGGATGGTGGTCTTGGCAGAAGCATTGCAGGCAGGATAGGAAAACCCATATCCAGAGTAACTGTCTGTTCCTGTGAGGACAAAGTGCTGCCCTTTCCATGAGGGAATAAGTCCAATATAATCAACCTGCCACCAAGCAGCTGGTTGATCACCCTGAGGAATGGTGCCATATTGAGGACTCAGTGTTGGTCTCTGCTGCTGGCAAACTGGACACCCAGCAGTGCCGTAGCCAGGTCAGCCTTGGTAAGTGGAAGTCCATGTTGCTGGGCCCATGTGTAACCTCATCCCTGCCACCATGGCCACTTTGTTCATGGGCCCATTTGGTGATGACAGGAGTGGCTGGGGAAAGAGGCTAAGTGGTGTCCTCAGAATGAATCATCCTATCCAGTGATTACTAAAATCTTCCCCTGCTGAGGTCACCCATTGGTGAGCACTCACATGGGATACAAATATCTTCACAGTTTTTGACCAGAGAGGTCTGCCTACATACCTCTTCTCCAAATTTTGTCACCAATTTTCCAATCATGCTTATTCCAAGTCCCTGACCATCCAGTCAAACCATTGGCTACAGCCCATGAATCGGTATATAATCACACATCTGGCCATTCCTTCTTCATTGCAAAGTGCACAAACAGATGCACTGCTCAAAGTTCTGCCCACTGGGAAGATTTCCCTTTGCCACTGTCCTTCAGGAATATTCTAGAAAGGGGCTGTAGTGCTGCAGCGGTCCACTTTCGAGTGGTGCCTGCATATGATGCAGAACCATCTGTAAACCAGGCCCTCGTCTTCTCTTCTGTTGACTGATCATAGGAAACTCCCCATGAGGCCATTGATGTAGGCTGGGGGAAAGAAGACAGGGTGGCAGGAGTGGGGATCATGGGCATTTGAGACACTTTCTCATGTAACTTATTTGTGCCTTCAGGACTTGCTTGAGCCTGATCACGTATATACCACTTCCATTTGATGATGGAATGCTTCTGTGCACGCCCAATATTATGGCTAGATGGGTCACAAAGCACCCAGTTCATGATAGGCAGTTCAAGTCACATGGTGACTTGATGACCCACAGTCAAACGTTCAGTTTCTACGAAAGCCCAGTAACAGGCCAAGAGCTGTCTCTAAAAATCACAGTAGTTTTCTACAGAAGATGGCAGGGCCTTGCTCCAAAATCCTAGAGGCCTCCACTGTGATTCACCTATGGGGGCCTGCCAAAGGCTCCAAACAGCATGGCTATCTGCCACTGACAACTCAAGGACCATTTGATCTGCCGGATCATATGGCCCAAGTAGCAGAGCAGCTTGTACAGCAGTCTGGACCTGTTGCAAAGCTTTCTCCTGTTCTGGATCCTACTCAAAACTGGCAGCCTTTCAGGTCACTCAAATAAACAGGCCTGAGTAACACACCCAAATGTGGAATGTGTTGCCTCCAGAATCTAAATAGGCCCACTAGGCATTGTGACTCTTTCTTGGTTGTAGGAGGCGCCAAATGAAGCAACTTATTCTCCACTTTAGAAGAAATATCTCAACAGGCCCCACACCATTGGACCCCCTAGAAATTTTACTGAGGTAGAAATTCCCTGTATTTTAGTTGGATTTATTTTCCGTTCCCATACACTGTTAATGGCATGGGTAATTCCCATACATTGTCAGATTTATTTCCCATTTCCCATACATTGGTAAGATGCAAATGTCTTACTAATAAGTTCAATGTGTTTGCTACTTCTAGCTCATTGGTTTCAGTCAGCATAATGTCATCAATGTAATGGACCAGGGTGGTATCTTGTGGAAGAGAAAAGCAATCAAGATCCCTGTGAACAAGATTATGACACAAAGCCAGAGAGTTGATATATCCCTGAGGTAGGACAGTAAAGGTATATTGCTAGCTTTGCCAGCTGAAGGCCAATTGCTTCTGGTGGGCATTATAGACAGAAATGGAGAAAAAGGCATTTGCCAAGTCAATGGCTGCATACCAGGTACCAGGAGATGTGTTAATTTGTTCAAGCAATGAGACCACATCTGGTACAGCAGCTGCAATTGGAGTCACTGCTTGGTTAAGCTTATGATTGCAATAATCCATTGTCATTCTCCAAGATCCATCTGTCTTCTGCATAGGCCAAGTAGGAGTGTTGAATGGGGATGTGGTAGGAATCACGACCCCTGCATCTTTCAAGTTCTTGACGGTAGCACTAATCTTTGCAATCCCACCAGCGATGTGATATTGTTTTTGATTTACTATTTTTCTAAGTAGAGGCAGCTTTAATGGCTTCCATTTGGTCTTTCCCACCATTTTAGCCCTCACCCTACCAATCAGGGAGCCAATGTGGGGATTCTGCCAACTGCTAAGTATGTCTTTGCTAATTATGCATTCTGGCACTAGGGAAATGACTACAGGATGAGTCCGGGGATGCACTGTAAGTTGGACCTGAGCTAAAACTCCATTAATTACTTGACCTCCATAAGCCCTTACTTTAACTGGAGGACCACAGTGACATTTTGGGTCCCCCGGAATCAATATCAGCTCAGAGCCAGTGTCAAATAGTTCCAAAAAGTTCTGATCATTTACCTTTCCCCAATGCACAGTTACCCTGGTAAAAGGCTGGAGGTCTCCTTGGGAAGGATTGGAAAAGATTAACAGTATAAATTGTTGGTAGTGGAGTTGGGTCCTTCTTTAAGGGATCCAGCCTCCCTTTCATTCAAAGGGTTCTGGGTGTATAAACTGGTTCATGTCTGGAAATTGAGGGGCTGTGATTCTCTATTTTCATAATTGAAATTAGCCTTTCTTCCAGTTGACCTGGAAGTTCTCTGCTTATACAAATTAAGTAAGAATGCAGTGGGATTCCTATCAATTTTACTTCTAGGAACACCGTGATTAATTAGCCAATGCCAGAGCTCTACATGAGTCAGACTATTCTGATTGCTGCCTTGCCTCTGCTGTTCATCACAGTAACTACGTCCACATTGCCTCTGATGACTGAGTGCTGTCACATGGCCCCTGTCACCTTGGGATCCAATTATTCCCATTGCATTTAAATTGTCTAATTGAGTGACTGCAATTTCCACTGTAAGATCTGGTATACAGATAGGAGCAATCACAGAGCTCTTCAAGGATGCAGGTGCTCCCCTCACAGATCTATTTCACAAAGTATTGGTAAAGGGTGTGTCTTCTGGACCATCCCAGCTGGGATGAGTAGATCTAAGGTCATGAATCCACTATAGCATTCCAATCTTCCTAAGCCTTTGGGTCCCTTCCTCTACATTAAACCAAGGGAGACCAGGCATTTCCAGCTCTCTCACAGTGGATAAATTATGAGAACCTTTTTTGGTTTTGTTTTGTTTTGTTTTGTTTTTGCGATGGAGTTTTGTTCTGGTTGCCCAGGCTGGAGTTCAATGCGGTGATCTCAGCTCACTGAAACCTCCACCTCCCAGGTATTAGAACCTTTTTCAGCTCCTTGAGCTGCCACATTAAATGCAGGATCTCTGCTTCATGGGTGCATATCAAGAAATTCAGCCTGATCCAACTTTATGTTCCTTCCACCATTATTCCACACCCTTAATATTCAGTCTATGACTGTTCTCCAGATTTCTGCTTATATAAATTAGAAAACTCTAGCAGTTCTTTCTGAGTGTAGCACACCTCATGGGTCGCACTCTGAACCTCACCTCTAAGGTCTTGCCAGAACTTGAGTCTAGTTACAGGTCTAAAAGCAAATAGCCGTGTTGGGGGTAGGTCCTGAAGAGAATCATCATTGTCTTACCTGGCCACTGCCTCAGGGGAGGCTAACACTGTTGACTCAGGCAGTGCATGGTTAATCTCCTCAGGCAAAGGTGGAAGGGCTGATGGCATATGGGTGGAGGAGGAAATGTTGCCACCACTAGGGGTGGGGAGGCTCTTTCCTCTGGCAGAGAAAGCTCATCAGAGTTTACAAGCTCTGTGATTCTAGCTTCATCAGGGTCCTCCCACGTGTCCCCATTCCAAGTTGCAGGATCTCATTCTTTTCTAAAGTGAAGTCAATGCCTTCACTTTAATGAGAGAGCTGATGAGACTGAGCGTGCACCTGTCATTGCAGGTCAGCCACTCTCTTGATGAGAAGTTGTATCTGATTTTCCAAAATTTCAGCCCTTCGTCTACAGGAGACAAGACTCTCACTCAGGGTAATCTTAGAAGACTTGAGGCTCAGTATGTGCTCCTGAAGGAAGGAGTTAGAATCCTTGAGTTCATTATTTTATTTCATCACTTTGTCCGATGAACTTAGGAGCAACCAACCAACTTCATTTTATCCCTTGGTTCTCCACATGTGGTCAAAGGTATTATGTATAGAGTCACTAAACTCTTTGCCTCTCATGAGTGGTGAATTAGGAGTTTCAAATGCACTTATTTTGCATAATTCTCTAAACAGTTCACACCAAGGACTATTGATGTTCTCCATACTATTAGAAGTAGTCTTTAGGATTTTTGGGTTTAAACATGTTAAGCAGCCAATTCCAGAAGCTCTAAAACCAACTAAAGAAATACATCCCTACAATTCTGTTCCTCTAGAACCACTCCTGTTACCAAAATCTGTATTAGTCAGGGTTCTCTAGAG
This sequence comes from Homo sapiens, assembly GCF_000001405.40. Classification (NCBI taxonomy): domain Eukaryota; kingdom Metazoa; phylum Chordata; class Mammalia; order Primates; family Hominidae; genus Homo; species Homo sapiens. Next base: position 66,184,299 of record NC_000013.11, read on the forward strand.
GGACAGAACTAATGGGATAGATGTATATATGAAGGGTTACTTATTAAGGAGTATTGACTCACACAATTACAAATTGAGTCCCACAATAGGCCATTTGCAAGCTGAGGAGCAAGGAAGCCAGTCAAAGTCACAAAACCTCAAAAGTAGGGAAGCTGACAATGCAGCCTTGTCTGTGGCCAAAGGCCCAAGAGCCCCTGACAAACCACTGGTGTAAGTCCAAGAGTCCAAAAGCTGAAGAAATTGGAGTCCAATATTTGAGGGCAGGAAGCCTCCAGCACAGGAGAAAGATGAAGGCTGGAAGACTCATCAAGTCTAGTCCTTCCACATTCTTCTGCCTGCTTTATTCTAGCTGCACTGTCAGCTGATTAGACGGCGCCCACTCAGATTGAGGGTGGGTCTGTCTCTCCCTGTCCATTGACTCAAATATTAATCCCCTTTGGCAACACCCTCATAGACACACCCAGGAACAATACTTTGCAACTTTCAATCCACTCAAGTTGACACTCGATATTGCCTTGTCCATTGCCTACACAGAGCCAGTTCATCAAGACAGGGGAATTGAAATAGAGAAAGAGTAATTCATGCAGAGTCAGCTGTGTGGGAGACCAAAGTTTTATTATTACTCAAATCAGTATCCCCAAGCATTCAGGGAGCAGAGTTTTTAAGGACAACTTGGTGGCTGGGGGGGAGGCCAGTGAGCCGAGAGGGCTGATTGGTCAGAGATGAAATCATAGTGAGTCCAAGTGGTCTTCTTGCACTGAGTCAGTTTTTGGGTGGGGGCCACAAGATCAGATGAGCCAGTTTATCAGTCTGGGTGGTGCCAGCTGATCCATCAAGTGCAGATGGATCAAAAGTCTGCAAAATATCTCAATCACTGATCTAAGGAGCAGTTTAGGGAGGGTTAGACTCTTGTAACCTCCAGCTTCATGACTTTTAATGCATAATTTCTAACTCATGGCTAATGTTAGTACTACAAAGGCAGTCTAGTCCCCAGGCAAGAAAGAGGTCTGCTTTGGAAAAGGGCTGTCATTGTCTTTGTTTTAAACTATAAACTAAGTTTCTCCCAAAGTTAGTTCAGCCTATACCCAGGAATAAACAAGGACAGCTTGGAGGTTAGAAGCAAGATGGAGTCAGTTAAGTTAGATCTCTTTCTCTGTCTCAGTCATAATTTTGCAAAGGTGGTTTCAAAAGTAGATGAAAATTCCTGATAAATTGGATTTAAGTTTAGGGGAAAGAGAAGTCAAGGTTGACGACTAGGTTTTTAGTCCAAGCAACCTAGTGAAGGTGGTACCTCTACTAAAACGGGGAAGAGGGGCCAGAAGAGCTTTTTGAGAAACAATCTTTTGGTCATATTAATATTGAGAACTCTATATAAATCGAATTATCACTTAAACTGTGGTGACTCTGGTACTAGAGCTCAGGAGAGAAATTAGTGTTGAAATACAAAATTTTGGATTCAAAAGCACACTGAGTATATCTAAAGCTAATCTGTAATCCCTAATATTATATGCTGGTGGTTGTATTCCTTATCCTAGCACTATTGATTTAATAATGCAATAAGATAGTTATCCATTTTCTTCCTCTGGATAAAGTGCACTGATTTCTTTTCCTTTTAAAAAATATTTGCTGTCTATAAAATAAACCCAGACCATTCTATTGATTTGAGCATGCTTGTTGGAAGGTCTTGAACCTCTTTTTATGCCTCTTCTCTTCGAAAAGAGATAACAGATTCACAGTAAAATATTGAGAAAAATTCAAAATGTGTTTTATAAATACAGGTTCTCATTCTTCACATAGCAGATACTCAGTAAACATTTTTATGTTCAATTAAATTTATAAGCAAAAGCAAAATATTATTATGTTTAAAAAAAATCAGAAAGTTAACTAAGTAAATTCATTTAAAACATATCCAACTCCACCACCTAAATATACAAATATTTTACATCTGTAATTCTTTCAAGTAGTGAACATCAAAATCACTTGGAGTGGTGTTTCAAAAGTCCATGTCCAAGTCTCACTTCCCAAAACTCTGATTCAGTGTATGTGTGCGGGACTCTGGCAAGTGAATTGGGAAAAGACCGATATACACTAGATCCAAACTACTTTTAGCAAAAGATCTTGGATTGGCACTGCTGACTTTAATCTCTCTTACTTACTTTTCTTTCTTTCTTCTTCTAACCAAACTTCCATTTCAAGTTTCAACCTACAGATAAATTACCTTATTCCTTAAGTTGCCTTGTCCCATACTGAGACAGTCTTTTCAAAGCAATTTTGAATAGTGTTGATTATTTCATTATGCTTGCATTTCGTAGATGAATTTATATGGGGCCATTTTCCCTTGTATTTTAAATAAGCAGGCTTATCATCGCCCCTTGTCCACTATTGTTCAGCTGTTAACCAAGCTAAAGATTTTTTCAGTTTTTTCCAAATAATAATTTTTTCACTGCTCTTGATTCCGTCATTCAATTATAAAATTCATGTATTAATCTTTATATTTTTAGAAATTTGCATTAAAAAGCCTCATCCATGTATATAATCTATATTAATTATTTTCTAAAATTCTGCTCCTCTGCTGTTTATAACTGGCCATTAACTTCATCTAAAAACTTCGTTGTCACTGGAAAATCATAGTTTTAGTTCAGAATACACATAAATGGTCAAAATATACACATTTTATATTTTCTGAATAGGAAGTCTAATCTTTCAAAGACAATGAAAAATCTTTTTTTTTTTTTTTTTTTTTTTTTGAGATGGAGTCTCACACTGTCACCCAGACTGTAGTGCAGTGGAACCATCTCGGCTCACTGCAACCTCTGCCTCCTGAGTTCAAGTGATTCTTTTGCTCAGCCTCCCAAATAGCTGGGACTGCAAGCACGTGCCACCACACCCGGCTAATTTTTGTATTTTTAGTAGAGATGGGATTTCACCATATCGGGCTAGGCTGGTCTCGAACTCCTGACCTCATGATCCAGCTGCTTTGGCCTCCCAAAGTGCTGGGATTACAGGTGTGAGCCACCACATCTTGCCAAAACCTATTTTTTATATACTTAGAATTTTGCTTTAATTTTGAGAATCTTTTCTGTATTATACTAACAAGTTTTATATTTTATATTTCATTTCAAAAGCAAAACTACTGTTGAATTCCCTGCACTGATCATATAATAGTTGCTTCTTTGTGAAACAAATTCAGATTATGCAATGGAGTATACAGTGAAGATAGTGAGATTAATTTTACTCTGGATCTATGGTGTCATTTCCTTGGCAATTGCAAAATTTCTCAATGCCAAATTTATAAAGATGTTAATTTGTCCAAGCATTGAAACATAAATATATTGTTAATAAACATCCACATTTATTAAAATTATTTTCCATATGCAAACATTTATTTCTATCATTCTGGAAAATTAAGATATAAACTATCGGGAAACATACTGAAAAAAGTAATTGAAAAATAAATGGTTTCCTATAAAATATGTTCATGTTGAAAATCAAAATCACCTCTGTTACAGGAAAAGAGGTGGGGAAGAGCCCACTGGAGCCCACTGGAATTCTAGTTTCTGCCTACGACAAGACATGTCAGATGGACACAACTTTAAAACCTAATCTTCCATTTAGGGGTATCCTCACACTGATAAAATGTTTGTATCAGATCTAATGTTTATTTATTTTTTTAAATTTGGCTAGTTCTAGTAATATATTAATCAGTCACGAGTCAAAGCTTTAATTGCATGCCAAATCAATGATGAATTTAAATCATTGCTCTAGCAGAAAAGTTTCTCAACAACTAATTATTCAAAAACAAAACAAAACAAACCTCAGTAATCTACATTGACATCTTATTGCTTGACTAGTCAGAGTTTTGTTTGTAAACAATAAAAGTCAACTTTGGCTAATGTACAAGAAGAGAGAATTAATAAAAATGGTGTCAGAAATGTAATATACTCATTGGGAGGCTGAAAAACCAAGCTGGGGTATAAAATTGGCCACAGGAATAGCCTCTGAGGTCTATAGATACATCGCTCCATGCCCCCAAATCTTAACTCCACAGCAGCTGTTGTAAATTTCCAGCCATTCTTCTGCAGTGGTTACTATGCCTTGAACATCATGTATAACATCAAACTACAATTACATAGTGGAAATTTGTGGTGTAAGACAGTGTTGCCAAAATGCTTTCCCAATGTAAAAGGTATTTAAATCTGAGTGGAATGTAAATGTATTAGACAGGGTCTAGTCAAGAAGAAGAAGACAAATCAATTTTTCTAAATAAGAAGAATTTGATATAAAATTGTCACTTGTAAAAAAAGGGACAAATTACTAAAACTTGTTAAAGATAACTCCAAATGACACATAAATAGTAAGTAGATGTAGAAAACGGCCACTTTTAAGTCTGAGTACACAAAGAAGGAATAATCTTGGAAGCAAGTCCACCCATGACCAAAGCTGAGATGACAGACCTTGATGTTGAGGGTGTAGCTACGGTCTCCTGGATATTAGGGAAGTTAGCTGAGTTGCTGTATTGCTGGCAGGATAAAGCCAGGGAGTAGAAATTGCCCACTGTGCTGCTGATGAAGCTCAATGACCAATGTGGAACTTCGGCTCTACTGAATACCAAGAGCAAGGAAACTACATGCCAAGGTGCTGGCAAAACTTGCTGGAGGATGGAAAACACTGGATCTCTACCACACTTCTCCCAGGGAAGCCAGGTCCTAGGATGCCAACAAAACATGCTAGGATCTTGGTGCGATGTCAGTGAAAATTGCTGGAGGGTGAATACCACTGTTTCTTCTTAAACTACTAACACAGAAGCTGTTGATTTAGATGCTGGAGATACATTGGAGGGTGAGGGCCATTGAGTCTCCTTCAGATAAGGGCAGACATTCAAGATTTGACTCTGGTTATGGGTCTAGGGAAGCTCACATTGACTTGGGAGTTTGACATGTCTTTTATCTGAATCCAAATGAATGTTTTCTTTCCAAGCAACAAGGTTCCATTATTTCCCAATCAATGCAACATTCACATGAGAAACATGGTGACATGGTGAATTCAATCAGTTATTTATCAACCTGCACATTTACTGTGTTTGACTTCTTAACAATATCAGCTTAGTGGCTAAAAAAATAAGAGATTCTTTGAAAGTTGTCATGGAAGCTCTCTGGTTTTCAGATCGTGATTTGACCTGAGGGTTAACAGATCTGAACTTGTCATTTTTGTAAGTGTTCCAGTGCACTCAGCAGACTCCTCTGCTTATAAGAATTATACCATGATTATTATAAGTGTTATCACTGCCATAATGGTCAAGTGATACTGCCACTAAAGCTCCCAAGGCACATACTTCAGTTGGTGCTTCATCAAAATCAAACACGGGTGGTAGCTTGATTCATTGTTATGCCACTGCATGCCTTGATTTATGATTATCATGCTTCCCAATGATCAGTGTATCAGCAATGTGCTCAAGCCCATGGCTATGACCAAATAGATCCCCAAATCCATCTTTAAAGGTTTATCTGTTAGAGCCCCATCCAGTACCAATTCTGCATCAGAATCGGTCCAGTTAAGATATAGGAACCATATCAGGAATTGGTATAGGGAAAACTTAACACACAAAAAAATAATTAACTAAAAGTGATTAACTACTAAACAGAAGACAGCACAAAAAAAAAAAAAAAAAAAAAACCAGAAATAACAAACATAGAGAGCAGCTGCTATATCTATGGCCAAGGAAGAGTATCCAAGGAACAAAGAAACATTGAAGAACCACTCAATACCCCAACCTGGGCTGAAAGCCTGACTTTGTTGAAGAAGATGGGCATCTGTGGCCCACTGGATGACAAAATTTGCAGAGGTCCTGCAGTCCAAACCTGCTGAGCAGGGAATGCCAACCAAGATGCCAGCTGTCCAGGCCTGGCAAGCCAAAAACTGTCACAGGGTTGTCGAGCAAAATTTGAATGTCAGACAAACAATGAATAAAAGTATAGTATAAATATGTCCCAAATGTTGCCAAAAAGTTTCTATGAAATTCAAATTGAGTGTAGTGACTTGTATCTTTATTTGGTAAATACAGCAATTCTACTATGCAATGATGTAAAACTGCCCAGAAGGTGTGCACCACTGGTTCTCCTACACACTACTAGCAAGGAAGCTGCTAGACTCTTTGTAATGCCATCTAATGATAAGCATTGTACCAGGTATCAAAGAAAAAAAATGGCTGGGGGTGAAGCACTTCCAATAAAAACAGAAAAGGCCAGAAATGATAGATTTGGAGCTGAGAAACAATAAATTAGTAACTGGCATGAAAGATGTTCACTATAAATAGCTTAAAATATGACTTGATAAGTCATTTGAAAACAATATACAAGCAATATTTTAAAGCTTCTTAAATCACCAATTTTATATTTGTATATTTAATTTTAAATCGAGTGAGCATTTGTTTTCTTTTCAGGGATTCTTACACATTATAGTATTATGCATTCATAATATTTGTCAAAAAAATGTATTTCAAAGTGATATTGAAATGATGGCTACAATCATTAGTGGCAGTGAATGAATTAAAGTCCTGTGTAGTGAGTCATTTCTTCATAACTGCATAATTCATTGCTGTAGTTATATTTAAAAACTATCAAATTTGAGGGTTGATAAGCTGGAGAAATGAGCTAAACATAGTGTTTCTCTGATTATATGAGAGTGGTTTTTTTTCCTATGCGAGTGACATTTTGCAATGATGGAGTTTCAGTAAACTGCCATTAGATGCATTTTTCTGGAGTAGAAAAATAGTAACTGCTAATTTTGGTTGGATATGAAGGCCTACAATTATATTTTCTTCTACCCACAGAGCTATTTAAGATTTTTATGTTGTACAATGGTTTGTAGTAGCTTTTTAAATTTTTTTCAGGGATCTGAATGTCAAATCCATTGTGCAGTTCTGCTACACAGAGATATGATCAAGTTGTTTTTTTTTTTTTTCTCACATAAGGTAAAAGAAAGCATTTGAGGATTTTATATCAGTGAACTTTAAGAAATGAATAAATTTGCATTTTATTTATGCAAACATAAATTTGGCATTTTGTAGACAAAACATCTTGAGTGTCTTTGCGCATATGTGCTAAAAATAATTTTTTCAAATAACCATGGCTGAGGATGGCTGTTATTAAGAGGAGAAGAAATAACAAGTGTTGACAAGGATGTGGAGAAAAGAGAACCATTGTACACTGTTGGTGGGAATGTAAATTGGTGCAGCCATTATGGAAAACAATATGGAGGGTTCTGAAAAATTAAAAATAGAACTATTATATGACCCAGCAACTCCTTTTCTGGTTATATGCCCAAAGGAAATAAATTCACCTCAAAGTGATATCTATACTTCCATGTTCACTGCACCATTATTTATGATAACTAAGATATGAAAACAACCTAAGTGCCCATTACAGATAAATAGATAAATTGTGGTACATATATTCAATGAAATATCATGCAGCCATAACAAAGGAGAGAAGTCATTTGCAACAACATGGATGAACCTGGAAGATATTATGGTAAGTGAAATAAGCCAATCAGAAAGATAAATACTGCATTATATTACTTATATGTAGGATCTTTTTTAAAAAGTTGAATATTTAGAAGAACTATGGTTACTGGGTATGGGGTGAGACAGAAAATGGGCAGATGTAAGTCACAGAGTACAAAGTTATAGTTATGTAGGATAAATAAGTCTTTTTATTGCATTTTGTATTAAAATTTTGCTGAGAAAGTAGATTTTAGGGCTCTTAACACACAAAATGGGGAGGGTAGTAAATATGGGAAATGAGGGTATGTTAATTTCCTTAACTATGATAACCATTTCACTATGTATGCATACATCAAAACATCATGTTGTATACCTTTATATGCAATAAAAATAGCCAAATATGTGGGAATGGAATTCTTGATGGGTAAAACATAAAGATAAAACTGAAAACTAGAGTGGCAAGAGAAAACAGAGACTGTATCTATCTAATGGAGTGATGGTTTTGGATTGAGTGATACAGTCACAGTTACAAAAATTTTTGGTTTCAAAAGCAATACAGAAGGTAAGGCTATGTCTTCATATAGTGAGCAGTTGGAACTCAGACTACTTTGCAGAGCTTGAACATTTAAAGAGTAACTTCATTGATTTGGACATTTAAAGGATACCACTATTGTTGAATAAGTAGGTTAGAAAAAAAAATCAATATTGTGACATCTGGTAAACAACAAATTTGTTTATCTTTGATTAACCTTGATGTGAAGATAAAAATAATCTTTCCTGAGAATTAATAAATATTTATATGACCTTACATGAGTTTGAACATGTAAGTCTTACATGATTCAAAAACACTCAAACCAGAAAACATAACATACAAAGTTGGCTGGGGTGGGGTTAAAAGTGATAGAAACAGTACTAAGTGTTCTACAGGGTCAATATTCACTTCAAATTAGAGAAGATTCTAGTGTCTTTAGAGATAAATTTACACTGAATGTGCACTATAACCTAAAGTAACAAAACACTTGTGCAAACAATCTGGCATGAGCAAGATTTTACAAACACAAAAAAATAAGAATTTTATGTAATGAAATCATTAGAAAACAGATTTTAAAATGGTGAATAAGATGATTAAGACATAAAAACAATTTTGAAATGAATAAGCAGGGCTGAAAGTAAATAAAATTGAACTTCTGTAAATAAAATATATACTAAAAAGTTGGATTGATCAAATAAGAAATTAGATAAAGATGAGTAAAGGATGAGTGAGGTAGAAGATATAGCTGGGAAATTATCGAAAATAAAAACATAGAGACCCAAAGAAATCAAATATATGACAGAAAAATTAAAAGACATGAGAAACAAAACAATAAAGTTCAATATATATCTAGTAGAAGTTCAAAAAGGAGAGACCATAATAAAATAGAGGGAAGGAGTAAAACTCTGAGTCTACAAATTTGAGAATAAACATATGTATGTTTAAGCCTACCTATATAAATTTTTAAATAAATGACAGTGTATTAGAACCCATAAAATGGCTCTCTACACATAGCCAAGTATCATTCAGAACACATTTCCTAATCAAAATGTAAATATGTTATTTCATATTAAAATATTACTTATATAAGCCCTATACATGCTGAAGTTTGAAAATGAATATATAAATGTCTTCCAAGTAAAATACTATTAATAAATCATACAAATAAAAATTTAGAATTTATTTGTACTCAAAATTCTACTTCTCGAAAAGTATTATTTAGAGGAAAAAATTTAGTTCCATAAGCTTAAATTAAGTGAAAGATGACGGAAAACTAATAAGGTTCAACTATAATATGAGAAGGTTAAAAAAAAAAAAGTGTAGAACTATCCCAAAAAAGTATATGTAAGGAATTAATGAACATAAGATCAGAATAGAAAACAAAACTATAAAAATTGTTGGCCAATGAAGCAAAAATGTTTATTTTTTGGAAAGACTTAAAAGGTGCAGAGACAAAAAGATTGAAAGATTAAAAAACACAAAAATCAATGCTAGTATTTAAATCTAAAAATGTACTTCTTTATATTTTAACATCTCTGAAATCGTAGTGTATTATAATCAGTAACACATCATACTTCAATTGGTAAACTTGTTCTTTTCTTTTGTTGTTGCCTTAAAGCTAAATAAATTTGTTGTGAATCTTATAAATTATTAAATAAAATTTCATTATACTAAATAATTTTGAGCAATTTTATGTCAATACTTTTTTTTTTTTTTTGAGACAGAGTCTCGCTCTGTGGCCCAGGTTGGAGTGCAGTGGCGCGATCTCGGCTCACTGCAAGCTCCACCTCCCGGGTTCACACCATTCTCCTGCCTCAGCCTCGCGAGTAGCTGGGACTGCAGGCGCCCGCCACCACGCCCGTCTAATTTTTTGTATTTTTAGTAGAGACGGGGTTTCACAGTGTTAGTCAGAATGGCCTCGATCTCCTGACCTCGTGATCCACCCGCCTCGGCCTCCCAAAGTGCTGGGATTACAGGCGTGAGCCACCGTACCCGGCCTTGTCAATACATTTGGAAACTTAGAAAAGATTGAGCTTTTCACAAAATTGTAACTTATTACAAAAGAAAAAAAATAGACATATTAGGTTATGTCTATAGACCTGGCTTCCCTTAGAATCAGACATAGGGCTTACATATGGTACTTGTGGAAATGGGATTCCATGGAAAAGTAAAGGACAAGTGGAATAAATTGGAAGAAGAGGGACAACAAATACAAGGCCTCACCAAACTGTCTTCAACTGTAGGTAAATATTGCTATATCTAAGGAGATATTTAAGAACTCTCCACCAAGAAAAAGGAAAGCATATATTCTTCCGTTCTCTTTTCTCATAGGTCAAGTAGCCCTAGCATCATTAATTGCTCTGCACTTCTAGGTTGTATGTGCAAGAGTAAAGAGTGACTCTGAAGGAGGTCCCATGGTAGAAAATGACAGGTGCATTAAGTGGTGAGGTGATAGGTTTCCCAATTGTCCCTTCATAAAGCAAATCAACATCTACATAGAATTGGTCACCACAACATTGGCTGGAATAATAGTTCAAGAGAATTTTAAAGTACTGTACAAGAGATAGCCAAATTAAGAGTGTGTGTGTGTGTTTGTACAACCAAAACATGTCTAGATAACCTGTTAATTAAAATTTTATATAATTTATTTCAATATGCAGAAAAACTCAACTTACAAAGCTTAAAACATCCTGATAAGCTCTTAAGAGCTTAAGAGTAACTTTACTGTACTTAAATTAATTGAGCTTTTACACATAGCAATTTTGCCACCAGCTTTCTTCTTTTTGTTCAATTTTAAATATTTTGCCACCAGCCTTCTTCTTTTTGTTCAATATTGCTTTGGCTATCTGAGGTCTTTCGCATTTCCATACAAATTTAAGATTTTTTTAATTTCTGTGAAGAATGTCATTGGTATTTTGATAGAGATTGCATTTAACCTGTAGTTCACTATTGGCATATAGAAACACTACTGATTTTTGTATGCTGATTATGTAACTTTATTAAACTCATTTCTTTTTCCTAATAGTTTTTTGGTAAAGTCTTTAAGGTTTTCTATGTATATGATTATGTCATCTTCAAACAATTTGACTTCCTCTTTTTCAACTTGAATGCGCCTTATTTTTTTCCTCTTGCCTAATTGCTCTGGCTAGAACTTCTAGTATGATGCTGAATAAAAGTGATAAAAGTAGGCATCCTTGTCTTGTTCCAGATCTTAGAGGACAATCATTCAACTTGCTAGGTATGATGTTAGCTGTGGGTTTGTTAGATATGACCTTTACTGTATTGTACCTTTCTCCTAAAACAATTTATTGAGAGTTTTTATCATGAAGGAATGTTGAATTTTATAGGATATTTTTTAGCATCTATTGAAATGAGCATATGGTTTTTCCCTTGATTCCTTTAATGTGATTCATCACATTTATTGATGTTCTTTTTTTTTTTTTTTTTCAGACAGAGTCTTGCTCTGTCACCCAGGCTGGGGTGCAGTGGCGCAATCTCGTTTCACTGCAAGCTCCGCCTCCTGGGTTCACGTCATTCTCCTGCCTCAGCCTCCCAAGTAGCTGGGACTACAGGCGCCTGCCACCACGCCCAGCTAATTTTTTGTATTTTTAGTAGAGACAGGGTTTCACCATATTAGCCAGGATGGTCTCGATCTCCTAACCTCGTGATCTGCCCGCCTCGATCTCCCAAAGTGCTGGGATTACAGGCTTGAGCCACCACACCTGGCCTGATGTTCATATGTTGAATCATCTTTTTATCACTGGGATGAATCCCACTTGATCTAGGTGAATGATATTTTTAGCAGGCCATTGAATTCAGTTTGTTGAGGTTTTTGCATCCATATTTATTAGGGATATTGTCCTGAGATATATATATATGTGTGTGTGTGTGTGTGTATATAATGTATATATATATGTGTGTATGTTTGTGTATATATAATGTGTGTATATGTGTGTGTGTGTATATATACATATATATGTATATATGTATGTATATATGTATATGTATATATGTATGTATATATGTATATATGTATGTGTGTATATATACACATATATACATATATATATATATAAAAAACAGGACAATATCTCTAATACACATGGATGCAAAACCCTCAAAAAACTGAATTCAACAGCTTGCTAAAAATATCATTCACCAAGATCAGAGCTGAATCAGAGCTGAACTGAAAGAAAATTGAGATGCAAAATAAATAAAGACCAACAAATCTAATAATTTCTTCTTTGAAAGAATTAATAAGATCAATAGACCTCTAGTTAGACTAACAATGAAAAAGATAGAGAAGATCCAAATAAACACAATCAAAAATGACAAAGGGGACATTCACACCAAACTTGCAGAAGTACAAACAACCCCCAGAGACTACTTTGAACACTTTTGTGTATACAAACTAGAAAACCTAGAAGAAATGGATAAATTACTGGAAATATAAAACCTTCCAATATTGAACCAGGAAGAAATTGAAATCTTGAACAGGTCAATATGAGTTCTGAAATTGAATCAGTAATAAAAAACTTACCAAACAGAAAAAGCCCGGGAGGAGATGGATTCACAGCCAAATTGTACCAGACATATAAAGAAGAGTAACAATACTACTAAATTATTCCAAAAACTCAAGGAGGGGAGACTCCTCCTTTACTCATTCTGTGAGGCCAGCATTATTTTGATACAAGAGAAACAATAAAACATGAAACAGAGAAACATAAAAAATGGCAGAGAAACAATAAAAAATGAAAACTTCAGGCCAATATCTCTGGTGACACAGACAAAAACATCCTCAACAAAATACTAGCATTCAAATCCAATAACACATTAAAAAGCTAATCTACCACAATCAAGTAGACTTTATTACTGGGATTCAAGGTTGGTTCAACATATGCAAATCCATAAATATGATTCATCACATGATCATAGCTAAAAACAAAAACCAAATGATCATCTTAATAGAACAAGCTTTCAATAAAATTCAACATCCCTTCATATACTATACCATTAACAAACTAGGCATCAAAGGGACATATCTCAAAATAACAAATGCAATCTATGACAAAATCATAGCCAATATCATGCTGAATGGGCAAAAGTTGGAAGCATCTCTCTTGAGAAACAGATCAGAACAAAGATGCCCATTCTTACCACTCCTACCCAACATAGTAAGTAATAGACAGAGCAACTGGACAAGAAAAAGGAATAAAAGACATCCAAATAGGAAGAGAGGAAGTCAAACGATCTCTGTTTGCAGATGACATAATTCTATATCTAGAAAACCCCATAGTCTCTGTCAAAAGGCTTCTAGAACTGACAAACAACTTTAGGATATTTCAAGATACAAATCAATGTATAAAAATCAGTTGCATTTCTATACAAAAACAACATCCAAATTGAGAGCCAGATCAAGAAGGCAATCCCATTCACAATAACCACAAGATGAATAAAATTCCTAGGGATACAGGTAACCAAGGAGGTGAAAGAACTATACAAGAAATCAGAGATGACCAATGGAAATGGAAAAACATTTCGTGTTCATGGATAGGAACAATTAATACTGTTAAAATGGCTATACAGCTCAAAGTAATTTACAGATTTAGTGCTATTCCTATCCAACTACCAAAATCATTTTTACAGGATTAGAAAAAAGCTATTCCAAATGTATGTGGAACCAAAAAAGAGCCTGAATAGCCAAAGCGACCCTAAGTAAATAGAACAAAGCTGGAGGCAGCACACTACCTGACTTCAAACTATACCACAGGACTACGGTAACCAAAACAGCATCATACTGGTTGAAAGACATATAGACTAATGGAACAGAATAGAGAGCACAGAAATAATGCCATGCACCTACAACCATCTGAACTTTGACAAAGTCAACAATAACAAACAGTTACTGTTAATGTACCCTCAGCCCTAAAACAAAAATTGGAAAAGAAAAAAATAAAAGATAAAAACTAATTTAAATATATTCTCAACATTTAACTCTCTATATAATCTCATTCATGCACATATTCATGTATATCTGTGTACAGAGTTTTATGGATGGAAAAATGAGAAGGGTATTGCTACAGATATCAAAACATATTTTACATTAGGAAAAAGTGGTATAAATACTATTTAATAAATGATGCTGGGTTAACTGGCTAATTATATGCAGATGATTGAAACTAGATATCTTCCTTTTACTATATACCAAAAGCAACTCAGGATGGATTAAATGCTTAAATGTAAAGACCTAAAACTAAAACTGAAAAAAAAAAAAAGAAAGAAAAGAAAAAACCTAGGAAGTGAAAAACCTAGGAAATACCATTGTACCATTGTGAACATAGGCCTTGGCAAAAATTTCATGAAAGACTCCAAAAGAAATTACAACAAAAACAAATATAAGCAAGTAGGACCTAATTAAACTAAAAAGCTTCTGCACAGCAAAAGAAACTACCAACAGAGTAAACTGAAAATCTATAGAATGAGAGAAAATGTTGCAAACTATGCAGCTGACAAAGGGCTAGTATGCATAATCTATAAGGAACCTACATCAACAAGCAAACAACAAACAATCCTATGAAAAAATGGCGAAGGACATCAACAGGCACTTCTCAAAAGAAGAAACATACATGTAGCCAACAAGCATATGAGAAAATGTTCAGCATCAAAAATCTTTAGAGAAATGCAAATCAAAACCATAATGAGATACGATCTCACCAGACTGAATGGCTATTACTAAAAAGTCAGAAAATAACAGATGTTGGAGAAGTTCATACACTGCTGGTGGGAATGTAAATTAGTTCAGCCACTGTGGTAAGCAGTCTGAAGATTTCTCAAGTAACTTAAAACTGCCAATTGACTCAGCAATCCCATTACTGGATATATGCCCGAAGGAATATAAATTGTTCTACCAAAAATACACTTGTCCACATATGTTTATCACAGCACTATTTGTAATAGCAAAGACATGGAATCAACCTAGATGCCCATCAATGGTGGACTGAATAAAGAAAACATCATACATGTATACAGCAGAATGATACACAGGCATAAAAAAGAATGAAATCATGACCTTTGCAGCAACATGGATGGAGCTGGAGGGCATAATCCTAACCCAATTAACACAGGAACAGAAAACCAAATACTGGATGCTCTTACTTGTAAATGACAGCTAAGCATTGAGTACACATGGAAACAAAGAGGGGAACAACATACACCAAGGCCTACTTGAGAGTAGAAGGTGGGAGGAGGGTAAGGGTTGAAAAACTACCTATCAGTACTATGCTCACTACCTGGAGGAGGAAATCATTAGCACACTAAACTCTAGTGTCACCCAATTTACTCATATAACAAACATGCAAATGTACCCCCTGAACCTAAAATACATAAAAGTTGGAAAATAAAAAAATAAAAATAAAAGATAAAAACTAATTTACATATATTCCCAACACTTTACTGCACTCTATAGATAGTCTCATATTCATGCAAATATTCATGTATATCTGTGTATACAGTTTTATGAATGGAAAAATGAAAAAGATACTGCTAAAGATATCAAACCATATTTTATATTAGTAAAAATAATATTTTTGGACAATACTATGCTAAGCATAATAATACATGCTATGTGCTTTTTGTGGATCACCTCATTTAATTCTGAATCCTATGGAGTAGAGATTATTATAACACTTATTTTAATAGATGAGGATACTAGCGGTTACCAAAGTTTAGGAACTTGTCAAAAATCACCAGCTTGTGAGTGGCAGAGCTGTAATTCAAACTCGGGTTTCCAGACTCTTGAACTCTTCAGTCCTACGCCATCCAGATCTCCTGACTTCCTTGCTGAATTTATTACTGTATATTCTGGGAGCTATTGCTTTGTATATTTTCCCAAATATACACAGAGAGGCAAAGATGGCATCATTTTTGCTACTGATCTTTATCCAGGCTCCTGGATCTACTTCTTCCCTGGCCATAAAAATCTGGTTCGCCAGGGAGGTATATGCATTCATAAGATGAAGTTTCTAAGAAATAAAATTCAAGTTATAAATTTTTCTTAGTTGAAATCATGGAAAACACATATATTAAAATGAAGAATATAACATTATTTTATATTTCATCCTCCCATTTCTTTTATAGCCCTCATTTTAATGTTTTAAATAATCCTTTCGTCTCCAGTCTGACCCACCTAGTAGGTTCTAACTTCCTGATTATAGACCTTTTATGCTTTGTTTATTGTTGTCAGTGGTCTACAGGAGGCACTTAATAACAATTGCTTGCTCTAGAATCTGAGCTCAGGCAACTCTGAACAGTCTTTCAGAGAGAGAGAATGAATATCTGAAAATTAAATACAGAATTAAAGAAGAGCCATTTCCATGAGATCAAAGAGCAGTGCAAAGGAAGAATGAGCTGCTCCAACAGCTCCCCAAGGCCCTCTGCTGTCTTTTATGCTAATACATTCTAAATGTATCTTCCTGATCTGGTTGGATTTTCTCTTCTCAGAAAGGTCCCCCTTGATGTTCATATGACACTCTCTTTGTCTATGTCCTTGGTGGGGGTCAGGGGGAAACTGATATCTAAAAGACTGTGTACTGTCTGGGACTGGAATTGTTGATAGGATAACATCAAGAATGCCAATTAAGTTTGGAGATTAGGTTCTGTGATACCTCTCTCTCTCTCTCTATCTCTCTTTCTCTCTCCTTTTGTCCTACTGAGTATACCAAGGAACCTGAGTTGTGGGACGCCCAACAGTAACCATCCACAAATGTGTTCCAGGTTGGAAAAAAAGTATATCTATACATATATACACAGATGTTTATGTAAATTTTTTTACCACAAAAATGGTTTGCACACATTTTCACTACTCAAACACCTGAATAGCTTTTGGATATTTTCCTTCTTTAAGTACATTTCGTTTCTAATACCCACTATGCATTTAGCAGGACATTGAACAGAAAAGTAAATGAAACACTGCAAACACAAATACCCCTAAAGAAATCTTAAAGACATTTAACATTGTTAATATAAATGTGATGCCGTGTTTGTATATAAAGCATAATGTTAAGCATCTCCAGCATGTGGCACAGCTCAGGTTTTCTGAAGAAAAACCTATCTACCAAAAGATAACTGGATATTTGTAAAGTTTTACTTTGCTGTTATCCAGAGGAGTAAAAGAAAAAGGGAGCAAACCATTTATCAAGAACCACTTATATGCCACACATTTTGCTTGCCACTTTAGGAGTTTTATTTAAGTGAACATTAACAGTAATCTTATAATATTAAATTTAAAAACTGTCCCTAAAAGGGAGGGTGAAACATGTCCCTTGTCAAAAAGTTAATAAGAAGCCAAGCCAGGATGTAAATTCAGGCCTTTTTCTGATTCCAACATCTGGATGTTTTTCATTTCATCATGATTCTTTCCAAAATTTTTCTACCAAAGTATTTATTCTAGAGCTATGTATTTACCCAGTCATACTCTAAAGAGAGATTTATAAGCTCTTTCGGAAACAAGTTGATCTTTTTTTGAGAAGCCACAAAATGTGTGCGTTGAAGTGGAGGGATGAGAATCAGACTTCAAATTATTCATATCTTTCTATGCCAAGGAATAAAGACGATATTAATTCTATCACAACAATTCTGTCAACTTAATCCTTACAGATGTTAAATAACTCAAACTGAATAAATCTCTTTCACTGTTGACTCTGTCACAAAATAAATAGAAGTACTAAAAGTGAAATGATTATGGGAAGCCTTAGTATTGCTTTAAAATTAATATGTTTACAACTATAAAACCATTTTCAGCCAAATACAGATTATATATAACTCTGACATTATCCCCTAAAAAATAAGAAAATTAAAAAGTTCTGTAACAAGATGGGAAAGTATGATTAACTAAGACCAATTTTGAAAAATACGCCGGAAAAAGAATGCAATAAATCAGTTTGCCAATAAAGAAAGGTAATGGAAAATAACAAAGTTGCCTACATATCCTTTAAATATCATTGATCCACTCCCAAGCTCAACACATTGGCTGTTCCAGACCTTTATTGCACTCCTCCACTCCCTCGTATTTCTCTTTCTCCTTTGCTTACAGGAGAACTTCCCCGATTGCCTAAAACTTCATGTAGTAAGTAGAAACAATGTGATGGAGAACTCACTCAATTTCCTATATTATTACTTATACATACAGCTACACACACACACACACACACACACACATGCACACACACTGATATTCTTATATCCTATATCAGAAAAAAATTATTTCATATAATGCCAGTTAGCCAAATACATCCAACTGTGCCATTCTCAAGACACTGAACCCAAAAACTAATCCCCTGCCTTTATTTTGACTCTTTTTATTCCTCATAAAAACTTGCTGTCGAACAGCTTCTCAAGTCAACTTAAAAATAACAGCCCATAACAATAAAAACAAAATATTCCCCTTGATTTGAATTATTGTCTTCCTTCCATCTCAGTCCTGGAAGCAAAACAAGATGTCTGTATCTGTTGTCTACTTTTTTTTTTTTTTGTATATCTTTCCCTTCTCTTTTCTTTTCTCATTTGTCATTCACCCATCTTGCATTAAGTTTATATCATCATCTCTATTCGACGTTGAGGATACAGAGACAAACAGGTAATGGTTCCTGCTGTCAAAGGGCTGGCTCACTTATAATGTAACAGAAAGAGAGCAATAAGTGTAGATTAATGGGTTCAATTAAATATTATAGTGCAATGGGACAAAATGAGAATGCACTACTCTACGTCAGTGGGCCAAAAAAAAAAAATTAAAAGACAGGAAAAGGGCCTTGAAAAAAAATGAGTACATATTTAGCTCTTGAAGGGAATCAGAACATACAATAGAAGGGAAATCAAAGTAGAAAGAGAAGCAAAAACAAAGTCAATGATACGAAAGAGCTTTGGATGTTTGAAAGCCTTCAAGCCATTATACATGGCATAAAGATGGGAGGTAAGGGTTAGAGATGGGGGGACGTCAAAGAGATAAAGCTAAAGGGGTAAGCATAGATTAGAGATGAAAGCATCTTCTGTATTACGTTGAGTTTAGAATATATTATAAAGAAAATAAGAAATGACTTAGTAATGAAAATCCTGGGTAAATGTTTCAATAGGTTTGCTATATAACAAACCACTCCAATACTTAGTGACTTAAGAAATGCTTATGTCAGTTGGACTGTTCTGATCTGGTCTGATTCAGCTGATCTCTCTATAGTCAACTAGTGCTTCAACTGGGATTAGATGGCCCCACATATATGTCTGATGGTAGGCTTGATGGCAGCTCAGATAATAGGATGACTTGGCCATGTGTCTCTTACCATCCAAGAGACTATCTCAAGCTTTTTTACATGATAGGAATCTCAGAATAGCAAGAGCAGACAAGCCCCAATGAAAAAGTATTTCTTAAGTCTCTGCTTATATTACATTGGTATTGCTCCATTAGCCAAGTTAATTCACATAAAGAAGGACAGAATCTGTGTAGGAATAAATTACCTAAGAGCATGGATACAAGTGTAGACATAGTTGTAGTCATTTATTGTGAACAAAGACCAGAGCAAGGAACCAGAACTTTATAGCATAGAATATATTTATAGCATAGAATATAATGTGTTATTTACAAATTGTTTATAACCAACTGATTGACCAGAATCACATCTTATTGTATCTTTTGTCCCCTGCAGGCATGCAATCTGCCCTTAACAGTTGTGAGTCTTAAAGCCAGAGTACAAATGGAGATTTATATAACATATGTCTAAATATTTAAAACTTACCAATTAAGCTAACAAAATGTTAAATACACCACAGACTAGTCTTCTACTTTGACAACTATAAGTTCATAATGACCTGAAAGGCTAACTTCAAATTTTTTGGACCCCTTGTAGTTTCTTGCTGGAATGTGGATGCCAAGGAGGGCTGGTCCACAGCATCCACCACTATGCTTTTCCCTCCAGCTCCAGCGCTGTGAGAAGCTTCATACCCATACATTCGTTAAGCACAGTCCAACATGTCCAACTTCCTTATTCATCTCCAAAAGGCAAAAACTCACATGCTGGGCCTCAGGTGGTGCATAACTACGATGTGCTTTTCCTCTATTGGATCAGGATGGAGCAGAGAATTTGCAAGTCCTGGAAATGGATGTGGAGCCATTTCGACAGGGAATTTGGAATCTAGAAAATAATCTAGAAATTGGGGTGTGGCTCTGACCATGTAGATTTCCTGCCCCTTGAACAGGGGTGCCACTGGAGAGCACAGGACTAAGATAGAGAACCTCTTGTCATAGTTTATTGGTGGTTATTTCAGGTGAGAACATAGGAATAAAGATAGGTTCTTTTTCTTTACTTTGGTATCTACTTCTATAAAGAGCTACATGGACACAGGGAGGGGAACATCACACATCAGGGCCTGTCAGGGTTGAGGGGCAAGGGGAGGGATAGCATTCTGAGAAATAACTAATGCATATGGGGCTTAAAACCTAGATGATGGGTTGATGGGTGCAGCAAACCACCATGGCACATGTATACCTATGTAACAAACCTGCATGTTCTGCACATGTGTCCCAGAACTTAAAGTATAATTAAAAAAAAAAAAAGAAAAGAAAAAAAAAGAGCTGAATCAGAACTGAAAATCAGAAAACCTGGGTAAGGGGCTCTCTGATGAATTTCTATGTAAACAATTTAAAAAGAATACAAATAAAAATTCAAAAACACAGAAAAAGGAAGCAATTTCAGTAGTCATGATACCACAGACAGAACGTGAACCAATCACTATCACCTTCTTTTCTTTACATGTTAATCACTGCAAAATCTTGCTTTTCTACCAGATCCTCTACTTAAATTGCTCTGGCATCAAAACCAATAGATATTTCTCAGGACTTACCTTACTGACAATATTTGTGGTCCAACAGCAGTCTTTTCTATCTTTTTGCAACAGTGAGCATATGACCCAGGCCAGACAGTAGAAATATGTCATCCTCTTTGAGTCGTCATGTGATCTAAGTAGGACCAAACAGAGTCTTCCTTCAGAATGTATATGGATGCTGGAGGAAAGAGAGAAATATATCCTTCCCCTGTTCTCCCCAGGAATAAAAGATCAGCCCAGATCTTCTAAGAAAAAAGGAGCAGAAGAGAGAGGGAGACAGGGAGAGAAAACATAAACTCGCCATGAATGAACCAGTTAGCCATTATACCAGATTTCTCTTTAATATGAAAAATAAATTATTAATGCAGATATTTGTTGGTTTTTAAAAATTTTATTATTATTATACTTTAAGTTTTAGGGTACATGTGCACAATGTGCAGGTTTGTTACATATGTATACATGTGCCATGTTGGTGTGCTGCACCCATTAACTCGTCATTTAGCATTAGGTATATCTCCTAATGCTAGCATTAGGAGATAGTATTTGTTGCTTTAAATGGTTTGAATTAGGTCTGTATCTCAAACTAATATGTTCCAACACAACTGCCCTTGTAGTATGCAACACCCTTGAATATTTTCTTTATTTTTTAAATCTTCCTTTCCTAAGCTTCCAAGATTCCTGTTCTCTCTCTTGCTTTAGTTAACAATACAGGTACTGTATTAGTCAATTTTCATGCTGCTGATAAAGACATACCCGAGACTGGGTAATTTACAAAAGAAAGAGGTTTAATTGAACTTAACAGTTCCATGTGTCTGGGATGCCTCACAATCATGACAGAAGGCAAGGAGAAGCAAGTCATGTCTTACATGGATTGTAGCACGCAAAGAGAGAGAGCTTGTGCAGGGAGACTCCCATTTTTCAAAACCATCAGATCTAGTGAGACTTATTCACTATCACAAGACCAGCATGGGAAAGACTTGCCCCCATGATTCAATCACCTCCCTCTGGGTCCCTCCCACAACACATGAGAATTCAAGATGAGAGTTTGGTGGGGACACAGACAAACCATACCAGGTAATGATGTTTTCTTCTATCTGTCCCTTGAGTGTGAATGTTTCTCAGCCCATAGTTGTTTCATTCAATAGACTGTCTCTTGATAAAAACACACCAAATCTTATCACTAATGTTTAAGCCAGGTCCCTAAATATAGAAAACAGATAAAAATTCATTGCATTTCCTGTAATTTAGCTCAGGAATTGCTTTCAGTATCTACTTGCTCAAATTCCCATCCTTTGTCATGTACTGCTGTTTTTAATCATTTGAACCTAGCTTCACCTACTGTCTCTTATTTATTTATTTTAGTTTCTCTTCTCTTCTTTACTCTTTTTTGTAACTACAATTCCTATTAATTCTGGAAGAGATAAACTGATTTTGGAACCATTCCCCAGTTCATTTCTTTTTCCCATAAAAGAAAGGATATATTTCTTTCTTTCCTCCAAATGATATATCAAACCTTATTCATAGGGGAAAAAGAAGATTTGCCATTTAATCAGTGGTCCTCAAAATTTAGCAGGTATGAGAATCACCTGAAGAACTTGTTAAGACACAGAACACTGGTCTTGCTCTTAAAGTTTCTGATTCATTAGATCTGGGGTGAAACATGAGAATTTAAATTTCCAATAAATTCATAGGTAATGCTGTTTTTCTTGGTCTGGGTAATAGGAGTAGTTCCAGTCTATTATATATTGTTTGTTATTTTCTTTATTGCAAACCTTTATATCATGTGCTCTTTCTGAGTGTGGATAAAAGTTGTACCTTTATTCTAACCAATAGAATATGGCAAATGTGATGGGGTATTACCTTATCACCGTGTTATGATACATAGGACTCCGTTTCAGCAGAAAGGAGAGAGAGAGGTTCTCCTGCTGTCTTTGAAGAAACAAGCAGTCATGTCACAAACTGCCTATGCAGAAGGCCACGTGGCCAAGATGTGAGGGTAGTCTCTAAAACTTGAAATTAGGTTCCAGGCAATAGCTAATAAAAAGCTGGGAACTTCAGTCAGACAATCACATGGAAATGCATTCTATAAAATACCTGAATAAACCTGAAGGAATCTGAATGCAGTGGATTTTTCCTTAGTTAAGCATCCAGATGCAAACACACCCTTGTGTGTTTTCACCTTCTTTGCAGCTATGGGAGACCCTGAGCAGAGGACTTGGTCAGAAGCCAAGTGTGGACTCTGACCCATGACAACTGTGAAATAATACATGTATGTGGTTTGAAACTTCTAAGTTTGTATTGCAAACAACATCTTCTAAAAATATTATCCCCAGAACCAACCTCTCCAAACTTCTATCACCTATAGGATAACATCTAAATACCTTATTAGGGTGCATAAGGTTCTTTATCAAAAGGGTCTCACTTCTGTCTGTAGCCTCAGTGTCCAAGGAGTTGACCCTTCTTCTTGCTATTTCAACTTTTATCTTCAAATTTGGAACATGCTCTAATAGATAAAGATCAGAATCTTTCAATACTTTTTCACTGAGGATTCCTCATTCTTTACCCACACTTAATCCCTTCAAAATTTATTTCCAGTGTTGTCATCTTCTGGGAAATCTACCCAGACACTACCCATCAACTCGACTCCTGGGCCTGAATTAATTATCCATAGCCTTTGACTCTAAGCACATATTTACCTCTATTTTTACAGTTAAAACATTGTCTTGCAAAGTTAGTTTGCTTTTCTGTCTTCCCTTGTTGATTTCAGGAACTTGAGAGCAAGTAGTTTCCCCTAGTTAATACCTCAGATGCCTGTCTACAAAGATGGTACATATTTAAAGGTTCAATCATGAGTAATGGTTTATAAGAAATCCATATATATTTTTCAGAAGGACATTACTTATTAAAATACTACTGATGCAAAAAATAGTAGCCTTGGTAGAGAAAAATATATGCAACATAGACTAAATAGTATCTGATATCATAAAGTCATGGCCATCCCCTAACAGGGATGGGAAATAAAGAACAATAGGAGGTATTTGTTTAGCCATGTTAGGTAGGTCAAACACTGAGTTACATGTGTATTTTCCAGGGACTCTATGATGCCAGTTTATAATATGCTGTTTTGTACTGAGCTAATACCACAAATTTCAGTTTTATACAGTTCTGCATGGATACGCTCTTTGAATGAATCAACTATTGTCATCACTTTTGATGGAAGATATTTATTTAATTAAATTACTAAATAAATAATCACAAATTTTAAAATAACACAATTTTAAATGTACTATATAGTGAACACATTATTGAGGTTTTAAAAAACACTCATCTATTACATTTTCTGTTTCCCTAAAAAGAAATCTCATCCTTTCATAGTTTTTCCTCTGTTTTCTGGGAAATTAGATTTAACCAATGTAATAGCATTCAGATTTATATTTAGAGACCTCACATGAGGAAAATTTTTCATTTCTAGTCTGATTCCTCTGCGTCCATGAGATGTATATTATCCTTAAAAATATTATTCAATATAGTAATCACATTGAATTCTTCTTTTGCCATTATGCCGCAGAGCAAAAAGCTGACGTCATGTGATGGTCCTAATAAAGTCACTTGTAATGCACAGACAATTACACAGAAACCATAAGAAAAAGGCACCATTACATAAAGATAGGTAATATGACAATATAATTATAATTTAAATGAGACCATTATCCTTAATAAATCAAACCTATATACACTTGGAAAGAGAAAACCACAGTCTTTCAATATAGCTATTTATAGATATCCCAAATATTCTTTCTTATAAAAAGAATTTAAATTGCAAAGCATAAAAGGGAAAAAGATCACACCACTTGGCTTGTGTTGATATGTTGACACTGCTTGTTACGTCCTGAGTTATGTCCTCAAAAATGTTTATGCTAAAGTTCTAACCCCCAGTGTCTCAGAATGTAAATATATCTCTAGGCAGGGCCTTTAAAGAGGTAACGAAGTTAAAGTAAGGCTTTAGGATGATGTCCCTATAAGAAGATTAGGATATAAAGAGAGACACTAGGGGTGGACACACTCAGAGAAAAGGCCGTGTGAAGACACACTGAAAAAGTGATGATCTGCAAGCCAAGGAGAGAGTCTCAGAAGAATCCAAACTTCTCTGCACCTTGATCTTGGATTTCCAGCCTCCGGAAGTCTGAGAAAATAAATGTCTATTAAAGTTGGCCAGTCTGTGGTATTTTGTTGTGGCAGCCATAGCAAAGTAATAAACTGCCCCATTTTCCCTCAGTACTAACAAGGTCATGGTAGCAACAATGACAAAATAGAAACATATTTCTCTAAGAGTGAAAGAAAAAATAATTTTTGATGCTATAAATATTTCTGAGAAGCCATTTTAAAAATGATACATAAACTTAGATTTATTCTTCTTAATACTAGTGTTGTTTTTTCTCTCTTGTTTTCAACTTAGAACAAATCTCTGTCTGGTTTTGTGCAGGAGCACTAATCTGAGTGTATTACAATAAAATTACAAAAAAATGATAAATATATTTAGTATATCTCTAAAGTAATTACTTTAGCAATAAAATACAACAATCAGGAAAGATGATGCTTTTATTCTAAAACCTATGCCAGAATATTGCAACACGAATAGCCTGTATAAGGTACAAGAGTTTTTTTTTTTTTAAAAAAAATTGCTTTGTTAACTATTCCTGTAATGACAACTTGACATTTGGTCTTTACAATTAAAATGATAAGTATCAGATTAAGAAAATTTGAAGTACCTCCTTTTTTATAAACAGGTATAAAAATTAACAGCTGACAAATTTTTTAATCTTGGCCACCTGTATTATACCTGGCATGATTTAATTAACACAAAATGAAAAATACACATTTCCAAGTATCGCTACTGAATAGGTTTTCCTAGGCTGATAATTGAACTCATAAAATATGTAATTATTATTCAGATAAAGAAAATGAATATATTGTTATCTATTAATACATTATGACCCTAAAGCCCTTTGTTAAACTCTTTATTCCTTTATGAATAAAAATCTCACAGTTTCTTTTACTATATTCTTAATATAAAGGAGCAGTATTTTATGATCATTATTATATAAGAAGACACTTGTTCTATACAAAATTGAATTCCACTAGTCACAGATCATTTTTAAGGTAGTTAAGCTACTATAGTAGCAGATATTATACCTTGAAGTCATTGAACTCATACCAGCTGACAAGCTAACAGAAAATTGAAAGACAATTTTCAATACTATGCTCCAACTAAATGCCAATTTAGAAACTAAATATAAATCCTGGATTCTGTTTGCACTTTGAAAATTACATTCCAAAGTTTAACAGTAGAATGAAATTTTTTGTAAGTTCTATAGTCTCAAGTCTTGAGGCTTAGGCAAAGTGTGTTCCAAAAGAATAGGTGCTATTACTTAAAATGCAAAAAAAATTTCTAAAGCTATACATACCCGTAAAACTTCTTAGGTAAAGAAACAACAACAACAAAGCAGTATTTGAAATGCTGAATTTCTTTATCAGGATAACTGGGAAAATATGAAATTATAAAACTACAGTTTCTACTGCTAGGAAAGAATGACCAGTGCTTACCACACAGAATCTTAGGTGATTCATTCAGTGGACATTTATGGAAAATTATGAGTCAGACACTAGGCTATCTACCAGAGAATACCAAGACACAGCCATTAGGCTCAAAGCGCTCACAAACTATTGGGGAAGCAGACAGAAAAAAAAACAATGACAACCCAGTGTTGTACGAAATAAGCAAGTGGTGCTTTGGAAGACCACAGAAAAAGAATTAACACAGACGAGGTATGTGAGTGAGAGTGATTCCTTGCAGAAAGGGATGTACATGATGAGCTTTACAGAATGAGTAGGAAGTTGGCTAGAGGGGAAATTAAGTGCAAAGCACAGAAGCTTAAATGTTATGGTTTATAAACTGGTGACTACAGTGGCAAAGGGGAAGAGACAAGTAGTCAATGAAAGAAATTATAAAGAAATATATTTGTAAAATATATGGAATTCTAGCAAAAGGTAATATTAGGAATTATTGTTTAGGGTAGCAACTAAAAATGCTGTATTTTTGTGCTTTAATACTGGGATTGAGAACATTACTTCTTCTCCCTTTAGTATACTCCTTGAAGTTGTAATAGTAGTATCTACTTTATAGCTGTGTTGTGATGAATAAATTAATTTATATAGGAAAAGAGCAAGGCATCAAGGCTAATACATAGTAAGTACTCAATAATTTGACTCAACACCTAAGAAACAGATAATCCAGTTGTACTATGGAAAGATTGCCCTCAAAGCAAGATCTAGAATGATTCATAAAGGGACAAAATAGCAGGTGGCAAGGATTTCTAGGGGCTGATGTAGTAACCAGGTGTCTTAGTTCAGGCTACTATAAGACTGGGTAGCTTACAAAACAAACACTTATTTGTTATAACTCTGAATGCAGAAAGTGAGGCTGGAGATTAGGTTTCCAGTGTGGTCAGGTTATTGGTGAGGCCTAGATTCTTGGTTATATCTTCTCACGGCATTTCCTTGCTATGTGCACACAGAAAAACAAATCTCCTGTCTCTTCTTCTTTTAATAACTGGTTTATACTCATCATAAGGGCTTCACCATCATAACCTCATCAAATCTAATCACCTCCCAAAAGCCCCACTTCCAAATACCATCACATTGGGCATTAGAAAGTTAACATATAAGGCTTGGGGTGGGGGAGCAAAACAAACATTTGGTCCATAGCACCAGGTGAGAATTAAAGCTATCCATGAGAGAGTGGGAAGGGATGATGAGTTGGAGAGAGATTTGAAAGCTATTAAGAAGTAGAACTAGAAAACAGTTAGGGGGAGAGGTTCAAGATGGCTGACTAAAAACAGCTGTGGTCTGTCTCTTCCACAGAGAAGAACCAAAATATTTAGTAGATATTCACACTTTGAATAGATCATCTGAGAGAGAACACTGGGATTCAACAGAGAGGCAATAAAAAATACAAAGTTTGAAGGAGGGGGAAGCAGGGTTGCTCAGTCAGGGTTGCTGGGGCCTGGAACTGCTCCCTAGCCCAGGGAAGGGATAAATGAAAGACTTTGAATAGCTCATCTGAGAGAGAACACTGGGATTCAACAGAGAGGCAATAAAAAATACAAAGCGTGAAGGAGGGGGAAGCAGGGTTGCTCAGTCAGGATTGCTGGGGCCTGGAGCTGCTCCCTAGCCCAGGGAAGGGATAAGTGAAAGACCTCCAGGGCTCCACATTTCTGCCACAGACCTTTACAATCCAGCTACAAGAGAGCCCCTCAACCCTCACAGGCCTCTACTTGGCATAGGAAGCTGCCTGGAGATCACAGAGAGACACTGCTCTAACTCATGTAAAGTCCGACTGGCTTCCTAGCACTGGACAACTGCAGCATGGCACCATTCTGGGTGCCTGTCTACTTCTATTCAACTTAGTACTGGAAGTCCCAGCTAGAGCAATCAGGCAAAAGAAGTAAAAGGTATCCAAATTTGAAAAGAGGAAGTGAAGTTAGCTCTGTTTGCTGAAGATATGATTTTATAACTAGAAAACCATAAGGTTCTCTACAAAAGACCTCTAGATTTGGTAAATGACTTCAGTAAAGTTTCAGGATACAAAATCAACATACAAAAATCAGTACCATTTTTATATATCAATAAGAGTCAAGCTGAGAACCAAATAAAGAATTCAATCCCATTTACCATAGCTATGAAAAAATTAAAAACTAGGAATGCAATTAAACAAGAAGGTAACAGATCTCTACAAGAACTACAAAATACTGCTGAAAGAAATTGTAGATGACATACACAAATGAAAAAACATCCCATGCTCATGGATTAGAAGAATCAATATTGTTAAAATGACCATACTGCCCAAAGCAATCTACAGATTCAATGTAATTCCTATCTGAGTATTGACATTATATTCACAAAATTCGGAAAAAAAAATCCTAAAATTCATAGGAAACAAAAACAGCCCAAACAGCCAAAGCAAAATCTTAACCAAAAGAACAAAGCTGGAGGTATCATATACCAGACTTCAAGTTATACTATGAGACTACAGCAACCAAAACAGTGTGGTACTCATATCAAAACAGACACAGATCAATGGAACAGAATAGAGATTCCAGAAATAAAGCTACACACCTACCACCAACTGATCTTTGACAAAGTTGACAAAAATATACACTGAGGAACAGAGATCCAATTAATAAATGGTCCTGGGGAAATTGGATAGCCATATGTAGAAGAATGAAACCTGTTACCATATACAAAAATTAACTCAAGATGTATTAAAGACTTAAACATAAAACCTGACATTATAAAACAGATTAGAAGAATACCTAGGAAAAACTCTTCTGGACATTGGTCTAGGCAAAAAATTTATGACTAAGTTCTCAAACGCAACAAAAACAAAAATAGACAAATGAGACTTAATTAAACTAAAAACCTTCTGCACAGCAAAAATGTAATCATCAGAGTAAACAGAAAATCTGCATAAAGGGAGAAAATACTTGCAAACTATACATCCATCACAGGGCTAATATCTAGAATCTAGAAGGAACTCAAACACCTCAACAAGAAAAAAAATTACCCCATTAAACAGTGGGCAGAGGATATGAACATTTTTTTCTCAAAAGAAGACATACAAGCAGCCAACAAACATGAAAACAGGCTCAACATCACTAATCATCAGAGAAATGCAAATTAAAATCACAGTGCGATATCCTCTTACAGCAGTCAGAATGGCTATTATTAAAAAGTCAAAAAACAACGGATGTTGGTGAGGATGCAAAGAAAAGGGAATGCCTATACACAGTTGTTGGGAATGTAAATTAGTACACCCTCTATTGAAAATAGTATGGATATTTCTCAAATAATTAAAAATAGAGCTACCATTTGATCCAGCAATCCTACTATTGAGTTTATACACAAAGGAAAATAAAGTATCATATCAAAAAGACAACTGTATTCATGTATTTATAGCATCACTATTTACAATAGCAAAATTATAGAATCGACTTAAATGTCCATCAGTGGATAATTGAATAAAGAGAATGTTATACACACACGTACATACACACATACTCACACAAAGATATATATATATATATATATATATGCAATATACACTGTACATATGGATATAGTTCGTGGAAAAATAAACATTGGAGTCTTCAAAAGGTGGGAGTGTGGGAGGTGGGTGTGGTATGTGAAATTACCTATTGGGTGCAATGCACACTGTTAGGGTGATAGTTATGCTAAAAGCCAAGACTTCACTACTATATCTATGGAACAAAAATGCACTATACTCCCTAAATCCATAAAAATTTTAAAAAATTAGAACCTATACAGCCTGATGCCCTAATGTAGGAAGTGAAAAAGGAAAATGAAAGATGACTTCCAGGTGTGTGCAGGTGCTATTGATTAACAAGAAATACTGGAGAAAATGAGTAATTATGAGAGAACACATTGAACTCAGATTGAGAACTTTTTTTATTTTAGATGGCTGTTAAGCTTTGGAGCTACATCTAAACTGAAATAAAAATTTGTAATAACAAGCAAATTATTCTACACTTCTTGGTTAACATTCCCTTTAATATCCAAAGAAAGTTGCTAGAGGCCCATTCCATGTAATTATAAAAGTCAAAGAATTTCATAAATGTTGTTAGGCTTCTAAAGAAGTTACTCTCATGTTTTTCTACCAAATTTTTGTTTCAAATACATTATTGATTTGCACTTGTTTTACTTTCTATAGTGGCTGCCCTTCCTCTGTCACTTGGCCACTTCTGAATGCTTTGACCTTTCTTCCCGTTTCCCAAAGCTCCACCAACAAGGTTTGTGGTACAAGTTGACTATCTCTTATGCAAAAACTTGGGACCAGAAGTGTTTTAGATTTAAGATTTTCTCAGATTTTGGAATATTTGCATTACTATTACTGGTTAAGTAGCTCTTTTTTGTTTTTTGTTTTTTAGATGGAGTCTTGCTGTCTTGCCCAGGCTGGAGTTCAGTGGCACAGTCTCAGCTCAGTACAACCTCTGCCTCCTGGGTTCAAGTGAGTCTCCTGCCTCAGCCTCCCGAGTAGCTGGGATTACAGGCATGCATCACCATGCCTAGCTAATTTTTTCTACTTTTAGTAAAAATGGAATTTCGCCATGTTGGCCAGGCTGGTCTCAAACTCCTAACCTCAAGGGATTCACCTGCCTCGACCTCCCAAAATGCTGGAATTACAGGCATGAGCCACCCTGCTGGGCCATACATCCCAAATTTGAAAGACGATTTTCTTTAAGCATCAGGTTGGTCCTCAAAATGTTTCAGATTTTGGAGCATTCCAGATTTCAGATTACCAAATTTGGGATACTCTGCTTTAATACGAACTTTTCACTGCTATGTTTGATAAATAACAACAATCACAAAACAACATAAAAAAGAAATCACTTAAATATTCAGTATGACTGTTAAAAATTTTCTTAGCTACCTACACCACAGGGACCCTCTTCATGGCTGGATTTCTTTTTCTTTTCTTTTCTTTTCTTTTCTTTTCTTTTCTTTTCTTTTCTTTTCTTTTCTTTTTTCTCTTCTCTTCTCTTCTCTTCTCTTCTCTTCTCTTCTCTCTTCTTTTTAGGCCAGATATTGTTCTATCACTCAGACGAGTGCAATGGCATCATCAGAGCTCACTGCAGCATAGACCTCCTGTGCTCAAATGATCCTTCCACCTCATCCAGCCAAGCAGCTGGAACTACAGGTATGTACCATCAAGTCTTGCTATATTGCTGGGATTGAACTCCTGGCCTCAAGCAATTCTCCCAGCTCAGTCTCTCAAAGGGCTGAGATGATGAGCATATGGCACCACAACCAGCCAATATTTCTCGTTAGGTCTCAAGCAGTCATTGAATATCTGCATCCATTCTGCTTCTCTAAAAACTTCTTTACACATCCCTTTTTGATTTTACTATTTGACATCTCTAAAATCTCTTTCTTTTTAAGAGCCAAATCAATAAATGAAGAGACTAATTTCACTGTCAATGCCTTGTCGTTCTTCACTTAGGAGAAATAGGGTAAAAGCAAAACCTCATTACACTACTTTTCTCAATCAAAAACTTTATCAACTTCAGGTTTCCATTCTTACTAATACCAAGAATCAAGAAAACATTCATTTGTTCTTAACTTAACTAGCTCAAATTCTCAGGAAGATGTGTTGGCTACCAACTTGGATTTGTCTTGATAGTAGAATGTGTGGTTCAAGTTAGAGAGTACACGAGAAAATCCAGGGTCAACTGGTTATTTAAAAAATTCTCACTAAAGAGTTTAGTGTCAGAAGAAATGATTTATCAGACTCTGGAACACAGAAAGAAGTACCTAAGAAGAAAAACACCCAACCTCACTAATATGATTTTCATTCTGTGCACAAATAGGTTATTGCTTTGAAACAGGTCAGAGTCTTGAGCTCCAAACAAAGTGGAGCTGTGACTGTGAAGAGTGTGTGTTGATGGGTGCAGAGGTAATGAGATTGCAAACTCAGAAGAAAAGCAAAAGAAAAACAAAAATGAAGAAATCTTGGACTGATGCCTATTTTTTTCTTTCTGTAACTGCGGCCCTTTTTGGAGGAGTTCTAACGATGGGTTAAACCACAAGGAGAAAATTAAACTTCTCTTAAATGTAGTTAAAATCCCTAGAGAGACATGAGTTTGTCACGACTGCCTGAGAAGATATTGGCTGGGATTAAATATTGAATGTGTCTGCCAACAATGACTGCCTGACGTGACACACGAGAGTTTCTCAGTGAGGAAAAAAAAGACCATGTAAGAGTACATGGATTTTATATTTTTCTGTGACTTAGATGTTGGTACCATTTATTAGACGAAAAGAAAAGTGCTGGAGCAGTTGGGGATTTTAAGAAACTACAATTATTGAAATAAGAGCTAAGTGTGATAGGAGGTAAAACCAACTGGGGATATGTAAGAGGTTTGCTGATAAATGTTTAGGGCAGTGGGGAAATAGGATTCCATAGATCCTTTACTGCCAGCAACCTGGTTACATGCTTTTTCTTGATCATAGATAAATAACTTAACTGTAGAAGGTAAGAAGACAAATGGAAGGAGTTAACAGATATTTGAAGATATGCAGATGGTGGGAGAAAGTTCAATGGTAATTGAGAATTGGTTCGCTGACAAGAGGGTTTTCCATAAGAAATAGTCTCTCTATTGGTTTAGAAAAAGTGTAGGACATTAGTAATAAGCTTTTGAATCTCCAAATTATGCCCAATAAATATTCGAATTAGAGTTGCTTCCAGACAGAGATGCCATTCATTTGGGAAGTTTCCCACCCCCCTTCAAATTTCTGAATGGGACAATAGAGGTAGAACCCAGACAACTGGGACATCTTCATAAAATATTCTTGAACATTCATGAGTTGAGTTTAGTGCTATTTGGAAGGAAACTGGTAAGCCTGAGAAAGGCACTAAATTGATAATGAAACACTAAAAAATAGCTTATAATTTGGTGGCATTAATAATTTCAGGTACTCTTTTATGTTTATCTACATTATACCATTTAATAGTCAGAATATACCTATGAAGTAGGTACTATTATTATTATCATTCTACAGATAAGGCAGATAAGGAGATTGAGACACAGAGATATTAAGACTCATACTTAAAGTCACACAAGCAAACGTTAGAACCTGGACTTCAGAGATCTGGCCAGGATCCTGTTCAGTACTTTCGATGTTACTCTAATTCTTCTCTAATTTGGGTTTGCTTCATGAATGTTTCTATATGCTGACATCTTTAAACTTCTGTTTTCTTATCTTTAAAGTTGGAAAAATATTTTATATTTTTTCTGATTATCTCTTGCTCCATAGTAAATTACCCTAAAACAGTAGCTTAAAACAATACCTTTAATTGATTTCATTCACACATTTTTTTCTGCCAAGCCTCGGGCAGCAGTCTTTCTCGAGTCTTTTCTATGGTTGTAGTCAGTTGGTGGCTGGGACTGGAGTCATCTTAAGGATGAATCTTCTTATCCTAGACACTAGGCATGTGAGTGATTGTCTTCCTCACTCAATCAGTCACATATCTAGTGTCTAGAATGAGAAGACTCAAACATCTGGGGGCTAGAACACCTCTTGTCTCTTGATCATCTCTCTGTGTGATCTCACCATGTGTATATGTGATCTCCAGCTGGCCTCTCTAACACATAGTAACTTCAATGAAACCAGACTTCTTATATTGTAGCTTAGGGTTTCAAAACCCAAGACAAAAAGAGCCAGGTAGAAACTGTATTGACTCAAATAACCTAACCTGAAAAGTCCTGTAGTGTCACTAAATTGTACTCTATTCCTTAGACAATTCACTAAGGTCAGTCCATATTCAAGAGGAGGGGAGTTAGACTAACATCTTGAGTGTGGTAGGCTAAATAATGCCTCCCACCCCCCACAAAAGATGCCACTTTCTAATCTCAGAGATCTATGCTATGCTTTACATGGCAAAGGAAACTTTGCAGATATGATTAAGTTAAGGATCTTGAGATGGAGAGATTATCCTGGATAATCCAGGCAGGCTTAATGTAATCACAAAAGGTTCTAATAAGAGAGAGCAGGAGAGTCAGAGTCAGAGAAGGAGATGAGATGACAAAAGCTGAGGTCAGAGTGAGGCCAAGCCCAGGCAAGGCAGCCTCTAGAAGCTGGAAAAGGCAAGGAAACAGATTCTCAACTCAAGCCTCTGGAAGGCTGGAGCCCTTATTTGATTTTTGATCCATTTTGGACTTCTAAATTCAGGAAATGTGAGATATTAAATTTGTGTTGCTTTAAGCCATTTACTTGGTGGTCATTTATCACAGCATCAATAGAAAACAAATACAAGAAGTATCAACTAATTTGTGGGTAGATTTTAAGACTATCACATCTATCATCCTCTTTGATTGGTTGTTCACTAAAAACCCTGTATTATGTGTCTTTCATGTGCTAGCATTGGGTTATATCCCTAAGGATTTAAAGATAAATTAAACATGATTCTTTTCCCCATTATGCTCATAGACAGTATTTATGGAAGGACTTTGTGCAACTCTAAAGGGTAATATAAATGTAATATATTGTGAGTCACTTCCAAAGTTTAATATGCAACCCAACCATTCCTTAATTTACTAAATCGTAAATCAGAATCAATATTTCAACAGATTGGAATTATGCATATATTATGAGTAAATTGCAAACAAATACAGAAGATAATTTGAAAATTAAATGTCAACAGGATTTGCAATAGACATTTACCATGTCTCAAAGTAAGAAAACCTGTTAGAATAAGTATACTGTGGGCAATCTCAGTGTTACAAGGCTGCTAATGAGCCTCTAGTACACTAAGAGACAGCCCCTAGGGATGAAAGGGGAGGATGGCTTATTCTTTCACTGAACTCTTAACTGAGGCAGCTAACAAGGTGCCCAACTGTGATTTAGACACATATCCAGTAGAAACTGGAGATAGAGTGTTAATTTAGTTTGTAAGGGTCACTGAACTAATTCCATTAGGTGACAACTTATGGTCACTACTGATAGGAACAAGAATACAAACCCGAAGCCAAAAAAGAGGGAGAAGAATTTCTTGAACAATCTCACTTACCAGGAAAAGCAATGAGAAAAGAAGCAGTCACTCAACTGAGATGCCTATTTTTGTTATGATATTTAGGTCCTGGAACACCTTTCCACACATGACAGTCACAAACAAAAATATGTAGTGTGACTAGAATATATAAACAAGGTCATGAAAATAAAGTTGATATCCACTAAGCCTTTTTTTAGAGAGCTACATCCACTTCAATCCTTGAAGAAAGTTGTCTGTTCAAAGGATAACAACTCGCAGGGTTAGATGTTAAGAAAGGGGAGTTATCAAGGAAGCTTACAGAAGGGATATTCAGTGGTCTGTCTTGGGTACTGGTGGGCTCTCTTTCCATAGCACAGCTGCCGGCAGCTGGCCAGCACCTCAGGCAGGCAGCTGGTAGGGGAAGAGTGGCCTCTGCCAGCTGGCACTAAAAAATTAAAATTAAAATTAAGGGAAAAAAAAACCCACCCTGAGGCACAGATGCATAACAATCAAGCATTCAGTTTCTGGTGTTCTCCCTTATTCTTCAGTCCTTAGGGAAGCCCAGCAGTGAGGTAGCTCCTCTCTCCCCAACCCAAGGTCCCCAGGCTGCTTTTCTCTGGTTTAGATTCCCTTTTTGGAGGTTTCTCTGTGTTCATGCATCCAAAACACAGTTCTTGAATCATAGCATGTGCCAAGCAATGTGCTAAGGGCTGAGGATGGAAATATAGAAATGAATTACATTTCCTTACTTCCATCAAGGTGCAAATTAAAAGGGCTATAGCTGATTTTTAAATGCCCATAAATAACGACAGAAAGTTGGATGACCATAGTGCTTACGAAACATAGAAGAGAGCCCACAGTGGATGAAGCAAGACAAGTATCACATCAAAAAAGAATAAGAATTAAGGCTTTCTCAGCTGAACAAATGGGAATAGCCTCTTTAAAAGGAATGAACATGAGGAAATAATGGAGGCATAAAATGGAAATTGAATTTTAAAATGTTACTGTACTGTTAGAGTACAGTCTGAGCTGCTACAACAAAAAGACCAAAAACTATAGAAGCTTTGAAATGTCATATATCTCTCTTTGATGGTATGTTTCAGCCAGATATGGCTCATAGGACAGCCCTGTCATCCTCAGTATGCAGTTTCTAGCTTCTGGATTACAGAAGTTGCTTGAGCTCTTGCAATCATTCCTATATCTCAGTTGGGGAGGAAAGGGCAAAATCCCCTCTTAAAAGAGCTACATAAAAGTATTATCTCCACTCACATTATCTCCACTCACAGAGAGCTTCAAATGAAGCTGGGGAATGCAGTAATTTGCCGAGTAGTCTTGTGCCAATCTAAAACTTAGGAATTCAATTAAAAACCAAAAGGGATAATTAACATTGGTAGAAAGCCACCCTCAGTTAGGAATAAAAAGTAAATCTATGTAAACATAGTTCTCATTCTTCGTGCATAATGAGTTTTATAATTTTCTCTGTAAATTATTTCATTCAAGATTTACATTCCCTGGGCTATTACCAGGACTGAAATATGAATCATTTAATGAACTATATATATCAGAGATAAGTTTCGAACAAGACATTGTGGGAAGTATTGTGGTGATAAAAAAATATGCTTAGGTGGACTCTAATAAAAATGGAATTTTAAAATGACAAAATATTATCATGGAAAATGAAGAGATGAATACACATTATTAGAGCCAGTAGTGTTGTAAGTTGGTCATCAACCTTCTTGACTGATTCATGGTACTCACTATAAAATAGACCAAATAGTCATAAAACTTTATTCTGTCAAGTCAAGAAACCGCAACTAAAAATAATTTTGTTCAACCTCCATTTTATCCTATCTCTCAATCTAGCCATCAGATTTTGATCTATGTAAGCCTCAAGGTAATACATTATTGCTCCTAGAGTCACGGTATATTCCATATAGTCACATTTCATGCATAATGAAGATGGCAGTGAACTACAAAGGTTTTTATCAACTCAAACAGGAATACTAATGTTGTCTAAGGGCAATTTATGGTATGTATTTTAAAAGAGTAAAAAAAAAAAAGTAGTTTTTAGGTCAATTCATATGTAGGGAAAAATTATATGACTTGGAGACATTTTGAAAAGACAAAATCTTTACCTTAATGGATTTTAAGATTCCTCTCTATTTCATAAAATTTATTTTTCTTCAATATACATATATATGAAAGAACGTATTGACAATTTAAAACTCACAAAACAAAGGTTTTAGTATAGATATTTTCTTTTTAAGTATTTGATTGCCTATTTTATGCAAGGCATTTTGCTAGATATTAGAATACAATATTAGATAAGTCATTTATCTTAATTTGGATAATTTCGCTGTAAGGATAAAACAGTCATCAAAAATAGATCAAATTAAAATAGTATGTTGTTAGAGATATTAAGAAGCAATCCACACTCATTTAAGAACTAAATGTTCACAAGGTTGGGCTTACTCAAGACCAAGTTGTGAAAGGTTTCTAGACTCAAGGAAGCCCTGGGGACCTTAGCAATATGTGGCGACTTTCACTCTAGTGTCCTCCCCTTAAGTACGACTCAGATAATTAACAGAAGGCTGGGTTGTGTTCTGGGTTTTGTTTTGTATTTTGGTTGTCATTCTATTTTCCTTTTCTGTTTCTCTACCAACTGACAAATTCATTCTAATATTCTTAGTTAAAATTGCCAAGAACAGGAATCCGATTCATGCAAATTCTTTCCCAGTCCCTGCTACAAATCATAGTCCCTGTCTTTAGTTATGTAGGTAGGTGAGTTCACAAAGTATAGAATCTCATCATTTATAGCAGATAGGCCCTGGGGAATTAAAGTCAAGGTTTTGATATCATGAAGTATACCTGCAAGCTGTTTTAAATTGTAAATTGACAAAATTCTTCCTGAGCAAACATTACCATTATCATTGACATGTTTTATAAAGCACTTTAACATAAACTATCTGAGGTATATTCACCTAAAAATCCTATAATGTAAGCAGAAGTGATCCTCAGAATAGTTAGTAACTTGTCTAGCATTTACATGAACCAATCAGAATGAATGCCCAAAATTTCAAATTGAATTGTTGTCACAAGCAGTCAGCATAATGAGCCATCACCTGCTGCCTGAACTGCAGCCCTGGATCCAAAGTCAGCCTTTATTTTATACCCATTTTATGGATTAAAAGAAAATAAAGTTCATGAGTGGTTATATGACATGTTTTTGTTTTCTGTCTCAAAAACCCTAGCAGTTTGCACACTTTGCTTCCATCTGTACCCTGTTACCTATTGTGACATATCACATGCTCGAAGGCCACATCTGGGACTTTCGTAAGTAGCAACCGTTTTTCTTTTCTGTGGTTTCTAACATGCTATATAAGATTTTATCTCTATTGTATTTCCCGTAACACTGACCTTCCATTGGCTTCTTTCTCTTTTCTACAGAGTATATTTTTGGAGGGCAAATCTGTTAATGTGTATTCTTTATGCTCTGTACATCCTATGTAAGATCATCAGTAAATATCTATTTACATTTTTTTGAAGGGCAGAGAAATTAGCAAGTGTATGTTCATGGGTTTAGATGAAGTAGAGTGTAGTAATTATGAACACCAACTCAGAAACTCAACATTTTGGGTACAGGTGTAAACTACACCACTTCTAGCCATGTGATCTTGGACAGGTTACTTATGCATGCTATAGCCATGTTTCCTCAAATGGAAAATCAGAATGATAAAATAATACTTAGTTCAGAGAGTTGTGGAGTTCAAATGCATGTAGAAAGCTTAGCATATTGCAGAATATATGTAAGTGCCAACAATAACTTATGGCTGTTATACAATCTGTAATATAGACTCCTCTGCTTCTTATACAGTGAAGGCATGCATTGCCCAGAGGGATTAGAGTTCAAAGTCAGTGCATGCAACAAAACTTGCAAATGTTTCCTAAGTAATTTTTAAGTAATTTTACTCTTTTAAATCTCTTACTCATCAAAAAAACACACTCGTATTTTCTATACAATTCTTAATATATCTAAGTATGCATAAATGCATAATGCACTTACTAGCGTATTTTCTATAATATTCCCTAGAAGGATCCTATTTAGACATTAATTTATTCAAGCCTTTTATTGCATAGAATTCTTCAACAAAATTACCAGGCTTCCATCTTCTTTATTTGTTGTTTTGCATTTGTCTCCCAGCTACAGCTAATTTTGTTAGGCAATGTTTTCTTTGGCTCTTAATTAGTTCTTCAATAGCTTTCTCCAGGAGGTCCAAGAAACCTATAACTATCTTCTTCCAGCCAGTCCCTCTGGAATGTTCTCAGCCTCCTTTTCTCTCTCTCAAATGTAGTTGAACTGAGATAACTTGAAAACAAGTGTGC
The DNA here is from genome assembly GCF_000001405.40 of Homo sapiens. Lineage (NCBI taxonomy): Eukaryota > Metazoa > Chordata > Mammalia > Primates > Hominidae > Homo > Homo sapiens. The sequence continues at coordinate 66,224,190 of NC_000013.11, forward strand.
TGTGATAATACTGTGTAATTTACTTATAAATTGTCTCTAGTACAAGGCATGTTTGGATTAGCCATATAAACAGTGGTTATCATTATTACATATATATAAGCAGCAAAAACTAAATCTTCGAGAGTTTAAGCAACTTTCTCGGGGTTACATACCCATAAGAGGTATGGGGACAGGTTATAAACTCAGGTCTTTAAGAGATAGACACTTCAACTTTAAATTAGTGAACCTCCAGGGAGTCATACCATGTGCAGAAAGAATTCTGAAAAATGGTGTGGGAGATTTTTGGTTGTGCTATAAACTGGGAGATGTTGCTAACATTTAGTGAGCAGTGGCCTGGGATGTGAATCTATTTCAATATGCCAAGAGATCTTTCAAAGAGAAATTGTACCAGGCAGTTTAAACATGCAAAAGAGACTTTACTCAAGACTTTTGCAATGAGAGAGAGAGTCTAGACTCAGCTCCTCTGAAAGAAAAGGTGGAAGCATTTTTTTAAGTTCTGGGATAAGCTAGTGAAAAAGCACAGGAAGACAATGAGTGTAGTTCCTCACTGTTATTAGGCCAGCTGTATTTGCTAACCAGCTCATCTAAGTTAGGCTCCCACCTTTCACAGAGACTGGGAAATAGAGGCACTATCTTTCTTGATCGCATTTCAAAGGGATGGCTACCAGATCCTCAGAAAGACATTTCTGGATTATAAGACTGCCTGAAGGCTTGCAGATTTACATCTCAAAGAGCCAGGGCAAGAATTTACAATGACAAGTGTTGTAACATAAATACTCTAAGAAAAGGCAGATCAGAGGCCCAGATTCAGGGAGACTCTGTCAAAAGTTTAGTCAAGCTTTATGAACGCAATATAAAGGATACCTTGTTCAAGTCCCACATAAGAAAAAATTGCCTCATCTCTTGCTTTTATGTACATGAAAAACTTTATAATTATGTAAGCTTGGCCACCCAGTCTATTTTGTATATTGCTATAGTCTGGATGCTTGTTTCCTCCAAATCTCATGTTGAAATTTGATCCACAACATTGGAGGTGGGGCCTAATGGGAGGTGTTTCGGTCATAGGGGCAGATCCCTCATGAAAGGCATGTGCCTTCCTTGCTATAATGAGTGAGCTCTCACTCTATTAGTTCCCTTGAGAGCTGGTTATTAAAAAGAGCCTGGTACCTCCCTCCACCCTCTCTCTGCCTTGCTTCCTCTCTTACCATGTGATCTCTGCACACGCTGGCTCCCCATCACCTTCTGCCATGAATAGAGGCAGCCTAAAGTTGTCACCCAATCTTCCAGCCAGCAAAATCATAGGACAAACAAACCCTTTTTCTTTAGAAATTATCCAGCTTCAGGTATTTCTTTATAGCAACACAAATAGACTAAGACATACATGAACACAAACATTTTCACACAAATTAAATAGAAATACATCTTCCAGGAATGCCACAAACTTTTTTCATTTAGAAAAGGTTGTTAATTTTGGAATATTATCAAGGCTTATTCCTTATCACAGAAAATCATGTTATTATTGTTCATGTTGATCACAATTTTTTTAATTTTTAATTTTTTAAACATTATATGTATGTATTGTGAGCAACATGGTATTTTGAAGTATGTATGCATTGTGAAATGGCTAAATCTAGCTAACTAACAAATGCATTACCTCACATAGTTTTTTTTTTTGTGTGTGATGAGAGCACTTACCATCCACTCTCTTTGCATTTTTCAAGATACGATATATCATCATTAACTGTAGTCTTCTTGCTATTTAATAGATATCTTGAATTTATTCCTCCCTTCCAACTGTAATTATATAGGCTTTGACAAAACATTTTCCTAACCCTCTCTCTCCACTAACCACCCTAACTTCTGGTAACCAACATTCTGCCCTCACTTCTATGAGATCAACTTTTTTGGATTCCACATCCAGGCAAGACTATGTGACTTTCTGTGACTGGCTTATTTCACCTAACATAATGTTTGCCAGGTTTATCCATGTGATATATATATAATTTTCTTTATCTCTTTATTGATAGCCACAGGTTGTTTCTGTATGTTTCTGTACGTTGGCTATTGTGAATAACACTGCAGTAAACATGGGAGTGCAGATATCACATGAAGATACTGATTTTCTTTTCTATGTTTTCTTTACAGATTTCATTGCAGCTATAAGGAAATACCCTCTTTTTCATGCACGTCCGTGTGAAGAGAACACCAAACAGGCTTTGTGTGAGCAACATGGCTGTTTATTTCACCTGGGTGCAGGCGGGCTGAGTCCGAAAAGAGAGTCAACGAAGGGAGATACGGGTGGGGCCATTTTATAGGATTTGGGTAGGTAAATGAAAATTACAGTCAAAGGGGGTTTGTTCTCTGGCGGGCAGGAGTGGGGGTCGCAAGGTGCACAGTGGGGGTGCTTTTTGAGCCAGGATGAGCCAGGAAAAGGACTTTCACAAGGTAATGTCATCAGTTAAGGCAAGGATGGGCCATTTACACTTCTTTTGTGGTGGAATGTCATCAGTCAAGGTGGGGCAGGGCATATTCACTTCTTTTGTGATTCTTCAGTTACTTCAGGCCATCTGGGCATATACGTGCAAGTCACAGGGGATGCGATGGCTTGGCTTGGGCTCAGAGGCCTGACATTCCTGCCTTCTTATATTAATAAGAAAAATAAAATAGTGTTGAAGTGTTGGGGCGGCGAAAATTTTTGGGAGGTGGTATCTAGAGAGAATGGGTGATGTTTCTCAGGGCTGCTTCAAGCGGGATTAGGGGTGGCGTGGGAACCTAGAGTGGGAGAGATTAAGCTGAAGGGAGGTCTTGTGGTAAGGGGTGATATTGTGGGGATGTTAGAAGAAACATTTGTCGTATAGAATGATTGGTGATGGCCTGGATACGGTTTTGTATTAATTGCAAAACTAAATGGAATAAGAGAAGGAGAAAAACAGGTATAAAAGGTCAAAGAATTGGGACAACTCAGGATATCTGATTAGAGAGTGCCTAAGGAGATTCAGCATAGTCCTGCCAGCAAAGATTATTTATTTACTTCAAGAGTTAAGAGTGGCAGTTTGGGGATAGTACCAGGAGATATCAGCTGTGATGGCTTGGAAAAACAGTGTAAACCGGCAGTGTAAACAAGAGCAGGGCATCTGTGAGTAGTTGAGAACAGTGAATGGGAGTATGACTAGACAGAAAATAGTAGGGATGACAAGTTTTTTTTTGCGGGGGCACAGTCTAAGTTGGTCTGGTGTCTGGAATGAGACTGGGGCCTAATAAAAAGGAGCGTCTATACAGGAGCTCAAATGGGCTGTACCCTGTAGCATTCTGAGGACAGGCCTGAATTCTGAGAAGGGAAAGTGGTAGAAGTATTGTCCAGTCCTTTTTAAGTTGGTGGCTGAGCTTGGTGAGGTGTGTTTTTAAAAGACCTTTAGTCCGTTCTACTTTTCTTGAAGATGGAGGACCAAAAGGGATATAAAGGTTTCACTGAATACTAAGCCTGAAAAACTGCTTGGCTGATTTGACTAATAAAGGCTGGTCTGTTATCAGACTGTATAGAGGTGGGAAGGCTAAACTGAGGAATTATGTCTGAAGAAGGGAAGAAATGACTGCGGTGGCCTTCTCAGACCCTGTAGGAAAGGCCTTCACTTATTCAGTGAAAGTGTCTCTTTAGACTAAGAGGTATTTTACTTTCCTGACTGGGGCATGTTGAGTAAAGCTAATTTGCCAGTCCTGGGTGGGGGCAAATCCTCGAGCTTGATGTGTAGGGAAGGGAGGGGGCCTGAATAATCCATGAGGAGTAGTAGCATAGCAGATGGAACACTGAGAAGTTATTTCCTTGAGGATAGATTTCCACGATGGAAAGGAAATGAGAGGTTCTAAGAGGTGGGCTAGTGGCTTGTACTATAGCATAACCTGCCTTTGCTGGTGTGTGGCGATTGGGCCTGGTGGAACCGCCATCAATAAATCAAGTGTGATCAGGGTGAGGAACAGGAAAGAAGGAAATTTGGGGAAATGGGGTGAATGTCAGGTGGATCAGAGAGATACAGTCATGGGGGTCAGGTGTGGTATCAGGAATAATGTGGGAGGCCGGATTGAAGTCTGGGCCAGGAACAATGGTAATTGTGGGAGACTCAACAAAGAGTGAGTATAGCTGAAGGAGCCGGGAAGCAGAAAGTATATGCGTCAGGTATGAGGAAGAAAATAGATTTTGGAAGTTATGAGAACTGTAGAGAGTGAGTTGAGCATAGTTTGTGATTTTGAGGGCCTCTAAAGTATTAATGCAGTGGCAGCTGCTGCACACAGACATGAGGGCTAGGCTAAAACAGTAAGGTCAAGTTGTTTGCACAGAAAGGCTACAGGGTGCGGTCCTGGCTCTTGTGTAAGAATTCTGACCGCACTAACTATGCCTAGGAAGGAAAGGAGTTATTGTTTTGTAAGGGATTGAGGTTTGGGAGATTAATCGGACATGATCAGCAGGGAAAGCACGTGTGTTTTTATGAGAATTATGCCGAGATAGGTAACAGATGAGGATAAAATTTGGGCTTGACTGAAGTAATGGGGGCTGTCTATGAAGCCTTGCGGCAGTACAGCCCAGGTAATTTGCTGAGCCTGATGGGTGTCAGGGTCATTCTAAGTGAAAGCAGAGAGAGGCTGGGACGAGGGGTGCAGGGGAATAGTGAAAAAAACATCTTTAAGATCAAGCACGGAATAGTGAGTTGTGGAGGAAGGTATTGAGGACAAAAGAGTGTACAGGTTGGGCACCACCGGGTGGATAGGCAAAACAATTTGGTTGATAAGGCGCAGATCCTGAACTAACTTGTAAGGCTTGTCTGGTTTTAGGACAGGTAAAATGGGGGAATTGTAAGGAAAGTTTATAGGTTTTAAAAGGCCATGCTGTAGCAGGCGAGTGATAACAGGCTTTAATCTTTTTAAAGCCTGCTGCGGGATGGGATATTGGCATTGAGTGGGGTAAGGGTGATTAGGCTTTAATGAGATGGTAAGGGGTGCATGATCAGTCACCAAGGAGGGAGTAGAGGTATCTTATACTTGTGGGTTAAGGTGGGGGGATACAAGAGGAGGACGCAAAGGAGGCTTTGGATTGGGAAGAAGGGCGGCAATGAGATATAGCTGTAGTCCAGGAATAGTCAGGGAAGCAGATAATTTAGTTAAAGTGTCTCAGCCTAATAAGGGAACTGGACAGGTGGGGGTAACTAAAAAGGATTGCTTAAAAGAGTATTGTCTAAGTTGGCACCAGAGTTGGGGAGTTTTAAGAGGTTTAGAAGCCTGGCCGTCAATACCCACAACAGTTATGGAGGCAAGGGAAACAGGCCCTTGAAAAGAAGGTAATGCGGAGTGGGTAGCCTCCGTATTGATTAAGAAGGGGATGGGCTTACCTTCCACTGTGAGAGTTACCTGAAGCTCAGCGTCTGTGATGGTCTAGGGGGCTTCTGAGGCTATCGGGCAGTGTCAGTCTTCAGCCGCTAAGCCGAGAAGATCTGGGAAGGAGTCAGAGAGCCTTGGGCCAGAGTTCCAGGGGCTCTGGGAGTGGCTGCCAGGTGAGTTGAACAGTTCAATTTTCAGTGGGGTCCCACACAGATGGGACGTGGCTTAGGAGGAATCCCGGGCTGTGGGCATTCCTTGGCCCAGTGGCCAGATTTCCGGCACGTGTAGCAAGCTCCTGTGGGAGGAGGTTCTGGAGGAACGCCTGGCTGCTGCAGTTCAGGCGTTTGGAAGTTCTTGTGTGCTGGAGATGTGGCTGGGGTTTGTCTCACAGTGGAGGCAAGGAATTGCAACTTTTTTCTGTTATTGTACACCTTGAAGGTGAGGTAAGTCCGGTTGTGGGGTTTGAGGGCCAGATTCCAATTTTTGGAGTTTTATTTAATGTCGGGAGCAGATTGGGTAATAAAATGTATATTGAGAATAAGATGGACTTTTGACCTTTTAGGGTCTAGGGCCGTAAAGCGTCTCAGGGTTGCTGCCAAATGAGCCATGAACTGGGCTGGGTTTTTATATTTGATGAAAAAGAGCCTAAACACTTCTGATTTGGGATAAGGAAAAGGAGCGTTAACCTTGATTATGCCTTTGGCTCCAGCCACCTTTTTAAGAGTAAATTGCTGGGCAGGTGGGGGAGGGCTAGTCAGGGAACGAAACTGTAAGCCCGACCAGGTGTGAGGAGGGGAGGTGATAAAAAGATTACAGGGTGGAGGAGCAGAGGCTGAGGAAGAATTGGGACCTAGCTCAGCCTGGCCAGGAGCAGCCTGGGGAGGAAGGGAGAGGTCAGATGGGTCTGTAGAAAAGGAAGATTAGAAAGACTCAGCGACGCTTGGGGTTGGTACTGAGGGGACAGGCAGGAGGGAAAGAAGGAAGATTTGGGACGAGTTGCACTGGGCACAGAGACTAGGAAGGGACTGATGTGTAAAATAATGCCTGGACGTCAGGAACCTCAGACTGTTTGCCTATTTTACGACAAGAATTATTTAGATTTTGCAGGGCGGAAAAATTCAAAGTGCCGTTTTCTGGCTATTTGGAACTACTGTCGAGTTTGTACTGGGGTCAAGCGGCATTGCAGAAGAAAATAAGGCATTTAGGTTTTAGGTCAGGTGTGAGTTGAAGAGGTTTTAAGTTTTTGAGAACACAGGCCAAGGGAGTAGAAGGAGGAATGGAGGGTGGAATGTTGCCCATAGTGAAGGAAGCCAGCCTAGAGAAAAGAGAGAGTAGAGAAATGGAGGGAAGGGGTTCGGGGGTTCTTACCTTCCAGAAAAGTGGGAAAAGGGGTTGGGGCACAGAGATAAGAGGTTGGGGTGAGGAAATAAGGGATTGGGGCGCAGAGATAGAGGTTGGGGCATGGAAATAAGGGATTGAGACATAGAGATAAGAGGTCGGGGTGCAGAAATAAGGGATTGGGGCACAGAGATAAGATGTCGGGGTGCAGAAATAAGGGATTGGGGTGCAGAGATAAGAGGTTGGGGTGCAGAAATAAGGGATTGGGGGTTCTTGCCCCGTAGAAAAGTGGGACTTGCCACTAAGGGTGAATTAGAAGGGGTTGAGGGGTACTTGCCCCTGCCCCAGAAAAGTGGGACTTGCCGCTAAGGGTGAAGGAGAAGGGGTTGAGGGGTCCTTGCCCCTCTCCCAGAAAAGCGGGACTTGCTGATAAGGGTGAAGGAGAAGGGGTTGAGGGGTACTTGCCCCTCTCCCAGAAAAGCAGAGAAGGGGTAGAAACAAGGAGAGAAGGGGTTGAGGTATTTACCCCTTCCCCAGAAAAGCGGGACTTGCCGCTAAGGGTGAAGGACCAAGGCAGGCGTCCCTGTGTGGTCTGACACCCTTTAAACGTGGGCGTATAATCAGAGAGGCGTCCCTGCAATGATTAAACACCAAGGGAAGGCTGCCTTCCCAGTCCGTGACCGGCGCTGGAGTTTTGGGTCCACAGATAAAACGTGTCTCCTTTGTCTCTCCTAGAAAATGAAAGGAATTGAAATTAAGAGAAGGGAGAGATTGAAGAGTGGAAAGGAGAAAGTGGTGGAGGGACAGTGAGAGAGGTTGGAGAAGAGAGTAAGAAGAGGCCGCTTACCTGATTTAAAATTGGTGAGATGTTCCTTGGGCTGGTTGGTCTGAGGACCTGAGGTCATAGGTGGATCTTTCTCATGGAGCAAAGAACAGGAGGACAGGGGATTGATCTCCCAAGGGAGGTCCCCCGATCCGGGTCACAGCACCAAATTTCATGCGCATCCATGTGAAGAGACCACCAAACAGGCTTTGTGTGAGCAACATGGCTGTTTATTTCACCTGGGTGCAGGCGGGCTGAGTCCGAAAAGAGAGTCAGCAAAGGGAGATAAGGGTGGGGCCATTTTATAGGATTTGGGTAGGTAAAGGAAAATTACAGTCAAAGGGGGTTTGTTCTCTGGCGGGCAGGAGTAGGGGTTGCAAGGTGCTCAGTGGGGGTGTTTTCTGAGCCAGGATGAGCCAGGAAAAGGACTTTCACAAGGCAATGTCATCAGTTAAGGCAAGGATGGGCCATTTACACTTCTTTTGTGGTGGAATGTCATCAGTCAAGGTGGGGCAGGGCGTATTCACTTCTTTTGTGATTCTTCAGTTACTTCAGGCCATCTGGGCGTATACATGCAAGTCACAGGGGATGCGATGGCTTGGCTTGGGCTCAGAGGCCTGACACTCTTGACTTAGCTAATGTCTTTTTAAAGATTGCTAAACTATCATATAATAGTGTTTCCTTAAAAAAGTTTGTGACAGAGGTCTTCAGTCACTTTTTAGTCACTCAGATGGATTGTTGTTACCTGTAATTACTCTCTTCTCAGATTTCAGTTCTCAAATTCTTTAGCTCAAGATGAATGCCTAAGAATGTAAAAATCATGCTTTACTCTTGAATACTTAGCATAGTTCTCTTGATGTGTGCCACCCAAAATGAAGAACAGATAGGCTGACACCTTGATGAACTAAGTACTTTTTGGTTTTCTTGGTAAATCATGATGGAAGGCAAAGAAGAAGTAGGCACTTTCTTCACAGGGTGGCAGGATGGAGTCAGTACTTGATTTTATTTTCTTTAAATAGATACCCAGTAGTGGGATTGTTTGATCATACGTTAGTTCTGTTTTTAATTTTTTCATACTGTTTTTCATAATGGCTGTATTAATTTAAATCCCCACAGAAATATGTAGGGTTCCCTTGTCTCCATATTCTCACTAACACTTGCTGTATTTTTTTCTTTTTCACAATAGCCATTATAGCTGGAGTGAGGTGATATCTCAATCTGGTTTTAATTTGTATTTTCTTAATGATTAGTGATGCTGAGCACTTTTCATATACCCATTGCTATTCTATTGCAGAGTAATATCTGTCTAGGTCTTTTGATCATTTTTTAATTAGGTTATGTGTTTTCTTGCTGTTGAGTTCCTTATGTACTATAAATATTGACCCCTTGATATGGTGTGGCTCTCTGTCCCCACCCAAATCTCATCTCAAATTGTAATTCCCACGTGTTGAGAAAGGGACCTTGTGGGATGTGATTAAATCATGGGAGAGGTTTCTCCCCTGCTGTTCTAGTGATAGTGAGGGACTTCTCACAAGATCTGATGGTTTAAAAGTGGTGGTTTCCCCTGCACTCTCTCTCCCTCCTGCCACAATATAAGATGCACCTTGTTTCTCCTTCACCTTCCACCATGATTGTAAGTTTCCTGAGGCCTCCAACCCATGTGGAACGGTATGTCAATTAAACTTTTTGTTTATAAATTACCCTGTCTTAGGCAGTTCTTTATAGCAGTGTGAAAATGGACTAATACAGAGAATTGGTACCAGGAGAGGGATACTGCTGTAAAAACACCTGAAAATGTGGAAGCGACTTTGAAACTGAGTAATGGGCAGATGCTGGAACAGTTTGGAGGGCTCAGAAGAAGAAAGAAAGATGTGGGAAAGTTTGAAACTTCCTAGAGCCTTGTTGAATGATTTTTACCAAAATGCTGATAGTGATATAAACAATGAAGTCCAGGCTGAGATGGTCTCAGATGGAAATAAGGAACTTATTGGGAACCGGAGCAAAAGTCACTCTTGCTATACCTTAGCAAAGAGACAGGTGGCATTTTACCCCTACCCTAGAGATCTGTGGAACTCTGAAATTGAGAGAGATTATCTAGAGTATCTGGTGAAAAAAAATTCTAAGCCGCAAAGCATTCACAATGTGAACTGGCTTTTCCTGAAAGTGTTCACTCACATGCATTCACAAAGGAGATGATTTGAAATTGGAACTTATGTTTAAAAGGGAAGCAGAGCACAAAGCCTTGGAAAATTTTCAGCCTGACCATGTGGTAGAAAAGAAAAATCCATTTTCTGGGGAGGACTTCAAGTTGGCTGCAGAAATTTGCATAAGTAAGGAGGAGCCAAATGTTAATAGCCACAACAACGGGGAAAATGTCTCTAGGGCTTGTCAGAGACCTTCATAGCAGCTTGGGCAGTTAAATGAGAAAGACGTCTCCAGGGCTTGTCAGAGACCTTCATGGCAGCCCCTCCCATCACAGGCCCAGAGCCCTAGGAGGAAAAAATGGTCTCATGGGCCAGCCCCAGGGACCCACTGCTCTATGCAGCTCTGGGTTATGGCACTCTGCATCCCAGCTGCTCCAGCTCTAGCCATGGCTAAAAGGGTCCAAGGTACAGCTCAGGCTATTGATTCAGATGTTGCAATCCCCAAGCCTTGGCAGCTTTCACATAATGTTGGGCCTATGGATACACAGAAGGCAAGAGAGGAGGTTTGGGAACCTCTACCTAGATTTCAGAGGGTGTATGGAAACGCCTGGATGTCCAGGCAGAAGTCTGCTGAAGGGGTGAATACCTCATGGAGAACCTCTGCTTGGGCAGCATGGAAGGAAAATGTGGTGTTGGAGCCACCACACAGAGGCTCCACTGGGGGACTGCCCAGTGGAGCTGCAAGAAGAGAGTCACCATTCTCCAGAACCCAGAATGGTAGATCCACCAACAGCTTGCACCATGCATCTGGAAAATCCACAGGCACTCAACGTCAACCCATGAAAACAGCCACAGGTGCTGTAATCTGCAGAGTAACAGGGATGGAGCTGTCCAAGACTGTGGGAACCTACTCCTTGCATTAGTTTGCCCTGGATGTGAGACATGAACTCAAAGGAGATTTTGGAGCTTTAGGATTTAATGACTGCCTGGCTGAGTTTCTGATTTGTATGGGGCCTTTGTCCACTTTGTTTTGGCCAATTTCTCCCATTTAGAATAGGAACATTTACCCAATTCCTGTATCCCCATCGTATCTTGAAAGTAACTAACTTGTTATTTATTTTACAGGCTTATAGGCAGAAGAGACTTGCTTTGTCTCAGATGAAACTTGGACTTTGACTTTTGGGTTAATGCTGGAATGATTTAAGACTTTAGGGAATTGTTGGGAAGGCATGATTTGTTTTGAAATGTGAAAAGGACATGATATTTGGGAGGGGCTGGGGCAGAATTATATTGTTTGGCTGTGTCCCCACCCAAATCTCATCTTGAATTATAATCCCCGTGCATCTAAGGAGGGACCTGGTGGAAGGTGATTGGATCTGGGGAGCTGTTTCCCCTATGCTGTTCTCATAGTAATAAGGGAGTTCTTAGGAGATCCAATGGTTTAAAAGTGGCAGTTTCCCCTGTGCTCTGTCTCTCTCTCTTTCTCCTACAACCATGTACGACGAGCCTTGCTTTCCCTTTGCCTTCTGCCATGACTGTAAGCTTCCTGATGCCTCCCAGCCATGCAGAACTGTGAGTCAACTAAACCCCTTTCTTTATAAATTACCCAGTCTGAGGCAGTTCTTTATAGCAGTGTGAAAACCGACTAATACACCCCAACCTGATGTATAGTTTGTAACTATCTTTTCCTATTCTGCAAGTTTTCTCTTTACTCTCTTGATTGCTTCCTTTGTTGTGCAGAAGCTTCTTAGTTTGATGTAAACCTGTTTGTCTGTTTTTGCTTTTTTTGCCTGTCCTTTTGAGTTCTTTTCCAAAAACTTCTTGCCCAGACCAAGATCATGGAACTTCAACACTATGTTTTTTTCTAGCAATTTCATAGTTACAAGTCTTACATTTAAATCTTTATTTTGAGTTGATTTTTGCATTTGGTGAGAGATAAGTGTGTATTTTATTATTTGGCATGAGAGTATCTAATTTTTCTAACATCATTTATTGAAGAGACTGGTCACAGAATTTGAATTATCAAAGTGTGCTTTTTGTAGCTATTTTGTTTTGGGCAATTCTATATGCAGATTCAAAAATCTAATATACTTCATTTTGATTTCTAATAAATTCACATCTTAGTATTTATAATTGACCACATATAATTATACTATAAATTACTTTTCTTTTACTTCTCCTTTACATTACAGTTATAGTATCTTTTAAAAATTTATTCGTTGTACATTCTGTATATTAGTCCTTTGTCAGATGTATCAATTGTGAAGATTTTCTCCCACTCTGTGGGTTGTCTCTTTACTCTGCTGACTGTTTCTTTTGCTGGGCAAAAGCTCTTTAGTTTAATTAAGTCCCAGCTATTTATCTTTGTTTAGATTGCATTTGCTTTTGGATTCTTGGTCATGAAATCCTTACCTAAGCCAATATCTAGAAGGGTTTTTCCAATATTATCTTCTAGAATTTTTATATTTTCAGGTCATAGATTTAAGTCCTTGATCCATCATGAGTAGATTTTTGTATAAGGTAAGAGATGAGGATCCAGTTTCATTCTCCTACATGTGGCTTGCCAATTATCCCAGCACCATTTGTTGAATAGGGTATCCTTTCCCAACTTTATGTTTTTGTTTGCTTTGTTGAAGATTAGTTGGCTGTAAATATTTGGGTTTATTCTGAGTTCTCTATTCTGTTCCATTGGTCTATGTGCCTATTTTTATACCAGTATCATGCTGTTTTGGTGACTGTGGCCTCATAGTATAGTTTGATATCTGGTAATGTAATGTCTCCAGATTTTTATTTTTTATTTTTTTGCTTAGCCTTACTTTGGCTCATGCAGGCTCTTTTTTGGTTCCATATGAATTTTAGGATTGTCTTTTCTAGTTCTGTGAAGAATGATGGTGGTATTTTCATGGGAATTGTATTGAATTTGTAGATTGATTTTGGCAGAATGGTTATTTTCACAATATTGATTCTACCAATCCATGAGCATGGGATGTATATCCATTTGTTTGTGTCATATATGACTCCTTTCAGCAGTGTTTTTTAATTTCCCTGTAGAGGTCATTCACCTCCTTTGTTAGGTATATGCCTAAGTATTTTATTTTTTTGCAGCTATTGTAAAAGGGGTTGAGTTCTTGATTTGATTCTCAGCTTGGTTGCTGTTGGTATATAGAAGAGCTACTGATTTGTGTACATTAATTTTGTATCAATAAACTTTGCTGAATTATTTTGTCAGTTCTAGGAGCTTTCTGGAAGAGTAAAGCATTCTATGATCTATTATCGTATCACTCTACCTTTCTACCTCTTTTCCTCATGCCCCATTCTTTTTAGTCTTGTTTACTCCTCTTTATAAAATAATTTGGTTTCCCTAACCCTTCAGACTCTTGCAGATCTTGTGTCTAGAGAGTTCTCCCTATGGCAGCTGTCCTCCATCCCTTATTATAGTCCCTCTATTCCCTTACAATAAATCTTACTAATAAATATCTCCTTGATAAACTGGAATTTGTTTTCTACCTGGCACATTGTTATCTTAGCAAAACAGACTAACTCAAATTCCATCAAGATTAGAAAATGGCATGGAATACAAATACATACATTCTACAGTATTTCCAGAACAGATTAATACGTGTTTAAAAGTTGGTGAGAGATTTCTTCAGAAGCTCATTAAAGTAACTCAGCCTTCTTAGACTGCTCTGTCAGGCAAAAGATTATTGTTTCCTTCTTTCCTTTATTGTTCTTAAACTAATCCCTCTTCAATGTGCAGCACAGATAGTTAATCCCTTAAACAGCCAGGTGGGAGCTCTTACTGATGGTATTATAATGGTCAGCACTGGTTTTAGGGAGGTCAGATCAAGCCCTAACAAACAGGAAGGAAAGTATGAATGTCAATGGTAATGATTATTAAACAGACTGTGGAAAATAGAGAAAAGATTAAGCCAAGTTTAGATGATCTCCGAGTGCACTTAAGTCACAATGGTGCTTGGCTGCTCATAGCCATGTTCTTCACAAAGGACAAAGCGGGGCAGCAATTTAACAACACAGCTGGTTTTCCTTCCTCAAGATGGCAGTAGTTTAAGTCTGGATGTGGTAAAAAAGAAAAAAAAAAGGCCACTAATACATACAAACTATGACGTTTTACATTTTTTATTGGCTTGAAAACTCAACTCTTTTGACTGGGCTACCAAAGAAAAAATTAAAAAGCAAGTAATGTGAAGTGATATTGAAAAGGTTGGTTTTTTAAAAATATGTAAGACAAAATGTGTTTTCTCTAATAACTAAAACAAAAAAAAAATTCCAAAATGTAATTTTCAAATCAACCTGACCTGTTACTTCACATCTGATCCCTTGTTCAGTCAAGATTCAGAATTGAAACTATGCATAAGTCTTTTTTTCCTAAATATGCCAGATATAGGCTCTATCCTAAATTCTTTCACTAATTCCACAAATCCATGCTGAGAAACAATGGCAGTTTTGCCAGGTAGGAAAATGAGAGCATCACATAACTGTACTGGTACTGCTGGCAGATGTCAACAGTCATGATCATTGTCCAGGAAGATAAATGAAAGGCAACATTCAGTTTTCCAACAAATAAAATGTTAACACGTTTGAAGATAGAAGATGGCATTTTTCATTTTAATTTAAAAAATAAACAATATTTTATATCAACATAACTATTGAGACCTTTATGTTAAAAACACATATTTCTTCATGAGTACAAAATCACATATATCACACATTGATTTCTATATTCCTTAAATAGCTGGATTATATTTCCTAATTTATAGCTCTAAATGAACCTTAATTTCAAAAAACCTAGATTGATATTACCTACATTGGAAGTGATTTAATCATAACTTATTTAATTAATTTATAACAAAAGTAAATATAAAACATAGTATGATTATTTTAATGTAATTTGATTTCTACATAATAGTTTTATTTAAATATTATACATATTTCTTATTCCCGTTTTGAAAAATTAATAAGGATATTTCAAAAAGACACATATTTTTATCTATTTCTATGTGTGTATTTTATTCTAGAATGTTCTACGTATTGGCATATCTTTTTACTATTATGTCATTTTATGAAGTTATAAGTATGCCCTTCCAAGTATAAAATTTATAGTCTGTGTTTTCTTTTCTTACCTATAATCAGAAAGCACTAATGTTGATGAAAATTTCTTTGTTGTGAATGGGAAAGAGAGAAACAAATGAGAGAGGGAAAAAAAATAAAACTCGCTATATGTTCTTTGTGAATGGCTTAAAACTAGACAATTATTGAGGCAACACATTTCCCACCCTCATGCCCACCCCAATCTTTTCTCCTGTGAACATGGCATTTATCACTTAGTGGGGGTTTAAAGCAGGTGAAAAAATTAACTCTAATGATTTTCTTTTGCTTTCTGATATAGAAGGTGTGTAAGGTCTGGGAGGCAGGCCTGTGTCAGGCAGAGGTGTCATTAACTAGTGTGCAATGGTGATTTGAGTGTGTTTATAGCAACTTGGCCCTGAGTAATTCCAGAGAAATGAAATAACATGCCTTTCCAAACAAAGTAGAATAAAGCTCCTCATTAGTAGAAGAGGCCAGTATGTCTCTTGGGGATGTCACTCATCTCAGGCAGTCTACACTAAATGGATTGTTTTAGGGCCACATAATGGATAATCTTCTTACTGTTAATTTTTTTCCTGCTATTAACATTGTCATGGCTTCCTAAACTTCAGGGATCACTTATTTAGTTTGTTTGGAACTATTAAAAACATTGTCTATCTCATTATTCCTGTGATTTGTATTTCATTTCACACTTTCATCTGTTCTATCCTTTTCAGTCATTTGTGTGTTGTTCCTTGCCTGGTGCTGTTAGCACTGAGCACTGGAGTGGTACCTGATCTATCAGTATGCCATCCTCAGATGTCTGATCTGTGCCAATGTAATAAGAATGAATGTTCCATGACATATCTAAGATAAAAAATGTCATATAAAGAAAAGTTTCGCTCAAATTCTTTACTTACCAATATTATCATTAGGTCCAATACTGTATTAATTATTTTTCTTGGTTTTTCTCTCCTTCCCTTGAGTTTTACTAGAAAGCTGCAATTGTCATAGCCCATGAAAAATGGCAGCTGCTGGCTCTCGGTTAATAGCTGTTGCTTTTGCTAAGGCTCCTTGGCCACACCACCATACAGGTGCAGTTAACTTTTATTCAGTAGGGAGAAGTCTCCAGAACTTGTGCTGAAAGCTTGCTACATAAATTTTTGCCAACATCCCAAGATTTCAGTTCTCAGGTCTAAATAGTCATTGGTATTCCCCACCTACTCCCATCCAAGCTCTTCAGCCTTTAATATACTGATGACAAGATTGGTACCACTCTACGTCTTTGAGAAACTATCTCATTTTCCTTCAGTTTGAGTAATCTTCATATCTGTTACCCAGAACTACCAGCCTTCAACACCTTCTATTTTAGGAAAAATTTCTAACTAATTTTCTTGATGAGTTTAGGGGATACATAGCGTAATCGTAGTCTAAGGGGGCAAAATCAACTCTTACAGGTGTTTTGCTGTGGCCTAGGCCATGTCTTGAAAATTAGATAATTTCACATCAAAATCTAGATAGTAGGATGTTCTTCAAACATAAAGAGGTGATTAATCATGACTAAGGATAAGTGAATCCATAATTTAAAAACCACTATGTTGACTAAAAAAAACTCAATAGGAAAACTTCCACATTAAAGAGTTAATCTATTACTTGACAAATATGAGTTTTTCCTCATATTTAGTGAATATTTGATGATTATGACTGCATGAAATATGTTTTCATAAGGTAAGTGAATTTCAATTTCTTGAAAACCTCCCTGTATCAGTCTCTTTTTAGGTAGTTTTGATAGAATTAAAATATTAATATAGCCCCTGACTGCAGAGATGAAGACGTGGTATAAATCTGGTTATTCAGAGCTAGAGACACTAAATGGTAAGATTTTTAAAATAATAATAAGACATATGTTCTCTTTTATGTAATTCTTCACACTGTGAGGATGTTGCCCCAGCAATGATGGAGGCAATAACAAGTAGAGAGCCTACTAAGAGTGAAGCCAATGTGGAGAAAAGCAGAACTCAGGGCAGAAAGTGAGGGTGCATGATGCCCATTGAGCCTATGTTTTTGGCCACTCTGAACTTGGTCTTTCCCAGGGCATTTTAAATCCATAAGCTAATACACTCCCATTCTTCTCTTAGCCATTCTGAGTTAGGTTTCTGTCATTTGAAATCAAAGGTCCTAACAGGGAACCTTCTGACATACATATTTTTCCATTCATGAATTATCTTGTTCTTAACTCTTTTCTTTCTTCTAACATTTCTCTATACTCTTTTCAATAGATCCCTTCATACTTTCTACCCCTTCCAGTTGATTGAACTTACCAGCATCTTGAGAAACAAATGTTATTTGTGGCAGTCTGGCATGCTGAACAACTGTGAGAAGCTAGCATAAAATGCTAGACTGTTAACACAACACACATGCACACACACACACAGACACACACACATGCACATACACACACACAAATAACTTTCTTGCTTTCTAAATCACTGAAATTTAGGAGGCAATTTAGACTATCATCACTAATTTGTCAACATATTTTATAATTCAAATTTAGCTGTTGGTCATGTTGTGATTCACAAAGAAGGTAAAAATTTATATGGAATAATTTTAAATATCTCTACAATTATTTGAAACATATTACATTTAAAGTCTCTATTAAATGCTAGCTGTGGAGGATGTTTTGCTTTTTTATAGTTTAAACATATAAGAAATGGGAATATCAGAGTGGAGAAAATAAAATTTATGGTAAATTAATCTATATTTGAATTTTAGTTAAATCCATTATAAATTCCTTCATTTAAAATGGTAGTAAGAGTGTTAATGTGAAATTAGTGGATTACAAATAAAATGTAAAACAAACAAATTGAAAAGGAAATCCAGAGGACAGTAAGGTCACATGTCAAAGCAAAATCATCCTGCTTTTTCAAATAATTTGAATTTCCACTCTTGTAGCATTTGACCAGTATTCATAAAATCCACCCCAGGACTAAAATTATTGGTGAATGGTTGGAAACTGAGGTGAGCAGGCATTTAGTAATTGTTCAGTGGTCTGTAAAATGAATTTCTGATCTCAGTCCAGTCATAAAACCTATCATCACAATTGATGCAAGTCAATGCCTTTTCCATCAGTCTCATCAGAGAAATCTGGGACTGCCTGAACACAGACACAAAAATGTCTCCTATAGACCCAAAATCTAAGTCAAAATTAAGGATCACTGATAAGGAAGTCACTGTCTGTATTTGAATCACTGTGTAACTAAATGCAAAGCTTTAAATGATCATTCTAGTTCTTTTAAGAAGATTTACACTCTCTCTGAAGATAGAGTAGAATAGATATTGTGAAAATCCTACATCCTATAGGAGAAAAATTGGAGATAGAAAAAGTCTCATCCCATGGGCAGAAAAGTGGAGGATCGCCTAAGGTCTTAGTCAATACAACAAACATTCTTACTTAGAAGTGGAGTGAGGTCCAAAGAGTACCCTTTGTGTCCAAGTAAACCAATGCAATTCAGAGTGGTTTAGAAGGTCAAAATTAAAATATATATATAAATGAAATGTTTTTATTCCTGTCTGAAATGACTTGACAATATTATATTTGCAAAATTCTAGGTGTCCTCCAGGGATTTTTCACAAGCCTTAAAATAACCTTTCTCTCTCAATCAATGTCACTCTTTATTTGACAAGTTTTAACTTCCAGCCACATTCATAAAGTTATACTTTTTTCTGTCAGGTTCTGTTTAAGTGGGTCTCGGGGAATCAATTGAGAAAATTAGAAACGAGCTCTACTTGACACCCAGTGTCCAATTCTTCAGTCCAGCTATAACTGGCCCTGGCTGCCCTTCTCCTTGATTTCCTAAAAAACTCTTGTGATTTTTTTCTATCCTGAATGTTCTTTCATCTTATCATCCTCTTGTGATTGGAGAATCGGATAAAGCTGAGATTTTAGGATATGTATAATCTTTGTCATGGTCTGGTCTTAGATATTGGGAAGGTGATATTTTGGAGTACTAATTTTTCTAGCTAGAAATAGGTGCTACATGCAGCAAGAACTCAAGAATTTGCAATTTGCAAGATTTAGATCAGGTCACTAAATGAGAAAAAATATAAGATTACCTTGAGTACAGGCACCTCCAAATTAAAGATAAAATCCCTCTGAATCTTATGGACTATGGTTGAAATGTGACAGCAGTGCTTACTTGAGAGGAAATGTTATAATGTGTAAGGAAGTATAATCTGCACCAACATTAGTGAAGTCTAATATCTTTGATTTAGGTGTGGTATGGAACACTGAGGCTAGCAGACATCATAAACATGTAAATTTTATCCTTAACATATTTTAACCTGTAAATATAACTAGTCTCTTCTCTACTTTTTATCACTGACCTCCTGTATAGGAAGGGTGTGAGGAGAAGCCCCTGACGTCTTAAGTGTTTCAGCCAGAAAAGAACTGGCTATCTTCAAAATACCTACATTTATATGGCGCATGGTCCTGGACTGTGTAATGTTAACTGGAAAAAGGCTGGAAAATATTTTCTCAGAACCTCATACCCTGTAAGATTCTAAGTTCTAACTGACCAAAAGAGGAATTGGGAGATATTTGAAAGGTGAAAAGGAAACAAAAAGCCATTGTCTCAGAAGGTCATAATATTCAAACATAGTGACACACCTAGAGTTGCCAGAGGGTCTCAGTTAGTCCTTGGTCTGCTCTGTTTCCCTTCTCAACTGTTGGTCTTGCTGCTCAAAGCAGCCCCAGATTTACCAGCAGGCACTTGGCTGTGAACTCACTTGGGGGTAGCTACACAAAAGAAGCAGCTTCTCTAGAGACTGCACTTCACATACACTTTTCTAGGAGCTTCCTCTTCACAGCCTTACTTTAGTTGTCAGGTATGTTTGGCTTTTCAGAGTCTCTTGCAAGCATCACTGATTCATGCACACAACATTTTATTGGTTGTCATTTGTATTTCAATTTCTTTTTATTTCAGGTATTCAGTCACAGGAAAATTGTACTATGGATAAAAGAATTATTATTAAACTCTTTCTATATGAAATATTCCTTTTGTTCAGTTTTACTGATTACAAGCAATGTAATTGTCAGATCATCCATAAATGAAATATAGACATATCGTAAAATTTGGGCCACCCCCATCAGCATAGACTTAATCTCAAGAATAAAGTCATACAAATTGTCAATAAGTGGGATAAAACAAAAGAATAAATTTGGTTGTTTAAATTGTTTCAGCATATATTAAACCTGTCGTGAAAAATGTTGTGCTCCCCGATCAGTGTCCTGAAAGAAGTCCCTAATTATGAGGTCTTCTGCTACCTCTGTCAGCACCTTTATTTAATACTTGTTGGATTTTCTAACTGCTTTCATTTCAGGATACTCTATTGGACCAAGGCATATACAAGCATTGAGGATCTGACATTTCATTGCCAGCTGCAAACTTTTCTTTCCCTTGGTAAATTGGCAGAAGACCTGATCATTTGCTTTGTTTATAGTTGTTTTATTCTTTCTGTTTAGGAAAGAAATTGTTTAGGAAAGAAAAGCAAACATGACAGTCTAAGCCCATGAGTAGAACTAGAATCTGTTCTGGTTATTTACTGCATTACAAAGCACACCAAACTTGGTAGTCTAAAACAATAATCACTGTATTATATTCAGGATCTAAAGGCAAGAAATTCAGTTCCAGTTTAGCTAGATGAGTTTTCTGTCCTATATGGCATCAAATTGGGTTACTTAGTAGTATTCAGCTGGCAGTTAAGTTAGTCTGGGGGCTCAAAAATGACTTAACTCACATCTCAGGTGCCTTGGCAGAAATAGCTGGAAAGCTGTGCCCAGGAGTGTCACTCTCCATCACTATGAGGACTCATATCCTTCACATGTGGTCTGTCCAGCAGGGTGCTCAGATGTCTAATATGACAGCTTAGGGATCTGGTATGGTTTGGCTCTGTGTTCCCACCCAAATCTCACCTTGAATTGTATTCCCCATAGTCCTCAAGTGTCAAGGGCATAACCAGATAGAGGTAATTAAATCAGGGTGTGGTGTCCTCCATGCTGTTCTTGTGACAATGAATGAATCTCATGAGAGCTGATGGTTTTATAAGCATCTGGCATTTCCCCTGCTTGCATTTCTCCTTCCTGATGCCTTGTGAAGAAGGTGCTTTCTTCCCCTTCACCTTCTGCCATGATTGTAAATTGCCTGAGGCCTCCCCAGCCATGCTGAACTGTGAGTCAAATAAACCTCTTTCCTCTATAAATTACCCAGTCTCAGGTATGTCTTTATTACCAGCCTGAGAAGGGACAAATACAGTAAATTGGTACTGAGGTAGTGCGGTGCTGCTATAAGTGCACCCTAAAATGTGGAAGCAACTTTGAACCTGGGTAACAGACAGAGATTGGCAAAGTTTGGAGGGCTCAGAAGGAGAGAGAAAAGTATGGGAAAGTTTGTAACTTCCTAGAGACTTGAAGGGCTCAGAAGACAGGAAGATGTGGAAAGGTTTGGTACTTCCTAGAGACTTGTTGGATGGCTTTAATCAAAATGCTGATAGCAATACAGACAATGAAGTCCAGACTGAGGTGGTCTCAGATAGAGATGAGGAACTTGTTGGGAGCTGGAGTAAAGATTATTCTTGTGATGCTTTAGCAAAGAGACTGGTGGCATTTTGCCCTGTCCTAAGATCTGTGGAAATTTTAACTTGAGAGAGATGATTTAGGGTATCTGGCAGAATAAATTTCTAAGTGTCAAAGCATACAAGAAGAAGCAGAGCATAAAATTTTGGAAACGTTTCAGCCTGACAATATGATAAAAAAGAAAAACCCATTTTCTGGGGATAAATTCAAGCTGGCTGCAGAAATTTGCTTATATAGCCAGGAGCCAAATGTTAATCACCAAGACAATGGGGAAAATGTCTCCAAGGCATGTCAGAGACCTTCATGGCAGCCCCTCCCATCACAGGCCCAGAGGTCTAAGAGGGAAAAACGGTTTTGTGGGCCAGGTCCAGGGTCCCCCTGCTCTATGTAGCCTCACAACATGGTTCCCAGTGTCCCAGCTGCTTTAGCGTAGTTGTGACTAAAAAGGGCCAAGGTACAGCTCAGGCTGTTGCTTCAGAAGGTGCAAGCCCTCAGCCTTGCGGCTTCCACATGGTGTTGGTCCTGTGGGTGCACATAAGCCAAGAATTGAGGTTTGGGAACCTCCACCTAGATTTCAGATGATGTATGGAAATGCCTGGATGTCCAGACAGAAGTCTGCTGCAGGAGTGGAGCACAGATGGAGAACCTCTGCTAGAGCAGTACAGAAGGGAAATATGGGGTTGGAGCCACCATAAAGAGTCCCCACTGGGGCACTGCCTAGTGGAGCTGTGAGAAGAGGGCCAACATACTGCAGATCCTAGAATGGTAGATTCACTGACAGCTTACACCGTGCACCTGGAAAAGCCAGACACTCAACACCAGTCTGTGAAAGCAGCTAGTAGTGAGGCTGTACCCTGAAAAGCCACAGAGGTGGAGCTGCCCAAGGCTGTGGGAGCCCCCTCTTGCATCAGTGTGACCTGTTTGTAAGACATGGAGTCAAAGGAGATCATTTTGAAACTTTAAGGTTTAATGACTGCTCTATTGGATTTTGGACTTGGATGGGGCTTTGTTTTGGCCAGTTTTTCCCATTTGGAACAGATGCATTCACCCAATGCCTGTAAGCCCATTGTATTTAAGAAGTAATTAACTTGCTTTTGATTTTACAGGCTCATAGGTGGAAAGGACTTGCCTTGTGCCAGATGAGACTTTGGACTTGAACTTTTGGGTTAATGCTGGAATGAGTTAAGACTTTGGGGGGACTGTTGGAAGAACATGATTGCATTTTGAAATGTAAGGACATGAGATTTGGCAGGGTCCAGGTAAGGAATGATATGGTTTGGTTCTGTGTTCCCACCCAAATCTCACCTTGAATTGTAATCCTCATAGTCCCCACCTCAAGGGCAGGACCAGTCAGAGGGAACTGAATCACAGGGGTGGATTCCCACATGCTGTTCTCATAATAATGAGTCTCGGGAGATCTGATGGTCTTGTAAGAGTCTGGCATTTCCCCTGCTTGCAATTCTCCTTCCTGCCACCTTGTGAAGAAGGTGCCTTCCTTCCTCTTTGCCTTCTGTCATGATTGTAAATTTCCTGAGGCCTTCCCACCCATGGCGAGACAGACATGAACTGTGAGTCAATTAAACCTTTTTCTTTTATAAGTTACCCTGTCTTGGGTATCTCTTTATTAGCAGGATGAGAATGGACTCATACAAGATCCAACTATGAGTGCTCCAAAAGATAGAAAGTGGCAAAAGGTCACTTCTGTCATATTCTATCAGAGTATTCACAGAGCCTGCCCAGATTCAGGAAACAGAGACGTTGACCCAACATTTCAGTTTATGGAACATCACACATTTTCTGGTTACCTTTAATTCACCACATAACTAGAAATGGACTGGTGCATATGGTCATTAAAAATCTTAATATGTTAGAGCTGGAAGGATCCTGAGTGCACATTGAATTCTCTTCAATTAAAAAAAAGTGGTGCCAGTAAGCCCCAGTGACAATAAAGGTATTACTCAAGATAAAAGAGTTAATCAGATTCAGAGCAGACACTAGACACTGACCTTCTGACAGAGTCCAGTATCCTTTGAACACTAAAAAACATGTGGATAGTAATTACTATTTTCTGTGAAATCTTTTCTGGTATAATTATTATTATCCATAGTGCCATAAAACACAGTTTAGCACATAGCAGGTACTGAGTGGACTGCATAAAAAAATTTTTAAAAAAGTCTGTGCATATGAGTTTATAGTCTGGAAGGAGAAAAATTTCAGTGAGCAAGAAATGGGCTTTCATGTCAGACCACCTGGTTGTGACTTCAGGTTCCAGTGTAACCTTGGCTGATTATTTAACTTCCCAGTTCCTCGGTTTCCTCAAAATAAACTACTTTATAAACTTTCTGATTCCTCAGTTTTCTCAAAATAAACTACCTTATAAGTTTATTGTAAGGATAAAATGAGATGCTCTACAAAAGGCCAAGCCCATAGTAAGCGGTCAGGAACTCTTAGCTATTGCTTTCACAGTTTGGGTTTGTTTGATAATACAGTCCTTTTTTTTTTTTTTTTTTTTTTTTTTTGAGATGGAGTCTCGCTCTGTCACTCTGTCACCCAGTCACCCAGGCTGGAGTGCAGTGGTGCGATCTCAGCTCACTGCAAGCTCTGCCTCCTGGGTCCACACCATTCTCCTGCCTTTCCTGCCTCAGCCTCCCAAGTAGCTGGGACTACCAGTGCTCGCCACCATGCCCAGCTAATTTTTTGTTTGTTTGTTTTGTATTTTTAGTAGAGATGGGGTTTCACTGTATTAGCCAGGATGGTCTCAATCTCCTGACCTCGTGATCCGCCCACCTTGGCCTCCCAAAGTGCTGGGATTACAGGCATGAGCCACCACACGCAGTCGATAGATAATACAGTCCTTTTCTGAAGACATTTATTATCTCATTGTTATCTGGATATGGTCATCAACTGAAAGTGAGTTGTAGGGGAATGTAGGAATATCGAACAAAAGGAAGAAGGTATAAAACTGTTTTCTCAGAGAGTGGAAAAATGTATAAAATTTTAGAGCAATTGAGTGACCCTTTGAAGTAATGAGTTTTAAGTGAAACTAAGCAGTCTGCTGTAGTTTTCCTCCAGAAATATTCAGTTGTTTAGATTTAGGTGCTGAGAAGGCAAAATATGTGTCAAGCAGAATTAGGATCTTGCAGAGCATGTAGGATAGAGAGAGAGGACTAAGAGAGTTAAAAGAGTTTGCAAGAAAGTGAAAATAAGGATGAATGTTGAAAGCTAAGCAGAACTGGGAGAGAAATTTGTATAATTTTTCTAACACAATAGAGTCATTTCTTTAAAAATCATTTCTTTTGCAAAGGTGTAATAATTTTGAATAATTCCAAGTCCAGTTTTGTTAAAGAGAAATTAAAAAGCATGGAGATAAAAGTCATTGAAATTGAGGTCAAACAATGCTGCAGTTGAATCACATGTTCACTTATAAGTAAAGACAGAGGTTGGGTTTTAAGGCCTTAGGAGAATAAGAAACAGTCAAAGAGAAGGAAGAAAATAGCAGTAATGATAAGGAGAAAAGCTGATCAAATAGCCTGACGTCTTACATCTCAAAAGATGAGGGACCTTTTTGTGAGAGTGAAAGAACAGTTTTCTAAAAATTGTGCCTTGCAGCAAAAAGTGGTTAAGCTAATTTTCAAGATTCTAAAGTATACCAAATGGAGGAGAATTAGCAACAATATCTTGAATAGGCTGTACGGAAGCTATATCTTTGTTTGCAGAATTGAAGAGTGTCTTTTAAGTCACAGGTGCTAGAAAAAAGATCATTCTGTCATCATCATCATTCTTTTATTATTAAATTACCATTATTAGTCTCACCAGGGCCCGCTGGAAAAGACTGAAAGTAAGGGAACAGTGACAGGTGGTTCAGAAGATAGGAAGGGCAAAACAGTGGAAGGATGATAGTTGACAGAAGGTAAGTCGTTTTCTGAAAGTATTTACCTACTGTGTGATCACTAGGAGTAACAGTACTGAAAACCGTGATGATCTCAGGGTGTCCAATTAATTAGTCCTATTTGGTAACGGCTTGCATTAATTGTATTCCAAAGCACCATTTCTCACAATTTAACATGCATGTGTGTCACCTGATGACCTTTTTCTGATTCTGATTTGGTATATCTAAGTGTAGCCAAATTTGCTGCTTTTCTAACAGGCTCCCAGGTGCTGCTCTCTTTTCATGCGTATTAACCCAGTCAACGCGGGTTCTGTTGCCAACTTTACAGGCAGCAGAAACCAGTGAGAAAACCAAATGAAGGGAACCCCTCACTCTTCAGCTCCTAGTGCACAGTGCAAGCAACCAGAAGAATGAGATTTAAGTACTTTTGAAAAGTTTATTCACAGTTTAATGACTTAATATTTGTTATATCGATTTTCTATTAAGAAACTCATACTCTGAAGACCTTCTAGGAAGTATGTGATCAAGAATTTCATTAAATTATACTTATCAAATATCTCAACTCTTTCAAGAAGTGCTAAATTTTGGAGCAGGAAGAGAAAAAGTGATGTGTAGAAGGTGGAAGAATACCAAGAAAAGCATCATTCCATAAATAATTAATTGGTAATTCAACAAAGTTATATTCCATAACATATACAGGTTTTAATTTGTCAATTAAAAAGAAAAAAAATTGACTGACATAAGGATTACACACAGACAGAAACTTTTTTTAAGTTGTGGTGATGTGACTGAACTTGAGAGACAGTACTAATCCCTACTCATCATTAAGAAAAATATATCTGAGCATTTTTTTATATTTCTGTACACGTTTTAAAATCAACTAATGAAAGACATTACATTTAGAAATCTGACTCAAGAATTTTCTTAGGTTATTGGGAAAAATGTCTGTGAAAGCTGGAGAAAATGTTTACACCAAAAAATAAATTCCTAGTGAACATTACTAACAGTAGATCAGTCAAAAAGATCTACATTTTTCTAATTCAAAGGGTCAGAGGCAGCAGAGAAGAATTGGTAAGGTTTCATGGAGTGGCAGATACAAATATAATATATATCGTTACTTGAAATGGCTTTAAAAATATCCAAGAGAAGACAGAAGAAGAAATATGATTCATTTAGTTGCCTGATGATACTTAGTATTTTCTCATGTAATCATTTATGTGGAGTGCCTTCTCTCTATTTCCCCACCTTGAGCTATTATAAAATGCCTCACTGTTGCCCCCAAAATAGATATATTTAATTTTTTATTATACAGTGTGCCCTTTAGGGCTTATAATTTTTCTAGGATATTGTGGGAACTCAACTTCATGGGGTGAATGAATGGTTTGATGTGGAGACTCAAAGCCGTAGTAGCATCAGACCCATGCTTCTGATCACAGAAGAATAAAAGGCAAGATTCTATAAACCCAATGCCTAAGAAGTCAGAGGTCCTGTGTGTGTGGCAGCATCTCTCACTGACAGCATGAATGGCTAGGACTATGATTAAGTCTCTGACTCCAACAGGGTCCCAGACTCCCAGATCTCTAAATTAGGTGTCAGTAACATTTTTCTTGTAAGGAGCTATCAATAGAACCTCACTCAGGGATGGGATACAGGCATCTAAATCTGTAAACCTCAGACACGTTGACCTAACTGTTCTCAGGGCTGTATTCTTGGGTCTAGGTATAAAACTGTGATAGGAACTGTCACTGGCAACAAGGACCTTAAAATCATTGTGCTCATAATCTTAGTAATGACTAAGAAAAGGCTAAATTATAATTCTGCCACTTTCCTCATTGTGTTAAGTTTCTGTTGTTCTTTAGCATATTATATAAATGTAGTATCTTAAAAACAGCACACGTTTTTGATTTGACAGTTCTGTAGAAGTCCGACATGGATCTTCCTGGGCTAAAGTCAGAGTGTTATCAGAAATGTGTTCTTTTTTGTAGGTTCTAGGGGAGAATATGTTTCCTTGCTTTTCCAGTGTCTAGAGGCCATGCATGCATATTTCTTGGCTTATGGGCACCTTTCTAGATCCTCAAAGCCAACAACATTGCTGCTTTCTGATCACTTTTCTATAATACCATCTCCCTCTTACTTAGACTATAGCTGGGAAAATGTCTCTTCTTTTTAAGGGCCCATGTGATTAGATTTGAACCACTTGAATGTGATTAAATGGGGAAATCTAATAGTCATTTTCACATCTCGAGGTCCTTAGCTTAATCACACCTATGAAACATTCCTAAATCCCAGGGATTAGGAAGAGAATATCTTTGTGGAGCCATTATTTTGCCTACCACACCCATTTTACGCTTTTCATCTCCTTTTTGAAACTCGGTAAGAATCACTTAGAGATTTCCCTGAAATCTCTTCTTAATCAGCTCAGAGGCCCTCATCTCTAATGAATAGTTGCAAGCTTAGGCCAAACTGCCAGTTCAATTATTATGGCAGGGCTTCATTATAGCCGTGTTATAAACATCTCAGGCAGTATTTATCTATTCATCTATAAAAGCATATAGTAAAGAGCAGGCTCATTTTATCATTAGTGTGCATCTTAGCTTGACCACACCCCCTGACACATTTTTAGAGTGAAAAGGACACTGTCAACAAGACATAAAAAAGGATTCAGATTAAAAGGCTAGAACAATTTAGGACAATCGCAGTAAATGAGGTCCATCCTAGGCAATCTGAGGCAGATGGTTTTCTTACTTACAAACCAGGTAAGGGGTTTTACATTTGTTCTATTGTGATGTGATCTGATAACTGCTTTAAAAAGTTTATTATTCTGGCTGTAATGTGGAGATGTACTGTGAAGGGAAAGAGAAGAAGCAGGGAAATCAGTGAATAGGTCATTGCACTCGGGTATAGCATTGGAGATACTAAGAAATGATTGACTGTAAATTACAATTTAAATATAGTTGTGACTGGACATGAAGGTGCATGTGAGGAAAAGCACAGAATTAAGCATGACTCCTAGGATTTTAATCTAAACAAGTGGGTAGACAGCATTGTCGTAATCTGAAATACAGAGCACTGAGGATAAAAGTGTTGGTGTGCTGCAGGGCAGGTAAGAACTTTATCATGAGACTTATGTTTAAGAATTATTATTGTAGAAGGAATAGTTAATATCTTGTTATTGACCTTATATGAGCATAGTATAGAGGATGAGCAAGTTTGGAAATCGTATAAATTTCAGGGGTCAAAAGAGGTGGAAGAACCAGCAAAGGAGATGGGTAAATGGCCAGTGAGAAAGACAATTAAGAGTAGCAAGTGTTCAAGCAGGAGGAAGGCAGCCACTTGGCTAGTGTGCTAAGACTTGACAGGCACATTGAGACCTGGCCACTGGGCTTGCCAATTTCAGGAACTCAGTGTATGATAATTAATACTTTTTCAGTGGAATCATGCGGACCAAAACCCAGGTGGACTCTGAAGAAAAGAGAATTGAAGATGAGTAGGTGGCAATGGTGATAGTGGTTAATATAAAACCAAACAAAAACACAGAGTTTCAAAAGTCAGCAAAAAAAAATGATGTTTATAAGACCCCTATTCTATATTTCTTTTTCAATCTTTTTCTTAGATTTCTACCAGTCATATGACACTAGGGTCATATAACTACCTTACAGTGTGACCTTAGGCAAGTACTTTAACTTCTTTTTCCTTAAACTTTTCATCTTTAAAATGGGGATAAGAAGAGTTGCTAGTCTCAGGTTGTTAAGAAGATTAAACTGGATAATGCATATAAAATGCTTGAAATAGCACCTCTATAATATTGGGGCTTTATTATTTTAAAATTATTATCATTGTTGTTACTATTACCACTCAGAGTACCACAAACATTTGTTTATCCTTTATCCAGGCTAACAGAGACCCCATGATAGGAACATGGCAACAAATCTCCCCTTCTCTTCCGTGGAAGGAAAAAATGCTGTTCTAAAACAGGAAAAACACACCCCGATAACACTACTGGAATTTTACACTCTGGTACATAAAATTTCATGCATACCTATAATTTTTTAAAACAGAAACTAAATGCTTAAATATTTATTTAAATTCACTTTTAAAGCCATGCATGAGCAAGCTTGTTGATGAGTTTCTACTATATAATTTAATAACAATAATAGTTACCATCTGTTGAGAGCCCACTCTATGTAAAGAGCTGTGTTAGGCAGTTTACACACATTATCTTGTTTAATAGCCATGATACTTTTTCTTTCTCTTTTTTTTTGGGGGAGGGCAGTGTTAAACATTTTATTTTATTTTATTTATTATTATTATACTTTAAGTTTTAGGGTACATGTGCACAATGTGCAGGTTAGTTACATATGTATACATGTGCCATGCTGGTGCGCTGCACCCACTAACTTGTCATCTAGCATTAGGTATGTCTCCCAATGCTATCCCTCCCCCCTCTCCCCACCCCACAGCAGTCCCCAGAGTGTGATGTTCCCCTTCCTGTGTCCATGTGTTCTCATTGCTCAGTTCCCACCTATGAGTGAGAATATGTGGTGTTTGGTTTTTTGTTCTTGCGATAGTTTACTGAGAATGATGATTTCCAATTTCATCCATGTCCCTACAAAGGACATGAACTCATCATTTTTTATGGCTGCATAGTATTCCATGGTGTATATGTGCCACATTTTCTTAATCCAGTCTATCATTGTTGGACATTGAGTTGGTTCCAAGTCTTTGCTATTGTGAATAGTGCCGCAATAAACATATGTGTGCATGTGTCTTTATAGAAGCATGATTTATAGTCCTTTGGGTATATATCCAGTAATGGGATGGCTGGGTCAAATGGCATTTCTAGTTCTAGATCCCTGAGGAATCGCCACACTGACTTCCACAATGCTTGAACTAGTTTACAGGCCCACCAACAGTGTAAAAGTGTTCCCATTTCTCCACATCCTTTCCAGCACCTGTTGTTTCCTGACTTTTTAATGATTGCCATTCTAACTGGTGTGAGATGGTATCTCATTGTGGTTTTCATTTGCATTTCTCTGATGGCCAGTGATGGTGAGCATTTTTTCATGTGTTTTTTGGCTGCATAAATGTCTTCTTTTGAGAAGTGTCTGTTCCTGTCCTTCGCCCACTTTTTGATGGGGTTGTTTGTTTTTTTCTTGTAAATTTGTTTGAGTTCATTGTAGATTCTGGATATTAGCCCTTTGTCAGATGACTAGGTTGCAAAAATTTTCTCCCATTTTGTAGGTTGCCTGTTCACTCTGATGGTAGTTTCTTTTGTTGTGCAGAAGCTCTTTAGTTTAATTAGATCCCATTTGTCAATTTTGAATTTTGTTGCCATTGCTTTTGGTGTTTTAGACATGAAGTCCTTGCCCATGCCTATGTCCTGAATGGTAATGCCTAGGTTTTCTTCTAGGGTTTTTATGGTTTTAGGTCTAACATTTAAGTCTTTAATCCATCTTGAATTGATTTTTGTATAAGGTGTAAGGAAGGGATCCAGTTTCAGCTTTCTACATGTGGCTAGCCAGTTTTCCCAGCACCATTTATTAAATAGGGAATCCTTTCCCCATTGCTTGTTTTTCTCAGGTTTGTCAAAGATCAGATAGTTGTGGATATGCGGTGTTATTTCTGAGGGCTCTGTTCTGTTCCATTGATCTACATCTCTGTTTTGGTACCAGTACCATGCTGTTTTGGTTACTGTAGCCTTGTAGTATAGTTTGAAGTCAGGTAGTGTGATGCCTCCAGCTTTGTTCTTTTGGCTTAGGATTGACTTGGCAATGCGGGCTCTTTTTTGGTTCCATATAAACTTTAAAGTAGTTTTTTCCAATTCTGTGAAGAAAGTCATTGGTAGCTTGATGGGGATGGCATTGAATCTGTAAATTACCTTGGGCAGTATGGCCATTTTCACGATATTGATTCTTCCTACCTATGAGCATGGAATGTTCTTCCATTTGTTTGTATCCTCTTTTATTTCCTTGAGCAGTGGTTTGTAGTTCTCCTTGAAGAGGTCCTCACATCCCTTGTAAGTTGGATTCCTAGGTATTTTATTCTCTTTGAAGCAATTGTGAATGGGAGTTCACTCATGATTTGGCTCTCTGTTTGTCTGTTGTTGGTGTGTAAGAATGCTTGTGATTTTTGTACATGGATTTTGTATCCTGAGACTTTGCTGAAGTTGCTTATCAGCTTAAGGAGATTTTGGGCTGAGACAGTGGGGTTTTCTAGATATACAATCATGTCGTCTACAAACAGGGACAATTTGACTTCCTCTTTTCCTAATTGAATACCCTTTATTTCCTTCTCCTGCCTAATTGCCCTGGCCAGAACTTCCAACACTATGTTGATTAGGAGTGGTGAGAAAGGGCATCACTGTCTTGTGCCAGTTTTCAAAGGGAACGCTTCCAGTTTTTGCCCATTCAGTATGATATTGTCTGTGGGTTTGTCATAGATAGCTCTTATTATTTTGAGATATGTCCCATCAATACCTAATTTATTGAGAGTTTTTAGCATGAAGGGTTGTTGAATTTTGTCAAAGGTCTTTTCTGCATCTATTGAGATAATCATGTGGTTTTTGCCTTTGGTTCTGTTTATATGCTGGATTACATTTATTGATTTGTGTATATTGAACCAGCCTTGCATCCCAGGGATGAAGCCCACTTGATCATGGTGGATAAGCTTTTTGATGTGCTGCTGGATTCAGTTTGCCAGTATTTTATTGAGGATTTTTGCATCAATGTTCATCAAGGATATTGGTCTAAAATTCTCTTTTTTGGTTGTGTCTCTGCCAGGCTTTGGTATCAGGATGATGCTGGCCTCATAAAATGAGTTAGGGAGGATTCCCTTTTTTTCTATTGATTAGAATAGTTTCAGAAGGAATGGTCCCAGTTCCTCCTTGTACCTCTGGTAGAATTCGGCTGTGAATCCATCTGGTCCTGGGTGCTTTTTGGTTGGTAAGCTATTGATTATTGCCACAATTTTGGCTCCTATTATTGGTCTATTCAGAGATACAACTTCTTCCTGCTTTAGTCTTGGCAGAGTGCATGTGTCGAGGAATTTATCCATTTCTTCTAGATTTTCTAGTTTATTTGCATAGAGGTGTTTGTAGTATTCTCTGATGGTAGTTTGTATTTCTGTGGGATCGGTGGTGATATCCCCTTTATCATTTTTTATTGTGTCTATTTGATTCTTCTCTCTTTTTTTCTTTATTAGTCTTGCTAGCAGCCTATCAATTTTGGTGATCCTTTCAAAAAACCAGCTCCTGGATTCATTAATTTTTTGAAGGGTTTTTTGTGTCTCTATTTCCTTCAGTTCTGCTCTGATTTTAGTTATTTCTTGCCTTCTGCTAGCTTTTGAATGTGTTTGCTCTTGCTTTTCTAGTTCTTTTAATTGTGATGTTAGGGTGTCAATTTTGCATCTTTCCTGCTTTCTCTTGTGGGCATTTAGTGCTATAAATTTCCCTCTACACACTGCTTTGAATGCGTCCCAGAGATTCTGGTATGTTGTGTCTTTGTTCTCGTTGGTTTCAGAGAACATCTTTATTTCTGCCTTCATTTCATTATGTACCCAGTAGTCATTCAGGAGCAGGTTTATCAGTTTCCATGTAGTGAGTGATTTTGAGTGAGATTCTTAATCCTGAGTTCTAGTTTGATTGCACTGTGGTCTGAGAGACAGTTTGTTATAATTTCTGTTCTTCTATATTTGCTGAGGAGTGCTTTACTTCCAACTATGTGGTCTATTTTGGAATAGGTGTGGTGTGGTGCTGAAAAAATGTATATTCTGTTGATTTGGGGTGGAGAGTTCTGTAGATGTCTATTAGGTCCGCTTCGTGCAGAGCTGAGTTCAATTCCTGGGTATCCTTGTTGACTTTCTGTCTCGTTGATCTGTCTAATGTTGATAGTGGGGTGTTAAAGTCTCTTATTATTAATGTGTGGGAGTCTAAGTCTCTTTGTAGGTCACTCAGGACTTGCTTTATGAATCTGGGTGCTCCTGTATTGGGTGCATATATATTTAGGATAGTTAGCTCTTCTTGTTGAATTGATCCCTTTACCATTATGTAATGGCCTTCTTTGTCTCTTTTGATCTTTGTTGGTTTAAAGTCTACTTTATCAGAGACTAGGATTGCAACCCCTGCCTTTTTTTGTTTTCCATTTGCTTGGTAGATCTTCCTCCATCCTTTTATTTTGAGCCTATGTGTGTCTCTGCATGTGAGATGGGTTTCCCGAATACAGCACACTGATGGGTCTTGACTCCTTATCCAATTTGCTAGTCTGTGTCTTTTAATTGGAGCATTTAGTCCATTTACATTTAAAGTTAATATTGTTATGTGTAAATTTCATCCTGTCATTATGAAGTTAGCTGGTTATTTTGCTCGTTAGTTGATGCAGTTTCTTCCTAGTCTCGATGGTCTTTACATTTTGGCATGATTTTGCAGTGGCTGGTACTGGTTGTTCCTTTCCATGTTTAGCGCTTCCTTCAGGAGCTCTTTTAGGGCAGACCTGGTGGTGACAAAATCTCTCAGCATTTGCTTGTCTGTAAAGTATTTTATTTCTCCTTCACTTATGAAGCTTAGTTTGGCTGGATATGAAATTCTGGGTTGAAAATTCTTTTCTTTAAGAATGTTGAATATTGGCCCCCACTCTCTTCTGTCTTGTACAGTTTCTGCCAAGAGATCCGCTGTTAGTCTGATGGGCTTCCCTTTGAGGGTAACCCAACCTTTCTCTCTGGCTGCCTTTAACATTTTTTCCTTCATTTCAACTTTGGTGAATCTGACAATTATGTGTCTTGGAGTTGCTCTTCTCAAGGAGTATCTTTGTGGCATTCTCTGTATTTCCTGAATCTGAATGTTGGCCTGCCTTGCTAGATTGGGGAAGTTCTCCTGGATAATATCCCGGAGAGTGTTTTCCAACTTGGTTCCATTCTCCCCGTCACTTTCAGGTAAACCAATCAGACGTAGATTTGGTCTTTTCCCATAGTCCCATATTTCTTGGAGGTTTTGTTCGTTTCTTTTCATTCTTTTTTCTCTAAACTTCCCTTCTCACTTCATTTCATTCATTTCATCTTCCATCACTGATACCCTTTCTTCCAGTTGATCGCATCAGCTCCTGAGGCTTCTGCATTCTTCACATAGTTCTTGAGCCTTGGTTTTCAGCTCCATCAGCTCCTTTAAGCACTTCTCTGTATTGGTTATTCTAGTTATACATTCTTCTACATTTTTTTCAAAGTTTTCAACTTCTTTGCCTTTGGTTTGAATTTCCTCCTGTAGCTCGGAGTAATTTGATCGTCTGAAGCCTTCTTCTCTCAGCCTGTCAAAGTCATTCTCCATCCAGCTTTGTTCCGTTGCTTGTGAGGAACTGCGTTCCTTTGGAGGAGGAGAGGCGCTCTGCTTTTTAGAGTTTCCAGTTTTTCTGCTCTGTTTTTTCCCCATCTTTGTGGTTTTATCTACTTTTGGTCTTTGATGATGGTTATGTACAGATGGGTTTTTGGTGTGGATGTCCTTTCTGTTTGTTAGTTTTCCTTCTAACAGACAGGACCCTCAGCTGCAGGTCTGTTGGAGTACCTGGCCCTGTGAGGTGTCAGTCTGCCCCTGCTGGGGGGGTGCCTCCCAGTTAGGCTGCTCGGGGGTCAGGGGTCAGGGACCCACTTGAGGCAGTCTGGCCGTTCTCAGATCTCCAGCTGCGTGCTGGGAGAACCACTGCTTTCTTCAAAGCTGTCAGACACGGACATTTAAGTCTGCAGAGGTTACTGCTGTCTTTTTGTTTGTCTGTGCCCTGCCCCCAGAGGTGGAGGCTACAGAGGCAGGCAGGCCTCCTTGAGCTGTGGTGGGCTCCACCCAGTTCCAGCTTCCCAGCTGCTTTGTTTACCTAAGCAAGCCTGGGCAATGGTGGGCGCCCCTCCCCCAGCCTCGCTGCTGCCTTGCAGTTTGATCTCAGACTGCTGTGCTAGCAATCAATGAGACTCCATGGGCTTAGGACCCTCCGAGCCAGGTGCGGGATATAATCTCCTGGTGCACCATTTTTTAAGCCCATTGGAAAAGCGCAGTCTTCAGGTGAGAGTGACCCGATTTTCCAGGTGCCGTCTGTCACCCCTTTCTTTGACTAGGAAAGGGAACTCCCTGACCCCTTGCACTTCCCGAGTGAGGCAATGCCTCGCCCTGCTTCGGCTGGCGCACGGTGCGCACACCCGCTGACCTGCATCCACTGTCTGGCACTCCCTAGTGAGATGAACCCAGTACCTCAGATGGAAATGCAGAAATCACCCGTCTTCTGCGTCGCTCAGGCTGGGAGCTGTAGACCGGAGCTGTTCCTATTCAGCCATCTTGGCTCCTCCCCTCGATACTTTTTCTATGTAAGTATGAATAACTCCATTTTTATAAATGAGGAGCCTGAAGTTTAGGGTAACTCATTAATTTTCCCAAGGCCACAGAGATGGTGCAGAGCAAAATAAGGATTAATGGACTCTACAGTCTTCCTCTTTCCATGGCACAAAAATGGCTCAGCTGTGTAATACATCTCTAAAACATCCATCGAGCTCTCACTCTATACAATGCTCCAATATATCAGGTGTGTGGGTACATGGATCATAATCCACATTATACAAATTGGTAAACAGAAGCTCTGATAGATGACAGTAATTTGTCCAAGGGGACATTATTTAAAGATGAAACGGGAGAGTTCCCTGACCCCCCTCACAGGATGTGCTACATGGGTGTGGCTCATGTGTTCTGCCACTTTGCAAGCTCAAACCCCTTATGGGAGGGGGAACACAGACAGGCAGGTGCAGGAGCCCAGGCAAGTGCCCCTGGGCTCTGACCCCATGACAGTGTCCAGGGATGGGTGTCTGCAACTCCTGAAGCCCAAATAGGCATGTGTTAACGTATGCTCTTTTAGCCTTGCTGTTCACAGACCACTTAAGTGTTAAACAGCTCAGTGGACCCTCTGCCTTTTTGCAAGGACAGATGGCCAGAGTGACAACTTTCTTTATCCTGAGCTCTTGTCCGGTGTCCGGGAAAAATCAGGTCACACATGGACTTAAAGGACGAATGCAGGGGTTTTGTGGTGTGGTGGAGGTGGCGTTCAGCAGGATGGATGGGGAACTGGAAAACGATGGAGTGGGAAGATGATCTTACCCTAGAGTTTGACTGTCCGGCTGCGGATCTCCTCTCTGCCCCCAGCCGAACGCCTCTCAGCGTTCAGACGTTCCTTCCCTTTTCTCTACCATGCCTTTCTGCTGTTCTTCTGCTCTTCTGTTCATCTTCTCATCTAGCCAGGGGCTTGGGATTTATACGGGTACAGGATAAGGGGGCGCATAGCAGGCCAAAAGGCAACTTTAGGGCGTGAAAGCAGGAGTACCTGTTCTCATTTAGGGCTGGGTGGGGCTTTTACTGGGGAATCGCCCTCTTCTGCCCAGTATTTCTCTGTCTCCTGTCCGTTTGAAAACAGATTCAAACTCACGCTTTTAGGCTGTGGGTCAGGTCTTCCTGCTTCACTAGGAAGCCTCCCAGTAGAGGATTGGGTTGTAGTAATGCTGGGAATGAAGGACTGAATAGAGGATCAAGTAAATGGTTTTTGTTTTAAATTTCAGCATAATTACTGTTACATAAAGTATGACATTACAGTCTCAAAATTTGAAAGTTTAAAAATTTACATTGCAAACTTCAATTTTGGGGCTTAATTATATATTATGTTAGTTCAGAATAGCTTAAACTTCCAATTCAACTATTTTCATTTTGACTTCTACTATTTAAAATATGATCCTGTATTACAATTATACCTTCTTGGCAAAAATAACAAATCAATGTTAAGTTATCTTCTTCCTTGACAACTCCATAAGTCATATTATATTACCTCTCCTACTTGGAATGTCAGACAATCAGTCACTGGACCATTCCAGAGATTCATTTCTATAAACAATATATTTGGATTGATATAAGTCTTTCAAGGGTCAGGTTTTCCCTATAATATTTTTTCTCTGTTATCCCAGAGTTTTCACGAATCTCATATATTTTTGCTTAATTATACCCTCTCTTACCACTTACTCCTAGGATCCAGTCTTGGATTTTGTTTTACATTCAAGACACCTTAAACTAAAAATACTACAGAAAAAAAAAAAAAAACAAAGATTGGATTCTAGATATTCACAGCACATTGTTGGCTTTCCTGAACTCTTGAAAAAAAAAATGGACATTTCTTAGAAAGTCTTTAAACATAAATTTGTGAAGATTTTCTAATGACATAACTGACTTGTTCTTTCCAAAGCAAATGTTTTGTAATACTTTCTATATGATTTTACAGTGATGTCACTTCTGCCAACAAGTCTGTCTCTTTCCAGCATTATTCTAGAGAATATGCAGTAACTTCCTTTTCCCTTGAGATACCCTTGGCAGACATTGGAAATCGAAGGCAATTTTTAATTTCAGAACCAATAATAAAAATCATTAATAGCATTGAACAGATATTAAATGTCAGACACTTTTGTAAGTTCTCTTTTTACCTGGATCATCTTATTCAATTATTGGAGGAGTACTGTTCAGTAGGTGATATATTATCTCCATTTTACAGATGGAGAAGCTCAGACACCCAGAGTTTAAGCAACTTTTCAAAAGCTCTTAAGCAGGTAAATTACAAAGTAGGACATTCAAGCCAATCCAATAACCAACAGATTAACTAGTACTTTATGTTTCCTCAAATGAGCAGTGGTCACATCATACAATATCTTGGGATTTTAAAGTTTCTGATGAAAACTATGAAGGTGAGTATTTGGGTAAAGTTTTGTTATTACTTCACAGAGGTGTTTTGAGGCCCAAATAAAATTTATTTGAAATTATATTTTAAACATGGTGCACGTTTTGTCACTATCGGAATTTTAAATAATAGATTATTTCATCAAAGCTATCCCTTAGTTTTTGAAATGTCATTATCAAGTTCAGTGTTTTCATTCTACTCATTTTAATCTAAGTTGATTTTTGAAAGTTTTGAATAACAAATTGCTTGAAGGTATGCACTGTACTTTCAAAATAGAATTAGATATTTCCTTTTTATTTCCCTGTGAATATCTCCCTATTTCTAAAAATGCTGAGTATTGAAATAAAGGGTTATTAAAATACATAGCAAAAATCAAAGCAATGTAAAAAAAATTAAAAGGTGTCTGTGAAGGGAATATAGTTATCATTATTATACACAAATTTTAGCTCTAAATCCTGAACTTTTTTATACCCCCACGGTTTCATAAGTGATTTTATGTAATGGTGGAAAATATACTAATTTTTAAGGCATACAAAATTTTAAGTCCCTATATTTCAAAATGAATTTGTCATATGGAACCTACTTTATGAATATTGAGTTGCAAAATAAATATCTTACATTTTTACTTTTAGAATGTGCTTAGTGATTTAGCATTCATAAGCCAGTTGTTTATCTACATGGACTGTTATGAATAATATACTAAGGGGAAGAGCGAAAGAAGCTTTCTTATGATGCAACTTGACACAAGGCTAAATGTAAACTATATAGTGACATTGTGGGTTACATATCCATTACCTTAACTGTTACTTCTCTAGGTCAAAAAATACTTAAGAAGCATGATTATATTCATTTTATAGAAATACATGATTTATAGATGTTAAGTAGTGTGCCTAAGTTAAGAATTGAATTCAGGTAGGTCTACCTTCAAAGTCATGTTCAGAGTTTTTGATGTTGGAACCAAGCTTGGAAGCATTGCTAGAACTCTGCTGGGGGGAAATACGGAAAACATAGTATCCAGATAGAGAAACACATTTGCGAAACCTCAGGACATGAGAGACCACCCTTTACTCAGGAACCGGAATACTTCTTTGTATCGGTGGAGTAAGATTAGACTTCCATTTCAGAAATAGATCATGCAGAAAGTTCTAAGAATAATACTTGATGTGGTCAAAAAAGAAGGGAATTTGAATGCAGTGAGTTGGGTATCAGAACCCCCAGTGTGTAGAACAGGAAAGGAGATCAAGTGGGAGGAGCTTCATAAGTCAAAAGATCACCCAGAGTAGAATAGGGACAGAAATGTTGTTGGATATGAGTTTTGATTAAATATTTCATTCTAAACCATAAGCTTCATGAATGTAATGCTAATCATGTTATCTTTATCTCTATACCTCCAGTACTAGCCATAGTGCTTGAAATTGCAGGCAGATTTCCCATGAAGAAAATGAAATCTCTAAGCTTCAGGGTCTCTTCTTTACACAGATCCCTTCCAAGGCCTTGGGAGGGGCCCCAAGCAATGTGTTCGTAGTTCAAATGCTTCTGATAAACATCCATCATTTCATAAAATATGTCCTTCTATAATATTTTATTAAAAACAGACTCCAAAATTATATCAGCTCAGGCTTCTACAAATCTGAATCCATCACTGCTTAAGATGTAGTAGATATTCAGTTAATATTTTGGGATTAATGAAAGAATAAAAAGGGAATTGAACGACAAGATTTATAAGAGAATTGAGAACTTTAAAACTATCCCTAAAACTTGGGGAATGTATCTTACAGTTGTTCAGTACCTTGCACATATTACATAGATACATAAAATACTTTCCTTAAAAAAATCACATTATATATGTGTGTGTGTGTGTGTGTGTGTGTGTGTATAGAGAGAGAGAGAGAGACAGAGAGAGACAGAGAGAGACAGAGTCTTGCTGTCATCCAGGCTGGAGTGCAGTGGCACAATCATAGCTCACTTCAGCCTGGAACTAACTACTCCTGGGATCAAGTGACCTTCCCATCTCAGCCTCCTCCTGAGAAGCTGGAACTGTAGGTGCATGCCACCACACTCAGCTAATTGTGGTAGTTTTGGGCAGAGATGGGGTCCTGCTATGTTGGCCAGTCTGATATCAAACTCCTGGCCTCAAGCAATTCTCCCACCTCAGCCTCCCAAAGTGCTGAGCCGCCGCACCTGGCCTGAAAATATATATTAGTGTTTGGAGAAAGTATGTGAGAGGAGTGATAAATAAAAAGTAAAGGAACAAATGTTTGAACCACCTCACTCCTCATGAAAGCCTGTATTCTAAAATAAATCAATTAAATGAAACTGAAAATATTGAGCTTTTTTTCATCAAATGATGTGATGGGGCATACATATTTTATTTTCTCTAATAGCTGTCAAGAACAGCCTTAAGCATCTCATTCTAATTTCAAAACAGATTTTAGAGGAAAGTGGGTAGCCACCTGGAGAAACAAAACCTTAATACATACAAATTTCAAAATATTTCTATAAAACAAAAGAGTCTATGAAAATTAAGTAAACTAGTAAAAGCATTAGGACGACTTTGAAGCGGTTTTTTTAACAAACTAGTAGGCATTCTGGAAATATTCATGAGAAACAGAACGAGGAATTTGAGAGACCTCATATCTGAAAATCTTCACTAAACATTAATTTTTATTTTTTAAATAAAGCAGAAGGAAAGATAAGAAAAAGCTCTATGCTTAATCCTATTTGTAATGTTCATGTTAAGAGAAGCAGCATTAGGCATATTAATGTGTTTGCTTCTCTTCTAATTTATGATTCCCTTCTTTCTTTAATGAGATCTGCTCTACAGCCCATAAAATAATTGTTATGGTAAACTGACTTTTTAAAATTAGCTACACACCAGTTGGTCCAGAAACCTATTCCTCTAGACCATTCATGCACAAAATACCTTTGTGTGAAACCCTTTCCAAATGTGTAATGACTGGAGTTAGTCCAGAAGTTTGCCAGCAGAGTCTCTCTGCGTGACTGTCAGTGGGAACAGCCTTACAATTTCCTTTCCTCAGAAGCGTTGCCGTGAGACGCTGTCATGCGGGCATGCTCAGGCCACTTGCAGGCTGACACTGAAACATACATTCAACCCCACTGCTATTTCCAAAGAATTTGTTTTCTTTAACCTGCAGAGATGCTACCTGACCTAGCGTCTGGTTGTATGGCAGAGTGTTTGAGGGAGAACCTGTTCAAAGTCACTCAGGAGAGCTGGAGGGAAATTTACATGGAAACACGTAGCCTGTCC
Source organism: Homo sapiens (assembly GCF_000001405.40). Classification (NCBI taxonomy): domain Eukaryota; kingdom Metazoa; phylum Chordata; class Mammalia; order Primates; family Hominidae; genus Homo; species Homo sapiens. The sequence continues at coordinate 66,265,469 of NC_000013.11, forward strand.
TTAGAACCATTAGCTCGTTGTTTCATACTCTTATGAACTGTTTTTCTCTGTGTGAACTCTGACACTGTGGTTGTTACTCCACCACAGTGACTCCTGATGGAAGAAGGGAGACTGAGCCAAGAGCAGTTGAATCCATCCTGTCCTCAAAGGGAGTTGGGGGAGCAGAGAGGTTCGTAAAATAGCCCAATTCACAAGACATAGATAGAGTGTAGCACTAATAGTATTTCAAAGGAACTGTTTCAAAGTAATGTGGAGAGAAAGGGTTGAGATGGAGCATGCAAGCTCATTCTCCCCTAACACACTCCTTAATCAAAAAGGCTAACAGGGATGAACGCACTCCAAAGCGGTTACTGATTAACATAAATATTTTTGAAGTGGTCCAATTTGTGTTCATGGAAGCATTCCGCATATCTGGAAGAAAAATGAAGCTTTGTTTTGGAACAATTAATGTCAGTATCTTTTGTAATACTTAAAAACTCTAAGGGAAAATAAACTGGAACCACCAAGGAGGCTTTAACATTACTTACCACATATTGCATTATTCTACTGAATTCTTTCTTTTTTTCTTTTCTTGTTGTTTTCTTTTCTTGAGAGCATGATCATTTATTGCGCAAAAGAAAATTACAAATTCCACTACCAACACTGACAAATAAATATTATTTAAGTCAATTTTATTATTGATATTAGAATTGAGGACACGAGCATTAGTTTATTTACTTAATTTTACAAATATATTAAGAATCTTCTAAATGCAGGCCTTGTGTGGGGTGCAAGGAATCTAGTAGTGAAGAAAGTTAGTATACGTTGGAAATTCTCAGCATACATATACTACTTACATTCAATAACCTCTCTATATAAGTAGCACTCTGGAACTGATAAAATTTGGCACTACTTTATTATATATTAATTGAATATTTGAAATTAAGAGGCTTGCTCAGTTCCAATAAAAATCTGTGTTAGAATGCATTGCCTCAAGGCAAAATTTGACAGTATCATCTAAAACACCAAAAATGTCATTCCAAGAGGACAAGGTTTGAAGCATCAGGGACATCAAAGTATACATTTACAAAACTAGCTGAATAGGCAAAATAATTGTATACTATAATTTTCAGCATATAATTTCAGTACCTGGCCCATATTCCCTTCAAATACATATGAAAAATATTTGAAAAAGGAGGGCATAGTAACCATGCATTAATTAAAACCAGATCCATGACAAAATTTATAATTTTTAGGTATACCGAATTTCTATGTGTTTTATAAGATAGATCATCTGATAATACAGCTTTTGAGAGAAGATAATAAACTTTTTCAGTTTAACTTCTAACTTCTCTCTAAAGGAACATACCTATTCATCTTAAATATAACTTAAAGGAATATTGTGACTTATTTTTCAGAAATTTTCTTTATGGCCAATTGCTAGAGAATAAGATGGTTGTGGATGACTAATACAGAGGAACTGCAAATGGAAGAAGTCATACGGGAGAGGAGGAGACGGAGCATAAGTCAGGTTGATACTTGCACTGTAGATGTTACAAAGGTAGGAGAGAGTACACATAGATACCAAAGAGATGGCTGAAGCAAGCAGCAAACCTCGCAACGCAACCAGGCACTGTCCAATGACTCTGTCCAGTGGTGGGGAACCGGGAACCAAAACTCTAATCTAGAGCTACATGTTTAAATGTAACAGGTATAGGAGAATGCAGTCAGATGAAAATGCCAAAAACCATAAATATGAACAACAAACATAGTTAAACTAAACAGACTACGGGCCACAATAGCATCTTGGAAAAGGTGTGTGTGTGTGTGTGTGTGTGTGTGTGTGTGTGTGAAGGAGTACAAAAATGGGGCTAAGATGCTAGAGAATTCAGGTGGGCATCAGACTGCATCAAATTGCAGTTAACAAATCTGCGCATTTGTAGCTGTTCTGAAACTTTTCAATGTCTATGCTTTAGTTAACTTCACTAATTTAAGATTAGATTTGATCCCTACAAGTGAAGTGATTTTTTAGAAAATAAGAGAAGGATGAGACATAACAAATAGTTGAATTCCATCTCTTAATAAATGTAATCAAGTGGTACATTCATAGACAAGCCTTGAACATGTATATTTTCAGAAAAATCAAATGTATTAGTCTTCAGCAAACCCAGCTTAACAAACTGAAAATAGTCATGTTTGTCAAGGAAGAAGTCCTGAATCAGTGAATTGCTAAACATTTTCAAAACACATTTACTTCTTTTCTTACTTTACATTACTACTTTTGTTACTTGAGACAGGGTCTGTCACCCAGGCTGCAGTGTAGTGGCATGATCATGACTCAGTGCATATACATGGCTCGACCTTCTGGGTTCAAGTGATCCTCCCACCTCAGCCTCCTGAGTAGCTTGGACTGTAGGCGTGTGCCACCATTTCCAGCTATTTAAAATTTTTTTTGTAGAGATAGGGTCTCAATATGTTGCTCAGGCTGATTTCAAACCCCTGGGCTCAAAAGATTCTCCTGCCTCAGCCTCCCAAAGTCCTGGGATTACAGACATAAGCCACTGCACCTGGCCCACATTCGCATTAAATGCATATGAAAAATATTTGAAAAAGGAGGGTATTATAAACTTGTATTCATTCAAACCAGGCCCATGACGAAATTTATAACTTTTAAGTATACTGAAACTACATGTTTTATAAGATTAATCATCTGAGAATACAACTTTTGAATCGCTTAAAATTTCACTGATGGCTTTCTTGCAGCTGCAAAAAAAAAAAAAATGGCTAGCAATGGCATAGATTAGGCATACAGAAAAATAGGAAGACCCATCTTCAAATCAAATTGGCGGTCTCCAGAGTTGCATGTATCTGGGTTGGAACATAAGCTTCATTGAGGCTTTCAGAGCTTCAGTTTCCTGGGATTAAAGCTTGTTGAGGGGCTGGAAAGAGGTTTATGAAGACACAAATGATATCATGTGTATTATTACAGTGCCTGGCCCACCTGGCCTGATTTAATCACAAGAGATCCCTTCCTCACTAACCAGGACCTCTGAATATTCACTCATCCACAGCATAGTACTAACCATTCTTCTGGAGGGAGGGGCCACCAATCTCTTATAGGGGGGATCCTAATAGGTCCACCATCCTAGTGTTGTATATGTATGCCATATTTACATCACTAACCACAAGATCTGCAGCAAGACTGGCTTCAGAAATCCCTCCCTGAGACCCTCTGCAGAAGACTGCCCATAGCTACCTGATCCAAGAACAAATTGGCACTTTAGAATCCTGTCTGCTTTTTCACCAAGAGAATCGCTGATTTTGGCTTCATATCCTCTGAGCTACCAAAGACGGCCAGTTGCCCAACTAATCTGCAATTGGCTCCAGGTTGTAAGTAGAGCTCCTCTGGGCACCTACCTCTGCAACTGAGGAACCATGGCCTTCCAGAACATCAAGGACCATCTGTAATTTATGAAGAGACATTTGGAACAGGAAGGAGCTGGATGTATCTGCAAAACCTACAGAATTCCTGCAGAACCCAACCCTCTGAAGAAAATTCACCTCACTCCAGACCTTCATTCACAGGTCCAATGGTGGTTGCAGCAGCCTTGGCAGGACTTCAAGCAGAAGCTAACTGCTCAGTTTGTCTGGATTACTTGAGATACCCTGTCACCATCAAATATGGACAGAATTTCTGTTATTTCTGCATCCAACACCTCTAAGCAGATCTAAATGATGGTTTCTTTTGCCCTGTCTTCATCAATGCCCAAAGGGGCATTTCAGGAGCACTACCCATCTGGGAAAGATGATAGAAATTTCCAAGCTATTCTACATCACCAAGAGCAAGAGGATAAGGCAGGAACAAACATGTTTGAGCAAGTACAACCAGATTTTGACCCTTTCCTGCAAGAAGAATCTATAAGTGCTATGTACCCTGTTCTCTCAGCCCCCTGACTACCGGGGCTACCAGAGGCCCATAGAGAAGGCTGTTTCTCATCACAAATGATAGAGGTACAAAAACTCATAGCCAACCAAGACAGAAACCGAGACAGAAAAAAACATTAGAACTGAGAAGGAAAATGGAAAAATCAAAGGTGGAAATTATCCTCTGAATTTAAGCACCTGAAAGGAGTTTCTAGAATGTGAGCAAGGGGCAGTGCTTTCAAGGCTGGCAGAGGAAGGAAAAGATATCGAACAGAAACTCCATGCAAACACAGCAGCATTTTCAGTCCACATTTCCACACTCTACGGTCTACAAAAGGAGGTGGCAGAGAAGCTTGTGATGCCAGAAGTAAAATCTCTGGTGGACAGCAAAATTATTTAACACAAGTGTGAAAGCCTGGAAACCTTAGCCGTCTGTTCATTCCAGTTAAGGAAAGAAGGATGCTCTCCTCCTCCACAGTTTGTAGCTCTGCAACAAACAAACAAACAAACAAACAACAAAACAAAACACACACACACAAAACGACAACAAAAACAAAAAAACAACCTGGAAATGTAAAGAAGATGTAACTCTGGAATCTGAAACAGCACATAGTAACCTGCTTGTATCTGAAAATAAAAAATCTGCTACTTTTGTGAACAAAAGGTAAAAAGTTAATGTTGCTAATTTCATGTTAGTTCTGGGTTCTGAAGGATTTGAGTCAAGCAAATATTACTGGATGTCAAGCCCAAATGGATCCTGGGGCTTTGTAAGAATTCCCTGTCCAGGAAGGGAAAGCAGTCCCTGTCAGGGCAGAACAGACACTGAATAATTCAGAAGCAAAGTGGTGACTATGGGGCCTGAGGCCCTGTTCCAGTCACTCTTCTGCTAAAGGAGAAGCCAAGAGGAATTGGGATATATCCGGACTGTGAGTTGGCTGAGCTATCCTTTTACTACTTGAATGACAGAACTCACATCTATTCTTTCACATATCTATGTCTTTAAGTACATAAAGCCTTATTTCTAAATTGGAATCAAAATCTATTACAATCTGTGCAGTAACAGGCTGTGAAGGGTCAACTGTGACGTTTCATTTTTATGTGATTTATGGACAGTTGGTAGAATATTATACAACTATGGAATATTATACAACTATCAGTGCAACTAGCAACCTTATAAAAAATACTTCTACAGCTTTTAGACATAGCACTTCAACAGAGGTGTTGCTATTGAAATGAAATGAAAAAAAAAACGGGAAAGAGTTGTTGTGGGAACTTATAGAGATGTGGGAATTAACTACAATATTTCTGGAATTTTAAGATTAGAGTGTAAGAAAAAGTAATTTATCAGTGGCAATAAATATATTTTGTGTGCATTTAACAAACACAAAAACAAAACTTCAAAAACTTAAATAGTAGATCGTAAAGTTCAATTGGATGTAATAACCAGTATTCAGTTTTAAAGACAATAAAATATTGCATATATAATATATAAAAATAATACACAGAAAGAGTCATAAATAGAGTGTACCACATTTAATATTTCATGAGACTCATTTCAATTGTGCAATTGGACATGTATGGTGAATCGCAATATAATATGTACTTTTTATTGTGTGGTGAGGTCAAAGTAGATATTAACTGGCCTAGAAATGGAAGTGGGGAAGCTGTGAACGTATTTTTTTCCATATATTCGTTTTCAGGCTACATCTTAGGATATTTTTCTTTATTCAACTGTCCTATGAAACATGCTTTTTATCTGATTTCACTTACATAAAACATTGAGGCAGAAATATGAAAAAAAGTGTTTTTTACATGTGTGCGCCTCTAGAGGTGATTTTGCCAAACTAATATTCTTTCAAGCCTTACCTTCTAAAGCTCCAACTTATAATGTTCAGAAAATTAAAACTCAATGAAAATGTGATATTATCAAAAGCATTCATATTATTGATTTTTACTTTATAATTTTACTAAACTTTAAAACTTCTAACACACACAAACACACCATCATTACAATTTTGAAACAGCTTCAAAAGTGGAACTCAGATAAGTCAGCTTTTTCTTTATCTGCTTCAGGCAATGAGGAATTTGCTGTGTCTCAGTGAGACATTTGAAATTTCTCTTATTTAAATTGTCTCAACTTCAAAGCATTTAAAATACAAATCCATCTTTCTTGGCAGTCTCAATGTCAAAAAGTTATCAAGGGAACAAAACCCACCTTCGGTTTAATAAAATTATACTTTTATACAAAAGATATTGTCGTAATCTACAGCCAAACTAAACTCTATAAACAATCAGAACAATACTGAAATCAAATGACTCTATTTATAGAAAATTGTAAGAAAATAAGGAATATTAAAAACTCCAAAGAGACATAGAATCAAGAAGACTTGACTCACAGTTAACAATGCAGCCCACAGAACTGGATGAAATCACAAAAGCGATGGGAATATGAGAAGAGAGATGGACAATTCTGGCGTCTTTCTCTCTCTGATGGAATGAAAGTATCACTGCACATAGTTTACTCATTTGGGGTCTCGGTTCCTTCCTGAGAAAACATAACTTGGGGCCAGGCGCTGTGGCTCACGTCTGTAATCCTAGCACTTTGGGAGGCCGAGGCCGGTGGATCACCTGAGGTCAGGAGTTTCAGACCAGTGTGCCCAACATGATGAAACCCCATCTCTACTAAAAATACAAAAAATTAGCCTGGTATGGTAGTGGGTGCCTGTAATCCCAGCTACTCGGGAGGCTGAGGTAAGAGACTCCTTTGAACCTGGGAGGCAGAGGTTGCAGTGAGCCAAGATGGCACCATTACACTCAAGCCTGGAGAACAAGAGCAAGATGTCTCAAAAAAAAAAAAAAAGTAACTTGGAAAACTCACTTGATGTTTACTTGCAATATAGATAGAGAAAACAACTGGATGAAAAGTAAGCTTTATTTCTAGTTTAAATATTATCACTAGCTAACATTTAGTAAGTGGTGTGATTTTCTTGAGCCAGACTGTTGAACTCAAAACCTGATGGCTGTATGACATTAGACAAATTACTTAAATTGTCTCAACCTCAGTTTTCTTATCTATAAAGTGGGAAAATAGTCCCACTTCAAAAGGTTGTTGTGAGATGTCAATAAATTAGTAGATATAAGCCACTTAATACAGTGTCTGGCACATATAAATTGATTTGCTATTATTGTTATTATTTGCTTAATTTTTAAATCTTTACATCCTGACTTCCCAATGAAATTGCAAGATTAATGAGCCAGTCTGTTTGAGCATTGTCTCATTAAGAAGAAAGAGTTTCTAGCTAAATACAAGACCCATAAGAGCATTAATCACACTTTGGTACATTTATAAACACTCTTACAGAAACACTAAAAACTATATTAATGATAATATCATCTATTAATAAGCCTTAAAATTGAACTTATTCATTTAGGTTCTGATATATAGGAACTTTGAGGAAAAAATATATCAGAAAAACATGCAAAAAACAAAAAAGTTGTCTTCTATATTTGCTTCTTCTCTATTTCTTTTGAACTTTAACTTCACAAACACAACTACACAAAAGCTTTCCTAAGCAGAAATAGCTTTTTTCCCTGCTAAGAGAGTAGACAGAAATCAAATTTACAGTTCCTGGCTGTTTGCTATATTGAGAAGAGGGAGCTTTTCAACACTCACAGTGCCAACCAAACTCTGAACCAGACACACACTCTCTGATCTGTTTTGTCTTGTTTTGTTTTGTTTTCTTAATTCACATCCTGCTGTGGTTTGAATGTGTCCCCCAAAGTTTATGGGTTGGAAACTTAATACTCAAAGCAAAAGTGTGGAGAGGTGGGACCTGTAAGAGGTGATTAGATCATGAGAGCTCCACCCTCATGAATGGATGAATGCCTTTATTGCAGCAGAAGGTTAGTTCTCACAGGAGTGGGCTCCTAATAAAAGCATAAGTTCAGCCCCCTTCTCCCACCTCTCTCTTTCAGGAGCTTGCACTCTCTTGCCTTTCTGCCTTGCACCATGGGAGGACACAGCAAGAAGCTCTCACCGGATGCTAGACCCTCAACCTTGGACTTCTCAGCCTCCAGAACCACGAGAAATAAATTTCTGTTTATTGTAAATTGCCCAGTCTCAAATATTATGTGACAGCTGCACTAAACAGACTAAGATGCTCCCTTAACATAAACCACAGGGTTCCTATGGAAAACAGGCAACATGGAATGTTTCAGGCATTGTAATCATTGAAGGAAAGGAGAAACAAAAGGAGAGATTGTGCTGAAGTGAACAGAGCACAGACTGTGACGGGAATCTCACAATCTTACCAACTTTGAGATCAGGTAAGCGTCTTGTCTGGAGATCAGATAAGGGTCTTGAGATCAGGAAAGGGTCTTGTAAAGAGCTTCTCTATGGTATATTTCAAATCTGAAATTTTGGATTCAGGTGAAATAGTTAAAGATCTGAGTTCTAATCCACTGTGTCACTTTGATTATGTAGTGTACAATGCCTTAAATGCATATTTTCTTACTTAGTGTAACAGAAACACCATAAGAGAGATGTCTTTGATAATCTCCAGTATGGAGGCACATAATTGAAAGTTCCAAAAGGTTGAATAACTTATGAATAGTGAACAGCAAGTTAGAGTTTGAATGCATTTCTTTGGAATTCAGAGCCTGTGTTTTTATACTGTCACACTACCTCTTATATATGCTTATTCACTGAATGTAAGTTGTATTATTTTCCCCACTGATATCTATTCAGGCTTGCATAAAAAGTTTCTCTTTTATAATTAGGGAAGCTAAATAAACTCTATAAATTTAACAAAGATTTTCTGAATGATAATATGGTGGGCACTGTACATTGTATTGGAGTACGACAGTAAACAAAAAAAAATATGGTACCCAAGTTTATGGTTGAGAGGGAGACCCATTATTTTAAAGAAGTGTAAAAATCTGTCCAATTAATGCTTCCCTATCTTTTCATTGTAAATTATCAGAATTTAACTTTCACCATTTGCCAAGCTATTGTGCTGGATGCTTTTATACATTATTTCATCTAATCTAGGAATCAATTTTGTTTTTATTTTACAAAAGAGGAAACGTGCCTAACTACTATATGCTTGTATCAATTTATTCTCCCTCCAGCATTGAATAAAAATGACTAATTTTATTGTATCTTCTTCAGTATTCATTACTTTCCTTAGAAACTGCTAATTTGATAGATTAAAAACTGTAATTGTTTTCATTAGGATTTTTATCTTAATGAGGTTGGAAACCTGTTGATATATCAGCAAATATTTATTAGGCAGCTATTATTTACCAAGTAGTACACATGGCATAGAGGATAAAAGAAAAAAAAATGTTTGTTTTTTTTTTAAATGAGAAAGTAAAAGAAAGTTTATAGGCCTCACAGGTGAAGGTAAATAGCCCCATTTTATTCATGGCCTAGTATTATCTCTTTGGTCACAGGGTTACAGTTGGTTAATGTCCACATGGAAAGCAAAAGACATTCTGTATCAATACTATTGCTTCTTTTTAAAAATAAGGATTCTGTATTATAAAATTGACTATTGTTTGCCTTTTTGTACAGGTTTTTCTGTTCAGCTTTTTCTATTTTCTACATGCTAAAGGATAAAATTTAATGTGGTTCACAATTCAAAAGAAAATGATTTTTAAGGTGAGATAAATGTGTATTGTGATAGTAGCATTTATAATTCATCTGTACAAATAATTACTAATCTAAATATGTAGTTCATTTTAATGTACTTCAAAAGTATGTCTATTGTTTTTGCTAAGATACATTAACCATCTTGGATTTGTAATGTTGCATAAAGGCTGTTAGTTACTATCAAAAAAATCAGAATAGAACCAAAACCACATTTCTGATGTCTCAGCTTTCATTCTATTTTCTTTTAGCCAGATCATACTGTCTTCCCAATCTCTCACTTGACAGCAAGTGAAATTGCCCTAGGCTAGGAACATCACAGTATGAAAGTGAGATGTCATGATAAAGACACCTAATTTTCATTGCACCCATATGGCATATTCATTTTTCCTAGTCTCTTTTTGGGTTGGAAAATCACCTATTTCATTATATCCCATTGATTTTGCTTGTTTGTTTAAAACTGTACCAACTGTCAGAATTGAGGCTATGCCTGTTTGTCCATGATAGTTGCTTTGCATGATTAGTCAAAGACTATGTCATGGTGGAATAACCATAAGATGTTGATTGTTCACTTATTAGGAAGTCTTAAGTTTAGTGATTGCTGGAATGCTACATAAGCTTATTATGCTCAGGGATTTGGATTAGTACCTTGATGATTCCCTGGGCCTTTTTCTCATCAAAACCAGACAGCTGCATACAATCAAGATATTGGTAAAAACAGAAAGTAGTCCCAGAAGTCCCTAGAAGACTTTCCTTTCTATGTCTTTGGCTAGAACTTTGTTACATACACGCTCCTATATAAAAGACATGTCTCACCTTCAGAGAGATTAAAGAATACCTGTTCCATCCCTGAACAAAAGCAGTGTGATAGCAATAAGGAAAAAGTTGGAGAAAAGCTTTTGTACAAAAATCCAGGAATGTCTGATAAAAATATTTTAAAAGTAAAGAGACTTATCAAATATAATCAGCTTTTAAATCACATTAAAAACAAAAGTAGAAATCATAAGTTAATTTTAATTCAAAGTGAATCAGAGTCATGGGAATACATAAATTTATTAGAAATACCATACATTAGACACATATAATGATATGGTTTGGCCGCATCTCCACCAAAGTCTCATCTTGAATTCTTACATGTTGTGGGAGGAACCTGGTAGGAGGTAATTGAATCATGGGAGCAGTTTTTTCTCATGCTGTTCTCATAATGGTGGGTGAGACTCGTGAGAGCTGATGGTTTTATATGGGGGAGTTTCCCTGCACAAGCTCTCTCACTCTTTTAACCTGCTGCCATCCATGTAAGACAGGACTTGTTCCTCCTTGCCTTCTGCTATGATTCTGAGGCCTGCCCAGACACACAGAAGTGTAAGTCCATTAAACCTCTTTCTCTTCCTAGTCTCGGGTGTGTCTTTATCAGCAATATGAAAATGGACTAATACTTAAATTAGTACTAGCAGAGTGGGGCATTGTTGAAAAAATTCCTGAAAATGTGAAAGCAACTTTGGATCTGGGTAACAGGCAGATGTTGGAACAGTTTGGAGGACTCAGAAGAAGACAGGAAAATGTGATAATGTTTGGAACTTCCTAGAGACTTGTTGAATAGCTTTGAACAAAATGCTGATAGTGATATCGACAATAAAATCCAGGCTGAAGTGGTCACAGATGGAAGTGAGGAACTTGTTGGGAACTGCAGTAAAGGTGACTGTTGCTATGTTTTAGCAAAGAGACTGGTGGCATTTTCCCCCTGGCCTAGAGATTTATGGAACTTTGAACTTGAGAGATATGATTTAGGGTATCTGGCAGAAGAAATTTCTAAGCAGCAAAGCATTCAAGAGGTGACTTGGGTGCTGTTAAAGGCATTCAGTTTTATAAGAGAAGCAGAGCATAAAAGTTCAGGAAAATTTCAGCCTGACAATGCAATAGAAAAGAAAATCCCATTTTCTGAGGAGAAATTCAAGCCAGCTGCAGAAATTTGCATAAGTAATGAGGAGTCAAATGTTAATCCCCAAGACAGTGGGGAAAATGTCTCCAGGGCATGTCAGAGACCCTTGCAGCAGCCCCTCTCATCACAAGCCCTGAGGTATTGGAAGAAAAAGTGGTTTCATGGGCTGGGCCCAGGGTCCCTGTGCTGTGTGCAGCTTAGGGATTTGGTGTTGTGGATTGTAGCCATTCCAGCTGGGGCTGAGAGGAGCCAACATGGAACTCAGGCTGTGCCTTTGGAGGGTGCAAGCCCCAAGCCTTGGTAGCCATGTGATGTTGAGGCTGTGGGTGCACAGAAGTCAAGAATCGAGGTTTGGGAACCTCCCCTTAGATTTCAGAAAATGTATGGAAATGCCTGGGTGCCCAGGCAGAATTTTGCTGCAGGAGTGGAGCCCTCAGGGATAACCTCTGCTGTTGAAGTGTGGAACAGAAATGTAGGGTCAGAGTCCCCACACAGACTCCCTACTGGAGCACTGCCTAGTGGAGCTGTAAGAAGAGGGCCACCATCCTCGTCCTCAAGACCTCAGAGTTGTAGATCCACTGGCAGCTTGCACCATGCACCTGGAAAAGTTGTGAACTCTCAAAACCAGCCTGTGAAGGCAGCTGGGATGGAGGTTGCGACCTGCAAAGCCACAGGGGTGAAGCTGCCCAAAACCATGGGACACCACCTCTTGTATCAGAGTGACCTGGATGGAGACATGGACCCAAAGGAGATCATTTTGGAGCTTTAAGATTTAATTGCCCTGTTGGATTTCAGACATCTGTGGAGTCTGTAGCCTCTTTGTTTTTGCCAATTTCTCCCATTTGGAATGGCTGTATTTACCCAATGCCTGTACCCCCATTGTATCTAAGAAATAACTAACTTGCTTTTGATTTTACAGGCTCATAGGCAAAAGGGTCTTGCCTTGTGTTAGATGAGACTTTGAACTGTGGACTTCTGAGTTAATGCTGAAATGAGTTAAGACTTTGGGATACTGTTGAGAAGGCATGATTGGTTTTGAAATGTGAGGACATGAGATTTGGAGGGGCCAGGGGTGAAATGATATGGTTCGGCTATGTCCCCACCCAAATCTCATCTTGAATTTCCACCTATTGTGAGAGGGACCTGGTGGGAGGTAATTGAATTATGAAAGCAGGTCATTATCATGCTGTTCTTGTGATGGTAGGTGAATCTCACAAGATCTGATGGTTTTATAAGGGGGAATTTCCCTGCACAAGCTCTCTTATTTGCCTGCCACCATCCATGTAAGACGTGACTTGCTCCTCCTTACTGTCTGCCATGACTGTGAGACCTCCCCATCCACGTGGAAATGTAAGTCCATTAAACCTCTTTTTCTTCCCAGCCTCAGGTATATCTTTATCAGAAGTGTGAAAAAGAAGTAGTACACATACCAAAATCAAAGAAAAGTTTTTCTTATTGTAGTAGTCCATTTTCATACTGCTGATAAAGACATACCTGAGACTGGGTAATTTACAAAAGAAAGAGGTTTATTGGATTTACAGTTCCACATGGCTGGGAAGGCCTCATGATCATGGCAGAAGGTGAAAGGCATATCTCACATGACAGTAGACTAGAGAAAAGAGAGCTTATGCAGGGGAACTCCTCTTTTTAAAACCATCAGCTCTCTTGAGACTTATTCACTATCATGAGAATAGCACGGGAAAAACTTGTCCCCATAATTCAATTACCTCCCACCAGGTTTCTCCCACAACATGTGGGAATTCAAGGTGAGATTCAGGTGGGAACACAGCCAAACCATATCACTCATTGAACCATATTTTTAAGTACTCCAACTTAATTGAATTAATATGTTATAGAATCATGGCTTGATTCCATTGTGCAACAAGGAGTTCAAAATTTATTGACCCGGTTCAGCCTCAGTAATAAAAGAGAACATATGTTTAGTTAATTTAACAAAAATATTATCAGAACATATTTCTGTAACAACAGAGATGTTTTCCATAGCCAGCATTGTCAAGAAGGAACCTAGTATTCTTTAATTAATCACAATAATATTTAAGTTTGTTGTGAGATAGAAAGTCCACCTTTGAAAATTGAACATATGGCAACTATGAAACACATCTATCATGAAAAGAAAAAACAATAACAAGCTTCATCTAGATTTTGAGAAATTATAATTTCCTGCTATTTTTAGTAACTTCTTAAAGTTAGAAATAGCACAATTTAAAACAAAAAAGACCCTTAAATTTGTTTTTTAGTAAAAAGATTTAAAATATAAATATTTAAAATTAGTAAGTTAAAGCATATTTTATTTTTGTGTGATAGATTTCTTAATCCCAATTTAATTAATTTGAATTAAAAAATTTAATTAAAAAATTTAAGATAACTACTATAATGCAAAATTATTTTCAACTGTTCATATAGTTAATATGATTAAGTAGGCAGCTATACCCTTAACTTAGTATTACTAAATATTTTCTTTTAAGTAAAATAATCTTTACATGATTGCCTTTTATTCTTTTTAGATGTGCTTTTGCAGACTTAAAACTACAAGGTGGTCAGTAATTATAGATGACTTTTTCAATATTTCATTTGCAGCTGCACATAAAATATAAAGTTATATTTGAAGAGAATGGGTATGGTATAGGTTTCTATAAACATTAACCACAATGAACATTTAAATAATCAATATCACAGAGATAAGATAGAATCTTAATTGTCCAAAGAAAGTAAAATTGCTCAAATTTAAGTCAATGACTGAATTTTTGTTGGTGTACCAAAATAAGGTTTCTAATTTTTAAAAAGTAGAAATTACACTTGAAAAAAAGTGTGATTAATCAATTAAAATTTGGAGGGAAAGCTTCTTCACCTCAGCATGTGTAAAACAAGCATGAAGAGCAGTGTTCTAACAAATATTTGTTTCTGAAAGATAAAAGCTAAGTCTGTTGTGTAAGTGGTTACTATATCAAGTTAGGTTACAAAGAATATTTTCTTAGAGTTTTCTAGATACCATCAGGGCTAATGCTTGGAATTTGCTTTCCTTTGTGCCTTTCTATTCACTTCCTAGCAATGGCCTCTGTCCTTCCATCTCTCCATCTCATTCTGCCCCAGGAAGAGTGCAAGAAGTGGCCTTTCCTCCTTCTTTTCATTAGTACTAGTGGCTTGACCAGTTAGTTTCAGCAAGATACATCCCTAACTCTATCAACTTTTGAATTGTCAAGGAAATCAAGCCTATTATAGATTCTGTTCTCAGTGTACAAAGTTATAACAATGGCAACTCACCATCATTTTATATTTCCCTACAAAATTGAGATTTTAAAAAAGTGGGAGCAAGGAAGGGAGGAAAGATCTATGGCCTGATGAAAGTGAGTTATAAGAAGGAGCTTCTTTCTATTTTGTCTGTTAATAAACACTGTTTAAATTTGAAAGAACAGTTGATTTGCAATCAAGACTGTTTTGATCCATGTTGAATTCGATCAGATTTATAAGGAAGCAGGAGACTATGGCCATGGAAATTACGGTAATGTGGTGCCCAAGCAAAGAGTACTAGAGAAAAAAATCAATCAGGTAAAGAGGCTCTGGAGGCACCTAATGCCATATATAACTAACTACCTCTTGTCTTAATATGTTTTGTGCTGTTCTGACAGAATGCTTGAGACTTAGATGATTTATGAAGAAAAGAGATACATTTCTTTTTTATACTTCAAGTTCTAGGGTACATGTGCACAATGTGCAGGTTTGTTACATATGTATACATGTGCCCTGTTGGTTTGCTGCATCCATTACCTCGTCATTTACATTAGGTATTTCTCCTAATGCTATCCGTCCTCCATCCACCCACCTCATGGCAGGCCCCGGTGTGCAATGTTCCCTGCCCTGTGTCCAAGTGTTCTCGTTCAATTCCCACCTAAGAGTGAGAACATGCAGTGTTTGGTTTTCTGTCCTTGAATAGTTTGCTCAGAATGATAGTTTCCAGCTTCATCCATGTCACTACAAAAGACATGAACCCATCCTTTTTTATTGCTGCATAGTATTCCACAGTGTATATGTGCCACATTTTCTTAATCCAATCTATCATTGATGGGCATTTGGGTTCGTTCCAAGTCTTTGCTATTGTGAATAGTGCTGCAATAAACATACGTGTGCATGTGTCTTTATAGTAGCATGATTTATAATCCTTTGGGTATATACCCAGTAATGGGACTGCTGGGTCAAATGGTATTTCTAGTTCTAGATCCTTGAGGAATCGCCAGGCTGTCTTCCACAATGGTTGAACTAGTTTGCACTCCCACCAACAGTGTAAAAGCATTCCTATTTCTCCACATCCTCTCCAGCACCTATTGTTTCCTGACTTTTTAATGATTGCCATTTTAACTGGTGTGAGATGGTATCTCATTGTGGTTTTGATTTCCATTTCTCTGATGACCAGTGATGTTGAGAATTTGTTCATGTGTCTATTGGCTGCATAAATGTCTTCTTTTGAAAACTGTCCGTTCACATCCTTTAACCACTTTTTGATGGGGACGTTTGATTTTTTCTTGTAAATTTGTTTGAGTTCTTTGTAGATTCTGGATATTAGCCCTTTGTCAGATAAGTAGATTGCAAACATTTTCTCCCATTCTATAGGTTGCCTGTTCACTTTGATGGTAGTATTTTTTGCTGTGCAGAAGCTCTTTAGTTTAATTAGATCCCATTTGTCTATTTTGGCTTTTGTTGCCATTGCTTTTGGTGTTTTAGTCATGAAGTCCTTGCCCATGCCTAGGTCCTGAATGGTGTTACCTAGGTTTTCTTCTAGGGTTTTTATGATTTTAGGTCTAATATTTAAGTCTTTTGTCCATCTTGAATTAATTTTTGTATAGGGTGTAAGGAAGGGATCCAGTTTCAGCTTTCTACATATGGCTATCCAGTTTACCCAGCATCCTTTATTACATAGGGGATCCTTTCCCCATTTCTCGTTTTTGTCAAGTTTGTCAAAGATCAGATGGTTGTAGATGTGTAGTGTTATTTCTGAGGCCTCTGTTCTGTTCCATTGGTCTATATCTCTGTTTTGGTACCAGTACCATGTTGTTTTGGTTACTGTAGCCTTGTAGTATAGTTTGAAGTCAGGTAGCGTGATGCCTCCAGCTTTGTTCTTTTGGCTTAGGATTGATTTGGCAATGCTTGCGGGCTCTTTTTTGGTTCCATATGAACTTTAAAGTAGTTTTTTCCAATTCTGTGAAGAAGGTCATTGGTAGCTTGATGGGGATGGCATTGAATCTATAAATTACCTTGGGCAGTATGGCCATTTTCACGATATTGATTCTTCCTACCCATGAGCATGGAATATTCTTCCATTTGTTTGTATCCTCTTTTATTTCATTGAGCAGTGGTTTGTAGTTCTCCTTGAAGAGGTCCTTCACATCCCTTGTAAGTTGGATTCATAAGTATTTTATTCTCTTTGAAGCAATTATGAATGGGAGTAATAAGGGTAAGATATAAGGCATGATTCATCCTGAAGCAAATTAGTCTCCAGCTTGGAGCCTATAAAATTAACAAGTAATGTGCTTCCAAAATACAATACTAGGACAGGTATGGGATATATATTCTGTATTAGACCATTCTTGCATTGCTATAAAGAAATACCTAAGACTGGGCAATTTATAAAGAAAACAGGTTTAATTCGTTCATGATTCTGCAAACTATACAGGAAGCATTGCACCCACATCTCAGCTTCTGGAGAGGCCTCAGGTATCTTTTACTCATGGCAGAAGGCAAAGAGGGAGCAGGTATTTTACATGACAAAGCAGAAGCAAGCAAAAGAGTGGGGGGTGAGGTGTCACAGACTTTTACATGACCGGATCTCACAAGAACACACTATCGTGAAGATAGCACCAAGCCATTAGGGATCCACCAGCATAAGCCAAACACCTCAAGCACTGGGGATTACACTTCAACATGAGATTTGAGTGGGGACAAATATCCAAATTATATCACATTCCTATTCCAAAAGGGAAAAATAGGCAACTGGGCAAAGGAAGTCTAAAGCCCAATAGGCAAGATTACATTAAACCTTAAGGCTGAAGAATAATCCCTTTTGCCTCCATCTCCTGCATCCTAGGCATACACAGATAGTGCTATGTTCCTAAGGCCACAGTCAGCACCAGCCCCATGGCTTTGCTGGGCTCAGTCCACCCAGCAGCTCTCACAGGTTCAAGTATCACACTTGCAGCTTTCCCAGGGTGGAGATGCAGGCTGGTGGCCTTACAGTTCTGGGGTCTTGGGGGCTACCCCACTCCCAGGTCTTCACTAGGCATTGCCCTATTGGAGACTCTCTTCAGTGGTTATGTCCCTGTGACAAGTCTCTGCCTGGGCCCTCAGGCTGTCCAGTACATCCTTTGAAATATAGGCAGAGGCTGCATGGTCCCAAAGCCCTTGAATTGTACATGTCTACAGAGTCAGCATCATGTTGTACCAGTCAGCATCAATAAGCCTTGCCATAAAGGCTTATTCCTTGTGCCCTCCAGAGCAGTGGCCCAAGCCATAGTGGAGCCCACATTGCACTTGTGCCCACTTAAGAAAGAGCTGGGTCAGCCAAGGAGCAATGTTCTAGAATCAAAGGAGCAGAATTCCAAGGTGATCCTGAGCAGCAGCCCCAGGAATGTGTCCTGGGCCTGTCCCCTGAAAAAATTCTGCCTTCCTAGAGCTCTGGTCCTCTAATGGGCAGGGCAGTCTCTATAATCTCCAAAATGCCTGTGGGGTCACTCTCTTATTGACTTCATAAATAGCACTTGGTTTCCTTCTAACCCTATTAATCTCTTTAGCAAATTCTTTTGAGAAAGAATAGTAAGAACGCCTCATGAATTTCATCATTTCTTTCTTTTCTCCTTTTGTTGTAAGCAACAGAAAGAAGCCAGGCAGCACCATGAATCCTTTGCTGCTTAGATGTTTCTTCTGTCAGATATCTTAGTTAATTGCTTATAAGTTCTGCCTTTTACAAAGTCTTAGGATATTCCATCATGTTCTTTGCAACTCTATAAGATGGAATATCTTAGGATATTCCATCATGTTCTTTGCAACTCTATCTAAAATAAGGTACTATTTACTCTAGTTTTTAATATTTTGGTCCTCAAATCCGTTTACGACTTAGTCAGAATGATCTTTACCTCTTATATTTTCATGGACATTTTGATCAATACTGCTTAAGAAATTCCAGACTATTCTCTTCTTTTGAACCCGCACCAGAAGGACCCTTAATACTCTACTTATGGTAATCTGGGCTTTTTCTAGCCTGCTCCTCCAAATGCTTCCAGGTTTTACCCACTATCCAGTTCCAAATCCACTTGCACATTTTTAGGTATTTGTTATGGCAACCTCCCCACCTCTTGGTACCAGTGTTCTGTCTTAGTCTGTTTTGTGCTGCTAAACAAAATACCTGAGACTAGGTATTAATAAAGGAAAAAATAATTATCAGAGTTCTATAGGCTGGGAAGTCCAAGTTCTGTGAGTTACATCTGGTGAGGGCCTCCTTATTCCATCATCCCATGGGAGAAGACAGAAGGGCAAGAGAGGATGAGGGCAGGGGGATAGGATAGGGGCCAAACTTATCCTTTTATCAGGAAATCACTTCCAAGATAACTAATCGATTCTTGAGATTAGTGAATTAATCAATATTGTTGAAATGAGGATAAACCTTCTAACACATGAATTTTGGGGGACACATTAAAACCATGGCAACCATATGACTCTCTCCTTGAGAACAATGATCCAACTTTCTAACATTCAATATCCAAGCAAACTGTTGGGGTATAACTTATTTTAAAGTGCATGAGTGCTTGTGTATATAAATGAACAGAACCTATACTATGCCTAAATCCAGTGCTTCCACTACCCACGTTCTTTAGCTGAAGCAGTTTTTCCTCCTCTAATCCCAAAATACAAGGTTTAAGCCCCAAACCCTATTTGATTTTAGAAAATGTGTGTTTAATAAGTTTACATTTAGTACATTTTTAAGAATTCCCAGGGACCATTTCTTTAGTCCAACAAATTGATCTTGGTTTTCTCTTGCCATATCTTGTTGCAGTGTCCTTCTGAGATTCTACTTACTACCTCTTGTTTGATAACTGATTCTCCAAAGTTGCTATTTCCCAGAAAGGGGAGTGGCTCTATATTAATCTCTCCAGTGTCATTAATACCAAGCTTAATATACAAGACAACTTTTGCTAACATTTAATTATAACATCAAGAACTATAATGCAGGAAGAGAAATCTTAAAAATGGGTACCAGGTAATATAGTCTAAGAGTCAAGCAGTGTTTTTACTCCAGAATCAATTGTTTTTCTTGAACCATTCTGCCTGGGGTCAAATTCTGTCCTTATTCTTGGAGTCAAATTCCCACTGTCTCTCTTGTGGGAGTGGAGAGAAAGGAAATGAACAAACATTATAGTAATTTCCTCATGCTCTGAGTCCTAATGACATTATAATCACTCCATATGAGTGTCTTCCTTTAGAGTTCATTACTGATTCAAGATTGCTCTGTATCTGCTTGAGTTAATGTTGATCTCAGATCAACCCAACAAGAATAAAGGGGAACAGTATTTTCCAGGCACAAATTCAATGTCCAACCTAAAATTTAAAATCTGTTTATAAATCCCATATTTGCCATCATGACAGCTTCAATAATTTTAAAATCCATATTCCACTTTAAGCTGTAGGAGAAATTCTTGGTAAATTTAAAATAGCAGTTTATTCCCACTGCATAAGCATTACTGCTTCTAAATATTGGAGCATTAAGTAAGTGCAAATTACTTTCTCTTATGGAATATCTTTTAGTATTTCAAATAAAATGCACCTTTTAAGAATGACTGATAACTCATAATTCAGTACTTAATGCATAAAACTTTGAACAACTGTATTTGAATGTAGTTTTTTTATATTCACAGCCCAACCATTCTATCTTATAGTGCCATTTAGTAATTGCTGCATAGTTCTTGAGTAGTTCATATCTGAATTTGAAAATTTGAAATGTTTTTGAATTATTTATACCATAATATAAAGTTGAAGAAGTAAAAAATCAAGAGAAAAAAGAACTTTGGGAAGAAGGATTTTTTTAACTTCAGGTTGGAGTAAACAAGTCAAATGTCTGCTTTCTTACCATGTTTTCAAGAAAGGCTTTTAGTTGAATGAGCACACTTACAAATAACAGAATTAACGTTGGGTCTCGATTTTCTGCTTTAGCTTCTATATCTTTATCTTCCAACCTTACATTATCCCATATAGCTCTTCATAAGTATATCCTACTTATCATGTCCTACAAAGTTGTAGAACATCAGGTTGGAAAAATGATATTTAAGGACCGTTTAATCAAACTCATATCTGATATATATATATGCTTATATATATATTTAAACATTCTGATAAATAGTTGCAATGTTTATCAGAAATATAGCTTGCTACTTCTAGAAACAGAAAAGTTTTATTACATATTTCACACTATACATTTATTGTCTGCCATTGCATAAGTCCTATATGAGATGCTTATTTCAAAGAGATAAAGAAAGAGTCAATCTCTGCCTTTATCGGGGGAAACCAGCCCCCGATGTTCCAACGTAGGTTCTTTTCTATTTCCCTAAGTGTTGGCTGGTCTGAGAAATAAAGGGAAAGAGTACAAAAAAGAGAAATTTTAAAGTTGGGTGTCCAGGGGAGGCATCACATGTCAGCACGTTCTGTGATGCCCCCCAAGCCACAAAACCAGCAAGTTTTTATTAGTGATTTTCAAAGGGGAGGGAGTGTACAAATAGTGTGTGGGTCACAGAGATCACATGCTTCACAAGGCAATAAAATATCACAAGGCAAATGGGGGGCAGAGCAAGATCACAGGACCAGGGTGAAATTAAAATTGCTAATGAAGTTTCATGTCCCATTGGGCACACATTGTCATTGATAACATCTTATCAGGAGACAGGGTTTGAGAGCAGACAACCAGTCTGACTAAAATTTACTAGGCAGGAATTTTCTTATCCTAATAGGCCTCGGAGCACTACGGGAGACCGGGGCTTATTTCATCCCTTATCTGTAACCACATGAGACAGACATTCCTAGAGTGGCCATTTTGGAGACCTCCCTCTAGGAATGCATTCTCTTTCTCAGGGCTGTTCCTTGCTGAGAAAAAGAATTCAGTGATATTTCTCCTATTCACTTTTGTAAGAAGAGAAATATGACTCTGTTCTATCCGGCCCCTCGGGCAGTCAGGCCTAATGGTTATCTCACTTGTTCCCTGAAAATCACAGCCATCCTGTTCCTTTTGGATGCCCAGATTTCATATTGTTCAAACACACATACTCTACAATTTGTGCAGATAACACAATCATCACAGGGTCCTGAGGCTACATACATCCTCAGCTTACGAAGATGATGGGATTAAGATATTAAAGTAGAGAAAGGCATAGGAAATTATAAGAGTATTGATTGGGAAAGTGATAAATGTCCATGAAATCTTCACAATTTATGTTCAGAGATTGCAGTAAAGACAGGCATAAGAAATTATAAAAGTATTAATTTGGAGAACTAACAAATGTCCATGAAATCTTCACAATTTATGTTCTTCTGTCACAGCTTCAGCAGGTCCCTCCGTTCGGGGTCCCTGACTTCCCACAACATACCTTCATATAGTTCCTGGTTAGTGGGGTAGCCAACAAATAAATCAGCAATTCCAACTTAATTTGATAATATTTTGAAAAGACACTAAAAAAGTGCAACAGAGGAACACTTTGGCAAGGGGGAAACCACTCAATTTTTCTATAGTGCCTGTCTTCTAAAGGAGTGATCCCCTTTGTTGCTGTCTTTTTGTGTCAGCTTCAGTCTGGCAAAGATAGTAAAGTCCAAATCACCTCCTAGCAAAAAAAAAAAGAAAAAAAAAAGGTAGGTCTATTTTTACTTCAAAAAGAAAACAAAAAATTAAAAGAAATACCAGCCCTAATGCACATAGGATATCTGAGAAAAAGAAAGCAGAACAATCTTTCTAACTTGGCTTAATAATACCTTTAATATCTTTATAATACCTTGCAGTACCTCTATACCTGCACTCAGATTGTCTTCCAAGTACTCTTAATGGTAGCCATGTGCACTTAAAAGGACTGAAAACACTTCACTTTATATAGGACTCTACAATTTGAGTACAGTCATAAATTGATTCCACAAACATTTATTGATTCCACAAACACGTACTGGACCTCTACTATATCAAAGTCTCAATGAACTCAATGATGAAATCACAAAGACCTAATATTCTCAAGGGGTTTAGTGTCTAGTGAGTGATACTAGCAAGTAAATAGACAATTAAAATACAGTGTAAATGGTATAAGAGAAAATAGTGTCACATTACTTGGAAGCAGTCAGAAAAGCCTTTCTAGTGAAAGTTACGTTTTATGCTCTGACCTGAAGAATGAGAAGGTGTTAGCTACTTAAAGAATGAAAAGGAAGAATGTGCCTGCAGAATGTGCCTGCAGAACATACGCAAAGGCCCAGAAGCAAAAAAAGAGAGCGTGGTGTTTTCAAGGAACTTAACGAAATTCAATTTAGCTGGATCATCGAGTGATCCACGGTTTGAGGTAGCCTGAGAACGGCTGGAAAAGTAATCAGAGGGCTGAGCATACTAGAGCCTGTAGAGCTGTTTTAAGGCACATGGAATTTTGGAGTGAGAGTAACAGAGAAGCACTGAACAGTTTTAAATCAGAGTAATAGGGTCAGATCTCATTTTAGATAAAATACACTGGCTACTGTGGAGAACAGGTTTTCAGCACTTCAAGTCAAGAAATAGATAAATATCTTTGTTAGAACTTTCTTCTCCTCCGTGGTCCCTGTTTCAGTTCCAATTTAGGCAGTTCCAATGACCAAAATTTGCTCAGCACCAATTAACTAATGGGCCCTCAGTGGCTTTGGTGGTTTAGGCAGTGGAAAGGTCTGTCACACTACTCTGTGTCCCCTGGCCCAATCAGATATTCGGGGCTGCCTCTTTGAGGATTGTTCTAACACACCTCATCCTAGTAGCTACAGCAGCATCCACCACAGCTCTGGTGTTCAGGCACCACCTGACCAGACACACAAAGGCTTTGGCTACATAACCTGAAAGCATAAGATCTGACTTCTTTAGAAGCTGCAGAGAGGAGTTGAGTGGAATTCGTTTGAGGTCTTTCTGGGGTATTTCACTGGCCAATTGTTTACATGGATCTGCTGTGTAGTGGAAAAAGCTGCACTCTATTTGTAGATTTGGGACACTTATAACTGAACCATTGGCATGAATGTGGTCACATAGGGTATGCAGAGAGAAGACAACCTTAGGGAAAGCTAGCATTCAAAACATGGAGAAAGAAAGGAGTTCTGCAAAGAATATTAAGAAGGCTTGCCCTAAGGATACAGGAGAAAACCCAGCAGAGTTTTTTGATTCAAAAATAAAGCAGTAAAACACTCTAAGATGCGAAATGCTGCTAAGAGGTTGAGTGAAATAAAGTCTTAAATGTGGCCTTTAGATTTAGGAATAAATTTGGTCAAGTGAATTCTGATACTATAACAGAGAAATTTTGTTGGATGGTTAGGTTTAGAGAAATGTATTGTGATGGGTTGGTGGCTTGATTCACCCATTGAAAAAGATTGTAAAGTGGATCATACAAATGATGCAATGAACGAAGTGAATGGAAGAAAGATTTTCTATTTATTTCTTTATTATTTATTGCTTGTTTTAAATTATAGAGGTTTGAGCAATCTCAAATACTTATGAAAAGGGGCAAGTAAAAAGAAAGAGATTGAATTTACAGAAAATAGAAGAGAGAATTTGCTGGTAACTAACAACCCACTTACCCTAAGCCATGACTGGCCCATAAATATATTTTGTTTGTTTGTTTGTTTTGTTTTTTGTTTTGTTATTGTTGTTTTTGAGACAGAGTCTCATTCTGTTGCCCAGACTGGAGTGCAATGTCTTGATCTAGGCTCAGTGCAACCTCTGCCTCCCGGGTTCAAGCTATTCTCTTACCTCAGCTTCCTGAGTAACTGGGATTACAGTTACTCATCATCATCCCTGGCTAATTTTTGTATTTTTGTAGAGACGGGGTTTCACCATGTTGGCCAGGCTGGTCTTTAACTCCTGACCTCAGGTGATCCACTTGCCTTATTTGTTTGTTTTAAGACCACAACATATTTTAAAGAGAGAGAGATTGTAGGAATTTAAGCATCACCTGAAAATGTGGAAGATTTGGCATCTACTGAGCCCATAATTCTGTATGAAGGAGCTATGGTAGCCAACAGTTACATATCTCTTTCAAAATGAGTAAGTACAGTTTCCTGGCTGGGTGTGGTATCTCATGCCTGTAATCCTAGCATTTTTGGAGGCCAGTGTGGGAGGATCACCTGAGCTCAGGAGTTCAAGCGCAGCCTAACAATATGGTGAAACCTCGTTTCTAACAACAATAGAAAAAAAAATTAGCTGGGCGTAGTGGTGCACACCTGTAGTCCCAGCTAGCAGGAAGGCTGAGACAGGTGAATCACTTGAGCCCAGGAAGCAGAGATTGCAGTGAGCCAAGATCGTGTCACTGAACTCCAGCCTGGGCCACAGAGCAAGACCCTGTCTCAAGAAAAAAAAAAAAAAGTGCATACAGTTTCCTGCCCAATTTATCTATTCTAAATTGGTATGTGTGTATGTGTGTTTGAATTTGTTCAGGCTGAAATATAAAATAGTGATAAAGTAATTACAGAATATGCCTGAATGTGCAGAGAGATATGGATTCAGAAAATTTAAGAATTTTAACAGAAGTGAAGAAAGATAAGCCAGGGGATTCAGTTAACTTTCTACCTGTTTTTGTCAGAAGTTGAGAAACTCTATCCTAACGGTATTTGTGCTCTCTGAAGCTCGGGCAAGGTCTTTTATGAGAGTAAAGGGAAGTTCATTCCTGAAAATCTTGATAACAATATGTAGGAACAGAACTAAAGAAAATGTATTTGTAAGGACCTGTATCATCATGATATTTTAATTATTTTATTTTATTTTATTATTTTATTTATTTAGAAGAAGTTTAGAAAAACTGTTACTATTACTACTACTACTACTACTAAATGCATTCATGGAGCACTTCTGATATTCCAGACACCATTCTAAACTCTATTAATGAATTACTCTATTTAATCTTCATAATAAGCCTATGAATTGAAGATTATTATTCTCCTCATTTCACTTCTTTAAAAGATGATTGTATCAATTATATAAAATGCCAGGTTTTACACTGAAAAATGGAAATTTCTCAATTTGATGAACTTTGGGACCATTATCTCTTTTAAATTTCTATGTAAGTAGGATTTGTAAGCTAAATCTCCTTATCCTTAATCCATTATTAATTCTAATAAATATTGAAATTTTATAAGAAACTTGACTACCACTAAATATTCCTGAAGGCATCATCTATAAACTAGCTAAGCATTTCACTTTATATCACCTAGGTTTAAATTAATTTATGAGCCACTGGAACGCATAACCAAAGTCATGTATTTTCTAATGATACTTCATCATCATTAGATAGTTTAAAAGTCACTCCATCGACACATGGGTATTTGTGCTGGATTATCTTCTCTGCCTAGAATTCTCAAATTGTAAAAACAATACTTGATTAATACAAAAATATTCATAAATTATTAGGAATAAATACTAAAACTAACATACAAGAGTAATATGAATCTATAATTTGATAATTCCCTAGGAAGATAGATAAATAGATCAATTATAAAACATACAACTGCTCCAAGCTTAACATTTTTAAACAGAATGTCTGTATATGTTTTCTTTCTCAAGAAGTTTAGTATTAGCTGTTTTTCTCACACTGATTTCCGTGTGCACATAAGGAAGCAGATGTTTTCTATGTGCCCGATGTGCAATATTATCAGCAATAATGTCATTAAAAATAATTAAAGAACCAAATACCATAGAGAAATAAGAAGTTACCCTTTGCATGTGGCTTAAAGGAGCAGTGGCTTATTGAATGATACTATTAAACTACTATTAACTGAATATTTATATTTAATACCTTATGTTATTTTTCTTCATCACTCTGTGTTATAAAAGAGTGCACTGTAAAACCGTGAACTACAGAGAGTTGACATTTAAAACACACAGTCAGCTTTTCCTGGGGAAAGGGGAAGACTAATGAAGTACTACTACATGGCACGACCTTGGCGTTATAAGTAATTTGTTTCATATCTGTTATCAGGGATTCTTGTTTGTCAAATTAAGAGGTGCTTCCCCATTTGGACAATGAGCCAAATTGTAGATATAAGAACAGTTGATTAAAATTGGTGATGCAGTAATAGAGGGCACTTATGCTTTGAAGCTTAACATACAGCTTTCTCCATGATGCTTGGGGAGACCATTCTCCTCTCCATGTGAGCACAAAGCTCCCCTTGATGTCAATGGGAGTTGCATTTCCATGACGAGAAGAAAATAGGCTTGCTAAAGTTAATTACCAGACTGATTTTGGTCTCCTTTTAATGCCCTGTTTATTGGCAATAGAAGCCTGATGTGTGGCTCACTTTGTTCCTCACCTGATTTTCCAAGGTAGGGAACAGAAAGCAAGTGTAAAAAGGTAGAATCTGTGAATAGGTATACCTAGAACACGTGAAAGGAATTCAGCACTTTTATTTAACAGCAGAGACTTTCACTAGATTTCCCAGTAACTCTGATGAGGTTGTATTCACCCTAAACTTGTGTGTCATTTTAGACTATGTTATTTTTATCTCAAGACTGAATAGCACAATTGCTACACATTTAATTAATAACATATTTGAGCCAACATATAAGTACATCAAACATTGAGTAAATAAAACTCTAAGTAGAAAGAGAATCTTCATTGCAGAACTAGTTAATAAATCATTTTATTGCTGTTGTTTAAAAAATGGCAGTTTATCATTGAGATCCAGAATCAAAGAGTGCTTGAATTTTT
This sequence comes from Homo sapiens, assembly GCF_000001405.40. NCBI lineage: Eukaryota > Metazoa > Chordata > Mammalia > Primates > Hominidae > Homo > Homo sapiens. The sequence goes on from NC_000013.11 coordinate 66,292,914, forward strand.
CATAAGAAGAGGTGATATCACATAGTAGTTGAAGCCCAGACTCTACACTCAGCCTAGTAGGCTGGCAGTGTTACTTATTCACCCTAGGATCTTGAGTAGATACATATAGTCTTCCTGTATCTCAGTGTTCTCATCTGTGACAGGGTGACACAAACAGCATATCTTTTTAAAAAGCATGAGAAAATTAAATTAGCTAATACTGGTAAATCTGTTGAACTGTGATGAACATAGAATAAATAAGTGCTTTAATAAATGTTAGTTGTTATAATTGTTAATGAATCAATAAGGTAAACCTCACTGCAGAAGATGTTTATATGGTGTAGAAAATAAAGAACAGCAAACAGTTTTGCTATATATCCATGTTTCAGTCTGAGAATTGTGCAGCTAGGTAGATTTTTGTTTTCTAGGAAATAATACTCTTTCTCATGATGTGTATGACGGACATCTCTGTTAATTATTCTGAAGATCTCTGGGCTCTGCTGAAACCCGCACTATTTCTACAGCTGTATGGGATAATCCCAACCAAAGGTAAATAAAACCCTAATTTTAAAAATACATTGTACATCAGGTATGTCACATTATAAAACTCAGATTAATCAACTAGTAAATATTCCAACCATCTTTTGTAATCTCTGCCATAACCAGGGATAGTGGCCCTTTAGATCCTAAACATAATTTCATTAGAGATGCTTTAAACAGGCAGAGAGGAATAAAGACCCATCATTGAGGCTGGATGTGTATCAATTTTACGTCACAGGGATATGGTCATCCTAGCTATGGCAACCAAGGTAATTATTTTCTCCTTTTGAAACTGTAGGCTTTTCTAAAAGAAATATTCCTTTCCATAATCAAACAGGAGAATTGGATAGCAATAGGAAACTTGATGATATAAGCTGCCTAGGGGTCGATCAGCATAGATGCCATTATTATAATATTTCCCAAGGGCTGGAACTTGTAAACAGGGTTACTTAAGTGATATATAATTTAACATTTAAAAATATTACTCTAAGTGAAGTAAAAATATGTCTTATGTAGAATTTTATATAGTTTATACAGTGTGAATCATGATTTATATAAACTATTACTTAAAATGATAAGTTAGAAAAATATGAGTCCATTTAAAAGTATTAAGTTACTAATGTCCATTTGTTATCAGGCTTTGGAGAAAATTGTAATAGTGGCATGTGATCCACTGAGATGTAAAAATATATTTTACTTATTCAACTGGTAAATGGCATGTTTTTTGATTGTTGTCTATTTGATAGTTTTTCTTTAGCTTTCAATAATCCCAGAATCAAATGGATGGTCCATTCCTGGAAAGTGTGCAGAGTTGGTGACATGAGTTGATACATGGCACATACACACACAAACCTACACATTCCCTCGGGCTTAATTTTCTGTTACTTTTATTTTTCTGTGATGTGTGGAGTTTTGTGGGGTTTTTAAAGTGATCTAAAATCTCTTTGTGGTAGAAATAAAATACTCTTTTTTTGTTTGTTTTGAGACAGAGTCTTACTCTGTTGCCTAGGCTGGAGTGCAGTGGCATGATCTTGGTTCACTGCAACCTCAGCCTCGCAGGTTCAAGCAATTCTCCTGCCTGAGACTCCTTGGTAGCTGAGATTATAGGCACCCACCACCAACCCCGGCTAATTTTTGTATTTTTGGTAGAAACAGGGTCTCGCCATGTTGGCCAGGCTAGTCTCGAACTCCTGACCTCTGGTGATCCACCCACCTCGGTCTCCCAAAGTGCTGGCATTACAGGCATGAGCCACCACACCCAGCCATAAGATGCAGTTTTAAAATGACACCTGCTATCACCTTAGTCTTTTTCTGTAAGGCTGATGGCCAGAATAGCATCTCCTGGGTGAAGGTGCATAGCAGTGGGATGGGGATGTATAGTGAATGCAACAGAGTCTAAAGGAGGCTTCTGTGATCACCTCAAGTCATGAAGTATCGAGGAAGAAACTATTACTTATCAAAGTAGCAGTCACACACCACAGTCAATGTGATGTGCAAATTTCCAGGTATACGGAAAGAAACATGAATTCTACAAAAGAAAAGTGCAAGTTAAAAATAAAAATTAATTTCATTATCAGTACTTTCTTCCAAAGCAGCAAGTTTCTAGAAAAACATTAACTTTGCTCTTGAAAGTTACTGAATTTTATTGAAGTCAACGGTTCCCCTGGGGGCAAATGGACAAATTCCAGCAACTAGATGGAAGGGAATAAAAAAGAACAATTGTGGAAAGCAAAATATTTCGGTTGTTTACAAATAATACATTTTGTTAGAATTTTCCCATCACGTAACATGAAAGGAAAGTAATGTTATATTTATTGTTATAAGGACCTTATTATACATCTGAAAATTGGGCTATTGCCCAAGTAGAATCAATTTCTTCCTATTTCATGTAGACACTCTGTAAAAATAAAAAGGCTAAGATTTGGGGTAGTGGTTCATTCATTCACTCATCAAATATATATTGAGCATCTGCTTGGTACCAGGCATGATTCTAGGGGCTTGGAATACATTAGTAAACTAGAGTTTATCTTTCAGTGGGGGAAGATAATGAACAATAAGCATTGTAAATGAATAAGTAAAGTATAGCTATGTTAGAATATGTTCAGTGCTATGGGAGAAGAAAAGGAAACTAGTTTGTAAATAGGATTGTTAATGCTGGAGAAGTAATTCCAACTTTAAAATGCAGTGGTCAGGCCCAGGTACGGTGGCTCATGCTTGTAATCTTACCACTTTGGGAGGCCAAGGCAGGTGGATCACTTGAGCTCAGGAGTTCAACACCAGCCTGAGAAGTGTGGCAAAACCCCATATCTACTAAAAATACAAAAAAACAGCCAGGCATGGTTGTGTGCACCTGTGGTCCCAGCTACTCGGGAGGCTGTGGTGGAAGGACACACTTGAGCCCGGGGCAGGGGGCAGCAGTTGCAATGAGCCATAATTTTGCCACTGCACTCCAGCCTGGGTGATAGAGCAATACCCTGTCTCTAAAATAATAATAATAATAATAAATTAAATAAATAAATAAATGCAGTGATTAGATACGTTAACCCACAAAACAAGACTAAATACATTTAAATAGTTTGAAATCATACAAATTATATTTTCTGACAACAATAAAATGAAACTAAAAATAATAATAGAAGGAAAACTCACAAGTATGTGAAAATAAAACAACATACCCTTAAACAACCAATGTAACAAAAATTAAATCACAAAAGAAACTAGAATATATTTAAGGATGAGTAAAAATGAAAACACAACATATCAAACATATGGGATGAAGTGAATGTGCTTGGAGAAAAATTTGTAGCAATATAAATTAATCTTAAAAAAAAGATCTCAAGTAATAAATTAATGTTGGACCATGAGGAGACAGAAAAAGAGAAAATTAAATGCAAAGCTGGCAGAAGGAAGGAAATAGTAAAGATCAGAACAGAGATAGATAAAACATAAAATAGAAAAACTATAGTCAACAAAGCCAAAAATTATTTCTTTGAATAAATGAATAAAATTGACAAAATTTAGCTAGACTGACAAAGAAATAAAAAAAGAAGACACAGTTGATGAAAATCAGAAATGAAAGGGGGAATGTTATTGCTGACTCTACAGAAATAAAAAGAATTACAGGAGAATAATGTGAACCAATGGATACTAAACAATTAGGCAGTCTAGATAAAGTTAAAAAATTCTTAGAAGCACATATATTACCTAAACTGACTTAAGAAGAAATAGAATGTCTCAAAAAACCTATCAAAAGAGATTGAATCAGTATAATAATTTAAAACTTCCCAAAAAGGAACAGTCAAGGAACAGATAGCCTCACTTGTGAATTTTTCCAAACATTTAAAGAAAAATTAATGTCAATACGTCTTGATTTTCTCCAGAAAACAGAAGAGTAGGGAAGATAATTTATACCATTTTATGATGCCAGAAACACCCTGATACAAAAACTACATTAAAAATCACAAAGAAAGAAAAATATAGGCAAATATCTCTTATGAATATAGAAGCAAAAATCCTCAAAAAATACTAGGAAATCAAATCCAATATTGTATTAAAATTAATCATTAAGCCACGACTAAGTGTGATTTATCCCAGGAAGGCAAGGATGGTTCAACATAAGAAAATCAATCCATGTCATATGATACATTAGTAGAACAAAGGGGAAAAATAAACAATCATCTCAACTGATACAAAAAAGGAAATTGACAAAATCAGCATGCAAAAGAATAAAGCCTTACCTTACACTGTATACAAATGTTAACACAACATAGATCAACAGCATTAATATAAGAGCTAAAACATTACAATATTTAGAATAAAACATAGGGGCAAACTTTTATGACTCTGGATTTAGCAATGAATTCTTAGATATGACATAAAAATCATGAGTAATAAAAGAAAAAAGTAAATAAATTGGACTTTGTTAAAATTTAAAAATTTTGTGCATCAATAGACATTATCAAGAAACTGAAAAGATAAAAATGAGAGAGAACAGTTGTAGACCATATATCTGATATCAGGAGTAAATATCCAGAATATATAAAGAGCTCCAAAAACTCAACAACAAATAGACCACACAATTAAACACAGGCAAACAACTTGTATAGACTTTTCTCCAAATAATATACACAAATAGATCAATATCCTTAGTTATTTGGAAAATTAAAGCTACAATGAGATACCACTTCACACCTGCTAAAATGGTTATTAAAAACAAACAAACAAAAATGAGCACCAGCATGGGCAACATAGTGAGACTGTGTCTCTAATAAAAATTTAAAAATTAAACAGGCATGGGGGTGCATGCCTGTAGTCCCAAATACTTCAGATCCTGAGGTGGCAGGATCAACTGAGCCCAGGTAATTGAGGCTACAGTGAGCCTTGATCATACCACTGCACTCCAGCCTGGGCAATGGCCTGGCTAACAGATTTTCCTCTCTCCAAAAAAGAGAAAAATAAGTGTTGGTGAATATGTAGAGCATTGGACCTCCACACATTGCTTCTGGTAATGTAAACTAGGCCAGCTACTGGAGAAAACAACTTGACAGTTCCTCAAACAGCCAAACAGAATTACCATATGACCCAGCAATTCCATTTCAAAGTATATGTCTGCAAATTAGAGAAATTCACAAACAAAAACTCAAAGAGGTACTTATACACCGATGTTCATTGCAGCATTGTTCACAATCATCTAAAGGTATTAATAATGCATGTCCATTAACAGATGAATGAATAAACAAAATATGATTATGATTATATATGTATATATTATATTTATATATTATATATTTATATTATATATTATATATATAATTCAGCCATAAAAAGAAATAAATTTCTGATACATGACATAATACAGATGAACCTTGAGAACAAGCATTATGTTAAGCAAATAAACTGAACTCAAAATGGCAAATATTGTACATTTTTACAGATATAAAATATCTAGAATATGAAAATTCATAAAGACATGAAGTACATTAGAAGTTACCTGGAACTGAGGATAGGGGGAAATGGGGGTTTACTGCTTAATGGTTATAGACTGTGTTTGGAGTAGTAAAAAGTTTTGAAATAGTGATAATGATTGCACAACATAGTGAATGCAGTTAACTCCACTGTATAGCACACTAATAGTTAACATGGTTAAAGTAGCTAAAATGGTGATAGATAAATATGTAGGGAGAGAAAGAGAGAGGGAGGAAGATGGAGATGGAGGGAGGAAGAAAGGGAGATAGAGATGATAGACAGATATAGATAGATACATATAAATAGATATAGATAGATGATAGATATAGATAGATGATAGTAGATGATAGTGATAGAGATAGACATAGAGATAGAGAGATAAGATAGAGATAGAGATAGATAGAGAGATGAGATAGAGATAGAGATAGATAGATGAGATAGAGATATAGATAGATAGAGATGATAGAGATATCTTCACAATAAAAAGAATGAAGGGTTGGTGCAGGCCTGAGGGTGAAGATTGTATTTAAGCTAAGACTTGAAGCTAGGAAAGGAGTTCTTTACAGATATCTGAGAAGCCTATTTCCAGCAGAGGAAAAGCTGATGCAAATAACCTGAGGCAGACACATGCCTGCATGTTTGAGGAGCAATGAGGAGCCAATGGATCATAACAGGGTGAGAAAGACAGGTCATAAAACATGAGATTAGTGAGAAGAGGGGCATCCACACTTTATTTGCCTTGTAGGACAACATAAGGGCTTTAATTTTCATTCTGAGAAAAACAACTGACTCTTGGAGTATTGTGAGAAGAGGAAGGATGTCTGGCTTACCTTTGTTTTAAGAGGATCTCTCAGGCATGCTTAGAATAGACTAGATGGGGGAAGGTTACATGAAGAAGACCAGTTAGAAGGAGAGCAGTTAGGAGACCCATAATAATCCAGAAAAAGGATGATAATACTTAGCCCAATTGGCAAGAGGAACTATTGAGACATGGTCAGATTGGATGAACTTTGCAGTCAGAAAGAGAAAGATGTTCCACAAGTATGAAAGAGAAGAGATAAAGATAACTTTAAATTTTCTGGCCTGAATATCTGATAGAGGTGCCATTAACTAGGAAGTTGGAAGACTGGGTGCAGTAGCAGACGTGTGTGTGTGTGTGTGTGTGTGTGTGTGTGTGTGTGTGTGATGTGAGAGATTATGAGTTATGTTGGATATGTTAATTTTGACTCATCTTGGAAATGTCCAAGTATACTTGTTGAAAAGGGATTTGGATCAGAAGTTCTGATGTTTAGGGGAGGGGTCCAGACTGGAATACGAGCTTCCCAAGAGAGTAAGTGTAGATAAGAAAAGAAAGGAAGCCAAGGAACTGAGCCTTGGACCTTATAAAACATTCAAATAAGTCATAAGCAAAGGAGAAACTAACCAAGAAGCCTGAGAAGAAATGGCCAGTGAAGTAAGAGGAAATCAAAAGATTGTGGTTTCCAGGAAGCCAGGGGGAAAAAAAAAATGTTTCCAGGAGGAGGAAGTTCAACTATGTGCCTGTAAATTCAGAGAGGTTTGAATTCACACCAGCAAGGCCAAATTTTCAGTTATATTCACATTGAAGTATGATTGTGTGTGTATAAATTTAATGGTGAATGAATTTAAGGATATGTAAAATCATTTTATGACTTTTTTCCTGTAATAAACCAAATGTATATCACATATAAAATAATTTGTCACAATTGGTTATGAGAATATTCAATTAAAAGAAAGTATATGTAATCTCATTAAGTATAAAAATATTGTAATTTTACTTACAATCACACAATAGTATGTTGTAGAAAACTTTTACTGTGTTAGGGTTTCAGGGTAAAAATTTTTACTACTGTTGTTGGGTATTATTTTTCAGAATTAGGTCAATGAAAACCAAACTAATCATGAAATTCGAGGTGAAAAAAACTGATTCAAACAGAAGAATCACAAGGTTCATAAAAAACAGTGTTTGAATTTAAGAATTTAAATGGGATTGTAATATTATTTGAAAAATCACTGTAATTCAATATATTTGCAAATATGTGAACCTTAAGTAGGTGGCATTGAATGAGTCCAAAAATAATTGTGTTGTACAAGTGCTGTTAGGAACACAGTCATAAGGTATAAAGAAAAAATGAGAATAAAAATGGAAGGCTTTTTATTTAAAAATAATAGATTTTTTACTATAAAGCTTCAAGAACAAAGTAATAGGTTAAGATAACAAAAATACGGAAAGAACTCATTTCAATATGGTGCACTGTTTAAGAATTCTAAGAAATAAAAAATGCATATGTAGAGGTAGAAATTATGCTCCGTATTTTATGTTGAAATATACATAGTGGTATAACAGAAAATTGATACCTTTGGAATACACATTAATTTATACTTTCAGTGAACTAAAATATGAATAAGATATTATTTTGATAACCATGTTTTACAAGTACATATTATACCTTATAAAATACTATAATATTAAGATACTAATTTTATGTTTTTTAAACAGTGCAAAGTCTGGCTGATATCTACTAAAATTTAGATTAGTAGCTGTGAAAGCATAAGAAAAGTGTATAGAGGATTTATTATGTGATCACTGTGCCTTTAAGAACACTGGAAGAATTTTTAAGCACTCTCTCTCAAAAGAACAAATAAAGGAGCTTCCTTTAGGGAGGGAAGATCAGCTCTATTTAAAACAAAGCAGAACAATGAAGCATTTTTAGACTCACAACACCACTCCTCCTTTTCATAGGTTGGTTTGCCCTCATGCAAAGTAACACCCTGGCATCTACATTAAAATTGAAATTGACAAGGCATCCCTTTCATCCCTTACTGCCAAAACTCCTCATTAATAATAATTAACCATCCCTGGCCTCTATCCAACAGTTTAATAAATACTGGAACAACTCTGGGCCTCAGCTGCATTTGTAGCTTTAGCCACGGAATGGGAATGATGGGATTCTGAATGAGATTCACTGAACAGCATCAGTGCAGCAAAATGACTACTCAATTGTCTGTTAATGAATACCCATTATTTAAATATATATTTATGTTAGAGTATGTGTAGAAATACTCATTCAAATAGGTCATATTCAGGTTTATAAAGTTAATTTCTGTATGTGCCTTCAAAGATTGTTAGTGTATAGCATCATAATATTTGATAATTTTTATAACAATCATCCTTTTATACATTTCATATAGGTATGCTCTCTTAGGTAATGTAAATAACTTTTATTTCCTGGTAAATGGTGACTCTTATGTCCAATGTCAACACCATAAAGCAATATAGATGATACTTAAGGAATGGTCATTGCAAATGTACTGTTTTATTTACTTGATGGGTAAATTCTTCAGTTTGGTTTGTGATGTTATTACTCTTAAAATTACCCAGAGCATATAACCAAATGTCTTCATAAGACTATATATTGTTGTATTTATTAGAAGAAATGTGGTAGGAATGGGAAAGGTGAATGCCTTTTTCAAACTTCCAGTTTATTCATGGAGAGAATATGAGATTAGTTTCTCTCTCTTTACTCTTCAAGGCAGAGGTGAATGACTTACCTGATTGGTGAAAAATAGAGAAAGGAACTGTGCAGGCATAGATTTTAATTTCTGTTTTTCAGAATGTCCTCTTTTCAGGATTCATTCCCTGTCTGTATCTTGGGGCAGTCTCTACTCCTGTGAGGGAAAAGAGGGTGGTGCTGCAGTGTACCTCAGACTAGAGGACAGGTCTAGCTTATTAGGAATGAATGGTTAGGATGTCATATCCGGACAATGGTCCAGGCAAATAACTTTAACACTATGCCTCTGACTCCCAAATCCTATTTCATAATCCTCCAAAAAGCTCTAGGGCTTGAAGAGTCAGGCTTACTTACCTAGCCCAAAACTCCAGCATGAGTGAACATTGATGCAGTTGCTCTAGGGTGAGCATACACACATGGCATATGTTTGAGTGTGTCTTCTTATCCTTGATAGCTTTCTGTGCCTATTTTCCTAAACTGAAAGAAATACAGATGAAGTTTGACTCTGGGTTTAAGGCCATAATCCCAGAATGATCTTCTGCCTTGGCCAATGAAAGTTTGTTCCATGAAATCTTATTAAAGAGACAAAGAATAAAAAAATAACCTTACTAACTAGTGCTACCAGCACAGTTTCTGACTTGGGATTTCACTGATGAAATTTGCATGAATCTTGACCAGAAAGTCAATGAACTTTCTCCATGAATTTCCCTAAAGAATAGTTTTGAAGACCATTAGGGTAATTGAACACTTATCTTGGTACTCACATTTTCAAAGGATAGGTATTAAACCCCAATGAATCTTCCTTAATTTCTAAATAAATGTTAAATTTTATCAACATATATTTACCCAACAATTAGAAGTATAAATAACCAATTTGGATGTTGACTAAGAATTAACACACTGCAATCAGGAATTCAGAACATTTATTGCAAGAGCTGAATAATTGTAAATAACGTAGAACTGGCAAAGCAGTAACAAGGATAATTGTTTAGATATTTATTCTGTCAAAGTCATCAAACACCCCTCACAAACCGACAAAAATGTACTTCAATAAGCAATGCACCCCTACCCATTATTTTCCATTATACTGTGGAAAAATGTGAACTGCTATTTACAAAGTAATTTTATTTTTTGGTAAGAACAAATTAACTATCAGATTAGCAAACCTTTTTTTTAAATTTTTTGTTTTTTTTTTGTTTTTTTTACTTTTAAATTGATGGTGAACCGTGGCATTAAGATAACTTCCACTTCTTTCAATAAAGACATTTTGTTGCATGCTATTTATTTGTTTAAATCATCTGTCATGCCTTAACAAAAACCTCCTAAGAATGTTCGAATTTGGATTTGTTTGCACGTGCAACTGAGATCTTATTAACATTAGTTGTCACTTTATTGGTTTGACCTAAGTGACAATATGCTGGTACCTGCCAGGCATTGACCAACTATGATAACAAACAGTTAAACAGCAATAATTAGAGATTTATCCCTTTATTTCCCCCAACTACCCTACCTGGAGAATGTTCTGTTACATCATGAAGGCACAACACATTAAATATTTTGTGGCTATGGTCTAATAACACTTGTGTTACAACAACATTATTGTATATGAGGATCAACACAGACTCTGCCATTTCAACAAAGTTGTAGACACACATTTGCCCAATTGAAACTATTTTTGAATAGTGATTTTTCTTCCATATATGCTAATTTTGATACATTAGTTTTACATGAGTGACAAGTACAGGATATTATATCACTTTTGATGGATAACAGTTTTCCATTACTCTCTCACTTAATGGTACTAATTAAGTGATTTTGCTTTTGCCTACTTTGAAAATAAGATGATAAAAAATAGGTTCTGAATTTCCAAGCTTTTGCAGAAGTCCTTTTTTGTATAAAGTTTTCATTTTTTCTTTCATCTTTATTGTTTACAGAATTCCGGCATCATAAGCTATCATATGAGAAGCAAGATTTCAGAACCTTTTTTAAACACAAGTGCTTGAGATTGTTTGAACAATGTGTGTCAAGACAGACTACTAACACAGAAACACCTCACTGAAAGAAACAACAAAAATAACAACAAAGAGGTAAATAAAAAGAAGGACAGAAGCAACCATAAAACACAGAATTATGCTACAACATTTTTAGGTGAACATTATAAGTACACAAAAGTTGTTAATAATAGCTTGCTTCTATTTACAAATACTTTAACACTGATTGACTTACAAGTGTCCACTAACGTTGTTAACAGCACAATAGGTTTAATGCTTATCTCTTTAAGTTTTGTTTGCAGTATAATGTCAAGTATAGCAGTCCCAGCACAAATCAATGACAAAAAAAAAAAAAAAAAAAAAAAAAAGCACAATTTTCTAACTGGATATGTTTTTCAGTCACTCTAATCCATGAAACTTTCTTACTTTCCAAATGCATATTCTATTGTTCATAGCAGCAGTCCAGGGTCAAAATAAAATGCAATAATAAAAAAAATTTGCACAATGGAGAGATCTCTGGAGAGTGTAATCAATTCTAGTAAACAAAATTGCATGGCTAGAACTATCTTCTCTCATATGTTGCAAAAACATTGTATTCTCCATGGTGCTAACACAAAGTTATAGGTATCCCTGCTAGAAGGGGCATAGTTGTAGAGATCTATTGAATACATAAAGCTCTGACGCACACGGTATTAGCATGTCTATTTAAAGTTATTAGGTCCCATATAGCCTTTTCTTAGAGTTGGTGCTCCTTAGGACTCTCAGTAGCACCTCCTGCTTGCTTATAAGACTTCAGATTTGCCAGAGGAATGTCTGTCATGTGGCTGCCATTGTTGAAATGGCCTTCATTGGAGCCATACTGCTTACGGTCATTGAACTGGTTCCTGTTGCTGTCTTCTTTCCAGGCTCTGGTCAGGGTGTGCCCATTCACAAGCTTGTCCTTCTTCACCCATTCTTTCTGGGGTGCAAAGGTTGAGAGAGGAGATTTGGGGTGTTGATATGGACCCAAGCCAGGAGGCATCCAGCAATTATCAGAGTGACCCAAAACCAAGCACTCTTGAGTGCACATCTCTGTAGCTTCAGCTAATCCTCGGGGACCCAAAGGCCCATCTGCAGAAGACAAGAGAGAGAAAATAAGAAAAGGAAGTGGTTAAAATTTTCAATTAGAATTATCTTAGAGAAAAAGTATGTTATTAGTGATCTTATTTTTTCATAAAAGTGTATCAAGTCAAGCAACTCAAAGATATATTTCTCCATCTTTTAAAGATTAACACAAAAGGCATCAAATTTGTTAGGGAGGTAAGATTGATCTATTAATATTTTCCTTCTTAATCCATTATTTAGTTATTTAGATCCAAAGACATAGATAGATAAAAAGACAGATATGGGTAAACAGGTATAACCATGATGTATACAGATATAACCATGATGCATACAGATTATTACTAATTTATATTCTAAGAAATCCCAGAAAAAAACTCATATTTATGATAAATTATAAAAAGTAGAACAATTTGTATGTGTAATATTAAAGAATATATAAATAATACAACTCCACTAAGTTAAAAAGCAAAATTACCACTTGAAACATAGCATCATTAAAAATAAATACTCTAAATGATTATATAAAATATTGTTTTTTTCTACATAAACACCTTATTTTTAAATGAAAATATTTTGTCACATTTTTGAAAAGTTAAATACTCATTTTAAAGAATAACTATTGTATCTTACTAACAACACACCTGGTCAGCTGCAAACATTCTGAAATCCAAGTAAAGAAGAAGCCATTTGAATCCAGACAGTGTTTAGTTCCCCTGAGCTTAACTATTTTCTAAATTTCTAAGGTATAAAACTGAAGCTAAATTGCAAATTAAATCACATGGAGTCTAACATTCAGGGGGAAGAAAGTGATCATAGAATTTATCTTCTACTTTTTTCACCAGCAGGCAATCTAGAACATACATTTTAACCAGGATTTCGAAAGTAAACTATTTTCTGACTGTTTAAAATAGAAATCAGCCCTTTACTAAAAAAACAACATAAGCCAAATGGTTAAGAAATAAATTGGGTTTCTTTGTTGCTGTTGTCTTACCCCCCTTGATTAAACAGCCACGTGATAGATAAATGATAGCTTGGAAATTAGGAATTGATTTTACAAATGAAGTTAAGTGGATACACAAGAATGCCTGAGGCATAAAGCATTTTCAAATGCAGAGAGTCATCAGAAAAAAAATGCAGAAAAAAGTAAACATACCTGCAAGTTTGCTTAGTCATCAATTTAAATCGCTCAATAATTGGAATGTAGGTCTTTGCTAAAACCAAAGTTAGCACAACTAATATTTTTAAACGTCCAATAATTGTGAGCTTTCTATTTGCCTTTATAATATTCTAATTATTTCTTGCATGAGAAAAAAAAATTCCCACCGAGACAGGAAACAGTTGATGGTAAAGACCAGAGACAGCAAACCACAGGCAACATCAAAATAGATACAGAATGTAGTTTTCCTGGGTACAATGTATACTGCTTGGGTGATGGGTGCACTAAAATCTCAGACCTCACCACTATACAATCATCCACGTAACCAAAAACCACTTGTACCCCAAAAACTATTGATATAAAAAAATTGTTTAAAAACAGAACAGATACTAGATGTGAAAAAAGGGGCTGAAATGCACTATTTCATATAAACTCAAAGTTTAGCGATTTTTTTTATATCTAAAAGTCTTCCTTTTAGAATATCCTTAAAATTACTTCCCATCTGAACCATATTCCCATCCCCTCAAGAGCAAACAGTTTTATTTTGTTTAAACACATATTCATTACTTAAAACTTTTCCTCTCACATACCTCCAATGATTACTCACTTTTTTGGATATTTAATTTAAACTTCTCTATGAGCCTTTCTTTGCCCTCTACAATCTGGCCACATTTTAAAAGTTCAAACTAATTTATCACTTTTAGGCTCCCTTAGGTGTACTCAGTGACTCTGCATTCACAAAGCTAACACATTTTGCTTAAACCAATCCACGCTCCCTGCATTAGGATCACAGGCTTAGAAGATGCTTTTTGCCGGGCCTGTTTTCATTTAATTACTGACCTCTTCAAGGGTCAGCTTATGTCCCACACACCAAAAGCAAGCTTCCATAACTCTACCAATTCATGCTTCATATGCACCTTGATTTCCACAGAGCTTTCTTTATTGATGAATAACAAATTTCCTAATTGAGCTCCCTCAACTCTTACCTTAATTCCATTTTTTGTTTTTTGGAGGGGGTTCCGTACATTTGCAAGTTTTAATTTTAATTTCCTCCCAACTAGATTGAAAATTGATGGAAAAAAAATGGCACATCGGTCTTCTGATTCTTCACAGTGCTAAACAATAGTGGTGATCTACGAACAATGTTAATTGTTAATTAAACTTTTATGAGGTTGAAAATGTTCTGAGGATTATTAAAGATATCTCCTGCTTAAAGGCAGACCTAAAGTAATTATAATAGAAGACGCTGATTTCACAAATCTTACACCAAATGCTTCCTCAACAGCAAATTCCTTTGCCTAGCAATACTTTGTGACAGCTTATAAATGAATAATTTAACTTCTCTGTTAAATATATTTACTCCTTTCTAAACATCAATGGAGTTAATCACCAATTTGATATGTAACATATCTTGAAGCCTACAAGCAAACTTTTAATCTTTACATTTCCAGCGTCATTAATAAGTTTTTTATTGTTAAAATCTCCAAAGAGAAAAAAAATTACTGGCTACCTCAGAAATGTCATTACATCAGGTTTTTATTGAGCTCATCAAAAAAGAGAGGATGTGCAAGGCTATTTTAAAATTAGCCTTATGCAACACACTCTGCCATCTTATTAATTTAAGACATATCACTCGAAGATTGAGAATGTGTTGTGTGCGCGTTTATAAGAATATGTATACCTTAGGTTTTCAGCATTGAGTGACACATTTTAAGAAATATAATTTATCCTTTTAAAAAATATTTACAACCAACAACATTTATTTATTCCACGAACATTTACTGAGAATGTACTATGTGCTGGCACTGTGATAGGCACCACAACTACAGCCTTGAACAAAACAGATGTCAACACTATCCTCATGAAGCTGGGAGCTATTCTGGGAAACACATAATTGCCTTAAGAGCAGTGAGCTGAGAGGGAAGTAAAAGGTGTCATTAAAATGATCTGGGGGCCGTTAACTGTTTTAGGAACGTTTTTCTCTTTATAACTTATCAGATAGACTTTGTGCTAAGGTACATCATTTCTTCTTCAATTTCTTTAAACTTTTTTTTACATAATTGGCATTAAGACATTTACAGTTACAATTTTATGTACTGTACAAAATCTTTAACTTGCAAAACATGAGTTTGTTTTCATTAAATAATATTACTTGTTCTTTGTACATTGTACTTCCCATGATTCATTCCTGTAAGTAAACTTGAAGGATTTTGATAAAGTCTATAAATAAATTTATAGAAGTTTTGTAGATTCATAAGTAAGTCTTTCAGATAACTGGTTGCTGTATAAATTTTAAAGATCCATCCTCAGGTCAGCCATGCACAATGGCACTCTACATGAAAGGCAGAATTTTTTTGTTGGAGCTCTAAATGGGAGAAGCCTTTCAGGCAGAGCCATACAAGGGACTGAATCTGGGAACAAGGTAACAACAAACTGGAGCTCTAGGGGACAGTTTATATATGAAAAACTGAGTAGGGTTAGCTAGGGTTTTAGGGCTCTCTGAGGACTGGCTAATTTGAATAATTTCTCAAGAACCAGGTAAAAACAGCAATGTCAAATTATCTAGTATCAAAGCATTTGCTTAGGGAGGTTGCTTTGTGACCCAGAAGTGTGAGATCACTAGAAGAGAACTAGAGGAATATGGATTTAGCTGCTCAAGAAGGGGAAACTGACCAGTCTCTAGACCGGGGCTCAAAACTGAGCCAAGACAGCAAAAAATAAAAACAAAAACAAAAACAAAACCTATATACATCAATCAATCCATCAATAATCTGCTTCTCTGCTGTGTATCATTACAGTATGAGCTGTATTGTTGGAAAATATAATTTGCTTTATGCTTTAAAAGTTTTTATTTTTAATTTTTGTAGTTACATGGTAGGTGTATGTATTTATGGGGTACTTACTTTATGCTTCGGTAAGTTTTTATTTTGGGACATGACATTAAATAGGGAAAAGTTTAATTTGTTTCTTTGGGTCTCTATGTAATTCCCAGTAATTGCTGTGATATTAAGGAGAAAACAAAACAAAACAAAAAACAAAAGCCCAGTGAGTTTTATCATGGGAAAATAACAATGCTTCCATGTTTTCTTCCTTAAAGTCAGTGTCATAAATTGGTAAAAAGAAAAAGTATATGTTTTTTCAAAATTCCATGATGAATTATTAAAGGGAATACATTCATTCGACTGGTCTCCTAAGTCAGTCCCTGCCCTATACATGTTTATAATCTGATATATGCTAATAACTGACTAGTTTCTAACTCATTTTTCTCATTTTTAGAAGTACTGACTGAGTTTTTATGCTTTTAAAAAGGAGAAAAACATTGTTTTAAAAATGTTATTAAATATTGAAATTTTCCAAAATATGATTGAATATAATCTATAGTTCTCCATAAATATACAGGGTTTTAAATCTCAGATGTTTGCTAATACTGCAAAAATTATATGCACTAAACTGTAATCCTTTTTCTTTGATATATTTTTATTATTACTATAGGTAATTATATTAATTGATGAATAATATTTGTTTTTCATTCATACAGTCTCTCAAATATTTATTAAAACCTAACATTCATCATATGTATCATTGTACTGGATTCTTATTAGATGTTTTCAGATTTTGTTTGTGTGTGAGTGTGGTGTGTTTGTGCATGTGTAATCATGTGCATCTGTGTTTTTTTCTGTTTCTCTATTTTTTCATAAATTTTATAATATACTATTTGTGCTACATCATAAAATATATGTGTAGAATCCTGATCAGGATTCCAAACTACTTATAAATACTTTCTATAATTTTATCATTACACCAGTTTATTTCCTTTCTTTTAAAATAATTAAAATAATCTATCATAAATTTTTTAAACACTGAAACATTTATTGATTTTTTTTAACTCAAATTCTTTGTTGCTTTGCACAGTCTTTAATGTCTGAGTTTGGTTATCCTTGGGTTTGGTGTGTATAAAATCACAAGTGCAAATAACACCGTGCAAGCCATCTGTCTCTGCATTTAAATTTTGAAAGCAAAAACAAAAGCACATAATGAAAAGCTTCTGGAAAGTTGTTTCAGTTAATATTTATATCAGGTCTCAAAATTCATCTTCACACAACTCATCTTCTCGTTAAACACCAAATAAAATATTTTTCAAAGTTTTAGGCATTAGCAGCTCTCAGACAGGTGCCTGAATTACTAACTTTAAAAGATGCAAGTTTAAAGTGTAAAACAATTCAAGTTAATGGAACTCCAACTATACTTAAGTAGTAGAATACTTGAGTGGTTCTTGATGTCATTTTACTATAACCAGAAGCAGAACTGTTACTTCATTGATTAATTCACTGCTGTAATTAAGAAATAGCTTCTGGCCTGTTGACCACCGACCTTTCAATCTCATTATTTGAAACCCTTTAATACCAAAGCTAGAAACTGGCATTTCTTTAAAAAAGCTATGGGACTTTTTACATTTCTGGTTAGTTTTCATACTGTATGAAATTTTCATCTTTTCTATGAATAAATTTTTCTTAGAATTTTTACTGTTAGGTAACATAAGTTTAAACCGACTGCCAAAATTGGTTTGTAAAATAAATAAGTCATTTTCATATGATTTAGGATCAAATTCATCACATCTCACTCCATTTTTCATTTTGTTCAATTTTTATTATAGGCAAATTCCTCTTGGATGGAATACACATCTGACTGTCATGTTATAATATTATTTTTGTAGTAAGAACATACATCACTATTTTTATGCAAAACGTTTGTTCCTAAGTTCCAATTTCACTGTATTTCTCCAAGACTTTGTGCTATCATGAGTGTCTATTAAGCAAAGACTTGTGCACTCCCAAACACTTTAAAATGAAAGATGCATTCCACTGATTTGGATTTGCTAAAGCAGTTTCCCTGACATTTAGATATAGTGATGTTTTAAAGAAATTTCCTTTTTATGTAAACTTTTACTCTGTAATTTTGCTTTGCACTTACAGCTATTGATATGCTCAGCAAAATCTTAATCTTCATACTTGTTCTTTGCCTTAACCAATCTTTCTATAATAAAATTTCGGGGAAACAAATATTCTCATTCATTCATTTGAAGTTAATTTTAGTATCTCCAGAATACTAACACAACAAAATTTAGTATTTTTACTAGCTCATTTTATCCCTCAATTTTTCTCTCTCTCTCTCTCTTTCTCTCTCTCTCTGTGTGTGTGTGTGTGTGTGTGTTATTTATTTATTTTTTGAGACAGTGTGTACCAGCATAACTTTTTTTGTGGATTGAATGGAAAGCTAAAACTATAGGTTTATGTAAATCTGGAGGGACCTGAAAGAAATGTCAGAGGCAAATTTACTTGATAGACACCCTAATATCCACTATTCTACTCTATGTTCTATATTTATTGAACAGTTGCTATTAAAAATAAAATCCATTAATTTGCCTCAAATCTAAACATGGTAAAATTAATTTCAAATATGAAAGTTGGCATGAAAACCAGGAAATAGTTCAGCATTGCCCTCATGCCCTTTGGAGACTGCATTACTATTTCAGACCACTTTATTCTATGCCCACTTTATTCTATGCCCAATCAATACATTTAAATGAATGTCATACAATAATAAATAGATGTTTAGTTATTACTCCGCTCTTATTATACAGAAAACCAGCCAGAGGGTGTGAATCTCATTGCCATTGTATTCAGATTTTATATGAAATCATATAGAACAGTTATGTGGACAGTCCAAATCCAAAGGTAAATATGACAGATTTGTGTGTACTTTGGGGAGAAATGCTTTCCATTCATTTATTCAATAATTTCTGATTTAGTTCATGTTAGATTCAAAAGACTATTGTATAGAATATCTAAAATCAGAATCGATAGGAAAATCTCAAGACACAAGATCATTACAGATAGGCAAACAAATAAATAGATTTTAGCCCTAGTAGAATGATGAATTGGTATGGACTTTAAGAAAGTAAGCTTAGACTCCCTAGCTCCCAGTCTGTTACCTATAAATTGAGAGGATAAAAAGGCTAGATTTTGATGCATGCCCTCTATACATTCTTTTATTCCTTAATTAAATATCATTGTGGTTTGTCATCGATACAACATGAGAATCAAACTTTCCAATGCTACTTCATTTCAGTAAAGAAAAGCCCAAGAGAGAGCAAAGAAATGATAAATCAATCTATTGTTCAGATAGATTAGGCTAGGCATGGTGGCTCATGCCTGTAATCCCAGCACTTGGAGAAAAGCACGGACAACACGGTGAAACACCGGCTCTACAAAAAATACAAATATTAGCCAGGCATGGTGTCATGCGCCTGTGGTGCCAGTTACTCAGGGGAACTAAGGTGGAAGGATTGCTTGAGCTGGGAGATTGAGGCTGCAGTGAGCAGTGATCGCACCACTGCACTCTAGCCTGGGAGATAGAGCGAGATCCTGCCTCAAAAAAAAAAAAAAAATTACTCTAGTACTGAGGTCACATTTAGATTTTTGAGTGTGAAATTATATTTTGAATAACTACGTTTTTAAATGTAAATAAAAATCTAGTGGTTCTATCAGAGTTTTAGATCTGCATTTGTGAATGCATCTGCAGTAACCTTGAGAAACAAACGCACACGAATCCACACCACCAGGATTGGACAAAACCTCTGGTGAACAAGTAAACAAGGATTAAATGTTTTACACATTTCTCATACAGATTTCTTCCTTGGTCACAGATGAAAAGTCAACATTTGCAGATGGAGACAGTCCAAATACAATAACACATGGCCACGCCAAGCAGGGAATTCACTGCCAGAGAAGATATTGCTATTTGAACAGACTTTATGGCTCACTAAGAATGAAGAGCATTTCCTTGTACATCTTCAGCCTTCTTCTGCAGGGCATGAAAATAAGCTGCCTTTTTCTCATCTGCTAAAGCTAATTGCTGTAAAGAAAAGTTTCTCTGATAATTTTATGTGCTCTCTATTAGTATTTTACATTGCAATCCATTGAATGACAATAGTCCAAAGAGACAGACCTTCATTATTCAAACCAACTTTCAATGTTTAAGCAAACTGCTTGATGTGGAACATTGTATTTACCTTATTGCAGATCATATTTACTTTCTTCTATAGTTCATCATTTCTTGTATTAGTATTTCACGTTTTTCCTTTCAAAAATTCATTCATATACTGCTATCTCCTGAATTACTCTCCATTTCTTGCAATTTGCATTGTTTCTCAGACAAACTTGGTAAATCTAATTTGATGTGAAGCACATTTTAAAGTGCAGACTAAGGTGTTAAGCAGTGAAGTAATAATACTTTAGAGATTAATTTTCAGGCTGAAGTCCAAGTGAAAAATAAGCCACTTACATAATATTTTGTCCCCTTTAAAAAGTGTTGCAAAAGCGAGCCTGAATACAGGTCATACACAATAGTAGTACACAATGTTATGAAGCAATTTGCCTTTATACAATTCCACTGTTTCCTATTCCAGGGATATTTAATCAGATGAGAGCAGGAAAAACTGATGACGTTCATTTTCATGCCTGTGGTCTCTGACAATTTGTACCCAGGACACTAATAATATAACTTCAGCCTTGTTTCTCTCCTAGTCTCTGGGTTAGCGTTTCCACTTCTCACAATCATCAGAGGTGGTAGAGACTTGCCCCAAGTGATTTTAAGCATTGGATAAATGGGGGAAAATACTTTGCTAAATTAATAAGGATTTAAAGACATAATAATTTATATACTTTAAAAGATGTCTGAAAGATTATATTTTAAATGGAATAAAACATCAGATATGGAATCCATGTGATCTGTAGGTATACGCGTGTGTATTTACACCTGGACTGTCTTACCATCACTTTAAATTAATATATCACAGCTCAGTGCTTCTCAAATGTTAATATGTATATGAGTCACCTAGGAAAATCATTAAAATGTAGATTCCAATTCAGTACATCTGATTGGGTCCTGAGTTCCTGCATTTCTAACAGTTCCTTAAGTGATTCTGCTGATGGTGTTCAAGAATCACACTTTGAAACGCAAGACATTTAGAACTTACCTGTCTGCCTTCGCTCCTTTCCCAGTGGTCTAAACTAATAACGTTTTCAGGCTTCATCTTGTATTAGAGTTCACTGGAGAGTTTTAAGCACACAAATTGTTCTCATCAACAAATTCTGAATCGGTAGGTTTGGGGGGTAAGTCCAAGATCCATCAAGCCACATTCTCCAGATTTTCCTAATCCATCTCTCACCTTCCTGTTCAGTTTCCTTTGATGATACCACACCCTTGCCAGATCCCTAAATGTTAGAATGCTCAGAGCTCTTTATCTGCACTTCACCTATGTGAGCGCATGTAATCACTTGGTCTTACACAACATAAATATGTGGATTCCCCAATTTATATTTCTAGCCCTTAATCTTTCTCCTAGGGACAATATCAGTATATTTGACTATCTACTTATCAGGAGTATTGGATTACTAATTGGCATTTTCAAGTTACACAATTCTTGCATTTTTTTAGAAAATTCCCCTGAATTTACCGTTCTTGTATATGGCACACTGATGACCTAGTTGCTCAATGCAGGAAAAAAGGTATTTGGAGTATCGTCCTTGACACATGTTACATAAAAATCTAAAATGCCTCTCCCATCAATATTTTCACCCTAATCTCTGCGACTATGAATATGATAAGATTGAACCAGTGATTGTGTTGAACTATATGGCAAAGGGGATTTTGTAGATGTAATAAAATTACTAGTCAGTTGTGTTTTAGTTAATCAAAAGAGATTGTTGGTAGGCCTAATCTAATCACATGAGTCCTTTATAAGCAGAGTGTTTTCTCCAGCTGGTGGCAGGTGGGAGTCCAGATTCCAAGGACGGGAAGGATTCAATTGGCAATTGCTGGCTTTGAAGACAAAGGGACTGAATAAAAATGATGTGAGAGCAGCCTCTAAGAGTTGAGGGCAGCCCCCCACTGGGCAGCTCGCACACAACAGGTGTCTCTGTCCTACAAACACAAGCAACTGGATTCTGGCCACAGTCTCAATAAACTGGAAGCCAATTCTTCTTCAGAGCCTCCAGATAACAGTCTAGCTCAGCTGACACCTTGATTTCAGCCTTCTGAGACCCTAAGCACGTCAAGCCCACCTAGGTTCATGAGATACTAAATGGGTGACAACTGAGACAATAAATTTGTGTTGCTATAAGTCTCTAAATTTGTGATAATTTGTTACATCTGTTTTTTACTCAAATCACATAACCAAGCACGTAGCAAGTCCTTTCATCTACCAGCTTCCCTGCAAACTGCATGGCCCAAGCCACTCTCTTTTTTTTTTGTTTTTTTGAAATGGAGTTTCGCTCTGCCACTTAGGCTGGAGTGCAGTGGCGCAATCTCGGCTCACTGCAAGCTCTGTTCCCCAGGTTCAAGTGATTCTCCTGCCTCCGCCTCCTGAGTAGCTGGGATTAGAGGCGTGTGCCACCACGTCCAGCTAATTTTGTATCTTTAATAGTGACGGGGTTTCTCCTTGTTGGTCAGGCTGGTCTCGAACTCCCGACCTCAGGTGATCTGCCCTCCTTGGCCTCCCAAAGTACTGGGATTACAGGCGTGAGCTACTGGGCCCAGTGGCCACTCTCATTTCTTAACAGGACTTGCTTCTTCCCCATTTTCTCAACATTCTATTCACTAATCTCTAGCATATTTACATTTGTTTCCTGTTGCCACGGAGACAAATTACCACAAACTTAGTGGCTTAAAACAACCAGCATTTATTTTTCTACATTTCTAAAGGTTAAAAGTCTGAAATCAGTCTCACTGGGCTAAAGTCAAGGTGTTGAGAGGGCTGGTTCCTTCTAGAAATTCTGAGGAAAGAATTCATTTCCTTTCCTTTTATTCAGATTCCTGTGGTCATCTATGTTCCTGGACATGTGACTCCTCCCTCTATCTTCAAAACACATCATTCTAACCTCTGCTTCCATCATCACATCACCATCTCCTCTGACTCCTTCATCCTTCTTACTGGGATCACTTTGATTACACGGAGCCACCTGGATCATCCAGGATAATCTTCCCATCTCAAAATGAGATCCTTAACTTAATCATGCCTGAAGGTCCTTTTTGTCATGTATGGTAAACATATTCACACATTCTGGGGACTAAGACATGGATATATTTGGGGGACTATTATTCAGACTAACACAGTATTTAAAGCAGAATGCCTCACTCCTCTGCTTCCAATCACACCTGGGTGAAAGCCATTACTCCTTTCCATGGCCTAGAGAGCCTCTCATGATCTGGTTCCTGCAGAGCTTTCTAATCTCATACCTCACTTCTTTCCCTGTACTTCCCTGCTCTCCCACACTGAATTTCTTGCTGTGCCTTGAACATGCTTAATGTAGTCTCAGGGTCTGTGGATTTGGTATTATGTATGCCTGGAATATTCTTCTCCTGGGACTTAGATTCACTCCTTCACTTCATGTAGGTGTCCTCTCAAAAGTCAATTCTTCATAGAGGCATTTCCTTACCACCTTTAAAAATAATGATATCCTCTACTCAGTCAATTTTTATCCTCTTATCTTTTTCTTTTCGAGACAGATTCTCACTCCGTTTTCCAGGCTGGAGTAAAATGGCGTGATCTTGGCTCACTGCAACCTCCACCTCCTGGGTTCAAGCAATTCTCCTGCCTCAGCCTCCCAAGTAGCTGGGATCACAGGCACGCACAACAACGCCTGGCTAATTTTTGTATTTTTAGTAGAGATGGGGTTTCGCCATGTTGGTCAGACTGGCTTTGACCTCCTGATCTCAACTGATCCAACCTCCTCGGCCTCCCAAAATGCTGGGATTATAGGTGCCAGCCACTGTGCCCGGCCCGCTAGCTTTGTTTTTGTTGATAGCACTCATCACTACCTTTCACAATACATTTATTTGTTAATGGTCTATCTCTCACACTAGAATATAAGCACCATGAAATCACACACTTTGCTTTTTTCATACATCTATGTAGCTATGAAACAACATCTCTTTCTATGGCCTGGCACATTGCAGATAATTATTAGATATATTTAGAAAAAAAAAGTTAGCACTGAGCCTCAGACTGGTGAGCCAACAGAGAAACTGCATGTAAAACATTATGTGGCAAATAATTTTCATCAAGAAAATAGTGAATAACAGGAACACCTCTAACCTGTACATGAGAAACTTTGGTAAGAATTTATAGCATAATATTTTTAATAATATTTGGAATGTTCAAGTGAAATTAACAAAGGCAAAATAGCTGCATTCAGATCACTTATCTCCCAGCTATTTTGGAGTTAAAGGGACTGGGAATTCCCCAAAGTAAAATATAATTAGGTTGTTTTTTGTATCCCACCTAACCATTTAATCATAATTTCTTTAACCATCAGAGCTTTTAGTCTTCAGAAATCCAGATTCACAGGATACATAACAAAACATTTCCTTACAGCCTAAAGATGCTAAAATAATTATTAGTAATTATTCTGAGACAGAGCTCTGATGAAATACAGACAACAGTGCAGAATTTAGTCCTTTGATACAGGTATATTCAAGTAAGTGGGAGGATATTTAAGAAAAAAAAAGATGATTAGCAAATTTATTGAAAACTTAAAAGTAGTTTAGATTTTTTATAACTATATTGGCTTACAATGATAAGGGATGCAATTACTTTTCACAAAGTTTAGGGGGAAAAGGTGACTTTTTAAAAGGCTAATATGTCATTTTAGTGTACATGTAGAATACCATTGTGAAATACATTGCTTAAATTCAGCTGTACATAAAGAAAAACTACTCTAAAATGGGAAGAAATAAAATGTTATATTTTGAAAGAATCTCCTAAGGGAACTGTTGAAAATGCCATTACTCTGTTATTGAAAATGGCCTGTATAATAGAGTTTGTAGAGAGAAATTTTGCCCTCTCAGGGTGATACATAGGAGGATTACGTTTTCCAATCTAAAATGTATGTTTATCTCTGAACACACCTTGCAAATCCAGGGAAATTACTTCATTAATATGGTTTCTTGAAAGGTAAATTTCTCTCTTAAAATAATAAATATTGCATTTGAATTTTATAACATCTATATACATTTTGCAGAGATTTTTCTGCAATCTTTTCTGCTCTGTTATTGCCAATCATCAACTGCTATTTTTTGACAAAAGAAGAGAAATTGTGTCTCTTATACTTTAGTTACTGTTTTATTAGTAGTGTGACGAGCAGTCCCAAATATTCAATAGATACAATGTTGCCATATTTATCACAGACAAACCATTGTCATCACACTTTTATACAAGGCATGAATTATTTATCATGTTTCTGAAATGTAAAAATTTTGTTGCCACATCAATATGCTTTTCAATAATCTTTAAAAATCTCTCAAGATGAAGATAAAATTTGCATGCAAAATTTTAGGAAAGCCTGTATTACCCTCAGAATAAAATGTCTTAGTTAATGTAAGGGAACAAAATGGAGGCAGAGGGAGAAATTGCCATGAAATCCTGTATCTAGAAGAAAACAGTCTTGGTGCACAAATAGACCTTGTCTCCTGAAGGGTTATCTTTTTGCATCATCTGGGTTATTTCCAATAATTTCTTCTGAAAAGTTATGGTTAATCACATTTGCTTTCCATCTAGATTTGCTTTCCCTTAACAATTAAATATGCTTTATTATTTTCCAAACTGTCCTATTTAAATTACCCATCTTCTTGGCATAATAACTGGTGGTGACTTCTCTGATAAGCTTATTAATATTACAATGTCATTGACCAAAAAGGCTATTATTCTCTGGAAGGATATCTACACTTCAGTAAGAGTGTATTAGTCTGTTTTCACACTGATATAAAGAACTGCCCGAGACTGGGTAATTTATAAAGGAAAGAGGTTTAATTGACTCACAGATCCGCATGGCTGGGAGGCCTCAGGAAATTCACAATCATGGTGGAAGGCAAGGGGAATCAAGGACCTTCTTCACAAGGCGGCAGGAGAGAGAAAGAGTGTGTGTAGGAGGAAATTTCAAACACTTATGAAACCATGACATCTCTTGAAAACTCACTATCATGGCAATAGCGTGGGGAAAAGTGCCCCATGATCCAATCACTTCCCTTCCTCGACATGTGAGGATTACAATTTGAGATGAGATTTGGGTGGGGACTCAGAGCCAAACCATAGCAAAGAGCCTTATAAAGCTGCTTTAATCCAAATACAGGGGTTCTTGAAGCGCAATGGCAGATGAATTTGACTTTGTGGTAGAGAAGGCTTTGAGGCATTTATCAAATCACAATGTGAAAGCATGACTCCTCCCTGTGAGGTGCCATGGCTTGAGCATCTTTCAGTGTGCTGGCATAAAAGAAATGGCACTCAAAGGTATTAATCGAAAAGAGTTTAATGAAGGAGCTTTTGTGGCATGTGGGATGGTGAAATTAAACTAATAAGGATTTAGTGAGGGAGACAAGGACCTAAAAAAGTAGGAAACTATCATTACCCCTAGGCCTGAAGGGGCAAAAGGAGGGTGAGATATGCCTAGAACGTTGAAAGAGCTATGGAGGATTCAAAAGAATCTAGCCAGGACACCAGAGAATGAAGAAACAAGATAACTTGTAATATAAAAGTCAAAAGCAAATGTGGAAAAGTTTTGTTTTTGCTATTTTGAGAATCACCTGGTATAAAATCGTTACATGTTCTTTAAGATAACCTTCCAATTGTTATCCAAACTGTGAAGACCTAAATGGTCTAAACATAATTTCCAAATTCCTTTGTCATCCTCTACCATTAATGCTGACAGGCACAATCAACTTAGAAACAATGCTTCCTATTACCTATAGGTAATATGCAAGCCAATTATTAAGATAATAAGTCAAAATAGAAATTATAAAACTTAAAGTATCCTTGTGAGTTGATGAAAAGTGAGCCAGTGAAAATGAAATATTCTATTGTCTTTAATATTTTAGTAAAAATTTTTGAAATGTGCTTTATATATTTAACAAACACTGGGGCACCTTGCAGCATGAAACATTACAAAATAACTAATCTAGTTTTGTATTCATTGGAAGTAAAAATTTATGCTGGATTTATAATCGCAGTCTCTGTGTCTTTTTGATTTCATGCTGTAAAGTATGTTAAGTAATTCCTTTTTTAAGTTCTTGACTTGGCCTCTGTGCCTCAGTCTACCACATTAATAAAATCATAAGACAGCTGGCCCTTGCCAAATATTATCGATACTGCTTAGGATGTCAGTCTGTTTCTCCCTAATAAAAGTGAACTGCACAGTGAACCTTTATTTTTTAATCTAGTTGACAGTCAAAAGTTTCAAGATCTGTGAACCTTTGGCAAGATTTATAAAGTTAAGCTGTTGTCTAGAACAATTGGCTTCGGTTCAAAATCAATCACTAAGAGTATTTTTTATCTGTCTGAAACACTCCCAAATGTTCTCCCTTTCAGCATGAAATGTAAATGGAACACCAAGAAACAGCATACTTCATGGCCATGTTATAACTAATGAATTACTTGGGGTATGTATCTTGGGAGAATCTGTATCTATATGTATCTACCTATTTATTCATAAATAAGCTATTTTAGGGCTACCTTGTTGACAGTAGTATTATTTTAGTTAATATAACTACATTAGGTGGGTCTTAATTATAGTTCCGAAGCCTCATTGATTAAAATGTGACACAGGTGATAGAGGATGAAATGGTGTTATTTGACTAAACAGATGATTTTAAGATCATCACGTATAGCTTTCATGTTCTCCCTTTAAGCAAGGCTACTGGGGACCAAGTTTCTTTTCCTTTCGGAGTGTTTTTCGCTAAATCTAAAGCCTGGCTTCTTGGTAATCACTGTTATAGCCACTACAATGTATTCTCCTTTCAATTGGATATGCTACAAACACCTCAGGCAGAGCTTAAGACATATACCAGGCCTTGCTACACTGTCTTAGCTTACTGGGCTCCTGAAGCAAACTGTAAATATATACCAATGATTAAAAACGGCTCTCCAAGTTCTATGGCATTAAGTTGAAGAAACCCAAAGTCATGAAACAGGAAACATGCCCAACTTTTTCCTCAGAAGCTGAATGCTAATCTGCCATTAGATCTCTCTATTTGTTATAAAATAACGATGTAATGATTTCTTTAATATGCTTGTTTGCAGGGGGTGAGCAGAGTATAAACTAACTCATTTTAAAATATGAACTAGAAATCACAACAGCAAATTACATTTTCCTCATATAAAGATGAGATTTTTAAAGATGGAATCCAGGTGATTGAGCATGGATGATCAGTGTGATGCCAACAGCAGATTTGAACTGATATAAACTACATTTTTCGGTTGATGGTCCTCACTACTACCTTAGGAGCTAGTGCTCTTTGAAAGTGCGTTGTTTGGCTGGCTGCCTATCTCGGAGCCTTTTGAATCCCTAAGATGGTCTGTTAAATATACTGAAATTCAAGCCTGTTTTCATTGGTTTGTTTAATTAAAATGGTCACTATAGATGAGTAGGTCATGTTTGTAAACATACAGAGCATTTATTTAAAAACAAAACAAACAAAAATTCTAATTGCTCATGCCAAAAGATGAGCAAACCCTGTGTTTTCTAATCCCCTATAAGAGTTAAAGTTACTTTTTAGTGTTTTCTCTTTCAAGGTTGCTTGAAGTTTCTTCTTTGGATCTCACTGTGGAGTAGATGCTTTCTTTCTTGTCATCCATTCTTTGTTTATTTCCTTGCTTGACACCCCAGGGTCCATTTTGCTTAGCTTCAGTGCCAATGGACTAGAATATTCTAAGCCTGTGATGTGACTTCCTCATAAACTTTATTAAATTTAAATTATATGTGAAGTGGATAAAATGATATAAATTACATTGACAGAGCCATACATTGTATATTTGGATGCATGGGGGGGGTGTGATTATTATCATTATTATTATTCTTTGAAATTGATGCTAAATTGGTGTCACATTATGGTTTGCTGTTTTCTTGAAGGACATGCTAGATTTTTGCTTTTAAAAATTTCTTTCTATGAGAATACATTCTGGGTTCAGAGTACTCAAGTCCCTAACAAAATATACCAAGTGAATGGAGAAAAGCCAAGCCATTCCATTCCCTCTGGTTATCTCAATGACAGGTGTAAATTAACCTATGATCACCGTGGTTGGGATGATCAGTATTGATTGTGAAAATGGCCACAGCTCAGTTTCTCATACGTTGTCTATACTGCCTACGTGTTTAAAGATATCAATCAAAAATCTGACACGGTTAAGTTCAATTTGAGTGGCAGCACTAAGGGATCTTTAGGGACTGGAAAGCAGGCTGGATTTAAGGTAAGCTGGCAATATATGCCTGTTTATGATTTACCATCTTGCACTGACACATCTTTTCTCAAACCATCTGCTTCCTTCATATCATTAGAGAATCAGGCACAGGCCACATTGCCTCTGTTTATTTAACAGCATCCTTGTTGGTGACTGCATGATAGAATCCTTATTAATTCAAGAACTTGTTTTTTCAGATAGAAAAATACTCTATACAGGCATTGGAAATTATATACTCTAAGAATCAATGACATGAAATTTTCTGAAGTAGATCCAGTGATTTTATAATTAGTATTTATTGGACATTTTGATTTCATTTATGTGGGCACGTATATCACTCTCAGCTTTGCTAACAAAACTAGATGTATAAAAAACATCTTTATATACTTCATGTTCAAATGGATTACAAAAAAAGTATGTTGTGGTAAAGCTTTCTGGCTCTTTTAAAAAATTCTTCTAATCATACTTAACAGAAAAATTCTTTCACTGTGAACTGTGATATGTTATATGTTTCCATTTTTAAAGCAAAAATATAGTTTTAACAGAACTATTAAAATAAGGAAGGAAAGAGCTACTGCATTTCCAAGCATTCATATATTCAGTGTTTTCCTTTCTTGACAAGATTAGCAGTGCAGATGTTAATTGTGATATGTAACATGACTTGTCAAGATACCTAAAATCCTTGGTCTCTGGTTCTCTTTTAGGTTTGATGACTGGCTTACAGAGAAGAATAAGGAAATGTACCTCTAAGAATCGTTTGAAATGAGTCTTCATATCCTCCCAAATATTTTTCAAGAACGTTTGGCATTACTTCAAAAATTAACTTTAGGAAAGGAACTATTATCACATTTTAAGAGGGGAATTGCAGTTGCACTTAAACTAGAAACTTCCACTTGGTGAATTGAATTATTAAGGAATAATGGCAGAAGAAAGAGTAAGTCGTTTATAGGCAATAATAAGCAATAAAAATATATGTATATGTGCATGCAAAAAGTTATGGCAAAACTAATAAGATTTTAAAAAATCATTGTGTTCCTGAAGAAACAAAGAACTGGTTTTCTTCTAAGGAATTAAAGAGTTTTGTTTCTTTGGCTTCTTTCTTGTAATTTACATTATTTCTTTCAAAGTGTAGATTTTGTGGGCAGTGTAGAGATTCTTTTATGGTAAACAGATTTTTATTTTGTTTCCTTTTATTGGTTTTGTTTTGCTTTGGAACTTTTTTTTTTTTTAAACCTATGGCGGCATCACATCTTAAGTAGGTTTTAAAGTGAGTAATGAAGACAAAATTCAAGTATAGTCAAAGCTATCCTTGAAGCGCATTCAGGATGTCAAGATGCTCACATTTTAAGAAGCATGAGCTCTGAGGAAACACATACACTTGTCACCCACAGCAGTTTACTCCGGGGCATCTGCTTAGTATCCTTGGAAGGAATGACCATCAGAATCATCTGGACTATTGAAACTGTCTCTCCTCTCTGTCTAACTTTCTTGGCTCAGCAAATACAATTGAAGTTGCATCACTAAAATGTACATTGCCTATATATGCTGTGACTTCACTTTGTAAGAGAAGAATTCCTTTCTGGCCACAATTTTGCTCTAGCTCCACCCTCCTCTTCTTTTACTTTTTCTAAAGGAAGACTATTAGAGAGGAAGACAGATGAGCTGTGAGCAGAGTACTGTAGACCAAGACAGCAAACTGTGAAAGACCATGGGAAACCCATGAGGCTGGAGCTTCCTTTTGCATCTGAGAGAATACCTTAGGGGTCCTGCTATATAACAATCCTACTCCACTATCCTGCCATCTGCTCCCCTTCACGAGACAAAAAAGGTAGATCTATTGGTGAATATTGTAGACAAAACCAGGTGTTTTTGAACTGTCCAAGAGAAACGTTAGAGAGCATTCCCCTTAACCCCATTATTTCCATTAGGAAAAATGGGTTAGAGAGATAAAGTGACTTGCTAAAGGTCACAAGTTACTTCGACCTAGGATGAATTTAGAGCTTCTAATTCCAAAAACAAGGCCACATGCTGCTGCCAGTTATTGATAGAGAATATTAATTTTAGATGAATAATGGTAATTACAACAAGCATGACCAAAATAAAATAAAACTATATGTGCCAATTACAATAGCCTAAAGTGAAAATGCAGCCATTGGCCATTCTATGTAATAAAACATTTGAAAAGGTAGAATAGGCACTGTGAGAGTGGCACAGAAAAGCTAATTGCAAGGGGAAGTGTAAAAGAAAGTTTAGTTTCCTAAGCAAGCAGAGCAATTAATTTTATAAACACAGAAAGACATCATCTATAATCTGGAAATATTCAAAACATGTAGATTAATATAATTCACCAAGTTTTACCACTGTAGAGTTCTGTCACCAATATTTTCATGTTGATCATCAGAACCTTAAAGTTTTACTCATGCTAAAATCAAGTAAAACTGGACACATATGCAAACTTAGAGCGTCTGTCATCTCTCACTTCAATTGTGGGATACTAGATGTCAGTATCTAGCAATCTAGATCTAAAATATTTCTATCTAAAATTTGACTAAGTTATAAACATTGTACCCACTATAACTCATGAGAATATCATTTATTATAGTAATAATATAGAAACAATATTTTTCACTAGAAATCTGTTACACTGCTCAAATTCTGGACAACAAAACAGGTGGGGTCCCTGTAATACAAACTTGATGTGTATTTTTACAATGAATTCCATAGCTAGTTTTAGTTTTATATGAAACATATTTGCCATTTCATTCTAGCGATGGATGTTGTGGTCTTTGCTGAGGGAGAATAGTTATTCAGAAAGCTATTCTATTAAGATGAGAAGGATAAGCGCTGGTCTTTAGGTCTCTAACTGATTGCTTCCCAGCTCCATGAATTAAGGTTAAAAGGCATTCATGATGTCTCTAGGACTTATGACGAGTTTTCTGTATCCTATGAGATGGGGGGAGAAAAGTTTCTAGAAGCCAAAATAATTTTAAGGGCAGAGATAACATTTGTGTAGAGTTAAACTATGTCAGCCTATTCCACAGTTAGAGCTGACAAGGTTAAATTTCTGATTTTCTTTTATTAAGTAAGCCAGCCTTCAGAGAGATAAAGGATGCCTTCCTGTACATCATTTCAGAATTTACTTAGACTAATGGTACTTAAGAATGATCGTGTGCACTTGCATTTACATATCACACATATTTTCTATAGGGTCGCTGTTGCTGGTACATATATTGAATCCAAGCATACATCAATGGGAGGTCACTCTTATTTTATTCACAATTTTTAAAGCTAAGGCTTCTGGTTGCTATTAGTGAATACAAGTACTTTCAAATGATACTCAGAAAAAATAGTCACAGAATTAGATTAACTATGTGATCTTGTGTCTATGGAGTTTGACTGAATTAAATAGCTTTGAAGCACAGGTTCATTACAATCGTAATGAAGTAAAATTGTCAGATCATTCCCACCTCCTATTCAGAAAACTGACAGGAAGTGTGGCTTATTTTTCCCTTGTTATATGTCTCAGGTACATTATTCCTCTCATTACTCTATCAAACCTCCATCCAGTTTCGGGTTGTTTCATATCCAGAAAACTCCAACCGCCTTGTTTTTACTCACCTCTGGCTTCTCACATTTTTAGTAGTCTGCTCTAAGTACGAGGACAACAAAATTATTTTCCTCCTGTACCATCTTGATTACGTCTTTATATGGCTTAAACCAGGACACAGGTGGATACAAATTATCAATCCTTTCTCACTTACATATATGTAACCCCAGCAGTGTTCTCTTGACTGTGTCTCCCCAGTATTCCATGTTTCCCCATTATAAACCTTTTGAGATGGAGTCATGTATTTTATATTGTTTTATAAACATACACATTGACACCAGAACAATTTCATAGATGTGTAATGTGTTTTCTTCTTCTTCTAAAAAAAAAAAAAAAACAACGAAAACAATAAAAAAAAACACACCAGAGTCTTGCTCCGTCGCCCAGGCTGGAGTGCAGTGGCGCGATCTCGGCTCACTGCAAGCTCCGCCTCCCGGGTTTACGCCATTCTCCTGCCTCAGCCTCCCGAGTAGCTGGGACTACAGGCGCCCGCCACCACGCCCGGATGATTTTTTGTATTTTCACTAGAGACGGGTTTTGCCATGTTGGCCAGGCTGATCTCCAACTCCTGGCCTCAGGTGATCCACCTGCCTCAGCCCTCACACCTGGGATTACAGGTGTGAGCCACCGCTCCTAGTCGCATAATGCATTTTAATTCATGATAATTATATTCCTGTGAGTGAAAAAAGGCCAAAGACATCTTGAAATTTTATCCAATTTTTAAGCTTTTTACATAAAAATAAATGTATGAATTTAAGTTTAAAAAACTATTAAACATACAAAACAAAATGCCTCTTCTTCCCCACCCAACTTAAGCACAATGGCTTAGTTTCAGACCTGCTGCTTATCATTCAGACAAGCACAATACTTATAATCTGGGCTTCTTGCCTCCAAACGATGAGGGTTTTTTGTTTTTCTTTTTTTTTTCTGTATTTTGTTACCTCTCCAAGGCAGTCCAAATTGTCTTTCTTAATACAATTATCTTTCCAAAGTTTAAAATACGCTTTTGTATACCAAGCCTTAGAAATAGCCTTATCAAACTCTGAAGTAAATACACCAAGTCACATTACTAAGAATGTATTGTGTGTTAGTTTGCTTTGGATGCTAAGGAAAAACCTCCACAGTAACCCTGTTGCCAGATCGACACATGTTAAAGTTTTGATATCAGGGATCTTTTGTTGCTTTGGCTAACCTAAATCCCCCATGCTGTACCACAAAGCCCCAGTATCTAGTTCCATATTTGGTGGAAAGAAGGGTAACAATCTGCTACTCTCTCAAAATGTACTTTGAATTACTTTGGTTTGGGGACCTCACCTCCATAAATAGGAGAATGGGAGACCTCTTGGTGTAGAACTTTGAGAAGCAAAAGGGATTATTTTGTTTAGAACTATGTCCTTTGTGTGTCTTCCCTTTTTCCTACATGTACCATATTAACGCTCTTTAAAAAATATTAACCTAGGAGTAACAAAAATAAGCACTATGTAAGTATGTAAAACATATCCTCATGAAAGGCAGTGTGGGTTAGAGCTCTAGACTCAATTTTGAGCACCAAAGTTCAAATACCTGTGCTATTATAGGAGTGGACATTGGAGGTCTTATGTATTTTCTCTGCACTTTAAATTCTATATCTATAAAATTATGAAGTATAATACCTGATGCATTATGAGGCTATTTGTGAGCATCAAAAATCAAGTGGATAAATGTACTAGGTGAAAATTGTATATAATCATTATAAAGTAAAATGAAGGATGTATAACCAATGCATCCCAATTCTTATACTGTATCTCCCCAGCTGTGAAAACTAGAATGAACTTATTTTGTTTATTCCTGCCTAGGTCTTTAATCTCTCTAAAGCTATATTTCTCCACAATCCTTGGGACTGATTTGGTATAATCTGACATCTAATTAATAAGCCTTTAGTTACTTATTAAAGATCAATGTTGAAAACATAAATAAAATATCACTAACCTTTCAAAGATCCTATTAAGTATCCAAAATGGATGCAGGGTAATCTATAATTAGTTATTGCATAAAACTCATCAGTCAGTTTTTAATCTTCAAAGATTTACTCTCATCAAGGACAAAAATATTTTATTCCTCCAAAATAATTTTGAAGCATTGAACAAAATTCTTTACCAGATTATTATAATTTATTACTTTTATTCTTTCTTTTTGTAATTATAGAAATCAAACCAGGAATATTTTTCAGACACAAATAATACTGGCTCAGCTCCGATTCAGTAGGCTCACATCATTTAAACTAACGATTACCTTGACACCACCAGAAGAAAAATAGGAAAGTAAGAAGTGCCTTAGAAGTATGATATTATCATTTATTGCAAAGGATACAATAGTTAAGGTGGGTATTAGCATATTATTTATTTATTCATTATTTTATTTTTATCTAAAATACAGAAAATTTACAAGGTGGTATTATGATCTAGCCTCCTTGTACAGCAGAATCCTCCCAGACTGCTCTCATTTCTACTGAGCACTCAAGCAACCTTTGTGAGAGTTGACGTCCGTATGTCTTAAGGGCAGTGGAGTGGTTTATATTCTTTCCAATTGATCCATGTTAACTGAGAATGGTTTTTCTGCCTGGATTGAGGACAGTCACCAAGTGTGACACGTGCGACTGACAGCAGCAGCACGAGTAAGCACTTTAGTGTTTCAATATGATTTCTCCAGTCAAGAAGTGATTTTTTTTTCCCTTAGACAAAGATATTGAATTGAGCTTCAAAGAAATATCAAAGCATATTTTCTTGGAGACTGTCCCTAAGAGCTGAACATTCATTTTTTAACTGGAAATTACCTTAAAGAAGGAATTCTTAAGCCTTCTTTTTGTCTCTGAACTACAGTTAATATTTTAATGTGTCAGTTTTTAATCATTCAAAAATGTCATTTTCTAACAGCATTCCACTTACCTTTTCTTTTCTTATTTTCACGAAAATAAGTTAAAAAGTATTTACACTTTAAGTTAAATGCTGTATTTTTGCTTTATGTTAACTATAGGAATTTAGGAATTTGTAAAGTTATAGTAGAGGAAGACAGAAAATAGTAAGTCACATCATACAGCATATATCATTTAACCAAGGTAGGTTCTGCTACAGACTAAACTGTAATTTCAGTGCTTTTATAACTATAACTTTGAGTCAAAGCCCTCAGCCACAGTTGCCTATATGACTGTGATTGGCAGACACTGAATGCTTGACAATTATTCTGATTTTTACTGAGATCTAGGAAAATTAGATTAAACAGTCTGAAAATAAATGTTTTAAAAAGTTAGCATTAACAGATTCTGGGAGCTGCTCAGTCACTGAAGGTGCAGATTCAATTCAAGTATATAATTTCAACTAATTATCCCACCTCCCCTTATCTTTCCTCCTCATTTCCCAGCCCTGTTCCCCTAAGGAATCTATGCTCAACCTTTTCCAAGTTCCTTTTTCCTTGAGAGAGTATAGCACTGTAAAGAGAATGTCCCCAGTTGATGAAGAACAATATGGCTCATGGTGCTCTCTAACATCTTTCCCTGTGGCTAATACATGGAATGGGTTTTTAATAAAATGTCCAGGGCTCACTTTTTAACCCTTGTCAACCAAAGACAGCCTTACTGTTTCTCAGCTCTTAATAGACTAATGTGTGCTTGTGTGTCTCCATGTGTGCGTTGTGAAGTTTGTTTGTAAATGTAATTGTACACAGGTAGGCGGAATGGAAAGTATAAAAATAGGCCTTTCTAAAATGATACAGATAGCACTATATATATGAATTTTCTTTCATAGCTTAGCCAAAATCTACTGAAGCAAAACAGGTCTTTCTTATTATAAGAAAGTACTGCATTTCTAGAAAAAAAATGCATAACTTTGCAATAGCTACAATAAAAAACATCTGGTAGCTGTTCTGAATATAAATGTTGTATTAAGCACTTAAACTGCATCTTTTCAGTGCTAATTAAATGAATTTAACCCAATTAGAGGATTAGAAACACTTTGTAAGTGCTCAACAGCAAGACTGGCTGAGAAACATTGCACTCCACCACTTCATTCCCTTACATGCCACTTGCACATGGCATGAATCATATAGAAGTCTGTTCAGTACTTATTTTGATAGTCTCTTCCTGTTTTTCTTTGCTCTTTAAAATCCTCTGGTCCAATAGCCTGGCACTGGCTGCTTATTCAGGATGCTTGCTAATTCACCAAGTAATTGCTCATAGGGTCCATTTTCAGAATTGAAAGTAGAAGTGGGGAGATCTTCTGTTTCCTGCTGATCCAGTGACATATTTAGAAGCAGTTGTCTATACAAGTGTCTGTCTCAGCATGTCCTGCGGCCAAATTCAGCACCCACCATAAGCACTTGCCCATGCTGCATATTTACCATGTTTCAGACTCTTATTCTTTCTGCCAACACCTACTGTGCTTCAACTATAGCCCACTGGACAGATTTGTTGACAGTGCTGGATTTGTTTTCCACCCTACTCTCTGCTAAGGTGAAAGGAGGAAAATGTAATTTGTGTGGGGGTGGGGGAAAGCCCAGCCTTAAAAGAAAAGATCAAGGACAAACTTCCAGAAAAAAAAAAATTATTTAAATTTTTCTGGTATAGTAGAGTTAAAATATAGATCTTACAGGCTTTTAAGCCTTGTTTTATTTGTACTTGAGAGAAGAAAGAAACCTTGCATGTAATCATACAATTCTGCATAAAACAAATGCCTGCAGTATGCTATGTGTTCAAGTACAAATGGCCTCTATTCATCACATCCAGCCTTAGCACAAGATCTTTCCTGAACTGGCTACTATATTTTAAGCAAAGAGGATACTGTTTGGAAAAAATTAGGCTCACATCTGACAGGCTATGAAATTTGTTGAGAATAAATGTGTGTTGCAGGATATTTTATTTATGTCTGAGATAATATCTCACAAATGTACTTCTCCATTTTAAGAGAAAATTATAGTTCGAAGGATCCTGATTAGGAGTCAGTGGAATGAGTCTCAGAAAATCGTGGACACATTTTTAAACTGTGCTGTGAAGAGAAAGTTTGTATGTCTGTGTGTATGTGCGTGTGTTTGCGTGTGTGTACATCCATGTGTGTTTGCATATCCTGGAACATATTCAGTTATTTAAAACAAGAATTTATATTGCATAAAAAATATAAGACAAACAAGACTCCATGGTTTCCATACAACTGGGGAGACTTTTCAAATTACAGTCATGTCTCATTGTTACTGGGAAAAATCCAGTCTTGGCAAATCTATAAATGAATGAGATGAAGGTTGGCCAACACATACTGAAATATTATTATGGGAGCCCTCTGGCCCCGAACTTCATGAGCGCCAGAGGAGAAGTAAATGGTTACAATACATCTCTTTATTTGAATTAACACTTGCTGAAATTTCTCATTGGGCCTATCCACGTGCATTAAGGAATTATCATATAAGTGATCAAAACTTCTCTGAGGATTTGGTGAAATAAATTTTTAAGTAATATAAAATGGCCCAAAATGTTTTATGACTTAATGAGAAAAATTATTGAAACTGATCAACCCAAATGAATTAGCAGAAGGTTTATTTTTCTGCAAATCTTTATTGATCCTCTGGTTGTTTCAGTTACTCTGCTAGGTATAAGGAATACAACTAGGAACAAGACAGAGTATCCCCTTGAGGGTTACACTTTAGTGGCAATAAATGAGTAGACCATTCATACTTGCTCTGTCTCAGAACTTAGGAACAACAAGTTCCTTGGCAAGAAAGCTATGAGACTTTACCTGAAGCACAATGTATTTATTTAACTTCTATGTTTATTTAGGAGATAGGCTACAGAATGATTAAATGAAAATGGAGAGAGGGTACTGAAGGTAGGATTCTGTATGTTGCCTCTTTGGTAGTCCTGCAGTGAAATAACCAAATGCTGACTTAAAGTAACTGCAGATTGTGATAAATGTTATAAAGCAAAGGAAGAGAGTGCAGTCAGGGAGATGACAGCGACTCAAGGTTGCCAGCAGGTGTTTGCTAAAAAGCAAAGAGAAGGCTGCTCTCAGTGGCCCCACTAAGATGAGGATTCAAAGGCTCTCCACGCTCCTTGGCTTACCTAGGAAAGAATTTCCTTCCAAACTTCTGAGGCATTTAGAAGTGCTAAGTAACTTTCCACTATGAAGCAATGCTGCTGTGCCCATTCAAAGGAGATGGAGACAACCAGAAACAAGAAGTAAGGTGTATGCCAGAGAGCATACACCATGTTAGAATGAGGTCTTCAATCAGCTCTGAACAAGCCACTGTTGTCCATGATAATCTTCATTTTGTCGAAAGAGAATGTTACCAAGCCCTTTCATTAATA
The DNA here is from genome assembly GCF_000001405.40 of Homo sapiens. Classification (NCBI taxonomy): domain Eukaryota; kingdom Metazoa; phylum Chordata; class Mammalia; order Primates; family Hominidae; genus Homo; species Homo sapiens. The sequence continues at coordinate 66,332,402 of NC_000013.11, forward strand.
CAATCTACACAGTTCTAATTATTGAATCAATGGAGCTCACCAGTTTTTCACTGACCTATTACTTTTTGGTAGTTCACTGGCTCAACAAATAAATACTGATTCTACAGACTGCAGTGCTGGTCTCTAGGGAAACAAAGACCTTTAAGGAACACTTAAGTCTCATGGATGAGGCACACAAGTCAATAGAGAAGGTGAAAATGCTATGACAGGGAGATACTCATGTGCTCTAAAAGCACTGAGGTCTAGCCTCTCAGAGGAGGGGTGGTCACAGAAAGCTTCCTAGGAGAGATGACTCCTGGGATCTATTCCACAGGAAGGACATTCTGGGCAACAGGAACCAGAGGAGAAGGGGACAGAGCAGTGTGCATTAGAAAAATCACACTGTTTAGCACAACTCTAAAGAAAGGCATATATATATATGTATATATATATATATAAAATCACTATGTGAAAATATATGTACTTATTAATTCTACTCTTTCACAGAACTAAACAGGGATGTGTTTATGAATGTTCATTGAGATGACAAGCTCATTTCAATGCAGTTTGAGTTTTACTCTCTTAGCATTTAAGGCATTATTTGCTCTCTTACATTGATGCTGACAGATGCTTGGTTTATATTTAACCTAAAGGTGGCATTTACAACTGCAAAGACTTTTAATTATGATAGAATTGAAAACATACTGAATTCCCATTGCAAGGAAGACTTTCTTACTAGCCCATGTCAAATGCAAGGTAAAATGTAAAAAGACAAGAATGAGGAGCTTTTATCTAAGGTAAGAGAAATAAGCAAGTAGTATGTGTAGATTTGAAGGAACAAGAATAATGTAGTAGTCTCAGAATAGTTGTCAAAGGATACGATGGAGATTTTATTTTTAACCTGCTCCCAGACATTAACTGCATGAGACATCAGAAATCTGAAATTCCCTTTGCTACACCAGTATAGCACTGAGGTAGAAATGATGGACTAGGCACCCTGTATGAAGGCTAGACCAGCAGGGGTGCCATGTTCTGCACAATCCAGCCTCAAGCCGCTGTCCCTTGACAACATGCTTTCTTCTCTGTCTTGTAGTAAACAGTGGGTCCCCAAGGACCAGCTACCTCTGTGAAGGATAAAAATTACTTTAGATAGAAATTTTAAAATAGAATGACTTAAGAACGAAGATCTTTATTTTTCATTTTGTTTCTCTTTTTCTTTTGTATAAAAATTACAGGTTTGAAATGGAAACAGGAAAACTTAAGCAGACTTCTTTCAGAAAAAAGTTTTGAAGGGTTATTTTTGTTGATTAGAATAAGCATGAAGAAAATATTTGTTTAAGCATGTTTGCTTTGATGCTTAAAGTATATATTACTAACAGAATGATTTAAGTTCAATTCTGTAAAAAATGTATGTGACCCTGTGATGGTTAATGTTCTATGTCAACTTGTTAGGCCATGGGATCCAGATATTTGGTCAGTCATCAACATAAAGGTCCCTGTGAAGGTATTTTTCAGATGAAATTAACCTTTAAATCAGTACACTCTTACTGATACATAATAATTATACATGTGATATTTTGATACATGCATACAATGTGTAATGATCAAATCTGGGTAATTAAGATACTCTCACTGGAACATTTATCATTTCTTTGTGTTGAGAACATTCCAAATATTCTCTTCTAGCTATTTTGAAATATGCTTTATTGTTAACTACAGTCGCTCTACTGTGCTATCAAACACATACTACTTATTTCTTCTATCAAACTGTGTTTCTTTAACCCATTAACCAACCTCTCTTCATCCCTCCACCCCACTACCCTTCCCAGCCTCTGGTAACCACCATTCTGCACTCTGCCTTTATGATACCAACCTTTTAATCTCCCGCATATGAGTGAGAACATGTGATATTTGGCTTTCTGTCTGCTCATGTCACTTAAAATAAGGGCACATTGATGTTGCTGCAAATGACAGGATTTCATTCTTTTTTATGGCTGATAAATCAGTAGACTTTTAAATAAAGAAAACACCTCCATAATGTGTGTGTTGGTCTTCAAACCATCAGGTTGAAGTTTTTTAAGAGAATGAATGATGGAGACCCCCAACAGAAAGGGAAATTTTGCCTCCAGAATGCAACATCAACTCTTCTCTCCAGCCTGCCCTCCTTCCATACAAAGTTTGGACTTGCCAGCCTCCACAACAATGTGAGCCCAATTTTTAAATCTCTCTTTTTCTGTTTCTCTGGAAAATCTAATACTAACTCTTACAATAAGTATGTCTTTACTACTAAAAAAAAAGTTTTCTTGTCAGGTCATACCATACAACTAATTTTTCTTTTTAACTTACTTTTCATGCTTATTGGTGGAATATTGGTGACTCAGGGCACAAAATTATATTAGCTTCACAACAAAAAAAATTTCTTTTGATTCATATCTTATAAAGATCAGATAAAGGCATGAACTTTTATATTTGAACCTGTAATTGTATATTACAAGCTACCCCATATAATCATGTAATATTTTACAGCATATTTTTATTCATTAATTTCATATTATTTAGTTTTACTCCCCCAAAATAGGTATTTCTATACCTATCTATTCAATAGGTGATGAAAGAAAACATGAATCTTGCCCAAAGCTTCATAAAACAATGTGTGGCATAGTTAGGACTGCAATTCATCTAAATAGCCTTCAAACCCTTGGTGTTTTCATCACATCACAGTAGCCTAAGTCAAAAGCATACACTACAGAAATCCTTACTATTTGCTTCAGGGTGTTATTATTTGCTAGCCCAGCAGGACATATAAAAGAAAGCACTAGGTAGTCATCCTTACCCAATAAGCAAACTCAACCTCTACTTACGCTGAAGTACAACATTTCTAGATCCTAATGTTATTTTTTCATTTGATTTTTGAGAATTGTGTCCTCTCCTACTTATCTCCTCTTAAAATCGAGCTTGCTCTGACATTTTCTACATGCTTAATAATATTTAGGTATTTCGTAGCTTGTTAGCTTGTTTAGATAATAACAGCAACACTCACAACCAACACCAACATAAAACGAATTAAATGAACAAACAAAAAATGCTAACATTTTTGCAGTACTTATATACCAGGGACCATGCCAAATATCAGATACACATTATCTTATGTAATTCTTAATAACCTTGAGAGGTAGGTCTTTTTATTCTTATTTTGGCAAAGAATAAATGGAAAATCAGAAACATTAATTTGTATAAAAGAACGGAGCTAATAAGTGGGCATGAAAGGATTTAAACCAAGAGTTGTCTGATTTCAAAACTTATAGCCACAGTGGTAGGCAGGATGAAATATTGTGTTACTGTGAAATGTGGTTTGACTCTACAGCTTTTCTTCTTGACAGTTTTTATTTAATGATTTTTAACAATAAATAAGAGGAACTTGACTATTTTCTTCATAAACCAGTAACATATTAGTATAAAGTACACGGGGGTGTCTACTGTATTTGAGAGCATGGTTTCCGGAGGCCCGTATTGTCAATGTCAAGTAAGCTTTGCCGCACAAGACTGGTCTAGCAATAATCTGGCTTTTGGCAGAGCACACACTGGAAAACCTGTGAGAATAGATTGTCTAACTCCATTCCCCAACATCCTCTGGACTGTGGCCCCTTCTAAAGATAAGCAGTCATGTGTGGTAATGGGTACATAATGGAAAGAGAAACCTTCCAAATAAATGAGATATGAAAGGCCCCATCTGAGGACTCTATAGGAATCCACTCCCTATGCACAGGAGTGATAGGACTACTGGAGATCTTGTTGACTTTGTCAATGTAAGTGTTAAAAAGTATATACAAGCAACAATTTGTCCTACATTTCAATACTCCGCTTAAAGGCTTTGCAGGATTTTTTTTTTTTTAATTTACAAAATCCACAGTACTGTACCCGCTGAGAATACATGTTTGGATGGTCAGAAGTGGGTAAGATTTGGTGCTAAATGCAAAATCACAATAGAGACCTGATGTATCCTATGTTATATACTTCAGAGCTGTTCAAACTGAATTAGAGAGATGATGTCACCCTCTAAAAATAACAAAGCTATCTCAATGATTTTAATAGAGATTTTGGAATTAAAAGTTTATTATAAATTTACAAAGAAGAGATATATGTTAATATAAAATAGCCTATGGATGCTTTTAAAAATGCCAAATAACCTTTGATGGACCCTCTATAAAGAAAAATAGTTTAATTTTATTGTAGGTTTATGAAGAGGACAATAAATGAGTTTGCTATGTGGATATAATTAGGTTGAAGTTAAGTTTAATAATTCATAGTTTTCTAGGTTTTGAATAATAAGATGCATGTTGGTAATCTGTGGCTCTTTAACATCATTTTCTTTGTTTATCCTAATAGAGAAGTCAGCATAGAAACTATTTTTTGGTTGTTTTATCAACCTCAGCCCAGAAGCATCTTCCTCCTAATTCCAAATACTCTATTTTTAAGCAAGTAAATATAGGCAGTTGGATTAAATGCATTATATTATATGCAAGCTACCTAGACATTTCTTTAAAAAACTGAAGTTAAAAGTAACAAAATTCTCTTTTGCAGTTATAGAAGATACTGTTAAATAATTAGACAATTTTGTCCTTATAATAATTTTTTTTCTTTCCCTTAGGGAATGTTTCTTTCCCTAAAATAAATTTGAAGATCATTTGAATATAAATTAACATCAGATACTAAGTAGATGGTGTGATGAGTTTGCTTATAAAAGCACTATAGGAATATAATAACAGTAAAAGCAATATTTGGTATATTCCCAATATCAAATATAAAACCACTTTATTAAAAATACTAAAAATAACATGAGGTCAAAATTAGGCTCAATAATAATTATAAAACTTTCCATTCAATTTATATATATATTTATCAACAAGATTGCCCTGAAAATTATTCCCTGATATTTTATTTGGTCTTTGGAGATAAATGCAAACACATAAATAAAGGATAACTCTTCTTTGAAAAACTAGGTAAGTGATTCACCCAAAAGACCTAAGAGTTCTGCATTCTGGAAGGCCCTTGGTGATTGAGGTATGAGAGTAGAATGTCTGGCTTTTAATGATTACATCTTGTCTCAAAACTGGTTAATCCCAAGACTTGCACTATTGAATTGCAATCCTGTCATTCTGTATTTCCAGTATTTCCACCTGTCTTCATGGGATGCAAACTCATCTGGAGGTACTTGTTAAAACAAACAAACAAACAAACAAACAGAAATACAGACTCCTTGGCTATTAATGTCTGATAATAACTTTTATTTCTGAGTCTAGGACAAGGACATCTTAAGTAATTTAAGGATATTTTAAACTGTACTAGGAGACTTTGAGGTTATAGTCATAGCCACTACACAAAGTAAATAAAAGGACAATGAGATCTCGTGTTTATTTAAGAAACATTTGTTTCAAATGAGGAGAAATTTAATTGAATGCATTTTTAGCCTGATGTTGGAAGACAAATCTGTGCTCCTGATTTTAGAAGCTCAAAATACCACTAAGAATATGGCAACAGTGTTGAATAACATACACTACAATGAGGGTGGATAAAGGGAATGCCCACAATCAGGGAACAAGCTTCTCTTCTCCATTGAGATCAGATGGACCTGGCTCCAGATAACTGTATATTTTACATGTGAGCCTTGTGACTTTAGGAAGTTAATTAGGCAGCCAAAACCTCAGTTTTCATATTCATACATTAGGATGGTAATGTCTACCTCTCAAAATTGCAAAGCTTCTTAAAACACATGAACGAAATCATGTAGCATAGCACACAGTAGTACACAGAACATAGGTGTCCAATTAACACATTCCCGCTCTTTCTTTTTCCTCTCTTTTCTGCCTCCCTAACACCTGTCTTTCTTATGTCTATATTACAACAATCCTTCCTGAATCATGTGCACTGGAACATGAGCTTGAAGTGTTCAAAACATAATTTAGCTTAGTATCCCTAGTGAGTATTAATTTAACTTTTTTTGATAACTAATAATTAAAATGAGAGGTTTTACAAATTTTATGATGGCAAGAAATGATAGAAACAGCATCAAAGTTATATTCTGGGTCTGAAAGTAAATATTTTCTGAAGCTTTTTAATATTTGGTTTCATAATGATTTACTTTATAAATTTAATTAACAGTATTTTAAAATAAGAGAATATCTATTTTTAAGACATTACACTCAATGGCAGATGAACCCTTTCTCTTCTCAGCATAATTTATTGTGAAAAGTGTGTGTGTGTAGAGGGGTGGGGGGTGGTTCTGTGTGAGAAATTCTATCTGCCTTCTAGCTAAGTTTGTTTCAGTGGAGATGAGATCCTGACCACTGGGCTGATGGATGTACACATAACTGACTTGTTCAATTCTAATTTAATTCTAGAAATCTATCTCCTTTATGACTTTAATTTTTCTGACATGAAAACGTTCTATCCTTTTAGGCTTCCATTGCTTCTGCAGAGATGAAGTATTCTCTTGGTAGAAGAGAAAAAAAAAGAAGTAAAGAAGCAGCAATAAACAATTCCACAAAACCAATTTTCACATTGGCAGAAAAACACGAGAACTCCAAATAACCATAAATTGAAACAGTGGCAGATTCTTGGCAGTGTATGATTTGAGATTATTAATGAAAACCTTTACCAAAAACATGCACATCCTTTAGTTTCAGGAGACGAGTTTTTCATATATGCAACTGTCTGAAACTATATTAGACCAGAAGAGAGAAAACGTAACTTCAACCCTCAGCGTGGCCACAGTTGTAGCTTTTATGATCACAGGTGAGTTGAAACAAACCTAGTAAGGTATTCATTTTTATTGTCTGTAGTAATGAGAACAACAACAACAAAAAAACAGTATTACTTTATTTTTTAAACTTAATTATCAGTATTCTTAAATAGGAGAATACCCATTTTTAAGACATTACACTCAATGGCAGATGAGCCCTTTCTCTTCTCAGCATAATTTATTGTGAGAGATGTGTGTTGGGGGGGTGTGGGTGAACCTAAAGGAAGTCTTTCTACACCTCTTTTGATTAACCTAAGTTTTAGAGAGAACCACATTCCTCTGGCATTCTGACTACATTAGTAATTCATCTTTTTATCAAAGACATACTTTTACTTGTTTCTTTACATCACAGATATTTTGTTGAAAACTATTAAGATAGTATTTCTAGAATATAATAAAACATTCAGAATAGCATTGCTAAGCAAATACACTGTGCCATGATTATGTTTTTTTGCAATGTGTATGCAATTGCTTTATTTTACATTAGGAAATAGACAAAATGCATCTATTCATTTTTCTTTTTAATTTTAATCTTTTTGAACATGCATTTGTGGTTCAGTCAAATAGCAGAATGAAAAAGTAGCTCTATCCACACTTTGGAGGCACTTTTTAAAAAAGGGAATAGTATAGCAACCTGTGGCTTCTTCTAGTTCACTTCTTTGGTTTTCTTCACCACTTCTATCATATCAGAAATGCCCTTTATTCAGTTTTTGTTTCTCTAGGCACATAATTTTGGTTCTCTTTGAAGCTGAATCCCTCAACACCTCTTAAAAATCTATTGTTCCTCAGGCTTAGCAACTTACTGACATGAACTTCCTCCTTTGTCTTCCCTGTGCAACTATACTTGGGGAGAATGATAAACATGAGGTTTCTCAAACCAAAAGTTAACCATTGTTTTCCTCAATTAAAAAATCCAGAGTAATTACATATTTCTAGCCATTCAAGTAAATAAATAATGTAATGGCAGAATATTATTTTCAAATATTTCAAATTAAACTGTTTATATGGTGAAACCAAAATTCATTTGGCAAGAGATAAGAAACAACTCATGTTTGAAAAGTCCTGAGGAGCTTATCGTTTTTTGTCCTCAACTAGTCTGAGGCTAGCAATTTTCCTCAGCTAAGAGAAAGGTAGATTTGGGAGGCACAAAAGAACCTAAAATTTTTTCTTGAAGGGATAGTTTTCATGGTGACACTTTTCTACTACATGGCTTTTTATTGCCCCAAACTAATGGGCTTAAATGAATTTGGGCAATATGTAATGCTGGAAGGACTAGATGTAGATTTTTAATCGCAAACAAAACTGAGTTCCTTTCACATTTCAGCTATGCCCATAGAATGGAGACTCAACAGTGACAGCTAAACCCTCTCAAAGATGTTCTTCAAAAAGGATCTGCCAAATATGTGCCACTTCACACTTCACATGCTGACTTGCTTGAAAAGACTTTATTCTTTTTAATCTAAGCTTTCTGTTTAAGTTATTTCCATGGTTAATTCATTTAATCCTTACATAAAAACTCTAGCCACAGGCACTATCTGATTCTCCATTATACAAAGAGGTGAGGTGTTCTGCTCAGATCGCCTACCTGTGTGATGATCCAACGTATGACAAGTAGGTCATAGGTAAACAGACATTTCTTTCTTTTACAAAATCTGAATTACTAGAAATTATTGTATTAGTAGATTTTCTGAATGCCTTAACACTAAAGTGCAAATCTCAATTCTCTGTAGGGTTTATACCTTTATTTCAGGGGGAAATTATTTAACATAGAAGCCTTTATCTTGATTACCATTGCCCTTACATAAAAGTCAGACACTGAATCTATATTCCTATAGTAAAATTCAGGTACTATGAAATGTTTAAGTATTTAGAGTGCAAAGTAAAATGTATTGTCACTTACTCATAAATGAAAATGACTTGCTTTATTTTATTTATTTTTTATTTTATTTATTTACTTTTTTTGAGACACAGTCTCACTCATGACTCACTGAAGCCTGAACTCTCCTGGGCTCAAGCAATCCTCCCACCTCAGCATCCCCCGTAGCTGGGACTACAATCACGCATCACCTCAGCCAGCTAATGTTTTAGTTTTTTTGTAGAGACCAGGTCTCACTTTGTTACCCAGGCTGCTCTCAAACTCCTGAGCTCAAGCAATCCTCCTGCGCTGGCCACTCAAAGTGCTGGAATTACAAGCATGAGCCACCATGCCTGGCCAACTTGCTTTAAAAGAAGATACTTGCTTTTAAATGCTGCTCTAGGTTTTGGCTATGCAAACTGTGCCACAAGGAGCTGTGGCAGCGGTGTCACCCAATAGGTTGTTAGAAATGTCAAGTCTTAGCCCAGCCCCCACCTCAGATCTCCTGAATCTGAACCCGCATTTTAACAAATCCACAAGTGATTCCTATGCACATTAGAGCTAGAGAAACACCGACCTAATTAATGATTCTGTTGGTTTTTCTGCTGTGCAAGTGACCCAGAGACAAAACAAACGTCTTATATCTAGGTGTATTCTGGGGTATAAGGTGTACACTTGCACTGAGCTGGTTTGCTAGAACTAATCCTGTACTAACAGGCACAGGACTTTTGTATAGCAATGGGCATAAATCTCCAGAACGAGGCCATGGTCAGGGCAGAACAGAGGCAGACTGGAGGAGAGCTTGTGTCTCACTGCGCTCAAGGGAGATGTAAATATGCACACTTGAAGTGTGTACTTACGTGCACTTTGCTAGCAGCTATATGGGCTGCAAGCTATAACAGGGCAAGTGTCCACCTCACTTAGATTGAAGTCTCAGAAAAGTGAACAGATGGAAAAGAGAAGTCTTGCCTCTTCTGCTGTGGGCTGGGTGGGGACTGAGCATTCATGTTTTCATAAGTTCAAAGAGAGAAACTTGACATCATTATTTCTGAATAGGAAAGAACTTTTATTAAAACTGTTATCTCTTACGTCACTGGAATTAAAATGAATCTGAACATATAATTTTAAAACATCCATAATGTGGAGCAGTTGCCACAAAAAAGTTGAGTCATCACTTAAGAACATGTTTCAATGTTAAAAGAAATAGCAGCTGTTGCAAAATTTTAAGTGTGAGAATTGCTACTATTTCATTTTTAAACATACTCAAAATTAATAAAACACAACAACTTGCTTTTAAAATAGATTTCCTATGAAAATAGCTAAATGCGTTTTACAACTATAAAGATGGGCAACTATAATAATCATCAAAATAATTTATGGTTATAAACCGTTTACTATATGCCAGACATTACATGTATTGAGGAATTTACTCCTTATAACAGGATAGTTACTATTAATATTCTCCTTTTACCAATAAAGAAAGTGAGGCAGAGAAAGTTTATGAAACTTGACTGAGGTTAAACAGATCCTACATGATACATTCAGGATGCAAACCCTTTCAGTCTGTCTCCAGAGTCCTTTTCTTTCTCTTATGGTTTTTCTTTTTGAGACGGAGTCTCTCTCTGTCACCCAGGCTGAACTGCAGTGGCACAACAACCTCCGCCTCCCAGGTTTGAGCGATTCTCCCTTCTCAGCTTCCCGAGTAGCTGGGATTACAGGCTCCCGCCACCACATCCGGCTGATTTATTGTATTTATTTATTGTATTTATTTATTTATTTATTTATTTATTTATTAGAGATGAGTTTTCACCGTGTTGCCCAGGCTGGCCTCGAACTCCTGAGCTTGGACAATCCGCCCACCTCATCCTCCCAAAGTTCTAGGATTACAGGCGTAAGCCACCGTGCTCAGCCCCAGAGTCCTTTTCATTATTAGACTCTACAACCTTCTGACATGCTATTTTTGGTAAACAGAGATCCCTTTTCATTTCCACTCCCCAAATAAACAAGCAAAAAACAACCAACCCACAACAACTTCACTGGTATCTGTAATTGCTGTAGCTGGGGACATATATTTAATTCCATCAATAAAAATAATAGTTACAATGCAGATGTTCTCAGGAAGAGTAAACTTCTGAAAGAATACTGGAGGATAGGTATATTAATTTTCTGTTGCTAATGTAACAAATTACTCCCAAATTGAGTGGCTTAAGAACATCCATTTATCATGTCACAATTCTATAGGTCACAAGTCTGGTACAGAGTGACCCTGTTGAGTCCTCTGCTGAGAGTCTCGGAAATACAGAATCAAGGTATTGGCAGCAGTGCATTCCTTTCTAGAGGTTCTGGAGATAAATCTGCTTATCAGCATATTCAAACTGTCGTCCGACTTTAGTGTTTGTAAGGCTGAGGTCCCTGTTTCCTTGCTCTTGTTGGCTGTCAGCTGGGAACCAAGCTCGTCATCTTAAGGTCTCCTACATTCCTCAACACATTGGCACCTCCCACTTCAAACCAGCAACAACAAGGGAGCCCGTCTCACTTTGAATCTCTCTGACTTCCCCTTTTATCCTACATTTTCTGTCCCTAGCTGGAGAAATATATCTGCGTGTAAGCACTCACGTGACTAAGTGCTCACATGATTAGACTGGGTCCACCTGGACAGTCTAGGCAAATCTCTGCATTTTAACATCCAATTACATCTGCAAGGTCTTATTGGTCATGTCAACTGACATATCCTCTAGTTGCAGGAGTTAGGACATGAACATCGCTGTGGGAACGGGGGGCATTGCCTACTGCTTTAGATTTGGAAAGGGCTGAGGATGGTAAATGAGCCCAGAGAAATTAGACTGGAGGGGGACCAAAAATAAGCTTTGAAATCATCTCAATTTTGCCTAATATATTGTTCAGCTCTCACTCATAATCTTTAATTATTTGTTTCATGCAGGAACATGTCACATCATTTGTCAAAGTATCCCTTAGAAAAGGAAATGTTTAAAAAGTTAATTTGGCCATTTAATGTAAGTAAAAAATCTGATAGAAAGTGTAAGTATCCTCATTAATATTGTCCAAAATATTGCATACTAATGAAAAAGAAAGTTTTGGGGTTTTTTTTGTTTTTGTTTGTTTTTGAGGTGGAGTTTTGCTCTTGTTGCCCAGGCTAGAGTGCAGTGGCACAATCTCAGCTCACTGCAACCTCCGCCTCCCAGGTTCAAGTGATTCTCCTGCCTCAGCCTCCCAAGTAGCTGGGACCACGCCCAGCTAATTTTTTGTATTTAGTAGAGATGGGGTTTCACCATGTTGGTCAGGCTGGTCTGGAACTCCTGACCTCAGGTGATCCACCCATCTCTGCCTCCCAAAGTGCTGGGATTACAGGCATAAGCTACCATGCCCGGCCAATAAAGTATTTTTAACTCTTCACCTGACAGTGGTCCAAATGCACATTGACATATTAGTACAACCAGCTGGATGCAATGTAAGTATTGCTGGTATATATTGGATAATGAAAAAGTATGAGTCTTACCATAACAAAATAAATCAAATGTGCTACCCAAGTCTCAAGTTAACTAGGGCAATATGTTTCACTTTTTACCAAAATGTAAAATCCAATACAAGGGGTAAAATTAATTTTAGAGTCCTTCCCTTTAGCTATATAATGGCTTTATTTTTATGATGCCTTTATTTCTGAGATACTAAATATTCTCATTACCAATTCTCTAAATGTTGTAGGCCTGCTGCTGCTGTTATTAATGTTTCTTAAGGGTCCCTCTGTAAATACGGTGCAGCTTAAACCAAAACACACATGCACGTCTCCAGAGAAGACTGACACAGGACTGCTGACACATGAATGGGATGCTTTGTCTAACTAACATAAAAATGCAAATTAATTGCAGGGAAAGAAAACTAAGGAATTCAAAGGCTTTCTTGATTGCCTTCTTTAAAATGCCAGGAACTTAAGCTGGGCTTTCTTATCTTCCACTACATGCATGTGACACTTTAGGAGGTCTTTCTTATTGTACTATAACTCAGGGATTGTTCCAGCTCTGTGCTCCATGCCTTTTTCCAAAGGGCAGCCTGAGATGTATAATTCGGGTAATGAACAGCTGCATAATTTAAGGGTCGAGCTAGTAGGGCAGTGTTCCTTATTTTGTGTTGCTTTAGCAGTTGCCAAGATGTTCCAGGCCTATTTAGGAATACAATTTTTTGACTGCTTTATTTCTCTCAGATGATATATGCTGGGATTTGGTTGTGCTCCAGAAAGTGAATTTTATCAGCAGAAGTACCAGAGCAAGCTTTTCTCTCATTTTACTCCAAAGGGCAACAGCACTGAGCTATAATGAGGTAATTTTTTTTTCCAGCCATGCACACTGTGTTTTATCAGGCAGGGTTGTTTAAACCAAGTCCTGTCCCTTTCCAAAGCATGACAGACTCAATCACTGAGCTATCAAAGGCATTTCCACAGTACATCCCTCTCACACAAGGCCAATCTCCTGAACATTCAAAAGGGCCAGGCAACGAGGCCCTTCAAGATGAAGGCGGCATGCTGATTAATCAGTTGCCTTTTTATTCCATCTTGGCAAGTATTCCTTGTTTGTAAATAAAAGGTTTCCCCTGAATTTCCTGTAAACTAAGGAGCATAAGGTTGATTTGGACCTCGTTCACAGAGCAAGAAAGCTGCCTGCTGTCCAATCCAGAGATGCGCCATGTCCACCATTGTAAGTACTCCTTCAGGTGTCTTGAAGCGTACCCTGCGTATGAGCTAATCTAAAAACAATTGTCATGTCATCAGGATAAAGCAGAACAGGCTGACTTTAAAAAGTATTTTCCATCTCTTTTACAATAACACTCCCTGTTTGAGGAAAAGACCCCAGTGAGCAATTTGCAAAGGCATTGAAGTGTACACCACACAATAAGCGTATAGGGGAAAAGCCGTCAATAAAACAGGATATCTTTTTCCAAGAAATAAATTAGTGTACTCTTTTCCTCGTCAGATGGTAAATAGCTAATGGAAAAGAGATGTGACAGACCACAAAGACTAGGAATTGTCTGCAAACTGGCAGGCGCAGTGATTTGCTCACGACCCAAATTATATTCAGGCAGTTTGGCACATCTCTGTTTGTCACACTTACACCACCGAGCCAAATGTGTTTAATTAATATGGAGTATTTTCCTTTTCTTGAAGTAGGAACAAAACAACAAGCATTTCTTGATTGCTCGCAAACACTCCAAACAGCAAGAATTGTAAGCAAGGCTCTTGTCATCACTCATCTTTGGTTATCTTCCATGACGAGCACACAACCACGGAAACGTTGATTCTTGACTAGGAATTTGTGTGCATACAGACATATCTCTACTGCATGTGCTGTGTGTGTGTGTGCACAGGCAGAGAGCTTAGAAAATGTGGTTGCTGAAATAACTAACCTTTTAGGATACAACTTTGGCATCTTTTCCCTCAGTTTTGAAAGCAAGGTGCAGAGGCTTATTTTGTGAGAGTGAAACCTTCTGAATCAATACCAGAGTTTGCCACTGCTGTATAAACCCATCCATCACAATGCTTCAATTCCTGCAATACCCCCATTCTATGGCCTATGGCTGGTAGAGCAGCCTGGGTATCTAGGATACTTCTGGAAATGCAGAACTGGGGAGGATTATTTTAAAAATCTCTTCTGTGATGAGATAGAGGGCAGGAGCTATATCATCCAGAGAGCACTGGCTCTTTCTCTAACTGCCTATGGGTCAGTTAACCTGTGTTGGTGTGGCTTCTTACATCCTTCAAATGAGGAATTAGCTCGGATGAATGCCAGTGGGCCCTCACAGCTCTGTGAATTACAAACACTCTAAGTATTTGTATTAATTTTAAATAAAGCCACAAGAGTCAGCAACACTCCTTTAAAAAGCCAACCATAGTGGAAATACAAATGCTAATTTCCCCCCAATAAAGTCACTTCATTGTATTCAATTTAAGATTATGGGGATATATTAACTCTTTCAGGCTCTGAAGGGCTTTGTGTGTAAATAACACATTTTTATAATGAAACAAGTACTATGTATTACAATTATAAGTTACAGCTAGCTATATAAATTTTATACACTGATATAAAATGTACCTGGCATGGAAAATTTAAGAATGTCTCCAAAGAAAAATATATTAAAACTCTGGTTCAATTGCATACCAAGCACATTTTAATGTATTCATGTTTCTGAACATATGTAATACGCAAATAGAATGCACTAGTATATTGCATTTACATCTTGAATTTTAATAGTTTTAGTGAGTCATTTTGTTTAGATGGAAAAAAATGTCTTTAACAGTTATAATTCCCTTATCATTCAGTGTACTTAAAATGTATAAATATTTCAGGCCTTAGGCTATGGTGGAGACTGCAAATTAGGAACCAAAACAAATGTCAGATTAGGAAGAAATGATTCTATCACTCGGAAAAAAAACAAAAACAAACAAAAAACATTATTTTTTTGCACCACTTCCCAAAAAACATCACTTCAGAAATTATCTACAAACAAAATTCATCATGTCTTCTTTCTTGTGCCTACTGAATGTATTTGTCATCCTAATTGAGATCTGTAGTACCTTAGTCACTTCCTAGTCCCTGGTTCATTAACCTCTCTTCAGCCTTACCGGCCCTCCTGCCCAGCCTTGACCCATGGTCAGCCATTTTAGATGGTCCTGCAAGCACCTGTAAGCCTAGCTCTGCCGACCTTCAGCTGTGTCCATTTGGCTAATTGTCCAGGTGGAAAAAGCCTCTCCCCATCTGCTTTCTTTACTTCTCTCCTGAGCTGCGAGCTATTGCTGGAACAATTCAGACACTGGAGTTGACATGCTCTTCTACAAATCTGTGCTGTTTGACCTTACCTCCACTCGAGCTGCTATTCAACAATTCCTTTAATCATCACTTACTGAGTCACAGGACAATTCAAATAGCAGCCTTTCTTCAGGCCTCAGTTCAGTCCTAATCACCTCATTCTTGGAGAATGGTATCACCTGATATTTAACTCAGACTACTGAGGTTCTAATTTTCTTTATCTCTTCTTCACATTCATTCCTTTTTTCTTATTAGTCTCTCAGAAATGATCTTTTTCCTTTTTCCATCTCCCACTTTCCTCCCAATCTTTTCCCTGTTTTGTTTTACCCTCTTTTCTGTCACATTTCTGGGGTCTTCTAGGCTTACCAGCTTACCTGCATCTGGATCAGTAAATTGTCACTCTTCACCCCCAATCCCTGCCACCATGCAGACACACACTTCCATTCAACATTCCCTGTCTTCAGACTACTTCTACCATAGAAATGTTCAATAACTGCCCCATGTCATAAACAAGAAAAAAATTTCAACAACAAAAAGTAACATTTTCTTTTCTTTTTTTTTTTTTTGAGACAGAGTCTCAGCCTGTCACCCAGGCTGGAGTGCAGTGGAGCGATCTCAGCTCACTGCAACTTCCACTTCCGGGATTCAAGCGATTCTCCTGCCTCAGCCTCCTGAGTAGCTGGGATTACAGGCACCCGCCACCACACCTGGCTAATTTTCACTACAGACAAGGTTTTGACATGTTGGTCAGGCTGGTCTCAAAAAGAAACTTTCTCTTCTAACCTATTGCCATATTTCTCAAGTGCTTGTATAGTGCTATTTGCCATTTTTTTTTTTTTTTTTTTTGCTGCCAAGTTTCTCTAATGGTTAATAGCTTAACACCTGATAGATTCTACTTGCTCATCACCCTTAAAATCTTTGCAATCAGTACCTACTTCTTGACTGAAATTATTTTTTCAAGGTCACATTTGACTTTTATGTTCAACAAATTGTATTTTATTTTCTGAAAACCATGTTGTTCTTCCTCTGTATAATACTCATACCCCTTATCACACTTGTAACCTTTCCCTTCCCTTGTGTCGTGGGAATTTTAGCCTAGGATTTAAGCTGTGTACACACATAATTCAGATATAAATGAGATGCCAAAAATAGTCACCAGACATATCTGCACATTAGAAGTATCTAGAAAATAGATTTCTGGACTCAAACCAAACATCCTCAATCAGAAACTGCAGTGGTGCAATTCTGAATTACTGAGAGTTTGACAAACAAGGGTCTAGAGGCCTGCTGGCATGAAGAAAACACTTCATTACCTCATTGTGTGGCAACCAGCAGGCAGTGTTTCCTGGAGGAGGGAGGATGGCACATACTAGACCCTCCCTAAATATTTGTTGAATAAATGAGTGCATGAGGGCATGCCTTGGTTGTTGAAGGAAAGGGGTGATTTAAAGCATACGCCTGTGCTCTGCACTTTGTTTGTCTTCTGTCTCGGTTTCTATTATCTCCTTGATGACAAGTTACTGCTGTAGGATATTTGAGACCCAAAGCAGAAATGATTATGACAAATACATAGAAGACAAGAGAGGTTTTCCTCCCACTTTATATCGGAGTGTGGCATTGTGCTTTGGAGAAGACAGAAAATATGTCACAGCTTTGGCACACCCAGAGCTTTTTTCACAGCAGCAGAGCCTGCAGCCCTGGCAGGGCTTCTAGCATCTGATGTGCCAGGGCTACCAAGTGCCAATATCTTCAAAAGCAACTGATGAGAGTACTAGTGGCTTTTGGGGCAATAGGAGACAGCACTGAAGAAAGTAGTCCCCAAAGCAGCGGTGCTACCTTTACCTGGCTTAGGGGGTAGTGAGAGATTTGCCAGCTGGATGAACAGAAAAGGTAGCAGAAGGAAAATGTCAGATACCAGTTACGAGCTAAGAGAACGGAGCTCGTGAAAGCCGCATGTCTTAACAAGGTTGGAAAGGTTAGAGCTAGGGAACTACTACTATGCGAGCACATCTTAACTATAGATTTGTATAGTCAAAAGAAATTTTTGACTTTATAGATATTATAACATTTCTAATTTTCTCATATTGCTCACACTGTCATACTTCTCCACACTTTAAAAATTAATCTTTATCCTGCCCTGAAGTTTGGCATTTCCAAGATCCCTCCATCGGTCACGTCACATTCCACATGCTCATTGATAGTATCTAATCCTGCAGCTTGGACACAATCTCTATTCACAGGACACTTGATCTACAGCTTCCAGTTCTGACCTAGCTCTGACCTCCACACTCATATTTCAAGTCAAAAATAAGTAACTTAAGATCTCACCCAAATCATAAATTCAACTTGACATAAAGCACATTCATTACCTTCTGCCCCAAACCTCTTCTTTCTGACTCCCCAGTGCTTAGTAAAAGCAACATAATTTTTCCAACCATATAGGCTGAACATCTTCAGGTAATTCCATCTCTCTGTAACACAGCCCTTAATGACTTCTTCCTTATTGAGATACTGTAGTTTCTTCATTTGACTTGGAGCAAACACTCTCTTGGAGTTATGTGACATCACTGCCCACTCCTTCTCACATGTCTTAGTTACAACTACTAGGTACTGGAGTCTTACAGGCTCAGCCGTTAGTCTTCAGCCCTCTTGTCTTCTCTAACTGTATTTGTTGCAGAGCTAGTCTCATCTAGTCTCAGATTTTCCTTCTCTGGCTCTCGGTCAATGAAAAAGCAATTCTTCTGGTGTTTCAGGACAAAAAAACATGTAATTATATGACTACCCTTTATTCTGTCTCACATTCAGTGCACAATCATATTCTGTGGATCTTCACAAAAATGAAAATCTGACACTTCTCATCACTTCCACTCCTAGCACCCTTGTCCAAGTAGCTATCATTTCCTGTTTGGATTATTGCAATAACCACCTAAATGGCATTCCTGCTTCTTATTTTCTACATCTATGTCTCAAACAGAATCAGAATCTCTCACAATTCTTCTATAGCTTCCATCTCACTGTAATCTCAGGATCATTGAGAATGCCTTTGTTACTTGATATATTTTGAAATCTTTCGTAGGCCAAAATGTAATTTATCTTCTTACCAAATATCATTGCTAATCTTTTCTCATGTCTACAGGTCCTACGAATATAGGACCAACTGAACATAACCAAGAAGATGGACAGCATAGCTCAAAGGATAGAATTATGATATTAATAATGATTTTAAAATAACTCTTATTACAAATAATCATTTCTCATGAACTTGCTCCGTGCCAGACACTGTACTAAATACTTTACTTTTTTTTTCATTTGATTCTTTCTACAACCCCATAATTTATGTATAAAAATTATCCTTCCAAGTTTTGGCAGATGAGCCCAGCCTGGCTAGGTGTATCTTGGGCAAGTTCATTTAAAGAGTACTGGAAGATAATAGGATCATGATAGGAACTAATAATGGAAAGGTAATTTTGACCCATTTTACATCTTTCATGCCGGAAGTCTCCTACTGATGACAATACCAAAAGCTCCAGTCATGGGGTTACTTCTGTCCTTTCTAAGAAATTAGTTGTTTGTTGTATATTTCGAGTAAGTAATGGGTGAAGGGAAAGACGTTCGATTTATAATTGTCTTTAAAAAACATATAATATTTTATTTAACCAGATCAGTATTTATGAAATAATGAAAAATGGGAATAGCCTTTTAAATCTTCAAATATTTTTGAGTGACTATTTTGTACCAAGTGCTAAGCTTATTCATGTTACCTTATTTAAGTTTCAAAATAATCACTTAGGGTATTATTATCCAGAGTTACACATTAAGAAACTACATTTTGAAGAGACTGACATGCCCAAAATCATCAAGCAAAAAAGTAGGTGAATCAGTATTCCAAGCTATATCTTCTCAACTCTGGTCCATTGCAAATCATCCGTATAACAATATAAAAAAATAAACCAACTTCACCTTACACATTCCTTTTTTTTTTCTTTTCTTTTCTTTTCTTTTTTTTTAAGACAGAGATTCACTCTTATTGCCAAGGCTAGAGTGTAATGGCATGATCTCACCTCACTGCAACCTCTGCCTCCCACGTTCAAGTGATTCTCCTCAACCTTCAAAGTAGCTGGGATTACAGGCATCAGCCACCACGCCCAGCTGATTTTTGTACTTTTAGTAGAGGCAGGGTTTCACCATGTTGGTCAGTCTGGTCTTGAACTCCTGACCTCAGGTGATCCACCCGCCTCAGCCTCCCAAAATGTTGGGATTACAGGCATGAGCCACCGTGCCCGGCCTACACATTCATTTCTTATGCTGCATCTTTTTCCTCAAAACTATCATCAGTGTTACACAATGAAACAGTCTCAAAAAAGCTTATTAACTTTAACCACAAATTAATAAACATTCCAACCAAAGATACCTCTTTTGTTCCCTTCATCTAATTCAGAGGGTTTTTTGACATTATCTGTGCCTTTGCATGCCCTTGCTGTTTTATATACTCTCTATATAACTGTATTTGCCTGCTTGGACTGTCATAACAAAATGCCACCAACTGAGTGGCTTAAACAACAGAAATATTGCATAGCTCTGGAGGCTGGGAAGTTTAAGGTCAAGACCAGCTGGCTGAATAAGTTCCATTCTTAAGCCTCCTCTCATGGCTTGTAGGTGTCTGCCATCTCATTATGTACTCACAGGACCTCTTGGAGTTCCAGTGGAGAGGGCTAATGAGTGAGCTCTCCTGGTGTTTCTTCTTATGAGGACACTAATCTTATCAGATCACTTGCCCCACCCTTTTATATTCATTTACCCTTAATTACATCCTTAGAGGCCCCATCTCCAAATACCACCACATTGAGGTTTAGTGCTTCAACATATGAATTTTGAGTGGATACAAACATTTAGTACATAATAATAACCCATCTTGTCACTTTTTCTGTATAATGTGTTTTATAAACAATAGCTAAAAGTGTTTCCAGGAAGTTGCAGTTCCAAAATAAAACTGTTAGTTGACACTGATTGTCACGAACATCTGGCAACTTACAGAAAAGCACCACAGCACTGTGGAACACTTAAATGAATTCCTCCACTCTGATCTAGCCATTAAATGATAGCCATGACCTAATGCAGCCATGATCAATACAAATGTACATAGAGGCTGTAAAACAGCCTCTCTAACCAGGGAGGGTAATCCTCCATTTTTACACATTTAAAGAGCGAATCAATTAAATGCTGGATAAGGTCAAATACTATTGATTCAAGATTCAATGAAATTCCTTCCTTTACCTTCCCCTCTTTTGATTTTTCTTGTGATCTAAGTATAGTTTCCTTAAAATACATTTTTCCAGCAGCTGCACTTACATACTGGTAGAAAGCAAGTGGTCCTCAAAAAACATAATGATTCACTGACACTGAAATCAATAGTGTTATAAAACCTTGAAGGGATGAAGAGGCTGAAAAATACAAAATATTAATGCTTAAACTTCAAGAGCATACTTAAAAAGTAGAATTTAAGACATATCCATTGCTAGCAGGCGGTAGATAGTTCATACATCAACTTAGATAAAAAACTTCCTGTAGTGTATCTGTGGATGTTAAAAATAAAACAGGATAAGGTTACTGTTAACGTTGTGTTTAAGCATCACTTTTCATTCAATTCAGATTTTTGACTCAATTTTAGATTATTGCTTGAAAGTGCTCTTGGTGCTCAAGAGGCAAATTTTTAGATACACTTACTAATTATTCTGTATACCTTTCAGTTTCTACTGGTGTTTCTCTTTACCTATATAGCTGATTACCTTTTAAAATTTTTGTCTCTTAAACTACACTCATTTCAACTTTTCTATGCTTATTTTATACAATTTTTTTTTCATAGTTGTAAAATGTAATACAATGCTTCTGTTTGTTAAACAATGCATTTCTGTTTGACTTTGAGTCTCAGATACTTATGTACACTCTTCTGGAGATAGAACTATTTGCTGCTGTATTTTTATCTAACTGTCTCCAGCAACCAGTAAAGAGAAAATTGTAAATATCGCATGCTTGGAAAAATTCCACCTGGCACTAGTCAGTCACTAGGTGGCTAAATATTGTGAATGAAAACAACCGGTAAGAAGGAAAATCCTCTTATTAGAATCTAACAGCACATTAGAGCTCCACATTAATGTGAAAATAAAAATTTGCTTTTAGGAGCTTTGATAATATTTTAAAGGCAGCAAAACTCTTCCTTTTTTCTACTTCTCTCTTATCACTTTATTCGTAACCACATGCTTTATAAGCTTGGTTGAAGAGGGTTGTTTTTCTTTTTCTCTCTCTTTTTTTAACTTTACCCAAAGAGGAGTTGGAAACAATAAGATTAAATACAGACTCCCTCTGATTTTCCAGGAAATTTACTCTGCAACTGGAAGTTTCTTTGATATATTTAAAGAGAGATATTCTTTCAATCACTTTTAAAAGGCAGAAATAAAAGTTAAAGGTATTTCACACTATACCAATCCATTAAAGAAATCCCAGCATGGTCATCTCTTGTTTTTCAGATGAAGGTGATTTATTTTTTTTGTCTGCTTTTTTTCCTGTGTGTATTCTTAAATGAGAAAAATTATTGGCCCCAATGATCTTGAGAATGATATTTTTAAAATCTAATTTTGCCTCTCTGTTGCAAAGCTTTTCCTTAGGAAGAAAAAATTGCCATACTCTGTTTCTTTTTAACATAATCAAAATAAGTAATAGTAGAAAGCGGCACTTTCTAATAGCGGTAGAAGGGAAAAAAAGAATGCAAAAGAGTGCAACTGCTGAAAAATAGATTTTAAGAAATTTAGACTTATAAAATAATAAAAAAATAGAAAAGCTTTCATTTTGAACAGGCTGATTTAGCTATGTAATAAATATGCCCCTCCCTCTTTTCACCAACGTTAGAGCCCATTGCTTGCCTCTCCATATTTTTATGACATTTAGGAGTGTACCTAGAATTGTCATATAAACTTGCCTCATTCAACTTTTGCCTGGACAGACAAGGCAGACATTATTATCACTTTACCAATTAGAGATTAACTTATTATATTCCAGGGCTTGTATTTTTCGAACCTTCATGTGCATACAAGTTGCTAAAACCCATATTCTGATTCAGTTAAGTCTGGGTGGGATAAGGCCTGAGAGTCTGCATTTCTAACAAGCTCCCAGGTGCTGTTAATGCTGCCGGTCGGTCCATGGATCACACTGGAGTGACAGGGCTAGAGTACAAGCTGAAGGTTAAGTTTTCCCAATTCAGCCTAACAGCATACTTACAGAGATGCCATGTAGTTTCTCACCTTAGTAATGGCCTTAAGCCAAGTAGATACTGTTTTTTTTTTAATCCCCAGGCTTGATGAGAAAGCAAGTACAGTTGGTCCTGTTTATTCACAGATTCTGTATTTGCAAATTTGTCACAAAACTCAATATCACCCTTTTGCAGTGAGTCACAGACATGCGCATACTGGGTGCAACAGAATATTTGAGTAACCTAATATCCATGTTTCCAGCTGACTTCCAACAAGGCAACCTCCTGCCTTTTTGTTTCAGTATTTATACTGAAAAAAGTGTCCTTTTCATTGTCTGTTTAGTGTCATGTCTTTTGTTTTTGTTTTTGCCTGTATTTCTGCACTTTTTGATGGTGATTTTGTTGTTTAAAATGGCCTCAAGCATAGGGCTGACATGCTGTCTAGTGTTCTTAAGCACTAGAAGGCTCTGATGTGCCTTAACAGAAAGAGCACATGTGTTAGATCAGCTTTGTTCAGGCATGAGCTATCGTACTGTTGGCCATTGAGTTTAATTTAATGAATTAACAATATACATTAAATAAGGCATCTTTAAACAGAAACACACATAAAACAAGGTTATGTATTGATTGTTTGATGAAAATAAAGTGACCACAGGCTCACAGGGGCCTAACTTTGTACTTCCCCAAGGAGAAATGATTCAGTATTGGCTAATTCAGTGTTCATGGAGACTTTATAGAACATAACTACTGAAAAGAACAAGAATTGACAATACCTTCTGGACTGTTTCTCAGGAGAAAACTTCAGTGGAAACACAGACTTCACAATGATGTCTTCTCTGACTAATAGTTCCCTTTAGGTGTCTACCCCAAATGACTCTCAAGCTAGATATTTTTAAACTACTTTTAAGTACTAAAAAAAATTATTAAATAAGATAACTAAAATAAATGAAATTGTGTGGAAACCAACATATACTATAGGCAAAGTGAAATTTTATTGGAATAACTGTGTACTATGCATTAAAAATTAAAACATTTACTAATAAAAATCAATTCAGAACAAAAAGTATTGGAGGGCTCCAATGAATTAATGATTTGAAAATACAATATGTTTGAATGGACACTTTTCAAATTACAGCTTTAAAATCATATAAAATGGAATGCCAATTAAGCTTTTGCAGAATCCCTGCAGCACCTTCATGGAAGTCTTGTATTTTAAAGGATAGTTTGAAACCCACTCTCTAAATAAATCTGCCTTTTTAGGTATTTGACAAAATCATCAGCTTCTATAAATATACTTTCTTTTCCAACATCTATCTTTGATGAACAAAATCTGATTTCTTCAAATCTTTTCTATATACCCTCTCTGCAGGTTCATAATTCTTGTTCTACAATTCTAATAGCCTTCATTTGTCTTTCTCACTAGTATTTTCTTTTTTCTTTGTCGGTGTTTTTCACTCCAAAAAAAATGAAGGGTTTTTAAACGTCTGTCATTATATCAACAACATTAATGTAGCTTTTACACAAAAGGCAAGTGAAACAAAGTGCAAAAACAAAGATGATACAGTAGGACCATCACAACAACTGCATCAGATTCAGAGTAAACAAATGACTACTTCTTAAAAGGAAGAAGACATCTTGTAGTTACAGTAAGCTGAATTACTTAACTATTGAATAAATATATGCTACATCCTTACTAGATATGATAAAGCTTTTTGCATGAATTAATATCTTATCTAATTATTACAACATTCTTATGATGACAGTACTGTCATTATGTACCATTTACACACCTGAAGACAGACACACAGCTATTGGGTAATCGGCTTAAGGTTACAGGGTTAGGACATTGTAGACTTGAAAAAGCAAGCCCGGCAATGCACTTTAAAGCCCGCCTTTCCATTTCCCCATACCAGTGTGTGGGGGAAAAAATATTAGAAAGATTAGTAAGTTACATTCCCTGCCACAACAAAATGGAACTTGCAGCTTCTGGAAGAGAGAAGAGAAGCATGATATGATTATATAGCAACACATAATCAGGATCTCAAAGGAATTAAGAGAGAGAAATAAACTCAGAAGTCCTACCCTAACCATCATAAAGAAAGATGCACCAAGGTGGGCCTTGGTGATCAGGTAAGATTCCAATGGGTAAAGAGAAGTGTGGGTGGCATTTACATCAGGAGGCGTGGAGAAAACTGCAACATGCAAACAGATAGTGAAAGGTTTAAATCAGTACATGGTTGAAATCAGATATTCAGGATCAATGAATTTCTTCAGGGTAACATCAGGGAGAAAATCTTGAAAGGCAGGTTGTTAGGGAAATTTTATTTTCCCCATAAAAGTAGGGAGTGCATTGCCTACACTAACAGAGAATAGCCACAATGAATGAGACAATTTATCAACTAATTTTTTTTTGTCATTCGAACTAGCAGGATGTCAAATCCTTCATAGCTACTCTCAGATTCTTCCTGTGAAAAAGCAGATTATAAACATAGGAACATATATAACTCCATGTGTTAAAATTCTTAGTTGCTTAATTGGATACAAAGATTCAACCTCACATAATTTATTTCTCTCAGATGTCTATTCTTACACTGCAAGACCGTGACGAATAACAATTATGATCAATGTTTCTTTGATTGCCAAGGATATGCCTTGATTAAAACCTATGTGTGTGCTCTCACAATAAGTTCTCTGCAGCTGAGAACACAGCTTAGATAGCTATAACAACTTCAGCATGGAACGCAGAGCTTTATTTGGGCAACGAAGCAAACACTCTTGAAATATAATCTATATAATATACCTTTTAGAATCTTTTCTCAATATCCTTCAATACGTTTATTAATGCAGAAAGCGCACAGAATTTTAATTCTATAATCATAATAAATGGAATAAGCATACTGCTTCTGTTACTAGCATGAAAATGTTAATCAGTAATATACTGTGAGCAATGCAACATGAATTGTAATTCTAATTAAAACTTGATACAATGCAAGCAATATAATTAAATTGTCTGCCAAAATTCAGGGTAGGTTTATAATTCTAGAATAATACTTTTCATAACTTTATCATTTCTTTAAAACAATATGCAGTAAATTATTAATAATTTTTACTTAAAGAAAGCTACTACTTAAGGGAAAGTCTCAGTTTTATAAAATATTAAATGCATAATCTTTTTGTTTCAGTATAGTACCTTTGGTAGGATTATAATTATTTACTATACATTTATTACTCTTTCTTTAAAAGTGAACTACTTAATGTCTTAGAAGTAATTTAGCAGATTTCATTCAGCTATTGTTACATCAAAATAAGAGGGAAAAAATCTCGCTATATGAGGTATGCAAAGGAACTTTTAAAGCTTGCATGGTGAAAACAGGTCCTTTATAAATTTAAAAATGATTTTAAAATAGTTAAGTTCACTTCTCTATACTGGATAATTACAAATTTTCATCTACGGAAAACTTTTTTTTCAAGGTATACATTATGTTTATAAATGCTTATCAGGATTGAACCTACTTTTATAAACTATTGCAAAACAGTTGGCAACTGGATTTCAATATTAGTATAAAAACTGATGATGTAAGAGTAACAAATCTGTCTCCTCCACATAAAATAAGTGTATTGTTTATTTCCATCTCCAACCTAACCATTAGACCATTAGTTTCAGTGTGTGTGTGTTTGCCTGTGCTGTTTTTCATATGAGGATAAATGACCTCTCCCAAGGTGATTTATAGACAGAAGTCCCTACAATGTTCACAAGATTCCACATTCATATTCAGTTTCATTTTAAATGCTACCAACTTTGATTTTTTCACAAAGCTTCCCTCCCACTGCTGACTAGTAAACAATATTTTTTCCCTCTAGAGTCATCCAAAAATAGTCACAAATTTCAGGCAAAAGTCGCTCATTAATGGTGATTTCATACTACATTGGCTTATTGGGCTTCGTTTTGGCTTCTTTCAAGGATAATTAAGCCTAGGGACTATCATAAGAGTAAGGTGAAACATAGAACACAGTTGACATTGAGTTATATAATTTTATATTTCACTCACATAATTGACTACGATTTTGTTACCTAAAGTTTTAATTCAATATCTAAAAACACTAGAAAGTCATTACATTCCTTATTGTATTATTTTTTTCATCTGAAAGACATTTGAGACATACTAAAGGCTTCTTAGTTTGAAAGAATATCAGCATTCCGCAGGGGCTGTTGATATCCTTCATTAGCTATAACATAGTTAAAACGTAGCACCTGCAATAAATCAAAGTATTGGGAGATTGTATTAAAACTTATGACAGTTACAGAGTTTGGTGGGTGCCGGTTGTTTTTTCCTCCCCAGGATTCTAGGGTCATCACTCATAATAGTGGAAAGTATAGCATAAAGGGGAAAAAAATTCAGAATGTTCCTAAAAATAAAATAGAAAGCCCTCAGGAGCCCTTTCAGAACAACAATAAAAAGTATTGCTAGCTGTAAAATTTGTAAGCAGGTTCCATCCTGTCGGCACAGAAACAATGAAGATGAATTACATTCTAGGAGAAACATTGAGACTGTCTAGTAACATAGTGGCAAATCTACTACAGTGAGGACAAAGCAAAACTATTTCTTCTCTGTCTTGAGTTGAAGGTGTCAGAACAGGAAGGCCTGAATTAAATGGAAACAAAGGGCCGTCTTTAGAAATTATTTCTAAGCTTAACCATTCAGTTTATTCATTTAGGCATTGTTTGGGCTATTCAGTTTTCAGAAATCTCTATTATTTCTGCACTAGTAAAATGTATAATTACATTGTTAAAAGTATAAGTATGTATATTTTTAATACATAAAAAGATGAATATGAGTTAGGGTGATGGTAGCTATTTATACATCTTTAAATATATTTAGATGTGATGAAAAAGAAGTTTAAAGTTTGTTTGGTTAGCTCCGTGCAAAGGTGTTTTTGTCTTAAGTAAAAGACATTTGGTCTATGTGGGAGATGTTGGCAGTAGGTATGAAATGTGAGGGAGGATCACACAGAGAATCCTGCAAAGCAGAGCTACTGCACAGTCTCCTTTGCACAAAAACTAAGAGTCCTTTTTTGCATATGTCCTTGTTTGATGCCTCGGATATTAGTGTGATCATTGAAAAGACATGCTGCTAAAATAAGAAATATATAGATAGCAGTAGTTTTGCAAAAAGTTGACGTCCACCTTGATGGCAGGTTGTAAGTTTAATAACAAACTGTCCACATCCTAAACCAAGGTCAGCATATGCAAAACGAAACTCACACCAAGAGCAAAAATGGGGGAAGTGTTTATTAATCCTTAGCTGTGATTCTCAGAGGACGTTTCTGTGTGCAATATGCCTATTCTCTACTAAAACAACTTGACTTTTAACTTAAATTTAAAACTCAGAGGTTTTCTTTCTTATGTGCTTATGAATGTTAATTAAAGGAGACATGAAATAGTTTGAGCAACTGTGTACAGTCTTTATTTGACAATATTTGAAAGTTGCTTTCTTTTTATGCTGGAATTCAAATTTTCTACCTATAAGTAACAAATGTGGCTTGAGTCTATTGTATATTAAAAAATTGAACATAGTATTAGGCTCTCTGAAAATCACTGGAAATTGACACAATTCATGTTTCAGGGTCTCAGTGATTGATTGCATTAAAGCAGTGGTGGATTTCAAGGTGAATGGAAATAAATGTTAAGTGAAGATTTTTTTTTAACCTCATCAATACCTTTCTAACAGTTCTTTTAAGCTGGAGGAGCAACTCACAGGAACTGAATCTAAGCAATTACCCAGCACTAGGTAACTTATTTGTCTGAGTACCTAATAATCTCTTAAACCTTTGCTTCTCCCAGCTGAGCTAATTTTTTTATGGAAAACCATTGAGAACAGTGGGTCACTGAGAGCAAATGAAGTGGGGTGACTACTGTGTTTCCTCAAGTGCTCTTATATAGCCCAATGTTGGATAGCTGATGATGTAATCTGCATAATAACATGGCCCTAGTGTGTTTCTATTAAGTCAGTGGGGCATTGACTATAGACAAAAGCACCACTGGCATCTATTAAACGGACTGGATCTACGGACCCACAATGACTTTACTCATCCAACAGGAAGAGTTGTGCACTAATCTCATAATTATACCCCTTTACTCCTCCACTCACTTTAAATTTTGTCTGTTGGCAGTAAAATAAGTTTCTATCCAACTATAATTCTAATTAAATGAGTTAAAATGCACTGCTCTAATTATTTGTATATGTATGTGATGTGAATTAAATGTGGGTAAATAATTATTCATTCAAATTAATAAATTTTAATGCAAATATATCCACAATAATACAGAAAGAGTATTCTCATGGATCCGGTAATAGAAGAAAATGTGATTTAATTAGGTAGTAATAAATACATTAGTCTTTTATGTCATCAGTTTTTTGTATCTGAACAGGATTTTTTTTCTAAGATGTCATTCATTTGATATCTCAGGTGTCAGAAAATTAAGGCAAAAATGAGATTTCGAAATTGAGCTCCTGAAATAATTTTAAAGCATATATTTCAGGATGCCTGCCATGTTCAAGAAAAAAGGGAAAAACACCCTATTGTATAAATTCATCTATCTATTGATCATTAAGCTACACATTTTAAGGTAAATAAGTTTACATTTTTAAATGGTACAAAGCATTGCATTTTTCAAAGCGGTATATGTTATATAACAAGCTTATTAAAAATGCATAGGTTTATCTGCAATGATAGCCGCTGCCTTGATTAATGTTTGAGCAGGTATCCAGAGTTCCTTACTTAGCTGGTGAATGCAGTACCATCTACTATCTCTTGGATTACACTAAAACTAATGTTTTAAAATGTGGAATAAAACAATCTCTTACTAATTTTGTAATATCATATTTTTAAATTGAGAAAATTTTCATTAAATTAGGGAAAGTTTTATTTTAAATCCCTGGCCAAGGTTTTGGATTCATCTTCTTACTCTGACATCATTTTGGAACAAAATTACTGATATCTAGAGCACTGAATATCATTAGAATACACTTTAAATGCAACCTACATTTCCTCTATTAGCTTTTGATAAAATTGATTAATAAAATTGTCAAATAGATAGAGTACCTGTATGTTTTAACAGTGATTTAAAATCTTTTATGGGTTTAAACTCAGTCTATTAGCTTAAAGCAACTTATTCTCCAGTGAGATATAGATGTAACGGAAAACTTGTAGTCAAATTGTTGTTTCGTGTAGTAGTCTCTGTGAGCACTCCATTTCAATACTATTCAGTTTAAGCATTAGCCAATTTTCAGGCTATTCCATCAGGGGGCTATTCTCAAAGTCATTTTTATGGGAAGATCCCAACATTACAGATATCTTACTGTGATTCTGAGAGTGAAAGTCATTGATAAAAATGTGTGACTCACACATTTTTAGAGGTGAAATCCTCTATTCATTGTGAAAAGCCTCTACGCATGAAAATGTACTACTGGACATATTTTTTATGTGATAAAATGATTACTCTCTGAGAAGTTGAAGAGCTGAAGGATATGTGTATTTATGTTTCTCTTTCTTCTTCTTTGTCTCTCTCTGTTCCTCTCTCTCTTTCATTTTCTCTCTCTGTGGGTTTCATTAAGGGTATGTTTCTGTGTGTGTGCATCTGATTCTGGAAGCTGATGGGGACTAAACAGTTGTGGCACAATGTGCAATAAAAGGATCATTATATCAGGCTCTAATTGTAGCCCTTGTGAATTAGTATGAGCAACATCTTACACAAGGCACATACTTTATCTCACTTATATCTTCCTTCATTCATAAAGAAACACAGGCCAGGCACGGTGGCTCAGGCCTGTAATCCCAGCACTTTGAGAGACTGAGGTGGGAGGATCACTTGAGGTCAGGTGTTCGAAACCAGCCTGGCCAACATGGAGAAACCTTGTCTCTACTAAAAATACAAATTAGCCGTGTGCGGTGGCACACGCCTGTAATCTCAGCTACTCAGGAGGCTGAGGCTTTAGAATCGCTTGAACCTAGGAGGCAAAAGTTGCAGTGAGCTGAGATTGCACCACTGCACTCCAGCCTGAGTGACAGAGCAAGACTCTCTCTCAAAAAATAAAGAAAAAGAGATACAACTTGTGTAAAGGTCCTTTTATGTTTGAGATTCTCTGTGTGACTAAACAAACTTCTTTCAGATTTCTTTATCATCATTTTAACAGATCTTTAATTTTTCCTCATTAGGAAATTTAGGATACAATATATTCTCTTGTATCTTTTTAGTTTTTTTGGCAAAAAAAGTTAAAATTAAGATTGTCCATTAGGATATCCAGCTTAAGCATTAGCTGGAAATGATTTGAGAACTATACGTATCGGATTCAATGAAAATGAAAAAATGAACAATGTATTTGTAATAAGAAAATTTATAAAATAGAAGTTCAATATTTAAATAACACTGCAGGGGGTGTTTCACAAAAGGCATACACACAACGTTTAAGGGAGAATTATGTAGCAGACTATTACAAGTCCATCATTTTTGCTTATTTTGTAGACACAAAACCAACTCCACAGAAAATTCTATAACCAAAATATGTAAAATCCAGATGGCAGAGATAAACTTTTACTGAATTTCATATGAGACAATGTACTTAAATATAAGTGACTATATTTGTACATGTGAACATATTCAATTCATGCATAATGCATTCTTTTCCCCATGTTGTGTGTAGATACTACATGAACACACATTGAGACTTGGGATAATGATGTTGGGCCTACTACTTTTACAGTTTCTAAGAAACAGTTTAGTCCAGGTGTGATGGATCGTGCCTGTAATCCCAACACTTTGGGAGGCCGAGGCAGGTGGATCACCTGAGGTCAGGAGTTCGAGACCAGCCTGGCCAACATGGTGAAACCCCGTCTCTACTAAAAATACAAAAATTAGCCGGGTATGTTGGCAGGCACCTGTAATCCCAGCTACTCGGGAAGCTGAGGCAGGAGAATCTCTTGAACCCAGGAGGCGGTGGTTGCAGTGAGCCAAGACCACGCCATTGCACTCCAGCATGAGCGACAAGAGCAAACCTCAATGTCCAAAAAAACAAACAAAAAAAAAGGAAGAAAGAAACAGTTTATTTTCTCATATCCGTTTTACTTTTTGTGCTTATTTTATTTAAATGCATATTCATACAGTGGATCAAGTTTAAGAAACTATCTGTGATTTGATTGTTATCTACATATACTCAGATACATTTTGCCATGAAACTAGAAGGAGGAAGAAACCCTACATTTTTAATTATGATTGAGTATATGATCAATTGGAAACCTTTGCAAGTCCTTCATCATTGGAACTTTAATACTGACTGTAATTGGTGAATGTTTAAGGTGTGTGTACAGAAAAGGATATGATTTCACTTGAGCAACTCTCTGAATCAGGATCTTACTGAGCAGTAAGTTTATTTTTAAAAATTCTTTTTTGTGGAAGTAATACACTTGGAATATATGTGGAAATGATTAGGGATATCTCCTTTCTACCCACTGCATTAAGTTGCCTAATTTTCTGACAGCTAGAAATACATTACCAGTGTACACAGAAAATGGAATGAAGTAGAGAAAGAAATCCCACTGTAGATTAAGGAAGGGGAAAAAATGATCTCTATATAAGAAAGAAAACCTTGGAGAGAACAAATAGCTAGTTACTGCTACATCCTTCATAGGTGTGAGGTGCAGACTGATTTTCTTGCATTTTCTGCAGAGTAGATGCACAGATTATGCTGAAAACAGGAGAGAGCATAATTGTACAACTGCCAATGCGAACGGCAGACTCAAGTCAAATAGAGGCTCTGATGCTAACAAATTCAAAACCTGGGAAAGACTCAGAAGGTATTTCTTACAAGCTCTTCCATTCCTTAATTTCTGTGACATACATTTCAGAAAGGATGGCTGCGTCCTCAGAAATATTTTTATGATGACTGCCCTTTTAAGCATTTCCACTTCTCTTTTCATAAAAGAAAGTCACACAAATGAACTTAATTTATTTCCTTTGATATGCACAGTTGGGGTTAAAATACAGCCCCCTCTTACACTTGTTCAGTACCTTCCTACATGCTATTTGCTAGCTCATCACATCACAAAAGTGAAGCCGCTACAGCAGGCAGGGAGCAGAACGACAAGGTTCTGTCTTGGAGAAATGTCATCTAACGGCTCTTGTAGTCCAAGTGATGTGCTACCTCTAGAGAACATGGTTGTCTGACAGTTATTTCTGAGTCATCTTGGTGTATTTTAAACAGTTGGTTCTCTCCTTCAGACACTTGTCAACATGTGCAGATGATGTTATAACTGGCACAATGTCACCAGCTCCCTCAAATCAGGAAAAGCTAGTAGCTGTGAAAAATATGACTTCCAATTCAAGTAAAAATTACAGTCCTAGAAACAGAAGCACATCTCATCAGATGAGGTATTACTTTAATTGATTCAAATGTGTGACTGCTGTGTTAAATGATAATCAGGTATATTTATTTTGTCTTTCTTGCACTCTGGTAGTGATGGTTGAGAAGAAATAGACTTATTAAGTTAAAAAGTAGAGAAAAGTTATCAAGAGGTATTTTTAGGTATATGAATGCAACTACCAAATCCATCTCAAATAGTTAATTATTTAGCCTGTAATTTTCCCTTTGCAGTAACACATTTTGTCTTTAAACCCCTAGTGTCTAATACATTGCTTGATACGTAGTAAGGTCCAAATAAATGTTTATTAAATGTGAATTTTTCTCTTCCTTTCTGTCTCTTCTCCTTTTACTTTGTTTCTCTCTTCCTCTTTCACTCATTACTGAACAAATGAATTGTTTTATTAATTATTATAAAACAAATGTAACTAAGAGAAATCATATAATTATATAGGCATAATGGGAGATTAGCATAAAATTTTGCAAATATGAAAAGTATCTCTGTGATTTATTGTAACAGTTTCAGAATCACTCAAAAAGTATACATAGTAAAACTTTCAGCCAAGTTATATTAATACTAGGATTTACCAAATCAAAATGAGGGGATAAAACAGTGGCCAAGAAAATCTATTATTTCTTCCTTGGGCTTTAGATTGAACCTAGATGATTTATTGGCTTCTTTTAATCCCATTAGTTTATTTTTAAAAATCTTTTTCTCACCCCAAATGCTATTATTCTCATCTTATTATTGAACTTTGCAGAATTAAAAAGTTATTTTCCTAATTATAATCATTCTTTAATTCTACTTATGGAACACCTAATATCAACAGATTTCCATAAGTAATTTTTTTGCATGTTCCTAAAATTTATTGAGTAATATTTTCTCAAGAATCTGTTATTTTTCTCTTCTAGGACGCTATCCTTCAACTCACCCTAAATCAGACTCCATCTTTCCTTTAAAAATGTCCACCTAAGTTGATTTCTCTCTCTTTTAAATCCTTCTAATAGCATTTCATTTCTTGTTTGTAAAATTGAACTATGAGACTTTTTAATATTGACTATTTTTAAATTTTTAAATATGTGAGTACATTATTTACCTAAGTAAATTGCACTCTAAGTAATCCCTCTAAGATAGAGGGAAGTGAAGGTGTTAAACTTCTAATAATTTCTCAGAGAGCATTTCGTAGTTCTTATGGTAAATGTGTACAGAGCTCCTAGACACATAATAAGCATCCCCAAAACATTAGCTGATAAAAATAGTAAAAGCTCAATAAATAATTGATTTCATTATAATTCAGTGTATCTGGATAGTATATGTGATTATACTTAAATTACCCTGGTTCACCTGAGTTAGTTTTATAGTATATGATAGAAGCAGCTTAACTCACAAACATTTATCATTACAATTTACCTCAAACATTACATGCCCAGTAAATCCCAGCAATTTTCAGCATCTGTGGTTATGTTTAGCAAGAATCAACACTAATCATCTTTCATTTCCTATTTTTAATATCACACATAATGTATAAAATAATCTTCACAGCTTTTTGTGCTAGTGCAACATTAATTTTTAAATTTATTTAATTTATTTGTACATTTACTTTTTTCAATATTATTCATATGTCTACCCAAACCAAACCAATGTTAAACGTATATTATGTAGGTTATTTATTCATTTTATTTCTCCTTCACCTTCAGCAACATTTTATTTTTCTAATGCTTATCTATTGACTTCAAATCCATTTCCAAAAATAACTAATAGGGAGAGTCATTTTAAAAATTACAAGCAAATAAATAGAAACATGCTCACAGTGGTAAACGTAACAGACACTCTGTTTGCATTAAGTTCAGAATAGAGGCTACAAATACAAAAGTCAATAAACAATTATTTTAAATAAATGCACATTTCCTTGTCAACCAAAATGTTTCAGTTCTAACTATTGTGCTGAAATTGCAACTACAGGCTCAATCGTAAAACCAAGAGCTATGCTCCAGGGAAGCATTTTTAACTAAACATCCCTGACTGATTCATTGCAATATCACATCAAGACTGAAAAATTCTGGGTTCAAAGGTGGCCAGTGGGAGGAAAAAAACAAAAAGGTTTCACATGCTTCTGTAGAAAGAAATAAAATGGCAAGCATAGGGAGCTGCATGGTGTGATAGAGCCTCACATTTTTGAAGGGGTGACACTAAATAGATAACCAGGAAAGTAAAAGAAGTGGCCATTCACAAGCATTATGCTTTGCTCAGATGTTTGGACTATATTAAAATGAGTAGGGAAAGCCATTGAAATATCTTTGAAGAGGATGTGATGAAGTTTGCCTTTAAAAAATAATTCTAGGAACTCTGTAAAGCTTATTAGAAAGAATGAAAAAGATACCTTCCATATGTAACACATAAAATTAAACCTCTTTGTAAGCAACTTCCATGCAATCCTTAGACATTTTCTAGAAATTTTTCATCTCTTTAAAGTGCAATCAAAAGGTCAAAATATAAATAAGTTTTGAAACACAAATTGAACATTTAAGTGAGGACTTTGATAAAAAAATGTAAATGACAAACTAAATATTTGAAGCCAGAATAAGTGAGGTACATATCAATAAAATTCAGTTTAAAAAAGAAAGAAAAATAGTGCATTTTTAAGGATAAAAATTAAATTTAACTTTTCTAGAACAGAGAGTGAACATTTTCTAAATGTCTTTAACATTACTAAATGAGTTAAAATTTTAATGTAAAAATTAATTTGAAAGTACACCAGTTTGTGTTCCTTTTACCAAGAGATACAGCCAAAATGTGTTTCAGAATTTTAAAGACAATTTTAAATTGTTGAATATATTATTAATGCAAAATTTTAAGATAGTTTTCCTCTCTCTTAAAGTAGGTATTTGTTAATTCCTTTTAGTGCTCAATTATTAGGCTTACTAAAATAAGTGACACCCCCAATTTTATATTAAATAAGAGTGATATAACCTTCCCTATACATTTCAGAACCAGTTTCTGAAAAAAAATTAAATATTATGAATTTACATTCAATACATTCTATTTTATATATATGTATATTCGTGTATATATATATATGTGTGTGTGTGTGTATTTATATATACACATATATGGCTAGAGAGCAAATGTTGTATCAATTAAACCACCATACATTTATATGATTAGTGTATTAGTCCATTTTCATGCTGCTGATAAAAACATACCCAAGACTGGGCAATTTACAAAATAAAGAGGTTTAATGGACTTAGAGTTCCACATGGCTGGGAGGCCTTATAATTGGAAGCCAAGGAGGAGCAAGTCACGTCTTACATGGATGGCAGCAGGCAAAGAGAGAGAGCTTGTGCAGGGAAACTCTCCCTTATAAAACCATCAAATCTCATGAGACGTATTCACTATCATGAGAACGGCATGGGAAAGAACTGCCCCCAGGATTCAACTACCCCCACACCGGGTTCCTCCTACAACACATGGGAATTCAAGATGAGAGTTGTGTGGAGATGCAGCCAAGCCATATTAATTAGGACCCTTCTTTTGTTTCTCTTGCTAAAATAAAACTAAGAAAGTTCAAAGAGATTTTTCTTTGGTTTGTTGGATTTACAAGTATACTTGCTAGTCTTTAGAAATGGCTGCATCTGCCCTTAAATGTGTCTTAATTACAAGTGTTTTTAAGGGTGAACATCTGTGCCCTTTACTGCAACTACATAGATACTTTGACACTTATCTGAGAAGAATATGTGGTTAAACTTGTGCACTATACTTGCTAATTCACTTTATTTAGCATAAATCAGGAATATTTATAGGTTAATTCTGTATCACTTTGATATACCACTTATACTAACACAATTTTGTTTCCTATAGTTAGTTTATGACATAACATTAGAATCAGATGAGTTTTTCTTTTTAAATGGGATTTTGACTTGGTGAGAAGGAAATGTAAGATCTCTTCCTTCTTTCCTCTTTTCTTTAGTAAAATGCAAGTTTCTTGATGTAGAGAAGAGTTCTCTGCATTCCTGCACTCTTGATAATCTCTTGACTTTAAAATAACACACTACCTCAGCAAGTATACTACTACTTATTTTTTGAAAAAGAAGGTAATTTTATGTTCCTTATTACTTAAATAATCTAAAATGGGGCAAAGAATAGAGGGAGATTCTTTAGTCACAGGGTATGAAGTTAAACACTTAAAAGTAACTGAACTTAAAAGTAACAGTGCTTCTTTCTGAGTTAGCAAGTGAATATGGTATATGGTGAAGGCTGGTTGGGAATGAGCCAGCAAAAAATACTTTTGATTGAAAGACTGTTACTGGAAATTGTTGACAGTATGGCCTAAAAATTGTCTATTAGTAGTCCTTTGGGATGATATTTTGTCAAAAATGTCAGAAATGAACATTCCCCAGAAAGCAGTGGAAGTATTTTCTTTGGAAAGAATTTCTGACATATATTGGGTCAGAATTTCTCCAGTGAAAAATACAGTGAAGAATAAATGTGTACGTTTTGCTAAGCAACTATCATTGCTTTTTAAGTCAAATATCCACTGGTCCCAAGAAGGCCTTAACATTCCTCTTCACTGCACTCAACACTGACTCTAGGTCCCTGACCTCCTTTTCTTTGAGCTTTTACCTTAATAAACATGTGATTTTAAATACTTGCTCTGCCCCTTTGAGATGTAAATCTTCTACAAATCAGGAATGTCTTCCTCAAGGACCTAGGAGCCATCCTTCTTAAATGTAATAATCTAGAAAAATAGAGTCCCTGTCTCCCAGTCTCTGTGGGAGAGTAGAAGCTTAACTTGGATAAGCACCAATTAGCAAATACAGATGGCTAATTACATAGATGGACCTCCCTGCTACAGTTCTCCAGTACTTTCCCATTGTTTACCCCTTTTTGTTTCGGTAAAGTGTGTTCAACTTCCTCCCTCATTACAATAAATTGGACTTCTGTTGCCATAATCGTTTTGTTTCTTTGTTTGTTTTGTTTTTTCTTTTCTTTTTTATTTATGTATTCATTTTTTTTTTTTTTTGAGACAGGGTTTCCTTCTGTTGCCCCAACTGGAGTGCAGTGGTGTGATCATGTCTCGCTCTATCCTTGAATGCCCAGGCTCAAGGGATCCTCCCGTATCAGCCTCTTGAGTAGCTGGGACTACAGGTACATGCCATCATGCCCAGTTAATTTTTCAAAAAATTTATGTAGAGACAAGGTGTCACTATTTTGCCCAGCCTGGTCTCAAACTCCTGGGCTCAAACAATCCACCTGCCTCAGACTCCCAACATGCTGGGATTACAAGTATTAACCACTGCTTTTGGCCTCCTATTGCCATAGTCTTGAATAAACTCTTCCTTGCTATTTTTACCTAGTGTCTATTATGATTTTTCTTTTAAAGCTGTCAACATTTCTTTGAATTTAAGAATTAAAGTCATGTTATTCAACTATATTTTTTAAACATCTCATCATGGGTAAATTCAAAACAATATTTTGCTGCCTTTATTAGAAAGTTAGAAATGATAATGACACAGACATAGCTGATTAAAACTTAATGAGCTTTGAGGGAAATCATAAATGTTCCCTTTTGATTATAAGAACATCTTTCCTAATGATGTAAGATGCTTTTTTAAAAGAAATACTGTGAGTTCAAAAATAGCACAAAGGTGGTAAAATTGTTCTCTATATTTGAGAAAATCTTTCATGATCGCATTTTCCCTAATCTTTTTCAAGTCATTAATGTTAAAATAGCATCTCCCAGAAAAAAAGTCAATCAACATGGGAAAAGTGAGGGAATTAGCTTGGTGACTTTCCAGTTAACCTGCCTTTAATACATGATATTGAGATTTTCTTGGATGGTTGGATATTACACATTCTTAGTGTGATCAAAGAAAGATATAATTTATAATCATACCTTTTTGACATTCTGTATACTCTGCCTGTATAGGAAAGACTTTGTATTTCAAGGGATATATCTTTAGTTCAATTAATTAAAGCTTTGTCCTTTGTTGGAGGGGTATGTATTGAGGTATATTTTATAATATTTCTGGAGAAAAACTTGTTTGTTCAAAATAATGTGTCCTTTTGCACCAACTAACTACAACAAAACTCCTTAAAATTTATTTTTTTCTTTAATTCTTAATGCCCATGAAATAAAATAGAGATATAACTTAAAGAACCTAACAGATTAAAGTAGCTCTTAATTTTAAATTGAGCTAATTTTTAGCTTCCAGGCTAATAAACTAAGAACAACAAACAGGATACTAAACGCCGAATGAAACACTACTTTTGATAATAAGAAAAATCCTATGCCATTACTTACATTTTTTCCTCAGAGCTTTGTTGCAGAAGTCAAACTTTTTGGTTTGTTTGTTTCCCTCATGATCTCTTCCCTGCAGAGAAAAGCTGCAGGAGTTTGCCTAAAAGATTTGTGATCTTCAGGCTCAACTACAAGCCCTGCTTGAATAGCTTTCTCCTTGTTTTTTCTCTGCTTAGCAAATATGAAGCTATCACCATCTTTAAGAATCTGAAGAGACTCCCTCCCACTTCTTAATACTTATGTTAATTTATTTGTTGATTCATTACCCTCAAATATATGTACTGATTGCTAATTGTGTGCAGAGTGCTCTGTTATGCACCACAGAAGTTGAAAAGATGAAAACACATGCACCATCTGCCCTCAAGTTGTAGTTTGGAAACTAAATCTTGTATAAAAATTAAGATCTATAAATAACTAAAGTACATGACAGAAAGTGATAAATTCCATAGAAGAAAAATCAATAAAGTGATACCAGAGTTCTAGTTTTGGAAAGGTTGTAAAAAACATGAAATCAGGGATGGTTTCAGAATTCTATCTGCGGCCTAAAGGACATAAAGGATTTAACTGAGAGAGAGCGAGAGTAAGTATGTTTTATAAATTTCCAGATGGTGAACATCATATAAAAAGAGTCGAGAAGATCAGAAAGTAAAAAGTGAAGGATATATTTCTGAAAGTAAGACAGACTTGGTGAAGGGAAATGGTAGAAGCTAGATGGGTAAGAGGTTAAAATTATAACAAGTCTTGATCGCATAGTAGCCAATGAATGGAGAAGCTTTTAAATATCAAGCAGAAGAACAGCATCAGAGTGGCATTATAAAGACATTCTTTGTCATAAGTTTAAAAGCATATTGGAAGAAGGGAATGTCCATTGGCAAGACAAGCCCCTAAGCACACAAATATAATGATCTGGGTATGAAGCAATTTCATCTATAAGCATGATAGCATCAGAATATGTTGAGGAGGTGAAATATGTAAAATATGATCACTGATTGGACATTAGGAGTAAGCCAGAGAACAGAGAATATTAGATGACCCTAATTTAGCCTGGTGCCTAGGGTGCCTTGTAACATAGATGGCTGGCTCTAGTGTTAGGGTCAACACTATGATGGTTCTTCAAGAAACAAAAAACTAAATAAACTTATTACACAATCTAGCAATACCACTTCTGAGTATAATACATATCCAAAAGAATTAAAAGCAGAATCTCATGGACATAGTTGTAAATTAGTGTTATAGCAACATTATTGTCAATAGACAAAAGGTGAAAACAATCGAAAAGGTCATCAGTCAATAATTGGATAAACTCTTAATAAATATGGTATATTTTATAATGAAATATTATTTAGCCACAACAGGGAAGGAAATTCTGACACAAACCAGATGAATAAACCTTAAGGACGTTATGCCAGATGAAATAAGACACAAAAAGACAAATACCAAGTGATTTCATTTATGTGAAATCCAGAGTAATCCAACTTACAAACTTACAAAAACAGAAAGTAGAATGATGATTGCCAGTGGTGGCGGGTTGGGGGGTGAATA
Source organism: Homo sapiens (assembly GCF_000001405.40). Taxonomy (NCBI): domain Eukaryota; kingdom Metazoa; phylum Chordata; class Mammalia; order Primates; family Hominidae; genus Homo; species Homo sapiens. The sequence goes on from NC_000013.11 coordinate 66,373,349, forward strand.
AATGGGAAATTGTCGTTTAATGGGTGTAGAGTTTCAATTTTGCAAGCTGAAAATATTCTGGAGATTAGTTGTTCAAAAATGTAAATATATTTAACACTACTGAACTATATACACTTAAAATTGTTAAGGTGGTAAATTTTATGTTACATATGCTTTATTGCAACTAAATTTTTTAATTAAAAAAGAAAAGGAAAGAAAAAATGAAAGATGAAGAAAGAACCACAGATACACTCGTATATTTAATCAGAATTATTTCTTCAATACAGTGAATAGTGGAGAGAGAATGTCAAACAGAAATGACCTTTAAAAATGACCAGGATCTATTAAACAGCAACACAAATAAGGAAGAGAAAATTTGATCTATATAAGAGTAGGTAGTAATATTTTAACAAATGGATAAAATTAATTGTTGGATCCTGTCAAACAAAGGTTTTCATAGTTCCCACTCCGTGGGTATGAGCACAGTGTTATAGAAGGCCAGACTTCCAGTCTTGGCTTCTGATACCTTCTATTTATAAGACCTTGTAAAAGTCACTTAATGATTCAAAACAATTTATCAGTAATACCTGCTTATATCATAGGATTATTCAGAATTTCAAAAATACATTTATTAGTGTTTTGCGTACAAGAAAGGCAAATATTATTATCATCTGCCGACCTCCTTGATGGGTTTTGTGTAAACAATGATAATTGCTAGGTTAATTGCTGCAGGGGATTGCCAGAGACTGTCAAAGGTGGGCAAATGCCATTTTTAGCTATGAACATTGCACAATGCATTGTGATCAATGCTGAGAACAAAGGAGATAATATAGACTCAAAAATCTGAACTCACTTACCAGGTCTGTATATTTATATGAATATAATTCAACTGTAAAATCCAATATTTATTTTCTCCTTGCTGCATGCTATTATTAAGTGTTGATCTTTCAGGTAAGTTCTCCATATAGCATTAGAGAGGAAGGAATGGGAAGAGAACAAGGGACATGCGAATTTGACAGAACATGAAGAGGAGATAGGAAAAATGAGCGTGAAGGAGGAATTAAAAAGATAATACTTTTAGAAATTTGATTAGAGAATTTTTGTTCATTTAGATTGCAGCCCATAGGAAGCCGGGGAGACAGGAAATAGCAATTTTTATCACTGAGCTTGGTACTCTACACGTTATTTAATTTAATTTAATTTTTACAGTAATTTAAGAAGATAGACTTATATTTTCATTTTTTAAATGAGGACGTTGTCATAAAATTTGCCCCAGTCACACAAGTAGTACATAGTAGGTGGATTTCCAGTCACTTCTCTCTGCCTGCTGTGAATCAGCATTTTTCATAATGCCACTCCATCAAACTTCCACCTCCCAAAATGCATCCAGGTGGATTATCAGAAAGATCGCAGCTCAGGGGTATTTCACATTCTAAACTTAAACTGTCACTAACTGCAGGGTATATGTCTATAAAACAGAATATATTCCTTTGTTGAGCAACAAGATGTATTTCTTCATTGAGGACAGACTGGTCAGAGTTTGTTAGAGCTGAAGGAATAGTAGATCATCACAGCTAATGTTCTCATTGAGGACAATTCAGATCAGAAAAATGAAGGAATTTGTCTAAAGGAACTCAATCAGTTGACAGTTTTAGGTAAACAGATATGAATTGTTAAGTATAACTCAGGAAGATTTAAAGGCCAGTCAGAGATTAATAGAGTACTGTCTAATACATGATTAACTCTACTTAAAATATCGAATATGCTACTAAACGATAACATAAATTTCATTGCCAATAGTATAGTTACTTTATCAAAAGTTGCCAGTCATCGACAGATGAAGTTAAGACAATTTTTCTGTAATTCCATATAATTACTCAGGTGCCTACTGATAATATTTCTAACTCTGTCCCCAAATTTCTTAGAAGTAACCCCACATGTCATCTGTAATTAGTAAAACTTAGCAACCTGGAAACTTTTTATTTCCTATCCTTCAATTGAATCAGATCTTTTGTGATATTATTTTTACTCACTCATTTCATATACTTTTTACTCGTCCTCAAAACTAGGCTATTGCTTTGTTTTTTGTTAATGTAATAAGAAAAAAAAACTTGTAGTATATTTGCTCTTCCATTCTCAATCATTATAGGTAATACCTATATACTTTAATGCAACTTTAATAGGAAATAGCAGGACAAGTGACAGAAAGGAGTGTCTTCAATAATTAGTGACTGTGATTTACAAAATTTTAAGTATTATCTTGTAATATTTCTTACTGGCTGGTAATGTAAATGTAGCCATGCTAGAAAACACTCTAAATTACAGGCAGAAGTAAGAAAGTGCATATAACAAATTGATGATATTTTATAACCATGAATTTAACTATTATTTAAGATGAAATATGACCTGAATAAGTGTATTACTTTATACAGTATAAAATCATTATATCTGAGCCAAGAGGATATATTCCCCCTCAAGAATGTATTTCCCCTCAACTACTCCATTATTCCATAGTACAAGTTGAGCTTCCATTAGGGTCAAAGTGCTTCACGAGATAATTAAAGCAAAAAACAACAACAAAAAAATAGGCTTCAGTTCTCCTCTGTGAGTACAGTGCATCTAATAAGAAACAGATGTTCAACTTACAAACAACCAGAAAACACCAATAAAGGCAGCTCATCCTTATAACTGACTCCCATGAAGTTAAACAATTCAAAGTTTCCTACCCAAGATGAGAATCATTCACACAGAAATGTGGAGAGAAAATTCCGTGCCCCCAGATTTACCACTACCAAAAATAGAAGGAATTAAACAGAGTTGAGTGAGAGAACCTAGCACCTTAACCCATATCATAATACAGTGGAGGGTCACTAAACTGTCACCTTTGCCTTTAAACAACTCACTAGATAAACTGAGGGTGTCTTTTGTAGTCTGAAGTCTAAAGACTAAAACCTTTCACACACTGAATGCTGAAGTGAAGTAAGTTAGCTCCTGTTCCTCAACTCTCACCAACTGGGCTGCCTGCCTGAGTTAAGTATTTTTGTTTGTTCTCGAAATTGATCTTAAAATTGAAATTGTTCTTGTTTCATATAATTAATATGATCTTTTTTTGCAGTTGTTCTCCTTATAATAATGTAATTTCATTAAAGTTTTATGCATCATTAATATTGACTTTGACTTTAAAAAGTCAAAGTAAAACAGATGACTTTTTTTCATGAAAACTAAGATGCTTTCTTTTAAAAGGCAAAATGAAAACAAGTTACCCAAACAAAAGAAAAAATACAAGTATTTTTCAATTATTTGTGGATAAAATGTGTGACAGTTGAAGGGAAATATCATAAAAATTCAGAGAAGAGTGTATCAAAACTTCTTTACATGTATCTTTAAATGCTAGATCTATGTAGAAGATTATGAAAATGAATGAATTATACTACTATTAGGCAAGAAAAGTAGAACTTCATTAAGGAGACTACTGCCAAAAGACAATTCTGGCAATACATTAAAAAAGATGGGCAAATGGCTGTACATTTACATGTTTAAATTGAAATGTTTTTTGTTATTCCTGCTTTATTCAAAAATGAAATAACCATTTATCTGGGATGATAGCATCAGTAATATGGCCTTCTGTTATACTAAATTATTAATAGTAGCAAAATAATAAAAAAATCTGTGCTGACAACACTAGAAACCGGCTTAACCAAGATGCCCTGCACAGAATGTAATAGGTACGGAGAGAATTTGTGTTTTGGTGTGGTCATATTGTCATTTGTAAGAAATCACCATATCTGTGAAGAAAATATAATTGGGCCAGAATTGTTAGTTTTGCATGCACATGGACCGAAGTGGGACAGTCAGTCATGTCATATTTAGTAGCCACCCACTCTGTACAGCTCATTGTACATTGAACATATTTGAGGCCAGTTGTTCTCAAATCTTAGAAGGATCAGAAGCACCTGGGGGGCTTGTTAAAACCCAGACTGCCAGTCCCCGCCCTGAGTTTCTGATTCAGGAGGTCTGGGACGAGGCTCAAGAAGTTGCATTTCTAACAAGTTCCCAGGTGATACTGCTCTTGCTGGTTCAGCAACCATGGTAGGAATGTTTTGGGATATGAAAACACAAACCAAAACCAAATCAAGATAGTTTTACTCTAGAAATATTTTCATTCTTAAAAGAAAAAAAAAGATATGCTGAATTTACATGCAAAAAGCAAAGTGTATGCATAACTCAATATATAAGTTAACCACTTGGTTGGCTGTCCACTGATGCATCCCAGAGTCTGCTGGAGTCAATAATATGAAAGGACTTGGAAGGAATTAACCAGAAAAATATTTTTCTTCTGAAGAAAAAAGCAGGGAGAGTGAGCACTTGCGGGAACAAACAAATGTGACTTAGCATGTGCTAAGAAATATTTTGAAAGCACACAGAAAATTGCATCTGTCTCTTTCCTTCAAATTTGTGCAATTTAGAGCTAACTGATAAAATTCTTGCTGTCAACCCTGTGTTATCTATATGTCCGTCATTCTTTCACCTTAATTTTTCTGCCTGGTATTCTCTTTTCTTTTCCTAATGTTTCTTTCTGTCTGTATTTTTAGGTGTAGTCACTGTCACAAGATTTTCAAAGTCAACATTTCAGTAATAGTTCCAATTCTGTTACAAGCTGATCCTAAATGTATCATTCTGTTAATTGGTGTAATAGATTAAAATCTACTTGGAAAACATTTAAATGGTGGAGAGAAAGGAAAATTTATTCAAAATGAGACTCTAGGTTACATTTTTCTATTCCTCTTTAAAGGGTTGATCATAGAAATAACTTTGCCGAAAAGCCCTGAGGATGAAGAGAAGTGCAATCTGTGTGTTCAAATGAAAATAGATTTAATCACATGAACTGTGCTGGAATTATTTTCATTCAACCTTTCAAAGATGTAATAATATTTTATACCAGCTTGCCCAAGCCCTAGGTTTTGTGAGAAGTAATCCATCCTGAGTTCATTTTACAGTTGTTAGCTCCTTAACTGGAGATGGGTAAGTGCTTTTTTTTTGTATCCAAAGATATACTCTCTGTAAAACAGTCCTTCTGAGATTGGGACAATGAATAATCTCTCTGTGTGTGTATGTGTTTAACTGTAAATTTTCACACAGACCTCATCAGACACTACAAGAAAGTCATCGTAAAGACTGCATTTTTTAAAATTAAATGAGAAACCTGAAAACCTGTTTTTAGGAGCTGCACTGAAGACCTATGATTGTAGAATGATTCTAGAATTTCTTCACCTAGACCTGAGTCCTTGTGTGGTTAGGAAATGCTCTTGTGTATCATTATCATAGTTATTCTTGTAAATAAGTATTCATTAAATGTTATTACATAGGAAAGATCTAGAAAGACTAATTGTAGCTCTTAGAACTTATTATAACTACCTATAAATTAAGCTGTTGAATGTTTACACATAAAAGGACTAGAACTAAGTTTTATTGTCTCACTCATAGCTAAGAGTGATATGTAAGGTTAGGATTTTTAGACATCTAGCAAATAAGGAAAAGAGTGTAGGTCATTCAATTCTGTGAACCTGGAGTTTGCTGCTGAATTAGAAAGATGACACAGTTCACCAAGCAAGTCACCTTCAAGCTGTCAATATCTGGCCTTTGTCTCTCAAGGGAAACTATGCAGCAACAGACACTTAGAATTTTCCACTGTATAGGCAATCCCTACCTAATTGTTTAGCAGGAAGTATCCCAACAATCTGTACAGCAGATGTGACTACTTCGCTTAACACTAGCAGATGAAGAAATAAGGGCAGAAGAGTCATATGCTAATGGAAAAGATGCACAGAGAAACTGCTGCATGGGCATAGGTAATACACCTCTCTCCGGCCATCTGTCCTACCATGTGTGCTGCACATCACAAGAGGATGTGAGAAGGGGTGGACAGCTGAGTGCAACTTACAAACAGGTTTTTCGGAGTGAAAATATGATTGCTTTCAATAGCAGTGTGACACTGGAGTATACAAATTTTTATTGATATTGCAAGGAATGTGTTACTAATATTAAAATTAAAGGACCAAAGGCTTTAAGTATTATATATTTTTATAAATATAAATTAGTGTCACGTCACTCATTACTTTCCATCACTGTGTTCTGGGGTTATTTCTTGAGTGGCAAGGAAAAATGCATAGTTATGCTGAGATGCAAGAATTACACATGACAGTTTCTTTGTATGACACCAATTCTGCATAAATAAATGAAACAAAGGCTGAGAGGAGATTCTGCAGGACACCACAGACCAAGGTAATGCTTACAAAGCTCTGAGCCAAAGAGGCAGGGTATCTATAGTGCTGTATTACCCTGGCATTCATTTGTATTACCCTGGCAATCAAGTCAGAACTCGGCATAGTATCTTAGTAGTTTGAGTGCCGTGTTTAAACGATAAAAAGTTTAAAATACTGTGTCTGAATTATATTTTTGCCTGTATATATAAATAAATCAAATTCAGGCAATCAGCTTTCCAGAATTATTTCTTAAAAAATACAACTACCTTTGACTCTGATTTAAAAAAAACAAAAAAAGCATTCTGAATAACTAGTTGGGGCAAATGGCCTGTGCCTCAAAACAAACAAACAAATAAAACCCCAAAATTAGGTTGTCAATTTTTAGATAGAGAAGAAGAAAGATAATTCCAAGAATTTCACGTAGAATATATATATATTTCACTTAGAATATATATGGACCTAGTTAAATCAACAGTCATTCAAACATACAGTTGATATCAGGAATTAATATGTAGCATATAGAAAAAGTATATAACCTCTCTGAGAGCAAACTGGCTCTCTGATCATAAGCAATTTGGTGGCAGCGATATAGATTTTAATCCTGAGAAATATATTGTGTTTTTTAAATAGACATGATAATTAGCTTCCTAACACTAGGATAATAAGACAGTCAAACTAGGTAAAATAATAGCTATGTTTGGGATTTCAAGAAATAAACTTTAAAACTGCTGTCAATACCAATGGCATCTAAAGATATTACATATTCTTTTCCTAGTTCATGGATTTCCTTAAGCGTTCACACTGAAAGAACTGAAAGCAATCTGAGGAACTTGTGAAGTGATAAGACAAAAACAAGACGAAACTCCATGGTGAATTGACATTGTAATGAGTATAGTAGATTACACATAATGCCGGAAGAAAAAAAAATAGAGAATAGATCTTGTCCTTTTTTTTTTTTTTTTTTTTTTTTTGAGACAGAGTCTTGCTCTGTTGCCCAGGCTGGAGTGCAGTGGCGTCATCTCGGCTCACTGCAAGCTCCGCCTCCCGGGTTCACGCCATTCTCCTGCCTCAGCCTCCTGAGTAACTGGGACTACAGGCGCCCGCCACCACGCCCGGCTAATTTTTTGTATTTTTAGTGGAGACGGGGTTTCACCGTGTTAGCCAGGATGGTCTCGATCTCCTGACCTCGTGATCCACCCGCCTCGGCCTCCCAGAGTGCTGGGATTACAGGCGTGAGCCACCGCGCCAGCCAGATCTTGGTTGTTTAAAGAGAGAAAATCACATTTCCCTCCATGGTCTGTAAGATATGATGTAATCTGTTTTTTTCTTTAGGACCCAAAATTTAACTCTGATTAAGTTGAAGTAATACGCGTGTCAACTTTCAGTAAGAGACACACAAAAAAAGTGTTTCTATCAATGTAAACATGCTTGCAAAACAATCTAGTTACCCCATCTTTACTCTTGTCAAAAAAATAGTTTTCTTTGAAGAAGAGAGTTTGAAATTATATTTCAAAACTAGGAGTTAGATGCACTTCTCCCTCTGAGACCATCATTTTGGCAACAGTCTCTCAGAAATTATTTTGTATTCCTTAAGCTTCAATCAGGGCTTCAACTTTCTTTTCCACAGGTGACAAAATTACATCTTATAAAGAGTTTTGAATTCATTATGAAAAATAATAGATCTTTAGGATTTAAAAGTAAAAGAACCATGCTGGACAAGTATGTGGAGCATCCATTTCCTCATTTTATAGTGACATAATCTTTGATTTTATTAAAATGTATGACTGTGCTCAAATAGTAAAACTTATGTGTATAAGTAGCCCCTTAGTAGCTTCCATAGAGGTTACAAATAATTCAAAACAATTTTATTCTTGTTACACTGTGTAAGGCTTACTTTTAGTACTAAAAATAAACAATATTGGCTTTTTGTAAATTAAAACAGCGTTCTCTGAAACATAGAAACAAAATACAACAACAACAACAAATGTGCCCTAAATCATAAGCATAGCAAAAGTCTTGGTTGGCGATCTTAGAAAAAATAAGCATACAGCCAGTCAGTAAAGCAAACAAAGGCGAAGGCAATGAAAAGCAGTCAAAATTTTAAACTAGGTCTTTTCAAATGATTTTTATTACAAAAAATTCTCCTGATTCTTTCATTTCTCCTTGAAAAGAATTTCAAACTGTATAGACTTCCCTGTAAGCATCTTATGTATGAGTAGTTTTAAAACTTTCCAACTCTCACCCTGGCTCTACTTTAGAACTGCAGTAAATTAGACAGGAGTTTTTAAGTTGACTCTAAATGGCTATAATTAAATCCTCACTTAGCACTTTGCCATCTATACCAAGGGCAAGCTCAATGTGATAAGGGATGTGTAAGAGTAGAATTATTGAAAGAAAAAAAAAAAGAAAACCTGTGACTTGGCATAGATTATTGTGTAAAGAGTACAGGTTAGACGTTCCAATGATTTATTCTACAAAGAAGTTGTTATATAAAGATGAAAAAGGGTAGATGAATAGAGGAAAAGTAGTATAATCTTTCCTTTTACAGCTATGCTTAAAAGTGAACTCTTACTCAGGAAATCTATTACTTGCTAAACTTTTCATCTTCTAAATTCATCATGAAAACAAATGTACTTTTTTGAAAATGACCCTAATTCAAATCCAATGTGTACTGATAAGTCAAATTGTTTGAAGTGAATCTAATTAGCAAGAATAGGCCACCTAGCCCATGGGTAAGGAAAGATATCTGATGAGACCTAGAAACAGGATGTCTATTAATGTCAAGAATGGCAGGGTTGGTGGTTACTCAGAAAATATAGCTGCTAAGTTGAGTGAAAAAAAAAAAGTGTCCTATTTGAAATAAGAAGGGAATTACCAATTGCTATTGTCCTAGCTACTAAAAAACTTAAAATAGAAACAAAGACATAGAACATGGCTGTTGTAGCAATTATAATCATGTTTGAATGAAATTTTATGAACTTCTCACTTGATCAGTTAGTAAACTACTTTTTATTTTTAGGAACAAATTAATTTTTAGAGATGAAGTGAACATTTATCAGACAGGTACAGTTTAATAGTGAGGATTTCTGATTTTTCTATAACTCAAAGACAAGCTGTAATATGATCTAAGGATTACAAAATATTCTTAATTATTTTGTGGCCAGGCGCGGTGGCTCACGCCTGTAATCCTAGCACTTTGGAAGGCCGAGGCAGGTGGATCACTTGAGGTCAGGAGGTCAAGACTAGCCTGGCCAACATGGTGAAACTCTGTCACTACTAAAAATACAAAAAATCAGCCAGGCGTGGTGGCGCATGTCTGTAATCCCAGCTATTCGGGAGGCTGAGGCAAATCCCTTAAACTTGGGAGGTGGAGGTTGCAGTGAGCCAAGAACATGCCATTTCACTCCAGCCTGAGCAATAGAGCGAGACTTTGTCTCAAAACAAACAAAAACAAACAAACAGAAGATTATTTTGAATATGGAGGAAAATGTACCATATATTTACAAAGCACAATATAGTTCACTTGAGTATTATCAGGCATTATTTTCTGATGATCAACAACACTGTCTGAATAGAAGGGAAATTACACTGTGAACATTTATCTAAGAAAAAGGAGATGCAATGAGCACAAAAAATGGCATGCCTCCGTATGAGTGCTTCACCAACGTATAAGAGGAAGGGTCTTTTGACTCCTTCTTCGTACATATTTTACTCTCATAACATTGGTTTTAAAGAACTGTATCTCATTACCTTTCTTCTAAGAAAAATTGAGTGCTTGGTGTTCATGTTTCATTCAAAATGCTCAGAAACGTATCTCCTCCTGGGGAAGGTACAATGTCATTTTCAAGGGTAGTGCTCATCAAAGTCAACTTGCTAATTGGTTGTAATTGTTTTCCAAGTATTTGAATGCTACCTAGTTACTCCAGCTGCAATTCTAGGACATTACACATCTAGATCTCAGCCAAAATAACAAAAATACATTGTAATCATGGTTTTCAATACAAATAAAATAACATATACAAATCCTTTGCTATGTTTCATTGATGAGCTAAAATCAGTCTTTCCACTTTCTGGGAATTTCTTACAATCATTCTAATTTTCTATACTCTCATTTTTCTCATACACAATACACTATATTAATATCACCACAAATAGTGTAAAACATTTCTAGACAGAAATAATCCAGGCACCACATTTCCTTAGCAAGCTAATCTTCTAGCAGAGAGGAGCAATAACTTTTCAAAAACTAATATTTATAGTAAAATGTGTTAATTGGTTATTTATTTATGATAATAGGTGATTCGTGAACATCATTAAATATATGTGCCCTAGTCCTTTTTTCTTAAATATGTTTGTTTCTGAGGACTTAGATTTCACATTAAAAATCTAAACTGCATCACTGTATTTAAGTAGAAATAACTAGTCAAAGTATAAATGGTAATTTCGACAACATGAAATTTTATATAAATAATTAACATATTAGTCATTATACAAATAAAGAATTTCCTATTTGTGCATCCAGTATGGACATTATAAATAGTTGATCTTTAGTTTTCACATATTTATACACTTTGTTGGTTTTTGGTCTTAGAAATATAATTTTATTACATATTGTTAAAGGTTGAATACATCCAATTTTATAGATGAATTCTATTGGAATTTGATTATAGTTCCAGAGAGTAACCTTAGCTTTAGAAGACTGTATGATGAAAATGTGGAATGTTAAATGTATTAGGGTTTACAAAAAATTCATTGCAAATTTAAAAAGAGAGGAATATTATGATGAATGTTAAACTGTTTTTGTTGTTCTATCAGAAAAAAAATTATTGCACATATTTAAAGTGTAAAATATAATGCTTGATACACTTACACATAATGACATAGTTATTTTAGCCAACTAACATATCCAGTCTCTTGCATAATTACCCTTTTGTATATGTGTGGAGTAAGAGCACCAAAAATCTATTTCTTAGGTAATTTCTAGTATGTAATACAATACTGTAACTGTAGTCCTCACGTTGTACCTTAGATCTTTAGATTTATTCAACCTACATATCTGCCATTTTAATTTTACTTATTTATTTACTTATTTGAGGTGGAGTTTCACTCTGACACTCAGGCTGGAGTGCAGTGGCACAATCTTGGCTCAATACAACCTCCACCTCTCGGGCACCGGTGATCTTCCTGCCTCAGCCTCCCGAGTAGCTGGGATTACAGGCACCTGCCACCACTCCCAGATAATTTTTTTTTGTATTTTTAGTAGAGACAGGGTTTCACCATGTTGGCCAGGCTGGTCTTGAACTCCTGACCTCAAGTGATCCGCCTGCCTCGGTCTCCCAAAGTGCTGGGATTGCAGGTGTGAGCCATGGCGCCCGGCCCATATCTGCCACTTTATACCTTTTGTTCCACATCTCTCATTTCTTCACATTTCCTCCTACCCCAACCCCTGGTAATCACTGCTTTATTCTCTATGTATTTGACATTTTTTTTTAAGATTTCATATATAGGGAGATCATGCAGTGTTTTCTTTCTCTCTCTGGATTATTTCATCTAGCATAATGTCCTCCAGGTATATTCATGTTGTTGCAAATGACAGAATTTTCTTCTTTCTTAGCACTGAATAATATTCAATTGTTATGTACTTACCTTGATTACTAGTTAAGTACCCTGTTTTAAAACTTCATAAAATCTAACATTAAATCTGTATGTATAGTACAAAGAATGATAAATGAGCATATTTTGTGGGTCATGAAAAATGAAGAATATGTGCACTGGATATCAGAAAAGGTAAAAAACTAATACATATAAATTAAATCCCCTTTGTAATTTTTTCTCATGCCTCCGTCTAGCCCGCCCTATCCTCCCCAAATAACAGGACTTCAAGACTATTAACTCAATTATTGACTCATAAAATGCCCCCTTTTCCCATTCCAGCCCCACAAATTAACCAGAGTGTTTAGATTATCTAAATAAGGTGTCGATGGATGTAATGGAAATAACTAATCAGACTTAAGATGATATTTTCAATAGCCTCCCGGAACTTTTGTATTTTTTCATTATTCCTTCTTATTATATAATTTAAATTTATAGCTGTGCTAAAATGGTTATGGATTTGTAGAAGATTCTAACAGTAAGTTTACAAAAAGGCAATCAACTGTCATTGTAATAAGAGTTAAATGGGTCTATTTACATCTGAATTCTAACAGCGATTTCAAATATTGCCTTTCTAGTAGGGTTTAATTGAAACCAAAATCAGGTTGAGAACTCTGGGGAATAATATGTCAATCTTGAGAGAAACCATAGAATGTAAAAGCCTTCGGTGGACAGGCATGTATTTGTGTTTAACGTAGCAAAAGAACACAGTTACAACTGTATTTCCTATTTTGTTTTAAGAAACGTATCTGATAAAAAAAAAAAAAGGGAAGAAAAAGTATCTTTTAGCTAGAGTAAAAAATGTTGGTAATACATTAATTTAATGGTCCATAGGTTCTTCTCTTATAAATACACAAATATTTTTGCAGTGATGTTGCATATTATCCGTTAGTTCAAAACAGTACTGTGTCTTGCACTGTTCAACAATAATACTATGCCATTATGCAATTTGTCTCTAAAACTTATAATTCACTATTATTTTATGATACTGACCTTCAGTCTTCTATCTCAATATAAAATCCTGTGAAATGAATTCCCCTCTCCATTACTTAAGTTTGCTTTTTGGTGTTTTATTGTTTGAAAGTCAAATACTGTATCTTTGACTCCTTCTTTTGTATTCTACTACACTCCACCCTATAGAGTCCCCTGACTAACATGCAATGAACATGACTTTTTTGGATGGGGGTTGAACTGGTGAATTAAGTTTAGGTGGATGAATGTTTTTTATTGTCAAAGAATATAAGAAGTACTTACTAAATGTAATTTTAAAACAATGATTTATTTACTTATTTCACACAGCATAGTCTTACTAATAGTAGAAATATTTTTGCAATTATTAATTATATTAATCTGTTATAGAGTATTTATACTATAGTCTCTACTTTGCAAATGCATTCCAAAAGTTATGGGGTCCATAGAAATATTCATATAGTGATTGGCAGGAAGGGCTATTTAATTCAATTCTGAATTAACAAAATTGGGTGCTCTTCAACATCACTGAGCATGTGTTACATGGCAACAGCCTTTATTATTAATATTAATTTGTTGGGAGCAAAATACCAGACAGAGAACTAAAAAATAGGCCATTATTACATTTTTACTTAAAGTCAATTTGCTATATGATGTCATAGTTTCTCAGTGTTTCAATTCATGTAGTAATGGCAAGATAGTTATACTTGTATTTTAAAATAATTCTTAAGGTTTTTATGTTCTACCAAGAAAAATCACAAGTTGTCAATTTACTGACCTCTGAGACACAAAAAAATCAAGCCTGTAATTAGTTCTCAGCATTACAATAACCATTTACTCTTCTACACTCTAAGGATAATATACCAGTTTTGAGAAATGGTCTTCATGAACATATTTCTTTAAAAGCACAACCAACAAATAAAAAACTCAGATTCAAAGCATCTTCTTAATTATTGTTCCTCTCCTGACTGTGAGCCATTATCTATTAGAAGACTGTCTAGCCAACCTAGTAAGCAACAGTGTCCACCTTTTGATTGATTTCTACACTTCCTTCAAATGTATCTCAAAAGTTATGTGCAGTGTGAAATTTCCCATAAAATTACAAAGAGCTTGTGCCTTTCTCCTCTTGGGCTTCTCAAGTAGGTTTACTCTCTGATATAGTTGGATATTTGTGCCCTCCAAACCTCATATTGAAACTTGGTCCCCATTGTTGGAGGTGGGGCCTGGTGAGAGGAGTTTGGGTCAAAAAGGCAGATCCCCCATGAACGGCTTGGTGCCATTCTCATCACATTGAGTAAATTCTTACTCTTATTTCCCACATGATCTGGTGGTAAAAAAAAAAAAAAAAAAAGTCCAGCACCTTCCTCCTTTCTCCGTCTCATCCTTCCTTCCTCTTGCCCTGTGATACTGACTCCCTGTTGCCTTCGCCTTCTGTCATGAGGCTCTATGAGGCCCTCACCAGAAACAGAAGCTGGCGTCATGCTTCTTGTACAGCCTGCAGAACATTTTCTTTATAAATTACCCAGCCTCAGATATTCCTATATAGCAACATAAATGGACTAAGACACTGACAAAAACATTTTTACTGCAGTTATTACTTTTGTGATTTTTGACCAGGAGCTTCTCAAACACAGCATCCTGTTCCATTTACACCTCAGTCTCCAGAGCCTACTATGTGCTGGTGCATGGTTGCATGATTATTTGATGAATAAATAATTCAATAAATTAAATAGATTTAGATAGATCTCTTTCTCCCAAGCTAATATTCGGCAGTTTTTAAAAGTCAGCTTGTTATTATTTGGATGTCAGTCAAATCCCTTGGAATACGTATCTTGAGAGAGGGTGATTATTGCAAACATATTTTCAATGAGTATTCTATCAGATTGATTTCACTAATTTATAGTTGTCTCAAATTTTATCCATGACCACTCAAAGTAAAGATATATTTCCCTTAATAATTGTGTTTTCCAATATAATGAACTCTTCCAGACTAAAAGGAATGGAGAATATATCATTTATATTTATGAAACTGTAAGATGTATGACAATGTTTACACTCATAAGAATTATACTCCCTACTCACTGGAAATAGAATTCGTGTACATAGGATAATAATTTCAGTGAACTGATTTTAGTTTTTTTCATTTATTGGATTAATATAGATTTCACAGTGACTTTTTCCAAAGTTCAAACATGGTCAATGAAGTATTTATGATTTTTACCAAGATTTTTTTCCTTCTAGAAGCCTCCTCAAACACTTCACAGGATTTTTCAGTAATATGTAATGGGTAGATGTGGTGGCTTTGAAAATTTATAGGGTTTATTTTTAACTTTGAGAAGTTTATAGTTTACAGTTAAAAATTTGTTTTGTTCAAGAATTGAAAGAAAAATGTTCATGCCTGTGATCCAAGTGATGCGATTTAATATGCACAAAATATAATTAGAAGTTACAAGAGTTCATTGTATTTTGAGGGTAAAAATGTTCATTTCATATGACGCTGTTATTTATATTATTGGATATCATGAGTACTTATTTCAAAATTCTGTTAACCAATATGTATTTTCACAAATGTGGTCAGGCAAGTCTCTTGGAAAAAAATAGAGCCATTCTCACAAATATGTAAAAATGTAGCCCCCTCAGAATATGTACACAGTAGGTCCATACATATTCAGATCATATTTCCAAGAAACAAAACTAATAATGACCAACATAAATATTCAGCTTAAATTAACCATATTTTGTCTTAAATTATTTCAAAATAAATTATTATGCAACATTTTATTTTAGATTGTGTGTCCAATCTCATTTCTTCTGTCCATGTGTTTTCCTTAATCATATTTCTTCCCACTACTAAACATGCATTTGTAAAATCATTGTAGTAACCAAGAATCATGCACAAAGTAAATTTTCCTTATTTTATGAATAAAATCATTGGATTTAGAAATTCACGATTTCAAATCTTAGCATCTAGTCCTAATGTTTATAATGTGTTTAAAAATATCTTTATGGGGCCATTTATCATTTTCTATTCTCCAATATTCACTTTTCTTCATTTTCCAAACTATGTTTTAAAATGACTGAAACTAATGTGAAAGAACTTTGAAAAAAATGTGACCTGTTTCCTTATATTGGCTGCAGATGGGAACTGGTTCATGAAAAGCAATTTCTAAAAATGCATCAACAAATATGTTCTGCCATTATGCACAAGTCAAGTTCTGAGTCAGGAATAAGGGTGACAATTTGAAGCTATAATAATTCTCAAACACGGTTTAATTTTTCAGGACCTTCAGAGATGGAATTTTGAGATTTGTACATAACTTTAATGGTATATAAATAAACTTTAATGGTATATAAATTCATTTCAATGGGATTTCCCGTAGATATGAACACAGGGTACCAAAAAAGGCTTAAAACTGGATGTTTATGTCTGCTCTCAGCTGGCTAAAACTTAGCTGGTAAAGGGACTTCAAGTGCCTTGATGAGCTAGAGGGGTCTAAATGTAATATCAGATAAGAAGAGCCATATTGATCTGCTTTGGCTTCCTAAACGCTAATCTTCCAGTTTCATGAGGACTCAAAAAATAAGTCAATGACTTCCATCATGAAAGTTCTATTCCAGACAGTGATTTTGCCTCAACTAAAAAAAGTATTTTAAAAGGCTGTGATTAGAATTTTATACATTTTCTCCTAGAATGTTATCTCTTTAATGTTTTCTTTTCTTGAAGAAAATGGTACCACATAGACACACACACACAAAATTATTTTTCTTTTCATAGTCACCGATCTTTTGCAGTCAGAGAGAGTGAGAGACAAAGACAGAAACTGAACAGAGATATCTTCAAGCACATATATCTAAATGTGCCTGTTTACATTATTTGATATTAAAAAATTGCTAATATTTAATCACTGTCTAAAATTCACGTATCTGTTCTTCAAAGTGCTAATCCAAAAGAGAATATATTTCCCCAGTGAAATGATTTACTTGCCTCTCAAACTCTGCGGATGAATGGCAAGCATGATAGACTAAGCCTGAGTTACCATTAATCTGAGAGATCAATGTGGACTATTGGTCCGTCTCATGGCACTCCATTTCTTCTTCACTCTCACGGCAAAAAGAAGTCACCCTTTGACCTTATAATTAGATCACATTCTCTACTAGATCTCCAGAATAAATAAGAATTCCTGGGGAAACGACAGCCATAAATGGATAGGACAGCTAGAGGTTTTGTAAAAATCTGGGCAAGGCCAGGTGTGATGGCTCATGCCTGTAATCTCAGCACTTTAGGAGGCCGAGTTGGGTGGATCACCTAAGGTCAGGAGTTCGAGACAAGCCTGGCCAACATGGTGAAACCCCATCTATACTAAAAATACAAAAATTAGCTAGATGTGGTGGCACAAGCCTGTAGTCTCAGCTACTTGGGAGGCTGAGTTAGGAGAATCACTTGAACCTGGGAGGCAGAGGTTGCAGTGAGCCAAGATCATGCCACTGCACTCCAGCTTGGTGACAGAGATGGAGTCATCTCAAAAAAAAAAAAAAATCTGGGCAAAATCATCCCACCTACAACATTGCCTTAGAGACTATGGCTATCACATGCTAGGAAATAGAATCTGTATGATAAGCATAGAAACTGCTATCATGGAGAATTGGGACTAGCTTCTCAGTTCATCAATCCGTTGATATAGAGTAGAGCATGCCAAGGCAGTTTTCCCAGCTGTATGTCTTTATCCCAACCCAGCACCTTACCATTAGGAAAAGATACAATGATAAAATAAGTCCTGTAGAGTTTTTGTTTTTCAGTCCTTTTAGAAAATAAGCTCAAATGACAGCTTTAAGTTTCACTAAGAGCATTAGTGGAAAACAGCATGTAATATACTACCAATATTGTCCCTTATTTTAACAGTGCTCTGTTACTGATTAATTCTTTTTAGTCTAATGCTGTAATATAAAATAAACTGCCTCCTGTAAAATGATAAAAAGGAAAATAACGTCCAATAGTAACCACAATTTCAAGAGAATTGTGCTACACTAAGTGATCAACAACTATTTAAAATTTTACGTTCTGCATATGTACTGCCTACTGACAAGCTATGCAATTACAAATATATTCTTCATGTGGATGTCTTGAATGTTCCTAATGAAAGTTGCATAATGTAACGAGAAGGTTTCAAATACTGTTAAACTCTACAAATGCTCTGTCTGTTTTATCATTTTCTTCAGTGAACAGGTACATTTTTAAGGCACCCAAGTGTCAACAAGTGTATCAAATAGAGCCTTGAGCTTCAGTGATTTCATAAAAGAGGAACTTGCCAATGAATTTTAAAAAAGTACATTATATATTCAGGTTAGATTCACAAACTCAATGTTGCATGGCAAGAAGTCTATGCTCATTTCTTGGTATCATGAATTGCAATTTTTCCCCCAATTCAGAGAACCAAACCTAAACCTTCATAAATAAATGAACAACTTGAAGGTAGCTTATACCATAGAAGTCTTAGAGAAGGAATTTATCATGTATTCAGTTTAAAGGGCTCAGTTTATGAGTGCCATGAAAGTGATACATGTCATCCAATATGCCTTGATACAGAATCAGGTGGCCCAAAATAAATCTAATGTACAATTTGTGGTAAAAATATGCTTCAATCATTCTCTCTCTCTCTCTTTGCCATATATGCATATATATATATATATATATATGTTTGTGCATACATACACACAATCACACATAGAAACATATATATGTTTTGTTTTGTTTTTTAAATTTAAATGGTAACTGCTGTTATAGGAAAACAATATATTAATATACACACTCATAGCCATCTCAAAACATACTGCTATGGAAAGCTAGGAATGAGAGAGAAATTTCAAATCACTGAAGAAAGGGCGTTTGTCTTATTTTGGATACTGAAATAAGCTAGGTATCAAATAAAAATTTGTCAACTGAAACTGAATTGAAATACTAAGATTAGGAAGTGACTGGAGAAAAAAAAATATGTATTTTTTTAAAGGTAAGCAAAATAAATTTAGCTAATCATTTAAGGAAACCATTTGTTAAGCCAAGTGAGACATATATTTTAAGATGGGAGCATTAAATATTAAGTAGTAATTAGAGAAAAGGTTGCAATACAAGACAAAAGAATTGTTATTCATGGCATTTTAAAAATTATATAGCTCTCATAATTTTCAAAATATTTATTAAATTCATCCTGGAAAATGTAATAACAAATCCAAAATTCATTCCACCACTCATTGAATTAAAAGTCATAATACTACCATTCTCCCCAGAATGAAATCTTTATTCCTTAAGCTGCTCCTCAATTTGTTTGCAGTGCAATTCAGTTATTCTTTAAATTTAAAACAGTGTTGTTTGCCACAGGAACTGTAAACTCTAAAGTCTGCAGAGCACAAAGTGAAGCAGAGATCAATCAGTGGGTTAAATATATTTTCCTGGGCAGTCTACATTTCGTGGCTTGAATTGCACTCTCATTTCTTATATAGGTAAAAGTAGCCAGCACCACTTTAGGTTACACTGCATAAAAAAAATGCTACAAAGGTAGCATCTTTATATTTCTGAATTGCCCCACCATGACTGAGCTAAAAAGAAGTTCCCTATCTCTGCAAGCAGCATATTGCTTTTATTTTCAAAGGAGCAGAGTAGGGTAAAAACATGGGCATTTGCTTTTTTTTTTTTTTTTCTGAAGGTAACACTTTAAAAACCCACTGGAAGAGGAATAATTAATTTACTCCTTGTGTAAACAACATTGATAGCTTTTAAAATCTTGCATGTTGTTTTAGATAGAAATTAAAACACTGTCCCATACCTTCAACTTTTCTGTGCTCTGAATATTTCACCTGACTTGTGTGACCTTGAGTAGAGCTATTGGAAGGTCTAGACTTCACTGTTCTAAGTGTAAGTTTCATTCTAGTCTTAAAATGACACGATTCTTATTGATGTTAAAATCCTGAATCTAAAAAAGTGTGCATTCTTCTAAAAACATCTGCACACTGATAATAGAAAATTCAGAATACAGGTGGTATTTCATGTCTACAAGTAGCCACTTATCTACACAGGCAAGATAAGTAATGATTTGTGTTGTAAGAATAGGTGGAAAAAAAGAAGGCCTGCAAACAACCATAGGCACAGCACCACTGCTAACTCTTTTATATGTAAAGAGCTGAGTTGGCACTGTTTCTTCAAAGCTCTACAGGGAAAGAAGCTGGCACAGTGGTGGAGGTAGCTGATACCTGGCTGGAGAACAGAAACCCAACAACACTGAACATAATGCAATGTATGGACATGTTGACAGAAATAGGAGATTCATGTCCTTAGGGAATGCCCACAGGAATCCAAAGTAGCTTTTGCCAATGACCATTCACTAACATATAATTAATGCTGAATATATATTTATTAAATAAGTTAATAACTTTAAAAGTAACTTCTGCACAAGAAGCCCAGAAATAAATGAAATAAATGTGCATAAACTGTTCTAAAATTTCAGGATAGTGAAAGAAAGATCAAGGTTAACTGAAGATAAGGACTTGTTTCCAGAGGTGATGCTTGAATTGTCTTCTAAATGAACAGTGCACTGTAAGCTGTCGATGACAGGACTGAAGTTCATTTATCTTTGGCTTGTCACTCATGCTAACACCTACTGGACAGTTAGGAAATATTTATTGAATAAGTGAGGAGAAAGGAGGTGTGAGGCAAGAAACGAGTGGAATCTGTAGAGTTTTTTAGGAGCTAATTTGTACAATGCTAAGGCATTTGAGATTATACTATGACTGACGGGAGAAATAGAGGGTTGTGAAGCTGAGGAGGAAAATACTATTTCATTTTTTATTTGGTAGAAATGTGGAAGGTGACTTAGTGGGCTGGGATTTGGTGGCAGGGGGTCCAGTTAGAACACTACTGTGATTATGTAGACAGAATGATGAAGATCTGATAACTTAGTTGAAGAACCATCTCAGATTTTTAGGGGTCACTCACCTAAATGATAAATTCTAAAGGTACCCTTCCATGGCATTCAGTGAAACAGGTCTTCTTGAGTAGAATATAAAGACAGTACCATAGTTTAAGAAATATCAGCATCTAGATTTCCTTCTATTAAAAGCTAACTTCTACTATGTTTTCCAGAAAGAAGTTAATATTTATATCTCTGGTGGAATACCTACATGCCTATCTGTTTGCTTAGGAGTGGAAAAGAAAAGAAAATCGGACTAAAATATTGGGATTTGTTACTATTTCAATGTTTTATGGCCCTTTTCTTTACTGTTTATCAATTACATAAAAATCTACAACATAACTATGTGTCCATAACACAATTAAGTATGCTTATTTATGGGTGATATAGGCATATTTCAATTTAATGTTCTTTCCAAACTATAAAAAAGGACTGAAAAATTTCCAACTTCCATCTCATTTAAATATATATTAAGTGGCTATCACCTTTACAATGTCAACTGCCCTCTTTCTAATTTGGTGTTTAGTTAAAGACAAAATGTAATTAATATACAATTTTAAGGAACAAACAAGATAAAAAGGAGTGGGTTAGATGATGATATTTCTTGAGTGAACACAAGCTATTTTTTAAAATGAATTAAAAGTACAACTATGCACAGGAGATGACAGAGTATAGTTAATAAATGCAGCTGCTTGACAACTAAAAATGAAGAGAATATTCTATACTGAATGAAAACAAATTATTGTGATGTATATTAATGATAAGATGGGAGTATATATATTTTAAGTAATTCTGCTGGTCTCTCAAGAGAGAAATTCCAAAAGTTGCAAGGCTCAAGGGTATGTCCTCACAAAACAATACTGGTCATATACAATGTTCTTTTTTGCTTGTTTGTACAGTTCTGCCTCTTGAGAAAGATAAACATGACATTAGTCCTCATACATGAGAACAACTCTAATGCCAATGAAATGCTCAATAAAACAAATTTTAGTAATGGGCCTTAAATGATGGAAAAAAGTAGAGGTACTCCTCATTTTTGCATTCAATATGCAATTGAGGGATCTTCTTGAGTAATATTGATACATTCAAAAATCTTCTGCTCCCTTGAAGAGTGACTTTATAACAAAGTTGGAAATAAATAAACTGAGTTTGGCCGGGCGTGGTGGCTCAGGCCTGTAATCCCAGCACTTTGGGAGTCCGAGGCAGGTGGATCACAAGGTCAGGAGTTCGAGACCAGCCTGGCCAAGATGGTGAAACCCCGTCTCTACCAAAAATACAAAAATTAGCAGGGCACGGTGGCACGCGCCTGTAATCCTAGCTACTCGGGAACTAAGACAGGAGAATCGCTTGAACACGGGAGGCAGAGGTGGCAGTGAGCCAAGATCGTGCCACTGCACTCCAGCCTGGTAACATAGTAAGACTCTGTCTCAAAATAAATAAATAAATAAATAAATAAAATAAAATAAAAAACAAACTGAGTTCGTACAGTACCCAAATAACAGAAGTCATATATTAAGAACAATATTTTGTGTCAGCAAAATACTCTGCTTCCTCTTCCTGACTTATAAACCAAAACATCATTATGCACTTGACAGGTATAGTATAAACCATGTGGTGTAAACATTTGTGCATTCAAAACTGCAAAAAATGCTCTTATAGTATCTTTTTTTGTGCTGTATTCTGATTAGTACTGAAGTTTTGTTGCATATTTACTATACTTTGTGATTTCTAAAGTTCCTACCAAGTGAAAAGCACCCTTCTAGTATAGTTTACCTGAAGTATGGATTGTGGAAGGATGATTTAAAAAGTATTTCTTTCCTCAAAGAAGATTTAAATCTATTGAAGGAGGCAGATATAAACAAAAAGAGTTAGAGAAAGTAAGAGTAGGAAGGTTGAGTTTGTATATAGAATGTATCTAGCTAGTTTCAAGGCTTGAAGTTAGTATAATCAAGAGGAGAATTTAGGTATAGGGATGTTAAGAATCAGAATTATCCTGGGAACTTGAGAAAAGTACACATACCCAGTGCTTCTTGCCTCTCAAGAAATATCAGAATATTAGGAGGGCATTTGGGGAAGATGGGTTATAATTCTTATTGTTATAGAACTCTTTTCAACTCCCCTTTATGAATAACCATGTTGCTAAAACGTAAATTGCTCAAAGACAAGAACATAATCTAACCCTTGCCAAGGGCATAGTAGCTTCTCCCGAATAGGTGATCAACTGACTGGATAATTACCTACCACATGCTGGAGACCCGGACTAAGGCTTATTTTACACAAACTTTCACGTACCAGCCAATGTCATTCGAACACTAATTCCACGTGTAGCAAATGCTCATCAGCACAAGTCATTACATCCCCCAATGCTTATTTTATTCTTGTCCATGATCATAAATGAATATACGAAATAGATAGACAGACAGATAGATAGACAAACAACTAAATATCTGTGATTCTAGCGTCAGCTCTGTTGCAGTGGGACATGGGATATAGTGAAAGTCTCAGTTTAACTACCCACCTTGCCACATACCAAGTTTACAGATGGGATAGTAACACCCTTATTCATATGATGGTTGTAAGTAATAAATACAAGAATGTATATGAAAATGCCCATCATGAGGCTTGGGACATAAAAGCTTTCAGTTGAGTACAGTATTACAGATTTTGAATTTGGAAGTCAGAAAAGAGGAGTAGGTAATATTAGGGCCCATAAGACAAGTGGATCTTTCATTTGTCTTACATTAAAACCAAAATCATTTGGATCAATAATTCCAACATTCTGAAAAAAAATGTAGGTACATATCTTTGGAATCAAAAACACCTTTGAATTCAGGCAGAACATCCACTCCAAGAGAACATTAATGTTTGATATTGTGATTGAACTGATATACTGATTGAAATATATTCAAGGAGTGTTCAGCCCTGTGTCTAAAAACGGTAACAACAAACCATAAAAATATTATTTTTGTCTGGGCACAGTGGCTCACACCTGTAATCCCAACACTTTGGGAGAACAAGGTAGGAGGATCATTTCAGATTAGGAGCTCAAGACCAGCCTAAGCAACATGGTGAGATACAGTCTCTACAAAAAAATTTAAAAGTATCTGGGCATAGTGGCTTGCACCTGTTGTCTCAGCTACTTTGGAAGCTGAAGTGGGAGGATTGCTTAAGTTCAGGAGGTCAAGGCTTCGGTGAGCTGTGTTCATACCACTGCACCCCAGCCTGGGTGACAGAGTGAGACTCTGTCGATATATATGTGTGTGTATACATATATGTGTGTGTGTGTGTATATATATATGTGTGTGTGTGTATATATATATATGTATACACACACAAAATGTATGTCGATATATATGTATATATACACATATATGTCGATATATATGTGTATATATGTATACATACACAAAATATACATGCATAATGCATTTGTACATATATGTGTATATATACATATTTTGTATATATATACACAAAATATATGTACATTTATATATTTTTTATTTTTAAATAACTTTGTGAAACTGTTCCATATGTTCCATGTTATCATTGGTGTGTCAAACTGCTCTAAAATAATTCCTGAATTAATTTTTCTTTCCACTCAGCATCATCTTTTATTCTCCATAAAGAAGCAGATAACTGGACAACAGCTTCTCATATGAATGCAAAATAACAAAAAATTATTGGTGTGAAGTAACTGTTATTGCCCATAACAACCTTTATAATTATTGTTGTCTTTGTGAAGTAATCAGTATTTTTGAAAAAAGAGAAATTATATATATTGAAATTATAAAATTAATAATGCCAATAGATTTAATTTTATGTAATCCTAGTTAATTCAGAACTGAAAAATGTTCTGGCTTATACCATAGAACATCATTTTACATCATAGAACAATAAAATTCCAAAGGGTTATATGACTTGTCCAATATTATATAATATATGACAGGCAGAGTTAGGACTGGAAGAAGTGAGGTCACCAGATATACCTCAGAATTTAAACAAAACATGGAGTGAGAATTGTAGCTTTAAGAAAGTATCTTTATAAAATGAGACTCTGTGTCCAAATTAAGGACAAGATTTTTAGTAAAGAGTGTAGAATTTTTTGGGTTGACATTTCTTGAATTATTGTAAACACATTCAATGCATGTATTTAGAAATTCTGCTATTGGAATCGTTAAGACTTCATTTTGTATATAATATGCTGTTGGGTTTAGGTTTGAATCAGCAAAAAAGCATAAAAGACCTGGGAGATTTAGAGACATTTAAATTAATTGAGGACTTGATTTGTCTATTAAAAAAAATACATATCCCCGTTAGGGTTTCTTACTCTCTCCTTTGTTGATTCTCACAGATATGTTAAATTGGTATTTCCCATTAATTCTGAAAAAAGTTTATAGATAACATTTAAATGAATTATAAATTGACTTCTGGAATTAACACGTATAATTTTATATACATTCAAAACTAGCATTTTAGTACCTATTTAGAAAAGTTAAAAAATTAAGAACAATTCACTATTCATGTCAATCACCAGATAATGGCTAATAGTTATTAAAATATCTGTGTGCAATTGTTATTACAAATGAAAGTATGATTTTCATCTACTGAACACAACAAAATTTATAAGAAAACAAAACAAATATCAAAGATGATACATTCTGCATAAATAGCATGCACCCAGACAAAATAATTTGTAATTGTATACTGTGAGATTTGTTGATTATGCTACCAAGGGGTAAGGTGGACTCAATCCCACCTTTCATTAAATCAGTGGCCCTGAATAGCACTGTGCAGGGGGAAAAAGCTTTGTATTTGGAATTAGACACACCTGTAACTGAATCATAGTACTAACACATGCAAATAGAAAATAGTGGACTGGAAACTATTATTATGCTTTTTACAATCTTGCTTTTTCTTTTTTTTATTTATAAATATTGGAATAACAATTCCTATTCTGTAGATGCACAGTGGAGTATCAATGAGAATGTATATGAAATCTCCTAGCACACAGCTTGGCCCTATAAGTATTCAATTATCTTTCTCTCCTGAGTAATTAGCCTGGGTCTCTACCTAGGCTCTTCCCTTGATCTAAATTGGATATCTATAGGTTCACCTAGGGTGGGGCTGTACTATTTCCTGTGCTAGAAAGAAACTTCTGAAATGTGTGTATTAAGCCTGGGGTCAGACTGCATCTTTCTATCTTTTGCCAGCGGCTTATTTTTGATGTTCAAGTGGTTTAGACAGGAGTGAAGATTCCTCTCTGCTCCTCTTCTTTTGGCCATGCTTAAAATAGGAAACTGGGAAAAGAAGTTTTGTACTGTTACTGATACTTGTTTGGAATTAGAATGAGAGAGTCAGAGTAAGTAAATATGAAAACACATTTGAGTGTAGTAAGATGTGTACCTAAGCCTACAGGTCATTTGCTTATTTTATTCTAAGGCATATTAATAAGATCATTTAAATTTCAAACAGTCAAAACAGAATTACAATTCTCATTGTTTATTTACTCTAGGAAATGATCTTTTGTCAAAAAAAAGAAGCAAAAAATAAAGAACCAAAAAAAAAGAAAAAAAAGGACAGGTTTTTAAGTAAAATGCTACCCAAAGTAAATAAAAAATAAATATCTTAGTCTGGGTGACAGAGTGAGACCCTGCCTCAAAAACAAACAAATAAACAAAACCCACCAAATACCTGTTTATATATACAAAATATTTAATTTGTTAAGTGGGAAAAAGTGAGAATCAGACCCTGGGTTACAATTTATTGTCTTGTATTTTGATTTTCTGACTTTCCAATTCAATTTAAGAGAAGAAATCCAGGCTTCATGAAGCAAAGCTATTCCCAGTGCAGTCTACAGCATTGTTAACCCTCTAACAGCTCAGGTGGCTCCATACTCGCTCACACTCTGCAGTAACTCAGGCCACTGCAGCCTGCTCCTCTCCTATCACTGTAAGAAGTACTTGCTGTCATTGGTCATCCAAACTAAAGTTAGATTTAGAAACAGTATTTTTCTACTTCCATGTTTTTGGCATGAAACCTATCTACCTGATTTCTAATAATCAGCTAAATATACCAGTCTGTTAAGACACAGCTTTGTTATCAATGCCAGAATGAAAACTGCTGATATGAATGAGTATCATTCTTAGGCAAGGAGTTGCTAACAGTTGAAGATGAGAAATAAATAGATTTTTTTATCCTTAAAAATAAATCTTAATAAAAGGAAATGCATAAGTATGTCATATCTCTATAATAAATCTGTAAAAGCAAAATATATCATCATCAGTTACCCATAGTTAGAAATTTCTCTCCAATTATAGCTTTTCTGCAGAAATGAGTCATACTATATCCAGATACCTTTATAAATTTGCATTTGCAGTAATAAATAGCAGGAGTGACAGATGTTTTCCAGTCACTATTATTGGGTTTCCACATCCACTGAAAGAAAACTCATAGGCTATCTATTCTACAGGTAGGCTGAAGTGGGCTAATTTAATGGATAAAGGATTGGAATTAATAAAGGATGGAAAAATAATTGATTAAGTCTCAAGAAAATTTGAGTGGAAAATGCACAGTTTTTTTTAACAATGATTATACAGCAAATATAATAAAAAGTGTTAGATTTCAACTGTTCAACTTGATAGTGTAATATCTAAGGAAAAAAAATAGTCTAGTGGATTCCAAGACTCTTCAGTCAGTGATTTCCATTCCTCTGTGCTTTAGAAGTTAAGACGAGTCCACCAGGGATTGATAATGTCATCTTACAGAAAGCAATAAGCAATCTTGCCTCCTTGAACAATTAACAGAAAAAATAAAAATTAGAAATGACACGACTTTCTGGCACTCTCTTAATTGTGTGGGGAAATCGTAAGTGTGTGAAAGTGCTTTTTTGACCTGGTGCAATGGTATGATTATGTGGTATGCAATAGTATGATTATGCTGGTTTAATCTTAGCACTATTTGAGTCTTGAAAACGTGCCCATGCATAGGTGGGTGATATGGTCTGGCTGTGTGTCCCCACCCAAATCTCATCTTGAATTGTAGTCCGAATTGTAATCCCCATGTGTTGGGGTGTCGGGGAAGGGATCTCGTGGGAGGTGATTAGATCATGGGGGCGGTCCCCCCATGCTGTTCTTCTCGTGATAGTGAGTGAGTTATCATGGGATCTGATGGTTTTATGAGTTTTTTTTTCCCCCCCTTTGCTCATTCTTCTCATTCCTGCTGCAGTGTGAAGAAGTACATATTTGCTTCCCCTTCCACCATGATTGTAAATTTCCTGAGGCCTCCCTAGCCAGGGCGGAACTGTGAGTCAATTAAGCCTCTTTCCTTTATAAATTACCCAATCTCAGGTATGTCTTTATTAGCAGCATGAGAATGGACTCATATGGTGGGGGAGAAATGCATTCTAATTACCTTCTAACAAATATAATTTATAAAATGAAAACTGGCCCTCACTAACCGAGATCCCTTCAGACTTTTTATACCACTTAAGGTCCTAGATAAATATTTTTATGGTTGCTTTTCCACATGTCTTTACCTGGCTAACTCTTACTCTGCCTTCTAGATCTGGATTGCATACCCTGCATTCAAGTGTACCTCCTGCCCAACTACTCAGATTGGGCTTCCTGACCCTCTCCATTTTTGAGCCTCCTCTGTATGTTTCTGTGTTTATAACTTATCATTTGTGGAAAAGCTGTTAGTTTCCCTTTCTGCCAGAACTAGCATATTTTTCAGAGTGTCAAGGTACCCCACCCAACAGGTGACTAAACAGTATAAATCAATTATTCAATTTGTCTTTGTTCCACTTGATATTCATTATCCAAGCTTTGCTTGACCAGGAGGTTGACCAAGTGATCCACTTATGGGCAGGGAGATATTAGAAGTCTGTCAGAGGGTTTCTGAGCAAATCTTTCTTTCTGCTTGAAAATAAATAAATAAGTTATTCCCCTTTCTCACAGATGGCTTTCTGCCTTTGGAATTGATACGTGATATTTGACTCTATCATGGCCATGTTAGAACCAAGTGGCAACAAGATGAATAAAGGTGACAGAGTAGAAGGGAAAACATCATTCCTTGCTGACATCATTAACTTGCCATTAAACCAATTCTGAAACTGAGTATTGGCAGAGTTCCTGTTAAGTAAACAAGAAATGTCTTTATGCTTAAGAAAAAAAATGATTTATTTGTATTTTTTAATAAAAGCAACACTGAACTTAAAAGCTTGCATAAGAAATATGTTTAACATCCCTAATATCTATCTTATTATTATAATAATATATTATAACTGGGTATATAGAGTAAATGTCAGTGTAACTTAGATTAAATATTTATATCCATCTTCCTAATATAAGATTTTAAAGTCATAATGATCACAATCTGATTGTTGATTGGCCTGAATCTTTGATTTATCAAATTGCCTTAATGGATGCAGCAGAGATGTCACTATTAATTTTGTTATAAATTCAAATTCTTATTAATGCTGACACACTGTATAAATATGTAATATGTTAAATTTACCTCTGCTGCAAACTTCGGTTTCTCAGCATTTTGAACTGAAATCATGTTGACTCTTGACTTAGTCATGAAAAATAAACTTCACGTAATGGAAAACAAAACAATGAAAAATAAAGGTTGTTGATCACATGGACACAATAATGACAGAGATAATAAGCAAAAGTCAATGTACATTATGTCTCTAAGTGTTTTAAATACTTTCCAATGTCAGTTAATTTTATCAAAAGGTGATGGCAGTTAACTAAAAACATACTACTACTAATATGCTTTAATGAAATAAACACAAATGTAAATACTGCTTAAAAACAAACACATTGTCCTTAGACATAAAAGCTTCTATAGGTATAACAAATGTATCTGAGAAAGAAGAAAAAGACAGGAGAATTATTGGTAACTCTTAAAAGGAACTGTCAAAAAAAAAGGCTCCTAAAGCCATTTACAGCTTTAGATGTACAATTTATTCATTTTTTTTTCAATACAGGGTTTCACTCTGTCACCCAGGCTGGAGTGCAGTGACACAATCACAGCTCACTGCAACCTCAACTTTACAGGCTCAAGCAATCCTCCCACCTTAGCCTCCCGAGTAGCTGGTACTACAGGCACCACCATGCCTGGCTTTTTTTTTTGTTTTTTGTATTTTTTTTGTAGAGATTGTGTTTCACCATGTTGCCCAGGCTGGTCTGGAACTCATGGGCTCAAGCAACCTGTCTGCTTCAGCTTCCCAAAGTTTGGATGTAAAATTTAAATTTCATTGAGTATGAGAAATAAGTTAAATATGCTTGTAATTTTAAATAAATTATGCATTTTATAGTGATAAATTGGGACTTGGTAAAACACTATCTGACTGGCCTATAGCAGTGGTCTTCTATTTTATTCTTGGGAGCTCCTTATACACCTACAAAATACTGAAGACTCTAGAGAGCTTTTGTATGTGGGTTACATCTATCAATATTTAGTATATTATAATTTAAAACAGAAAATTTTAGAATACAAAGAATAATAGGATCACTCTTTACCCATTAAAAATCAGAGCAATAAAGCCATCACCCATGATATAGCCTTTGAGTTGTCATCTCCACCCATGAGAGAATAAGGCTGGAAAAAGCAAAGAATGCCTTACTATTATTGTGAAATAATTCTGAACTTACAGACCCCAGGAGTCCCCAGCCCTTACTTTGAGAACTAACGGACTACAGTAATAAGAGGAAAAACTTGGAACAAAATGAATAGTCCACAGTTGCTGGGAGGTACATTGTTTTTCAGGTAATCATACAAAGAGAACAATTGATTGGAGAAAAAAAGATAAAGGCTGAGATTCTACTGAAATGTCTGCAACACGGATAATGCTTTTCTAATACAGCTTAAATTTGGCAGTGCTCATGGGTACGTTAACTATCAGGAAAACTGCAAGATGACTCAGTTATCTAAAAGTAGAATATCTGATAAAATTTAAGACTTGCCTTGAAGTCAATTTTATCTCTTAGAAAGTAGACATAAATAGAGGCACTGCTTACTCCTGGCTTAATTCTGATAAATAAGGAAAATACTGATGCTTGTTTATGTGTAAGTGATAGGAACCATTGGAAGACACAAGTTTCTCATATTTGAAACAATAAAGCAAAGAAATTATAGTCAGAGAGAAATGTGAGGGATGAGCAGAGGCCAACATTTCCAAGAATGAAAATATGGTTTTATTGCCAGAATTTCTGAAAGGTAGGAACAATAAGGGAAGGGGGAGTTTCCAAAAGTGGAAATGTAATCATACAATTAAATGTAAAGCTGGTAATGAAAAAGTAGGGTAAATCTCTTGTAAGGAAATTGGATTCACAAGGAGGCTGATAATCCACAACTATGAGTAAATAAATAAAATTTAAAAAGAATGAATCAAGCAAGAAGAGAGGAAGGGAGGGAAGGAATGAAAAGACAATAAATGCAATTATGATTCAAGGTGTGAATCATTCAGTTTAAATATGCCACTGAAATTCATAATGTAGTTGTAAACCTTATAATTTACGTATGCTGTTTTAGTGCATTTTTGGAGGGAGAGTAGAACTAAATAATATTTCAATATTTTTACTCACATCTTTACCTTCATGCCTTTTTCCCCCCTTTCTACTTTAGGTTAAGTTTCTATCACATTAAGATATACTTACTTACTTCACTTATGTGTTTTGTGTGATTTTTAATGGGAATTGTAGAAACATTCCTGCTTATAACATACTGTAAAACCAGATTCATAATCCATCCTCTTTCCATTTTTTTATTCCTTGTATGCTATTTAGATGTTATGTCTATACAGTAAAATTGTTTTTAAAGAAATAAATGATATTTGTTTGCATCACAGACACCTGATAAAGATGGGCTGACATTTGCATTTAAGCAAATTTACTGATCCTAGATGGATAAATCTCAGTAAAATATGAGGCAAACACATAACACAGATAGTTACTTTTTGTCCATTTCCATTTGCTCTATTTTTTTCTTTCTTCTCCTCCATCTCCCCTCATCTTGATTCAATCATCTTATTAAACACTCTGCTTATCACTTCTTCATTTCTCTTTATTATTCTCATATAAAAGATTTAACCTAGCACCAGTTTTCAAGATGTTGTTTGCAATAAGAAACTGTTGCAAATAACTGGTGGTTGCTGTGATAGCAAAATTTGCATTTGCACAGTTTACAAATGCATCTTCCTTTGCAGAGATACTTAGCTATGATTGAACAAACCATTTTTCATAGCACATTTCCTTCTAAATACATAGGTTGTGTATATGGGCACCGACCAAAGGATTTCAAGGAGAACATAAAGTGTTTTTATCCATAGATCATCTGAACAGAAAAATAGATTATTTAAATGTTATAAGGAGAAGGTGCCAAATACTCATCTCCCCTTGATCTGAGGGAGCAAGGAATGTTAGAAGTTATTACATTGCTACAGAGGGTGACTGAGCATGAACCAAAGGCTGCGTTAAAGATGCAATGACTTTACTCTGGCCTTCAAAAGGAAAGGTGTATGTGTCCATATATAGGAGGACAGAATGTTTCTACCTGTTATCATCAGTATTTTCCAAATCTAACCGTAATTTAAACCTTGGAGTCTTATAAATGTGGCAACCGTATGTCTTGGCCTCTCCAGGATGGAGCTGGTTTATAATGGTTAATCTAGAGTAATGATTATTAGTGCCCCCTTTTACTCCTCCAAATGCCCTAGTTTCAAAGATAAATTACATGGAGACATTATGTATAAGGGACTGATTGGGAATGGAATGAGTCAGGGAGGAGGTGATGCTAGAGAGAGATTATTTTAATAGTGGTTGGCTAAAATATGTTCTGTGGTTTTGTTGCCAGAGTGCTGTATTTATGAAGAAGTTAGCTGACTGTCTTGCTGCTTTGGGCATGCAGGATTGTGGATAGTAAAAGGTACAATTTGTTTCTCTCTCTAAGAGGAAAAAAGAGAAGGGCTTCTTCAAGCAGTGCCGACCTTGGATTAAGCATCAGATGAATGCAGGAGAAACACATGGGCTTTGGCATCAGATGAATGTGGTTCACCTTTGTTCTGACAAGTAGCAGCTGTGAGACTTGGGCAAGTTTTAATTAGACTCTTGCCCTAAGCCCCAGATTCTTCAGCGATGAAACAAGATAACTATATGGACACCTTCCAGAATTGCTGGGAAGTTTGCAGACAATATTTGTGATGCACACAGTCAATGTAAAAACTGCTCCTGTTACTACTAGACTATAAGCACACATCAAGCATTACTGACAACTAATATTTACTGTAACGCTTCCCATTAAGGTTTGACTTAGGCTCCTTACTTTCATTATGTAACATAAACTTCAAAAAAGTGATTATGATCTGTTATTTACCCTTGAGAAAATTGTGACTCAGAGAATTTACTACACATATTCATCTTCGTGTGGCTTGTAACGGGTCAAATTAGGATCACAGTTTAGCTTTGTTTAAACACAAAGTTATATTCTTAATCTCTGCATTACTTAGAACTTAAACCCTGTAAAGAGGACCTGGTGTTTTCATTCACCACTGAATCATCAGCACCTAGATGGTGCGAAAACAAACAAATAACTAAAACAACCATAGAAATTAAGCATTAATGACAGCAAGATGCATATATATATTAAATTAATAAATGCCAATAAGCTGTAGATTCCTTCATCATGTTTTCATCTGATATCATCAATTTTTTTGTTTCAAATACATATAAGAGGTTTTTTAGCTGCAGAAAAATTTCTATTTTCTCTGATTCAGCAAAACCATATACAGTGGTTTAGAAAGAAGTACCCAAGAGGCAGCTAAAGAAAGCAGTACCTTAGCAAAACAAGGTTTATGTGCTTATCTCAGAAACAAGGCACAGATCTCACTTATAGTCTAAAAGACACACTTAAAAGCATTAGAGGGTAAAACCTCTCCACTGGAGCAATGTCCTACTACTAAATGACTTTCATCATTTCTCCTCGGAGATGGGAAACTTTTCAAAGTTTAAAATGCTAGTAATACTAACAAAGCAACGAAAAAGGCAGCAATAAATATGCTCAAGCGTAAATACATCTGAGAGAGAAGAAAATGTTCCAGGAAGAGGCTTAGGAATGCTCCCTGACAGAATCTCTTTCTTCTAATCTATGTTCACTCTTGCATGCTAAATACTGTGTTCAATAAGGGACACAGGTTTGGACTCACTAATAGCCTTTCTTTGTTATTCTAAATTTATTCTATAACTCCGTAGCAGAGAAGAACCAATTGTGTGGTCTGGCCTTAGGCAGCATTCATCCCATCCTAGTCATGGGGGAGTCCTGAGGAGGGGGGTGTTGTTTTTTAATGTTGTTGCTGTAGCTGTAATTTCCATGTAGGTATAAAACTTAATTTAGAACATTTCAAGGCATCACATCTTAAACACTTCACTTCACTGAGGCATCTACAACATTCATAGGAAGATTGCTTTCAGTTTAACTCATTATAAAATATTAGAAGCGATCTACAATTACCACTAATTTTTAACACGAAAACTTATTATGTTGAGCATTTAACATAAAGAACTGTAATCCATCAGTTTTGGTATTCTTGACATCCCTGATTATTTAAAATAAAACAAATTTTTATTTTTTTAGACACTGGGAAAAAAATCCCTCTGATGGCTCTCTTTACACCTTAAAACTACATGTACTTTAATAATATAAGGCAACTTCATTTAAGTAGTCTATCATATTTCAGTATTTTAAACATTGTTAAAGAATATAAGTCAGGTTCACTAGAATGCAGTGGATTGTATGATTGAGACAAACAATTCTGATTTTAAACAAAATTCAAGTGAATATCCTCAATAGAAACAAAGTTTTATCAGCAGGGATCACTTTTTTTTTTTTTTTTTTTGAGACGGAGTCTCGCTCTGTCGCCCAGGCCGGACTGCGGACTGCAGTGGCGCAATCTCGGCTCACTGCAAGCTCCGCTTCCCGGGTTCACGCCATTCTCCTGCCTCAGCCTCCCGAGTAGCTGGGACTACAGGCGCCCGCCACCGCGCCCGGCTAATTTTTTGTATTTTTAGTAGAGACGGGGTTTCACCTTGTTAGCCAGGATGGTCTCGATCTCCCAGCAGGGATCACTTTTGAAGGGCAGAGAAGCAGCAGGAACTTCGGTATGATTACTGAGGAATTGTCTCCATTCCCAATTTCCTTAACAGGGATGACAGAACTTAAATGTTAGTAAATGTAACATAAAATAACTACTTTTTCTCTGGATATACATTTTCATAAACAGGAGCTAAGTAAGCTAGAATCATGGATACACATGGATACATTTTGGCTTATATTCCTTAAAAAATTGGAAATGTTAAACATAATTACAGTCTTTGGTTTTAGTTTGTTTTACTTTCATTAAATAGTAGAACCTACTATAAACATTTGGATAGCTCCTTGTGAATGCCTAGTTGCTTTGAGTCTTGAACAACCAAATGCAAATGCACATATTTTTCTCTTCTTCCTATCCCACACTGCTTTACCCCACTCTCTCTTTTTGTCCTTTTCTTCTTCTGCCTTTTTTTTTTCAAATAATAATTATGGAAGTCACATACACGAAATCACTGAATAGGCTTAAGTTAAATGGCATTAGGTAGTAAACATTTTCCAGTTTCAAAATTACTATTTCTTTTTCACTTGATAAATTTTAGCTTTTAAGATTTTTCTGGGGAGGAAAAAAAGTCTGTACTGACATATAAGGACAAAAATCTTCCTACTTCTAAGGCTATAGAAACATATTGAGGAGATTCTGTGAAGTAAAGCAGACAGTATAGAAATGCTTCCTATGTAAGGATTAGGTAATATAATGGAAAGAATACATACAAGAATAGAATGAAATGGCAGGGAGAAAGAGGAAGAGATTAAAATAAGGAGGACTATGTGTGGACTGGATTGGGTAGAGGCAGAGAGATTTAATGCTTGAATTCCATACAGACTTTGAGAAATGAAAAAAAAAGGAGCCAGGTGGCCAAAAAGAATTTTATAAATATGAGAAAATAAATTCAGGGCATAAGATTTAAAATTTATGTCAATAGAAAAACATGTTTAACATTATGTTCCCTTACTGTGAATTCCATGGTCATTTAAACATGATTTCTGTATTTGCTGTATTTCAAATGCTAGATTTTGAAATACAGCAAATATCATATTTACATATTTACTTTGGTTTGCACTAATTGTTGTCCTCCCCCTTTTTTCCCTATGAAAACACATTTTGCATTGCAAAGGTAGCAAACTCTATACCTCCAGGAATTCTCTTCCACAATTAGCCTCACCATGAATGCTATAAGGTGTGTGGTATTTTCTACATCTGAACATTATTACAAATTCTCCGACTTAATAACATCTCTTTATCCCTAGGTGTTCCCTTAATTTGTCACCAGCACCGAAACTAGATTTCTCCAACATACTCATCCCCAAAATTGAAAGCCACTGGATTAAGAAAACCAGTTATTGTAATACCATTCAAGTTTAGACATAGGCTCATGGGTAATCTATATATTCAAGATCACCTCATTTTTATTGCTGAATCATGAATTTGAGATGGGAAGCAGGACATGTTTGAGACATCTGTGCTCCCATCTATGGCATTCAACAACATCAGTACCTAATACGTTAGCTAGTCCTGCTGGTCTAAGTACAACCTTCCCTGCCCCAAATCCCTAGTAGACAGATATGCCTACTCCACATTCTGAAAAGTTAAACCTGGCAATCCTATTTTAAGGTTCCCAGTAGTCACCTAACAGCAGTGAGAAGCAGCAGCAGGAAAGAATGAGCTTTGTCTGCCTTTCCCCTCTCCTGAGCAGATGGTTGGCTAAAACTCACTTCACACGGGAAATCAATTTTAGATTTTTAACTTGGATATAAAGTAACAAATATAACAGTCAAGTATGAGAAAAATAGCCTTTGTGTTTATTTTTATCTGTTATTGTAATAATGGAAAGATGAAAAATAGAAGTGTATTTCTGAAGTCTTTATTCTTCCTTTTTTTAAAAAAAAAAAAGCTCAATGGAAATTTTTAAAATGACATCTTGAGGAGGGCTTCAATGGAGAAATGTGATTCTCTATATAAGGATTAGTACCCTAGCATTGTTTTACAGTGATCAAACCTATAGCATGTTCTTCAGTTTGGAAATGGTTGAGAACAGCAAATTATATTCATATACAACTAATGAACAATTAGATGTAATCCCACAAGTAATGCTGAACATTCCTGAGTGGCCACAGGAAACTACAACTTATGCCAATGTCACTTTCTGATTAATTTGAATAGTTATCATTATGGACATTTTTAGGGCCAGATGTTACTGTTCAAAATGAATGATTTCTCATGTTCCAGAAAGTGGAAGACCAGACATTTGGAAATGCTCCAGCCATTGCAGTCTTACCTAAATCTCTTGCTGAGCAGGTTAGCTCCTGCAGGACAGAAATGTTGCTGAGTGTAAGGATGCTATGAGGAAAGTGAGAAGCTGAATATCGCTCACTGAATTAGGAAACTTTGGAAGAGATTATGACTTAGAATCATTTCATTCTTTTTGTCCTACAAGTTTAATGTTGTCAGCTACCATAGTAGAAAATAAAATGCCGATTTTTTTTCCACCTAAGGAAGATAAAATATTTTTAGTTATTTTTCTTCCTATATCTCTGTTACCAAAAAATCTGGAAAACTTCTAAGAAATGTATCAATAATGAAATGTTTTGAAATTGATATTTTCCAAAAAAACAACAAATAAAACCTAAGTGCTGACAGAATTCTCTAAGCAAATTCAACACTTGCTTCTGTTATTCCTCATAATGGTAACAGGTGAATTTTCAAAGAAGCAATTTCATCTGTATTATATTTCACTTCATATTACCTTTTGATTTTGCTCCTAAGTTTATGAAATTTACTCATATCACAGGAAAATAATATTTTGTACTTCTCAGTGACTCCACATTTCCACATAATGGCTGGCATCCCATATTATTGGAGTCTTTCTCTAAATTGGATGCATTGGATAATCACTTCTTTACGCAGTGGCTTAAAATATTTTTGAATTTTTAACTTTGCCTTAAATGTTATAGAAAATTTTCTGTAATGCAGACTATTGTAATTTTGAAGATTTTGAAGAGTTGTCCAGGCTGGAGTGCAGTAATGTGATCACAGCTCACTGCAGCCTCAGCCTCCTGGGCTCAAGCAACTCTCCCACCTCTGCCTTCTAAGCAGCTGGGACTACAGGTGCATCCCACCACATCCAGCTAATTAATTTTTTTTCTTTTAGATATGGGGTCTCACAATATTTCCCAGCCTGGTCTTAAACTCTTGGGACTCAGTGATCCTCTTGCCTCAGCCTCCCAAATTACTGAAATTAAATTATCTCACCCAGCCTTAAGAATTGTAATTTTGAAGATGTTTAAATTTGATCACTGAAGATAGACAGATATATAGATGATGGATAGATAGATAGATAGATAGATAGATAGACAGATGGATAGATAGATACCCTAAAATAAATACCTTGGAGGCAGTAAGACAAATTTGATATGTTGCATATAAAAATGGATTTATATTGTAAAATGTTTACAACTTTTACTATGTAAAGTCAACCTCACCTGAAGGTTTATATGTCAATGTTGATCTAGACAGCTACTTATGAATGTACCAAAGAATATCAAAATCCAACATTATTCACTAGAATGGGGGGCTGCTCCCATAGAAATGGAGATAGCATTCTGCAAACTGTTTTCAAGCCACTCAAAACTATTTTCAAGTAACTGTTCCTTTAGAAACCACAAACAAATTCTAATGATCTACATTGGGAACATAAGAACATATATCAACTAATTACCTGCTGTTGACCTTTTCATGGGAGAAGACACATATAAAACTGTCAAACCTAGCTTGAAAGCAGATATTAATGTTTGGGACTTCATAAAACTCTGAGTTTTGAATATTATAGAAAATTTTCTGTAATGCAGACTATTGTAATTTTGAAGATTTTGAAGAGTTGTCCAGGCTGGAGTGCAGTAATGTGATCACAGCTCACTGCAGCCTCAGCCTCCTGGGCTCAAGCAACTCTCCCACCTCTGCCTTCTAAGCAGCTGGGACTACAGGTGCATCCCACCACATCCAGCTGATTAATTTTTTTTCTTTTAGATATGGGGTCTCACAATATTTCAAAACTCAGAGTTGCACTACATTAAGAGAAACATGTCTGATAGGCCCTTTCCTTAGCAGAAATGTAAGCCGGGCAAGGACAGACGGATTTTTCTAGAACACATCATTCTTTGGAAAGAGGATTTTGTTATTTCTATTGCTACTCCACTTATCATAGTATATTTGCAGCCACTTTTTATTTATGTATACATTCTATAGTAGATTATTTAATTTCAAACACTTTTTTCCCCTCAGTGGTAATAGATAATTGGTATTCTGAATATAAGATACAGTCAGATAATTGAACAATGCTATTAAGTAACATTCTTTTTTCCTCAGGCTAACAGTCTGTCCATACCAATGCTAGTGTCCAAAAACTTGTATTTACCTTTAGTCGCTTGTATTTATTTTAGTTGCTTTCTTTGGCCCCTTCTCAATTTTTGTCCTTCTGCTAATTGAGTAAAAGTAATCTGGCATGACTGAGTGGACCGGAGGCTGAATGTGGAAAATTGCCCTAGATACTGAAAATGTTTTTCAGGGAAAGTTAAAGGCACTGATTGTGCTAAACAAGCACACACAGGGAATATGTTCATTATTTGCCGCTCCTATATATGAATAGATATTTTCAGTGGGGTCTGTAGAGATTTTGATTAACAAGCCTTGTTACTGTTAACAAGCATTGTATACCTAATTCCAAGTACATTGTTCTGCTCGTTGACACCTACACGTTTGACTTAAACTGTCAAAGGCAAGGAATCTTACCAGGAAAAAAATGCAAGTGCTTCTAATTCATTCCCTCTCTTTCCATAACTTGTCATGTTTCCATATGTCCATTGTATTTATAAACTACAGGATACAGTTTCTTGATTTTTCAATACTTAAGTTGTTCCTAAAGAAACTATAAAATAAACTCATTGTAATTTTAATAGCTTTATAATTAAGACATGTATTTTTCTATGAATCTCCCTATACCCACATGGCACAAATTTAATATATAAGCAACTGTAAAGATACAGATATTTATTTTAGATTAAATTGTCTAAGAATCCTCAAACTTGGCCTTGCGTGGTGGCTCACACCTGTAATTCCAGCACTTTAGGAGGCCGAGGCAGGCAAATCATGAGGTCAGGAGATCGAGACCATCCTGGCTAACACGGTGAAACCCCGTCTCTACCAAAAACACAAAAAATTAGCCGGGCATGGTGGTGGGCGCCTGTAGTCCCAGCTACTCAGGAGGCTGAGGTGGGAGAATGGGGTGAACCTGGGAGGCGGAGCTTGCAGTGAGCCAAGATGAAGCCACTGCACTCCACCCTGGGCAACAGAGCGAGACTCCATCTTAAAAAAATAAATAAAATAAAATAAAATAAAATATTAAAAAAAGGACCCTCAAACTTTTTACTATTTTTTGTTTGAAAATATATGTTTGGATTGAGCTATAATAAATTGAAGAGAAAACAATAAATATTTGTATGGCTAAACTATGCATCTGTGACTTAGGAAAGACCAGCAAAAAATGTATGGCCTCTAAGCACTATGGCCAAAGCAGCTCCTGAAGCAGCTTCACATGCTCAGTTTCAGATTTTAAACTGGTTCCTTTGGTAGGTTATCTTCAAATGTGGTTCTTTTTCTTCCTTATGTAAAATTCTTATCTAGACAATGAATAGAAAAGGGGCTTTTTTTTCATTGAAATACCTGGAAACTCAAAGAAAAAATATATTTATATCTTAAATGATTAAAAAGAAGACTACACTGGAAAAAAAATCAAAGACTAGACATGTATTTTATGTAGTTCATTTATTTTCATCTCTCTCCTAACACTTTAAATTTCACTCTGCAATTTGGAACAGATTTGATCAACTTGCTTTCATGTGTCAGTGTTTTTCAACTGCAATGAAAATAAACAAATGGGTTTGGTTTTCTACAAAATTGTGGAGATGCTGACTTAACTACAAAAGTTATTTACTTTGGCATATGTCACTTTGTAGAGCTTTTATAGAATAAAGTAGTGTCTGGTGATCCAAAGTTTACATAAAATTCTCTTGTCTGCTTCAGGTTCCTCACATTAATAAACTCCCTTTTGGATAGGAAAGAGTATGCTCTGCAACTGCTCCCTTTCATTTTAGAAAGCTTAGGAAGTATGGATTGCTTTACGATGGATCCTAAGGTAGACCTTCTTATTTTAACTTTATGGAAACATAAACATGTTTGCTTTGTGCAGTTGACCTCTGTATGCCTATAAAAATAGCTAATGAAGTCCAGGAGTTAAAGAATTTTAAAGGCTTATAGTTTTTGCAGGATGCTACTAAATACTGCTGAAAATGCGGAACATATGTTATTTCTGAGAGATAAGACTTGCTCATGTGATTAAATTGCTGGTATAATTCTTCTCACAATAATTTGTTGTCAGCTTTGAAAGTATAATATTTCAACGTGAAAACTATTATGTCATACTTTTTATTTTGCCCCCCAGAAAATAAACAGATTTGAATTTTAAGAATAAAAATGTTACGGATGCATGAACAAAGCCAAATGGATATCTGTTTTCCTGTATAAATAAACTTACAAAAATAAGACAAAAAGAAACATCTGAAAGCGTAAAAATAATGTACTGTTAAAATAACTACCATTGCTCAGAGGAAGATATTCATAACTTCTTAGCTATAGATATGGTGTTAAGGATCAAAACTTTGATTCTGAAAATGTACATGAGGGAAATTGATGAGATTAGATAGAGACCAGTATAATACTGAGGTGAAATTTTGTAAATAGGCAAGATGAATACATTTTAGATATTAATTTTAAAAACTAGCATTCTGATTAAAGCTAATCTTAAATATTAAACCAAACTCAGTTACCTCCAATATTTTCCTCACCTTCCATCCCTCACCTTTCTAATCAAATTAGTATACTTTTGTTATTCAAAAGAAAATAGCCGTGCTATGAACTAAAAGCCCAGGAGAGTGTTTATAATGAAAACAGTATTTGCCAAAATGTTTTCCCCAAAATCCATCTGTTCCTGAAAACATTTCAGATTTATTAACCACAGACTCTGCATTGCCACACTTGTGTCTATATCATCATAAATGCCATCTCTTCATGGGTAGAATCCATTGTGTGTCAATTCCCACAGCACACAAATAAATAGTACTATAATGTGGCTAGGTAGTATCCAAACAATGTATAACAACGATCAGACTGTTTTGCTACACAATGTTCTACCCTTTGCTAAAGAGTGTCGTCTTACATTCCCTTATCCTTCTCTGTCTTCCTTGGAAACTGCTTTCTACTTCTTTACTTCTTTCAACCTGCACTCAACAGAAATAATGAAAGATATTTATCTCAAAGGCAGATAGGTAAGAATGTCAAGAAAACAAAATAGAGACATGTAAAATAAGAGAAAAAAATCATAGGAAAAACTAAGATTAGTGAAAGAAACATTATTACTTTACCTAATGCATCTAAAAGACAAAAAGTGTAAAACTGGCATAAATATGATTGTTATATTAATGTACTAGGAGGTTGCAAAGTAATTCATAAGCAGTCACATAATACTTCCCTTTTTAAAAATAAAAAAAAGGTAGAAAAGACATAGTGTCTTAACCCATCAAAATTTTCCTGATTATTGTCACAAATTTTTTATTGGTTTCCCTTGTAATCTTAGACTACTGCAAAACATTAACAGATGTGAAGCCAGAGGAATGCCTCATTATTAAATCCTAAGTGTTGCTTCAGTGAAGTCCAAACTGTTTTTGTAGATTTTGCCATTTTGCGGGGATGGGTAGAGGAGAAGGGAATATGTTTTGTTTGTTTTTTTCTGGGCATTCTGAATAAAGCATGACCTGAGTATTCTGAAACCATCTTCTCCTTCAATGATAGCAATCAAAGTCCAAAGGAGATAACGTCTGGAGATTTTTAATTCATGTGCCCCAGGAATATAGTGTATATCATTAGCCCACGGAAGGAAGCTTACAGAAAAAAAAAAAAGGAAAAGAAAAAATAACCTTAAGAAAACACCAAAATTCCTACATAATCTGCTTCAGATCATATCTAGGACCCCAACAGCCGACCATATGGGCAGTAGACTTCAAGATGTAATATTACACCCAATGTCTTCCAGAAATCTAATTTAATACTTTTATAAATGTCTAAAATGAGAGTGATTAATGCCCTAAGATAGGATGTTATTTTCAGAAGTCAGTTAGCTATAATGCATGTTGCTCTGAATCTATATTAGTTTGCCCAATTTGACAAGCAAGACTTTGCAGCAGGGAGTTTTATCATGGGGTATGCTTAGTGTAGGTCAGATATGCAGGAGGTCCAACAGCGACTTGACCTGGAGGTGGAGGCAAAATGCACTAACAAAGTTGCAGGGTTCACACGTAGAATTTTATCTGTAGCAACAAAATTGGTAGTCTGGCTTCTAGTCTGCATTGGTCAGAGACTGAAGAGATTACCATGCTAAGCTCTGAATGCCAAAGAGAGAATTTGTTAGAAGAAGTTATTAGGAGACACATCCTGAGAAAACGTCTTGAATGATATAAGAGCTTAGATCAGCAGCAGAAGGAGATGTGCATCCCAAGGAATAAAAATGTTATCAAATATTTTAACTGTTATAATGTTATGAAGTATTGGACTATTTCTGTATAATCCTGAGTAGGACAAGTGGGTGACGATGATAAATGAATTTTTTTTATTATACTTTAAGTTCTGGGATACATGTGCAGAACATGCAGGTTTGTTACATAGGTGTACATGTGCCATGGTAGTTTGCTGCACCCAGCAACCCATCATCTACCTTAGGTATTTCTCCTAATGCTATTCCTCCCCCTTACCCACTACCCATCAACAGGCCCCAGTGTATGATTTTCCCCTCCCTGTGACCCTGTTTTCTCATTGTTCAACTCCCACTTATGAGTAAGAATATGTGGTGTTTGGTTTTCTGTTCCTGTCTTAGTTTGCTGAGAATGATGGTTTCCAGCTTCATCGATGTCCCTGCAAAGGACAGGAACTCATTCTTTTTTATGGCTGCATAGTATTCCATGGTGTATATGTGCCACGTTTCTTTTATCAAGTCTAACATTGATGGGGATTTGGGTTGGCTCCAAGTCTTTGCTATTGTGAATAGTGCCATAATAAACATACCTGTACATGTAACTTTATAGTAGAATGATTTATAATCCTTTGATATATACCCAGAAATGGTATTTCTGGTTGTAGATCCTTGAGGAGTCACCACATTGTCTTCCAAAATGGTTGAACTAATTTACACTCCCCCCAACAGTGTAAAGTATTCCTATTTCTCCACATCCTCTCCAGCATCAGTTGTTTCCTGACTTTTTAATGATTGCCATCTAACTGGCTTGAGATAGTATCTCACTGTGGTTTTGATTTGCATTTCTCTAATGACCAGTGATGTGAGCTTTTTTACATATGTTTGTTGGCCGCATAAATGTCTTCTT
Source organism: Homo sapiens (assembly GCF_000001405.40). NCBI lineage: Eukaryota > Metazoa > Chordata > Mammalia > Primates > Hominidae > Homo > Homo sapiens. Next base: position 66,417,807 of record NC_000013.11, read on the forward strand.
TTGAAAAGTGTCTGTTCATATCCTTCGCCTACTTTTTGATGAGGTTGTTTGTGTTTTTCTTGTAAATTTGTTTACGTTCCTTGTAGATTCTGGATATTAGACTTTTGTCAGATGATTGGATTGCAAAAATTTTCTCCCACTCTGTAGGTTTTCTGTTCACTCTGATGATAGTTTCTTTTGCTGTGCAGAAGCTCTTTCATTTAATTAGATCCCATTTGTCAATTTTGGCTTTTGTTGCAATTGCTTTTGGTGTTTTAGTCATGAAGTCCTTGCCCATGCCTATGTCCTGAATGGTATTGCTTAAGTTTTCCTCTAGGGTTTTTATGGTTTTAGGCCTCACATTTAAATTTTTAATCCATGTTGAGTTATTTTTTGTATAAGGTCTAAGGAAGGGATCCAGTTTCAGTTTTCTGAATATAGCTAGCCAGTTTTCCAAACACCATTTATAAAATAGGGAATCCTTTCCCCATTGCTTGTTTTGGTCAGGTTTGTCAAAGATCAGATGGTGTTAGATGTGTGTTATTTCTGAAGCCTCTGTTCTGTTCCATTGGTCTACATATCTCTTTTGGTACCAGCACAATGTTGTTTGGTTACTGTAGCCTTGTAGTATAGTTTGAAATCAGGTAGCATGATGCCTCCAGCTTTATTCTTTTACTTAGGATTGTCTTGGCTATATGGGCTCTTTTTGGTCCCATATGAAATTAAGGCAGAAATAAATAAGTTATTTGAAGCCAATGAGAACAAAGACACAATATACTAGAATCTCTGGGACACAGCTAAATCAGTGTTTAGAGGGAAATTTATAACACTAAATGCCCACCAGAGAAAGTGGGAAAGATCTAAAATCAATACCCTAAAATCATAATTAAAAGAAAGAGAAGCAAAAGCAAACAAATTCAAAAACTAGCAGAGGACAAGAAATAACTAAGATTAGAGAAGAACTGAAGGAGATAGAGACACAAAAAGACCTTCAAAAAAATCAATGAATCCAGGAGCTGGTTTTTTGAAAAGTTTAACAAAATAGATAGACCGCTAGCCAGACTAATAAAGAAGTAAAGACAAAAGAATCAAATAGACATGTAAAAAAATGATAAAGGGGAGATCACACTGATCTTACAGAAATACAAACTACCATCAGAGAATACTACAAATACCTCTGTGTAAATAAACTATAAAATCTAGAAGAAATGGATATATTCCTAGACACATACACCCTCCCTAGACTAAATCAGGAAGAAGTTGAATCCCTGAACAGACCAGTAACAGGCTCTGAAATTGAGGCAATTATTAATAGCCTACCAACCAAAAAAAGCCCAGGACCAGACGGATTTTCTATTGTTTGAAACTATTCCAAACAATAGAAAAAGAGGGACTCCTCCCTAACTCATTTTATGAGGCCAGCATCACGCTGATACCAAAACTTGGCAAAGACACAACAAAAACAGAAAATTTCAGGCCAATATCCCTGATGAACATCAATGTGAAATCCTCAATAAAATACTGGCAAACCAAATCCAACAGCACATTAAAAAGGTTATCCATGGAGGATTCCCACGCAAGATGGCGGAATAGGAACATCTTCAGCCTGCAGCTCCCAGCGAGACAAACCCAGAAGGTGGGTGATTTCTGCATTTCCAACTGAGGTACCCAGTTCATCTCACTAGGACTGATTAGACAGTGGGTGCAGCCCATGGAGGGCAAGCAGAAGCAGAGTGGGGCGTTGCCTCACCCCAGAAACACATGGGTAGAGGAATTCCCTCCACTAGTTGAGGGAAGCCATGAGGGACTGTGTGCCGAGGAACGGTGCATTCCAGCCAAGATGCTATGCTTTTCCCATGGTTTTTGCAACCCATAGACCAGGAGATTCCCTCCGGTGCCTACATCACCAGGGCCCTGGGTTTCAAGCACAAAACTGGGCAGCCATTTGGGCAGACACTGAGCTAGCTAGCTGCAGGAGTTTTTTTTTTTTTTTTTCCCCCAGTGGCACTGTAACACCAGCGAAACAGAACTGTTCACTACCCTGGAAAGGGGGCTGAAGCCAGGGAGCCCTGGAGCCAAGTGGTCTGGCTCAGCAGATCCCACCCCCTATGGAACCTAGCAAGCTAAGATCCACTGGCTTGAAATTCTCGCTGCCAGCACAGCAGTCTGAAGTCTATCTGGGATGCTCCAGCTTGGTGGGGGGAGGGGCATCCGCCATTACTGAGGCTTGAGTAGGTGCTTTTCCCCTCAAAGTGGAAACAAAGCCACAGGGAAATTTGGACTGTGCAGAGCCCACCACGGTGCCACAAAGCCACTGTAAGCAGACTGCCTCTCTAGATTCCTCCTCTCTGGCCAGGGCATCTCTGAAAGAAAGGCAGCAGCCCCAGTCAGGGGCTTATAGATAAAACTGCCATCTCCCTGGGACAGAGCACCGAGGGTACAGGCAGCTGTGGGTGCAGCTTCATCAGACTTAAACGTTCCTGCCTGCCAGCTCTGAAGAGAGCAGCGGATCTCCCAACACAGCACTCGAGCTCTGCTAAGGGACAGACTGCCTCCTCAAGTGGGTCGCTGACCCCTGTGCCTCATGATGGGGAGACACCTCCCAGCAGGGGTCAACAGACACCTCATACAGGAGAGCTCCAGCTGGCATCTGGTGGGTGGCCCTCTGTGATGAAGCTTGATGAAGCTTCCAGAGGAAGGAGCAGGCAGCAATCTTTGCTGTTCTGCAGCCTCTGCTGGTGATACCCAGGCAAACAAGGCATGGAGTGGACCCCCAGCTAACTCCAGCAGACCTGCACAAGAGAGGCCTGACTGTTAGAAGGAAAACTAACAAACAGAAAGCAATAGCATCAATATCAACAAAAAGGATGATGAGGCAAACCTCCATCCGAAGGTCACCAACAGCAAAGACCAAAAGTAGATAAATCCATGAAGATGAGGAAAAACCAGCACAAAAAGCTGAAAATTCCAAAAACCAGAATACCTCCTCTCCTCCAAAGGATCACAACTCCTCACCAGCAAGGGAGTAAAACTGGATGGAGAATGAGTTTGACTAATTGACAGAAGTAGGCTTCTGAAGGTGGGTAATTACAAACTCCTCTGAGCTAAAGGAGCATGTGCTAACCCAATGCAAGGAAGCTAAGAACCTTGATAAAAGATTAGAGGAATTGCTAACCAGAATAACCAGTATAGACAAGAACATAAATGACCTGATGGTGCTGCACAGCCTGAGAACTTCATGAAGCATACACAAGTATCAATGGCCAAATCTATCAAGCAGAAGAAAGAATATCAGAGACTGAAGATTAACTTAATGAAATAAAGTGTGAAGACAAGATTAGAGAAAAAAAAAAGGAAAGCAATGAACAAAGCCTCCAAGAAATATGGTACTATGTGAAAAGACCAAACCTATGTTTGATTGGTATACCTGAAAGTAATGGGGAGAATGGAACCAAGTTGGAAAACACACTTCAAGATATTCAGGAGAACTTCCCCGACCTAGCAAGACAGGCCAACATTGAAATTCAGGAAATACAGAGAACATCACAAAGATACTTCTCGAGAAGAGCAACCGCAAGACACATAATTGTCAGATTAACCAAGGTTGATATGAAGGAAAAAATGTTAAGGGCAGCTAGGGAAAAAGGTCTGGTTACCCACAAAGGGAAGCCCATCAGACTAACAGAAGCCCTACAAGCCAGAAGAGAGTGGAGGCCAATATTCAATATTCTTGAAAACAAGAATCTTCAACACAGAATTTCATACCCAGCCAAACTAAGATTCATAAGTGAAGGAGAAATAAAATCTTTTACAGACAAGCAAATGCTGAGGGATTTTGTTACCACCAGGCTTGCCTTACAAGAGCTCCTGAAGAAAGCACTAAATATGGAAAGGAAAAACCGGTACCAGCCACTGCAAAAACAAAATAAAATGTAAAGACCATTGACACTATGAAGAAACTGCACCAACTGGGGGGAAAATAACCAGCTAGCATCATAACGACAGGATCAAATTCACACACAACATTAAACTGAAATGTTAACAGGCTAAATGCCCCAATTAAAAGGCACAGACTGGCAAATTGGATAAAGAGTCAAGACCCATCGGTGTGCTGTATTCAGGAGACCCATCTCATGTGCAAAGACACACATAGGCTCAAAATAAAGGCATGGAGGAAGATTTACCAAGAAAATGGAAAGCAAATAAAAAGAGCAGGGGTTGCAATCCTAGTGTCTGATAAAAGAGACTTTAAACCAACAACGGTCAAAAGAGGCAAAGAAGGCCATTACATAATGGTAAAGGGATCAATGCAACAAGAACTAACTATCCTAATTATATATGTACCCAATACAGGAGCACCCAGATTCATAAAGCAAGTTCTTAGAGACTTACAAAGAGACTTAGACTCCCATGGAATAATAATGGGAGACTTTAACACCCCACTGTCAATATTAAACAGACCAATAAGACAGAAAATTAACAAGGATATTCGGGACTTCAATTCAGCTCTGGACCAAACAGATCTAATAGACATCTATAGAACTCTCTGCCCCAAATCAACAGAATATACATTCTTTTCAGCACCACATAGCACTTACTCTACAATCGACCACATAATTGGAAGTAAAACACTCCTCAGCAAATGCAAAAGAACAGAAATCATAACAGTCTCTCAGACCACAGTGCAATCAAATTGGAACTCAGGATTAAGAAACTCATTAAAAACTGCACAACTACATGGAAACTGAACAACCTACTCCTGAATGACTGCTGGGTAAATAACAAAATTAATGCAGAAATAATTAAGTTCTTTGAAACCAATGAGAACAAAGACACAATGTTCCAGAATCTCTGGCACACAGCTAAAGCAGTGTTCAGAGGGAAATTTATGGCACTAAATGCCCACAGGAGAAAGTGGGAAAGATCTAAAATCAACACCCTAACATCACAACTAAAAGAACTAGAGAAGCAAGAGCAAATAAATTCAAAAGGTAGCAGAAGACAAGAAATAACTAAGATCAGAGCAGAACTGAAGGAAACAGAGACACGAAAAACCCTTAAAAAAATATCAATGAATCCAGGAGCTGGTTTTTTGAAAAAGATTAACAAAATAGATAGAGTGCTAGCCAGACTAATAAAGAAGAAAAGAGAGAAGATCAAGAAGACACAATAAAACATAATAAAGGGGAGATCACCACTGATCCCTAGCAATACAAACTACCATCAAAAAATACTGTAAACACCTCTACACAAAATAAACTAGAAAATCTAGAAGAAATGGATGAATGCCTGGACACATACACCCTCCCAAGAATAAACCAGGAAGAAGTCAAATCCCTGAATAGACCAATAACAAGTTCTGAAATTGAGGCAGGAATTAACAGCCTACCAACCAAAAAAAGCCCAGAACCAGATGAATTCACAGCCAAATTCTACCAAAGAATTTCTAACAAAGGTACAAAGAGGAGCTGGGACCATTCCTTCTGAAACTATTCCAAACAATAGAAAAAGGGGGACTCCTCCCTAACTCATTTTATGAGGCCAGCATCATACTGATACCAAAACCTGGCAGAGACACAGCAAAAAAAAAAAAAGAAAATTTCAGGCTAATATCCCTGATGAACATCATTGCGAAAATCCTCAATAAAATACTGGCAAACCGAATCCAGCAGCATATTAAAAAGCTTATCCACCACAATCAAGTCAGCTTCATCCCTGGGATGCAAGGCTGGTTAACATATGCAAATCAATAAACATAATCCATCACATAAACAGAACCAATGACAAAAGCCACATGATTATCCCAAAAGATGTAGAAAAGGCCATTGATAAAATTCAACAGCCCTTCATGCTAAAAACACTCAATAAACTAGGTATTGAGGGAACATATCTCAAAACAATAAGAGCTGTTTATGACAAACCCACAGCCAATATCATACTGAATGGGCAAAAGCTGGAAGCATTCCCTTTGAAAACCAGCACAAGACATGTATTCCCTCTCTCACCACTCCTATTCAACATAGCATTGGAAGTTCTGGCCAGGGCAATCAGGCAAGAGAAAGAAATAAAGGGTATTCAGATATGAAGAGAGGAAGTCAAATTGTCTGTTTGCAGATGATATGATTGTATATTTAGAAAACCCCGTCATCTTAGCCCCAAATCTCCTTAAGCTGATAAGCAACTTCAGCAAAGTCTCAGGATACAAAATAGATGTGCAAAAATCACAAGCATTCGTATACACCAATAATAGACAAACAGAGAGCCAAATCATGAGCCAACTCCCATTCACAATTGCTACAAAGGGAATAAAATATCTAGGAATACAACTTACAAGGGATGTGAAGGGCCTCCTCAATGAAAACTACAAACCACTGCTCAAGGAAATAAGAGAGGACACAAACAAATGGAAAAACATTCCATGCTCATGGGTAGGAAGAATCAGTATTGTGAAAATGGCCATACTGCCCAGAGTAATTTATAGATTCAATGCTATTCTCATCAAGCTACCATTGACTTTCTTCACATAATGATCAATACATTTTTGTTCAGGTTTGTAGAAAGAAAACTTTCAAATTGAGCAAGCCTACAGGATAACAGACTTCTTCAGGAAGGTTAAATGCCTTTCCCTAGAGTTATTTAAACATGGTATAGAGGACCATTTGGGAGAAGTATGGAAAGAACACAAGCAACAAGTGACCTGCATGGATGGCATTCTTTAACCCTAAAACTTCATCATCTATATGTGCAAAAGACTGCAAAGTCTAAACTGAAGATAAATAAAGTAAAAGTCTGTATAGCTGATGACAACACTGCATATTTCCTGATTTACTCAGAAGTTTTCTTAATCATCCTTGAGAAGTTTCCATTACAGTATTCCTTGTACACTGGCCAAAGATTTATATTACCAGAACAAAATCAAACAACAACAGAAGAAAAAGGTGAAGAAACAATTTCGTCTGAGATGATCACATTTATAAATTTATATAATTTACGTTTGTGTAAACATCTCTGAGATTGCAGGTAAGAGGAACAGGGATAAATCTACATATTATCTTTTGAATGATTTTGGTAACAGGAATTTTACCAGCCAGTCTTTCATTTCTTGTATTATACTGAAAACTAAAGAAATAGTTAACTGGGAGCTTCACCAGTGATACCTGCAATTATAACTAAAAACAACACATCCAATCAGTTTATTTGCTAAAGAAAATTATGACATGCCAGGATGGTCAAACCACAACAAAGAGAAGGCTAATATTTCAGCTTACATCAACTACTTTGCATAACTTGAATGAAAAATGGAAAATTATATTATGTTCATCATTTTATGACACTTTCTGTTGCACACAAAAGAATGAAGAGTATTGCACTATATATATTCTTTGAAAATATTCCACTGTCAAACAAATAACATTTGATCTCTCTCTCTCTACCTAAAAACTTTGTGAAAGACATTACAGGTAAAGACTGCAAAGCTTTGACAACTTTGATCACAGTTAACTTTTTAATTTAATGTCTTCTGAAGTTATTACATTTAACCAAGCAGCAGACATACAATCTAGACTGACTCTGTAACCTCCTATCACACCGACTAGGTAACTAAGTTTCCTACAGCCTGCCAATAATAAAAGCAAGAATTGAAACAAAATGCAGCCAATAAACTGTAGGTATATCTTTAAGTATTTCAATCTCATCAGAGACTCTTATGTTTACCTTTTTTGGAAAAGAAACTTCACTCCAGTAGTTGCAGAAGTTATCCTACTTTCAGAAAACGAAAAAAAAAAAAATACCTTTGACTGTGTATTTGTCCTACCGGAGTTCTCTTATAAAATCCTCCAAAGTTATAAATTATATCCTAGGAATGAAGGAGGGAACCAGGTGGATAGATGTTCAGGTCATCAGGATTATCTATCATAACATTTGATATTGTCTAGGTACAGAACAAACCTTTGGAAAAACAGTTTTTATACAGAATCATTCTGGTTAGAATGACTAATACTTATCATACATTGGATGAATTTGGACATCTGTCAGTGGTTTACCAGATTGGGGACAAACTGTCCTGAGAAAAGTCTAGTAAGTGTGCTATCTGCTGAAGAGCCAAGGGTGACTCATGAGGTCATTATGAATTCTAATCTCCATCAAATCTCATCAGCCAAAAGGGATGGAGACATCCATCTAAAATATAAATAATGAAAGATAAGTTGTAGTCTAATAAATTATAGCTATGTTCATCATGACGTCATGTTATGTGGTAGAAGCCGATAGGTACTGATAAGACAGAAAGAAAAAAGAGGTAGGAGTATAGTTTCTTCATTTGTACCAAACATTCATTACGGAAAAAAGTTATCAAATAGGCCAAATGGATACCTTAATCTATTCAGTGGGTGGCAGAAGAATTACTTTTTCTCTCTATTGAACTCATCATATGAATGAAAAAAAAAAGAACCCTATAACAAGCAGAGAATTAGAACTAATGAATGGTAGTACAACCTAATGAGAGCAGTAGACCCCATAGTTCTAATTATCCTTTTTCAACCAAAGAATATGTAAAGTATATTTCCTTAATTTAAGCCACATCTAGAGAGGAAATCTTCAGTGAAGTGGTTAATGGCCTTAAATATCCTTTAGTTTATTGGCCTATCTATTTTGTTACAGCATTTTATTTCCCAGACTATTATTTGACCTTTGAACAATGCAAAATTAAGCTTCGTTTGATTCTATTTCCAAGCACAGGCAAAAATACGCTATGTAATATTAGAAATTCATATGTTAAGGTCTTATTATTCACATAAAATATGTGGACACTAATATAATTATAAAAATTAATTGAAAATTCATGGTAGCAGCTAAAAAAACTTTTAATTAAATTCAAAGTATCTGGCATTTATAAAAGGCCAACACCTTGCTAAGTAATTTTATGCATTTTTACTGTCATCTTAATAAAGGTTTACCACATTTAAAGGAAACATGCATCCTTTACTATTAATAACTCCTTTAATATTTATTACAATAGATATAGATATTTTTTCTTTTGTGTAAAAAATGTCCAAGCAGAGTTCAACATTAAAAACAACTTTTAACATGTTTTATAATTAGAGCATTTTGTCATTGTATTTTATATTAAGTATAATTACTGCCTAGTTTATGTGATAAATTCTGATTTTAAATATTGAATTTGAAATCAGGAAGATATATATCATGATTTTGCTGACATATGAACACATAGCAAAACAAAAAAGGGAGGAGGTTTTAGCTTCAGTGTCAACCTCAGACAATTTTATAGTTGTTTTGAAAAGACTAATAAAATATTTTCCACATGAATGAAACAACATTAAATATCAAGCTACTTTTTTTAAAGTTATAAAAATAGAGATGGTCATATTAATGTAGATCATGAACCTGTGAGGAATAAATGTTTCATATATCTGCTAAATACGTCTGATTACAAAGCTGAATTACTACCATAATGATTAAATGTTAATTATATGATTCTCAATTATCTATAATACTTCTTGACTGCACATTCATTGACAAAACAAGCAGAAACTTATTTAATTATTTGACTTATTAATAGGAAATCTCTCCATTTTATTTCATTGTTTGCGTTTATTCTTGCATAAATGCATATCCATTCAAATCCATTTAACCACATGTCATGTGTAGGAAACTAAGAGTTCACTGGTTTACATAGACATGTGTTTTGTGTTAGTTCAAGATATGAAAGTTTGCTCTTGTCACAGTCATAAATTGGAAGTCAGGAGCCTAGGAATAAAATCTGGCCAACTGCCCCATTTCTATTTGAATTGCATCCTCACAGAATGGCTTCCTTTCTTCAGTACAGATTTTCAGAACAGAAAATATAAAACTTTTAGCCTCTTCCCACCTTTTTTTTCTCAAGTGAGGCTCATCAATAATTGAAAGTAGGCTAAAGTATTCTTGCGAAGAATGCTCAAGTATTGCATCAATTTGAGTTTTGGTGTCTTTGTATCAGGTATTCTCTTACACAACTTATTCACAGTAAGCTGTCATCACAACTCACAGTAAAGTGTTCGGTTAGTCATTCTTAACTCCCAGGAGATATTTCATACTAACAATAGAAAATTAATGGAACTAAATAAAAATGCTGATAATTGTTAAGTAACACAGTAAGCAATACAACAAGATAATTAATATTATATGTTTTGAGGTAATCAAATATTATTAACTAAGTTTGCAAATGAAAACTTTGATTATTTTCTCTTCTTGATGAAAAATATGTTATTGAAAGAAACCATATGTGGCTGTAAGTAGTAGCATTTTGGGTAACAGTGTATATTATGTTCTGCAGTATTTTGAAAAAGTTCAGAACAAGTTTTGCACACCAGTGTCCAGATTAGTTGGCAAATCAGTTTTCTATAAATCTTTTTTTAAACACCTGACTTAGTTCTACATAACCAAATGCATAAAAGATACAAACAAACATCCCAATCAATGAATCCAACATGTCAGGAAAACTCTCAGATAAGTAAAAACTATGTTGGGTTTATTAATAAACGTCTAGAACCAATATGTGTTCTTACTGTAACTCTGTATAAAAGATTACTAAAATATGTACTATCCACTTGATTTATAGCCCACTGGAACTAGATGAAGGTCTTAGCAAGGGATTTTATAGAATACATATAAAATTGTAGCATTTAGAATCTCCTCAAGACAGACATTAGAGCTGTCATCTTTTTATTGACAACTTTTAGTCCGTGGTGAAATGTAAAAGACAGTCAAGGGCTACCACTTCAAGCAAGTTACTTAATCCTTTTACCCTCAGCATCCTTATTTATAAATCAGGGAAAATAATGTCTACCATAAAGCTTCTATAAGGATTGTATATATATGTATTTCTAAAACGAATATGTGTGAAATGATTGAATATACGAGATATTTAGGGTAAATGGATTTGGATCATTTGCAGATATTCTTCCTTACTTTTCATAAATTAGATTATTAAATTCAGCTCTTGGTATGCCACTTATTTAAATCAACAAAAATGGAGCATTAACTCAAACAGAAATTAAAGTATATATTCAACCTTTTAAAAATGATATGCCCCAATATTAAAAGTTAAATTGGCTTAAAAATATAAATCTATAAGTAATCAAATAGCTGCACATTTAGTGTAATAATGGCCATATTTTTATGGTGTGTAACAGGATCTTAGTCTAAAAGAAAGTTGAAAAGACGAAAGAGAATTTTAGTTTCATTGTAATATGCATGTGATTAAATTAGTTCTAGCACATGCAGTTTTATATTACTGACCTGAAATAAGAAAGAACACACACTGTTTCTTATTTGCTTTGTGGCAAAATATGCTCATACAGTAAAATTCACTCTGATACTGACTATTGCAATTTAGCAAAGAAGGAGACTGTATTTCAGACTGTAGGTAAATAAAGCATTTAAAGAATGACATGTCTGAGAAAAGCAAGAGAGATTAATAAGAATGTACCCAAAAGAATTCAGTGTATAGAAAAAAACAAGCTAATGTCATTTCCCAAAGAACAAGCAGTATAACTAGGAGGAGAAAAATCATGTAAATGATGACTATGGGAACAAAAATCTCTGGTGTGATTTGATGTTTTTCTTTTATAGATTTGTTATTTTTTCTGTTTTTTTTTTTTAATATTTTGCACCCACAGTGGGTAAAAAGACTATACAAAAAATGTTTTCTAATACAGAACATTTATGCCAGAATAAATATGTTAGGAAATGAGGTTTGGAGGATACAAAATACTGAGTTTGAAGAGTACAAACGGAAGAGCTCCCTCAGAGGGATCAGAACCTGGTCTATAAATATCTTCAAGGTAACCGTGAATCTAAGGGGAGGACATCATTCATAATGTCAGAAAGTAGAAAGACACAGAACAATGCCCTGCAGCTAAAGAAGAAGAAGAAGAAAAAAATAACTTTTTCTGGTTATTTTAAAAGTTCTTAAGACTGAGGTCAACTGGTTTGAATCACTAACAGACAAGGGCACATCAGTGATTGCTGTTGATAGTCAAGGACAGTTTGTTAGAGGTGTTAGCACCAATGGTGATCTTGATCGTACTTAGCATTACAGAGCCTATGAAGTGGAATGCAAATGCCAGTGAGAATATACCTTTATCGATCTTCCTCTTTACCCATAAGGTATGTATATCAGGGAGTCAGTTTCTATCAACCACACTTTAAGTAGCCAAAAGAGCTCTCTTGTATATAGATAGATTCAAATCCAGATTCTGTGGCCATTTTACATTTTGTTTCAAGTCAAAGTTTCTTCTCTGTTTTTAGAATGCTTTTTTCCCTATTTATAAAAGTAATACATGCTTACTACAAACATTCAGAGCAATAAAGCTAACTCTTTATTCAATCACACAGCAAAAGCTACTATAAACATTCTAGTTTGTATTTACCTATATTTTTACTAATGACAGACACACTCATACATTATCCAAAAATGGGATCATGCAACACATTGAATTTTAACCTAACTCTTTCATTTGATATATCAAGGGCACATTTTCCACATCAATAAATACAATAAATTTTGCTTGGTATAAGAATAGGCTAAGCTAAAAGTAGAGTAGGAATGAGAGAAACTAGCTCTTCTATTTTCCTCACAGCTGCAAATCTTGGCTCTGAGTAGTCTGTAAGGGAGAGTGAAGGATGCATTTTTAAAGATGTTGCTAAATCCTTCCAGTGAAGCAATAACATAGTATATCCATTTATTCATTCAGCAAACATGTACCAAGTAGCAACCAGGTGTTGGCCCTGTGTTAGTAACTGAGGGATGCCCACATGGTGAGAGGGTCCTGCCATCAAGGGTGCTTCCTTACCCTGCTTTCTTAACCTGCTATTCACTCTGGGATAACAGTAAACAATTTTTATCCATTTTTACCACCAACACATTAACAGTGTCTTGGCATATTGCACTGAATTAAAGGGAGACTTACATATAAACAATTATTTGAAATGCAGTGTGATAAGAACTGCAATGGGGTCTGACTCAAAGTGCAGTAGAGGCACAAAGGGTCTGTAGTGTGGGTATAAAAGAACCTTCTCTTCCAAAGTTGGAGATAAATTTGAATTGTTAATTCCCAAGTCACAAGGAGATTACATGCAGCAATTCATACATTCACAAATAAATTTGCAAATCTACAGTCCAGCTATGAGGCATACTTTGGATACTCATCAGTGCATTAAATCTCTTTGAGCACTGTTTCAGTAAAACTGGGATATCTATACATCTTTCCAATGTCCCTTTTTCATGAAATTTGACTATAGCCATGTGCATGTAGGTCCTAGGGAATGAAAGAGTAATTTTCTATTCAGTGCAGATCTGTGTCTATAATAGTTCATAGATTCCAACTACCACATATTCTATTCAAAGGAGCAAATTTGAGTTTATTTTTGATTCAATAATAAAGCTATATAAAATGTATAAAATGTATTTTGCATCCTCTATGTGTAAGAAATAATACAAAGCACTCCATATTGGCTCACTTAATTGGTACATCAATACTACAAGTATTAATATCTTGATTTAACTAAGAAAGAAACTGACACACAAACAGATTAAACAAATTGATCAAGATCCCAAACCCAGTAAATGGCAGAGATGAGACTGAAACTAAAAGAATCTGTTTTGATTCCACTCTACTCCATGATCTTATTCAAACTGTTAACTGTTTATGGTGATTTATCAATAATGTATTATACAGCTTTGTAAGTCCACAGGGGATATGCATCGTATCTAATTTGGCAGATCATTTTTAAGGATTTTACAATATTGCTACCCAAATACCAGTATAACATGAACATACATGTATTTAACAATACACATTGACACAATGTCTGTCAAACTCAAAGTAGGCATAAAGATCTTTCACTTAAAGTATTGTATTTCAAAACCAAGACACCCACAGACAAATTAAGTGATTCATTCAGAAGCACTGACAATATAGAAAGAGGCTTTATAAAACAAAGCTTTGCAAGAACACAGATGATTACATTTTAATGACGTCCAAGATTCATTAGGGTTTTTATCTCATCATTCTCTTTGATATGATTTCATAGACTATTGGAAAAAGACAAGTGGAATGACAAGACAATATAGTCAATGATCAGATTCTAACATTGTTGGTTTTGATTAATAACAACAGTATTCAATTTAGTATTTCTAAATAGTTTCTCAAATGTGCTTACAATGGCAAGTGTTTTTTTATTCGTTGTGTTTTTCATGATTTGAAGCCACAAGTTTTTCTTCTGTGCAGTTTCCTTTACATTTAAGCTAAACTGGGTATATTTAAACATGTACTTCTTGCTTATTTGTTATAAGAAAACGTTAGCAACTAAAGTAGATATTTATTATCCAAATGTTTAAGTAAACTTCAACCACATAAAACCCTTGAATCAAGTGGAATATTATAGCACTTGGCAGGTCAAAAATAACCAATGAATACAAGAATGTAGCAGACCCAATAGAAGAATATCAGAGAAGAAGACTGTTTAAAGACAACTTTGGGAATTTGTGGCAACATGACGTCTGAGCCTTGAGGTAATTTACTTAAGAAAATCGGAGCATGATTACTTTCAAAGTAATAATTATTCATGACTTCTATCATAACTATGACAACATGCCTGATAGCCTTGAATATTTCTTTTCTTGAAAGGTATTAAGTTACTTAATTTTTGTAACAATATGTAATATTTAGTGAAATTAGAAAAAAATAATGTTTCATCATGAAAGGCATGTTGGAAAGGCATCTATTTATGTACCAGGCTGTAGCAGAAAGAAAAACACAGACTACCAGAGAAATGACTAATGAGTGTGATTGGACACCTTCTTCTCATCTTTTGGGACCCTCTCACTATTAGCAATCTCTGGTCCACTACCTCTTCCCATCACAATTGAACATAGGACTAAAGACATGGAAGATAGCAAGAAAACAGAATTGTGGATGATGATTAGAAAACAAAAATGATAACATGCATAAAATGAGGAAGAAATAGTGAATACCATTTAGTCTAAGTCATTATTTACCAAATAGCACCCTACTGGCTTGTATGAGTTCACATGGCTTCCCAATGTGCTTCAATTAATCCCAGGGCATAGACTGTGCATACCAGAAAAATATGGCTCAATGCCCTAAGGAATATATTTAATTTGCTATGAGGAAGTAAATTCTAAATTGGGAAAATCCTATATAGCATAAATCATATAAATGACAGTCTTAGGGCAGAAGAATATTAAAATTCTATTGTTCTTATTAATCTGTGAAATGAAAGGGATGCTTAAGCAGGTAATTGTCATTTGAAATGGAAGACAAAACAACATATATTTTAATCAACACACTTATTAAATGTCAATTAGAATTTTCATCAACCAAATTATATGAGACTAACTTGCAATAGCAAGCTTGCCAAATGTTAATTAAAAGAATAAACATTAACTATTAGTTTAATTTAAATGCCTTTGAAATTTTTCAAAATTTTGTATTTAGGATTACAAACCAATTAATCTTTTCATATACTTTCATCATTTATTAAAAATCTAAGTAACCTTAGCAAACAAAAAGTGCTCTCAAAAAATTTTCTTAATTAACATGTAATTGAGAACTAATGAAAACCAGAAAACCTTCCTTTTTTTTCAAGCTATTTATCTATTTCATAAACAAATCTGGAGAACAAAGAATAATGCCTACATGCTAATATGAACAATTCAGATCCTGCAGAAATTGAGTATATTCTTAAGATCCATTTCAACATGTGTATGCTGTCATATTAAAGTGTATATTTTAATTGATTTATAGTAGTTGAAGAGTTGAGCTGCAATGTATTATAATATTATAATTCTTATTACCTAAAGTTAAGTATCCCACCCAATGCATTGCTATGCTAGGTATTGAAAACACAGCTTAAACATTGGTCCTATTCAAGATTACTCTTACTTAAGTTAGAGAAAATATATTTTGTTGTTTGCATATACTCTCATATTAGGAATATATTTTTATAAATATAATATTAAACCATGTATTGTTCATATGAGCATTTTCCCTGGTAAATATTGAAGGAGTATTAATTAAACTTTCAAGGGTCAGTCTTTATTTCGATGGTGTTGACTGATCTTTTGCTTGAATAATTTTGCTTGAAACCAATAAAACAATCAGAGTGATATTATTCATGGTCAAGAGGCAATAACTAATTTTCTAAACCTTAGAATTAAATACAGTGATGTTGATGGAGTTGTATCCAATGTCCCTTTAACTTACAATGGCTATAAAAATAGAAATATATACAATGTAAGGTTATCAAGACATTATTATGTGAAAAAATCGTTGGAAATTTGAGAACTCTTATCAAAATCTGCAAGAAAGTCATATTTGACCACAGTTTATCCCAATTCATTTTTATGGTATGATTTTACATGAATCTTTTCAATACTCTTTAACTTACAAACAAAAACCAGGGACATTTAAACATTAATAAGGACCTGGGTTTTATGTAGGAAAAAAATACTTTTCAGGTAATTTTTGTTCTTACTTTCGGTAAATTTCAGTCTTTAGAAAGTAAGTTCAAATGAATTGTCCATTAAACTTAATCAAAAGAGCTGTGCATTTCTTGGGCTAATATTACATATCACGTATTCATTTGCTTATATTCTGCCTCTAAAATATGGTACATTAAAGTGAAGGATATCCCTGTTGTGTTCACTGCTGCATCATTAGTAGAATGCAGTGTTTGGCACATAATGGATGATCAATGCTTGTTGAACAGATACAAGTATGAGTAAAGCTAAGGAAATGGAATTATAGTACTTGGAATGGTCATCACATTTTTTTTAATCCTATGGACTTAAAATATATGTATGTTTGTAAGCAGCACACATATAAGCTGAAAATTATGTTCAAGCACTCTAGCTTTACTTGTAAGCTACTTTCCAATGTCAAACTATAAAAAATGTATACATTCATTCATAAAAACATTGTGAAAATTTCCATAATATGCAGGCCATAATGCTAAGGGTCTATAAGTCAAACTCTGAGTCTATGAAACAAAAAAGTGATGTAGAAACTAGTTCAATAATATTTTTAAATGCTATTATAGAGTGTGGAAAAAACATTAGAAGAGCCCAAAGAAGGAAATGTTTTATTGCTTAAAAATTAGTACAAGCTGCAGTAGAAGTGAGGTCTGACTTAAGACTGGAAGGATAAATCAGACTGTGGATATCACAAATCAAGGAAGGCATTCCAAGGAAATCCTAAAGGTGCAAAGGGCTTCATTAGATGGCTTAGGAAACTGCTCACTCTTTAATAAACTGTAACCCATGATATGGTGGAGGGAATGATAGCAACAATGTCTGGAAGAGTTGTAGATAAAATTATTCATTATTTAAAACAGGAATTAAGTGAGACTATAAATTGTTGTGTCTTTGACAAGCACTGTGTCTATATCTGGTTTCTTTTAAGTAGAAATCCATTTTGAGAAAGGCAAAATAGGATATATGACTCCCTTATCATTAAGGGACATTAAATATGTCCACTGTGAGTTTTACGACATTATCTAGAGCATATAAATTAGTTATTAAATGGAGACTACCAGGGTTTTATCAAAGCTAGTAATTCAATATAAAAGTATTACCATAACATTTGCATTGGTAGCACACTAATTGCTTTCTTATCACATGAGCCAACTTGGAGTTTCAAAGTCACTAATATGTTAAAGGAGTGATAATATTTTAGGATGCATTAATACATTTCATAAGATTCACTCCCTTCATTTTCATTCACATGCTAAGGCTTTAATATTATACAGCAAAGCAACTTTTACATAATAGTCATAAAAATTGAATTCATTAAGACAAAGGAGAAACTAGAGATATTGTATATATTGACTGAGACTAATGAAATGTTGGCTTTAATGGTGAACTATGAAATGCTTCTGTTTTAATCATATATAAATATTCACAAAACACTAAACAGCTAAGAAAATAAATCTTTATTAAGATTTCATGGCTGCAGGCACATCCCTGCTTGGAGATTACAATGGGAGCCAGCGACTTGGAGAAGAAAGTTATTTTCTCTAGAGCCCTCACATTTTAATTCTATCTTGAGACTCTGGATATCAGTGATTCTTCACTCTTCATTCTGACGTTTCACATATTTTGCAATGTTAGGATGTGAGCAATGCAAGAGGATTATTTTTCAAAATACTCTTTTTTTTAAAAAAAAGTCACCTAGTAATCATAATAAATCTCAATTTACTAGACTTTCTTATTTTTGCTTTATGGTTTAGTATTTTTTAATTTAAATTAAATATGGGGAGAGTCACTGCTGTGGCTTAAATGTTTGCTTTGTTGAAAGTTCATTGCCATTGTGGCACTGTTAGGAGGTGGGACATCTGGGAGGTGATAAAGTCATAAGGGCTTCACACTCGTGGGTTTGAATAATGTGTTTTAAAAGTGAGTCCCCTTGTTGCCCCCTTTTGTTTCTTTGCCATTCTACCTTCTGCCTTGTGAAGACACAGCAAGAAACACCTCTCCAGATGATGGTGCCTTGATCTTGGACTTCCCAGCCTTCAGAACTGTGAGAAAATGAATTTCTATTCATTATAAATTACCCAGTCTCAGGTATTCTGTCAGAGAAGCACCAAATGGACGGATCCACTTACCAAAATCTTTGTAGGGTTGGAGATTCCTAAAGGTTTTAATCTATTTTTAGTTAAAAAAAATAACCCATTTTCTCAGCTTTGCTTCTGGATTGTTCAATTCTACCTATTCCTGTGTCCCAACTTTCTTTCTGAATGCAGTAAAGTAGTCTAACTTTACTTCTGAAGTGGTTTGTTCCACATAAGTTGACTTTGGAAACCTAGACTGTGCCTTAGTTTCGATTATTTAAATTGTCATAATTGTTGACATAAATATAATGCAGGCCTAAATTACATCCCTTTAGATTGTATAAAGTTATATATAACATACTAATGCATTCTTTTTTGAAGTCAAAGAAAAATTATACAAGACAAAGCTTCATGAGCAATTTCCATTCAGTAGTGTGCCAAGTTTTTTTATTGATTTCTTTATAATCAATATTTACTCAGAAACTACACATTTTGTGAGCTGCAAAAAAAAAGTTATAATAAAACATTTTTATGTCAAGGTCAGCCGAGCAGACATAGGTAATTCTCTTTGTTGTATGTCAAAGGAACTATGATCAAGCAGATCACAGTTCCTATTCAGCTTCTACCTCGTGACGAGAAAGCAGGAATCTAGAATGCCTATCTCACCACTATGGACAATCCTACAGTTCTACCTTGTTAAAAACAAGGAGAGAAAACAGGCCGGGCTCATACCTGTAATCTCAGCACTTTGGGAGGCCGAGATGGGCAGATCACAAGGTCAGGAGATCGAAACCATCCTGGCTAACACGGTGAAACCCCGTCTCTACTAAAAATACAAAACATTAGCCGGGCGTGGTGGCGGGCGCCTGTAGTCCCAGCTACTCAGGAGGCTGAGGCAGGAGAATGACGTGAACCCGGGAGGCGAGCTTGCGTGAGCCGAGATCGCTCCACCGCACTCCAGCCTGGGTGACAGAGCAAGACTCTGTCTCAAAAAAAAAAAAAAAAAAAAAAGGAGAGAAAACAAAGGTAGTGTCTGAAATGTCAAGATATACTTTGAAAATAAACAGAAAAGGGTAGCAAAGAGGAGTAGGATTCTTATCACATACATCAAAAAAATCAGTGGCTGAAAAGATGCTCAATAAAATTAGCCATCAAGGAAATATAAATAAAATTACAATGAAATAGTTTATATACCAACAGTATGGCTAAAATGGAAAGGAAATAGTGACTGTTGGTGAGGATGTGGCACACTCAGAAAGTCTCATGCACTGTGGGTGGGAGTAAATTTGGCATAGCTACTTTGGAATTCTGCTTGGCTTGGCAGTATCTGCTAAAGCTGAAAAAAATGCATGTCTTATGCCCCGCAATTCCACTCCTATGTGTATACCTAAAATAATTTCATACTTATGTTGACTAAAAGACATGTACTAAAAGAAAGCTGGAAGAGTCCTAGGGGGAATTCTGGGATATTGGCAACGTTGTTTCGTGATCTGGGTGCTGTTTCTATGGTTGTTTTCAGTTTATAAAAGTACTTAGGGCTGGGCGCGGTGGCTCACGCCTGTAATTCCAACAGTTTGGGAGGCTGAGGCGGGTGGATCACCTGAGGTCAGGAGTTCAAGACAAGTTTGGCCAATATGGTGAAACCCCATCTCTACTAAAAATACAAAAATTAGCTGAGTGTGATGGCATACATCTGTAATCCCGGATACTCAGGAGGCTGAGGCGGGATAATTGTTTGAAACCGGGAGGTAGAGGTTGCAGTAAGCCAAGATCATGGCACTGCACTCCAGCCTGAGTGACAGAGCGAGACTCCGGCTCAAAAAAAAAAAAAAGTACTTAGGATATGTACACTTCAATTTAACTCTATTATAATATTACAATGGATTAATAAAATTTTTCTTTTTATTTAATAAAAGAGTGCCCTGGCTTCTTTTTGACATCAAAGGTAAACTATTTTATCTGAACAAATTGGGCATTCCCTTGCTGAGTCATACATGTTTAGGCACTAGCAAGGCAAGGAAGGCTAAATAACTTTTGACAGCTAAATAACTGTTGGTGTGTATTTGAATCACATTTCTAGGGAAAATGGCAGAGATTGGTTAATTATTCACAGAACAATTTCCCTTTCTCTTCTGGGCTTACACCAAAGATTATTTTCTGTTCTCCCTTGTCGTTGGATAGCAGGTATGTGACTGTTACGGCCCTTGCAACACACACAAGTGTTATTCATCACTGGCAGGCCCAACCCATACAAGCCCACATAACACTCCTTATCTCTTTCTCCTTGTCTGAAAATTCAAACATTGAAGGAGGTGGTCTAAAATATAGAAAATGATGCTGCAGCCAAGAATCTGTTCTTTGACCCACTCTGGACAATGATACAAAAAGGAATAAATGGTACTGTGTTTAGCCACTGAGATGTAGGGTTGTTATAGCAGCAAGCCTGTCCTAATACTAGCACTGAAGCCAACTCAGTAAGCAGAGGTAGCTATGAGCAAAGATGATAGGAAAGGATAGGAGTTCTTCCCAATGCTGAAACTTTTCATCCAAAATAGGCTTAAAGTAAGGGCAGTCTGAGCTTAGTCAAATTTAAGTAGGTCTGATGGAATTCCAAGATAATGAAAAAACATATTTATACAGAAAATTCTGTACAAAAATTGTGACTCAGAATGAGATTAAATAGCTGTTTCCTCCTGGATTTTAAGTATGTAGCTTCCCTTCATCTTTGTTAACACTCCTATTGCCCGTTTCTAGCCCAATCTTGTGTTTTCAAATCAGGAAATGCCTCAATTCACTTCTTTTAATTCGGCTGAGTTTTATCTGAGATGGCCGCTTCTCATCTGCGTGAACTTCAGAAGAAAATTTAATGTATTTTGGCATTTGTTATCTCATCTATAAAATACAGTTAACAAGACAATGGTTTTTTTTAGCTGATTAAAAAATAAAGTACATCCTGAAGATTTTAACGGTTAAGAATACTGTATTGTATACTGGACATTTTCTAAGAGTAGATTTCAGATGTTCTCTCCACAGAAATAAAATAGGTAACTATTCAAGATGATGGATATGTTAATTGGCTTAACTGTATTCAATCAATTCACTCTGTATACATATATCAATATGTCATGTACACAAATGCATACAAATAAATAAATAAATGCTTGTAAATTATGCTGCTTGTTGCATGGTGAGCATCCAATAAATGGTAGCTGCCACAGTTTGTTTTGTTAGTGTTTTTATTATTGACAGATCCTAGTTAGGTTTTATCCTTTCAAATAGCTTATTGTTTCATATAATTTATTTATGGTGTTAGGCTTCACGGTATGTATAAATTACACAAAATGTTGTACATACATCCTTTTTAATTTCTCACCACCAACTCTTGAGTTGTCCATGGTTTCCATGAGGTTCAAATTGATTTTGTGTTCTAAACTAGTTGCCACAGCACCTTTCTGTTAGAGGAGTTAATAAAGGGTTACAAGTTTAACATCCAATTCCACAGTTCATTTTAGATTGTAGGTAAGTTAATGGCAATCCATACTGCGCCCTTAATTTCTCAAGTGCACATTTGTTGAACAACTCAAAGTTCACCTTGAACTAAACATGCATCACACAAAGTAAAATAACATCATATCAAGAGTAAAAACAATAAAGATCTTTAAACGTGACATAATCAATGAGTGGTTTTTTATAGTAAACGAAAGATGAAAACTAATTTCTGTCTACTTCGATGAGAAGTCTTTCATCAAACTGTTGGTGTAAGCATGTGCTTTCATATGCCAATGTAGCAACAATTCTACGGAAACATTTTGCACTTTTATCATAAAGGAGTGTCTCAGATAATTTTCCTTACACACTTAACTGTTTGATCCATGCAGGCCAATTTTGAAGTCACTGCTACTTTTGTTTATAAGGGAAAATGCCTGAGCCATTGCAAAGAGAAATTAGGTCATTGATTAATTGATTATTAATTTCCTGTGCTTGATGTCTGGAAATGTCTTTTAGATTTTTTGGCTGGACATTTCAAGTGTGTAAAAAATCTGTAATGAATATTATATTTATAAATACTCTACTAATAACAAAATGTTGAAACTATGTTAATTTTATAATAA
This sequence comes from Homo sapiens, assembly GCF_000001405.40. Taxonomy (NCBI): domain Eukaryota; kingdom Metazoa; phylum Chordata; class Mammalia; order Primates; family Hominidae; genus Homo; species Homo sapiens. The sequence goes on from NC_000013.11 coordinate 66,440,528, forward strand.
ATATAATTTTTATAGTCTGCAATATGATTTATAAAAAGCAGGTATCATTAGGTTTAATTTGTAGATGATGAGAAAATAAGTTCAGAAAGGTGTGAAATCTCAAGGCAAATAGCTAATGAATAGAAGGAATTGGGACTCAGACAGGGTCTTCTACAACCTGAGTAATAAACCCTGTTGCATTTCTTCTTCCTTTAATGCAACTCTTCAGCAAATATTTCCAACAGAACAGTATTTTTATTTTATTTTTTTCTCTAAGGAACCCTCATATTCTTATTCCTATTTTCTGTCTTTTTTCTTCTAGTTTTTCTCCTTGCCAGCATGCTATTCTAATGCATCCAACACAGAGACTGTACCTGTCTTGTTTTCAAAATATGGCTTCACGGAAACACACAGATTCTGCATTGCATATATCAGCTACACAGCCACAAGATCAACCACAAGCATAATTAACTTTAAAGTGACTCAACTTCATTCACCATGATCGTTCTGTCTTTATTGAATTTTAATGTCTTTTATTTTAATCAAACAATATCCCTTCACAGAATATACACTAAGAAATGAGTTTTCCTAAATGAAATTGCTTTTTTATTGCCATTCTACCATACACTCCATTTACATCTCTAGAACATTAAAATAATTCTTTGGATGTTGCTTCACCAGCAAGTGAAGTGTGTTATCCGTAAGAGCTCTGGTGGATGAAACACTTTCTCTCCAGGCATGGGCCGAGAAGCTGCATTAACAAGTCTGAATATCACCAGTGTTTCCAAAAATTACCCACCAGAGCTATAGACAAATTTTGTATCCTCAAAGCAATGAAAATTTAAGAGATCTGTCCTTGGTTTTAATTTGTAATTTTTCTATGTCTTGAAGGAGGGAAGAAAAAAATATTAGAAAAACCACCTGAAAATATATGAAAACAACTTTTTATTTTTAGAATGTGTGTGCAAAGCAAGATAAGTATTAAATAAATTCTGTTATTCTAACAGAATTGATTTTTCTTAAATCATTGTAAAAGGTATCTCAAACAATATATGCATAGAGTGTTTTAGCTACAGTGGTTTATTTTGAAATTCCTAAATTAAAGGATAGAGTTTCCAAAGCTAACGAGTTCTCTTTACAATAAAAACATTCAGGACAAAAACTACCATTAAGCTGGGATTTTTATATTTATGTTTTATTACTTTATATTATGATTAAATTTATTACAGCTTTTATTTTAACAATTTAGGGAAGGAAAAGGATAATTCTTGGTTAATAAAGAAAAACTAAGATATTTTAAAAACAGTAAAAATTGTGCATTTTTATGACTTCTTAGTACTACATTTCTTCACTAGTATACAGTTTCTGGGTTTCTACATTATAAGTTTTAAAATCATTTCTTTATATATGCTAAGATTACATCCAGCTTCCAAGTTATGTACGCAAATAACAAATTGGAATTCCATTACTCCAGAGGAATAATCTATTTGGGTTTTTAATCTGAACTGAATGACTTTTGGAAAACTATATATGATTGTATCCACATCATAAGTTTACAGGTAATGTTTCCAACTACTTAAAGGGATGGGGAGGATTCTACCTCTTTCTACAAGAGTTCTTGTCCAGTGCACAAAGCATGGCTGTACAAAAACTGGCTGCCACATACATCAATTGACTTTCAATCTCTGGTGAACAACTTACAAAGTAGGCATGAAAATAAATAAATAAAAGTTTAGAGATCACTATAGAAGTCCCTGGAGAACATCCAAAACATAAATATGCTTGTAAGGAAGAATGAGAGAACAGCGATGAAATCACATACTCTGGTCTTTCAAAGAGAAAATGCATGTTATCCCCTTTATATAAAACCATAGAAGTTTCTAAACAAAGGTTATGGTTAGGTGAGGCCTTTAGTTAATCAGTTGGAGAAATGTGCAAAAATGATTTGTTCCTCTCCTCATCGAGTCATGGAGTAGCATTCTTTTCATAGAAAAAGGATACAATGGAATAAATCTATGATGATAAAAAATCTCTTTTCCAAAGAGTGAGATTAAGTTGATATATATATATAATTAATATTTTAAGTATTCAAGTAACTGTTAGATCTCACAGTAAGAACTAATAGTTGTCTAAAATAATAAACTCACCTCCAGTTTGTTGTTTTTTTTTCAGTCTTGTCTAAATTATTTCGGTGTGAACTTTAGCGATAATATTATGGGGACAGTACGAATTTAGTGATGAAGGATGAATTTGGTTATGAAACCATTTGGACTCTCCTCACATAGTGCCATTTGTTTGCTCATCATAATATTTTCTCCAGGTTTTTGAGGTTTAGTCATTGACAAAAAGAATACTTATTAAACACCTAATTTACCTTCATGATTAACTTTTAAGTTAGCAATATGTGTAAATGGTAGTTCCTAATTCCAGGCATATCTCTACATATTTCCCTTTTTGGTTTACACAGCTGCAGAAACTAACACATTTCAACAGGGCAAGCCAAAAATACATGGCACAAGTGCCAATTGAAGCCTGGACCCTCTGTGAATGCCAAAACAAGAGCAAAGCAAGGGGCTAACTGCACACATCAGAAAACTAAAACAGACAGAAAATGTATTAAGTAACATGAAATGTCAGGAAATACTGACTTGATTTTTATATTGTCTTTCATAAAATAAACAGATTTAAGACATAGCCACAAACTCAATGAACACTTTAGAACAAATTTTCATTCATCTCTGGGACAACAAGCTGAAAAATTTTTAGTTAGTATTGATGATGGGATTTATATATGTGCTGCTGAAGTGAGCAAAATGATGAATTTTAATGGTCAAAAAGGGCATAGCATTTTAAATTCTGACAATTTTTGGAACTGTGTAACAATGTTTGAGGTTTTATGTTTTTATTGTTCTGAATAAATTGTTTCTATGTTACTGTTATTTTTGTGTGATTTTTTACATATTTATTATATTCCAATAAACTAGCATTATAAATGAATTTTAAAATGCTCATAATTAATAGTGACAACATTCTAATAAAACTAACAGTGCTGATTTTCATGTATTTTTTTCAACTCTTGAAATGTAAGCTAAAACTTTGGGAAACATGGTTTTGTCACAATTTTACATGAAATGATTACATGAAGAGTTTTTAAATTAAGAGCTTGTCTTCAGTTCTTGGTAACATTTATGATATTTGATTTATTATTCTGGAATTTTAAGCAACAGCTTGAGTAAATATATAGATAAAGATAAGTAATTTGAAAAATCCTTAAAGAATGCTATGCTTTTCATCACAGACAGTTGGTCATTACCCTCCACATATTATAGTTATACATAATGCAAATTAGAAAAATAATCATTCAATATTATTATCTGATTTTTTTGGAAATTACTATGAGCGTTGTTTAACAAATTTCAAATTTCTTGTACATTCTTTTTTCCCTATTTAAATTTCAATTTCAGAAGGCAATGACTTGGTTAAGTCAGCTTCAGAAATTATTTTCCCCCTCTACAAATTCACCTGTTTATCTCTAATCCCTGGCTAGTTCAAGACTGATCCTATAATCTGTTAATATCTGATTTACAGAGAGCCAGTTGTGCCCCACGGAGACTAAGCCATTCTTACTCTCCAGCACATTAAGAATTAATATTTACCCTTACTGGACCTTTAAGCTTCCACAAGAAACTTTAACAAAAGCTGTGCAAATCCCTACCCAACATATACTGAGAGGATTAATAATAATTCCTTTTGATCAGAATTACTCTGTTGGCCAGTAATGGTTTCCATGGTAATCATGTGGTAGACAGGGCTGAGACTGATTTCATCAGTTGTAAGACATCATTAGAATTATCCTACATGTCTAATTATAACTTTCCATGACTAACTTTTACATAGTGTAGCTCAGAGGCACAGGAAATGAAGTTATAACTGTTAGAAAGCTTCCATGAGGACAAAAATTATTTTGCTTTCTCCTAATAAGACTTTTTTTTTTCCTGCAAAGAGCATTAGAGAGGAGATATTTTAATGTTTTTATTTATTTATTTTATTTTTTATTTCTGTTTGAGACAGAGTCTCACTCTGTTGCTCTGTCGCCCAGACTGAAGTGCAGTGGCACGATGTCGGCTCATTGCAACCTCTGCCTCCTAGGTTCAAGCGATTCTCCTGTCTCAGTCTCCCGAGGAGCTGGGACTATAGGCATGTGCCACCAGGCCTGGCTAATTTTTGTATTTTTAGTAGAGACGGGGTTTCACCATGTTGGCCAGGCTGTTCCTGAACCCCTGACCTCAGGTGATCCGCCTTCCCCGGCCTCCCAAAGTGCTGGGATTACAGGCATGAGCCACCACGCCCAGCCTTAGAAAGTATTTTTATGAGAACTGGAGCCAAGAGCAGTATCAATGAGAATTTCACTGAAAGATTATTGTGCTGACAACAAAAACAACAACAACAAATTTGGTTCCTAGACAGCTTAGACTTCAGAAAATATTAGCATATTAGAAAAATTGTAACACACGATGATTGTGGTGATCTTTTCACTATATATATAATATATATATAATATGTATTATATCTATCATATATAATATTATATATAATGTATATTATATAATTTTATTGTATTATATAAAATATATTACATATATTATTTTACTATATTATATATTATATATATATAAAATCACCATGTAGTACACTTCAAATATATATAATTTTTTTGCCAATTATATCTCAATACAGTTGGAAGGAGAAGATAATTTCACTAAAAATAAAAAAGCTGAGTATCTTCTTTGTCCTCTTCTGATTCCTATTTTTTCAAGGGGAAGATTTAGTTCATTGCAGAAAGTTAGTTGAAATGCTATACATATATTTACATATGCATATATACACGCTGTTCTATATTTATCTACCTATACAGATAAATTAATAGATGTAGATGTGTGTATATATATACACATATATATAATATATATACACATAAAATATATACACATATATAATATATACACACATATATAATATATACACATATATATTATATATACACATATATAATATATACGTGTATATATTATATATACACATATATATTATATACACATATATATTATATATACACATATATATTATATACACATATATATTATATATACAGATATATATTATGTATACACATATATAATATATACACATATATATTATGTATACACATATATAATACATACACATATATATTATATATACACATATATAATACATACACATATATATTATATATACACATATATAATACATACACATATATTATATATACACATATATACACACACACACACAAGCATACACATATATAAAGAAAAAAATATATATCTATATTTTCCTTTCTCTTCCATGTTTATTTCAAAGGCTTGGTAAGCCTTTCGATGCCAATTTCTAAGCATGAGCTTCCACAAAATGGAATGTCATAACTTAGATATTACATAATCTGGAAATTTCCTGCAAACTTGTCTTTCAAACTATTTAAAAATAAAGCATTTCTCCAAAAGTGCAAAATTGAAAGAATTATAACGTTCAAAACTAGCAGCTATTAAAAGAGAAATAATCAGGGTTTATATGTGATGTGTGTATGTATGTATTTGTGTGTATGTGCTTCAGGTGAAAACATCTGAACCTTTCAATTTTTGAAACAGAAAGTCCATTAGCAGAATTTTGTTCCAGTGTCCAGCTGGTTACCCTAATAAAAAGAGTAACCAACATTTGCCAAGCTTTCCAGTTCAGCACTTAATCCTTATTTTAAAGGCAAAATCCACACTCAGAAATGTTTAAAAAAAATGGAAGACAGCTGGATATTATGATATAAATTAAATACTGTGGATTTGCATGTTTATGCCAATGTATAGCAATTCCATTAAAAATAACTATTACTGGAATTTCTGAAAGATGAGTAGGAAAAAGAAGACCCAAAATGAGGTACACCTCGAAGAAACTAGAATTATAAAAAGGCTAAAAGCCATGATTTATAACGGATATTAAAAGATCCATGCTACATATGAAAGGAATGTTACTAGTTCTCTGTGCTGTGGATTAAAACACATTCTCTAGAGTTAAGGTGAGGCAGGTGAATGGAATTCCATTTTGATTCCCTTGGGCAATGATTGGAGATGAAGAAATCATATGTTCATATTACATGAAAGAATGTTTATATTGTCTATCACATTCAAAAAATCTTAAAGTTGTAGCATCGGTCAAATGTTAGAATCATTTTATCTAACGAAGCTGTAGACTGTAAAAAAAATAGAATTTCTTAACTTTTATTCTAACGTCCAGTCATAATTTTTAAAAATAAGCATATAGAATGCACTTGTAAATGAACAGCACATTCTATAAATAAACCAGTTGTCAAAAACAAGAGCAATAACAGAGATTTTCTAAAAATCTAACTAGGATTTGGACTTTAAAATGATAACTTTAACATTTCCTTTCTAAGCCATTTAGCTTGTTCATAAGTTTAGGAGTGTGACAATAGTCATGCAACTAATTAATAAACATTGTTTTCTTAACTCTCAGGAAGAAAGTGTCTTTTAAACAAAAATTAGGAATAAAAAATGCATACTTCTCTATTTACGGTCGGAAATATTTAGTAAATTTTATGAAATGTTATTTTTCTGAGCCCGATAAAAAATGTTGAAAAGCTTCTAATATATTTTTAAGTTGCAAAATAGATTTCCTTTATCAATTGAAGCATCCATTTTATGGCATTTTTCAACACAACTCCACTTGAACATGTGTATTAAGAGTTAACATAACTAATAGCCTTGGAGATTTGAGTCTAATATTAGGCTTATAAATTATACTGTTCATAATAAACTGCTAATGCTTCAAAAAATATAACTGGGAATAATTACCACAAATTATGATACTATGTCAAAGGAATCTGCCCATATTAATGCATCTTCTCCCAAGAAATTTACTTGTGTCTCTCTTTTTAAAAATTTTTGCAAATAAAAAAATTAATTTGGCAATCTTTTCTACTTCATGTTTTAATATGTGTGTGCGATTAAATCTATCTGTGGCAATTAGGACTGGATTCTATTTTGTCAGTCTGTCATTTATTGTAGCAAGTTTTAAATAAAGGTTGCAAAACTTAATATAATAAAAACTGAAAGCATGGTTAGCTAGGATAAAGCTAATCTGTTTATTAGAAATACTTGAACAAATAATAATTGAAATAAAGTGAGTGAAAGTTGTCTTGTAATTTGTAAAAGGTGGGTATTCAACGAATTAAATTTAATGTTGCAAGGGGAAAGTAAAACATAATTAGATTATTATCTTGAATGTATCTTTGCCATATTGCAAATCCAACTCAACTGATTTTCAAGTAGTGAAAAAATATGAGGTAATGACATTATATCTGAGTTCTTTCAGTTTGGAGAACAAGAAGAAGAAAAAATCCTACCTCTTTCTCATTGTGTGAACCTCACTGTTGTCATTTATGCCTTAATCATTTAGTTATCACACTGTAATTAGTTCCTAATTGGGTAATATTTGGCTGAATAGGTTCCTTTCTTTTCTCTCTTTATCCAATAAAGAAAAAAAATGCTGGTGGGAAATTTAGTTATTGGCTCTTTAGGAAGCAATTTCTCAGTCCAAAACAGACACAAATTCAAGTCCCAGAAAATGGTGTGCTTGAAATGAGAAAATCTCATCGTGTAGTATTTTCTGATGACCTAATATTGGAAATTTTGTATTTTTGATGGCTCAGAACCACAGTACCCGACATACATCCCCAGAGAAATAGCTGTTTGCTACCTGCAGTGGACGTGTGAAGTGCACGTGGATGTGTGCAGTAAACTGAGTGAATGCCATGTTTTACATTTTAAGGGCCAGGCCCTAATTAGAGTACTGTGTTAGTTCTTTTCACTACATAGCAAAAAGACATTGCAACATTTTAAGGAAAAGATTAGTAGAATTTTAGCTAGTTTAAAATCCTAGGATTAAAGAGACTGAGTTATGAGGACAGGTCAAAATCTTAGTGTAAACGGAAATGTTTGAAATTCCATATACAGACCTGTCTTTATAACATGTATAAAATCACATGCAGTTTTGATAATACCACATCACAGAAATTGGGACAGAGACTTAATTGTGGGCTAACAAAGGCAAATTAGACCATATATTAAAAGTACCATAGTAATGAAAGGAAAATACTTGGATATGGAGGTGGGAGGAAAATTATTTGCTTGTAAAAGAAATAACTAAAACATTTGCTGCGTACTATTTTTGAATTTCAAATAAGTTTTTGTAGTCATACAATCAAGTTAGTAGATTTGTTTCAGGAAATTAAGTTATGCTGCAAGAATTTATTTGAAAGCATAAAATAATTCTAAGCTGAACAAATGGTGATCATGCAAACTTAGCCACATTTTGGTATTCTTGGTCCTCTTACTAGTCCAATTTCTTCTTAGTTTCAATCAACACTTCAGCCCCCAGCAGAAGTGAGAAGCCTTTGATATAAAGAAATTGAATAGTTTAGACAGTCTTCTTAATGCAGCTCAGCAAGAGACAAGGGGATAAAATCATCTGCTCCTCCTAGTGAGCTTATATAATCTTCCATAAAACACTGACTGGAACCAAAGAAAGAAAAAAGAAATCTATATCTGAAGGTGCTTTTATATTAAATACCCAATTAGCCACTAGTATTTGAACATGTAGCCAGGAGAAGGCCTTCAGAATGTTTCAGACAAACAAGAACGTTAATGAGAGTGAAACTGAATATCATTTCAGGATTAAATGTGCCATGCAATGACAAGATAAAACTTCAAAGTGATTACTTAGTCTTTTTTGTTCATTTCTCATTATAACGTCTTCCTGTCTGCCTTCTTTTCTCTTTTTTCTTCTACTGTATTTAGTTAAGAATATGGATTGGTTTTGAGAACAAACTATCATCTGGACTTGATATTTTGTTCTGCCACTCTTAGCTTTAGGACTAGGGGCTTGCCACCTGACTTCCATCATTTTCCACTGTGTTATGGGTATAATGGAGATATTAATGCTGTTACGCCCACCTCACAAGAGTGTTCAGAAAATCCTATCTCACAAATAAAGTGTAAAGCTAAATAAAATGTTTTAAATACATATAAATGCATACATAAGATCAAGACCCCGTTGGCAGAATTTTTCAAATAACTGAAATAGTCAAATCATGCATTTAAATGTATGCATAATGGCCTTCTAAATTTTTATTAAACTTTTATATCCCAATCGTACAGTAATATAAATAAACTGATTATAATATTCCTTTAATAAAGATTATATTATGCATCCGTACTAATTCTATTCTAGAGTTAGAAAAAGTTTTTCTATATATACTTATTAGATTAATTGTATGTGAGAGACCTTTTAATGCCTAGATCAAAAAACATATACATATTTTATCAATTATACTTCATGAGTGTTACCTCATTTACACAATAGGCAGGACAATTGCTTTGGAAAATGTCATTATAAAATATAAAGGAGGCAAAAGAATGCTTCCAATACTTCCATTCATTCATTTTGGAAGAGTTTATTTTTTCAAAGTATAAAGAAACAGTGAAAAAACACAGACAACTACATCTTACCCTAGAAAATGTCAGTAGCCATCAGTTTATTTTATTTATGATCTTTCAATATTGTATAAAATCTAGAGGGTGTGCAATTAGTTAATACCACAATAAACAAATTTATTGCCATTTTGCACCAAAACATATTTAATTTAATAGCATATATTACGCCTATGCTATTATACAATATGCTCTAAGATTTAAAGATGATTAGGAGTCTATGCCATTGAGAACCTTTCATATGGACATGAGAAAGCATTGTCTAAATAATGGTAATGAATGATAGGATATTTTCTAGAGAACTATGAGTGAAGAATAATGGAATGTGAAAGCACTTTCCTGTTGGCTTGAGGGCTCCGCAGAGACTTTGAAAGAAGATTAAGCATTTAGAGTGACATAGAAGGATCTATACTATTTCAATGCAAACAGTGGAGAGCAGTGGGGAGGAAAGATTGAACAAGAGTTTGAACATACAAGACCATTTGAATAATACAAGTAGTGACCAATGGCGTTTTCAAGTGGAGTTGTGACACTGCCAATGTCCATAAATGGTAATCTACATCTTAGGTAATTTTTATGCCAAAATTTCTATTAGCTTAGGAAAGTAATGGGTATTAAAATTCACTCAGGCCGGGCACGGTGGCTCACGCCTGTAATCCCAGCACTTTGGGAGGCCGAGGCGGGCAGATCACGAGGTCAGGAGATCAAGCCCATCCTGGCTAACATGGTGAAACCCCTTCTCTACTAAAGAAATACAAAAAAATTAGCCAGGCGTGGTGGCGGCCCCTGTAGTCCCAGCTACTTGGGAGGCTGAGGCAGGAGAATGGCGTGAACCCAGGAGGCAGAGCTTGCAGTGAGCCGAGATCGCGCCACTGTACTCCAGCCTGGGCAACAGAGCAAGACTCCGTCTCAAAAACAAAAAAGGGATAGCGTTAGGAGATACACCTAATGTAAATGACGAGTGAATGGGTGCAGCACACCAACATGGCACATGTATACATATGTAACAAACTTGCACGTTGTGCACATGTACCCCAGAACTTAAAGTATAATTGAAAAATATATTTTAAAAATTCACTCAAAAAACTATATTTCCAATGCCAGGTATATGCTGCACAAAATGAATGAAAGGAATACTTTACAGAATAAAATTCAGGAAATATGAATCTAATTTAGATGACTGTCTATTTTACTAACATTTTAGAGAATTACCTCTACAGAATGTGTTTTGGTATATAATTTACCTAATATGATTATTGCAAAATAATAAGTGGGGTCTATTATTTCAACAAATTTCCAAGGTAGCTGCTATGGGGATATTTTAAAATGAACCTAAACATAAGAACAATTTTGATTAATTTCAATATGCCTTTCTCTTCTAAATTATTATTTACTTAATATTTTCAAAGCTACTATGAATTAGTTTAACAATAAAATAAGTCCTTTCAGTAATTATCACAATTATTTGTATTCACATAGTACATTTTATATTCAAAACACTAGCACATCCAAAAATTGTTTACAAATGAGGAATCTAAGGTTCAGAAAGATGAAATCAATTCCCAGAAGTCACAAAGCTACCAAATGAAACACGCAGGACTAAAAATCAAGTGTTTTGCTATCTAGCTATCTGGCAAAGAAAAATAAAACATAAAGATCTAATGTATACTATTAACATATGGAAAATTAATCTACATTTTTAAATTGGAGATCCTGTGATATTCCTTTTTCACTAGACTGTTTAGCAACTTAGAATGTGTTTGCATACTATTACAATTCAAAGATAACAATGGCAATAACTATCTTTTTCAATACTTTTGATATGTTAACAATATTTCCTGCAGCGTTTTTGCTTGCTTGTTTTTAAATCCGGGCTGAGGTCTAGACTGTCATGGGTCCCCTAAATTCTGAAATATTCTTTTAGGTCTCCATGACAGTTGTGTCTTTGATAATCCTATGAAGTATGTGAACATATCACTGCAATCAATAACAACTTTATCAACTAATATCTGAAAGAAAATTACTTGATAGTATATATAAGAAGACTGCAGAAGAGAAGCATGTAGGTAAATACTGAGAGAGGAAAATGCTTTTTGAGGAGAGGATGGGACATTTTTTCCATTCTAATAATATGACCTATGACTGGTCTTTGTAAAGAACCTCACTGTTCTTCAGTTAGATTATATAAAGGGCACTGCATATTATGCTCAATAGATCCAAAGCATAGCATAATAAACATGCCCCTCCAAACAAACTCTATTTTGCCAAGTTTTAAACTCTGCCAACATTTTAGCATTTTCCCCATAGCCCAAACTCAAAATTTTGGATGGGTTTCTGACTGTTCCCTCTTCCTCATCCCCATTTATAATATTTATATATTTCTTGAAGATCCTTTCTTTTGAGTGCTTTGGAACTTACATGAATTGTCACATTCTTACACCACTTCTTTGGTTCATGACCTCATTTCTCTATGTCCAGATTGCTGAAATAAACTCCTGACCTTTAGTCTTCTCAATCTGCTCAGATTACCAGTTCTATGACACCATTCTCCTGAATCCAAGAATGCAATTACTTTCTCAAAGTAATTGCAAATAAGAGTTTGCAATTACTTTTCCAAAGCTTCTTAAGTCAAGTGCACAATCATATTAGTGGCCCCTGAGAAGCTCTATACATTCGTCTTGATTATACAGGCAAATGTATCACTTTACCTAAACATATACTGTTTTAATCAAGACATTACCCTGAGGATTATTATCCCTTTTCATAAATATCCCTTCTCACATGACTTCAGTCAAGATAATCTTTTCATTTAGAATATGCTCATCCATCTATCCATCCATCCATCCATCCACTCATCCATCCATTCAGCCAGCCACCCATCCATCCATTCAGCCAGCCAACCACCCTACCAGCCCTCATGTAAGGAATAGGTGCACAGCACAGGATAAGACATTTAAAATACATTCTAAAATAATTTTCTGTCCTCAGGATGCTCCCAGGCAAGTTGCTAGGCAGAAATTATCTAATTATAATACACGACACTGTATGTTACAGGTAAGACAGGTGTTATGTGAGAATTTGAAAGGGCTTTTAAGTCAGCCTCCAAGGAGTAGGTGACATGTAAGGTAAATCTCAGAATTTCCTTTTCTTTGATCTCTAACTATCTAAAATTCTGCCTTAAAAATCTGACTCCACTCTTTCAAAAATCATCTCAAATCTAACTTCCTACATAAAACTGTCCTCAGTAAAGTAAGCTGACCTAGAGAGCTATTCTTCCTACTAGAGGTCAAATGCATTTTTTCACATAGTGATAGCCTATGTGATATTGTTCCCTAATATTTTCTTTTTGCAGGTCCCCAGCACTATAATCTATCCCCAGGAAATCACTAGCTTCTTTAAAGGCAGACTTGTTCTTTGTTCCTCCAAGTGCCTATTGTAATGAATAACCTTTAACTGTGCTAGCATAAACACTCTTGAAGTTAATTAAATCAGCTTCTCTTCCCAGCAATCCTTTAACCACTGTGGACACCCATGGGGACGTCTGTACAAATGCCATTTTGGGGGTTCACAGCAGCCATGTTTCTGCAGTAGTATAAGGCCCAGGCTGGACTAATCAAATTCCTTCTAGGATCTGAAATGAGGACATCAATGGATTCTACACTGGCCAAAGCTGTTTTGCAAAAATTATTATTTCTTAACTATTACCAATGAGATATGCATATCTCATTAACAGTAAACCAAGAATAAAAGTGAACAAAATAAATATTTTTATTAAAGTTCACTTTCTTATCAATAACCAATATAAAAGGAACTCAGAACATAAACACATAGAAGAAAATATGATATTTGTCTTAGGAATAATTATTTTAAATACATAATCAGTAACTCTTTTACTTTTGAATATATACCTTGGGAACTAAAAAAAATCCCATGATCTCCTTTTTGTTGTTGTTCTTTCTTATAAGAATCATCACATAGTTTCTGTCCAAACCAAAATGTATGCACTATGGGAAGAAAAAAAAGTCCCCAAATAAGACTTGTTTTTTTCTTTTTTTTTAAAAAAAGCATTTTCTTTCTAAAACTAATTTGCAGCTTGTGAGTAGTTAGAAAAAAAAGACATTATTTTACAGCTACATAACATTTATATCTGAGCAAAGAAAATATAATGAGCTACAACGAAGGAGAAAAAATAGCAAACTTGAATTTATCCACTGTCACATTTTTAATTAGCACCTATAATGTTTAAGAACATTGACAAGTTCACTTGACATACAATTATATGACATTAGAGGAAAGGTTGTAGGGACCTTCCTTCTCCATCTACCCAAAACAGAAATAAAATTTCACCTCTCCAATCATAGGGAATATGCAAAAGGCAGCAGTGCTGAGGAGAGAACTAGCCTCTCTTTCCTAGCCAATGATATCCTATGTATAAAAGATATATATGAAAGGCTGTTTTCTTTATTCCTTAAACATTCACTATCTCTTCATGGAGGACTTGAATGGAAGGAGGCTCAGACTATCCATTCTCGTGGGAGAAGGATAATGAAGTAAAGGTCAGGGGTTACTGGCAAGATTTTCTTTCTTCTTGAAAAACATAATCTTTGCATATCATTTTCTAGAAAATGTAGGGAATGCAAATTTTAAGAGTATAAATTAGTCCTATGAGCTTTTTAGTTGATCTTTTTAAATGTATAGTTGTAAAAATTACTAAATTTCGAACTTCTGACTTCAAGTTACCTGCCCACCTTGGCCTCCCAAAGTGCTGGGATTACAGGCGTGAGCCACGCCACCACACCTGGCAAAAATTATCAAATTTCAATCTTAATATGGGGGAATTCATTTTAAAAACAATAAGAATAACTTTCTATGTAGGAAAGCATTTTATAAAAAAAATTACTTGAGTTGATTTTATTTCTTACATCTTTCAGAGATGTTTGCCAGTTTTCCTTTCATATAATTCTGTCGTTATACAGAAAAAATAAAAACAAAAGTCTAGGTAAAACCATCACCTAGCCAATTCAATTGTAAGTTTCATAATTCAATCATAAAACAATAAAACCTTTTTAATATTTATTTATTTCAGTTCTCTTAATCTCAGCCTACAGCATCATTCTTGATTTGACACTAATAAATATTGACCATATATATATATTCCTTGTTGTTATATATATATTTATTATAAAAAAGTTATAAAAAAGTAGAATTGTGTTTTTGAACACATTCTTCTTCTCCTTAATAAATAATTTTTAAAGAATTATAACAATATTCTCATAATAGTTTTTGGTCATTTTTTAGAATAAAAATATGAGGTTCTATTAAAAACATTCCTTGCTGTTCCTATACCAGAAATCAAGGACAAACTATTATGTTTCACTCTTGCCCCAATCACTCTTGGAACATTTTAGAATCCCAATAAAGTTTTTGACTGAAAGTATGAAATAATAAATGGATAAAATTCTAGTCAATTCCAGTTGGATAATCATTCCAAACTGGATTTCTCTTTCTATTTTAAATTGCTCAGTGGGTCTATTCATTTTTACCAGTTCTATATTTTTAGAATAAAACTGAATGTGATGCTGAAAGATAGTTTCTCTTCATTTATAATATTTAGTTTCTTTTGATATTGTTTTACTATAGAGTATCACAAACTTGGAAAGTAATCTTTTTTCTTTTCAATTGTTATTATTCATTGTAAGTAAAAATATCCAGCCAATATAGTGTATTGTAGTAAATTTTATATACTAAAGAAAGGAAAGAAAATAAAAAGACCATGTTCAATATTTTAGTCTAAAGGTAAGAGATTCATAGCCTACAGCCCATGTTGAAACGTCAGAAGAATCTGCACTGGCTATGAAATTATATAAACGATGTCGCATGAATATATATTCATTTATCTGATTTGAAGGTCCATTGATCTTCCAAAGAGAGTTTAGAACACCTATTTGAAAATATTATGTAGTGTGTCTAAATGAACATATTCCAATATATCTGAATCATCTGAAAATACTAAAAATTAAATGCTTTTTATCTGATGGTTATGCATTAGAAAACAAAAGTTAATATAATTATCTGGAAAATTCAAATACAAATTTTAAAATCCATATTCTGCTAATAAAGAACTGGATAAATTTATAACTTGAATTGTCTATTGTTTTTCTTTTTAGAGGCTGGGTCTGAGGTCTGGCTGTGTTGTCCCAGCCTGGAGTGCGGCAGTGCAATCATAGCTCACTATAACCTCGAACTCCTAACCTCTAGGGATCCTTCTGCCTCAATCTCCTGAGCGGCTAGGACTACAGAGGTATACCACCACACCTAGCTAATTTTCAAATTTTTTGTAGAGATGGGCTCTCATTATGTCACCAGGCTGGTATCAAACTTCTGGCCTCAAGCAATCTTCCCACCTCAACCCCTAAATTGCAGGGATTACAGGCCTGAATTACCACGCTCAGCCTTCAAATTTTCTTTATGAGTTCCCTCTCTGTTCAATATTACTTTATTAAAACTCGACTCTGAATTTCATTTCCCCTATGATAAGACTGTAGCATTCCAATTCTTGTGCTTTCTCAACATGCTAAATTGTTCAAAATGTCATAGCCTATTCAGTTTGACTCTTTCCCCGTTCTTTCTTCCAAGTATCACAGCCTAATTCTTTCTTGTTTAGTTTGAATACTAGAAGATTTGGAAAGAATCTTTCATTTTGCTATGGAGTATGGTGATTAGACCAAAAAAAATAAAGAATAATATAACAAACACATGTGTACTGCCATGGGCTTTGTTAAACCTTACCTTTTTGCTGTATTTTATTGAGATATTATTTAAGGATGTAAAATATAATAACTGTGTACCCGTTCGTAATTGTGTTCTTATGAAAGTGCCCAAAAGTAATTACTATCCTGAATTTAGTAAATATTATGTCTTCATGCTTTTTATTTCATGTTTTCTAGAGGGAGATGATGTGAATTAAGTCTGCGTACTTGTGCCTATAAGGGAGGTATTGCAATCTCAATAGTTTAAATAAAAAGTGGCTCAACATAACTCAGTGGTTGCCAACAACAAAAGCAATTATTTTATGTCTTCTTAAACTTTATATGGATTATGGCATACTCATTATGGCATATTCATATGTATGAATGCATCTCCAGCTTTCCTAAAATAAAACAGCTTATTATTTTGTTATTTATCCTCAAAAACATGTGAGGCTTCAATATGTTTATTTTTAACGCTGCATAAAATTTCATTGAGCACATCTACCACCAATTGATGAACCAAATAATTCACCTTGCTTTTTGAATACAAGTAAATAGAGCATTTCCAGTTTTAAAATAAAGAGCTTGTTGATGTTTGTAATCAAGGAAACCTACAAATAGAAAGGTTGTTCATCAAAAAAGGAATACCTTCCTTCATATACATAATTTTTAAGAGTATAACACTTATGCCATTAATCCCCAAATATTGCACTAACAGCCTAGGGAGTTTTTTAAAATCCCAATGCCTAGATCACACCCCATAATAATTAAATCAGAATGTCTGGAAGTGAGAGCTAGGAATTAGTATTTTTAAAAGATCCCCAGGCGATTGCAAATTACAGCAAAGTTGGCAACCACTGAGTTATGTTGGGTCATTTTTTATGTAAACTGTTGGGATTTCAATACCTCCCTTATAGCTGCAAGCACACTAACTTAACTCACATCATCTTCCTCTAGAAAGTTTTCCTTGAAAAAGTGTTGGTGATTTTTTTGGGGGGGATAGGGGCTTAAAATCTAGATACATGTTAATCATAAAACAACCTACTCCAATCCCTTAAATCGTTTCATTCATCCTGCTCTCAGGTTTGCTGTCTGTTGTTTTTAAGTTTTGTGTGTATATATATTTATACTGCTATCAATCCTATATTTCAAGGTTCCAAGGATGTGGAAACAGGTTGGTTAATTCTCTCTGTACAGTACCTAACAAACCGTTACATGCAGAGAGACAAATCATGCTTTTTTCTGTTAATGATACCTCATGTGAAATAAAAACTTTAACTCCCTAAAATCTGGTCAAAGTGTCTTAAATCATACATAATACCTGCGCTATTTTACTCCAGACTTTATTTTTGTTGAAACTTGCATATTATATATAGTGATTTAAGTAGATTTCTGGTCATTTTAGATCATAATTTTATTCTTATTTACTTAAATATAATTACATCTAAATGAAATGGAAACTACATAGTATTTAGATTTAAAACCAACAATCTATTTTCAAAAGAATATTTTATTTTTTTAACAGTGAATTATCTCTGGTGCAAATAAATCTATGTATTGGATTCTTAGGTTCTTATTCAACCTTAGGAAGCCACATCTCCAACAGAAGCAAAGTATTAAGAGAGCTGGTCACCTTTTTCTGTTTTCTACATTTTGCTGATTTCTACTGCTTTCTTCACTTTCCTACTCTCTCTCTCCATCCTTTCCAAAGGTAGCGAGTGTTTAAGTTATCCATACCTACTTTAACTGGAAGTGTAGTGGAATGAAATCAGTTTACATACATCACCAGCACAATAAAATAGCACATTGATTCTATCCAAAAATCTTATTCAAGACAGTTTGTGTTATTACCTAGAAGACAAATGGTGACATTCGAAGAGTCCAAGCTTGCTGTGACCTTACCAAACCTTTCCTATGAGAAAATACACTATAAAATTGTCATAAAGTAGACCTAACCACTTAAACTAAAAGTTAAATAACTCTAATTCAAATTATACCAACTATACATTACTGTATTAAATTTCTCACAAAGATGATACTCTGCAGGAGGTGGTAATGTTTATGCAGTGGAAAAATCTAAAGCTAGGGCCTGAGTTACAACTATATCAGGGTTATCAAATGAAATGAAAGCAATATGTTTTGGAGTGTTTTTGGCAGGGGAGGGGGAGCAGAGGGTGCTTTAGCTCCAGAAGGACCAAAATATGCTGCTTTTGAGTCTTAAAAATAAGAACGTGTTCCACTGCTTCCTGTTTACAGTCGAAACTACAGGGAAAAATACTTCCAGGGTCCTGATGTTTCAGGTGTAAGATATTAAACTGGTTGTAAGTTGTTGCCTGTGGAGAGGTTGACCCAGAGGATAAAAATCCAAAGAGCAGAGTCACAGAAGCATGTATACTCATAGGTTCTGCTTCAGGGATGTTTATAGTGTTGGAAGGTCCAGTTTCTAACTATTCCTGTCATTTAATGCAATAATGCAGAGGAATGTAGCATTGTCAGCATTTATAACATTGGGTAAGATCTCCGGATGAAAAACAGGTATTCTTTTCTTTCTTCCGAGTGGAAGCCAATGATTGCAATGCCATGAGGTTTTACTTTTGAATTTTTTTAAAAAGTTGTGTTTTTTTTTTATATTTTAGTTTGAGAATGTATTCATTGTATGAGGGTATATTCATTGATGTAAGTTTCTGGAGTGCTTAAAAATGTAAAACCACAAAACAGATGACAACTACAAAAATTTTACAAAAGGAGAAAAACTTGTTCTAAGAAGAATACTAGAAAGTCAGTTTGAAGATTGCCACTTCAGCATCCAGCTGCTTTGAGGCCAGTTTACTTCACTTTCTTAATTAACATGAAGACAAAATGTATTCGCATGCTTTAAGCTATGCATTAATGTTTGATGTTTTAGCATCTAATAAATATCTGCATCTCATATCAGATTCTAGATTCAATACAGTTAGCTCTGGGCTTGCTTTTGAATACTTCAGTGTTTATACAGATTATGTAAATCATACACAGCTCATAACAAAGTGGTAAGGAGATGTGCGACTGTATTTCTCACGTAGAATATCATTATCTAAGCCCCACCCCCAGTTTACAGCTCAATGTATTTATTTAAAGAGGATCTGTTTTCAAGACAAAAAGAATGAGGGGCAAAAACAAGAAACTAACATGAAATCTGTATGGTATCATTTGAAAACTCAGTAGTGTCATTTTAATCACTTTATACCACTTAAATTTTACATGCTTTGTGACAGGTAATGACTTCCATGCAGAGATATAAAACATAAACATTACCCATATTGTTGAAAATATACAATGGAAATTAGCATGACAGAAAAACAATGGCACTATCAAGTAAAACTATGCTATTATATAATAGGAGAGATAAGGAAGACAGAGAAAAGCAGTTTATTATTTATAAATACAATACAGATATCTAAATGCAGAACTGCTACCTTTTCTAATTTGAAGAGCTTTATCAGCCAGAAGTAACTTTAACAAGAAATAGAAACTCATGCAGGAATGAATTCTGCACCTGCCCAGTACCTGCTTACTTAACAAGAATGTTCTTCATGGTCACATTAGGAAATCTATAATTGTGAAGTGAAATGGTGGATATCCAGAAAACTCGGCCAAGTGAGGTGAAATGTAAACTTTAAAGTAGAAACATAACTAACATATAAGTACAATTTATAAAATCCTGAGCCTTTTCTCACAGGGACTGCAAAGCATTGAATGGTTGTTGTAACTATGCTACTATAAGATAGTTGAATTTAAAGCGTCTTCCTGTTTTAAAGATACCAGAATAAAGATACCTGGAATTTTAAGTGACTTTTTCCAAGGTCACACAGATGAGTCAGTGGAGAGACAAGTATAGCTACTGAGTGACAGAGACGAAGAGCTATAGACTTTTCTCTCACTCCACACCTGCAGAAATGCCTAAACTACTCCAGCATGTAAACCCTTCACTGGTGACATCCCACCCTAATCATTTTAGAATCTCAGCAGAGATGACAACACCAGAAGCTCCTACCTACACGCTGGTTGCTTCTTCATTTTAAAAAATAATACTGATAAAATTATTAGCATTTATGAAAAAGATCACTGCAAGAGAAATTGGCCCAGGGTTTTTCATATCTGTTCCAACAGATTATTAGATGCTAAAATAAAGAAGGTTAATGCTGGGCAACAATTTAGACTGTCCATATCCTCCTCCCTTCCAGTGCTAAGTATAGCCTCAAGAGACTGCCTTCAAAATGCTAAAATAAATTAATCGGGAGTCAGTTCCTAAGATATCACTAGCATATTAAACCTTCTTAAAAGATTATGCCTGACTCATATACTTCTTTAGTTATTCATTGATGTGGAATTTGAGACTACAAATCACATTTGTTACATTTTAGAAAATTCTCTTTGCATAGTTTCAGTTACATCAAAACTAAATAAATCATCTTTAGCCAAAAAAAATTTCTTAATCTTCAAGTTCCTCTGGGACACTATACATTTCTATTCTCAGACTTCACTGAACTAAAATTAGTGTTTTGTGTTGAATGCAGATAAGTGATTAGAAATAATATTGAACTTGAAAAAAAAGCTCAGCTAAATAATGGTTTTAGTTTAGCTAACTTATATTTTTTAATGCATACACCTTCTAATCCATTAAAAAAAAACTGTGTCCATATTATCAACTCTGCAAAAAAAAAAAGAAAATCATGCCTCACGTAGATTGTGATTTTGCATTGCTTGCAGGAGATACCATGACATTAAAGCAAGATACACAAAACGGGAAGCTTACCATTTTAGAAGTTCATTGTTTTATGTATATGTATAGTCCTTTTGTTTTTCTGAGAAATGTTGTCATACAATGCCTTGAGAATTAACAAATAGCTACTTTAGACACAATATCAATTGCACTGTACAATATGTAATTTCCAGGTAAATCGTGAAGAAAAATAGAATAGTACCAAATAATTATTTTTCTTTTGTTATTTAAAAATGACTATATTGGATTATTATCTATCATACAAATGAATAGATGTTAATGTCAAAATACATATATAGTCAGAGGCCTTACCATACCATCCCTATTTCTTGCCCAGTGATTCTATTTAATGACTTGTATTTATTGAGTAATTGTTGCAGCAGTGCAACAAGCTGGAGCTAGTTCCTACCAGCTTGAAAGAGCCAATTGTTTAATAACTACAAACACTGTAAGCTATGGTTAGTGTGAAATCAGCCATGATAGGAATATTTACACTATGGAAATTGGCAGTGTTACAAACCATGCTCCCCCAACCCCTTTACCAATACACTACTGTGATTATATAGAAAAAAACTGCACACAGTGCTATAGGTGGCAAACAATAATAAGACCCAGCCCAGTTTTTAACATACTTATTGGAAAGGATTGGATTGGAGACATAAAGAAAGCTTACAAACTGAAAAGAAGAGTTAATGCATATTTTGAAAGCTTAAACCTTTATGGTTTGAAGAATTAAAGTGCCGTTATCAGAAATAAGGAAGTCAGGAAGAGACATCTATTGGGGAAGTTAGGTTGGAACATAAGTTGTTTGCCTAAGAATGAATTCAGTAGAAAGATCACGGGAGCTAAATATCAGAGTTCAAATTATCTATGATCACATCTTTGTCTACAACAATGGTTTCCAAAATTATCTGCCCGTTAGAATCAGCTGGGAAACTGCAAAAACAAATACTATTGTTGTCCTAGCCCTGGAGATTGTGACTTACTTGGTCTGAAATATGGCCTGGGCTTTGAAACATTAAAAAGATTCCCAGGTAATTCTAATATGCAGAGTAGCTTGGGAAACGCTGGGCTATGATTTAAACACTTTTAAATCTTTTTATGCCTTAAATTCCTGAAATGGAAAGATAAATTAATACATCACAAGCTTTAGGGCCTGCAGGTCAGTCCCCAAAGCGTGCTCATTATTTGCCATTACCCAGAGCTGAGGGAGAAAGTCACTCCTATTTTCTACTATGTAAGAGGAGTTCAGTTAAATAAATTCACTTGCTTTCCACTATACAAAGAATTTTAACAATTGATAGGAAATTGTGAGGAAAAAAACCTAATTATTCTTGGTACAAACTGAAATGTGATATCACTGCTTGCACAAGCTAGCCCAATAAAATGCCATATGCATTGCATGATGTGTGCCTAACCCAACAAATATAATTCTCTCTCTCTCTTCATATATATACATGATGCAAACTAACATCTGTAATTTTGGTGGAAGAAGTAACTTAATCACCTAAGTGATACTTTGTAAGGAAGAGAACTACCTCCTTAGGGATATATATGCCTATCCCTCCCTATGAAGATGATATCTTCATCTGGGAGAATTCAATGAGATTATAAACAATCAGCTTGATTCTCCCCTTTGCATTCAAGAGAGCAAAGAATGCTCTTGAGAGTCAAAGGTCTCCCTTTCTTTTTCTAAACAGCATGTAGAATTCCAAGTTGTTCAAGAAAACAGAATGACTTAGAACACATTGTATAAAATTTGACTGATGTTCTTTCTTCTCCAATTGTGCTTTATCACATATATTTGTGCTGCACAGCAAATAACAAAACAAGACAGAGCAAGAGAGAGAGAAAAAAAAGAGAGGAGAGAGAGAAAACAGAAACAAGGTCTGTCAAACAGGATTTGTAAGTATTTATTGTGCATTTAAAACACAGGTTTTGATTCAACAGGTCTGGATTGTGGCCTGAGATACTGCGTTTTCACCAAGATCACAGGGAAATCTGAGGATGCTTTGTAGTCTATTTTTTTTGTGGACCACACTTTGAGGAGCAAGATGGTAAACATTTGAAAGAAAATGTGTGTTGGATCCATTGGATCCATTCCCTTATATCCTTATAGGCAACATAGAAATATCGTGCTCAGACACAGAAATATCATATATACAGCAGGAGAGATGAGGAAAACCATCACATTTTCCTCAAAGGTACAATTAGTCATTATTAGCAAAGGTTGTTTTACCAGACATTGGCTTGAGTGAGCCATGAATCTACATATGATGCTGCATGATTTATAAACATATGATTAGATGTCTAGGGGAAAAAAGAACAAAACAATTCATTGGCATTAAAAATTTAAATTTAACTGACATTAAAAATTTAAATTTAACTGATGCTAGAATTACACAGTATTTCTGTTTTACACTAGGACCACCAAAGTGATCAATGGCATCCTTTCTGCTGAAATATTTATTTTGTAATATGAAATCAAAATATTGGAATCCCCTCTCATTATGTGTATTTTCAGATTCAAGTGTTTAACCCAGAATACGATGCAAAGCAGCCCATTAAGATAAACGCAGTCACTGTTTTATGAAGTAAAGTGAATGATTAAAAAAAAAAAGAAGAGTGCTCCTGCCACAGCTTCGTGGTGTGATCAATGGCATTCACCTTCCCCTCTCAGTGTAACCGGAATGTCTATCAAAACCAGAAAACGGAAGGCTTCAGAAGCATTATGTAGCTAAAAAAGGAGACTATTTTACCCATTAGTAATAAATGTACCTGCTGAGCAGAACACAGCTATACCTGAAAAGCTTCCACAATTCTCTTTTGCTTAGCTCTCCCTGCTATGAGAGAACCAGTGTTCTAAAGAGCATTTTGTAAAAGCAAAAGAGTTTATATAATTGACTTTACTGGAATTAGAAGACAGAGTACAGTGTGCTCAACCTGAAGCAGCCCAACTCTATGATGAAGGAAAATTGCACAATTTAATAGCCAGATACAGGAACTGTGAAGTAATAGAAGTAATCAAAGGCTTGGCCATGCTTAAAGGAACAAATCTGTTACTTTTCCATTTGCTCCAGAGAGGGGACTGCAAGTGGACTATTTGCAGGAAAGTGCATTAGCACAGCTTCCTAAATTTGGGTAGTACTTTTATGAAAAGGAGAATTTAGAAAGAGATAAGTGTAAGTATCTTAATGCTGAGGTGTCTTTTGGAAATTTGATTTATGAGTTCCATGGTTCTAACTTCTATTTCATGTGAAATAATTAAAAAGAATATATCTAATAATTGCAATTAATTTTTTATCTTCTTCTCCTTGGCCACAGCAAACTTAACCTTCATTAAGAATATCATCTTGCTATATTGAACACATATTTTCTATAGAAAGGGAACAACCAAGCCATATTTAGGGTGAAAGCATATTAGCCTTTCTTGAACATCTGGTGAAAAGTGAAGTTTCAGCAGTAGCAATTTATACATCTGTACCATCTTGGGGGAAATGTGACTTGGGTGATTTAATAGCAAGAAGGAACACTGATTTACAATGCAGCATCCACACAACAGCCTGTGAAAATCAAAAGTATTAGGATCATAACCTTGAATGATCTTAATAAAACCTTTAACCAGAATTCAAGTGACGAGAAATATTTTCTAGAGGACTAAAATATTTTTAGCAAGTCCAGAAATTTACATATAGAAATTTTGAGGGTCAAAAAAAATGGATTAGAAATCATTTAAATCTTGTCATAACCTGAATCTAGCAGTATTTATAATGATTCAGATGAAGTAGTTGAGCTTTAGATTACAACTAAATTGCCAGTTAAACACATACAAAATTAATTTCAGTAAAAGGTAAGTATATGTGACAGGTCAATTAGTATGATTTATATACTTCAAAATAATTATACTATTAAGGTAGACAGTATACCGTCTAGTTTTATTCACATCAAATTTCTCATGCTTTGGTTAGCTTAAACTAACCACAGCATTTCAGAAGATGAACAATGAACTAGGCTCTTCCACTAACTTTACTAACAGAAATATTGTTTATGTCATTATGCCTCAGTTTTCTCATTTTTGAAATTATTATTAAAAGTATGAAATTTCCTTTCATTATCTACATAATGCCAGATAAATTAAATGTCTACATTTATTTTAATAAAATAAATGCATAAGTTTCTAACTGGAATATTTTCTATATTAGCCAATAAAATGTTTTATTAAAATATATTACTGTGGAAAATTCAATAAGCTCTTACTGAAGCTAAGGGAAATAATAGTATTAGACCCCATGTAATGTCCTTCAAATTTGGTAAGTAAAGAAAGGTTGACTTAAGTCCAATGTTATTGTTTCCAACATGTTTTTCAAGAAGCACCAAGTTCACTAAAATAAACTAAACATTCTCACAATAAAAAATATAGAAACCTGGTTCTGAAATTACTTTTTTTCACATATTGTCTGATTCTTCATTTCTCACAGAAACACAACTACATCTCATGACATAGTTTCAAAATCAGTTCAATTCCATAAAATTGACTTTTCTCTATCCCTTCTCTCTATTTTTCTATCCCTCCCTCCTCTCCTCCCCTCCTTCTCTGTCAGTCCTCCCCAACCATGCACAAGTGAGAAGAAGTTAGAAATATCTTTTACTGTCCATTGATACACTATGAATTCTAATTCAACAAATCCATTCTTGACTTCTAGTCTCCTTCACACCTCTCACTTCTCCCATTTCACCAATAACCCTACTTTGTGTCACGAATCTCTTATCTTGATTTATGATGCCAGTATTCCCTCAAGCCAGTCCATAGGGAGAATAGGGAGATACTTTTAAGTCTTAAATTCCCTCATCTTCCAACTATTTGTTGCATCTCCATGGCGTGCAGAGTCTAAGCCTTCTGAGGACTTCTCAGGTAGTACTTGTGCTTTTTCATGTGCATTTCCTGTGCACTTTCATGTGCTTTGTCTTGGTTCAGGGCCCCACACTAAGGCAGGCATCACTGCTCATGAAAAGTCCCACTTCCATCACGTTAATTTATTCTTCCTGCTACTTTCTAAAAATATATCTGCTCACATTACTTTTTAAAAAATGGCAACCTATTATCTAAAAATGTGGTTTTCAAACTTTACTGTTTGAAAAGATCATGTTTTAATATACCTGGAGTGGTAAGAAACTGTGTTTTAACATGTATCTCAGGTGATTCAAATATAAGTGATTGGGAAACACACATTAGAAAAAATGTTATGAACTAAGAAGTACACCATATGGATAAGAGTGCTTGCAGTTTTCACAATTTTGTTTAAATTCGAATGCTGTTGAGATGACTTAAGAAGCACCAGGTTCCATAAAGCATCTCTCACTAGTTACTGACTCTGTTTCAGGCATTGCAGAGGGGCTGGTGGCAAAAATTTTGATGAAAGATGCCCCTAACCTGGAAGAATTCCTAATACAATGGGGAAGTAGCTTTTTCTTTAAGTAACTAGTGTAAATGTGATAATCTAAGGGAGCACCAAAAAAGTACATTACATCTAAGGAATACAGCAAATCACTTCACCAAGGAGGTAATAGATGTTTAGATGTTTTAGATGTTCGCATATATTTTAATATGTACATGTGGAAAAAACAATTGAAACAGCCTGAAAGACTACGTTTAACAGAATGAAAAAGTTTCTCCTCACGCCAACCCTCAGTCTTACTGGTCCTCTGTCATAAAGACAAGACTGCTCCCGGTTTCCTGTGGATTCTTGGAGAAAGCCTCCATGCATAGTCAGGTACCTATGTCTACTCACTAGAAATTGTCTACCCCTCTCTTCTCAAACTTTTAATACTTTCTTTCTCGACTTCATTCTTAGATGTGGACTTTGCTAACTACCCTGAGAAAGAAGCACCCACATCTACCAGCCAGCTTACATCAGTGTGCATATCCTCAAGCTTTCCTTCTGTTTCTAAGACTGAATTGTTGATTCTTTTATCCCATTATCTAAGGGCATGCTCTAGATACCTTCTGGAGTCTCTAACTTCAGAACTTTGTTTCAGCAATTATCCCACAGTCCAGTACAAACTATAATTTCTTTTGAATGGATCCTGTATGTCAGAAAAAAGAAAAAGAAAACAAATAAAAAAATCAAAAATCTATTTTAACCCTAAGTCCTACTCCAATTATCGCATTCTTTGCTCTTATTTATAGCAAAAATTCTTAAAATTGTATGATACTTGTTTCTCCCTTTTTATTTTCTATTCACTTATGAACTCACTCCAGTGAGGTTCCTTGCTCATTTCTCATTGAAACCGCTCTTGTCTATGTTAGTAATGATTTTCCTGTTACTAAATCCAACAGTGAATTCAGAGACCTAGTAACACTTTGTCATCTGCCCCCTTTTCTTCCTGAAGTCTCCTAAATTTGTATTGCTGCCCTATCATCTCCTGATTTGTTGATCCAACTCCCTCCTCCATGCTCCAGCTGGATATCTAAAAGCTTTCTTAAATTTAACATGCCCAAAAGTGTCCTAATTACCTTTCTTCCCAAGCACCAACCTGTCCACCCTACACTCTCTCATCCCAGGAAATACCACCACCATGGTATTTCTGAAGTGAAGGCCAAAAACCTTCAATGTGTTGCTTGTTTTTCTCACACATTACCTGCAATCTGTCAACACCCCATCTACCTTAAAAATCAATTGAAAAACAGTCTATTCTCACTATCTTTCCTGTCACCACCTTGGTAAAATCTACCATCATCTCAGACCCTTCTCCAATGACCTGTCAAGTCTCAACACTGAACCCAGAGTGAAACTTTTAAAAGAAAAGGTAGATAACTGTCATTTCCCTGACTCACCTAGTAATGAAACTGTTAGAATTGTCCCATTTTTATTAACCTACTCTCATACTCTGATGTCTTGAAAAGAAGATTTGTTATGTCTTACACTTCATGACAATACATACTCTTCTTGCAGTACAATGATGATAGTGATGCTATTAAATGTTTCCCAGAAAGCACATTGCCAGTCATGTATATTTTTGACTAGTATCCTAGTTTATTCCTAGATAAAACCTGGATGATAACATAATCCTCTGCATAATTGCTTGTGCACCTCAAATTTATACATATTAACAATTAGGATACACATATGATGTCCATATCTACAAGTATCACTTTGGTAATGAGTTGAACAAAGCTGTGAGTATATCTTTTTTATAGAGAAACTTCCTAAGCATTCTTCTATATACTCCCTGAAGGCTTAAATACTTGAAGTTACAGTCATGTCCACAAAGATATAGTCAGGCTGCACCCAAGGAAATGAGGTTAGGAAATAAATTTGGCCAAAATATATTCAAAAGTACTATTCTGGAAGCCTAATGTAAGTAGGGGCATTTTCTAAAGGACTAATTTATTCATTTGCACATGGGTGTGATTTTTCTAAGTTGTGTGTGTGTGGGACCTAATCAGAATTTGAATTAAAAATATTTCTGTTGCCAGGCTAATATATTTCTCATACAATTATCATTCTGAGACTGAACTGTATCCATTGTATTTAAATCCAGCTAAAATTTTTCATCGTATTCCTTCAGAGCTGCTTATAAATAACTAGATATGCAGTTAGAGTTGACAGATTAATTTGTTTTAATAAGGGTAGTAACGTACCTGTTTGCCCAAAAAGAAACATTTTGCTGCGACAAAACCACATTATGCCATCTTGTCAGATAACTTCAAGATACTTTAAAAATGTATAGTCTGTCAATATTGATTCACAGAAGGCAATTATTGTAGGAAGTAAAGAAGGAAAAAAGAAAGGATGGAAGGGAGAGAGAAAGGAAGAAAGGAATGAAAAAAGGACAAAAGGAAGGGAGGGAGGGGGGAAGGAAGGAAGGAATAGAAGGAGGGAAGAAGGAAGGGAGGGAGGGAATAACTTCAAATTGTAACCAAATGCTGCAAAATGGATTCATTTTCTATATTAACTTACAAGCTATCCACGACCCAGTAGATATTGATATTATTTCTTCTATGCCACAGCGTGTTTTAATTATATTATATTTTTAAAATTATAAAATAGTCCATCAAGGTGTGATTACAGTGCGTGAAAATGTGTCAATTCTGGTATCTCTGGTCGCCTCTTATTTGTACATAAAGCTACGCATTTCTGCATTCTGCAGGTTTCTCTTCCCTTCACGGTTTGCTTTTCTCTCTCCCTCTCACTTTAGTTTCACCCATTCCCTTTTTTATCCTTCTATCACGGACATTTTATCTGCTATGTCTGTAACTGATAAAGAAAGCCACCGCATTTCATGGACAGGGCCACTTTAATCGTCCTTCAAAGCTAATGGCAGAGTGGTGATACTGTGAATTACACTGTCTGCTTGTCTTTCTAGACTTTATCCACTTTTAACCGTGATCTCTGGTGAATTCTTGAACTACAGAGCCAGCTTCTACCTCTTTCCTTTTCTTCTCTGTGCTTTTGTTTCACAGGAATGATTTTGTTCTTGGTAAGTGCTAAGGAAAGCAGTGATTGATGCCACTTCTATATTAGTATAATTGCTTTCGTAATTAAAACAATACGACATGACCTTCCTTGCTAGTTTGAATTGTGACATCTGTAGGTATATATATAGACACAGATGAGAAAGAGAAAATAACAAGAAAATTAAATTTAAAAACCCAGTGTACCTTAACAGCCCTTTTGTACTCAGAATTATATATATCCTTCTGTTGAATTTTAGCATGTATGCACACCTAACACATGGTTTGTCATATTTATCCAGTTCCTGCTCCTTAAAATGTAGGTACTTTTGTAAGATGCATTAACTCAATTCCCTAAGTACGTTAGTACCAGTCACTAAAGTACTCTGAAAATCTCAAAGTGTTAACGCATCTTTGAAAAGTGAAATATTGCTGAAGAGTATTGGTGACTTATAAAAATCTGGGTCAGTTTAACTGTGTAGAGAAGCTCATCTAAGCAGGGCTTCACTGAATGGCATATACAAACATTTCTCTGTTGTCTATGATGAGGTACAAAAAAACCCTAAAAATGTGAAATGTTATAAATAACTAGAGAAAAAGCCAAGGGGGGATGCATGTAACATTGTACAGAACAGACATGAGCTCTGAAATTAAAAAAAAAAAAAAACTTTTGGAAGCTCACATAAGAATTAGCACTAAGGACTGTGTAGACAAATGACTGGGATCAATTCTACCTAATCTTGCTGAGCTAACTTGGACAAGTGTTTCATCTCTCTGAATCTCAACTTTTACAGTTCTGAAATAGGGGCATATAGAAGATCTGATCAGTAGGTGATTTGGAAGAATTTTAAAAAATAAATGCATTGAGATGCACAAAGCACACTAGATGGAAATTATTAAGTGCTCAATAAAAGGCAGCCTTTATTAATGCTGTTTAACTGTTAAGATCTGATTAGAATCAAGTACAGTACTTCTACTGAGCACCTGGGGGAAATGATTCCTTATCGTGTAAGCCAGATCACCAAAGAACGCTTGCCTAGAGCTTTAAAAAAATTGCTACTTGCACATAAAATCAATCTTTGTTTTCTACTTAATATTTTTAGCTATGGTTTTAAAAGGACTGATCAGTTCGTACATGCCTTTTTTCAAGGAGGAGGGAGGCAATGAGAAAAGGTGATTGTTAAATTGTTACCTTGACAACAAAGAGAACCAATGGTGAAATAAGCAAAAAGACATTCTTAGCAGTAACTCAGCTTCTGTAAGTTTTGCTAAAAACAGTCAATACTATTTAATTGATCTTACAGAGCTTTTTCTTTCGAAGATTACTACTGCAGAGATTTACTAAAGGAATCTGAAAAAATAAAAGTTGAGAATAATGTTAATTTCACTTTAATGGATCTCAATTTTCTCAGCTTGTGTATGTGTAATTCTTTGAAATTACCAAAACACTGACATATTTTTATTTTAACATTATAATACCTAACACATATATCATATTCTATTTTTCAGAGACTATGTGAAACGGCTTACTTGTGATTAATGCATTTAATCATTAATAATGGGACTTTAAAGAAGATATAATTATTATCTTTTTTCACATTTGAGGAAACTGAGGCAACAGAGGCTAAGTAGCTTGCTCAAATTTCCATAGCAAGTAAAGAACAGAGTTATAATTTGAACTCTGGTAGTCTAGCTCTAGAGTTTCCTAACCATTGCTCTGCTAGTATCAGAGAAGTATAAAGTAACAGAAGGGAAAGTGTGGGTTATTTGGTGATTTTCCAATATCTGGGTTATTTGGTGGTTTCCCCAAATTACATTTGTTCATGTAACATTTTTATTCATTGAAACTAGAAATGTGGCCGGGCGCAGTGGTTCGCGCCTGTAAACCTAGCACTTTGGGAGGCCGAGGCGGGCGGATCGCTTAAGGTCAGGAGTTCGAAACGAGCTTGGTCATCATGGTGAAACCCCGTCTCTACTAAAAATACAAAAAATTAGCTGGGCGTGGTGGTGGGCACCTATAATCCCAGCTTTTCAGGAGGCTGAGGCAAAAGAATCGCTTGAACCTGGCAGGCAGAGGTTACAGTGAGCCGATATCGTGCCACCCCACTCCAGCCTGGGTGACAGAGCAAGACTCCATCTCAAAAAAAAAAAAAAAAGAAAAAAGAAAAGAAAAGAAAATAGAAATGTGGTTCACCTTTGCCTGAAAGAAAAACCCAGGTCAGGTGTGGTTGCTCGTGCCTGCAATCCCAGAACTTTGGGAGGCTGAGGTGGGTGGATCACTTGAGCAGAGGAGTTTGAGACCAGCCTGGGCAACTTGGCAAAACCTCATCTCTACAAAAAATTTTAACAAATTAGTCAGGCATGGTGGCATGCACCTGTAGTCCTAGCTTCAGAGGCTGAGGAGGGAGGATCACTTGAGCAAGGGAAGTCAAGGTTCACAGTGAGCCATGTTCATACCACTGCACCTAAGCCTGGGTGACAGAGTGGGACCCTATCTCAAAACAACAACAACAACCAAACACATCCATATTATAACAGTGTTGTTCTTTCGATTGTCTTACTTGAAGTTATTGATGTTGGTGACTATGTCTTAATATTGAAAGTGATTCCAGATCTCTCATCTTTGAAAATCGTTTTTTTCCCAGTTAAGAGTTTTGTACATGAGTTTTATGGTTTAAGCATCCAAGCCTGTCTTTATTTTAGAATCTTCTAAAACTTACAAAGCACAGGAAGAAAGAAAAGAATATGAGAATCAAGAATTTATATATCCTATACTGTAAAATAAGTAATCTATGTGTTGTTAATTCAATGAAATAATGAATTTTCTCCTAAAGGATGAAAGTTCATTTTTTATTATATTTGGTACTTTATGATTTCTAGTTATATTTATTCCATTTAAAAACTAATGTGTGATAACTAACATGTAAAACCTTCTTATATTATATAAATTTTATATTTTTTATGGATTGATTTGCAATAGGTATCCCAGGAATCACAACTGACAGTTGGAGTTTCACATATAATTTAAGATATTAAACACTGGCAGTGGCAGTTTATTCAAACTTTTTTGGAGACTTCACAGTGATGCTAAATCTTACAAAAGAAATAATATATTTTATGATTATTATCTGTATGACAATTTTTAGGGTGATCTTGGTCATGATTTTAATAAAAATCCAAAGCAAACACTTAGAAAACAAGGAAAAAAATAGCAGGGAATGGGAATTGATATATCGATATTTGCTATGCTTACTTTCAATAATATTTCTAATACAAATACGAATTATAAGTTAATAACAATAAAGCTATATGTTTTTTTTTCATTTCCATTGGTATGTGTATGTTTCTGTGCATGTACACACACAATCCACTTAGTAACATATGCTAGAATTATTACAATAAATACTACTAGTAGATGCATACTGGAACCTAATATGTATATCTCTATTAAAATTTTATCAATAACTCCTGAATAATGCATTTATTAGGACTCATGTTACAATGTAACTGGTAATTTACTGCATACAATGTGATAAATGACAAAATTTGAGCCCTTCAGGATCACTTTGTATGTGTCATTAGCAATTCACTTCACATTCTTACCTATACAAAATATCTTAAACCACTTAACAGTTTTCTAAAGCGAGCTAAAGCTCAAGTTATTAATATCTTTATTGAAATATAGATCTCAACATCTCCTTGGGGACTAGTAAAGCTTCTTTCATAATGCTACAAAGAAAAAAGCAAATTTTGAAGGAACATATCTGGCTCTCTATCTCCTGTGGATATGCAGGTCTCTGTATGTTTGCATAAGTTTGCCGTTATCAAACAACACTGCCTTGAACGGTTGTCTTAATAAAAGATACAAAACTCCTTAATTCTTTGATCTTGATATGTGTATAGCAACAATAAACTTTTAATTTCTATTTAAAATTTCCAAAATCAAAATGTTTTCATTCACTTAGCTTTGTTTAATGTCAGCATTTAAGGAAATTGACTCTGACAACAAATGCATTCAATATATTATTGTGAATCTAGACATAACTAACCTTTGAATATTTTCATCATCATGACTAAATTTAGTCAGCTCACATGTTTACATCCATGTCTCATTTTGACTTACCTATCTGCATGGGCAAACCACAGTGTGAATTAGAAAACACAGCTCCATGGCACACAGAACACAAAGACTGTCTCCGATTAATAAGATAGCTCTTATTTCTCTGGGTTTATACTGCTATCTGTTTTGAAGGCAGGAATTTCAATGGATAAAATGAAGAAACCATAGAAAAACAGATAAATTCACTTCTTCTATCTAACGTACTGATCTGAAGCAGGGTACAATAGATGGAGCTATGACTAACACAAGGTATAGTAGCTATCCAATAAATATCTGCCAAATTAAAATTATGAAAATTATGTGTAGTCAATATTACAAAAAAGCCTTTACTATTATGACAAGATATTAAGTAAACTAAAAATCATTTAAACTATTATATGAAATATATCATAATACAAACATTAATAATGGTTTATGGTTTTATGTTGATAGTTTGTTATAATTTTAAAACATACAGACACAGTTTAATAGGCATAAATTTTATGTTGATAAAATTATTTCAATGGCTACAATTGAAATGTAAATGGGGTTGATATGTCCTGGCTCTTACCACTATCACTGAGTCATCAAGGGCATCTTAGGCTGGGAGTCACTACAACCTACTCTCTCTTTCTTCCAAATGTGAAATTCCAGAGTTCTTAAATTTTGGTCGCTAAGGTTTCTGTCCTTAGTACTAATGAATTCTGAGGTGGAGCAGAAGACATTACCTAGAGTCTCCTTGAATGAATTTCAATGTTATCCCAAGAATAATTGACAGTGTGTCTACAGCTGCAATTTTCTCTATGGGTTAATGTTATCTTGGGACACTCTGTCACAATAGATAGGTTAAAAATATATAACCAATCCAATTAGATGATGTATAAGGACTTCCAGACTGGTAGAAGAGATTAGTTATATAAAATTTCTGAGAAAAAGGAATCACTGAATATAACAACATGCTTTTCTCATTATACAAGTGCTATATGCTCACAGCACAGAGGAAAGCATTTGTTGTTGGTTGTAGAGACTATCTAGATACAAGATTAGCAAATATCTGCCAGTTTTGCTAAAAGAGACCATATGTATAAAGCACACTTGCTGGCACATAGTAGATGCACAAAATATGTTAATTACCTTCTTGCAGCCCTGCTGTCACTGTGACCTAAAGATAGCTTTGCAGAAAATGTGTTTCCTTATAAGGACTTTCATTATGATATTTTACTACATACTATTCAATTCATAAACAATAACTTAAAACTTCTATATTTTTGTATGTAAGGTGCCATATTCTCATATGTAAGAACTTACCCCTTCTGAGACCAACCATTTGGAAGTAACATACTATTTTTTACAGCTTTCCAATTTTTCATTCACAAATGTATTCTTGTCCTCATTTGTCTTCCTCTTCTCCCTTTCACAATATTTTCTTATCTTTATCTTTCCTATGCCCACACAAAGTAGAGAAAAGAGAATGCAATAAACATGTATTTGATACGAATTCTATTTAGTAATGAACCCTCAAAATGGTCTCCTGTCAGAAGAGAATCATATTTAGCTCACCAATAAAGCCACACAGCTGTACGCCCAGAAAGGGAGATGTAAGACCTACTTTTCACTAAAAAAACTGCAAACAATTGTTTGATGTGAATATTGCCACAAAGCATTCACGACCACATTGCCTTTCACCATATCTCTTCTACCTATCTTTAAATTCTGACTCCAGAATTCACCTCTAAGTCTCTTCCCTAACTGAGCCCTGTCTTCCGATTTGTCCCTTGGACTTTATCTTTTGTTGTTCTTTGAGTTAACTCTGGTTTTTCACAGTTTTAGGTTGAATGTTGTTTCTTACTCTTTCAGCCTTCAGCCCTCTCCATTGTGCCCCTTCCTTGGTGAGAACTGGGTACTCTCTCTATCTTTAAAGGTCTTCTTAAATATTTTCTAAGACAAATGCCCTAGAATCATACCTGACCTCACTTATAACACCCCCCTATCTTTATAAAGCCAAAAAGTTTGTTTATTGTTCAAGTTTTCCTGATGTATCCTAGAAGTTTGTTTTGAGTTTGTTCATTGTTAGTTACAAATCTGAAGTATCACCACCACTTATCTGAAGGCTCCTCCCTCAACAGGAAAATTACATTTTAAAAAAATCACTAAAATATTATATGATGTTAGTAATACACAAATTGTTAGACTTTATTACATAGAGATAGATAAAAGACTATTTTCTTATAAAGAGAATTGCTAGTAGAATTACTTTTATATATGACGTTTCAATCTTGTTATTCCATTTGATGATTTGCAATCCTAATTAACTGTAACTACATGAAATTATCATCAGATTAACTAAAAACATTAATATAAATTTAAGTAAATGAGAAAGACGAGTATACATTCTCAATAGTGGAGATGAGTTATATTCCCAATGTCTTAAAAGGTTTCAATAATATCTCTGTCACAAAGTGGACATAATGTATAATTCTGACATGTCCATGCTTTAAAGCCCAGCAAACTAGATGCCTGTCTCTCTTCCATATTCACCTAAGAAGGCAAATATCTTCTTGTGTATAAGTAACATTGTTTTAGTATCACAAACCAGGAGTGTTATCAGGAGACTAATATCCAAAAATATTGTGAGGAAGGGAGGTATAATGTTAACATGATGGTACTAATGTTGCTTCAACCCTCAGCTCATCAAATGAATAGCTCTGTAGAAACATTACTTCTTAAGATGTAAAGATCCTTAGGCCATACTCAGTTAAATAAGTAGGTGAATTACCCTTATGGATAATTCATTTTTGTTAACTCTCCTAAGTTTTTATTCAATGATATGAGTTATAGAGTGACTAATCCAATAGTAATTTTACTTAAACAATTAATAAAGCTATTTTACTTATTTTAGTTACTAGGAGGAATGCAGAGTAGAAATTTTGACATTAAGAGACTAAGCAGTTCAATGTGCATGTCTGTCTAACGAGACAATATGACAGGACCACACATTTTATTAGGAAAGTTTTGTTAAAAGCATGTATTCTAGAGTCAGACATACCTGAAGGGTCTGGATGCCACTTATTTATAAGCTATATGGCTTGGGCAACTTATTTTCTGAAACTCAGTTTGCTCACCTATAAAACTGAATAATAATATCTAATTAATACGATTATTGTGAAGACTAAATGGGATCATACACATTCAAGCACTTGGCATGTACATTATAAATGTAAATCTCATTGTAGGCTATGATTATGGTCTTTCATGTGAATTTATGCTTACCTAAATTATATGATATTTGAGATGAACTGTGGACAAGACATAGATATCAAAAGATGGCAATCCAACAGACATTTTGGGTTTGAATTATTTCAGACTTACTGGCTGTATGGTATTAGGCAAATTGCTTTGCCTCTCTGTGGCTTTGTTTTCTTGTTAAAAAGGCAGAGATAATAATACCTAACTCTGAGAGTGTTTGTGAAGATTAAAATAATTAATATGTAAGACACTTATAGTGTTTTACATATTATGTTTTCTACAGAAGTTGATGATTATTGTTATCAATATAAATCACATGCAAATCATAATTGAATCCACATCCCACAGGGATTAGCTTCAAGAAAAGATAAGGTGATAAAAATCATGCTTTATCTATCCTCATCCTCTTAAATTGTACAAACTTGGCTTATTTTGCATAAACTCGTAATTCTCTTCAGGATGATCTCAGATGATCGTGATACTCTACCAAGGCATGATTATGAGTACAGGCATACCTCTTTTTATTGTACTTCCCCTTACTGTGCTTCCCAGATGCTACATTTTTTACAAATTGATAGTTTGTGGCAAGCCTGCATTGAGCAAGTATAGCAGCACCATTTCTGCAGCAGGATGTGCTTACTTCTGTCTCTGTGTCACATTTTGTTAATTCTTTCAATATTTTAAATGTTTGGTGCATTATTATTATCTCTGTTATGGTGACGTGGGATCGGTGACCTTTGATGTTACTGTTGTCAGAATTTTGGAGGACCACAAGCCATGCCCATATTAGACAGTGAACTTAATAAATGTTGTGTGGGTTCTGACTGCTCCACCAACTAGCCATTCCCCAGCCTTTCTTTATTTCCTTGGACCCTCCTATTCTCTAAAACAAAGCAATATTGAAATTAGGCCAGTTAGTAAGCCTACGATGGCCTCTAAGCAATCACGTAAAAGGAGGAATCACAAGCCTCTCACTTTAAATCAAAAGCTAGAAATGACTGTGCTTACTGACAAAAGGCATGTTGAAGGCTGAGGCAGGTAAAAAGCTAGGCCTCTTGTGCCAAACAATTAGCAAGTTATGAATGCAAAGGGAAAGTTATTGAAGGAAATTAGAAGTGTTAGTCCAGGGAACACACAAATGATTTTAAAAACTGAAACAGGCCTATTGCTGATATGGAGAAGGTTTTAGTTGTCTGGTTAAAAGATCAAACTGGCCACAACTTTTCTTTAAGCCAAAACCTAATCTAGAGCAAAGCCCTAATTATCTTCAATTCTAAGAAGACTAAGAGGGGTGATAAGCCGCAAAAGAAAAATTTGAAGCTAGCAAGTATTTGCTCATGAGATTTAAGGAAAGATGTTTTCATAACATAAAAGTACAAGGCGAAGCAGCAAGTGCTGATGGAGAAGCTGCAACAAGTTAGCCAGAAGATATAGCTAAGATAATTGATGACAATGGCTACACTAAAAAACAGATTTTCAACGTAGATAAAACAGCCTCTGTTGGAAGATGATGAAATCTAGAACTTGTATAGTTAGAAAGGAGAAGTCAATGCCTGGGTTCAAAGCATCAAAGAACAGGTTAACTCTCTTATTAGGGGCTAACACAGCTAGTGACTTTCAGTTAAACCAATGGTCATTTAACATCCCCAAAATCCTATGGCCCTTAAGAATTATGCTAAATCTACTCTGTCTGTGCTCTAGAAATGGAACAAGAAAGGCTGAATGAAAGCCTATCTTTTGAGAGCATGGTTTAGTGACTATTTCAAGCCCACCATTGAGACTCTGTGCTCAGGAAAAAACATATCCTTTCCAAATATTACTGCTTATGGACAATGTATGTGATTATTCAGGAGCTCTGACTGAAATGTAGAAGCAGATTAATGTTTTCATGCCTGCTAACACAACATCCATTCTGCAGCTCATGGATCAAGAAGAAATTTTGGCTTCCCGGTCATATTATTTAAGAATTATTTTTCATAAGTCTAGATCTGCCACACACAGTGATTCCTCTGATGGATCTGTAAACAGTAAATTTAAAATCTTCTGGAAAGGATTCACCATTCTTGATGCCATTAAGATCATTTGTGACTCATGGGAAGAGGTCAAAATACTGAGAGGTGAAGCCAGCTGGACTTCCTGGGTCGAGTGGGGACTTGGAGAACTTTTCTATCTAGCTAGAGGATTGTAAATGCACCAATCAGCACTCTGTGTCTAGCTAAAGGATTGTAAATGCACCAATCAGCAATCTGTAAAAATGCACCAATCAGCTCCCTGTGTCTAGCTAAAGGATTGTAAATTCACCAATCAGCACTCTGTAAAAATGTGCCCATCAGTGCTCTGTGTCTACCTAAAGAATTGTAAACACACCAATCAGCACTCTGTAAAATGGACTAATCAGCACTCTGTAAAATGGACCAATCAGTGCTCTGTAAAATAGACCAATCAGCAGGACGTGGGCAGGGACAAATAAGGGAATAAAAGCTGACCACCCCAGCCGGCAGTGGCAACCCGCTCGGGTCCCTTTCCATGGTGTGGAAGCTTTGTTCTTTCACTCTTCACAATAAATCCTGCTGCTGCTCACTCTTTGGGTCTGCACCACATTTAAGAGCTGAAACACTCGCCACGAAGGTCCACAGCTTCATTCTTGAAGTCAGTGAGACCAAGAACCCACCAGAAGGAACCAACTCCTAACACAATACCAACATTAACAGGAGTTTGGACAATGTTGATTCCAACTCTCACAGATTACTTTGAGAGGTTCAAGATTTTAGTGGAGGAAGGAACTGCAGATGTGGTGGGAATAGCTAGAGAACTAGAATTAGAAGTGGAGCCTGAAGATGTGACTGAATTGCTGCAGTCTCATGATAAAAACTTAAACAGATGAGAAATTGATTTTTATGGATGAGCAAAGAAGGTGGTTTCTTGAGATGGAATCTACTCCTGGTGAAGATACTGAGAACATTGTTGAAATAACAAAATTCTAGAGTAGTACATAAACTATGTTGAAATAACAGTGGCAGGTTTTGAGAAGTTTGATTTCAATTTTTAAAGAAGTTCTACTATTGGCAAAGTGCTATCAAACAGCATCACACTCTACAGAGAAATCTTTCTTGAAAGGTAGAATCAGTTAATGCAACAAACATCTTTGTTGTCTTATTTTAAGAAATTGCTTGCAAATCAAAACCACAATGAGATACCATCTCACACCAGTTAGAATGGCGATCATTAAAAAGTCAGGAAACAACAGATGCTGGAGAAGATGTGGACAAATAGGAACACTTTTATGCTGTTGGTGGGAGTGTAAATTAGTTCAACCATTGTGGAAGACAGTGTGGCAATTCCTCAAGGATCTAGAACCAGAAATACCATTTGACCCAGCAATCCCATTTCTGGGTATATAACCAAAGGATTATAAATCATTCTACTATAAAGACACA
Organism: Homo sapiens; assembly: GCF_000001405.40. Lineage (NCBI taxonomy): Eukaryota > Metazoa > Chordata > Mammalia > Primates > Hominidae > Homo > Homo sapiens. The sequence goes on from NC_000013.11 coordinate 66,480,854, forward strand.
TGCACACATATGTTTATTACAGTACTGTTCACAATAGCAAAGACTTGAAACCAACCCAAATGCCCATCAATGATAGACTGGATAAAGAAAATGTGGCACATATACACCATGGAATACTGTGCAGCCATAACAAAGGATGAGTTCATGTCCTTTGCAGGGACATGGATGAAGCTGGAAATCATCAGCAAACTAACACAGGAACAGAAAACCAAACACCTCATGTTCTGACTCATAAGTGGGAGTCGAACAATGAGAACACATGGACACAAAGAGGGGAACATTACATACCGGGGCCTGTCAGGGGATGGGGGATTAGGGGAGGGATAACATTAGGAGAAATACCTAATGCAAATGACGGGTTGATGGATGCAGCAAACCACCATTGCACGTGTTTACCTATGTAACAAACTTGCACGTTCTGTACATGTACCCCAGAACTTAAAGTATTAAAAAAAAAAAAAAAGAAACTGCCATGGCCACCTCAACCTTCAGCACTCATCACCCTGATGAGTCAGCAGCCATCAACATTGAGGCAGTACCCTCTAACAGAAAACAGATTACAACTTGCCAAAGGTTCAGATGATTCTTAACATTTTCTAGCTATAAAGTATTCATAAATTAAGGTATGTACATTTTGGGACATAATGTTATTGCACACTTAATAGACTACAGTGTAGTGTAAACATAACTTTTATAAAATATGCACTGGGAAGCCAAAAAATAATGTGACTTGCTTTATTGTGATATTTGCTTTATTGCAGTAGTCTGGAACTAAACCTGCAAAATCTCCAAGGTATGCCGATAACTATGTACTGTCATTTAAAACATCTGTGTTGTTAAACCTTATAAACAGCACAGCACAATGTTGAATTTATTCAAAGTTAGTTGTAGATCTAATTACAAATATTCTGTCTTTGAGAAAATAATTGACAATTATTTTCTCTTGCTACCCAATTTCTTGAATTAAGCAAAATCTAAAATCTCCGCATCTGTAAGAGGTTTGTTTGAAAGATATCCAAAACAAAATCATTAACAAAAATACTTCAGAAAATACTGAATAAAAATCATAAGTCCAAATACACATGCACGCACACACACACACACACACACACAAAATCAATCAATCAACAGTGAAAAATAAAACACAAATTCTAAGTTCTTTAACCCAGTGTGTTCACCAAAAACCATAAACTCTATTTTTGGGTACCTTTCATCTATTTTCAGATAGAGGGTGAGTTTATTAGTGTGGGATGGTCTCAGGCACATGTAACAGTAACAATAGAATTGTAACTGTAGCCAAAGCCATCAAGACATTCATATTCCACATAACAAGATAGCTGGAGATAGGAAAAGCAATGGTGGAGCTGGGTCTCAAAAATGTTCTCAAGAGCCAGTCGCTTTCTTCTTTTCACTCTGCCATTTTTGGCAGTTGGCCTTTTAATCTAACGTTTGTCATTTCCGTCTCCCAATGTGGCTACTGCAGTTCCAGGAATAACATCTGAAAGCAGCCTTAGCCACTGCTGTCTATGAGGAAGAAAGCACACTTTCCAGGACACGCAGGCCCCTCTATAGGAGACTTCTCATGTTGCTCTAATCTGAAGTGGGTCACTCTACCACCCTTAGCTGCAGGAAAGCTGAGAAATTCAGTGTCTCAAAAAATAGAATCAAATTGTCATGATGGGTTTAAACAACACACAATTTATCACATGATGCTGAACATACTGCTACCCCAAATACAGTCAGTGTCTGAAGGCAAGGAAAGGAGGCACATCCTGGGAGAGCTGTTGGTTGGACAACTCCAAGTATTGCATCTACAAAAAGTAGCTCTTCCATCAGCATCAGCAGTGTTTTTATTGCTATAACATGATTTACTTCCATTTTATGTATTCTTTATTCTGATCTCCCCTATATTTGATTAATTCTGATCATTCTCCAATACTGTGATCTAAACATAATTCATACTTTTAATGTCAATCTAGAAATCCAATCTGCATCACTGAGATAAACAATGTGAAATAAGTTTGAAGCTTCATTTCATGATTTTAACAGAACAAATGGTTCTGTGGTAACCTTTTTCTAAGGGCCTCTAGCTATTTCTCCTGGCCTTTGCTGCTCACTTCCTCCTGCACATACTAAGCCCCACCGTGCTTTGCTTTGGAATTCATGGCCACTGCAGAGAGTTTTTGCTACTGGGAAGAACGTATACCATATGATTGATGCTAGAAAAAAATATTCTTTGTGACTCATGTTCTAAAAAGTCTACAATCTATTTTGGAAATTGTTAATTCATCGGAACTGCGCAGAAGAGATGTGTGGTTATATCTGTATGTTTGGCCTTGAAAGTGTTTATTAGTTTCTCTGATTAGAGAAATTACACAGAATTGGCTCTTTCTGCATTATATGCATTTTTTGTTTTATAGGAAACAAGCATATACTGGCACACGAATTATGGATTTGTATATTATGGCTAGAGAAGGTTATATTTGTGTCAGTATCTTTATTTCAAGGGACAATTGGAGTGAGAAAACTAGAGTCAAATTTATCACAACCACACCTTCACCAATACAACAATGTCCTGAAATGCAGGGTGAAGGAAGTTCCTATTACATCACCACCAACTTGGAGACATGAAGTGAGTGTGAAACATGGGGAAATTATCACCATCAGTGTCTACTTGTTTGAGTGTACACATAGAAAAGTAAATAAAACTCATTTTGTTAAAAGGAATACTCTTGCTAAAAGCAACTTTGCTATTTTTGCTTCTAACAGGAAATGGCAGCACGGTGTTATTGATATGGGAGTGCTGGGAAGGGAAGAGCATGGTCCCTTTAAGTGATACTGAAGTGGAGGAGACAAGTGCTGGGTAGAGGAGGGCATGATCCCTGACTACAGCTCCAACCCCACGGACCTAGGTGAGGACAGTCATTTCCTGCTCAAATGTTGCATTTCCCAAGACCACCCTGGCCTGCCACGCCCCCTTCCTGGGCCTATAAAAACTGGAGACCCCTAGCGGGCAGATACAGAAAGGGCTGGACATCGAGAGAAGCAGATGGGCAGAAGACACAAGGTGTTGTATGGCAATCGGACATCGAGGGGAGCACCCCCACATGCCTGCAGGCCATCAACCGGCAGGACAAGGCAGAGTTTGGCCGGGGCACTTGGAGGAGAGCCCTGGCCGCCAAGCAGCCAACTCCAGGGGAAAACCATCTCCCTTCTGGCTCCCCCATCTGCTGAGAGGTACTTCTACTCAATACAATCTTGCATTTATTCTCCAAGCCCACGTGTGATCGGATTCTTCCTCTATACCAAGGCGAGAAACCCCGGGATACAGAAAGCCCTCTGTCCTTGTGACAAGGAAGGGGGTCTAATTGAGTTGGTTAACACCAGCTGCCTATAGATGGCAAACTAAGAGAGCACCTTGAGACACACGTCCACTGGGGATTCAGGAACTGTAAACACTCACCCCTAGATACATACTGCCGTAGGGTCGTAGCCCCACGGCCTGCCCATCTGTATGCTCTCCTAGAGGTTTGAGCAGCTGGGCAGTGAAGAAGCGAGCCACACCCACATCACACACCGTGCGAGGGCGATAAAAGAACCTTTCCCATTTCATTATTTTTACCTGGTGTTCCTTTCATAAAGTACCCTAAATTTGAGATGGAAGAGTAGATTCTAGAATAGCATATTTCTGGCAGTATTAAACACTTTATATGATTAAATTACAGTTTCCTAGCTTTCTTGCCATTGATACTGAGAAAGAAACTCTAACACAGAGCCCTATATGAGATGGTTATTCAGTGCCAGGTGCATTTTATGATCACACAGACATGTAGGTATAACGAGAGAGCACTAGCTTCATGCCATGGGAAGAGTGGGCGATCTGAATTCTTATGTGACTGGATTCAAACTCTGTCCTGGGAATATCGCTTAACTCCTGAGACTTTGTTTCCCTATCTGTAGAATAAAGATAATTATGTGCATATCTCTCTGGCTTGTTGTAAAAATCAAATAGAATAAAACATGTAAGAGTGCTTTGTAAAATGAAGCAAACTCTGCAAATATTTGTTATGAAATAAAGGATGTATAGATATACACATGTACCCTTTAAAGTTCTCTCTAGTATTAAAAATAAAATGTACCTGCAATTTTTGTTATTTATGTTTTCACAAAATCAATTTTAAAACACTGATATCTGTCACTTTTTTATTCCATTTTGCAAGAATGTGAAATAGAAAGGCAGATGATAAATTCTAAGGTGTTCGGTACTGACAGTTAAACAGTATTCTTGAAAACTTGAAGCATAGCTTGGGGAAAATTTAAAACCACTTTTGTTTTCTGTTTGTTTCTTTAAAGAATAGAACACTATGCAATGGAAACATGTCTAAGGCTGATGGAAAACCTCATCAAGGATAATTTCCTTCACAGTCTTTTCATGTACTAATTGCTATAAAATTTACCTTTAAAGGTTTATAGATTATTTCTTGATATTTATAAGCATTCTGTGTAAGAATGAATTATTTTGAGACTATCGGCCATTAAGTTAATAAAATAATATGCTGGGCTGCTTAAATTAATATTTCTTGCAGGAATTATTTCATGTATATACCTACATCAGTCAGTGAGGTCTGGATTCAGATTTAACAATATTAAATAAGACTTGGTCCTTGCATTCAGTTTATATATTCAAGGGAGAAATAAGAAAGGCACCAGAAATGCATACAGGTATGTGTACATATGCATATGACAAAATCATATATATAGAGAGAGAGACAGAGACATAGAAAGAGACTTATGGCAATGCATAAATTATCATAAATTTATTTTAACTAATAAATTATTCTTCAACCCTATTATTTCATTTTATTTATTCATTTATTTATTTATTTTTTATTTTTTATTTTTTTTGAGACTGAGTTTCGCTCTTGTTTCCCAGGCTGGAGTGCAATGGAGTGATCTCAGCTCATTGCAACCTCCGCCTCCTGGGTTCAAGTGATTCTCATGTAGCTGGGATTACAGACATGCACCACCACGTCTGGCTAATTTTTGTATTTTTTGCTAGAGATGGGGTTTCACCATGTTGGCCACGCTGGTCTCGAACTCCTGACTTCAGGTGATCCACCTGCCTTGGCCTCTCAAAGTGTTGGGATTACAGGTGCGAGCCACTGTGCTGGGTCCAAATCTTTTATTTTTAACACAACATATTAAAATATGTTATCATATACAATATGCATGATACAAGTCAAGTCTAGTTTTTCAATAATATCAAAGTTTCTCAACTTTAGAGAAGACTAAAGAGTTTCAGTTGAGGCCAGATGCGATGGCTCATGCCTGTAATCCCAACATTTTGGGAGGCCAAGGCAGGAGGATTATTTGAACCCAATAGTTTGAGACCAGACTGGGCAACATGGTGAGACTCCATCTCTACAAAAAACAAGAACAATTAGCTAGGCATGGTAGCGCACATCTGTAGTCCCAGCTCCTGGGTTGGGAGTGGGGGTGGTGCTGAAGTGGAAGGATTGCTTGAGCCTAGGAGGTCAAGGCTTCGGTGAGCTGTGACTGTGCTGCTGCACTCCAGCCTGGGTGACAGAGCTAGACCCTGTCCCCCCCCCACAAAAAAATAAAAATAAAAAAAATTAGCCAGGCATGATGGCATATGCCTGTAGTCCCAGCTACTTGGTAGACTGAGGTGGGAAGATGACTTGAGCCCAGGAGGTTGAAGCTACAGTAGGCTATGATTGTGCCATTGCTCTCCAGCCTGGAGGACAGAGTGAGATGCTATCTCAGAAAAAAAAAAAAAAAAAAAGTATTTGAGTTTCACTATTTATTTGAGTTTAGATATGTAATATGCATGATCTCATAAATTAAAATTTGCTTATTTTTCATGTTTCTAATTTAAGGTTAACCACACTGTATGTTTTACTGGTTGTCCCAAATACTAACGAGGCAATCTGGCTAAAGGTTTATGTCTATTATATGAGACAGGTACTGACAATATGTGTGTGGCCAGAAAAAGCTTGTAGTGTATCACTGGAATTGTAGTGGTAGTGCAATTTCAGAAGTGACCTAGAGAATGCATACCTGCCACTAAATATACTTCATTAAAAAATTCTATGGAACCATTGATGGTGTGCATATACATAATTTTTTTTCACATGACTAGTGAGTTTAACAATTACGTTTAACTTGTCTGTATTATTATAGATTTTAAAAGGATCATTTAACATATCACCATACGATCTCTTTGATAGTAATATATCAAAATAACAATAAATATATGCATTTGCAAGTGTTTTGACAATGATTCTCTTGTTTTGCCAGGATGCAGTGCTATAGATTTCCATTGTGAATCAAGCCGTACTTTGAATAGGTAAATAATATAGGCTCTCAATATGAACTGAGTATATGATTGATGCTGTTCCATAAATTACAAGTACAAAAATATATAGGTGACATGCAATAATTCCTCAAAGCATTATCTAAGTCTGTACACATGTTATCTAGGACAAAAGAACAATTCCCATTTTTTTAGGGAGGCTTAATTTATAGATATTGACTTACTAAAACTACATACATGGCCATCACTAAATTTCTTTCTTATGGATTTTTTATTATAGTAATTGTTTCTATAAATTTAATATAGCACTGCCTATTTATAGTATTGATATTGTAACAACTCTTCCATCACTTGCCAAACTTACTTTGTCAATGTCCATATAATATTCCATAATATGGACGTAATATTATATGTCCATAATATTATATGGACATCTTTAAACGTTGTAAAATGACTTGTATGAATAATCAAAATATTCTATCCCTATGAAAAATGAGCTACCACTTCAAATCCCTATCAAGTTATGATTTTATTGGGTGAATTTTAGAAACATACCTGAAAGTTTCCCCTCACCTCTATTACCAACCCCACTTTTTACTTTTCCTGAGTTAATCTGATGGATAATTCAAGCCAGATGCAATGAAGACTAAGCACCTATGGAATTAACTTGACCATGTAAGCTTGTAGACCAGGATCAGTGAAACTTTGGATGAGAACCAGAAGATATCTCACTCTGGGAAGATCTTGGCTTGTAGAAATCTGTGTTGCAGAGTTCTCCATCAGCACTGAGTCCTCAAATGGATGAGACATATAGAGTAGAACCACAGCTTTCCTGGTGCCGAACCATACACAGCATCCAACATGTTTTCCCTGGCTTTGTTTTCATGGTTGAGAACTGATACTTGTTTTAAAACCACTGAGATTTTAGGGAAAATTTGTGCTGTAACAAATTTATGCCGACACTATACAACCCCAACAACCATGCCTGAGCTAGAAAGAGCCGACGCTGAAATCAAGCCAATGTGTCCCAATATCTGGAGAGAGATAGTTCAGAGAAATACAAAACGACCTAATGACCTAGAATTGCTCAAGGAGAGAGATGACCTCTAGAAATTCAAATGCAATACCACAGATAATTCTACTGCTAACAAATCTGATTTCCTAATTAACGATTCAGTTAATAAAGGGATGGTTCCAGTTGAGGGCCAAATGAGTGCCCTAGAAAATCAAATGCAATTGGTATTACAAAGCCCAGGGAAAAAACCAAACAACATATTATTTTTAAAAAGTGATAAATCGTGAAGCAAAGATGAGAGATTTTTATGAGTAATTATGTGGCACAAGTATAAAAACTCAGCAATTTATGTGGAAAAATAAACAGCCAAGACAGCTAATAATAGAGTAAAAAAAAATCTCAGAAAATTCTGTAAGAATTATTGTGATCAAATAATATGTATTAGTAGAAGAATAATTTACATAAATAAAAGAGATATATACAGGTCCACATAGAAGAAAATTTATATATGTGTGTGAATTTAATATAATGACATTGGTGATAGCTCAATTCTATGTGAGAAGGATCAATTATTTAATAAAAGTTGCTGGCATAAAAAGTGCTAGTAATCCATCTTGAGGAAAATAAAATTGAATCTCTATATTGCATTACATAAAAATGCATTTCAGATGGATTAAACACTTAAATAGAACAAACCAACCTAGAAAAATGGTTTTATTAATTAGTTCCCACAGGCGAGTACACCAAAATATATAAAATATAAAATAAATATACTGAAATATGTGTTCGTATACACACAAAAATAGTTACATTTTAAGTGCATTATAAATTCTTTGCTATTTGCTAAGTGGTGTTATAATTTTAACAACTTGCAAAGTTTTCAATCTACAGAATTAATATATAGGTAGACACTTTTCAAACTAAATATAGATTGTCTTTAACTTTATTTTTTTGATGTTTGGAATTAGCCATTATGTTTCTATTTTGGCATGATTGATAGTTGATGTTGTATATCACATATCACTGTGTTACCGCATTGAAAAATTATAATCTGTCTACTCAACAAACCAGCATTCCAAGACTGGGGTTTTTGCCCTTTGTTCTTACTCCAGAAGTCCTCTGGCAAATTTTTGTTTGAGACAGGCTCCATCACCCAGGCTGGAGTGCAGTAGATTACAGCTCACTGCAGCCTTGACCTCCTGGACTCAAGCAAGCCTCCCACCTCAGCTTCCTGAGTAGCTGGGACTACAGGCATGCACCACCACACCCAGCAAATTTTTTCTATTTTTTGTACTAACAGGGTCTCACTATGTTGCCCAACCTTGTCTCAAACTCCTAGGCTCAAGGGATTCTCCTGCTTCAGCTTCTTAAAATGCTGAGATTACAGGCATGAGCCACCTTACCCAGCCAACATTTGATTATTAGTATACAACTACATGTTCACTGCCTCCTTATAAATCTACCTTCTCCACTGCAAATCCCATGAAGAAATTTCCATCTGTATATGCCTAGTTTGTAGCATGATTTTCTTGTTCCCACAAAACACAAAATGAGTGAAGAAGCCTCATCGATGACACACATACATTCTTAGCAGCTTAAAATATAATCAGTTTCTGTTATGATAAGAACACGGAGAGCTAGTAACAGTCTTAAAATGTTCAGACTTCATTGTCCTCAAACAGAATAAACCACTTCTATTGCAGAACTCTTAGAAACTGAGTGATTTTCTGATTCCTCCTGATTTTCATAAACACAGAAACACAAGCAGTAGGTAGAAATACTTCTTTTTCTATTGTACTTTAAGTTCTAGGGTACATGTGCACAACGTGCAGATTTGTTACATATGTATACTTGTGCCACATGGGTTTGGTGCACCCATTAACTCATCACTTACATTAGGTATTTCTCCTAATGCTGTCGTAGAAATATTTCTAAATCTTGTATTCTCTTTTCTGACTTCTCGAGGAGAATATGCTGTATAAAAGGGATGATCTAGGGTCATAATTAGAGATAGAAATATCTGTCCTTTGCTTAAGGCCACCAGTGCCATTAAGGCCTCCTGAGTTCTTCAGAGTTTTTGACTTTTACCAAAAGTTCTGAGAGGGTGATTTTTCCATTAATGCTTTCTCTGTAGATTTCCTAAGACCTGAACACTGTTATACCGGTCGGCTTCATGTGGTGCTGCTCTCAAGGGAAAACTTGTTGCTGTCCATCTCTTCTAATTTGCTTTTTAAATCTGTGGACCTTAAAAACAGATAACTAAAGTGGAAAGAATAGGAGAGGATTTTTTAAGGGTGTAGTTCATGAGATTCAGCACAAGGTTTATTTATTTTTTACATCTATTACCTCGATTTCTGTGGCTTTTATTTTACTGGTTTTGTTTTTAATTTTTGTCTTTTTCAGATCAATTCGTAATGTTTAACTGTTTTTAATAGGTGAGGTGGTGGTCTAAGAGAGTGTTTTAAGGAAGAGAGTTATCAGTTGTGTAAATCTATAGCTTGCTGAACTATTTTTTTTAATAGACTAATCAAAGCACATAAAATTCAGAAAAAAAAATTCCTGATGCAAAAAACTATGAGCAAAGCTAAACAATTAAAATCTCAGAACGTGTTCTAAGTAAGCCTTTTTTCTCATAGGTAAAAGTTAAATCTGGATAAATGTATTTCCTTAGTTAGAACTTTTTGTGACATTTCTTTGCCCAGCATATCTGTCCCTGCTTCAGGCTATGCTGTTGAGAATGACAGCTTGTCTTAAGTTAGTCTACCAATTCTTTTAGCTAATTAAATCCTCAGTTTATAGAAATGAGATATACTCTCACTTTGATTGATATATACATTATTTACTGGCTTCTTAGCTTCTTAGTTTCTCCTGAACATCTGTTTTAAACTAATGCTAAACTTCAGTAAACTCTTTCACTGCCTCTTACAAAATAGGCACTTCTTTTGCCTCCCCTCTTTAAATGAAAGCACACTTGGATAGGATTCAGATATATGGATTGTGTTTGATAAGTCCATAGTTGTTCTTTTTTAAACAGTGGTTAAGGATCACTTGGCTTAAAGCACAATAGGAAAATTTAATAAGAGCCTGGTTTTCGCTGAAATTCTCTCGTAAATTTTGCCACCTAGAACGGAACAGATTTTGGCCAAGGAAATGGTGTGTGTGTTGGGTGAGGGCAGGAGATATTGTGTGTGTGTGTGTGTGTGTGTGTGTGTGTGTATGAGAGAGAGAGACTGTGCTCAGTGAATATGTAGTGAGGAACTACAGTACTGTGATCAGCGAGGAATGTAAATATCCCATATTAGAGCGTTAAGTGACTTGTTGGTTTCCAAGTACAACACTTGAAAAGCTGATTATCTTCTCTTTAGTTCGTATACTTTCCACAAAGTAGCTGGCATTGATTTGAATTGTTTGGGTAATACTTAACTATTTTGAGAGTTGAACTTGTACACTGTATCATGTAAATGCAATTCCTTTATTCCTTTTGTTATATTATCACTTTCTCAGTTAAGCTTAACATAGCATATGTGTTTTTCTCATAGAAAGGTAAGTTTTTAATGCAGGTTTTTATTAAACAATCATTGATTACTTGTCATGGTCCATTTCTCTCTTCCTCTTTCCTTTAGACATATGTTCTATTAGTCACACCTAGTGCAGGTACTTTGGGTTAAGCTGATTCCACATCGCGGGACTGTGATACTGGTAGGCCCCATCTCCTATTCTCTAAACTTTGCATCAATGAAATTGATTCAGGTCACCTAGACCTAAGCCATATGTGCATGGCATTCCCCTGGCCACAAAGTTTGGTTCTCAAATGGGTATGTATGACTCAATTTGGATCAATGAAATGAGGGAGAAGATTTGTGCTCGGGTTTCTGAGGAATAAACTCCCTTAAAAGAGATCTTAAAGAGAAATGTCACAGAAAAGATACTTGCTGTTTGTCTTCTGTTGTGATACTACTTTTTCATGATTTATATTTATAGTTGTTGTGATTTGTTGTGATTGACACAATCAAAGTTTAAAAGATTAGCTGTTGCTATTTACTTTCATGGTTATATAACATGAGATAATAAGGTTCCTGAGTCTACCAGCCTTGTCTTACATAGACAGAAATCTCAGTATCATTCAACTTTTTCTCCAATCAATATATATTAAAGCTTTCTGAATGTTGGTCATTCTATCCTTAGCATTAAATAGGTACACACACACACATATATGTAACCTAGTTAATGTTTATATTTATATATAATAAATATATATAAATATAAACAAATATATATAATGATTTTTATATTTATATATAATGATATATATATGTTTTAAAATGGGTTCAATAAAGGAATGATGAATACATGGGTGGATGTTTTGCAAGTGGCATTAGAGAAAAACATGATGCTGGGTTAGTAACAGTGTGAGCTGTCAGAAAAGATAGATGGCTTTGCTGGTCATGCTATAAATAACCACCAGGTGCCACTCAGAGATGGTGGAAGCCTCATTTTGCATGACAGCCATTGATCAGCTGCATGACTAAGATGCAACCTTTTGTGACACCACTTGAGGAGAAAAGGTTATGTTTCACATTTAAGCTTTGAATAATAAGGTCAGGATCAAATTAAATGAATTTCTCTGGCGAATACATGAAATATACACAAATTAATACAACAAATTAGATACATTGTTACAAAGAAAAGGTGAGCAAGCTGGAGCTAAGTGCGATCCTGGGACTTTGTCCTTCTGAATATTTTATTAATGAGGTGACTATCCTGTCTCATTAAAAATATCCTGAGTGAGTTCTCACCACCTGTGGGAAGACCCTAAACTGCGATCTAGACTAGAATACTACAGAATAAAGAAATAAAATAATAATAAACATGTTTCCTATGTGACTATAAGCTTATTAGAGCATATTTCAAAGGAATGCAAAATATTCAGAAGAAAATCAGATAATAGGAATTCTTACATTTACATCTTTTTGCAGACTTGAAGTAAATCTCACATTTGTTATTTGGAGGAAAAGTTCATCTATATTTTATGTCAGTGTGGCAAATGTGTTTTTGTGGCATTTGAATACTAGCCAGCAAGTCTCTTCTTTTATGAGACAAAGGAACAAATTATGTTCCTAACTTAAACTTTCAAAGCAACTGCAGATTGTTCGCAAGGTTCTATTCTTAATAAATTCTTTTATTACAATAACAGTTGTATTAGTAAACTTAGCACATATCTATATGTTATTTGACATACTTGAGTTAATAATAATCCAAATGGTTTCATATTTTTGAAATTATTCACTTATATCTCATGCAACCACGGTAATTTAATTGGCTACCATAAAAATTATTTTAAACCATGAAATGTGATTGGTCAACAAAAAGCAGAATAAATGCAAATAACTGAACATCATAAGTAGTTACCAAGGAGCTGCCATAACCAAGGAAGTTACTACAGCATACATTTAAAACATTGTGTTATCATGGAAACTATGTACTCATTCATTCAACAATTATTAATTAATTTCTTACACTGTGTTAGGCACTGATATAATCAAAGTTTGAAGGATTAACTGATTTATAGAAACAGCTCACTTTGTCAATACTTTTGTTTTTCATAGAGTCACACTATGGGTGAATAAACCATTTAATCAATGCTCAAGGCCTATGATGCCACATATATATTTAATAATGACTGCAATACTAAAAAGGTTTAATAACATTTTCAATATAATAATAAAATAATTATGACAATATGATGTTTCACTAATGATAACAATAGCAATATTAAACCATGATTATGTTGAATAACTGGTTCAGTTACATTTTTAAGACTTATGAATTAAAAATAACTTTATGTTAATTTATCAATGGGGAAATAAATTGTAATAGTTGAAAGAAAACAAAATGTAAATTTTCACTCTATGAGAATGCAGAGATGTAGAACCTGAGTAGAAAAGGAATCTGGTTGGCTAAAGAATAAGGTCAACAAAGTTACTTATCAAAAGAATTTTCGATGTAAAGAATTTCTATCAAAAGGATTTTCTATGCTTTTAAGATGGCAAAACTTCAGAAAACAGTAAGCTCTCAGATTTCAGGACATGATATTTTATTAACTGCTAATCATTGACAAGATACTGAAACATTCTACCACAGCATGAAATAGTAGGAATAGACAAGGTTTACACGGACAACAAATCACCAAGCCTGACAAACAATGAAATGCAAATCTAATGGAGGTAGCTTTTGATTTTGTAAATAAATCATTAAATGATTGAAATAGCTGTCTGAAATTTGCCATGAGTTTGAGGAGATAAATATATCCTGACTGCACATCAGACTTACCTAAGTTAATTTAAATGTGTGCTTGTGACTCTCTCTCTCTGTCTCTCACTCTCTCCATACCCCCACCATTCTACTGCCAACAATTAGACCAGAAACCAGAAACTCTGGGGTACACACCCTTTAAGGTATGTACATTTTAAAAATCTTTATAATATAGATAAATTTAAAGCATATCCAGTTTGTGGGATATTTCACAAGATAACTGACCTGGTTTCATCAAAATATCCATTACATTAAAAATTGTTTTTAATGAGTTGGGCAGGGGAGATTGCTTTAAAGAGATTTATTAAATGTTTCAACCAAAGGCAATGTCTTAATTCTTTTTGGTCTCTGAATTGAAACAAAAGCCAAATGTACAAATATTGTTCTTGAGAAATTTGTCACAATTTGAATATAAATGACAGTAAATAATTACTAATTTTATTAAGTGTGATTATGTCAGTGGGTTATATAAGACAGAGGAGAGGATGGAAGGAAGGAAGGAATAAAGGAAGAAGGGAAGAAAGGAAGAACAAGGAGTTAAAAACATGAAAAAAATAGATTTTTAAAATAATTATTGAATTTAGCAGATGGGTATATGAAGGTTTATTAAACAACTCTCTCTATGGTTATGACTAAAAATTTTCATAATTAAAAGTAAGTACAAAAAGAAAATTAAAAATTCTGGCAAACAATTAGAGATTTTTGTTAGCATGTTTCAATATCTTCTTTGTTAGCATTCTGATTTCTAATTCTAGTTTAAGCCTAGGAACCTGCATTTAAAAAACACTTCAGGTACATTACAGGCAGGCTTTAAGCAATGACACATTGAAAAACACTAAAGAGAATTACATTTTCTGACTCTGGAATAAATAATCTGAAATAACACATTGAAACCAGCTAAGTACATTCAGCTGTTATTTTATTCAACGGTATCTCCTTCAAGGCGAGATGGGGACTAGGAATAAGTTAGCCTTGGTCAAGGTGGACACTGAGATGATGTTTCTGATTCAACATAGTGCTTTGGAAACAGAGGACATCCATTCAATGTTTACTTGCAAAATAAATACATACATACATACATACATACCTCTGGATGATCAGTCTAAAACCTTACTTCTTCAACTAGAGCATTCTAAAAAGTCAGAATTGTTTAATTTGGTTCTGGGTAGAGAACACACTGGTGACTCTTTGACCTCTATTGGCTGCATTTCTGCCTGTCATCCCCAAACTGTGCATTCCACTTCAGGCTAAGCCCTTGATCTCTTTAGGAGCCACTGCACACTAATTCTTGCTAGTAATCATGGCCACAGACACTACAATCCCATTGTTTGTGCCCAAATCGTGACTCTGCCACATATTGAGTGTTCCTGAGCAAATGACTCTACTCATCTTTGTGACTGAGTTTCCTCTTCTGTGAAACAGGAGTAATAATGGTACCTACCTATGTTGATTTGCTGATGTGATGTGCTTTACTTGTTTAAACTGTTTAAGATTGTACAAAGCCCATAGCAATACTTATAAAATTTTGACATTTATTATTGTTGTGCTTCTCTCATGCTGTTAACACTCAACTATCTATCTCTCACATTATCTTTATTCATTTCCCCCGATTAGGGAAATTATTAACTTGGTTGACCCGTGCTGAACATGTTCAAAATATAACTCTTCTTCTCCTACTCAAACATCATGTTTTTGAAAAATTAACATTTGTCCAGTAAACCAACTAAAAACTTAGGTCATTTAAATCCATTTCAATCTTTGTCCACTATATCGAAACTATCCTCATATCTCAGACATCACATACCTCCAGGTCTGTTTTCATTTTTGATCCCCCCAAATCTCCAAGCACATTTTCATGTAGCTACTGATTGTCCTAAAGTTCCATCCTTCCATTCCTTAAATGTTTCTTGCACTACCACATTCATTTCCTCCTCTCAAGGTTGACACTATGCCCCTAGTACAAGTTATTACTTCAAACATGACATGTATTTATAGCCCTCTCAGTGCTATGAACTTAAAAATAATAATACTGGTTGAATAAATAAATATTTTATGTGACAGTTACCTGTTATAAACATCTGTCCTGTAAACATCTGTCCTGTAATGGCCTTTAAAAATGGCCTTTATACAAGTCAGTTATTATGGAAACAATATGGAACATAATGTCAATAATTCCTCAGTCAGTTACAATCACATACTTGTACCAACAATTAGGTACTTGTCCCTTATTTAATAGTGAACATGGCCTTATATCACAAACAATTAAGTTCTCAATAGTGCAATTAGTGGCAAGAACAAATGCAAGGCAAAAAAGAAAAGGGTTTTTTAAAACTAAAATTCCAAGGCAATGTGGGATTGTGTATCCATGATATTCTTTGAAGTTTGAAGGCTCTTATATCCAATGCATAACTGGCTACGATTGGTTATCTCTTTCACAAGGCCACATGATTTATGTATTATCTTTTATTTTCCTCCCGACCCCTAAAATCCCCATATTGGCCTTTTGTTTCAACAATTTTATTTTTGCAATGGATTTTTTAAAGTTTCTGCTTACTTTTTCAGTTTTTTTTTTAGACGGGTCCTTGCTCTGTTGCCCAGGCTGAAGTGTAATGGCGGGATCTTGGCTCACTGCAACCTCCTCTCCCCCTGCTCAGGTGATCCTCTTTGCCTCAACTTCCCAAATAGCTGTGACCACAAGCATGTGTCACCACACCTGGCTATTTTTTTTTTTGTATTTTTGGTAGAAATGGGGTTTTGCCATATTGCCCAGTCTAGTTTCAAACTTCTGAGCTCAAGCAATCTGCCCACCTCAGCCTCCCAAACTTTCTGCTTATTTTTAATAAATATGTTAGACTCATATCAAGAATTGAGTGGCACTTACAAATTATCTACATTTTATAGGTTATGCTTTGTTTAGCATTTTGCGAAATCCTACTTATGTAGTTGGATATAATTTCAGTTGAATTTCTCATTTGCCCAGATGTCACACAGTCAATATAAATCTGAATTTATGCTAAAAAATCAACCATCTCTCTACCTTTCTTTCTCAGCTTGTCAGGTTTACAGTTGAGAAGGATGTTAGAGATCATATTTCAAATGCTACATTTTAATGATGAGAAATTTGAGACCAAAAGATATTAGGAGACATTTTTGGCATTACTTGGTAGTTAAGAGGGTTTGATAACCCAGGTTCAGACTTGTAAGCAGGTGTTCCTTACACAGCAGCAATTTGCTCTCCATTAAGTTATAATAGCTAAGGACATACACAGAGTTGAGAAAAAGTGCTATACACACTCTTACTTTTTTTTTTTTTTTTTTTTTTGAGATGGATTCTCACTCTGTCACCCAGGCTGGAGCATAGTGGTGTGATCTTGGCTGACTGCAACTTCTGTCTCCCAGGTTCAAGTGACTTTCGTGCCTCAGCCTCCCCAAGTAGCTGGGATTACAGACACCCACCATGACGCCCAACTAATTTTTGTATTTTTAGTAGAGATGGGGTTTCGCCATGTTGGCCAGGCTGGTCTGGAACTCCTGACCTCAAGTGATCCTCCCGCCTCGGCTTCCCAATGTGATGGGATTACAGGCGTGAGCCACCACGCCCAGCCCAAACTCTTACTAATTTTATTTATTATTATTATTTTTTTTTTGAGACCAAGTCTCGCTCTGTCGCCCAGGCTGGAGTGCAGTGGCGCGATCTCGGCTCACTTGAAAGCTCCACTTCCCAGGTTCACGCCATTCTCCTGCCTCAGCCTCCCCAGTAGCTGGGACTACAGGCGCCCACCACCACGCCCACCTAATTTTTGTGTTTTTAGTAGAGACGGGGTTTCACCGTGTTAGCCAGGAGCACTCTTACTAATTTTTGACAATCTTTTGCCTCTTGATTGCTACAAGGTTTTCCCAGTCTAATGCCCTATTTCCCAATTTGAAAAAAAAAACCACAGGCAAGGAGTGTTGAAAGAATATAGGGAAGAACACAGAGGAAAACTCCTTGCATTGGCTACTCACCTACTGACTTCCTCAATATCCCTGTGATCTGAAAAGAAACTTATAACACTTTGGAAACTGTCACCTATATATAGTATTATAATGCCATATATAATTCCCAACCCCACAAATATTCAACATTTCAAGTAGAGCATGCCATAATTTAATCAAATAAATATCTCCACAAAATTAAACGAATGTTTTAATAAGGTCCTGAAAAAATTTTTTTTTAATGTACTGTTGATGTGGTATCCCGTATTAAGTGCGTAATACCTAAAGGACAGAGAAGTATTTGTCACCTTGCCTTTGAAAAAATTAGTTGTTACAGTTGTGTCTTCAGTTTTTCTCTTAAGTTCATTGGCAGCTATACCAAAAGTTGTTTTTCACCAACAGAATTGAAATACAAGACCAGAACAATTTTCAGATTTAAACATCTAGGATGTCGTTCTCAAATGTCACATGGCAATAGTTCACTTAAAGAACAACAAACAGAATGAAGTGTTGAAGGAACATTTTACTTTTCATCATTGTTTACTTATATTCTGATGGATATGTCAGACCTGAATGCCTAAAAGCAAATATGGATGGGAGAGACAAAAATAAAAGCTTATGAGTTTGTGAACCAGAAAAATCCTTATACCCTATGTATTTTCAGCTAGTATTACATTTAAAACATAATACTACTACGAATTGAAATTAAAAGAAAGATGATATTTAAATGGGAAAAAAGAAAAGGTGATGTTAAAATGACATTTTATTTATTCTTTCCTTTATATTAAATCTTTAAAGCAGATTTTTTTTATTTCAAGAAGGTCTATATATAACAAATAAATTTCTAAGATATACATACTTGGACATTAATGAATGAATAAATACAGTATACATAAATTCATTTTTAAAAACATGTCTAAAACAGTGTAGCAAGATATAAAAAACATTGTTCTGATTAACTAGCTATGTGACCTGCACACTTCTTGAGATGGTTAAAAATCATGATGCTCAAGATGGTGGTGATGGAGACAATGCTGTTGGAGGCATATATAAAAATCTCCAGCAGACCATTCCAAGCTACACTGCCCATGGGAGTGGGTGGTGGCTCAGAATAGTTATTAATCATTTCCTATGAAAGTTAATAAGCACAATAGTAATGATGAAAATATGTTGTTTATGTGAATATTGTAGTGACAAAAGTTAATCAACTGATATAGGTTGAATGTTTGTCCCCTCAAAATCTCATGTTAATGTAATCCCCAGTGCTGCAGATGGGACTTAGTTGGAGGTATTGGATCATGGAGATGGATCCTTCCTACATGGCTTAGTGCCATCTCACAGGTAATGAGTGAGTTCTATTATTTCACAAGAGAGCTGGTTGTTTCAGAGAGCCTGGCATCTTTCTTGCTCCCTTTCTCGTTATGTGGCATGCCTGCCCATCCTTTCCCTTCCAGCATGATTGAAAACTTACTAAGGCTATCACCAGAAGCAGATGCTGGTGCCATGCTTCTTGTACAGCCTGCAGAAACTGAGCCAAATAAATCTCTTTTATTTGTAAATTACCCAGTCTCAGGTATTCCTTTATAGCGATGCGAATGGACTAACACATCCAACCATTAAGATATTTTCCTCTTCTATTTCTATTAGATAATATAGCATTAATAAATTATTAAGCATATGATGCAAAAGAGGGTAGTTACATTGTTACAATAATTCTTATTTATAATTGTAATCCCTTTGCATGTCTCAGGATTTCTGTCATATGATCTTGCAATTTCACTTCTGGGTACATATTTAAAGAAAATAAAATTAGTATGCAAAGAGCTATCTGGGCTCCCATGTATAACACAGCATTATTCCCAATAGCCATAAAGAAGAATGAAATATCGTCATTTTTGACAACATGGATGAACCTAGGGGACATAATATCAAGGAATTGCTTTTTCTTTCATTTTTTTTCTAAATATGTAAGACCGGATAAGTAAATTTTTTTAACAGGATAAGTTTTTTTGTTTGTTTGTTTGTTTTTTTAACAGGGTAAGCATGGAAAACATTTAGTAGGGTTACTGGTTGGTAAGAAGTGCTCAAAAAATGGTGATTACTGTTATTTTTGTTGGTATTATCCACAATCTGAAATGATTAGTTTTTTATATTATGAAAATTATAACTTTAACCTATTTTATTATCAGTTTCCAAAGAAGGATTAATTCACTTACAAGAAAGCCTACGGTATATTCTTGCTGTCTTGCTTTTCCTATATGTTTCCTACTGTTTCTATTTTATTTCTATCATCTACATTTCATTGAAATTCTAATATCACCATTAATATTCTAATATTATAATGCCATCATTTCCATTACAAATGAAATACACTCTCCGTATGTCAGGGCAATTACTTGCCCTTTTTCCCTATATCCACATAGCAATTTTTTATTTGGGTGAGATTAAGCATAACAAAAAATACTTGGAAGAGCTCAGATCTGAAATACAATGATTCACACATCCAAGAACTTTATTAGGTTTAATTATATTTCAAACAGCTGAATTAATTGATAAGTGGTAATATTTATATAGAAAAATAATCACCAAGAACTTCTAACTTTAATCAGCAGAAATCTCAAAAGGCGGGCCAAACTTAAGAACTGCTAAAAATAAAATGTCTTTTAATTTATAATAAATGCACATCCTTATGAGTATGTCATTTGAAATTAATGGAATTTTTGAAATTGATACTTGTCAAGTTCTTGCACTGCTTTCCTGTGAGGGGAATTTCTCCTTCTTGATTGTGAGACTCATGAACATCACTGTTTTACATACCATTTCTCTATTAAGGATGAAGCAGTCTTAGACTCTACAGTATTTCATCATGTTGTGAATCATCATTAAACATTTTGCTGACTCTCAAATGTCAAATATTCTCCTGTGTCATAAAGAATTTCATTAAACAGCATGGGAGAAAGAACAGAGTAATTTTAGGAAATCTTCCCTGCTGTTCATTATGAGCTTTGTTATTTATCTCCCATTCCATTTTCTCCTGGCAACTATAAATGATCTCTTCCTCATCCAAATGGTTCTATCACAATTACAGGTTTATATGTTTAAGCAGAATTTACCTAGTATGAAAAAGTCTCTTTCTCAATAGCAGCAGTAATTTTACCAGTAAATTCTACAGGTATATTAAAAAAATTAAGATAATGAGATATCAAGTAATAGTCATCATTGTAGTAATATGCATTCTCAATGACTAAAAAAATCAAACTGACCAAAAAGAAAAAGAAAAAAATCCCTTTACCTTTGGGGACCCTTTTTAATGTAGTATGTACATTTTACTTAAGGCATTAAGCCTTTTGGGAAGGACTTAAAAACTAGAGCCATAGTTAGTTTTTTTCTGACAAAACTCTGTAATCTAACAGAAAAGACTAAGAGGGTGGGTATATAAGAAAATTCATAAAAACTTAGAGTGCTGTTCTGGTCTGGAGTTAGTGCATTAGGCATCCTGAAGGTGATGTGAAGGCTTAGTTTAACAAAGGTGAGAAACAGATGCATTTTTGCAATTTTGCCAATTGCCAGTTTTGATATTCTCTCTGAGCTACCTGTTATGGTAGCTGTTACTTACAAGTGGCTATGGAACACTTGAAATATGCCTAGTGGCTACATTGGGTGAATTAAATTTTAAATGTAAAAGTGAAAACAAAGTAAAGTATTTTTTTCTGTCAAGTAAACATTCTTCTTTTGAGTACAACTTCATTTCACATTAACTATCACACTGAATAAGGTTATTATTGTTGTAGTACACATGTACTTTTTACATTTTTAATACATGACTGTGAGAAAATTTTAAATTTTGACTCATGTTTAATTCACTTCTATTGGGCAGAGCTGTTCCATATAATAGACTACTTATAAAAATATTATCTACCTTTTGTGATCAAAATATTTTTTCTTAAAGTTCATTTTATTAGATTTAAAGAAACACACAAGTGATATATTCTTTTGGTAACAAAACTATATAAACACACTATAAAAAAATTTGTCATTTTTTATGAAGTGAGCAATTTTACCTGCCAAGATTTTAAACAATTTTCCTGTGTATTGTAAAAGGATGTGAAGGCTACAGAAGTACACGCTACTGAAGAATGTCTAGATAGTGAAATAGCAGTTAATGAAGAACAAAACCTTTAATAAAATAGAAGTGCTCATGACAATTGGTAGAAATATTAATAGGGTAAAAATCCCACTCTAAAATGTTGCTTTTTAAGTTAATTTGTTTAAGTTTTATTTGTTTCGTCAATTAGGAGTATACTAAACTACACAGAATTTGCTGATGTGAATATCTCATTTTAATTTTGTTCTTATGGCTTGTTGAATGTGATTTGTTTCTGCACTTGCAAGACCAAGGAGAAATTTAAGAGAAAAATGCCACTAATTTAAGTCTGCAAAGAATACTGGGTACTTGTGCTAGTTGCTCCTTTTGCAGAGGAAAACAATATAGGCATGGTCCTGCCCACATTCTTTGTAAAATACACCTTAAAGAATCAGTCATTCTGCTGAGCAGTCCAGGATGGGGGGAGGAAGGAAACATAAATATAATTAAATAAAAAATACAGAACCAGTCAATACTTTCCCCAAACATGCTTATTATCTACAATGTGTAATTACATTGAATCTTACTGTTAATTTATCTTCATAAGCATATGCTTAATCTCCAGTATCACATCATTCTTAAGCGATAGAATAACTGGTTTGCTAGAAGTTTCAGAATACATGTCCTTACCCTGGAAAGAAACATTAAGGCATTGTTTGGCAAAATAAATCAGTGTTGGGGGATGAGAGGGCCTGTTTAAAATACGTATTTCCAAACTCCCCTGGGAGACTGTTTGATT
The DNA here is from genome assembly GCF_000001405.40 of Homo sapiens. Classification (NCBI taxonomy): domain Eukaryota; kingdom Metazoa; phylum Chordata; class Mammalia; order Primates; family Hominidae; genus Homo; species Homo sapiens. The sequence continues at coordinate 66,503,373 of NC_000013.11, forward strand.
TAGTAGATCTTTATTTTGGTACTAGAATCTGCATTTACCAATCACACAATGTTCATTCATATAACCTCTTCTATGTAACTTTAAATAATACTACACAAATACTATTTGAAGAAACTACTAGTGTTTATTTTTTCTTCTTTTAATGACATGTTCTTTCATTTTTTGTAAAAGAGAGCATGAAAGATATTGAGTTTTGAATAAAAATAAGTATATATACCAATAATGTCTGGGTGAATTGAGCAGGTGACTTATTTGCCTTACTTTTGCAAAGAGAATGATAAGAATATGTATCCCACCTCAGTGTAAGATCCAAAAGATAATATAAGTGAAAGCGCTTTGCATAGTATGCTTTTAGTTCAATGGCTGATTTAAATCTGAATACTTTTACATTTTTGTGGGTACTTCTTTTTTCTCCTGTCCCTTTCACTCAGATTGCAAACATTTATTAACCACCCATTATGTGCATCATTATTTGGGCCCCTGTTTCATGAATATATATAAGATCCTACCATATCAGCAAAAAACTATTAAGTCAACAGAAGAGATACACAAAACAGGTCTGGGTCTTGGGTATCAGGCACAAGACCCAGAAGTCAGGCTGTGTCGTAACTACGTGTCCAACTTCATTTCATGCCACCTGCTTCTTAGCATCAATATGCTAAGGACAGACACACTGACTTGATCTCTGCTCCGTAAACACAACCACCCTTAATTCCCTGCCTCTCCCAGCTGAGTCATTGTACTCACTGGCTCCGTTTGTCTTTCAGGTTGCTGGTAAATACCACCTTCTTAGAAAGGCCTTGGCCAATCCTTTTGTCTAAAAACGTCTACTGAACCCACGTGTACCTTAGGATTAGGCCTGTTTCCTTCAAAGCACATTTTGATATTTGTGATTATTTATTCAATCTTAATAATTATTGTAATCATTGTAAATCTTATAATTATTTATTCAATCCTTCTATGGTCTGATGACAATATTTCTTTCAGTTTCTCCCTTCAAAGGATGAACTCTATTTCTCTAACCCTTGAATCTGAGCTGATTGTATAAGTGAGGTCATCATAGTCCCCAAAGTTCAGGTGGATTCCAGCTGAACACAGCTGCAAGAGTAAGCCCAGGTAAGACTAGCAGTAAATTGCCCAGTCAACCCACAGAATCATGAGGAAGAAAATGGTGATTTTCTTAAGCCTTTAAGGTTCTGAGTGGTTTGTTACATATCAGTAGGTAATTCATACATCGATAGACTGAACTTGTATGAGCATGGAGACTATCAACTTTGCTTATCCTTGTATCTGCAGAGCCAAGGACTATGACTAGCATAATGAGTGCTCAGTAAATACATGTGGGAATGGTGACTGGATAAAGGGGTGGATTGATGAATGCTACCTGCTGAGAAAAGGTGTCAGGGACATTTCAAAGAGATCTGAAAGCTGGATAAGTAATGCTTATGAGGTGAAACATTCTTTGAGTGAATATCCACTGCCATGGTTATCTTTTCCCAAGTAGTCTTCACAAATCACACTCCTCAATGGCTACTAGTTGCTACCACATAAATTCAAACTCCTTACCAGAGCAAGTGTGATTCTTCAAAAACTTGGCTTCCAGGTATATCTCAGAAATTCACTGCTACACATCCTACACCTTTTCCATATTATATTATCTATAATTATGTATAATTTTGAGAAATACTGTGCTTTGAGATTTACATACATTTGCTAATTTATTTCATTTCTCTAGGACACTCTTCCTATGTTTCTCAGTCTTAGATATTACTTATTCTTCAAGGCCTATTACTTTCTATTTATTTCCTTATTTTTAAAAATATTTTAAGAGGCAATTATTCTGTTCTCACACCGCTAATAAAGACATACATGAGACTGGGTATTTATAAAAAAGGTTTAAGTGACTCACAGTTCCACATGACTGGGGAGGCCTCACAATCATGATGGAAGGTGAATGAGAGTAAAGTCACATCTTACATGGCAGCAGGCAAGAGGGCATGTAAGGGGGAAATGAACTCATGAGACTTATTCACTATCACGAGAACAGCACAGGAAAGATCTGCCCTTATGATTAACTACCTCCCACCAGGTCCCTCCCATGACACGTGGGGATTATTACAATGCAAGGAGATGTTTGGGACACAGAGCCAAACCATATCAGAGATTTAATTGGCTCACAGTTCCATATGGTTGAGGGGGAGGCCTCACAATCATGGTGGAAGGTGAAAGAGAAGCAAAGTCACATCTTACATGGTGGCAGGCAAGCGAGTTTGTGTAGGGGAACTCCCCTTTATAAAATCATCAGATCTCATGAGACTTACTCACTATCACGAGAACAGCACAGGAAAGACCCACCACTATGATTCAATTACCTCTCACTGGGTCCCTCATACAATACGTGGGAATTATGGGAGCTACAATTCAAGATGAGATTTGGGTGGGGGCACAGCCAAGCCATATCACAAGGTATTGCTATGCTGCCGAGGCTGGACTCAAACTCCTGGGCTCAAGCAATCCTCCCTCTTCAGCCTCCCAAGTAGCTGGGACTACAGGTGCACTGCCACCACGCCCAACTCAAAGTCTATTCTACTTTTATCTCTGATAAGACACATTTACTAAGGCAGGAGGGTAATCTGTACTCTCATATAATTCTTACATGTATGTAGAGTAAATCTCCTAACCATGCTCTTATAGTAAATTGCTAATACTTCCTATGTTTCTCTCTTTAGACTATGTGATTCTAGAGGAAGGGCATCATGCTTCATTGCCTTCCTTATCCTTGTCAAGTAGATGCTCACCAGAAACCTCTGTGAAGCAAATAAATAATGCCTAGAAGTAGGTTGGGGAGAAGGATCCAGTTTTCACATTGTCTTTTATGGGCCTCTAAGTTTACACATGCTTTGCTTATAGACAGAGTTAAGTTACCATACACAACAATCCTGAACGTTTTCTGTGATCTTATTTTCACAAGTGAAAATGTAAAAAGCGGCAAACTACTGTTATTTCTCATTCTTCCCTCTTACCGTGGAAGACGGACAGAATAAGAGTTTATTATAAGGTTCCCCAGAGACAGAAAAACATGTCAGAAATGAGAAAATGCTCATGGATCATAAGAAAGAAGATCTATTTATAAGCATCATTAATAGAAAAGATTAGATAGTTACAGTCATTACTCTTAAACTCAGTAAGTAAAGACACTGAGTGGGCTGGAGTCCATTTTGCGGTCAGTGAGCAGGTTACAGGTCATGCTGTTCTAATGGACAGAGACCATGTCTGTTTTCAATCCTGATTATGGCATTATGGCGCTACACACTAAGAAAGCTTAATAAATGCTTAATGATGATAAGATACTATCTATTGCATTTGAGGCTATTCGAATTTAAAATAAAAATGCAAATTAGGTTTAGACGCTCACATAAAAAAGTGTTCTGTAAAACCACCTTTGCTTTAATAAATAATAGCCAAGAGGAAGAAATACTTTTTCAATATCTTTAAATGTCTATGCCTTGCTTTATAACACCAGATTAAATGCATGGAAAATACTTTGTTGTGCAGGAAAACCTGGAAGGTTGTAACAAATGATGGACAAGTTCTCATTCTTAGGCATTGCCTATAGCTAGAGACTTGCATATTTTTATTGTTATGATGGTATTGATTGTTAAGTCAACAGAAAGCTATCACAGGGGATTGCAAATTTCTATACCAATACTCTGTTCTGTAACATTAAAATGTCATTACTGAATCACCAACTTTTCCCCCTGCTGTAATATTATTCTCTGTTGATTGCCTGCCTGAGCTGAAATCTGAAACTGTCACCCTCAGACTTGCAAAAGTGATTCAACTTCTCTTATAAGGAAAGTGAAATTAAATATTCATTCACGGGCTGCATTTCAAGTTCAAACTGTCTGAAGCTCCTTAAGGCAAAATGTATTTAAGTGAAATACATTTTTTCTTCATTTTTATGTAGCAAAAATTCAGAATTGGTATCACGGGTGGACAAATCACAAAATAATAATTTATTTTGAACTTTACAGGGAAGAAGAGGTGAGCTTTCTTTCTTTATGCCACCCCTCTACTGTTTCTGGCCTATCCCATTTATCTCCTTTGTCAGGAAAACTGTATGTGTATGTTTGTAGCTGTTGTTTATTGTTTGATTTTTTTGTATGTGTCATGTTTTAGCATTAATCAAGTTGTAAAGCATTGAAGTATTGAATGAAAATATAGTTGTGTCTCTGTCTGCCACGAAAATATAGGATTGCCAGTGGTAACTGGCAAAAACGGGTTCAAATCCTCTTAATATACCCCTACCTTGCATTTCCTTTCTTTTTTGTTTGTTTGTTTGTTTGTTTGTTTGTTTGTTTGTTTTTGAGATGGTGTCTTGCTCTGGCGCCCAGGCTGGAGTTCAGTGGTGCGATATTGCCTCACTGCAACTTCCACCTCCGGGCTTCAAGCAATTCTCCTGCCTCAGCCTCCTGAGTAGCTGGGACTACTGGTGTGTGCCCCCACGCCCAGCTAATTTTTTGTATTTTTAGTAGAGACAGGGTTTCACCGCGTTAGCCAGGATGGTCTTGATCTCTTGACCTCGTGATCTGCCTGCCTCAGCCTCCCAAAATGCTGGGATTACAGGCGTGAGCCATCGCACCTGGCCCTACCTTGTATTTTCTTTGTGTCCTTCTGCAAATTGTTTGACCTCTCTGCCTCAGTTTGTTCATGGAGTTGTCATAAGGATCAAATTATTTGATAGAGAGCATTTAAAACAGTTCCTGAAACATGGTATGCCCTAAATAACTGTTTATCTAAATGAGTATTAACTGTTATTTGTACCCATTAATACTAATAACAAGTTGCATTTGGAAGACACCTGATATTTGTGGGGATTAGGGGAGGAGGGAATGGGGAGCAACTGTTTAATAGATGTAGGATTTCACTTGGGGTGACAGAAATATTTTGGAACTAGATGGAGATGGTGGTTGCGCAACATTGTTAATGTACTAAATGCCACTAATTGTTCACCTTAAAATGATTGATTTTATGTTATGTGGATTTCACTTCAATAGAGAAAATATGTAACCTACAAAATATTGTGCTAGTCAGATAACAGACATTGAATTCTTCACTCTTGTGTTGCTCACTAGTAATCATAATACCAAAGAACGGACCATTACTTTGAAACACGGGTGATGTCGAATACATTTCAAAACACATCAAGAACTTTGTACCACTTAGTCAAGCTTTCACAAGCACTGTGGCCTTCATTATCCAAGGAATCTTAGTACCTCAGGGATATTCATAAAAAAAAACAACACCAAATACAGTTACTCAGTTACATCACATCAGTTTAATGGATGATTCATTCCTACTATCTTGCACAGTATGACAGGCTGAATAATAGATATACTGATATCCAATCTGTTTTGTGAAAATATGTTTAGGTTTGCAATGAAGAATTTGAAAGCTACTTTCTTTTGGAAAATTCTTGGGGAGGTAGTAGAGTATAATTGTCATTAGGAATGAGACACACAGTCCCCACCTCCTTCATATATAAATTGGTGAACATGAGAAAGACTTCTCGGGATGTTGTGAAGACTGACTAACATAATGAACATAATGAATTTTGAATTCTGCTTGGCATTTAATAAGTATATATGAAGCCTCCTGTGGAAAAAGATTATTATACAATATTAGGTTGTATGTTGTATTAGACAGTGCTGTGATTCTCACGGGCATACACTGTGACTGAGTTCTGACCAACTTCCCCTCAGCCCAACTACACTGTAAACAGATTTTTGTCCTGATTCTAGGCCTTGTCTTCTCTTTTATTAAATCATTTACTTTAGAAAACTTGAAATTGTGGAGTCTTTCTCTGACTCTTTAAAATGTAGGTAAATCTTTTCCCAGCCTCTTGCCAATTTCACAACCCAGACAATGTCTTTTTCAAGAACCTGGGAACCATCTTGTTGGAATGTAAACATTGAAGGGTCCCAGTCTCTGTGGGAGGTTATGAGCCTAACTTCTTAGATGGGTGGCAATTAGCAAATACAGATGGCCTAGTCAAAGAGTAAACACATTTGCAAACTCAGAAATAACTAAATGAGCTTGACACATCCCACTGATCAACTTCCCTTTTGCAACATCCTCATCCTCCAGAATGTTTCCACTGGCTCACCCCAATCGTTAAAAATCTTTTCACCTTTTGTTTTGGTACTTCTTTCTCTCTACTCTATTGCAATAGTCTTTTCTTCTTCTTCTTCTTCTTGTTTGGTAGAGACAAGGTCTCATTATGTTGTTCAGGCTTGTCTCAAACTCCTGGGCTCAAGAAATCCTCCTAGCTTGGCCTCCCAAAGCGCTGGGACTGCAATCATGAGCCACCACACCCGGCCTGCAATAGTCTTAAATAAAGTCTTCCTTGGCTGTCTAATTTTTTCTAGTGAAATTTTTGCTTTGACATTTCACATAGAGCCAAATGACATCTTTCTAAAATTTCATTTTATGTGAAGATTTAAGAAGAAAAATGCAACTTAACTGGACATTGAAAACATTTTTCTATGAAAACAAAGATGGATATATCATAGACTAGAATTTGATTTTCACATGCGCTTTCAAGGTAAGGAAATTTTAAATATGTTTCCAAATAATGGCTGACAAATTCAGTCTAACTTTTCAGGACCCCAGTGATTTTTTGGCTTTTACTCTTTTATTTTTCTGAGCATAATTTAGCAGAAAAATTTCCTTTCAGGTTTATATGTGGTGGAGCCAACTCAACACTTACACTGAGTTATTAGTTATGAATATACATTATTATTTCTATATTTTCTATAAAAGCATTTTTGCTTAACCAATCTACTGCATGGTTAGCATTTTAATGTGCCTCGGTTTAAAACTGAATGAATTATCTACTGCTCAAGAATCTAATAATTTTGTTTTTAATTTATAAAGCACCCAAGTCTTGAATAGTATATTATGATTAAAAATACATTTATATATATATATACATATTTTTTATTATACTTTAAGTTCTAGGGTACATGTGTACAACGTGCAGGTTTGTTACATATGTATACATGTGCCATGTTGGTGTGCTGCACCCATTAAGTCGTCATTTACATTAGGTATATCTCCTAATGCTATCTGTCCCTCCTCTCCCCACCCCACAACAGGCCCTGGTGTGTGATGTCCCCCTTCCTGTGTCCAGGTGTTCTCATTGTTCAATTCCCACCTATGAGTGAGAACATGCGGTGTTTGGTTTTTTGTCCTTGCGATAGTTTGCTGAGAATGATGGTTTCCAGCTTCATCCATGTCCCTACAAAGGAAATGAACTCACAATTTTTATGGCTGCATAGTATTCCATGGTGTATATTTGCCACATTTTCTTAATCCAGTCTATCATTGTTGGGCATTTGGGTTGGTTCCAAGTCTTTGCTATTGTGAATAGTGCCACAATAAACATACGTGTGCTAAACATCTTTTCATTACATCTTCTATTTACAGAGTAGCTACGTTTGAATATATATGCAACATTAGACCTTTTGGATGACCCCTGAAATTTTTCACTGAAATGCTGTTAAAGTTTAGTTAGGTGTAAACAACTAGGTAATGTTTGGAAGCCAAGAAATTTGTTGTGGCAATGTTTCCTTTGCTCACTGAAGAAAACTACTCTTTCCACAAATACACGAGATAAATGGTATCAATGAGGCTTGAAACTGTGATGAGCTTTGAATGTTCCAGTGCCTCTCAACATTCATATCCAAAATGATTTTTATATTAAAACTGTCACATTAAAAACCCTGAAGTAGTTATGAAACACACAATCACCATAAATTTGAGTATTTCCCTGTATGAATACAAAAATTTTTATATTAGTTTTGCATTATAGTTGTTATTAATAAAATTCAAAATAAATTTAATTTATTGAATTTATATTCACATATACTTGGATTAGAATTCTTGCTCCTCCATTTGTTAGTCTGCACATTCTGGGGCATGTTATTTAACCTCCCTGAGTATTAATTGCCTCATCTCTAAAATGTAGATTAAAAAAATCACACATACCTCATGGGATTGTTCAATGAGATTATTAATGCAAAGCACTTACATAGTCCCTGGAATGTTGCAAGTGCCCAATAAAGGACAATGATTATGATGGTAGTGGTGCTATCAATTGATCAAGTCATGATAACTGATCTAGTGTGGATGTTTTTCCTGCTCAAATCTCATGTTGAAATGTAATCCTTAATGTTAAAGGTGGGCTTGGTGGGAAGTGATTGGATCATGGAGTCATATTTCTCAGGAATATTTTAGTACCTTCCCTTTGGGATTATCCTGGAAATAGTGAATGAGTTCTCATAAAATCTGATTCTGTAAGTGTGTGTGGTACCTCCCCTGACTCTCTCATGCTCCTGCTTTTCCCATGTGATATACCTGCTCTTCCTTTGCCTTCTGCCATGATTGGAAGCTTCCTGAGGCCGCCCCAAAAGCAAAAGCTGCTATGCTTCCTGTGCAACCTGTGGAACTGTCAGCCAATTAAACTTCTTTTCTTTATAAATTACCTAGCCTCAGGTATTTCTTGATAGCAGTGCAAGAACAGCCTAATAAAATAACTAATGAGTTTTACCTATGTTTGATGATGTTTAAAATCTCCATTTTGTAAAAAATTTAGAGATAGGTTTATCATGAAGTTAATGAAGCTTAACTTTTGGGAATTTTCACTTTTACAGGTCTCATCCTAATTAATATTTACTTCCTTAAATCATATTTGTATTCATACTTTTACATTTCTTTCTTAAAGTCCTGCAAGATTGACCACATTTAGGTGGCTTCATCCCTGCCTATTTTCCTAAAGAGCCTGTAGAGAAACATATTATACAAAAAAATTAATATATCTAACAAAATATATACAGATACCTTAGGAATTATATATATATATATATATATACACAATAAGAATTCATGAGAAGCGAGCTATTAACTATTGATAAATGGGTTGTGTCAATTATATATAAATGATTGTATTTTATAAAATATGTTTTTCAAACAATAATAGTTAATGTTCCCTTTGAGAAATTAGAATGCAGAAACTATAATAAGGATAGGTTCTGATAGTTACTAGAAGTACTTCAAAGGAGGGAAATGAAGATGTTTCTGGCTTTCTGTAGTCCTGAATGAATCTCCACAATACCCCCAGATTCTAGATTCTGTGTGTCAGAGCTTTGCTGTGAAAGTCTAGTCCCATTACTTTGTCAGTTTGCCTATATTATTTCGAGAAGTAAAACACACACACAGACACAAACACAGATTTTAGACTTATCACAAAAAGAAAAATTATTTCATATTGTATATTGTTAATGTAATAAAAAATTCTGTAAAACAAACTGTAGAACTATTAACTCTAGCAAAAAGACACATGGACTCATTCTTTCATTCTTTTCTCTTTTCTTTCTTTCTTTTTTTGTTTTGTTTTGTTTTGTTTTGTTTTTTGACACAAAGTCTTGCTCTGTTGCCCAGGCTGGAGTGGAATGGTGCAATCTTGGCTCACTGCAACCTCCATCTCCCTGGCTCAAGTGATCCTCCCAACTCAGCCTCCCACATAGCTGGGACTACAAGCACACACAGCTAGTTTTTGTATTTTTTGTAGAGATGGGGTTTTGCCATGTTCCGCAAGCTGGTCTCAAACTCCAGGGCTTCAGGAATCCACCTGCCTGGACCCCCAAAGTTCTGGGATTACAGGTGTGACCCACCGTACCAGACCAGTACACATTCTTATATTCTTATATATATTATGTAAACAGACTAATCTATTTCTGTTTGCCTATAAAATAACACGTGTTTTTTTTTTTTTTTCCTGTCAGGACACTTTATATGCCAGGGTGAATAAAATGCCATTTTTTCTTGTATCCTTTTATTATTTTTTTTCAGTAGCAAATGAAAACTTTTACAAAATGTCTGCTATAATATATGTAACTTTCTTTAAAAATAATTTAAAAATCATGCTGTATTATATGTTTAAGCTACTTTAATAGTTTCCTTTACATTTCTTTCAAACTACCTGTCCCTAAGAATTGCCACGTTTTACATAATTTCATTCGCTAGCAGTGTTTTTATGCCCTTGTTCTCTACTGAAGACAAAAGAAGACAAAAACTACAGGCCCATCAATCAAAAACAACACAGTCAGCACCAAGTCCAATAATGAAAACCATGATTTCATAAATCATCTTCCACAGGTTGGGGTCATCTTTAAAGAAAAAAATCTTATCAGGTGCAGCTGAATATTCTCTTGGTCTTTCATTCTTCAGTTTTTAATAAAACAATAGAATGGCTGTCAGAATACAAATGTGTAACCTTTCTTAAGTAAAAAAAAAAAAAGCCTGAACTATATCCTGACTATGCCCTTGAAATAAGTTGAAGTCAGGATATTTTTTCCTCAAAGGTCCAGCATTCGTTTTTTAACAGTTTGGCAATGAGGTAACTTTTTTTTTTTCTCTTACTCCCTTTTCAGACATGTGTGGTTAATTCAATCAAGTGGAGATTAAATTTAAGAACTCAGTTTCAGAAAGCTATTTCCTGGCAGTGACTAACACTGACTGCAAAAGGAGATTTGACATGGCATTTTTGTTTTAGCTGAATCAACAATTCTTGGGTGAATTCTGTTTTGTGACCCCGAGTCCACATCCACATATTAGGAAGTAAAATAAGTAGCTTGTAATGACTGGGTAGATGCAGACTGAATGGAGATTTATCTCTTTAAAAATATGAACTCTATATTTGCAAACCTGGTTAAATATGTCTGAGTGAAATAAGGTTTGATTAGGCATACACAGTACTGTATACTTAATCAAAGTTCCTAAATTGATTTTGCTAAGACGTCGCTGCCTGGCATATCCCAAGTCCCTAATGTAATCCAATAAAATCTATTTTTTGGACTTGAGTTAGCCATACATATTGGGATATTCACCTTGTTGCAGAGACATAGACTTGGTTTGTATAAAATAAAATTCATTCAGCAGTAGTATTGACGTGGTGCAGGTTCATGTCCTTTTATGTAGACAGAGAATGGCAGTGTGTCTAAAGAACAAATCGTTTTGAGTTTAAAAATTAGTGAATGGGAAAATGGAGTGAATTCAAAAAAAAAAAAAAAGAAAGACATGCAAAATAGGTTGCTGAGTGTAAGTAGGAGATGCCTTAGGCAACAATTTATGTTAAAAAATTTAAGTATATTATTAAGAATTTGGGAATTCAACACCAAAGGAGTTTATTCTTCGGGTGTGCTTTTGTGGCAGACATGAGAAAACCTTTTGCTTTAGCAAAGCTCCCATTGTCTTATTTAGTAAGCATTCCGGATACTTCTATTCAGAAGAGGTTGCTATTTACAGGCATTGTGAATTCTTACCAATTTTCTGCCTGCTACATAATGTAAAAGCAATGAATGGCTATACTGCATCGTTCACACTTTCAACTATATGTGATTATCTGGTCCACTGGTCTACTGTAGTGTATTTCCGAATTGAATTGAAGATAAACCCATAATAGTCCATTTCATACAGAGACATTTGTCTCAGTTTAAATTCAGGGCCCACATATCTACTTATTTCCATTCTGTTTTGTAAGTACGGTGTTTTCATCATCATAAAACCATATTAGCTCCCTGATTATACCTGGAATTCTGCAAGTGCTGTGAGAGCACTACTAGTCTCATTTCTGGTTCTTTAGCATCTAACTTTAAAATAAATAACACAGTCACTAAATAAAGAACAAAGGCTCAGAAAGGAGTTGTGGGGAATTTTCCTCAAGGTACTGTATCATGTCCAGTTTTGCATAAACAAAAGGATTTCTATATGTTATCAAGTTACTCACATTAACCTTGCTTTGTTCACACAAACACTTGTTATATTTGAATAAGAAATCAAAATATAATTGGTGTTTGAACAAATTCAAGTTTATTATGCAATCAGACAGCATTACTTATATGTTTAGTAACTATATGTGAATCAGTTAAACTTATTTGTACAACTATTCAAATTCATTATTATAATATTCTTAAGATAGATAATCTGATTTTTAAATAAAAGTTCCACGGATAAAAACATGGTATCATATAGGTAAAATTTTAAAAAATAAAACAATTATCATATACGGTTTTAAAAAATCATAACATTATACATATTTAGAAATTATACTCCTGGGCAGTAGTAATGCTTTTATTTGGCATAAAAATTAGCAACCGGAAGCAAATACAGTAAAATGTTAATATCTGCTAGGTCCATGTAGTATGCACATAGATATTTCATTTTTCTCCATACTGGAAATCTTTCATAATTATAAAAGGAAAAACAGAACATACAATTTAACAAGAATGTAAATAGTAAAATTTATAGAAAATTATGAATTATGTAGAAGAATTGTAAACATGTTTTGTACAAATCAAATTTGTTGCTTACTATTTTCTCCAATTCTTAATAAAACTAATTTAGAAAGCTTTCTCAAGTGAATTTTAAGTATGTGAGCTACACAAGTTTTTTGAGAATATGAGATCACCACCTGAATTGCTTTTTGTGTTTTTATACAAAGGAGGATGACTTTACCACATTTACAAGTTTACAAGGGAACATCTTTCTCCCATACCCATTGGCTTTGCTGTCACTGAAAATGAAATATTTTATTTTCAGAGTTTTTTCTTAACACCATTTGAAATACTTCTACTTGAAAAGAAATTATTGTCCCATCTAACTTTTTTTGTTAATTCTTATCAACATGGAAATTGTGTAATAATTCAATGTAATTTTATTTTCCTCAGAAGTACTGTACAATAGATAAAACATGTTAGGTTTAGAAATCAAGAGTCTACTGAATGCATATGATATCCAATAGATACAACTGGCAAACTTATTAAGACAATCACGTATATAGTAGTTCAAGATTATTACTGGGTCTTTCTAGTAAAGCTGTAATATTACTCAATATTTCTAATACTATCAATAATAATCCTAGAAGCTTGGCCTTCATTTTTATGTTATTCTATCTTGCTATGTAAACACAGAAAAGCCAAAATGTTATTGTAAGCCTTTGATATCTGCACTCTAATATGTATTAATTAAATCTAAAAAAAATTTATATATAAGCCAAATTAGAAAAGTTCTGAAATAAAACATGTTTGTAAAGGATGAACGGGGAATAATAAGACAGTGTAGCACAGTTTATCATTTTTCCACATATTCTTTGTGAGCAATTCAGTATTTTGATTAATGGATCCAATTATTGTTTAGAGACTATCAACTATCTTGTCTTTAGGCATTTGTCTACATGCCTAAAATTGACAATCTGCCACCCTCCAAAAAGAAAACCATCCGAAATCTCTCTCTCTCTCTCCCTCACTCTCTCTTTCTCTCTGTGTCTATGTGTGTGTGTGCTTGTATGAGTCATTTTATCTATGCTGAACATAATCAAATTTGTCCTCCTCATCAAAACCTTTAGAACCTATCTCAATTAAGAATATCTTTCCTGTTAATTTTTTAATACATCTACAGTGAGTGTCATATGGTTTAGAATTAATTTAAATGCTATTTGCTATAACAAGAGTTCCAAAACTTCTGCAAATCAGATCTAATAACACCCATTTATTTAGTATTTTCTAAGACTGCTTTCCTGCTACAATGGCAAGATTGAGTAATTGCCAGAGACCCTAGGAAGCCAGCAAGACTTGAGATATGTAGGCCAGTAGACAAGAAGTTTGCCCACACGTGCCAAACTATATATGGGACATTTCTGGTATCTTTAATTTATATAAAGTTGCTTTTTCAAGTAAAATACAATATAGTTAAACTTAAGAACAATTTTTAGAAATTTATATTTTGAACATGACCTCAAAGTATTTGTCATTGTTCCAGGGACATATTGGACACTTTGTAACTGACCGATTTATTAAATCATTGCAGAGCAAGAAATCCATTTATGATATAAACTGCACTTCCTCTAAGCTTGATCACTTTAGCTTAAGAGATCACCAGAATGCTACACATTTGGGTTGCATAATTGTGAGACTAAAAATACTTTTGAGGAATTTTGATAGTAATTAGACTTTTAGCTTTTCCAATGAAACAGGCATTCTTAGACATTTCTGTAATTTAAAAAAAACAACAACAAAACTTGCTATCAGGGACAATATCCACTGTGTTCTTCACAGAGCCTCTTAAAAGCTCATGTGAAATTCCTACCAGAATTCAGCATTAAAGAAAAAACGTGTCTTGGAATGAATTATGGTTTTCTTTGTAAGATAATGAAAACTTCTCAATCCATTGCCTATCCCTTCTAAACTTGGCCTTCAGGAAACCCAGAACTAAGATTTAAGCTCTATTTTAGTAGCGAATCTTAAATTTCCTTTCCTGTCATGTACTCCATACTTTTAATAAACAATTCTTGATTTTTTTCCTCTTAATGATTTTACATCTTTAAAATTTTGTGCTGCAATAAACTTACTTTTGAAATTGGCATTATAGAAAAATAATGAATGCTTGCATGAATTAATAAATGAATAAATGAAAAAATATGCCCCCACATTCTGCCATCCATTATTCTCAACAAAATGAATGGACATGTTCTATCCATCCCGTGTTAGTTCATTCCTGCATTGCTATAAAGAAATACCTGAGATTGGGTAATTTATAAAGAAGAGAGGTTCAACTGGTTCACGGTTCTGCAGGCTGTACAAGAAGCATGGCTCCAACATCTGTTTGGCTTCTGGGGAGATATGGGGAGCTTTTACTCATGGCAGAGGGCAAAACAAGAACTTACATGTCATATGGCAAAAACAGGAAAAACAGAGGAGGGGAGGTGCCACACACTTTTAAACACCCAGATCCCATGTGAACTCAGAGCAATAGCTTACTTATTACCAGGAGGATGGTGCTAAGCCATTCATGAAGGATCCGCCCCCATGATTCAAACACCTTCCACCAAGCCCCGCCTACAACACTGGGGATTAGATTTCAACCTGAGATTTGGACAGAGACAAATATCCAAACTATATCAATCCCTATTTTCCTGAATCATCAATAAAACCACAATGAGACAATACTTTTAAAAGTTTCAAAAGTGAAATTTAGAAATAATAGCTGATTTTTGACCCTAAGTTGCAAACTCCTCCTCCTCGATAAAATTTGGATTTGAATATTATGAAAGCACACTTTTTTATGGGCAAGGTAGGGCTGATAAGCAAGGATTAAAAGGATATACTTTGGAAAATTCAAATATTTTGTTAGTTTATTTACACTCTAGGGATAAACCAATGAGAAAACGCCCGAGGTTTAGAAGTTATATAAGTTTATGGGTAACATAAATTTACTTTAAATACATGTGGGGTGGTGGTAATAAGTTGTTTGACTTGCGCTACTCCAAAATGCCTGGACCGCAGTGCTGTTGTTGGGAGGGGCAAAGGGATTCAATGGGCAGGGAATTTTAAAACTTTTCGAGTAAAAGAGACCAAAACCCAAACGCATGAATTAACACCAGGGCAAATTGCTTTATTGGAACACAGTATTTCCAAGAAAGGCCCAAGGGCATAATAGTACAAGATATCCAAACTAAAACTGTTTTAAATAAAGAAAATCTAGTCCGGTGTCCCAGATATAATATACATTTTCTCTGGATTCACGTGGAAAGACTAGGGTCTGATACAGTTTATATTCGAGGCTGGGAACTACTATGCATGTGGCCACACAGAAATAATAGTGCACTTTGGAAAGTTAACTGAACACATGAGCTGTATAAAGTTGGGCTGGTTATCTCCACTGGCAGTGCTTTGACATCCTATTCTGATAAACAGTGGTGATAGTAGTGCATTCCTCTAAGGTTCTGTAAGAATTAAATAAATTTATATATAAAAATCCTTTAAAAAAAACCAGATACCTGGTAAGATCTATATTAGAAATTGTTTATTATTATTATAACAATCAGTACAGATACCCATATATATATATCAAGTTAAATTCACCATTAATCGGGTTATGCACAAACTGGTAATAGGAAATGGGCAAAAGCTTTATGATGATCAAACTGACCATCAACGGAAGAGGCAGACGAGCACTCTTTATAATCTCAGGCCTGCTTCTAATTAGCAGTATGCCCTTGGGTAAACACTTAGAGCTTCTGAGTCTCAACTTCCATATACGAAAAATAAATGAGTTAGTCTAGAGAATCCCTAAGGTCATTTTGGCCCTAAGATTTTATGAGTCTATGAATCCTCTTAGAATGTGAGTGTCATATAGTCAGGCCCTAGGAGAGAAACAGACAACACACATGCCAGTTCCCTTCCCTGCAAGAGGTTATGATCCTGATACGATGAAAGAGGCTTGTTACCCACATTTGCATGACACAGTATCATTCTCAATTATATAAGCTTTGTAAAGTATTTTTCTGATTTTGCAGACCGAAGCAGCTCTCGGCCATTGGAAAATATTGTGAGCCAGGATGACTAGCTTTACAGACTTTGAGCTTCTCTTCTTACTCGACTGGTCGACGGCAGTCCTATTAAAACAGAATCTACACTTTTATATTTTACTGAAAAAGTATCACACTAAATAAACTTTTTTGACTGACGTGTATTTTCTGTTACTCAGATAGTTCTTTTCTGCCAAAGCAGCAATCCAAATCGGTTCAGGACAAAAAAGTGAGCGGGCCTTGTCCTGTCCTGACTGCGAGCAATGATGAGAGGGAACACGGTGCCTCAGTGCTCTCAGTGTGCTGCAGGGCTCTCTGTGGCTTAAATGCCCTTTACGTCCTTTCCCTACCTTCAATACTATCATTTATTTTTAGCATCTTTTGTTTTGAACGTCTTAAACTGATAGTACTATGGTAATAAAATGTCAGTGTCAACAGACTTTCCTGAATTTGGATTAAATGTGCATACAATGATTTTTTTTCCGCTATTTCATTTGCTTTGGAACTCAGCATTGTCCCGAAACTCCTTAGGTCTTCCTTTCTAGTAATAGAAGAAAACAGTGATTCAGATTTGAACTAAATGCATTTACTTTTGTTCATAATACTGTGAGTGAGATAAGATTGGGTGGGAAGTTGTCTTTTTTCCTGCATTGCTGCATTTTCCTGCAGTAGTTCTGCAGATCATCTTTCAGGTTCAAAGCCACATGAAAACCTGTGATGCAAAGCAATCTCCCTGGGAACAGACATGCTTCATTTTAATGCTTGTTGCCTTTAAAATTAATCTATCGAATATCTGATTATTTAGCTGATCCTTTCCAATGGTGGAATCTTCAAATCCTGTGTATTCACAGGATGAATTCTTAACTCTGGACTTTATTTATGCCTCAGGGCTTATCAAGTCCATAATAGAAGCACTGTGAACCATAAATGGAGTATTTGCCTCACAGTAATTGAACCATATGATGCTTTGTGTTTAGGTATCTTATGTCTTAATTCATAACCAATTTTAAAAGGGCCTGTTTCTGTGACATCAGGAAACCCTTGTCTTCCAGGACAGAGGAGAATGAAATGCTTCATGATTAATGACACTATCTAAATACTGGCAGAAGCTGGTGAGTTCTTGCAAAGGAGGCGTGTTTGACTGTATTCTGCCCAAGGACAACAGCTCATTAGGCAATATTTTCCCCATTAATGTTTAGTATTAAACACTGAATGAAAGACTAAATATCATACAGAAAAACAAATTGAAAACAGCACAGTAGGGTTTAGGGTAGGCAGCCAACAGCCTCCCCTTCATTTGGAAGACAGCTTGCATACCTATTCCAAAGATTAATGAGCAATCAGTTCTAAATTAAGCCAAGACCTGCATTTAAATCTTTTTTTTCCCTCTGTTGAAAGTATGGCTATGAGTTACACTAACTGTGATAAAATACAGTATTAGCCTTTCCATGTGTTGAGTAATGTGGTTAGAAACATGAAAGATTGTTTCTGAAACATTTCCTTCACATTTTTTCAACATTTATTTTCCTGCACAATTTGAAAGGAAATGGGCCATGATGAGGTCGGTAGTTTCTGCCACATGATGCAGAATCTTGCTCTCTGTCAGTCACTCAAAAAACAGTCACCACTTTGAAGATGGAATAAGAAAACCGCTTTTATGAACATCACAGATCCTATCATAGGTAGCTAACATAGAATTTCAATTTTATGAAAACTGTCAAAAGAAACTACCTTTCAGTAGGAGCACAGATACTGTTATAGTGTGTGAAAATATGGAAGATTCTGCTATATTGCTGAAGCCTCAGGACACTGATAACACCCGTGGTACGTGTTATGGTGAGATATATTTTATACACAGAGAGGCTTGGTTTAACAAAACATGTGATTCAATCCTCAAACTGCAAAATTGTTTCAAGAGGAATTCACTTGGTTAGAGGACTTACTTTAGAAAAACTTGATACAGGATACGACAATTCACAAAACAAAAACGATATTTAGGGATTCTTAATCTGGGTCTCTCTAACCTTAGTATATCTATGAAAGAACTGTGTACACACCTAATTTTTAATACATGATTCTGTTTGTGTGTGCATATATATACATTATCCTGGAGTAGATTTTCATTAAATTCTGAAAGAGAAATTTGATACCACACTTTAAAGAGTCATTGCTGCACTCCAGCCTGAGTGACAAAGTGAGACCCTGTCTCAAAAAAAAAGTATGTGTGTGTATATATACATATATATATATATATAGTTTTATACATATTTTAAATATATATACATATATTACATAAGGCAGTCAAATTTCCTCCTTTGGCTATACTTTAAAAATTACCTAAGGAAATTTTTTTAAAAAAATACCAATGTAGAAAACCCTTCCATAGCTCAATTAAATCACAATATCAAGGGGTAAAATCAAGGCATGGCATTTGTTTTAAAAAATCTTGTATCTTAAAATAATACATGACTGGGAACCAAAATAAGTGACAAAGACAAAAAAAATTACATTGTCGTATGGAAAAGGGGAATCTGATATAAACGGAAGATCCTTGGAAAGATTTGACCAAAATTTCAAGTTAAGAATTGTGTAGCTTTCAGTATGAAGTAAATATACTAAGATTTCAAAATTCAATAAGAAAGACAATTACAACAATTTTTTTGAAACAACTGTCACATAGCTTATGCGTATCAGTAGGAGGTTGAATGATGTTACCCCAAAAGATGTGTTTGTGTCCAAATCCTTGGACTTGTGAGTTTGACTTCACCTGGAAGAATGGTCTTTGCAAATATAGTTAAAGAGATGAGGTCATGGTGGTTTGAGAGAGCCCTAAGTCCAATGACAAGTGTCCTAGGGAAAGGACACACAGAAAGAAAAGAATGAGGCTATGTGACCACGGAGATAGAGAGAGTCATGCAGCCACAAGCTAAAGGGCATGTGGAACCAAGAAGATCTGCAAGAGACATGGAGTGGAATCTCCCCTTAAAACTTTGGAGGAAGTGGAGTCCCTCAATTTCAGATTTCTTGCCCCAGAAGTAGGAGAGAAAAAATGTATGCTTTTTGTTATTGTTGTTGTTTTTTTAACGTCACCCAGCTTATGGTAATATGCTACAGTCACAGGAAACTGACACAATATCTTATTCTTATTTGTCTGCTAGCAAATAATATAATATCTTAACATTAGCATAGTTTGCTGGACTGAAATTACAGTCTCTGAATAGAGCCCACTGCATTTCTTTTACTTGCAGGGTGTTGCTTCAAAATGATTTTAAAGCAAGTCTTGTTTAAGGTGAATTCATAGCAATTTGTTCAAGAAAGAATCATCAGCATTCTTGAAAGTTCAATCATTATCTCATTTGCTCTCCCTGAATCATTACCTTTGTGTGAAATGCTGCGTACTCCTCCTCCTCCTCACCCTTCATTACTATCACTATCAAAATTTATAATTACATAGAATTTACACTATGCCAGCATATTATAGGACAACATTTATTTAATAATGGGAGTAACCCTACAGAATAGGCACTATTATGACCATTTAACAGTTGAGGAACTGAAGAACAGAGCTTGAGAAATTTGCTCAAAGTTGAAGTAAAGAAAGGAAGATAATATGAGAAAAATAAACTGCCAAATGGTAATATTGTTAAAGATGATGACAGTATTTCATTTGTTCAAGTAGCACATAATGTGTGTCTTCTGAACGTAGTTTTTTTGCCAAACGAAGATTCAGATGAACTTAACATATATATATATATTCACACATATACATATACACACACACACACATATGTACACAGATACTACTATGTGCACAGTGATTCAGTGGAAGAATGCATATACAGGCTGCTCTGTAGGAGTTGGCAGGGGGAGGGTGGAGTGTAGCATCAGAGGGAAAAAGCATAATGAGGGGTGAGAAGAGATTAAGGATGATTTTTTAAAAATATGATTACCATTATCACATAGAAGATAACTGGATCAAGTAATTTCTATGCAGACACAGAGGGAAAAAACTTGCATTATTGAAAACAATTTTTTATGATTTTTATAAATGTAAACTTTTGAAAAATACTTAAGCATAAAATAATTTATATAACAGATAGATAGTTTTATAATGGGTTATACATTTTATAAGTTCAGTGTCTACCAGTGAAGGCATGATCGATATTCAGAGGTAATCAAGGTCAGCATCGCTCATTATGAGGCGGTGCTAAATGATATGTAGAGTGCTTGGTCATTCAGCCCTCAGATGGAGAAGTGAGGGAAATAAATAAATAGTGGGAATGGGCTTTAATGAGTTCATGATTAATTTTTCTTTTTGCCACGATTAGCTTTCATACTCTTTTGTCACAAACAATTTGCAAGAATTATTTAGTTAAAATCAAATATATTGAAAGTAATAAAAAAGTTGAAAGTACTTTCTGTATGAAAACTGTAGCTTAATAATTACATAAAATGGTTATTAATTTCCTTTGATATGAATTCTGTTTGTATCAGAATTTTTCCTTTTCTCTTTTGTTGTTCTTTTTCCTTTTCTCTTTTTGTTTCCTTTTCTCTTTTGTATAAAGATATAAAGAATGTATCTTTATTCTGCCATGGAAGACTAAAATTTTATTCTTGTTAATATTGTGTACTGAAATTTTAATGTGTAATTACAGAACAGGTAACCAGCGTCCTTTCTGCTGAAGAAATCCTGGAAAGGGTACTGACAAACCTGGCAAATTTCAAGACCTGTTTCAAACTCTCACTTTTTTCAGCTAAAGGGGGGTGTTAATAATAACATAATTTGGACTTGCAAAATAGTATGGAGAAATCTGCAAATATAGAGCTATCGGAAGAGAATCCAAAGAAAGAAGAACAGAAGTAAAAAGGTTTTATTAGTGCACCCCACTCCCACAAATGATAATTCAGCACTCGTTGAGGAAAAGGACTAAGGTAGTTATATTAGCTTTCTAGCAAAGCCAACACAAGCCAATATGTTGCCGTTTATAATAATATATTTTGGGAAGTCAAAAAGTAGAGACATTTCATTCATAAAATGGGGAGTATCATTTTGAAACCAAAATTTGTAGATACCTCTGCTATCTTGAAATAATAGCCATCTTTGCTCCTATTTTAATATATCTTGCAACTTTCCAATGAAATTATTTTCTATTAAAAATCTTGAGTGATGTGTGTGCATGTGAGAGAGAGAAAGAGAGACAGAGAGCATGAACATGTGCTTGCATGCCTCAGGAGAAAAATCTTAGAATCTCACAGGTTGGTGTCACTATTAATTTGTGGTTCTAACCTCAGCTGAATACTCCTCTGAATTGCCAGACACTACTTCCAGTTCTCCCTTGTCGCTCTCATTTCCCTTCTCTACAACGGCAATTTTACAACTTCTCCACTCTCTTTAACCCCTGATCTCCAACAGCGTCTCTCCAACTCTTAAAAGGTCATGTCAATTCTTGGAAGCAGTGGTCATCAGTGAAGCATTCCCCCAGTTTACCACCTCTTTACAGTCCTCCAGGATTCCTGAATTATTCTTTCTGCTTTCATGTGTTTAGAGTTAGCACTGGCCAGTCTCCTGCCAGTCCTAGCCCCTCCACATGTGTTCTGCATCCAATTTCCTCTTTCCTTCCCAGGAACTAAATACTATCAATTATACCTCCTTTATTCACTCTTCAATGTTTTCTTCTTTTCTGGAACACTTCCATTAGCACTTACACTTGTCTAAATCTTTTTCCATCTTAAAACAAAGCAAAAATCAAAACAAAACAAAACAAAACAAGCAAACAAACAACGAAAGTCCTTTATTTTTAGCCCACTTACTCATTCTTGCTTTTTAATGCCAAATTTCTTTAAAACATTTGTCTACATTGAATGTCTCCAACTTTGTATGTCTCATTAAAGTTTCAAGGTGTTAAGATGTGGCTTCTTCCCACAGCATACATTCTAGTGCACTTCAGCCATTTTATTTGCATCTTCCAAGAATGCTTAAGAATCAGCGTGGCCAAAATGAAGCTTGTCATCTCTTTCAAATCCCCCAGCTTTCACCTTGTTGTCTAAGCTAAGACGACATACGTTCTTCACTTTATTCTCTTCCTTAGCTCACACAATTTAATCCTTACGTTATAGCTCTTAAGTAGTGTTTAAATCCTTCCATTTATTTGTATATACTCTGTACAGCTGTTCCCTTTCAATGCACTTATTGCACTTTTTCAGTGGACATTGATCTGATTCCCCCAATAGAAGGAACCATGGCTATCTCATTCCTTGCTACATTCTTAGGGATGAGTTCCGGGTTTGGACATGACTGATGCTCAATAAAAATAAATATTAGTTTTGTGTGTAAAACGAAGTTTCCATTTCTATCAGGAAGGGGAGAATGCTTCTACAAACAGGAGTCTTTCTATTGCAAGCTCTTTAGAGAAGAAATAATGCTATTTATTTTAATTATGAGCTGAATGAGCACAAAGGAAGAACACCTGAGGTTTGAGTTATAAATGCTGTGTAAAGTGACTGTGATCCTGCGGTGCTAATAAAACACGAGAATAAGACTATTGAGTCTTGTGCAAATATTTTGATGAACCATTTTGTCAGAATGAAGACTCCCCTGAAGAGGAAAGTCTCAACTCAAAGTTCAGAAATTTTGCTGAGCTAAAATGCTTGAAAATCAGGACAGTCTTAAAATCAATGTATTTATGTTTACTTATACAATGCTTTGAAATCTCTCTCTCTCTCTCTCTCTCTCTGTCTCTGTCTCTCTCTGGAGTGCATAGCTTCACAATTCCCTGTAGATCACAAATATTTGTCAGTTCACCATAATTTGTCTTTTTATGAGTACTTAGAGATTAATTCTCACTGCATTGGGAGTGAATATACAAGATGCTTCTGATATCCTGGTTTTGCCCTGCTAGAGTAACAAATATGTGAAACATAATAATCTCAAATTCATTATGAAGTTACTATATTCCCAGCAAGAATATCTCAAAGTGGCCTAAATTTAACTATTTTTTAAGAAAATAAGAACTCTGTAAATAAGAGAACTTTGTATTTTAGATTACTTATACATGATAAACCTACACAATATCTCTGATGCAAGCAAAAGTGCATAAAAGTACTGTGAGCATATCATTGGATTTGCACTACTACTATAGTGATAGAAAAGGCCATTCCATGCTTGGTTGAACTAAATGTTAGCAGGTAGGCCACGAAGTGGCTGTGGGGTTAGAACAGTAATATTTTGGGGATTTCTATAGTCCTAGGCCTGCTTTGTGTTGAGATGCGAAAGCCAACTAGCACCTAACCTCTGCAAAATCTTTCCATAAAACTATCAGTCTTATTGTACATTCCTTGGGGGAAGATACCTGATTATATAAAACTTATGTTTTACCTTTTATCTATCTTTCTATGTAATAATTCCCAAATTACTGTAAGTGTCAGGGTGAAATATAGCTGGTCACCTTTTTTTATTCAAGTTGTCAAAACAAAAAAAAAAAGAAAAATTTCAGACCAGCAGATATTGTCACATCATTTTTCTCTAAATTAAAAGATAGAAGTATCTCACCTCTCTTTGAATTCATCACTTTGTGTGTTAGATATAAATCTTCCCTACTACTCTGACCTACAGGTGATTAATGTTTTCTTTCTCTGTATTCATCTTTGCCCCTCCCTTTTAATTTCTATAAAACAGGTAATACCATTAAGGTCCTTACATGAACATACTTCTTATGCATCAAAATAGAAAGTGCAGTCTTCTAAAGAACTTTTTGTTTTTTTGGACTGCCTAATATATTTTGTGCTAAAGAGTTCCGTATGGTTGAAACTCCTAAGGAAAAGTGCTTACCTTTAAAAATACTTAAATATGACTTGACACAGTGGCCCAAAATGTGTAAGAAAGTCAAAGAAAAAAAGAAAGTATAAAGGAACAGGTCATTTATTAAAGATAAATTATCAGCCGGGCACAGTGGCTTACGTCTGTAATCCCAGCACTCTGGGAGGCCAAGGCGGGCAGATCACTTGAGGTCAGGAGTTCAAGACCAGCCTGGGGAACATGGCAAAATCCCGTCTCTACTAAAAATCCAAAAATTAGTGGAGCATGGTTGTACATGTCTGTAATCCCAGCTACTTGGGAGGCTGAGGCAGGAGAATTGCTTGAACCTGGAAGGTGGAGGTTGAAGTGAGCTGAGATCACACCACTGCACTCCAGCCTGGGTGACAGAGCAAGACTCGGTCTCAAAGGAAGTGAAGATGTTGTTAGAAGGGAAACAAACTCAATTATACAAACAGTAAATAATATATTGTTAAAGGGTGACAACCCTGAATAAATAGCTTTTTCTTTTCTGCAATTTCACCAACTCTCAGTTGACTAGAATTAGAAATATAAAAACAGAAATGGCAGAGGAAGTGAAAGTGTGGTCCCTTTGGAGCTAGCTTTATAATTTCCGAAAGATCCACCTCTGCTTTATTATATGGGGCAATGAAAACTCTCAGCAGTTCGCTTCACAGGGGAGTCTTCCATTACCGACCTGGCATTCCTCCTCGGCAATACAAGGTCACTCAATTATCCTCTCTTCAGATGCCAGCCCCACAGAAGGAAACTACTCTACTGAGGAAGCTCCCCGCAATAGTGCAATTGTACAAACAGAAACAAAGTACTGGCATCTTGCTAAAATGTGTTTTCCCAAGCAACTGAAGTGTAATTTTCAGCAGTACAGTATCAACTACTAAACTACACATAAAATGTGAGTGCCTAGTCAAAAGGAAACAATCTTTCTTCATTCTAAGCCAGTCATACCTTTTGTATTACTGTGTGGAATATCATTTATTTAAGTCGGAGTAACCTATCCATGAACAAGGAAAATCCATTTAGAAAAGTATTACTTCAGCACAGCAATTGCAAGCAAAATTCTCCTAAAAGGATAGGCAGGAAGATTAGGACAATGTCTCCTTTTTTATTTTAAACAGTAAAACTGCCCTGATTTACAAGTTTATAAGAGCTGCAAAACTCCCCCTGAGAATTATAAACTTCTTTTTTCTCTTGAATTTGTCCAAATGAATGCATCACTCTACTATTCACTTGGATAGGTTTGTAAGAATGAATGTGTTTTTTAAAAAAATAACCTCTCATTACTCAATTAATTATCAAAGTAGTAGAAAATTCACGTGGGAAACAACTTTTAAACTTTGAGTGGTACCCTTCTCTACTCTTCTCTAGCAAAGTCTTATGGAGATTGATTGCTTCCACACTGTACCTCCTTTAATCTCCTCTAACTGCTGTTGACCTATCTCTGCCATTCCTCTCCAAGTATATAATAAATCAAGTACATTTTACATGAAAAATGAAGTAATTACTCAGTGAATCCAATGGCTAATTGCACATAAAGGCCTCTGGGAAATATAGGACAAATCAGTGTCAGATTTCAAAAGACAGAAAGGAAGTTGAAGTTAATAACTCTCAAATACTGACAGGCTGAAAAGGACTTGAAATGCACCATCTCTTCAGGCACAAACTGATTCCCCACTTAGGGGAATTGCAAAACTCTAGCTATACACACCTTCTTTATACCAATAATAGTACTAACAACTGAGAAAATAGAACCTATTGCACTAAAGTGAACTACTTTGGAGGGAAAACTGAAACTGTCTTTTATTACTATTTGTATGAAGTCTTTGAACAGCAAAAGGGTCTGTGTCTTTTTCCTTTTGTTTGTGTATCGGTAGAGTCATATTTGTTCCAAAAACTAATAACTAAACTGTTTGTTTAGATGTAATGAAATCTGATTGCCTCTAGAATGTTGAATAAAAACATATTGGAATTAAATATTATGCAATCTCTTTTTATTACAAGAAGTCCATTTGAAAGTTTTGTGTTTTTTTCCCGTTTGCAAAAGTATTTAATAGTTCACACTGATTTGTTTTGCCTCTTGCTTCTTATATCTCTTTTACATGGCAGGTAGTATGTATCTATGACATAAAAGATGATAAATACCACAGTTACAGAATAAAGGTATAAAGCAAAAGGTTCCTCATACAGATCAATATCACATGAACACAAGATAGTATTGTGTACTAGAAGGAGTTATATCACCATGCTGTTAAAAAAAAAAAAGCACTTATCTGTTGCAGAAAAAAAAATATTTTTTTCTAGGAATTTAATGATCCACAACTTTTATGATGAATTATAATCATAAATACACATACAACACATTTACACCACACATCATGAACACACACATGCATACATCTCTCTCTCCCTGCATATATAGTTGTTACATTGATATTTTGTATTGTGAATCACTATTACTGGAGTTTATTAAGAAATGATATCTCTGCTTCCAATTTCAAACAAAAATGCAAGGTTTAATTTCCTTTTAAGCTCCTCCTACTTTTTTCTGATATGACCTAGGGTTCTGAAGGTACTTTTGTCTACAGAAAGAAATTATAAATACTGTCACAGCAGGAGAAGATATGTGTTTGTGGCAAGGATTCCCAGTGGCCAACTTTTCAGACTTCATTATTTTTCGACAGTGTGTGGCTTATCTACTGAAACATGAAAACTTAATGCTGACTTGGTAACATTTTACTTCCATTTTATTGCTGTGCTTTCAGTATTAGATATCAACTCATTGAGATAAATTATGTCCATAGTTATACCTTTATTTTGAGATTCTTATCTCTGTGTCCTCTATTAAGTGTCTTTATGGTATCTTTTTTTATTCTTAACAGAACTATGACATTAAATAGGAAAAGATAATAGGTCTGCCATCCTTCATCAATCTAGTATCACAGTAAGTCTAAACAAATGCTATTTACAATTAGGACAATCCTCAATATACATTAGTGATGCCTGTGTCCATGTATCTGTTGATCCAATGAAAACATAAACATATGATTAATATCAGCAACATAGGTTTTTTGTCTTTTCTTACCAGCAAGTAAGATGATAGTAAAAAAAAATAGATGTTTTATCCAGTTAAACAGTGGGACTACATCCATTGCTGATGTTGGTTGCATTATAATTGCGAGGAGTTTCTCTGGGGAGAACACTAACTGCTGAAATATATAACTAATCCCTTTCAGTTTTTTGAAGCATTTGCATACCTTTGTGTGAAAATCACTGACTTTTACCACTGATTTTCTCCCATTTCCTCAGGCCAGGCCATGATACTTGATGTAAAAGGGAGTCTGTGTTTTGTTTTGTTTTTTAAATCATCCATTGTGTTTTTCCCATGCTTATTATCATGACAATGCTGCAGTGCCTTAAGAAAAAGGATTTTTAAAATAACTTGAAATGATTAAACAGTGTTGGAGGTAAAAAAAAAATCCATTTTTTTTTGTTTTAAATATTTTTTGTGTTTTTGATTCCTTTTGTCTCCTGCTTCTTTGGTAATATTGGTTCTATTAGACTCAGGTTGTGATAAGACCGGCTAGGCTAAAGAACAAAAGACAAATGAGAACTCTCCGATAATAGATAGCTCCACTTTTGCATTTATTTTGAGACTGGGAGGATGCATCGCTTTATTCCTATCGAGTACAAGAAAACAACAGTCTTTATCCCCGCTTAATCACAATGGATTGCCATGGTGTACTTATTAATAGTTATATATGGAAAGCTAGTTAAAAATCATTGTTTTCAA
The DNA here is from genome assembly GCF_000001405.40 of Homo sapiens. NCBI lineage: Eukaryota > Metazoa > Chordata > Mammalia > Primates > Hominidae > Homo > Homo sapiens. The sequence goes on from NC_000013.11 coordinate 66,531,420, forward strand.
TCTGGAGATCGAAAGCACTGTTGTGAACATCAAGGCAGAATATTAAAATAAACGGATAGTATGTTACGAAAGTCTCAAGAAACAATTTTCTTGTTATGGCATGCACCAATTTCATTCACTTGATATTCTTTACTATTAAGAATCTAAACTAAAGGAAGAAAAGCCTCACCTAAATTTTAACGACTCTTCTAAGTAATATTGATTATGCTTTGAACTACGCTTTAAATTGTTTGGGGTGGTCCATTCTCTAAATACTTAAAATGCAAGAGGGCTCCTGGACAAACAAGGGAAAAACATTTATTTTAAGCTTTAAATGAAAGTCATTTTAAGATACTGCTCATACATTGTACTAATGCATTAAAATAAATATGTTCATTAGATTTTAAGGTAGATTTCCACTGAATGATTGTTAATCAACAATAGCACAAATGGAATTTAGAGATAGGCTACATGCTTGCATTAACTTAAGTTCTCTTGGCTGCAATTTTCTCTCCTATAAAATGAGGAGAATATCTATACATCTCTAATTGCTGCTTGCATTCTAAGACATTATTTGTGTTCTGATTTTGTTTTGTTTTTGTTTGAGAGACAGGGTTTTGTTCTTTTGCCCAGGCTGGAATGCAATGGCACAAGCACAGCTCATGGCAGCCTCTACCTCCAGGGCTCAAGTGATCCTCCCACCTTTGCCTCCTAAATAGCTGGGACTAATTACAGGCATGTACCACCATGTCCAGCTATTTTTTAGTGGTTTTTTTTTTTTCTTTTGTAGAGACAGGGTCTCACTATATTGCTCAAGCTGGTCTCAAACTTCTAGGCTGAAGCAATCCTCCTGTCTTGGCCTCCCAAAGTGTCCGGATGATGGGCATGAGCCTTGTATTTACTTTGTAAGGTGGAAATGCTTAAACCACATCTTCATGCTTAAACGTTCCCCATGGGTGAGTCAGCATAGAATTTGTCTAAATAAGGATTGGAAAACATTTATAAATAGATCAGTATGTTTTAATATGTAAGACACTAAAAATGAACTGTAAATGGAGAAGCAAAAACTAAATATTTAAACAAAAATTCTTGGCAATGAATCGAAATGCTATTTTATTGTCAAAATACATATTTGATTAATTTTTTTTGTTTTGCTTTGTTTTGTGATGTAGTCTTTCTCTGTCACTAGACTGGAGTGCAGTGGCCCAATCTCGGCTCACTGCAACCTCTGACTCCTGGGTTCAAGCTATTCTCCTGCCTCTGCCTCCCGAGTAGCTGGGACTACCGGCACATGCCCAATTTTTATATTTTCGGTAGAGACGGGGTTTCACTTTCGGAGGCCAAGGAGGGCAGATGTCAAGATTAATTTTATTTTTTTAATCACTTACTTCCATGTCTTACTAGCCATTCTCCTCGGTCTTTTCTTTCTACCTGTTATTAATGACTGCCTGTTGTAGGACTTTGCCACAGTATTACAGTATTTCAGACTAGGTGACAACATTAGATCTCATAATTTTCTAAAAAATGGCTTAACCAAGGGTGAGATGTAGCAGTTTAAAGATATGCATGACTGAAACTATCTCTGAAGAAGTTAAAAGGTCACCTTACGGTCTTAGCAACACATCTTTCTGTGGGTTGAGGAAGCCACTTATGTGCCCACACTGGGTGGAACTCCGGCAGTTCAGTGCTGTTGGGATTCAGGGCTTCTGGGCTGACGTTATTTCTGGCAGAAAAGCACAAAACTGGGGCTTCACTTGAAACGATGGTGAAACGGAACCAGCTGTTTCCAGATAATCATGGGTATATTCCAGACTCTTAATATATTCCTTTATGGAAGCTTTAAATAAAAGTCATTTTAAGATACCATTCATACATTGTACTAATGCATTAAAATAAATATGTTCATTAGATTTTAAGGTAGATTGTCTGCTTTTCTAGTCTCTCATATTAAACCACTGCACCCCTTTCTATATCTCATGGTTGATTTTTTTTTAGTTAAATATTAATGATATATAAAAATAACTAGACAGTGCAAAACTATTTGTAGATCATCATAAATTAACAAATTACTTTTGTATTTAACTATTAGTTATTTTTAGAGGAAAATTTTAAAATAAAAATCATTGTTCCCTGGATCCTAAGATTCTTTTTTAGCTAGATCTTAAGACATTAGTCAATTAATCCTAGGGACATTCAACCTAATGATTGAAGTCTACAAAATAGACATGACATAAAAGTTGTCTGAAATAAACAAAAACCATTGTTAAATAAGAAAACATACTTGCAAACAGTATGTTGAGCTTGATTTCTTTTATATTTACATCTACATCTATTTATTTAAAAATCTTAAAGATGCACACTACCCAGAGAAGGGAAGTTACGGACAATTTTTATTTTCACTTGTACTTTCAAATCATCTAACTGGCCTTCCAACCTCCGCAAACATATGGCCCACATTGAACTCCCAAAGGCAGCCAATCACATTAAAATTGGATTTGATGAAATAAAATGAGTTGACTTTTTTTGTTCTTTCTATGTCTTTAGATATAGAAAATAACACTATGAAAGGATCATCATGGCAGCATATACACTTCCTTTGTTTTTATTCCATTATCTTCCTTACCATGGCTTTTAGAAGTGGTATTTTCATTAATGTATATTGAGATTTCAACTTTGGAGAGTAAACCAAACAAATTCACAACTGAAAATGCAGCTAGCCCCAGCTACCATGTCACACTGATATAACAATATAACTTAGAAGGTAGCAGATATTCTCTAGGACTAAAAGTCAGGAAATTTTTTTGTAAAGAGTCAGAAGAATGTGAAAACTCTAGTTTTATAAAGATGGATTGTTTTGAGTTGTTTCTTTTTAAAGTTATTGTCTTAGTTCAGGCTGCTATAACAAAGTACTATAGACTAGGTGGCTTATAAACAACTGAAATTTATTTCTCACAGTTCTGAAGGCTGAAAGTCTGAGATCAAGGTGACAGTATCGTTGGGTTCTGGTGAGGGTTCTCTTTTAGTGTGCAGAATGCTGATTTATCTTTGTATCCCCATGTGGCAGAAAGAGGGCAAGACAGCTCTCAGGGGTCCCTTCTATAAGTGTATTTATCCCACTCCTGAGGGCCCCAATCTCAATATGTAATTAATTCTCTAAGGTCCTGATTCCACCACACTGGGGGCTAGAGTTTCAACATATAAATTTGGGGGGACACAAACATTCAGTTCACAGCAGATGGCTTAATTCAATTTTTATTGTATGCTTATTTTCCTTTCTCTTTCTTACACATATTTTTCTTTAAGTTATGACTGTAGTTGCACACATTCTTATAAGAACTATGCGAACTGGTGACTCAGAATAACTGTCTAATGAATGTAGTATACATCAAGGCCGACAACCTTTTCTAGTACCCCTAGGAATATTTGAAACATAATCTGTTGTTAGAGATTCTGAAATTCATAACAAATTCAAAAATAGCTCTTGTCAACTGTGACACAAGCTATAGTTATTAATACCTGGCAGGCATATTTTATTATAAAACAGTGGCTCACCTTTTTTCCTCAATTTATTGTATAAAAATACACCTGGCTCCCAAAGTACTAAATGGCTCTGTAATAAAGAAGCATTACTGAGTCCTTTGATCCAAATCTGCTTGATTGTTCATGTATAAGTGGCGTGAATAGAAATCAAGTCAGTGAACCACTAAAATTTTGACATTCTGATTAATAAAAATGATAATAATAATAAAGTAACAACAATTTTTAAATTATATTCTTCAGAACATGAAACACTAGAAAATGGAAAGTAAATGAAACAGTAAATTACATGTTAAATAAATGTTTTTAAACATTTTCTGAGTATTCCCATTTCTTTTGCAGCTATTTACCACTAGATTGGGAATTATACAGGAATAAAATGTTCTCTTTTAACCAATATGAAATTTTTTAAAAAAAGAAACAGAGTATCACTGCAACCTCTTTAAGTCCCAAATATCTTACTATAATTCCAAATATTCTTGTTGAAAGTTTCTTAGAATTACAAGCTAATAGGTTGGCTGCATTTACCAGCTGTAGTTACTTCTGCTCAGTCCCCCACTAAATACCAGGTGTGAGAAAAGCAATAGCAGGCATAATCCCAACTACAACAATTTATACCACTTTATATATAAAGTATCAATTTGTTTTGAATTGCCACTTTCCAGAATTTCATACTAAACTGGATTGATTATGAATGTAACACAAGAAAATTTCCCCTTTACCAGCTAGAAAGCAGATATTATGCTTATTATGCTTCCTAGAGGATCGTAGACTCAAGAGACTTGAATCTCAAAAATCCCTCTTCTTTTATGTTCATCTAATTAAAATATTACTCAGGAAAGGCTCTGGTTGACACTGCTTGGGTAACATGCTCTCCAATTTTTCAAGAACCATATGATATCATTGGCAGCCCCCACTATAACTACAAAATTGAAATAGGAGTTTGAGGGAGCACTTCTCCCCAAGAATATGATGCTAGTTACCAGAAGTAAGAAAGTTTCAAAGACTAAACCAGAAATATCCACTATAAAGTGTTTTTGAATGATTCTAGCTATATTTGTAATATCATTAAAATGAGGAAATCAGTTATCAAATGCTATCTTAAAGATCACACGTGTATCTGCTCCTCTGCTCCTCTTCCCCACCACTTACAGGTTATCTGTTAAGTTTAAAAAGCAATTTTTCCATTAATATCTCAATTGATTATTCATACCACCCCATATGGTTGTAGGACAAGTATTACTTCTATATTATAAATAATATGTTCTTTGGGTTTATAAGGCGAGTTATTTAAGGTCTTACACCTCAGGGAGTACAACAGCTGAAGCTCAAACATAGATCTTCTGATTCCTTGTCCAGTGCTCTTCCTTTTATACCATGCAGGTGTGAATGTAATAACAGCAACAACAAAAACAATCAAAACAACCAGGTATTGGCATAATCATTTGGTACTATTTTTTAAACATTAAAAGTAAACTTAATTTTTTGCACTTTTAGAAAATTTTTGTTGTGTTCTTATTTTATATCTTCTAAATGCTTCCTGTATATTTTAATATTCAATTATCACATATCTGTGAGGAAAACATGACTCAATGTGGCTTTTTCTTCTAGGCACAAATGAAGAAAGTCTTGATATTTTTGTATTTTCAAGACAATACAAATACAAATGACCAAGAATAACTTGGAGAAATTAGAAAAATGTTAACTGAATTCTACAAAAATTTTCAAATGAATAGATATAGCTTCTGAAAATTGGATGAATGGAATATTTTGAAAATGTATATGCTAAATGAATACAGTACTGATTTCAAGTTATGAAACCGTGCTTTTCTATCATCACAGAATAGGTACCCAAATAGTTATAAGTACAAGTTGAAATGAGTGGGCGTTTAAAAGCAGATAGACACCAGTTTTAACAATATGTAAACAGACAAGTTGAAGAATTAAAAAAAGTTGCAGAATTGCATTCAACTCATGAGTTTCCTATGACTCAGTCAACGAATTTTAGGAGCTAAAAGCTCTCAAAAAATTCTTTGAAATCCCTTGGGGGTACAACATGGAATTATTAAAATTATAAGTGTACATGAATTTGCTTATTTATCTCTCAACACTGCTGTTTTGACAAATAGACCTCAATTTTGGAAAGGATGAGGATAACTGAATGCATAGCTATCAAGCATGTGTTTATGGGAATGCCAGAAGCATGCTCAGGTATTTCTAATTATCTGCCTCGATGAGAACCACTAGTTGCATTGTACGCACTGATCATGAGCACCCCTGAGTCTTCAGGGCTCATTAGTCAGCCAATGATGCATTATGCTCAGTGAGTGCTGAACATTGGGTTACTCTTTCAAGATATAAGGTCTGGATTGAAGTGAACCTGAAATCTATATCGTCCATATTAACTATTTAATTAGCATATATTTCACATAATTGGTATACATATTTTGATATATATAATAAATAGGTGAAAGAAATAAGATCAGTTGATATATTATGTAGCATAACAGGCCTACAGAGAAGATAACATCCAAACAGAAAACCTCCACAAAATGAAGGAGTTTGATATGCAGATACTGGGCCAAGAGCATTCCAGGCAGAATTTGCTTTGCACATTTGAAGAATAAAAGAAATCCTGCAGTGCTGGAGCAGAGGGAAACGTGGGAGATATGTGGGGTAATGAGGTCAAGGAAAGAGCTTAGGTCTGAATTACACAGAGCTTTCTGGACTGTTAAGAAGGCTTTAGTGTTTACTCTGTAAAGATTAACACAGAAGTCATTCAAACAGTTATTTTAATTTAAATAAATATTTAATTCAGGACACATTTGATCACTGAGTAACTCAGTCACTAAATAGGAAGTGTTCTAGCTTTGGTAGTTTAGTGACCAAAGTGAGGTGAACATTTTTGTTAAATGTTCATCTTAAAAACTATCTAGTAAAATTTTCATTAAACTCCAAATGGACTCTCCAAGTAATTTATTGTGGATTGTTCCTGGGAAAAAATCAGTTTACTTTTCCTTTTATCTTTTTATGTTTTTAAGGCCACTGAAAAATCAAAAATTCATTACAGGAAAACAAAAAGGTAAAATATGTTTTTCTTTACCCTTCTCATTAGAGTTACTTTGGTAGCCTAGTTCAGTGACAAAGATACTCTCAAAAAGTCTTTCGTGCTAGTGGTGTTCAGACAATACAAATGTTTCACTTATATTTTCATTAATTACTGCTTTGCACTGTTGGTTTCTGCATATTATTCATGGAGACAGAAAGAAAGATGATGCGGTAACAATTAAAACATGCACATAGAAAGCAATTAAGACTGGGGAAACATCTACAAAAATAATATTTCACAGGAAGGCAATGATTTAATACTTTTCAATACCTTTTTATAGACAAATATTCAATAACCATTGTCCACAACTAGAAAGTTCGAGGAAATTATTTCACAAGAATGGTGCCTTTTACTGAATTACATTTCCCGATTCTTCAATATTCACATCTCCTGGTGTAATGCAATGTGATGGTCAAGATTCTCCAGAGAAACAGAACCAACAGGACATATATACATAGTGGAAGCTCACAAGTCCCAAATCTGCACAGCAAGCTGGCAGGCTGGGGACTCAGGGAAGGGCTGCAATTTGAGTCCAAAGGAAGTGTGTTGGCAGAATTCCCTCTTCCTTGTTGGGGGTCAATCTTTTTTTTTTTTAATTAAAATCTTCAACTGATTGAATAAGCCTCACTCAAATTATGGAGAGTGATCTGCATTACCTAAAATCTACTAATTGAAATGTCAATCTCATCTAAGTAAAGTTTAATCAAGTATCTGGGTACTTTGGCCTAGCCAATTGACACATAACTATCATACATAAGATGAAGACCATTACAGGTTTGGGATGGAATGCATTTTTCTCCAGGGAGTGTAAGAGTCTAGTCTTAGCAAAATATTTGACGGAAGATTATTCTTCAGTGAGAAGCGTAATATTAAATATAGTGTCTTCCCATTTTAGAACAATTAAAATAGAAACAAAACTTTAAAATAAATTATATATACACATGTCTACATTAATCTATGTTTTTAACACAGTATCTCATGATTCTAAAACCATTGCAGAAAATAGAAGCAAAAATGTACAACAAAATATATGTACATATATATTTATATATTGCAATATTTACCTGTCTAATATGCTCATAGAAGATTTTAGAATTAAAATTTTTCTCTCTCTTGATTCAAACTTCTCAGAAAAATAGTTTACATCCACTACCTTCACCTCTTTAACAATATTCACTCAACATCTTACTACAATCTACTGGAACTACCTTCATTGAAGTTACCATTTACATCTTGATATGGTTTGGCTGTGTCCCCACCCAAATCTCATTTTGAATTGTATTTCCCATAATCCTTATGTGTCATGGGAGGGACTCGGAAGAAAGTAATTGAATCATGGGTGTGGTTACCACCATGTTGCTGTTCTCATGATAGTGAGTTCTCATGAGATCTGATGGTTTTATAGGGCCTTTCCCCCTTTTGCTTTGGATTTCTTGCTGCTGCCATGTGAAAAAGGACATGTTTACTTCCCCTTCTGCTGCCATAATATTGGGAGGTGAATACAATCATAGAGCTCAGACATGGCTGGAAGAATCACTCAGCTGAGCTCAGCCCAAGTTACTGACCCACAGAATCTGAAGCTAAATAAATGGTTATTGCTTTAAGTCATGGAGTATTGGGTTTTTTTGTTTGTTTGTTTTGTTTTTACACAGTAATACATAACTGATAAACATACTTGCATTATTTTTGTAAACACAAAAAGCTTAACATTTACAATTTTTTTTGCCTTGCTGCCTCCCCAAAAATTATTTCTAAGAGATACCCAAAATAATATCCATATTTTATATTTTCCTATTTTTCTTTATTTTTTTATTTTCTTTTTTTCCTTTTTTTTTTTTTTTTTTGAGACAAGGTCTTGCTGTGTCACCCAGGCTGCAGTGTAGTAGTGGAATCAAGCTCACTGCAGCCTTGACTTTCTGGGCTCAAGCCATGCTCCTACCTTAGCCTCCTGAGTAGCTGAGATTACAGGCCTGAACCACTATGCCCAGCTATTTTTTAATTTTTACTTTTTTGCAGAGACAGGGTTTCACTATGTTGCCCAGGCTGGTCTTGAACTCCTGGGCTCAAGAAATCCTCCCACCTCAGGTGCCAAAGTGCTGGGATTACAAGTGTGAGCCATTGTTCCTGGCAAAGTTTAGAATATTAATGACTGATTCCTAAATAATCTTCTAAATAAAACTGAGCAATAATATATTGAATTTTGGGGAAAAAAGGCAGTTTATACACATTTACATATTCATGAAGGAACCGCTGAAAAGCAAATTGTAGGCTCATATAAATATATAACATTGTAGTGCTGCTTTTGTAAACAGTAATTTTAACAGGAAATTAAATTTTATCATAATCACAAATCAAACTTTCAGTTCTGTTCATGTAAGTTAAAGGTAACTTCTGCTGCATGAACACCATAAGCAGAAATTTTATTATTAAGCTTTTTTTACATAGCAACTAAATTTTAAAGGTTTCTTAAAAGCTCTCAAGGATAATTTTATATTAGATGCCACCCAAGACACAATTAAAATTTTATGCACACTTATGCTGACAGTTGTCAGAAAATGCCTTGAGAACTTTGCATACTTTTCTTTCTGTATAAGAACAATTAATACAGATTCCCAGAAGGGTACGTAGTGTACGCAAGTAACTGGTTGACCCCCTTTGGGCAGATTTTAACTGCATTATGCCTTAGATATACAATAAACCATTAGTGGTAATTAAAATTCATTTAGTATCAGTGATAAGCTAAGGTATCATTAAAGGTCTTGACTTTGTCCTTAATTATTTGGGTTATTGTTTTTATTTAATTAGATCAGTTTAATGAGTCTTTGGTTGCAGTGTGACTCTACATTGAGCAACACACCTTGAAGGGCCACATCTTTGACAGCCTTGGCTGCTCATTTGTAATCTAATGGAGTTAACTTATTGAACTTCACACACCAGATTAGGTTAGTGAATTCTCTTAGGAAAGCAGACTGGATTGGGTTACAAGTTTTGTCTAGATTTAGTAGAATTCAATTCAAGTCAACTAATGATGTACATTAAACAAACTCCTCTGAAGAATCCCTTCCTCCTTCTAACTATAAATTACACTTATCCATTTCACTACTTTAATAACTATAAAAGACTCTGAAGGGAAGTTGCAAAATGGGGCATTCCCTCTTTATACAGACAAAGTCCCAATATTCTCTCAGATGGCACAAAAGTCATTTAAGGTTTCTCTGTGGAAGTGTCATTGTTCTTTTCTAAAATAATGTAAGGTAGAGAAACCTCCAGGTGTTAAGAGTAATGAGAGTATATTCATTATTAGTGTTGTCATACAAAACTACCACACACAAGGTGGCTTAAAACAACATAAATTTATTCTTTCACATTTCTGAGGGCTAGAAGCACAATATCAAGGTGTCAGCATGAAGATATTCGCTCTGAAGGCACTAGGAAAAAAAATATTCCTTGCCTCTTTTAATTGTCGGTGGTTTCTGATGTTGCTTCGCTTCTGACAGCCTAATTTCAATCTGTGCCTCTGTTTTCATATGTCCATCTTCTCTGCGTGTTTCTGTGGCTTCACATAGTGTACTTCTCTCCGTTTCTCTCTCCACTCTTCCAAGGGTTTGGCATTGGATTTACGGACCACTCTAACCCAGTGTAACCTCATCTTAACCAATTACTTCTGCAAATATCCTGTTTCCAAATAACAGGGCCACATTCTGAGTTTCCAAATGGACATGAGTTTCGGGTGGAAACTGTCTGACCCACTACAGAGTAGATACTCAGTTATAGACAAATAACTGAAAGAATTCTGAAAATGTGCTCCTGCATCTACTTGAACCAGAGAATCAGAGAAGTTCCTTGGAGTTTTGTTTATCTGTAAATTGATTACTGTTTTCCTTATCTGTAATTGGTGAGTAGTTTTCCTCGTCTGTAAATTAATGAGGCTCTTTTAATTTTTAGTTCCTACAATGTTTGTTTGCATTTAAAAGGCTTGCGCATATAGATAAAATGAGTTAAGGAAAAGCCTTGGGAGATCTGTGTAAAACAGCAGATGAGAAGCCTTTAAAGGAGACAATGTGAATATTTTTGGTGGGTTTAGACTAATAATCATTTTTACCATAAATGATATCATTTCTATCTTATTTATGTAAAGTACTCTGTGAAATATCCAACGGAATATTTCCACTAGTGACCTAATGACACGAGACTACAAAATTAGGTTTGATCAGCAGAATATACCAATAAAGCATGTTATAGTTACTTTAATGTGTTGACTTGACTAGGCTATAGCACCCAGTTATGCAATCAGATTCCAATCTTGGTGTTGTTATGAAGGTGTTTTATAGATGTTCATATCTATAATTCGTTGAATTTATGTAAAGAAGGTTGCCCTCACTAATGTGGGTGTGCCTTGTCCAATCAGTCGAGGGCCTTAAAATCAAAAAACTAGAATTTTCTGGGAAAGAAGAAGTTCTACTTCCAAGCTACAACAGCAACTACTGCATGAGTTTCCAGCTGCTGGCCTGCCCTATCCAATTTAGACTTGCCAGCTCCTACAATCGTGTGAGCCTATTCCTTAAAATAAATATCCTTATGTATATCTATGTGTGTGTTTTTAAACATTAAAGTCAAATATATATATATTTAAATATATATATGTTTAAATATATATATATAAAAACATATATATGTTTAAATATATAAATATATATCTCCGAGATATTTATATATTTATATATTTAAACATATATATATTTAAATATATGTATATATAAATATATATATCTATCTCCCATTGGTTCTGATTCTGTGGAGAACCCTATACAACTATTATGTATCTATCATATGAGAAATAAACACTTTTTTCTTTAAAAAGGTGAGCCACATAGTCATCATAATAAAGGAAATTTTCAATATTTATAACTTTCAAATTAATATGTGTGTGTAGAAAGTCATATGGTCATAAAATGCAACTTTCCTTAGAAGAAATATACAAATATAATAATAATGGAGTGTTAATCAAAATATCTTTACTTTTCAATAATTTTACATGTTTTTATTTTTACTCCATTCTATATTCTCATTAACGTAATGCTCTTCTTGAGGAAGAGTATTAAATAATATCAAATCAGTTGCACGTTAGATGAAAATCACTGACACGTTATCGTTTCATATCACTAGTAGACAGAATGAAATAATCAGCAGTATATATAACCTGCACCTCAAATTTAGTCAAAATAGTTATATGAGTAAAATGATGGCCGGGCACAGTGGCTCACGCCTGTAATCCCAGGACTTTGGGAGGCTGAGGCAGGTGGATCACGAGGTCAGGAGATCAAGACCATCCTGGCTAACATGGTGAAACTCCCTACTAAAAAATACAATAAATTAGCCAGGCGTGGTGGCACGCTCCTGTAACCCCAGCTACTTGGGAGGCTGAGACAGGAGAATTGTTTGAACCCAGGAGGTTGAGGTTGCAGTGAGCTGGGATCATGCCACTGCACTCCAGCCTGGGAGACAGAGTGAGACTCCGTTTCAAAAAAAAAAAAGATTAAGTAAAACAAAATTTAATCTGTTCAGTTAGTAAAATTCTTTCCAGTTTGAGAAGTGAATATTCACCACTGTAAGAAAGTTAAAGAGGGTATACAGAAAAGTCAATTGAATTAAACATATTTAAAAAGACACCTCTTAAAAACCCAATCTTTCAAACACCATGCAGTATAAACAAATCAGAAAAAGAAAATATAGAAATGAAACACAGTACACAGTGGTGCTGTGCTACAAGAGCTTTGTCTCTAAGCAGAGATCATGGAGACTGAAATTACCCTTGGATCACATTCTGTGATGCATTCTGGAAATGAACTTAACGGGGACACAGCCAACTTCCATCACACTTGCAATTGGTGCTCACCTCTAGAGGGCCATCTACTGAGTCTGAACAGCTCCTTACTGCCCAGTGGTTGAATACAGGTAAGTTCCATATAGTAATGCCTTGACTCCATTGTTTACAGATACAGAATTAGAAATGTACCATCATTGAATTATTTTCTTCCTATCTGATATAAACTTTATACTTATGATATACAGGACCTTTGATGCCTTATTTAAAGAGCAGCAAGCTCCCATGACTACAGGGACTGGATCTCTCTATTTTGCTAATATTTCCCTATTTCCTATCACTGTTTTTCGGTCCAGTATTATATTACCAGGAAAAACTTCATAATGAACCTTTACCTGTTTCCTTAATTGAATGAAAATGTACACTGACAATGTTGACTAAGGACATGCCTGACTCTTATATGAACTTCAGAACTTACCAAACATACTCAATTAACTTCAGTAATGGTGGTTTCACACAAACACACACATTCATATGACACGTATATATGAAAGTGATGCAGGCCAGGCAGGTGAGCCCCCGAATTGGAGCTTAGGCCTTGAGGGTTCTTGGTTTTTCCCAGGAAAGAATTCAAGAAAGAGCCAGTGGTGTTAGGAATCTTTTATTGAATGATATTGCTTCTAGTAGAACAGTGCTACCTTACAGGCAGTTCACCCAGAGTTAGCTACCTATGGGCAGTAGACAACTGTATCTGCAGGTACTTGCAATTATATGCAAATTAAGGAGTGGTTTAATGTAAATTGAAGGACAGGTTATTTAGAACTTTCTATGAAAGGAGAGGTAACTTCCAGGTTTTTGCCATGGAAAGGGGCAGTAATTTCCAGGTTGTTGCCATGGCATTTGTAAACTGTCATGAGATTGATGCGGCCATCAATACATCTTATGCTAATTAACAATTAGAGCAGCTAGGGATTGTTTTCCTCTCCATATGGTTTCAGCCAGTTTCTTCATTTTACACTGCCTGGACCAGATCTTGTTTTACTCAGCAGGGTTGTGAACAGAAAACAAGTCTTGCAGGTCTCCTACCTCAAAAGGGCAAGCTCATTTTTATTCAGGCTGATCTAATATTACTTGGCCAGTTTGAATAACAGACTGTTTAGTGTAAATACAGATCGGATATAAAAATGGTTCAAGCAAACCTAGATGTCCTTTAAATTTTTGGTACCCTAAGACTACATGATTACATTGAATAAGAAAAACAAGGTATTTTTAATTTCCTTTATTTGATTTGCATGTTAATTCTCATTAAGTTTGTTTTATTGGTCACTTAGAATCAAGGCAAATAGGAAAATAGCTATTTGCATTGAGAAATCTACATATTTGTTTTATCCTGTTTAAAATATCTGGTATACTAAGTGAGCCAGAATAAACATTCTGATACTGATAAACCTATCTCTAGGTTTTTATTCTCTATTAAATAGATTCAAAATAGAAACATATCAAATGAGTTAATAAAAAATTTCAAGACATGTAATAAAAATCAGGCTGTTTTAATTAGATGATGGCATGTCAATTTTGCTTCCATATCTGATAAAATTTGGCTTTTACATTTTTACAAATTATACACTTATTGTCATACACAGTAATGTGCCATATTATAACATTTCAGTCAATGACAGACCACGTCTATAACTATGGTCTCATAACATTACAATGGCACTTGAAAATTCCTATCACCTAGTGATGTTTTAACCATGATACCATTGTAGTTCAATGCCTTATTCAATTGTTTGTGATGATGTTGGCGTAAACAACTCTACTAGCTTATTAAAAGTATGGCACACACACTTATTTACAGTAGGTAGTACTTGATAATGATAATAATCTACTCTGTTACTGGTTTATGTATTTACTATGCTATACCTTTCATTTTTATTTTACTTTATTTTATTTTATTTTATTTTATTTATTTATTTATTTATTTATTTTGAGACGGAGTCTCACTCTGTTGCCCAGGCTGGAGTGCAGTGGCACATCTTGGCTCACTGCAAGCTCCACTTCCCGGGTTCATGCCATTCTGCCTCAGCCTCCTGAGTAGCTGGGACTACAGGCACCCACCACCATGTCTGGCTATTTTTTTCTATCTTTTTTTAATAGAGACAGGTTTCACCATGTTAGCCAGGATGGTCTCGATCTCCTGACCTCATGATCCATCCATCTCGGCCTCCCAAAGTGCTGGGATTACAGGCATGAGCCACCGCACCCGGCCATCTTTATTTTTTAAAGTATACTTCTTCTATTTATTAAAAAAAAAAAAAGTTAACTATAAAGCAGCCTCAGGTAGACCTTCCAGAAAGCAGTCTAGAAGAAGGCATTGTTATCATAGGAGATGACAGCACACACATGTTATTGCTTCTGAAGACCTTCCAATGGGACAAGATGTGGAGGTGGAAGACAGTGATACAGATGATCCTGACCTTATAGGCCTAGGCTAATGTGTGTGTTTGTATCTTCGTTTTTAACAAACAGTTCAAAAATTAAAAAACCATTATAAATAGAAAAAATTTAAAATAGAAAAAGCCTTATAGAATGTGGATATAAAGAAAGAAAATATTTTTGTACAGCTATAAAATATGTTCCTGTTTTAAGCTAAGTGTTATTACCAAAGAGTAAAAATGTTAAAAAAGATTGAAAGTTTATAAAGTAAAACTACTACAGTAAACTGAGGTTAATTTATTACTAGAGAAAGAAACAATTAATATATTTGATTTAGCTCAAATATGCAGAGTTTATAAAGTTTACAGTAGTGTACAGTAATGTCCTGGGCTTTCCCGCTCACTG
Organism: Homo sapiens; assembly: GCF_000001405.40. NCBI lineage: Eukaryota > Metazoa > Chordata > Mammalia > Primates > Hominidae > Homo > Homo sapiens. The sequence continues at coordinate 66,546,710 of NC_000013.11, forward strand.
CTCACTCACTGACTCACCCAGAGCTATTTCCAGTCCTGCAAGCTTCATTTGTGGTGAGTGCTCTGTATAAATGTAACATTTTTTACTCCTTTGTACTGTATTTTTACTGTGTCTTTCCTATGTTTCCATATGTTTAGGTACACAAATATTTGTCATTATGTTATAATTGCACTTAGTATTCAGTAAAGTAACATGCTGTACAGGTTCCTAGCCTAGGAGCAAATTAGGCTATGCCATACAGCTTAGGTGTCTGTAACCTAGACCATCTAGTTTTGTCCAAGTACACTTTATGATGTTCACACAACTATAAGATCACCTAAGGACACATTTTTTAGAATGTATTCTGTCATTAAAGGACACATACTGTAATTACTTCAGTCTTCCACCTAGTTATTCATCTTACCAAACTTTATAGAAATGAAATTCAATTTAAAATTTGTAAATTAATCACTTCTTATTTGTAATGTCAGCAGTATTTGCTAACAAGCATTACCTACTATTGAGATCACAGTAAAGCTTACATACTTTGTATGACACCTTGAAGAGCCAAGAGTGCCTTAGGCACATTTATTCTTAATCTGAGGGTATTATATGCCCTAGTGGAAAACAAAACAAAGCAAAACAGTATCCTTAATATTCTGCATTTCATAGTTAACGTTTTTATCTTTGTTCAAATCAACAGAGTCTATAAGGCAATTGTTGGGCGATTAAGGTTAATTAAATTGACTTTCTAGTAACCATTGTCATACTCTCCCACTGAACCATACAGTAGATTTTCTAACGGGTGCAAAGGTGATTACGTTCTGCACTACTTCCAGTATTGGAAAGAACATTCTTACATCCTGTCTGTACTTGTTTTAGAATATAGTCTTTCTTGTTAACTCTGATCAAAGTTAAATATGCCCATGATAGTTCCACTAATTTTACCCAAAAATAACATAAATAATTGCCATGTTGATTGTCTTTAATAATTTGTGAAAGGAAATTTTCTTGGGAGTATTCTAATTTTAAAAAGTGATTTGCCCATTTCCCCTTCGGTATAATAGAGCAAGACTGTGAGGCCCATAAGATAGAATGCGCATTTTTAAATAATCTTGATTCAAGTGGATATGTCAGTATATAAATTAAGTCATAATAATATGATATTTAATTATATTATTATATAATAATATGATATTTAATCATATTATTATATAATAATATATTTAATCATATTATATAATAATATATATATTTAATTATAAAATAGTAAACTTAAAACAGTGAGATGTATAGAAGCTTTTTGTTGTTTGCGTGTGTATTTGTATGTATGTATGTATGTATGTTTGTGTTTTCGTGCCCATCTTTTCATTACCTTAACTGTTAAGAAGAGCAATTTATACCTTCATTGTGTAATAAGTTGTGGTATGCCAAAACTTAACACTGAAGTCTTCTGGAATCGACATTTTAAATTTTGCAATATTAGAGCCTCATAATTCAAATTGTCACTCCATTTATTAAAGGTCTATGCCTGTAAAAAATTTAAGTGCAAATTTTTTTCTTATTTAAAATTTTTTTAAAAAACACTTTCTTAGGCCAGGCATGGTGGCTCACACCTGTAATCCCAGCACTTTGGGAGGCCAAGGCGGGAGGATCACCTGAAGTCAGGAGTTCAAGACCAGCCTGGCCAATATGGTGACACCCTGTGTCCACTAAAAGCACAAAAATTAGACAGGCATGGTGGCATGTGCCTGTAATCTCGGCTACTAGGGAGGCTGAGGTGGGAGAATCGCTTGAACCCAGGAGGTGGAGGTTGCAGTGAGCTGAGATCATGTTGCTGCACTACAGCCTGGGTGACAGAGTGAGACTCCATCTCAAAAATAAAAATTAAACGTTCAAAAACTAAAAAAAAATAAAAACAGTTTCTGTAAGTTATGAAACTCTTGCCTTTGGATTTGGATTTGTTATGATCGTAATAACTATAGTGATATCCACTTTAAAAGGCCTACATTTGAGCAAAATAGAGTTTCATTTTCATGAAAAAAATGGGAGCTTTTCAAAGGTAATTCTAATTATTAGTCATGACACTCATGAATAATGCTTATGTTTACTTTTTAAATTTAAGAAACACTCTCCCAGAGTAACCAAAACTTGAAAAGAATCTTGAAGTTTTAATTTGATTAAAAATGCCATCGATAATGTTTTTTATTAAAACATTATATGATTAAAAATCAGAAGCTTATTTCTGATTTTTAATGTTTTGTTAAAAAGGAAGTTTTTAAAGTTTCTTTTATTTGGATAATTAATTCAAGGAAAACCATACCACCATAAGTGAGAGAAGACTTAAACTTCTCAACTCATTGCAATTTGTCTTATTCTATTTCCAAGAAATTCTTTTCCTCTGACATATGTTTCCAAGGTAGCTTTGACAATTTTTGATATATGTATTTAATGTATATACGTACACAAAATATATACATGTGTATATATAAATCAAGCCTATATATAAATGAAATGTATATAAACCGTATGTATATGTTAGCATGGCAGCATTTTCGGTTAGCTTTTTGTTTGTTAAGAAGTTGGAGTTTTGAGGGGAGGGGGAAGGATTAGTACTTTGCATCAAATAGCTTGCTTTATGATGGTAGAATTGCTTTTACTTTTGTGATTTTTTTTTGAAGTGAAATTCAGCTTTTTGCACAAGTAGTGCTATTATACACATCATCAGTGTCTTACATGTACTGTATTACATTCCATACCCTCATTTAATTCTTAATAAACTGTACATATACCGTATCACATTCCATACCTTCATTTAATTCTCAATAAACTGTTCACTTATTTTTTTTTAAAAAAAGGTTTTTTTGGACTGGGTCCAGGGCACTGCTGCTCAGTTAAACCTCTTTTCTTTAACTGACCTCTAAAGAGGTCAAATCAGATTAATTTTTTAAGAGTTTGAATCAAAAATTTGATCTAAATATTAGGTATATCTTCGGAGCACCTATAAAGATCATTTTGTTGGTTATATGGTAGTAATCAAAATAATTAAGGCTGGGTGTGTTGCCTCATGCCTGTAATCCCAGCACTTTGGGAGGCCAATGCTGGAGGATTGCTTGAGTCCAGGAGTTCCAGCCAGCCTGGGCAAAATGGCGAGACCCTATCTCTATTTAAAACAAAAAGAGAATTAATAGATGAGTCTGTAAGAAATGCCACTTAGGACTCATGGCCAAAATAATACTATTTTTTTTCTTAAGATTCTTGAATAGAAAACAAACTTGTATCAACATTAATTGAAAAAAATACAATATCTCATCTAAAAACTCACCTTCTATATTTAGCCCAAGAGCAATCATAATTTTTAAAGGAGGAAAGTCTATAATTCAAAAACATTTTTCAGTGAAGAGCACAGAGATAATTCAATACAGATAACTTTAACTCTTTAATTTTAATTTATTACTATGTAACATCTATATTCTTATTTGCTTAATGTTGGTTGATTTGCGTTTTATAATAATTGTTTAATGATTTAAGCTTCAGGAATAAATTCAAGTAATAGAATATCACAGAAAGTTCATAAAACCCTTATTATGAAATAGAAATTAAAATATACTTAGTATTTATATCAAAAATTATAGTATAAGAATATTAATATTTTATAAGCTTTCTCAGAAACAAATGAGATTGAGACTTCTGGTTTTTCCCTAATATCTCTTCCCAATTACCCCATAGAAACATATGTTATGGTTGGTTATGTGGACACCCTGATATATTTTTCAGCCTGCTTTGGGAGGCTAAATGAATTGTAAACACTTTGCATGGGATGTGTTTGACCTCTTCTTCATTCCCTCCACCATCTTTCTGCCAGGTTGATGGAGCTAACATCTTGAACCTTAAGTTAAAGGCAATGCATGGTGAAGCAAACAGTAAAAAGAAGCCTGTGTCCTTGATAGCACAGAGCCCCATATCAGTTCTGAATTTTTACATGAGAGAAAAATAAACTTTCATCTTGTTTAAGCCACATGCCGTTCGGGTTTTCTGTCACTTGCAGCTAAACCCCCTCTTACCTAATACAGATTTGTGGGAAGGAAGAGGGATGATGCCAACTAAATAGGCTGGCATTTTTATCAACGAACACTCATTCTTTACCTTTTAAGTGATTCATGAACACGCTAGAGAGACATTGTAAACTGAATGTTTATGACAATACAAATGATACTCTAGACTAATATCCCTGATTTCTCTGCTACAACTTGTTTGATTAGCCCCTTGACATTACTCTCAATTGAGGGAAAGCAAAAGTAATTCATGACATTTTTAGAAATGTGGCTAATCTACTTTCACAAGCTTTCCAGCTGGGGATTTCAAGTTGAGGGTGACTATAGTTAATTTTTTTAATTTCTCATTTTCTAAGGGAACCAGAGCTTTTCTACTAACAAATACTTTATTTTTTGCTGTTATTGTTGGCTAAGAGTGTCTTTACTTTGAGGTGATGTGTAACCTCCCTAAAACGACCTTGGAACTCAGATCCCCAAGGACCATATCCAATTTAAGCTGTCTCCACCAAAGGGAAGCTAGATTGTTATTTTTTATAGGGACGGACTTGAAGCACAATGCATTTCACTGTGGAATAGATACGGAATATGATTCATAGCACTGCTCACCAGGTGAGGAAAGGGCACGTGCAATCATATGTCCTTCTGCTGTTCCTCAGCTTTCTCTCCTCTGTTAAAAAGAATTACAAAGCAGGTGGCAACATAGGGGAAAACTGAGAATGAGGAGGTGACAGGAAATGAAAGAGTTCTAGAAACATGTCAAATTTAAGTCACAGTCATGGTGACAGCTAATCAATTTTTTAAATTCTCCATATACTCTACTTCTAATTGATAGTGTAAACATAAACACTGATGTCCCAATGACATAGAAGAAGTTATTTAGTAGATTTCAAGTCTGAAGCAGAAACAAACTTTGGTTAATTTGTTAACCAAATTACCAAATTGAATTTACCAAATTTTGGTAAATTCAAGGCTATGGTCAGCTATCAGTGTACATTTGTAAATTATATTTTTTTCATCTTCTGCGTTAAAACCACGTAGAATAATTTTCTACTTTCAAAAGAAATAAAAGCACATATAATGTAGGACAGCAATTTCAGGGTCCAAATAACCGATATTTGCTTGTTCATTTTTTCAAATAAAGAAATAAATGTATTTCATATGAAGATTTTGTCCTGAGTGAGAGACGTATGTGATTTTTGTATCATTCATTACTAAATATTAAAAGCAAAATGAACCTCTTTGTGAACAGGCTGAACACAAAGAATATTAATGTTGCTTGTCTTATAGTTGTCAATCCCCTATAGAGTTCTCTCTCCAGGCCACCAAAGATGAGGCGACTGATGCCTTGTTTTGTCCTACCACCTCTCTACCTGAATCTGTTTTGAGGCAGATGTTCACCCTGATCTCTACTCTTACATAGTCTATGGCAAAACAGTGAGACTCAATATTATCCATGTCACTCCCAAACGTGTAATCTTGGTTGAATTTTACTGATATTGATTCCTGGATTCTAAATTATTCCCCTATCTCAACCTATGCTGCTTTAGTGTTTAGTTCAGTGGAGAATTTCACAGTCAGCGTTCCTTTGGGCTATTTTTCTGGGGTCTCCTAGGCGCGATATTTGCATGTCTGGATGGCTTCCTCCTATCTCCGTTTTATATTGCCTTAGACTCTCAGTACTGATATGACTAATAGGAGACCAAAATTTGTATGATGTGATTCCCTCTCAGGTTATGTGAACATAACTCCAATAACTGCTGAACTATTCAGTGAATCCCATGCCAGAGCCTGATGCCTGTCTCAATTCTTTGTGTTGTTGAGGTAGTCAGTCTTGCCTTCAGTTTAGTTCCATAAACTTACACTGAGAACCTACCACATGCCAAGAACTGGATACATGGAAGTAAAAAGATAATGATTAAATACTTTGGGGGGAAATCACACATATAAAAATCAACATAATGTGTTTGATAATATCAATGATTGGTCTGGAGATTTAATATTTTGTAGTAGTGAAAAGAAGAAAGATGAGGAATGTACTAGTCCATTCTCATGCTGCTAATAAAGATATACCCAAGCCTGGGTAATTTATAAAGGAAAGAGGTTTAATTGACTCACACTTCAGCGTGACTGGGGAGGTCTCAGGAAATTTACAATCATGGCAGAAGGGGAAGCAAACACGTCCTTCTTCACATGGTGGCGGGAGAGAGAAGTGTCAAGCCAAAGGGGGAAAATTCCCTTATAAAAGCATCAGATCTTGTGAGAACTCGCTATCACAAGAATTGCATGAGGGTAACCACTCCCAAGATTCAATTACCTCTCACCTGGCCCCTCCTACAACACATGGATATTATGGAAACTACAATTCAACATGAGATTTGGGTGGCGACATAGCCAAACTATATCAGGGAACTATACCAGTCAAAAAGAACATTCAATTCCAAAACAAAAAATCACTAACTATTTTGATGCAGGCTGAAGAAAGAACCAGTATGACAGCAAACCTTCCTTATGCATCCTTGTATCTCCAGCACCTAGCTTATAGCCTAGAGAATAGTTGAAATTTACTAAGTACTTGTGGAATGGATTATTGATTGACTGAATTAATAAATATTCTTAGAATATATTAAACTGTTGGATAAGTTAAACAGATTATGTAAAATTCTTACTGATACAGGTCCGTGACTCACATATATACCATATGTACTAAATTGTAGTATGTCGAGTTGTTTTGAAAAGTGGCTTTATTAACTACTTTCATTATGGCACAAATGCCCAAAAACAGAGCAAATACTCCACTAGAAATTGGAGAGTTGGTTATGATTTGTGTTGATTGGTATGCACAGGAAATAAGCCTGGTCCTCAACAGAAATGTGATTTGAGTGAATGCCAGGGAGTACACAATTTTGTGTTAAATTATTTGGAAATTTACAGAACTCCACAGAGATATTTCTTACCAATACCAAGTACCTCTTGTATATAATACATGCAGAAACATGTACACAAAATGTGGACATTGTATTTTCTCTGCAATTTGTCAATGTTCCCCCTTTTACACATTTGGAAACTATTTCTATTTCCATTTTAATAATAAAATTCCAAAAGAACTATTTAATCTTAGTTTCATAAAGTAACTTTATATACAAAAATAATAATTGAGAGGTGCCATAATTATTTCATTCCATTTACATAGAGTTCATATGGCTTTGTGGAGGTTTCTGAGCATTCTTCTTTTTAAATGCTGAAATAATCTTTAGTTCTAAATTGCTCCTTATATCAAAGCTCCAGAGATGCATAAATGATGTCAATAGGACATTTCAAACAAAGAAATGGTTAGTCCAAAACAGACTGGGAGAAAACTATATTGTTTATAACACTCTGTTCTGTATTTTAGAACCTTAACAACCCTTCTAGAGAAGCTGAGCCAATTGCTAATCAATAGTAATTATTTTTCTAACCATCTAAAAAAAATCCTTTAACCCCTAAAAGTAAGTTTGTTAAAAAGCCACATACTTATTTTCTAGTCATTAAATATACAGCCATTGCTTGAGTTTTAATATTTATAATGTATACTCTTTTGCAACTTTAAAGTAGGAACATTTTCAGCAGTCGAAGGTAAAATAAAATCTTTTCCCAAGAGGTAGTTTTAAAAATAATAAGTTTTTGAATGATTAAGGCTATTACATATTTCTAATCTGCCTTAACATTTTGTTGAATAAGGGCATTTTGTTGAATAATACAGATATTAAATGGATAGCTAGATATATAAATATACTATGAAATATTTTTTCTGAATTAAAGTAAACTAATAATTATATGTAGTTTATACTTTTAAAACCTCAAAAAATCAGGGCACAAGTGCTGTTGAACATTTTTGTTAGCTTACAGATAAATTGCTTCCATGTAAGATTTTATTAAATGAGTGCAGGATGTCATTCTTAGCCAATAGCATTAAGAACTTCTAGAGCTTCTAAAAGAAAGAGATACTAAAGATTAATTTAAACATTTGGAGAAAAAATAAATAACATATTAGCAAATTAAAGGTGAATAACAGGTTTTAAATGAAATAATGGCCTTAGAAAAAAATAAAGAACATAATATACAATATAAGGTAGTTTTGTGTGTCCATTTAAAAAATGCTTCTTGCGGCCGGGCATGGTGTCTCACGCCTGTAATCCTAGCACTTTGGGAGGCCGAGGCAGGCAGACCACCTGAGGTTGGGAGTTCAAGACCAGCCTGACCAACATGGAGAAACCCCATCTCTACTAAAAATACAAAATTAGCCTGGTGTGGTGGCACATGCCTGTAATCCCAGCTACTTGGGAGGCTGAGGCAGGAGAATTGCTTGAACCCGGGAGGCGGAGGTTGCAGTGTGCCAAGAACACGCCATTGCACTCCAGCCTGGGCAACAAGAGTGAAACTCTGTCTCAAAAATAAATAAATAAATAAATAAATGCTTCTTGTATTTTAGTTCTGTGCTAAGCTATATATTTGCATTGGAGACAAAAGAGTCATTTCACAGAAACCAATAGTACTTTCTTTCAAGTGTTTTTTGTGTCTTTTTATAGATTCTCTAATATAATTAATGGAACTACTGAGTCATCTACGTTAGAAACCTAGATAGCAATTTTATATGTCCTTGTTCCTTTTATCATCTGAATAGTGGCTACATTCTGGGGAAAAAAAAAAAAAGCAATATATGTTTTTTATTCTTTGTTACCACTGTTACTGGCCTACTTCAGATTTGTGTTATTTCTTTTAACCTCCCTCTTGAAAGTATTTAAGTTTTATTTGCATACCATAGTTAAATTTGTTGTACTATTATAATCAACTTATATTCAAACTTGTCATTTACACATCAACGGTCTCCATTAAAACTGGTAGATCACTGAGGGTAGGGCTTTTGACATTTTCATTTTTTAGCCTCTATTATCTAAGACAATATATGAGCTGAATGAAATTATTTTCAGACTCTTATCTTCAGCATTAGCTACTATTATGAACCTTTGAATGCAATGTAAAACCTAGTTTAAATTTATTCACTGTGTTCTACAAAAGCAATTTAATTAACAATGGGTATGGTCCCAATAAGTACCATGAAATTTTAAAAAACTCTAGATAATCGGTACTACAGTCACTATTGAAGTTTTATATATATATATAAGATATATACATATTATATACATAAGATATATACATATTATATATATAAGATATATACATTTTATATATATAAAATAAATATGCTGAAAAGTGTCTTTATTTCTACTGAAAGACAGAGAACACAGTTCCGATAAGTTTTCTAATATTATTTTTTGCTGATGATAATATATGTGTCTGTTCTGTATCAATTTTAATTTATTGATTATCCTCTTCATTATATGCTGCATTTTTCTGCATCTTTGGGTGCCTGGTACTGAATGCCAGACATCTGAATGTTATCTTTTCAGTAGCACCGTGTTTTTTGACTCCATATTTTTTATAACTGTATTTGAGGATATATAAGCTAAATATATGTATATACATTTAGCTTATTTTAAAAATCTGTTTGTTTCTCCCAGAGCATGAGTGTAAGATATGGGGACTAAGAAAAATTGGCTACAATAAAATTAATAGTTTGCCATCCTCATGTAGCTGTTCCATTAGGAACATACAGTCTTCTAGGTCATCTCAGCTGAGAAAAAGAGACAGGCTGGAGAATTGGAATTTTTATTAGCCTGAAAATGATATATCACATTCCATTGCCCCAAACTGGTCAGATGACCCTGCCTAACTGCAAGGCAGTTGGGAAATACAGGAAAACAAATAGGATATTTTTAGTAAGGATGACTCTATCTCAATAACCAATGATTTATATGTTGTAAATGGTATTGTAATATGCTGACCATGTTGTACTAGTAAATTATTTCTGTGATGTTTGCCTGAACTGCATAATTTAATCATAAAAATTTTTAAAGTAAAACAGAATAAAATTCTAAAGTATTATTATTTTTACTTAAAACTATATTGTGGCGAATACTCAGGCTATAGCTGTTTGGTAGAAAGAACAAACAATTCCACAACCCCTCTTTGAGACAAAAGAGTACATTATTTCATAACAAAAAGGGCAACAAGGAGCTAGATAGAACAAAACCTAAGAATCTAAGTATGATACAGGTACAACTAGATTGGCAGCTATGTTATATTATTTAAAATCAATACTTAAGAGCCTTTCCTTCTTCACAAAGATAAAGGAGTTATCAGAGCTAATGGCTGATGTGAGAGCTAAGCACTGCTTTAACAGATTACAGGTCGATTTTAATTTTGCTTTACAAATTACAAAGGAGCTCATCAATAAGATTATGAAGGAGAGACACTCAAATACTGCTGAGGAAGTAGTCCACCCTTTCAAGTTCAAATGGATGCGAGGAGAATATAAGAGGAAATAATTCTGCCAGCAGACATGGCAAATGAATGTATTTTTTGTTTGTGCATAAACCATTCAAAAACTTACTAACATAATTACATTGAAACAGTAGCTGGTAATTATGTATCAGTTAGATTTGGTGAGAAATTTAGACAAATTTTCTTGATTAATTCAAATAGAGATCTTTGTGAATATTTTTAAATATACAAATTATCAATAACAAACAATATATTCACTGAGACTTTAAAATGTAATAGTAAGCGTAGTCTATTTTACAAATTCATATTTTGGAATTATATTTTATTTAGGATATTTCTTTCACAGATCATTAGAAAACTTCAGAGAAACATATGCTTCTCATCTGCTCATAAATATAGAAATCATCATGTACATAATTACATGGTGATTTATATTGCTTTCTCTTCGCTGTAACAGAAACCAGCATTGCCCTCTGTACTGGTTACAACAGAACTTTCCTATAAATTTAGCAAGCGTTTTTAACAGTAAAGGGAAAACTCAAAGGAAGATAAACTATTATAAGTATTTAGAGTTCTGTTAAGCTTAAGGATACAACCAATATCTGAAGGAGAAGATGTGCTAATGATAGAGTGGTTTCTGATAAATACAAAGGTAGATGGAGAGTACTTATCAAGACTGGGATAGGATTGTATGCAAAGGTTAACATCAGAAATATAATCGCATTAGAGACAAAGAAGAGAAGTGGGCTGGAAACAGTGGCTCATGCCTGTAATCCCAACAGTTTGCGAGGCCAAGACTGGAGGATCGCTTCAGGCCAGGAGTTTGGAGACCAGTGTGGGCAACATGGAGAGACCCCAATCTCTACAAAAATACTTAAAAAATTACCAGACGTAGGGGTGTGTGCTTGTAGTTCCAGCTACTCAGGAGCCTGAGGCAGAAGGATTGCTTGTGCCCAGGAGTTTGAGACTGCAGTGAGCTATGATTGCACCACTGCACTCCAGCCGGAACAACAGAGCCAGACCCTGTCTCTAAAACAAACAAACAAACAAAAGCCAGCTCTGCCACTATTTCTTTCACATTCATTACTAAATTACATTAAATACTAAAATGCATTAGTACATTGAAAGAAAGTATGTTTAAAAAGACTTTTCAGAGATCATTTTACAAACTATTAAACAAATGTATGCTTTTTTTAAAAAAGCCTTTTATGACATGAAAAAATTAGCATAGTCATAAAAGAAGTGAAGGGTTCTGTCCTGTGCTGTCTTGTAAGGAGGTGGAGGGGAGGTCATAGTGCATTTGGCTCCTGTCTATATTTTTCTGAAGTCATTTTGCTGGGCCTCTGGTGAGATCCCATTCTCTGCAAAGTACACAGAAAAATATTTCACAAGGGGTGAGTTAAAGAGTTGCTGAGGAAGAAAAGACCTCCAAAACACTCTGGCACAGACAGAAATTTTTTTAAAAAACCTTTCCTTCCTCTCTGAAACTTTCAGAAAGTGCCCTAGTACACAGTCAGTTCCTCTGGAGCAACTGCCAAAGTCAGAGCCTCAAGCAGAGAGGGCAGGCGCTAACTGTAAAAGAGCTCAGTCATGCAAAGTATGGGCTTAGTCTGGAAGATGCTGGGTTCCCTTCAGACCACTCTGGATGCAGTCAGCCAGAAGCTAAAATTTGGTTCTCAAGACTCCTTGGGGCAAAAGTTCAAATGGCTTATTCCTTAAGTCGTTCCTAGGAGTTTCTAGGATTGCTTTCAGTTGTAATTAAGGGAACTAAAATTCTGTAAACCAAATGGAAGAATTCGTCAATGAAGTGAGACATAATTACCTGGTGAGTTCTTAATTTGTGCTTCAATGGCAGAGCTGACATGCACAGAGTTTTGAAGTCTTGATAAGTGGGGTCAGTAGGAATGATTAAAAGGCTAGGACTGGAAACTTTCCACTTAGTTTCTCTTGTGCAGTGACTTACAAACTAGTTACTTCCTTAGCAAGAATTACCTTCAATAGAAACCAGAAGAGAATTGTCAGGAGTAAAGAATGAAAGATCTAAACCTTCTAGTGACTAACTTATATCCCATCAAAACTACTCATATGTTCACTTTACTGATACCTAGTAATCTTGGTGATGTAGTAAAGGATTGTGTAAACAAATCAGCTAAGAGCTCATATTTCCTGAACTCCTTCTTTCCTATGCTTACAAAGAAGGAAAATTTGCCTTTGATGTTGTATTGGAAGCCACTGTGTGTTGGCTTTATAGCCAGTATTTTATTATATGTTGTCTTATATAATCCTACAAATCTCTTCAGGAGGATATGATCTCTGCTTTAACATTATGAAACTGGACTTCATAGAAGTTAAGTAACTACCTGATAACAAGTAACTTAAAAATACGGATCAGGAGGCCGGGCACAGTGGCTCACGCCTGTAATCCCAGCACTTCGGGAAGCTGAGGTGGGTGGATCATGAGGTCATGAGATCGAGACCATCCTGGCTAACACAGTGAAACCCCATCTCTACTAAAAATACAAAAAATTAGCCGGGCGTGGTGGCGGGTGCCTGTAGTCCCAGCTTCTCAGGAGGCTGAGGCAGGAGAATGGCATGAACCCAGGAGGCGGAGCTTGCAGTGAGCTGAGATCGTGCCACTGCACTCCAGCCTGGGAGACAGAGCAAGACTCCATCTCAAAAAAAAAAAAAAAAAAATATATATATATATATACACACACACACACACACACACACACACACGGATCAGGATTCAAATGTACTAACGTGATACAAGGCCTATCACTTTTTAACTTCACCATACTGTATTTTCAGTCATTTTAACATACACAGCTAATGAATATCTATCTTATTTGCACACTTAGGATAATAACAGAAATTAAAAGTTGAACATATGCAGTTTATTTTGTCCAAAATATAATTGTTGTTTCTCTGTGTTGGGAAAGGCTGTCTCCTGCATGCAGTCCTGTGTGTGGACTCCATTGGACCACAGAAGAATGAGCCTTCAACCCGAACACTTCCTTACCAACAGATAAAGAGCCTTCACAGCATGTGCCGGGTTTATCGCCTGGTATGGGAATATCTTTTCCTGTTTCAGACTCTGTATACTCCTTTAATCTGCTTAAGCTCATATGTCAATGGCCCTCAGACACACCTCCAGCTTTCTGTATTTCAGACTGCATGGGAAGGGGGAGGGGTCCCTCTATTGCAGCACAAAGTGGGGTGGGTGCAGCTAACTCCCCACATAGCATAGCTGTGAAGTGGATCCAGTGGCCCTGAGGGACCAACACAATGTAAGGAGCTGGACCTTGTGCACTCTTGCTCCTCTCTTGCTGTGAGTAAACACTGTATGGCTTGAGTCCAGCATGTGTGTTTTCTGTATCACAACCTCGGGTCGTGCATTGGTCTCTTCCCTGGAAGGCACTTTTTATCTGTCTTCTAACCTTGGCAGCACAGCCCGGCCATCCAGTGAATGATGAAATACTTAGCACTTGTTGTCATAGTAGGTAATTTTGTGAATTCAAATAAATAATCAGCTAATAAAATTGGCTTCAAAATACTCTTGGATTGGAGAATTGAAAAGGCACATTTCACTCAAGGCATCTTTGCCCCTGGGCTGTAACTTAAAATACCTCTTTGATTTCAGGCCTCCTTATCTAACTTCTGCTCAGTCACCTCTGCATTCTACCTGTAGAAAAGTGACTCAACATCATTCCAGAAGTCCGGAATTCTACAAGAATCATGTAAGTCATATAAAGGACTGAGAGGTGACAGCGTGCTAGCAGTCCTCACAGCCCTGGCTCCCTCTCTGCGCCTCCTCTGCCTGGGCTCCCACTTTGGTGGCACTTGAGGAGCCCTTCAGCCTGCCGCTGCACTGTGGGAGCCCCTTTCTGGGCTGGCCAAGGCCGGAGCCGGCTGCCTCAGCTTGCTGGGAGATGTGGAGGGAGAAGCGCGGGCGGGAACCCGGGCTGCGCGTGGTGCTTGTGAGCCAGCGCGAGTTCCGGGTGGCCGTGTGCTGGGCAGGCCCCGCACTCGGAGCGGCCGGCTGGCCCCGCCACCGGGGCAGTGAGGGGCTTAGCGCCTGGGCCAGCAGCTGCTGTGCTCAATTTCTCACCGGGCCTTAGCTGCCTTCCCACAGGGCAGGGCTCGGGACCTGCAGCCCGCCATGCCTGGGCTTCCCCCCACCCACTCTGTGGGCTCCTGTGCCGCCCGAGCCTCCCGGAGGAGTGCCGCCCCTTGCTCCACTGCACCCAGTCCCATCCACCACCCAAGGGCTGAGGAGTGCAGACACAAGGCACAGGACTGGCAGGCAGCTCCACCTGTGGCCCTGGTGTGGGATCCACTGGGTGAAGCCAGCTGGGCTCCTGAGTCTGGTGGGAACTTGGAGAACCTTTATGTCTAGCTAAGAGATTGTAAATACATCAATCGGCACTCTGTATCTAGCTCAAGGTTTGTAAACACACCAATCAGCACCCTGTGTCTAGGTCAGGGTTTGTGAATGCACCAATCCACACTCTGTATCTAGCTACTCTGGTGGGCACTTGGAGAACCTTTGTGTTGACACTCTGTATCTAGCTAATCTAGTGGGGACATGGAGAACCGTTGTGTCTAGCTCAGGGATTGTAAACGCACCAATCAGCGCCCTGTCAAAACAGACCACTTGGCTCTACCAATCAGCAGGATGTGGGTGGGGCCAGATAAGAGAATAAAAGCAGGCTGCCCGAGTCAGCAGTGGCAACCCGCTCGGGTCCTCTTCCACACTGTGGAAGCTTTGTTCTTTCGCTCTTGGCAATAAATCCTGCTGCTGCTCACTCTTTGGGTCCACACTGCCTTTATGAGCTGTAACGCTCACCACAAAGGTCTGCAGCTCCACTCCTGAGCCAGCGAGACCACAAACCCACCAGAAGGAAGAAACTCTGAACACATCCAAACATCAGAAGGAACAAACTCCAGAAACGCCACCTTAAGAGCTGTAACACTCACCGCAAGGGTCCACGGCTTCATTCTTGAAGTCAGTGAGAGCAAGAACCCACCAATTCCGGACACAGTACTAGTTAAGCATAAAATATATTTAAAAGGAAAAAAAAAATCAAACTTGTGATAATATGTAAATCAGTTACCACTGATGACATCATCACCCCATATAAACTTTTTCTTAGCTCAGCATGTAGGCTGCTCTATTTTACACATCATTAAACCTTTAGAGCTCCTAGTTTTAGACAAATAGATCTCAGTATAGCAGATATACTAAATGCCTGTATTAGTCTGTTCTCAAGCCGCTAATAAAGACATACCCAAGACTAGGTAATTTATTAAAAAAAAGAGGTTTAATGGACTCACAGTTCCGCATGGCTGGGGAGGCCTCACAATCATGGCGGAAGGCAAAGTAGGAGCAAAGGCATGTCTTACATGGTAGCAGGCAAGAGAGCATGTGCAGGGGAACTGCCCTTTATAAAACCATCAGATCTTGTGGGACATATTCACTAACACAAGAACAGTACAGGAAAACCCACCCTCATGATTCAGTTACCTCCCACCGGGTCCCTCCCAGGATACATGAGGATTAGGGGAGCTGCAATTCAAGATGAGATTTGGGTGGAGACACAGCCAAATGGTATCAATGCCTGAGTGGTCAGAGCAAAGCTGTCTGCCTTGAGTAAGTGGATGGAGAGTCATGAAATGGAGTCACAGGACTCATAGAGCCATTTCATATGAGAAAGGATAAAACGAAACTAGCAGTTTATGCTTATACTCCTCATTCATATTAAAACTGGAGTATATGCATGTGTATGTTTGTGTCTCTGAAGTTAATGTGCTGCACATACATATATATATATAGTATATATAGTAATACCCCAAAGAAAATTCAGTTTTTCATGTCCTTTAAAAGCTTTATTTCCTTATCGAATTCATTGACTTTTGAGAAGTTTATTTAACATTCATGGGTTTTGCTGGACACCATTCTGCCTGAGGAATCAGAGATTGCCATGTTGTCTTGACTTTGTTGTGTTGTATGTTCTATCTTTTCTTATCCAAAATAGAACTTTTGTTGATTCTTCTCAGCACTCCCTGTGTAAACCTGTCCCTGCCCTGTTTCCATTTCCCAGTTCTCTAAACAGCATCATAGTCTATCAAGCTGTGAGACCAAAAACCTGAGTCATCCTTGAGTCCTTTTCCGTTTGCTCCCAACAGTTAAATGGAATCTATCAGCAAGTCCTGTTGGTTTTGCCTCCAAAATAGATCCGTAAATTCACTTAGGCTCTTATCACTTGATTGCTACTACTTCAGTCAAAACCACCCTACATACAAATCCACACTCTACCCTCTAGCCACAACGATCTATTACAATTACAAATGAGAGCATGTCTTTTCCCTGCTTTAAACTTCACAATGGCTTCTCCTTATGCTTAAAATAAAACCTGATCTCCTTATTTCCAGAACAAGGTGGTGCATGATCTGCCCGTAGTCCCCTGATCTCACCACTTACCATGCTGGGTGTCACATATTGTGCCCCACTCTCAGTAGTTTTCCATATTTTCTGCATACCTCAAGCCCATTCAATTCTCAAGACATTCACATGATTATATTTGCGAATGCTCTTTGCCAAAACCATTCCTCCATTCCTGACATTTTTCTGTTTTTTCGTTTTGGCTTACCTGTTATCTCTTGGAGAGTGATTCCTTATCTAGCCATTCTAAATTGGCAGCATAATGCCCACCCCCTCTGTTTTGAAACATATTACCCAGTTTTATTTTCATCAGGACACTTTTTGTAACTGAAATATTGTTATTATTAACGCAGGGTGTTTTTTTTTAAATTGTTAGTCCTACTCTCCCTTACCACAGCCCTTTCGACAGAACATCGTCTATCATTACCCTTTGTATCCCCAGGGGCTAAAATATGTTTGGTACATAATCCAAGCTTAAGGCACAATTGTGGGAGAAAATTGTTATTAAAATAAACCAGGGGAATACAACAGTAATAAAAGCTGGCAGTCTAAAAGCAACAAGGACATTGACCACTTGTTTCAATGTTTTATGGGAAATTTTGATTTTTTTTTTAAGACAATGTGTTGCTTTTTCACCCATGCTAGAGTACAGTGGCATGATCACAGGTCACTGCAGCCTCAATCTCCTGTGCTCAAGGGATCTTCCCACCTTAGCCTTTCAAGTAGCTGGGACTACAGGTGCACGCCACTATGCACAGCTGATTTTTAGATTTTTTTATAGAGATGAGGTCTTACCTTTTTGCCCAGGCTGGTCTTGAACTCCTGGGCTCAAATGATTCTCTCCCTTTGACCTCTCAAAGTGCTAGGATTACAGGCATGACCCACCACACTAGTCATTGATTTGCTCTTAATAATGGCTTGGTAAAAAATTTAATAATTTTTTTTAAATATGGGAGGACAGCTGATAACAGAGAAATGGGAGTGTTAATACATATGATGTCACTGACAAACTAAAATCAACAGCCTTCTGAAAATACAAGACAATTTTAAAAACAGAGAGTACCACGATTTTTCCCCCTTTCTTCTAGTTATTTGAATTCTTCTCTCTAAAATGATTATATTAGTCATAAAATATTCCTTCTTGTTGCTGAAATTCTAACACATTTTACTATTTTCCTGATGCAGAGTCAATAGGGAGTTATCTCCCAAAAGTGATTTTTCTACAGCTTTTATCTATCTCACAAATGCAAATACAAAATTAAACTCACTCAGAAACATCATGCACATAATGTAGGGTTTTTTTTTTTTAATTTTTGATACCCTGAGGATTTCTTTGTCCATAAATCAATGGAAGGGTTATACTCATGCACATGGATGTAACCTCGTTTCTCTCTGATAGACATCATGGGGAGAATATTCTTCCCTTAGGAAGCTATACAAATATAATGCAATATCATAAAATGTGTACATATTCTTTTAACTGTTTCAGGACAATAATTGTACTTTCAGTGCTAAGTTGCTAAATCATTTTCGTGTCTTAAATTTCTGTGTCTTCAAATTGTAACCTAACACTATTACTAACGCTTAGGTACTTGTATAAGGAATGTGCTTGTTTTTATACAAGAAAGAACTAATGTTTTTCACTTTGTATCAGTAGACTTTGAAACTCCAAGAATGTTTTCACCCTTATGCTGAGAACATAACAACATGCAAATAAATAAATGGTGATAACAACTTAAGTGCAGAAGAATAATTATCTAGTTTTGTGATAAACATTGTTCTTCCATTTTCATGAACAATGTGCCCTCAAGATTCACAGCATATGATAAAGAAAAGCTGTATGAGAAACCTAGAAAGTGCAGTGAAACAAATTCCTGGAATGAACTTCCTCAGTAGTGGGATCACAGTAACCAGAGAGAGTGGCAGATTTTGACAGAGCAGCTGTTAATGCTAGTACAGAGAAAGCTTGAAATTTATCTCAATCTTAGATTTCACACTCTGCTGTAGACCTCTCATATAGTTAGTAATCTCATCTTCAGGCAATTCCATCATTCAGCATTTTCATACTCAATCATAAGATTTTGTGTGTGTGCTAAAAATGTCATTTTCTGAAAGAACACACATGTCTGGATAAAACCTTATGGCCAGACTCAGGTTCCTTAAGGAAATTTACAGATATTCAGACATATTCCTCTATATTTATATACATTCCTTCAACAACATTGGTCTGTTAGGATATAAATATAAAGGGATTTTGTTCATTGTTTTAACATCTCTCTCCTATTTCCTCCTATGGAAAAAAACAAAGCTGCTTGGGAGAGAAGCTAAGATTTTAGAAAATGATGGAAAGAGCCTAAATAAAACAAGAGAAGCCTTACCCTACTTTGCCTGAGACAAGAAATTCTTAGTTTGTATGTTTGTTTTTCTCCAGCAAGGAGGAGGGAGTGAGGATAGCAGATAAGGGAAGATTTGTGGAAGAGAAGGGAGTCCCAGGATCATGCCACAGGGTGAAGCTAGGCCTGAGAGATATTCAAGGTGGCAGTGTCTGAAAGAACTTTCAAAACCATGAAAGTTTAACGCTCAATTGGAAGCTATTTGACTTGTGATGTACTTTTCAGAGTTTTCCTTCACTCTAGAATATTGGAAAATACTTTGTAGGAATGTGCTTGTTTTTATACAAGAAAGAACTAATGTGTTTCACTTTGTATCAGTAGACTCTGAGACTCCTAGAAGCAGACCAGCCATAAGAATGCAAGCCTGCTGTACATATCCATAAAATATAAGGAGAGCTTTCAATTTCCACAGGATAGCCAAGGATGTTAATCCAATTTTACCTCCATAGAAGAAGCAAGTCTCCCTTAGATATTTTTGTTTTCTATATATATATGTGCCTTGCCTAATAAAGAAATAGCAATAAGGTCTGAATAGATCACTTCTCTTTCTTCACACAAAACAGCTAGGCAGTGTAAAGGTAAGAGAGTTCATAATACAAAACTCAAACAAATAAAGTAAAATGACTATATTAAAATCACTATATATTTTACATGCATTGCTTTTACTAACAGTAACTTTGCCTGTCAGGAATTTAATAGTTGATATGTCAAAGTGATTTGGCCTGTTATTAGTTGTTCTGAAGTGAAATTGTCTTTTACATGTTAGAAACCAAGGGCCCGTCTTGATGGTCAATTAGCTCATAACTTTAACATCTAGTTATAATTTTGTTAGACAGCATCTTATAAAAAAATCATGCTTAAATTTTTGATGCATTCATTTAATTATATACCAAGAGTAAAAGATAGCATTTTAAATGTTAATGGAGACTATTTTGACATTGCACTGTCGTATAAGCATATTGCAATTAGTAAGCTGTGGAAGGAGATGATAACATCACAGCAAATCCACTAGGATCATGTGGAAATATAGGCAAAATAAAAATGATATATGAATGAAAGAATATAGTGAGGGGAAAGTTCTCCATTCTTATGTTTAAAAAAAAAATCCTTAAAATCAAATTGCTTATTAGAACTTTAGCCAGTCCTAAAGGAAAAGTCTTATTGAATTCAGTGCCATTCAGTTTAAGTCAATATCATTCAAGATGCATTAAGTATTTGTCTGTGAAGAGCTCCATACTGGGTGCTGCATGGGATATAATAGAATCTACCTATCTGCTTTTTTCCCAAGGAGTTCATGTTCTAATTAGGGAGGAAAAGTTTGCATATTTGACAGTACCAGACTACATTTGAATAAAAAACGCGTGGTATGGGGATGGAGCTTTTAAAGGGTTATTGTCCATTGTTTTTTAATTAGCTCCTTTTTCCTCTGACACTTGTCTTCTTTCTCCCTTTCCCATTCATTACACCAGAATGCCAATCTTTAACCTTCAATTATTACTTCAATGTGTTCCATATTTACAACACTGAATAAATCCATCTGTCTGCTAATAAATAAATAGTCTTGACCTCAACAAATGATATTACAATGCAAATGCATGATTCTAACAAAGAAATACAGAGACCTCTTAAACATTTATACTTTTTACTTTGCATAATGGACCCAAAGGACATGTTTAGAGAAATATTTAGTGAAACACAGCTTACCACCATTATCAACAACTCAACAGAAAGTTTTCTTTCAAATTGTCAGAAGTACCATTTTAAAGTACAAACCAAATTTAATTGACATTATAATCTGTGACTTTACTTTTTTACTACCAAATTATGCAAGGAATAAATAATTTTCTTCAGGAACACAGAAAACTTGTAGTGCTTATAAGGTTTCTGATGTACAATTTACTTCTTATATAAACCACAGTCACCTAATTTAGGACTACATTTTAGTTAAGACATATGTTTTTCTCATTTATATTCCACTAGTGCTGGTTTGCATCCTAAGCCTAAATAATTGCTTAATAAACACACCTACTGTGTGTTTGTTATTAACTGTATGTCTGTGCCCACCCAAAATTTATAGTTTGAAGGCCTAACTCCCTCTATGACTGTGGTTGGAGATAAGACGTGTAAGAAAGTGATAAAAGTTAAATGAGATCATGAAGGTGGGGCCCTAATCTGATAGGGTTGGTTCTCCTAATCATAAGAAGAAGAAATAACTGAGCTCTTTTTATCTACCATGTGAGGACACAGCAAGAACACAGCCATGTGCAAATCAGGAAGAGGGCACTTGCTGGGAACTTAATTGGTTGGCACCTTGATCATGGACTTCCCAAACTTCCAAACTGTGAGAAAACAAATTTATGTCATCTAAGTCATCCAGTAGTCATGTGGTAGTTTTTTACAGCAGACTAAGATAAGGCACAATTAAGACATGGAAATATTTACTCACAGACACATACACACACGCACACGCACACGCACACACACACACATACACTGATAAACTGACTCAAAATGATTTGCACCAGCCTAAGCAACATAGTGAGACTTTACAAAAAAAAAAAAAAGAAAGAAAGAAAGTAGCTAGATGTGGTCCCATCTACTCAGGAGTTTGAGGTGGAAGGATAGCTTGAGCCCAGAAAGTCGAAGCTGCAGTGAGCTATGATCATGCCACTGCAATCCAGCCTGAATGACAGGGGAAAAACCCTGTCTCAAAAAAAAAAAAGAAAATGATTTGCAGGAGAGGGGATCAGGAGTAATCCAGATGTCACTTTAACACTCAATGTAAGTCAAAGGGGTCAAAAGCAAAATATATTCAAAAATATAGGTGCATCTTGAACAACATTCAAAGAAAAAAGAGATATAATTTGGGAATGAGAAGGTGAAAAGTAATGGAAGTTCTGGAGGGGTGGGTTTCTAAACAGTAGTTGAATACAGGAGAAACAGTTACTGATATGCAAATACTAAGTACTATGTAGTATGAAAGGTTCGTATATATGGAGTTTCTATTAACCTTCTGTTCTTGGAAACATGTCTTTTTTTTTTTTTTTTTTTTTTTTTGAGATGGGGTCTCACTCTGTCACCCAGGCTAGAGATCCGTGGCACGATCTCAACTCACTGCAACCTCCACTTCTTGAGTTCAAGCAATTATCTTGCCTCAGCCTCCCTAGTAGTTGGGACTGCAGGCATGTGCCACCACCCCCAGCTAATTTTTGTATTTTATTTTATTTTATTTTTTAGCAGAGACGGGGTTTCACCATGTTGGCCAGGCTTGTCTCAAACTCCTGACCTCAAATGACCCACCTGCCTTGGCCTCCCAAAGTTCTGGGATTACAGGCATGAGCCACTACACCCAGCCAAAAGTGTCATTTTAAAACAATTAGAAAGGGTAGATAAATAAAAATAAATTACAAACTCACCTAAAATGCCACTACTCAAAATTAACCATAATGAAAGTTCTGTTATTTCTTCTGCATATATTGTGTACAATATATACAATTATATGTCTTTTCCACTTAAGAATATATCATTAATATTTTTCAGTGTCATTATATGTCATTGTACTGTAACGTCATTACAAATCACATTATATGCTGTTTTTCCTCAACATAATTTTTAGGATACCATACAAGCCATTCTATAGATACTCAAAACGTTGTATAGTCAAATTACCATTCATGAACATTTTGGTTGTTTATTGGTTGAGGGTGTTTCTATTTATGAAGAATATTCAGAGCATTTATAGGTTAATTATAACCCCATTATATAAGAGATGGGATGATTAAGTATTAATTGAAGACAACACCAAATGCTGGTGAGGAGGAAGACAGGCTGGATCACTCATCTGTTGTATTGGGAATATAAAAATGGTGCTGCCTCTGGAAACTAGTTTCAGAGTCTTACAAAATTAAATCTGCAATTGTCGTATGATTCCACAATCACACCCTTGGTTATTTATCCAAGAAATAAAAATTTCTTTGATTTACATAAAAATGTAAACACAAATATTAAATAGCAGCTTTATTCCTAATAGGCAAAAATTTGAAACAGTCCAAATGTCTTTCAACAAGTGAATGACTCAAAGAACTGCTATTACCATGGAATTCTATGCACCAATTAAAAAGCGTCAACTATTGATACATTCAACCACTTGGACAAATCTCCGGGGGATTATACTGAAGGAAAAAAACCCATATAAAAAGTTAAATACTATATGATTCCATTTATACAACATTGTTGAAATGACACAGTTTAAAAAATGGAGGACAGATTATGGTTACCATGGATTAGGGATGAGGAGGGAAATGTGGAGAGCAGTGGGAAACAGGTATGTGTGATTATGAAAGAACATGAGAGATTCCGGTGTTGGAACTGTTCAGCATTTTGACTACTTTGGTGGATACATGAAACTACACAGGAGATAAAATTGTGTAAAACTAAATATAACACAGACACACACACAAATGAATACCAGTAAAACTAATGAAATCTGAATAAGATAGGGAGATTTATCAATGTCAATATCCTGGCAGTGATATTATACTACTGTTTTGCAAAATGTTACCATTGTGTAAACTAGGAAAAGTGGACTAGGGTCCTCTCTGCCTTATTTCTTACAACTGTATGTCAATCTTCAATTATATCTATTAACATTTCAGTTAAAAATCACTTATAGAAGAAGATGCATAGTGAACACAAACTAAGGAAAACAGATTTTAGAAAAGAAAAGGGAATTGATTAACTTGACAAAGTAGTTAGATTAGGCAATAGATTTTGAATACAGGATTGTAGAGGTTGAAGACAACAGAATCCAAATATGACAGTTACTTTTGTAAGACACATTTAAAAAAGGTATTTATTTCATTTGTCATTAGAGGACACATTAAGATAAATGGCTTTCAAAATCTGAGAAAAATTAATGTCTAGTACATATTTTATAAGTTTCAGTGCTTATATAATTGAATAATGCATATGCATAAAAGGGAGGAGGGAGGTGAAATAGAACAGAATGCATAAATATCTGAATGAACTATTCAATAATAGAAATATATAATTTTTACTTTAGAATTAACCTTCTTAACATTTTATCCTGCTATTCTAGGCATAGATATAAAATCTTACTACTGGTTAAAAGTAACAAGAATTGTTGCTTTGTCAAAATATATTAGATGAGGCCTAATAACATTTTAATTTTGTTTCCTATGAGAGAATATTTATTGTTACATGGTAAGTTATCCTATACAAATAGCACACTCACATATTATATCAGATATTCTGATCTAATTCTGATCCTCCCAGACATTTATTGTAAATTTTTATGTCTTTATATCAAACAATATCATAATTCATCTGGAAGCCTCTTTATGAGTAACAAAATACCTGTAATTTGAAAACATTGACCCTTTGCTTGGTATTTGCAGACCTATGATTCACTCACCTAATTGTACATGGAAAATTATAATGGCCATAGATTGAATGTTATGGCAAAATATAAGGGCATTATAAAAAGACTTAGCAAGCTATATTTAGACTAAAAATAGCACCTAAATGGCACTAATGTTCTTTTTTTTTTAACATTGTTGCCATGAGAAATAATTGTCCTTTTCTGCTCTACATATCAGTTGTACTCCAGGCTACCATCCTCATTATCGCTTGATAGTTCAACGGCTAAAAGACTGTTGTTTTTGTATAATTATTCTTATTAGCCATTTTGCATAAAAGCTTATGAGATAGTAAGTTGATTGTATATGCAATTACAAATGAGAAACTCAAGAGTGACTGGGTAAATAATTCTTCTGAGGTCACAAAATAGTCAAATGTTTGGGCAAAAATTAACATTTTTCTTTTTCTAGTCTCAGTCCAACATTGCATTCCTGATTATTTTGGCTGGGTTTTGGATATAAATGTTTTATCGTGTATGACTAAACTAATATGAATGTTTGATTACATATAAAAATCTATAATTTGTTGTAGTTGTTCCAGAAAATTAGGAATAATATTAACTTTTAAATATATATGTTTTTGTAGACATTG
Organism: Homo sapiens; assembly: GCF_000001405.40. NCBI lineage: Eukaryota > Metazoa > Chordata > Mammalia > Primates > Hominidae > Homo > Homo sapiens. Next base: position 66,571,993 of record NC_000013.11, read on the forward strand.
TGTCACAATGGAAAAAAAAAGAAAGGAATATAATTTCGACTCAGAATTCTTGAATTCTCTTAAACTTATGACTCTTTTTCACCATATAAGCTTTTTTACTGATACATAACAATTGTACATATTTGTAGGGTACATGTGATATTTTGATACATTCATACAATGTGTAATAATCAAGTCAGGGTAATTAGGACACCCACCACTATCAAACATTGATCATTTCTTTGTTTTGGGAACATTCCAAATCTTCTAGCTATTTTAAAATATACAATAAATTATTGTTAACTATATTTACCCTACTATGTGTGCTAGCATACACTCAAGCTTATTCTTCTTATATACCTGTATATTTGTACCCATTAGCTGACTTCTCTTTATCCTCCCCTCCTCAGTCACTTGCCAGCCACCACTCTACTCTCTACCTCCATGAGATCAATTTTTTTCGTTCCCACATACAAGTGAGAACATGTTATATTCGTCTTTCTGGGCCTGGCTTCTTTCACTTAACATAATGTCCTCCAGGCTCAGCCATATTGCTACAAGTGACAGGATTACATTCCTTTTATGGCTGAATAATATTCCATTGTGTATATTTGCCACATTTTCTTCATCCATTCATCCACTGATAGCCACTTAGGTTGATTGTGTATCTTGGCTACTGTGAATGGTGCTGCAATAAACATGGGAGTGCAGATCTTTTCTACGCATTGATCTCCTTTCTCTTGGATATATACCTAGCAGTGAGATTGCTAGAAGCTATAGTATTTCTTTTTTCTTTCTTTTTTCTTGAGACAGGGCCTTGCTGTATCACTCAGGCTGGAGTGCAGCGGCATGATCACAGCTTACTGCAGCCTCACCCTCCCAGGCTCAAGAGATCCTCCTACCTCAGACTCCCAAGGAGTTGGGACCACAGACATGTGCCACTGCGCCTGGCTAAGTTTTTTATTTTTTGTAGCGGGGACTCATGATGTTGCCCAGGCTGGTAGTATTTCTATTTTTAGTTTTGTGAGAAACCCCAATACTGTTTTCCATAATGGCTGTACTAATTTACAATACAAACAACAGTATACTAGAGCTCCTTTTCCTTCACATCCTTACCAGCATTTACTCTTTATCTTTTTGATGGTAGTCATTTTACCTGAGGTCAGATGATATTCCATTATGGTTTTGATTTGCATTTTTCTGATGATTAGTGATGCTGAACATTTTTTTCATATACTTTTTGGCTATTTGTATGTCTCTTTTTGAGAAATGTCTATTTGGATCATTTACCTACTTTTTTTTTTTTTTTTTTGCTGGTGAGTTGTTTGGATTTCTTACATATTCTGGTTACTAATCCTTTGTTGGATAGATAGTCTGCAAATATTTTCTCCCACCATTCTATACATTGTTTCTTCACTCGGTTGATTGTTTCTTTTGTTACTTGCGTAAATGTATTAACCCCTTCTGAATCCCTTGTTATCAATTAAAACTCAATTCAGCTATCCTCTCCTATTTTTAATTTTGCCTGAACCTCCTAAATAGATTTCCTTGTTACCTATGTGAGTTTCTTGAAAGAAAAGATTGTGTCTTTCTCATCAATTTATCATTAGATTCTAGCATAGTATCTGGCACAGGTTGAGATGCTACGTTAAGACAGTCCATTTGCAATGTTTGATAAACTAAAAAATAATTTACAGACTTACATCTTTTTATTGCAATCAAGTTGCAGTCAGTTAAGGGTATTTTGTTGAGAGCAGTTGGGTTTTTTTGTTTGTTTGTTTGTTTGTTTGTTTGTTTTTTTGGTGCCAAATCAACTGAAATGCAATGCAATTATCAGTCAATATTACTTGCATGTGGACATAGGAATCCCAAACCATCCCACTATCGGGTTCTTTTACATTATGGAGTGTTCAGTTAATTTTTTCCTCTACTTTCTTCCTTTCTACCAATATTTTCCAGCTTTATTTCTCTCCCCTACTTCTAGTTTTAACATTCCATAGTAGGTCCATAAAATCCCTCTGGTCAATAGCCTAGATACTCTTATCATTTTGGACGAAATCACCTAGGAAAACACCACCTGTCAATAAATTCAGTTTTCTGCTTTCCTACTTGCCTACGGCAAAGCTGCAAACCATTACCAAAGATAAGTTGTAGGGAAAAACAAGAATGTCTCAACAACACATTCTTAGTTGAGCCATTGAATCTCCATATTGCTGAGCCTTAATTTGAATCCGATATTAATGAGCAACAACTATGTTTGTTCTCTGGTCAATTTATTGTAAGCTCTACATAGCCAATTTTCCCAACCAGCTTCAGTCTCCTCAAATCTGTTTTGCCTCCCTGCTTCCACAATCTCATTTCTCTCTCTCTATGTCTTTACTGAACCAGACCATCTTCCTCATGCAAGTGATCTTGTCTACTGATACATAAATAAAGTAGAAGTTTTCAGGTGAAAATAACCTTAAATTGATGATATACAAGCTACCCACACATCCTCCATTTACATGCTCCTTTAAAATGGAGTGCATGTTCCTTAATCTTCTCTTGTGTCTTCCGTATCCCAATTGTTCCAGTCTTCTAAATACTTTGCTGCTAACTCAGTCTATTTTTTGTCTTCAAATTTCCACACTTAATGCATCTTTCAAAAAGATGAAATCATATCTGTCCTCAGAAATAATTTATTTAAGCCAGTGTGTCTATTTACTACTGAGCTGTTCTCCCTTTCCATCTGTGATTCTTATAAAAGACATATTTCTCACAATTTCTAGCCAGTCATTCTCGCCCTTCAACAAACTGGAATGTGGCTTCTGCCCTTGACTGCTTCATAGAAGCTGGCCTTTCTTCAGCCACAAACAATTCCACTGTGACAACTCAGTGCAGGAAATAAAGAATGACCTAGTAATAGCAAAGATATTTTTGGGCCGGGCGCAGTGGCTCATGCCTGTAATCCCAGCCCTTCGGGAGGCTGAGATGGGAAGATCACTTGAGGTCAGGAGTTCGAGACCAACCTGGCCAACATGGTGAAACCTCGTCTCTACTAAAAATACAAAAATTACCTGGGCATGGTGGCACATGCCTCTAATCCCAGCTACTCGGGAGGCAGAGGCAGGAGAAGTTCTTGAACCTGGGAAGCAGAGGTTGTGGTGAGCCGAGATCTCACCATTGCACTCCAGCCAGGGTGACAAGAATGGAATTCCATCTCAAAAAAAAAATACATATATATATATTTATTGTTGTTGTTGTTGTTGTTAGGAAAATACTATATTTACATTTTCAGTCCTAGCTTTCTTCTGTTTCCTGACACAGGCATACATGTTAGTATTTCTCACAAGCATCTGTCATACCTCTGAGAGTTCCTACTTCAGTAAATAGCACCATAATCCACCCAGTTGCTTAAGTCAGAAATCTGGATGTCTTTATTGGTATATTCCCTGAATCCTCCTCACATCTAGTCCCATCAGGATCTACTCAAAAATCTGGGAATGGTTCTTAACTGGTTTTGGAATAATGCTGAAAAGCCTTAGAAGGTCCACATGGCCCTGTAAGATCACCCCATGCCTACCACCTTCCTCTTCAGTGAGTACGCTCCAAACACATTGCATTCATATTTTAAAATATGCCTTGCTTTTACCTCCCTCTAGGCCTCAGAATTCCTTCTTCTCACTGTGTGGTATCCTCTTTATCCATCAATATCTTTTCATCCTTTAGGTTTTAGCTAAGATATTATTCCCTCAAAGACATTTTCAGAACCATCTCCCTCCAACTATATCACGTTATATCAAGTTTCTCTTTTATTCACTCTCAAAACACACTGTAATTTTTTCTTGAATGAATATAATGAGGTTTTTATAAATTAATGCTATGTTATTTTTTACCAGACAAGCCCTATGAGATAAGAAACTATGTCTCTCCAATACTCAGTACAATCTTATAGATAGTAACTGCTTACTAAATATGTTAATTTTATGTTTTTGTACCACAATTAGCACATAGGCATAGTACAAAAAAGTCACCAGATTAAAATATGTAAGCTAGACACTTTGGATTATTTTTAACCCAAATAAAAAAGATCAATTATCATAAAACATCACAGCAGATAAAAAAAAAAAAAAGGAAAGGCAAAATTCTTCAACAGTACAAAGCAGGTAGCCTTTACTTTTATAATCAACATGAGGTTAGAAGCTATTTTGTGAATTCAAATCAAGTCTTCATTTATAAACACTTTATTTCTTTGATAGTTTTATTCTTTTAAAATTTCAAAATATATATATATTCCAAAAATGTTAATTATAAATGAAGATTGTAGCTCTGTGATCAGGTGTTCCAGTTTCTTTATACACACACACATAGACACACACAGAGCTATGTGTACATATATATTTTTTATAATGTCCATAATCGTAGCAATGAAATTTCAGGTCATAGATTCAAACCTTTATGGCTATTATAGGGCCTCTGGAGGAATCTTGTTTAAGATTGTTAAAGATAGCATTCACAGTTAGAGTCCTAACCTTGGTAGATCATTAAATAAGAAACTACTAATGAGACATTCACTTCCTCTAGCCAATGCTTCTTTTTTATTCAGCATGACAGCATTCACACCATAACTGCAAACTAATCTGTTTTGTTTTGGAATCATAATTACGTATTGACAAGCTAAACTGTGAGACCTAAATAGGGGAACTTAAGCTATTATGGGAGCATTCTCATGGGGAAAACCTAAAGGGACATCAATTATTTTGCCACAATCTCACTCCTTTTCAATTTTCCATTCTTGTGTGCAATGAAATCCTGGGAGAAAAGAAGCTATAAAAAACTAGATGCAATACATTGCCTGGAGATTGAGAAATAGCTTCTATGGGTAATTAAAATAAAAACAGGTACAACTCATCAGTGAATTTATTCAAAGGAAAACATTTCTATCAGTGCAGTATATTTATTTTTATTTTTCATATAAATTTACACTAAAAAACTATAATATCAAACTATATATGTCTGTGTGTATACAAATACATATAATTATGAAGATATTATAACTGCTTGAATAAAAACAACACAAAATCTCATGGAAAAAGTAATTGACAAACTATCTCACTGAAAAATAACCTGGTATTATACAATTTAAATTCATTTTAAAAATCTTTGCTACTGTTACATGAGATAAGAATTATTGTTATTTATTTTGTCAGTGAACCAGTCTACTAACAAATAAATATATAGGAAATTAAAATTAGAAATATTACCATGTATACTATTTGCCAATAATATATAAATTGAGATGGATTTTAACATAAAAAATATTATTTCCAGAATTGATTCATTTTAAGCATAGAATTATTACTTGCAGGAACAAAACTCTATCCTGGACTTCAGAAACAGGAATTATAAAGTAAATAATAGAATCCAAAGTGAATAATAAGAGCATTTTTAAAATTTAAATTTTGTTTCATTAATGACATTAAAAAATAATATCTATATTATCAATATTATATGAACTCTATATTTGGAGCACAAAATACTCATATTGAGAGAAAGCTTGTTATGCTCTGACACCTATTTTGGAGATTAGTCATTGTCCCTCGTCAGTCAGTAGCCCAGAAATACACTGCATAGGATAGATAGTTCATATCCTTATTTCTATTACTTTTGTACCCCACTCCCCGCCCCCCTAACACACACAAATTGAAATAGAAGCAGCCTGGCTTACTGATAGGAGATTGCTTTCATATTTTCTTAAGTTTTTCAGTTCCACTTGAGTTGAAGAGCCTTAGTTATTGGTTAAAAGAGGGTTTTCAGAGTTATGGATTTTAGCACTTTGACTGAGGATTCAGATGCTCAGCAAACTTGGCTAAAACCTAGAAAATGACAGATGCATGAAAAGTTGAAAAAATAGGACACATAACTGTAAGCTCAGCTGATAAACTTCTGTCAGAGATTTATTATTTCTTAAAGTGCTGATGCTGAGGGAAAGGTGGAAAAACTAATTTCTGGTCCCTTAATCACAACTACTGATTAGCTTGAAATCAAAATTAATATTTGTCTCTATGTAAAATGTATACCATATATTTATCAAGAGATGATATAGATTATCTAAAAGTTTATTTTATGTATTTTCCCTAATGTATTCAATATGCTCCATAAAGACACTTGAAGCAAGTAAAAAATATAATTTACAAAGATACTTGTAAAGTAGAAAAATTTACTCTTTCAGATAATTTGTTAGAACACTCTTCAGTATCAAGGAAAACGTCATACCTTCTAGCCTCATATTATCTTCCTATTTGAATGTGATATTTACCTACTCAGGGGAGGCTGAAGCTGTAGTGAGAGTTTTCAACAGTGAGAACTGACTTTTGAGTTGAGTATTATTCATTGTCTGACTTCAAACAAATTGTTTCATGAGCTACATTTTTTTTTTCGTCTTTAGAGTGACGATAATAGCTACCCACCCCACAGGATGGCTGAGAGGATGAAATACTTGTAGTCAGCCTACTGTAGGTCCTGGATGATCATTCTACATGTTTGTTGAGTGGGTGTAGTTTGACTCATGGGAACAGAACAACTAGAAATTTTGCTTATGATAGCAACTTCTAAAACAGTGATCTCAAATGCTTCAATTTCAGACTAGCATATTTTACAAAGAAAAGAACAAATGTACAGCACTAGAAGCTATATTGAAGTCTCCAATAGTTCATGCATTAAGTAGAAAAAAGAAAAAGTCAGGCTTTGAATGGTCCATTAAACATCTAATTTCTTGTATTTATTCTTCTGTGTAAACAATGCTAAAAACAATGATTATAACATAATGACACATAATATGAGCTAAGAAAATTAATTCAGTAGCCATTTTGGGAGCCAACTGAGTTCACCCTGTTCTCTGCCAACTAGCCACACTTTCCTCTTCCTGTGAATTTCCAGTCAGTCTTTATGCTTCTTAAATCTTTGCACATCTGAGTGATCTTTACTATCTCTGCAAGGCAAGGTAACTTGCAATTCCATCATTGACCCTATTGGAGACACACAATGTGGGCCTTTGTTTTGTTGCTGTATGAGATAAAGAAGACCTATAAATCAACCAGTAAGGACTGGGACCTGTAGAATTGTGTAATGGCCACAAAAATTGCATATGTAATGGAAGCCCCTCTATTCTACAGGTACGTGGTTCCTTAATTGCCTTGTCTGTAGTTTTGGCATGCATAATAAATAAGAAATTCTTTCTCCTAAAATTGATGTTCCTATTAGTTTTATTTTGCAGTAGTCATTAGCTACAACTAAAATATAAATATATAAATCAAAATAAGTGTTACATAATGGAGATAATAAAATCTACTACATAAAATGACTTCATATAAATATACTGAAGTATATCAGCAGCTAAAATGCTAAACTTCGAACTGGAAAAATATTGCAACAGGGACAAGCAATGTTAAATTATTACCAAACAAAATAGTGCCACATTAATTTGTTGAAGGTCAAAAACATGAATAGGAAAATGACTGCTATGAGAAATATATTCCAATGGTAGAAAAATGGATTTTCGATGCTGACAATTTTGCTGTGAGCCTGGATATCTGATACCACGGTGTGATGGAGAAAAGAAGAGGTGAAAGAAAACTACCAATAGCAATCATTGTGGCAATAAAATTATAGTAAAAAATGGTCATATAAGTCAGTTAGATTAGACATATGTATGTATACCCATCCAATAAAAAGATTTGAAGTGGCTTGATTGTCTAAATGAGTATACTAAAATAGTGTCAGGCACACAGTAGGCTCTTAAATATCTGAGGAGAAAAAGAAGGATAAAAGGTAGCAAGGAAGGAAACATGATAAAGGTAGAATTCATCTCAGATCTATTTGACAAAACTAGTGTTCTTAACTATTAAGTTAGAAAGAAGTAATCTTCAAAGACCCCTCACTGGAGCACATTAAGTGAGCTGATACTGGAGATAATTTCAAAAGCCCAGGTAATATTTTCAGAGTCAAAATTAGATTTATACCATAAAAAGATTTTTGAAGATGTTCAAATACCTTTCTTTTATATATGTCTTTGATCTCTTAAGTTTCCAGGAGCAATAGGATATATACATCTCTAAAGATTATAGATTCAAGTCTAATATAAATATGTTAGTGTTAGAGTAAATGAATATTTTAATTAAAAGTTAATAAATAATTTCCTATAGTATCTGTATACAAACTTTGTATTTTCTTTACCCCATGTACATCTAACCAAATATTCTCTTATAATTATGTATCAACTTAAAACATCTTTGTTAAAATATTTGTCTCTTTTCTAAGAACTATTGGCATATACAACTATTTATTTTGAGATTATTTTCTTACTAGGTTGTTTGAGGCCTAGGATCTAGTGTTATATTCAGTTTTCTATCCTCGATACCTATCATTCTGTCTGGCACCTGGGAAATTGCCAATAAATGCTTGTTAAATAAGTATATGTCTGTTATCAGCATAAATGCATGTGTAGAAAGTCATTAAACCTTGAATGAAGTGCCTAATATTGTCAAATGCTAAGAAATATGGAGTGGGGTAGTGTGGGAGTATTTGTCAATGGTATGGACATCTTTCTGGGGTGATAAAACTGTTGTACAGTCATTAACACTATCAACTTTAGAACATTTTTATCACCCCAAAAAGATGTCCTTACCATTGACAAATACTTCCCACCACCACCCCACACTGTACAGCTTAGCATTTAACAATATTAGGCACTTCATTCAAAAAGCCATAGAAACGTACACTTTAAATGAGTGTATCTTATGATAAGCAAATATATGTTTCAAAATTGTTAAAAAGACAATAAGCTCAATAATTGCCACAATAATTTTGACAATTCTTCCCCCATCCATGCAAGCTGATGTCAAAAATAACTGAGAACAATCTGAACAGGAGAGGAAGATAGAAGTAACTATGAAAGATTACAGAGGTGGGTGTCTTCTTAATGCTGAACATGGCGTTATTTCTAGCCACGGTGGTGGTCAGCAACTCTGATCTATAGGCTACAGCCTCTCCAAATTTTATTTCCACTGATATCCTTTCATTTATGAAGCTGTAATTCTTACATTAAAGTCTTTACACCCATTTTTGAAAATGCTATGAGAGCTACTAAACTTTACCATAAAATGAGGAATGCCTCACATTTGTCACAAATAGAAACCATGAAATGGTAATTTTTGAATTCCAGACAACAAAACATTGTAAATAGATTATGTCTGAAAAATGCTTTAGCTTACTACAACAAATTTTAAAAAGCAAATCAAAGTTTTAAAACTTTAAAACTTTATTGTCACTGGCAACTCAGTATCATTCTATGGATGAGCTAAAATAAGCCTTAAGATAGCATAATTATTAAACCAGACCATATTTTGCTATGTGAAGGTTTCTTGCAATACTGGGTAGTGAATAATAAGGAGATTAACATTAAACACACCATCTGTTGTGCGTTTTTTGTCTCAAAGAAGATGCACAGCAAAAGTGAATTCCCTGAAGTACAATGTTATCAGAGATGCTTTTAATTATAGTATTTATTCCTTTTCCTCACAAGAACAAACTTACATTGGAAGGGAGAATGCAGACAAAAGATGGGTAAAAGGAAGGACGTTACTTCAAACTTAAAAACAAAAAGTTTTCTTCATGAAGCAGAATCATTTAATTACTCTAAGATTTCCTGAAAGGATTTCAATTTCATCCACAAAAATTGAATTATATCCATGTGTGCCCAAGAAATGAAGTGTGCCAGGTGCTGCTGTAAAAACAAGCAACTCAATGGCAGTCCCCATTTCTTTCTTCAGTTTCTTTGTGGTTCAATTGCCTACCACTGGAAGCTGTGCCTCAGAGATCTACATAATAATACAAAACTTATACCGTCCACCAGTCATCCTATTTAGATCTTGAAAAATGTACCTCATCTAGTCAGCATAATGACTATTCATATGGATATGGAACACAGGATCTGCTAATCTATTTCTCTTCACGTCTTTGTCCCTTTTCAGTTTAGAACTTAAATCTTCCTCTGGAAAGCCAATGAGAATCCCATACTTCATGATATCATTCTGGGTAATGTCTTGAGACCAAAGTGTATATCATTACACACCTAACCTATCATAATGAGATAGAAAAGTACTCTTATTTTTATTAAGAAGGACAGAAATTGCATTCTGTTCTCTTAAAAAATAATAATTTTGGCTTACCTTTGGAATTTCACACTGTTATATTCCATATTAGAAGAATAGATTATGTCTTTACTAGATAGCACCCATGCTAAGAATAATCTGGATAAGGTAAAATGTTGTTAAGTCATTTAAGCAATTATCCTGATATTTCACTCATCTCAAAAAGCTATTCATTTCACATTAAAGATAAAACAATGTCGGGCATGGTGGCCTGTAATCCCAGCACTTTGGGAGGTCAAGGCAGGAGGACCAATTGAGGTCAGGAGTTCAACACCAGCCTGGACAACATGGCAAAACCCTTTCTCTACTAAAAATACAAAAATTAACCTTGTGTGGTGTTGTACACCTGTAGTCCCAGCTACTTGAGAGGCTGAGGCAGGAGGATCACCTGAGCCTGGGAGGTGGAGGTTGCAGTGAGCCAACATCACGCCACTGCACTCCAGCTGGGTGACAGAGTGAGACCCTGTCTCAAACAAATGAATAAATAAATAAATAAAACAGATAAAATATTAACGAGTTGACTGATATTGCTACTTCAAGAGAGCCTTGTTCTTTTAACATTTCTTTATATGAAAGATATCCTTGTGTGAACTCCTACATTCAGTGTAATTACTTTAGATTATATTTCATAAGCATTTCCAATGCTGAAGGTACTATGAAGTCCAGTGTCTTGTCAGACTATGACTCTTTGGTCAACACTACCTAAATAGTATGGAGGGATAAACAATAAATAGACAACTACATTTGAAATCGTGAATATAAATCCTCTATTTACTCTCCACCCAAACACATGATTATCTCTCATCTGGTTTAGATTCCTCCTTTTATCTGAACCCCTCTACCACGTTTAGTAGTCTTTTAGACCTCATTTACATTTTGTCCTCTGCTAAATAAGATCCACACATGGGCATAAGAATGCTCTTGAAATTGTATGTGCATGCTTTTTTTTTTTTTTTAATGCATTGGTTCATTTTGGCGTCATGAACTATTTGCATAATGTGATTAAAGAAATGAATATCCTCTTCAGGAAAAAAATGCATATATACATTTAATAAAATAAATAAATGCATAAAGGTCATCCGCCTACAACATCATGTTCATTTTAACTTACTCGATTATAATTTCTTACCACTTGATTATCTACTCAATGTTTAAGAATAAAACTCTTAGGCTGGGCATGGTGGCTCACGCCTGTAATCCCAGCACTTCAGGAGGCTGAGGCAGGTGGATCACGAGGTCAGGAGATTGAGATCATCCTGGCTAACACAGTGAAAACCTGTCTCTACTAAAAATACAAAAAATTGGCTGGGCTTGGGGGGACGCGCCTATAGTCCCAGCTACTCGGGAGGCTGAGGTAGGAGAGCCACTTGAATTCCGGCGGGGCGGAAGTTACAGTGCGCTGAGATCCCGCCACTGTACTCCAGTCTGGGTGACAGAGTGAGACTCCCTCTCAAAAAAAAAAAAAGAATAAAACTCTTTGAAATAGTTTGTTATTTCTTGTTCTATTTAATCATGTTCTCTGTTTAGCAAGAAATTATGCTGTTTAGGTAAGAAATACTCCACGGAAAAGCGTAAGAATGCTACTTCCACTGTGAAACAAACATAATTTTTGTAAGAAGATTTTTTGTTTCTTCATTTTATGGAACAGAGAAATATAACTTCTTGCTAACTGTTCCAAGAGTTTAAAATGGTGGCCAACAGAAATACTATCATTATCATTTTTTTAATCTGCAGCTCACTACATGTAGGTTATACAGATGTTGTGAGCTGATGTTACCATTTACATAGTCAAACTATAATTTGGCCTTTCCTGCTTTGTGTATGTTTTCTCTCATGTAAAAAGCCCAAAACCTACGCCTCACAAGTAAGATTACATCCAAACCCATTGCAGACACTTTGATTGTTTGAGAGAACCCAGTCAGGTAGTATGTTGTGTTGTGTTTGATTTGAGTCAATGGCTTTGCAAGGAACTAAAAACATCTGGCTAATTTTTTAGTTTATCAAAGGATTGTGATTCGGTTATTAGATACAGTAGAAACTTGTGGTTAAGGAAAAGGGATACCCTCACTTTATGATCTATATCTTACAAGTTTTATATCATATTAATAGAACGCACTGAATCACAGTGCAATATCTCAAAGCAATCCGAATAAAATATATACTCAACGGAATGATTTTTGAGTACAGAATTAATCATTGAGTACAGAATTTCTCACAAAAGCACCAATTCCAAGATTGACACTAAATATTACTGCTAACAACAACCTAGGCATTTTATTTTGCTTACAAGTTTCCTAAAGTTGCTAAAATATTGAACAAAGTCGATAAACATTAGATATTGTCACCGTGCAATCCTTAAATAAGTGATTCATTTAAGTTTCAGTTACTTCAAGATCAATGGATTCATTATGCCGCTATAACATTTATTTAAACCCAAATATATATTTTTCTAGATCATTTCGAACTCTGGAAAAATATAATTTAAATACTTTTACAGTAGTCTTCATCATATTAAAGCCTGTCAAAATATGTGACTAGTAATTCAAACAGCATTTATTTAACTCCAAATATATACAAGGAATGGTAGTTGATAGAGGAAGGAATGAAATATAGTTACTGGCCTGTAGAGGCTCACGATGGAAATGGGAGGCAGTTTTTTAAGTGCTAAGAAGCACCTATCTTAAGAATATGAGGTGAAGAGTTTAATTGAAACTAGCAATAAGCAAAGAACAGTGCGAAAAGAAGGTGGTATTTAAAATGTAGATTTAAAAAAATCTGTTATGTAAGGAAAGTGATACGGTCATCCCAGTTACAGAAAATTGTTTGTAGAAAGGCATATGATTAGAAAAACAAAGGCATATGATTGGGGGTAGGGGGTAGGATAGAATTAGAAATTTGAGGGACTGAGGTATGGGGGTTCATATTCAGAGAGTGCACCAAGAACTACAAAATATTGAGTAGGAAATTTGATGGTAAGAAAGTGCTGTTAAGATATCATAGGCATGTGACCTGTGGTGCATGCATTTATTTATTTTATTAAATGCATATATGCATTATTTTTCTGAAGAGAATTTTTATTTCCTGTATGAGACACATAAAAATAGAAAATTCTCTTTGTACTATATAAAGTTTTGATTATCTGTGAGAAATTGAAACTAGTTAGGTAGTTTTTCAATATAGCTAGTACCTTTACCATCCCCCCCAAAAAATCTGACGCAATTAAAATTAATGTAAAGGTATATCTCCCCTTATTTTTAACAGATTCTTATCTCTGCATTCCTGAGCAAACCTCCTGAATAAGTGAGATTCATCAAGTCTCCTTCTTGCCTTATCAATCTATTTTTTTAAAGTAAAATATGTTGCTTTAAAAATATTATATCTCTTCATTTAAGAACTTAAAAAATATTTCAGCAATCAGATCCCTTAACGCATTCCCCAGTATTCATTATTTTATCTTAAAAATAGTTGCATTGTCATAAAATGAAAATCTAATGACACTAACACTAGGCAGAAAACTTGATGATAACCTCACTTATTCTGTCAGAGAACCTCAGGAGTGGCCTGTGATGACACTGGTCTTTTTCTTTCTTTCTTTCTTTTCTTCTCTTTTAAAGGACTAGCAATTACATTGGACTGTATTGCGGTGTGCAGAGGTGAACAAATGATCTTAGAATAAGAATATATGACCAACAAATTCAGTTTCAGTTTTGACCTAAGACAAAGAGACAAAAAGTGGTCTTTTGTGGTCAACCCTCTGCATTTCAAGCAGAGCCCATTAAATGAGTGATTTATCTTGGGTCAAGACTATTGGGTTAGCACATTATATCTCTGTGAGATAAGCTTGCTCCATTTCAACCCACATCAAACAAAGACCTTATTTAAAAGTTCTAGCTATGAGACAGGAGCAAGGGAAAGCATTCACAACTGAGAGTGAGAGGATACCCTTGTTAACTAAATGATGGCTTAATAGCTTTATTTAGATTATTCAATAGATTCAGGGAGAAATGAGTATAAATAAATTAAAAGTAGGGAAAGTATCAGCATAATGACAGATTAATGACACAATATTTGCAAAACAAAATAATCAGTGATCCAAAGTAATGCTATATAATAGATGCACACATAGAGAGAGAGATACATTAAATAAAATTTAAAATTTAGAAATTAATTATAGATTGTTTATTTTAATTGATTCTAATTTTCAATCCAAGCAATGGTTTTTTGAAGAAAGTAATGATGTGACATTATATGCATTCCTGAGAAAAGATCTAAGTGTGCACCTATTTGCCTTTGCAGCAAGATCAGATGAGATCTGGGCTCAGCTGTTATGGCTAGAATGGTTGGGGCGCTCTTCCTCCAGGAGGCTAGCCCAGGCTGCTTGGTACAGAAGTCTCAAGGTTCACAGCAACAAACAGAGCAAAATCCAATGTAAAAACACTTTTCAAACCTCTGCTGACACCACATTTGTTAACACATAATTGGCCCGAGGAAGGGAAATGACACTCCTAGATAGATTGTGTGGTGAAATATATTTCACCACTAGACAAGAGGAGTTGCAAACTACTGACACATCAAAAAACCCTACTGTAATACTATTATTACACAATATGCTCATGACTTAAAATTTTAGGTGGCAAACGTGGAAATAAATTCAAAGTTCCTGGTTAACATAATCTGTTATTTCTAAAAATAGATTTTAAACAACCTCTCATCTCATCATGAGTATCAACACTTTTGTTGTTGTAAAAGTAAGTAGATTTTATTGACTGAAACACTACTAATTCCCTGACCATATGAATGTAACTTATTAGCAGGAAAAATGAAAATAAAATTAATATATTATCACTGCGAGTACGGCACCCGTCAGCTGGGCACGGTAATACCAGCACTTTAGGAGGCCAAAGCAAGAAGATCACTTGAGCCCATGAGTTCCAGACGAGCCTGGGCAACATAGTGAGACCTTGTCTCTACAAAAAATATTTGAAAATTAGCTGGGCATGGTGGCAAAAAACTCTAGTCCCAACTACTCAGGAGACTGAAGTAAGAGGATCCCTTGAGCCCACAGGGTTGAGGCTACAGTGAGACATGATTGGACCACTGTACTCCACTGTGGGAAACAGAGTGAGACCCTGTCTCAAACAAAACAAAACAAAACAAAACAAAAAGACTATGGTATAAATCAAGTCTTTGGTTGACACAAACATACAAACAAAAAGAACATCATATTAAATAGAAAAAAAAAGATCTTAGATCTCATCTTCATTAGCTACCATCTTCTGAGCAATTATATAAGGAAAATCTGAAGGCAATGTTGTGTTAGCACTCTAAAGGTAAACCACCTTCAGTAACCATGAAATTTATTTAGCTGCTGTCATCACTACATGCTTCCAGCTAGGAGAACATCAATGTCTGTTTTCAGAGCTCTCAACCCCAGTTATTTATCAGAATTGGCAGATGGATGGCCTAGTGCTATGTGAAAGTAGCTTCCTGAAAATACAGTACTCTGTGTGTATGTGGGGTTCAGGTTTCTAAGATCGTCAGAGGTAGACTTCCTGAATCACTTCCTAAATGATCTTTTTTCATGGGAATGAATGGTTCAGCAATACAACAGAAGTGAACTTGCAGGATTATTAAAAAAAAAAAAAAGAAAGTTTTGGAGATTATAAAATCATTCATGAAACAAACTTTCAAACCAAATAAAATATTGCCCAAAGAATCAAGAATGCTAAACAGGTAGAGGATAATAATTCATGAACTTTCACATCTTTAGTGGACCTCATGCTTTTGGTTGAATGTCGCTCACCTCTAAGATATCTCTGCTGCTCCCTCCCTCTTGCAGCTATCTTGTTCTTTGATATTCTGGGAGACTGGGTAAAGGAAGAGAAAAACTGACCATAACCTCTTCACTTTTTCTTTACAATAACTTTGTAAAAAATCATTTCTAGCTTGACAGAATTTCCCTGTGGCATTGGGCCACCTTCACATAGACATCTATAATTTTTCTCCTGCTTGAAACAATCTCCTACATGCCACTCTTGTTAATGACGGAGATACCCCCTGATGGTGCTTAACATTTAATAGTGCTAGAGCTCCAGATTTACCCAAACAACCTTTTCCATTTACCTTACCTCAAAGGCCTTCTAATTTTTCTTCAGAGACAGAAATCCTTTAAGACCATTGTATCCTTAGGCTACAAATTTACTGAGATTTAGGTTTCCAATAAGAGCGTTGAGATGAATGCCACCATCTCATTTATGAATCAATTTTTGCCCATCGGCTTTTTACTGTTATTACTTTTTATTTTATTTTGCACTCAAAGGAGAGAACGTCATATATATATATATATATGTATGTATATACACACACACACATATATATGCACACTTCATATGTTTAAACTTTTGAAAATTTACATAAAATTAAAATCAGTGCACAAGGAAATTTCTAAATAATTTTTTTTCCCTACAATCTATTATACCTTGTCATTCATTTCTATGTTCACTGGAGAAAGGCATTCAGGATAAAATTCCTGAGGATTACATTTAGAGCTGTTAAACAAGTTCTTTTCTTGAAGATAATTCATGAAATGCAATATAGCTGACAGTATGATATATGCCATGTAATTGCATGGCTTGGGGTTCTAATGCAGTGTGTTGAAGTTAAAAAAAAAAACTACAGATAAAAATTCCATTTTTTCAGGGGAATTACAACTCCATTATTACGAGAACTTTTTAAAAATTTCATTTTTTTACAAAAAAAGAACAGAAAAAAGTGAAGTTTTAAGTTCCTTAGTAATCAATATTTCTGAAGGATTTCCCATTTTCCCTTTGACTTTTGTTGTTTTCAGATGTATATGTTATATAAAATGTTCCCTTTTACCTAAGCCAAAATGTTGCTTTAGTCGTTGGTTATCTCTCAACTAGTTCCAAAAGAAAATTAAATATGTCCTATTCTTTAAACCCAACTAATTGAAGAGTTACTGTATGTATGCCTTATAAATAAAATGTTTCCGTACCTACATAACTTCTAATCATGCTTATATTTACAGATTAGAAAGAGCCACTGTACTTGAAAGAAAGCAATCATCTCTGAGAGCTCTTCAATTACAACGAAATTGTCAGCTAGATAGAAGGAATTAATACTAGTGTTTGATACCACCTTACGATGACTATAGGTAACAAAAATACATGATTTAGTTTAATATAGCTTGAAGGAGGATATATTTATGATGATGAATATGCTAATTACCCCGATCTGATCATTCTATTTTATATGTAGCAAAACCTTGCCCTGTACTCAGTAAATATACACAATTATTGTGGATCAGTAAAGAAAATAAAATGCAATTAGAAAGTATAGAGCGGAATCTCATGAATATTAAAATATTAATTACAAAATAGCTATATGGGATAGTCATATAAGATGGCATAACTTGAAAACCAGAGTTCCATTGATTCCCTCAAGGCTCCTAAGTGCCTGGGAGTTATTTGGAGAGGTAGGGATGCTGGTGATGTGGGAGCAGCGATGAATCCTTCCAGGGTGGGCAACAGGCTGAACTCTGGCTCTCTTATCCTATTTTCAACTATAACAGCTGTTTTATATTCCAAATAATACTGCAGTTGATTGAAAAGTCCTCTAATTTAAGAAATTAAGAGTTTGAGAATACATATTATAGTTAAATGAAATAACTTTATATCTGGTGAGATTGTGATTGCAGAAATTTCACACAGATATTAATAAGAAGAAATTTTTTCTTTTAAATATTAGTATTCAAATTATTCCATGTGGTTCTATAAAAGTATAATTTTTTAAAAGTATGATTTAATGAGAAGGCAGAATCCAATATATTATGTCATGTCATGAACCAATTGGCTGCCTTATTGGCCAAAATAAAAGCAGAGTGTTATGGATTTTGTGCACACAAAGTTTCATCATCTAATGGGAAAAATACGGAGAACCCTAACAAAATTAATTCTCAGTCTGTTCCCATAGATATCATGTAAATTTGTTTCATGTTGTTTTAAGGTTTCCTATTTTTATGCATTTATATAGGTTAGTATGATTTAAACTAACGAATCAACCAAACAAAATTGATGGCAATTGTATTCCAGAGTGACAATTTAAGTACCATGAGATAATGTTCATATTGAGGCTTTGATAAGAAATTCTTAAGTTTATAAAAAGCTCTTAACATGATTAATAACTCCAACTAATATTCTAAATATATTAAATATAATAAACATGAGACAAAGTCTTTTTCAAAGTTATCTAAGTTCATGTTAAACTATGAATTGGTTGGTACACAACCAAATGAAAATTAGATTCTGCATATAAAATAATAACTTTCTGGGACAAAAAATCCACATGCTATTTAGCAGGGAATGAAGGTCCTTTCAAGGAAATATAGATCTAATCTGTGTTTACCATTTTCAGAAAATGACTGGAAGTTAAGCTAATTGTAACATAACACTGTTTGTTGAAACTTGTTCTCAGTGTTTGCTTTTGATATTTATTGCACAGGTATAGTATAGGTTGAAAACAATGTTTCTTAAAATTCACTTTTCTAGCTCACACTCAGAAATCCTAAAACTAAGTACAAAAGAGTAAGTGCACGTCTTTAACTCCCTAGACTTAAAAAATTTGTATTTTCTTTATATATAGCTCTATTTCTCCATTTACATCCTCATATTGATTTATTCTCTTCTTTCATTAAATATATAACAATAGCATATATAATTTAACACAAAGTTTTCTTTCTTTTAAATATCAGTATCCAAATAAACCCAAAACATGTGGTTCTGTAAAAATATGATTTTAAAAGAAATATAGAATTACAACAAGACTCTAGACAATCTTTACTTGATGTTTAAAAATATGTACTTCACTTCTTTATTATTTAATGTTTCAAGTTAATGTTAGTCTATAATAACAAAACAGAAGTTTGTTTTCTATATTTGTTTCAGTTAAAACGTTCTATGGGAATTTTGTATTTATGTCCCAAAGGAGGCATCAATTCATAATTCAATTTTTGTCTTTGAATAATTTTGATATTAGACCTAGTTTATTGTTTTGCACATAATAAACCAGTGATATATTGGTTTACACAGAATCTCATACACTTTATGCAGCTGTTTTCATGCCAATATTTTGTAAATACATGATCTAAATAAAATATATTTCTCATTCAAATCTGGATTTTTCTAATACTGCATTTATCTTAAGATAAATCACATTAAAGGTATAGCAGTATGGAAAATAAAGCCAATATAAACCAAAATTTACACATAGATGGTAACTATCTAAAAAAAAAACAAAAAAAAAAGCTAAGAGCAAAAATCTCACTTTAGGAGTCTTATCAAGTAGTGTGATTTACTGCAATACAGAAAGCAGCCAAATTAAACAGAAATCAATTAGCATGTAACAAGTAATGATCAGCTATGATTTAAGCTTCAAGGAAAGATGAGTTGACTCAGACAGAATAACAATTGGCCTAGAACATATTTTAATTTGTAATTATCTGACAACAATGAATTTTGAATAAGCCATTAAAAAAAACCTCTGCAATGCTTATAGGATTTAAAATACTGAAATAGTATAAAATTCTAAGAGTTTAGTTATCTTAATATAAAGTGTTGCAGGTTGGGAGGGGGGGCTCATTCTGCAAGGAAAACAAGATGATAAAATAATTTAGAATATTAAATTATCTGCATAATTTAAACATTACATTATAACATTACAAGTAAACAAAGTGTGTTCTCATGATTAATCTTGATAGAAAAGTATCCACTGAAAATATGACAAGAAAGAAAGAAAATTGAAAACATCTGCTGCTTATGTGAGGTCAACTATTTAATGAATTCTACATCACCCAGAGAGACTTTCAGGGGGTATAAATGTGATGTGAGCCTCTCTGTAGTAGTACTTATCAATATAATGAAATACAAATAAATACAATAAGATAGAGGCCTTTTTTATAACCTGAAAGTGATTGGACTAAATTCATCATTAAGAAAAGGCAAGGTTCAATCAACCAAGCAGTGCTTTGTGTTCAACAAAACAACAACAAAAAAATAGAACACAATTTCGGTTAACTAGAATTCTGGGCAGGATACATGATCAATCCCCTGCCCTTGTTAACTCAGAGATCAGTATCAAGCTTCCAATGATGGGGGGAAGAAAGGAAGAAAGGGTCTAAAATATTCTATTTCATGCTTTCCTGCCTCAATATTTAATAGTTAATTGATGGTTCAGAACTTTTCAGAGTGCAGTACTACTGAAATTTGATATATCTTTGGCTCAAGACATTAAAAGCAAAAGAAATTAACTTAATCTACATTGACAGCAGGAATATACAGTGCTTCTCAAAAACAATCGCGTTTACCTTTATTTTCTGTGATTTTTCTCTTCTAAAAATCAAGTGTAGAAGAAACATTCCATGAATTGAGGATTTTATAGTGTTTTATTCCAGATACATGTGTTTTTTACTATAACTGGTTTGTTTGAACCTTTTCTCATTTTATCTATGTTGTCTATTGTAAGGCAAATGCAGATTAACTCTCTGTAATATTAGTGTAGGAAAGTGACAATCAAACAGTTCAAAAGAACAGAACAAGGAGAAAATGACCAGAATAAAAGAAGTTATAACAATAGTTGTTTCTTCAGGGGTTAAGATTACTTTACGTGAAAATGTTTAGTAAGTGAAATGTTTAGGATAGATATAATTTAATGTCAGAGGAAAAATTTAAAACTGAAAATAACATTTTCATATAGTTGATTTTCTATGATCTTAAATACAAAATAAGCATTATTTGGACATTTATTTTCCACTCCACCTGAAGGTTAAGGATGACAGCAACAACAAAGGCCCAAGGAAAGATACAATCTGAAGAATATGGTAGACAATGAATCCTTAAATCTCTATCAATGGTTCTGTAATTTTATCTAAATTTGGAAATATTTGTTAAGAGCTGATAAAATTTCATGGTACATTTTTGGTATATGATTAGATGCAGTGCTTATACGCATCCAATGTTTACGTATAGATGCCTGATTGAAGAACATCTTCGGAGGACTATTGTCATTTTGCAAGGCAATTTTAATGGTGTTGAATTAATCAGAGCTAGATTTTCACTGTTGTATCAGAAACAAATTATCATGATATGGCTGGAAGACATGGAATGCAATGAATTGATATATGAATTTTTAAAAATAAATTCAGGAAAAGCAGATATGGAATAGATTTTCTATAATTATATATTCTTCCCCTAGAAAGTGGTTTTCATGTGGATACAGTAGTCTAAAGCTGAATAAAGATGCCACCATATTTGTAAGTGATGTTGCTTTATGACTGAGTATATATTATTCTGTATATAAAAATCATTTGTAAGAAGCAGAAAACATTAAAATACCTCGTGGTTTTTCTTATAGGAGAAAAATTTTTGACAATGGTCATAGAGCCAGAAAATCTATTTCTCCAGTACCTCAAAAGCATTAGTTAATAGTCTAATTACAAATATCTGTGGAAAACATTCTTTTTGAAGCAGGAAGGGGAAAATCTTTGCTTTTGTTTTATTTTTAAATATATGTTTGTATTTGAAAACCAAAGAGAATAAATAATTTTTCAAAGGATGAAATTGATTTGTGATTTGTAATTTGTTGTACTTTGTTAATAATTTTCTTCAACATGACATCAAATTCTTCTACACATCTGTAGAATATGTAGATAGTACTCATCAGAATTTGGAGCATGAAGAGGTTAATATTATTATATATAA
The DNA here is from genome assembly GCF_000001405.40 of Homo sapiens. Lineage (NCBI taxonomy): Eukaryota > Metazoa > Chordata > Mammalia > Primates > Hominidae > Homo > Homo sapiens. The sequence goes on from NC_000013.11 coordinate 66,593,936, forward strand.
AGTTTTTTTATAGTCTTTAATCATTAGTTTTTTTTCAGGAATAGTGGTGTTTTGGACAACACGTGATATGGCATAAGTGACACAGTTACTGTTTTTTAATACAACATACCACAGGACTACACAAAATATCTATTTGGAAATAGAGCTTCACTAAAGTTAAGCTAATTTAGAAGTGATGCATTGGGACAGAATATTTTTTGAAGTCAGAATAATATGACTAAGAAATGTGTTATATGAGGGCACAGAGATGAAAAAATATCCATAACATTTTCAGGAGAACAGTATTCTATTTAGCCAGCCACAACATTTGAACATCATCTTTCGAATCAAAGGCAAAAAGCAAAGAAAACCTCCAGCCATGGCCCTGTGAAAAATCATCCAGATGGAAAATTTCTGTGAAAGAAACGTGCAACTACCACTCCAATGTCTTACTTTAAGAAAAATAAACAGGTTTTGAATATAAAAATATTGATGAGCCCAGATTATAATTGACTATGATAGCCAAAATTAAGGTAACATCAGGTTACTTTTTGTTTATTTTATTTTATTTTATTTTATTTTATTTTATTTTATTTTATTTTATTTTAAGTTCTGGGGTACATGTGCAAGATGTACAGGTTTGTTAAAAAGGTAAACATGTGCCATGGTGGTTTGCTACACCTGTCAACCCATCACCTAGATATTAAGCCCAGAATGCATCAGCTATTTTTCCTAATGCTCTCCCCACCCTCCTCCATCAGGTCCCAGTGTGTGTTGTTCCCCTCCCTGTTGTGTTCTCATTGTTCAGCTCCAACTTATAAATGAGAACATGTAGTGTTTGGTTTTCTGTTCCCGCATTAGTTTGCAGAGGATAATGGCTTCCAGCTTCATCCATGTCCCTGCAAAGGACATAATCTTGTTCCTTTTTATGGCTGCATAGTATTCCACAGTGTTGATTAAATAAATGATTGCAGCTTTGATCTTTTAAGGACAAATTAAAATGACAAATAAGAGGCTTAATGTTGAAAGTAACGGAAGAGCTACTCCTCCCCTTCTTTTTCTTAGAGCATTTACTCAAAAAAAAAAAAAAAACTTAAAATCCTAAGTCCTTTTTCTTTTCCCTCTCTAAAATAAGTGCACACACACACACAAACACACACATTTTTTTGAAAACTATATAGGCCTCTGGAGATAGGCCTTCTGTCAGCTTAATGGCTCAGGGATGTCTTTCTCAAGAACCTGGGAACATCTCTTTGAAATGTAAACACATCAAGAGAGAAAGCATTTTTTTTTCCACTTTCTGTGGGAAGGTAGGAGCCTAACTTTTGTGGGAACCTTGCTCCAATTTGCAAACCTACCTCCTGTCATAAAGATATGAGTAGTGTGTTTATCTTCTGGACAAAATCCAATTAACCAACACACATGATCACCCCAATTGCCAGGAGAAGTTATGTTGAACTATGTGTGACAAATGGTCCTGTCAAGTTTTCTTAATTGAGGACTAATTATTGTTTATCTTGAAAACATGGGTATAATGCATTGTATATGCTTGGTTATATAAAGGGGTGAGATTTCTTTCTGTGTTTGCAGTCTCTTAGTGGATGGCTTATCATGAGCATCACATTCTAATTTAAGGCTTATTCAATTATATGTGTTTTCTTCCTCTATTGCCTTTATGAAGAGGATTTCTGATTTGTTAGAAGATTGTTTATAATTGTAATCTCTCAATAATGACAAAAGTAGCCAGAAACCAAGAATTCAGGATATTTGCACTGAGAAAAAATACGTTAACTTTTTTATTAGTAGTGGAATAAAGTAGACTTATGAATAGTCATTGGTAATCACATTCTGCATACAATATATTAACGTATAGGAATTATTGCTTCTGTAGATAAAAATGAATAAATATAAACCCTGAAAAGATTGTAAGATTCTTAGCAGATAAACACCAGCGTAAAGTAAGCGAAAAGAGAAAGACTATGACCTTTCAAAATAAACGTAAAATTTAGCATAATCTTCTAGCAGAATAGGATTTTAAAAATGCATAGAATTGTATATGAAATGCACAAGGTCAAAGACTGCATTAATAAACATTAAGAAATATTCATTTTTAATCAATAAGATCATTTAACAATAATTTGTGATAAATCATTACAAACAAAACCAGAATATATTAGATTCCCATGATTCAAAAGAAAATCACATCATTTTGATCCAATATTGAAGGTAACTAAGGAATGAAAAATTGTCTTCCATGTTCTGTAGGGATTTATTTTATTTCATGCACAACAAATGATTAATATTACATACTGTTTTGTCCAGACAGAGAAAAATTGTTATTACAGGCCTTCATTAAACTTATCTGTTCTCTGTCTCATTTCCCAACAAATGATTCTTTAATGAATACATAATCAAATTGAACAGTGTCCATTTGTTTTAGAAGAATTTTCACATTTAAAAAATAAAATCCAGAGATTAAAATAAGATGATTCCATGTAAGCTTGTGTGCATATAAATGCATATTCACACAAGTATATAAGAATGCATGTACATATATACACCCATATATGTGTAAATTTCAAACAGATGCATTATATTTTCATTTCTTCTATATGTTACACATATTGCTAGACATTTGCTATTTGAAATCTTTCTTTTTAAAATTTTACATGTGACCAACATAATTAAATGGATGCATCAAATACGAGAACGTGACAAGAAAGTTCTCTATCACTGGATCATTGTTTTAGCTTAACCATAATATGTCAAATGATCAAAAATTTCAGAAATATTTGAAATCTATATGATGTAATTCTCATATATACTTTGTAATTATTCATTGCCTTACTGGAAATTTTTTTTCATTCATTTTTCCCCAATTAACCTCTTTTATAATACAAAAAAAAAAACATGGCTTGAGTTGTTTGTGCTGTAGCTTGTGCTGTAGCAGAACATGGCTATTCTTTTTTTTTTTTTATTCTAAAAAGTTTATTGTTGTACCTTTCTCATTTAGAGTTACCACCCATCTGGAAAGTACTTTCTATGTATAGCGTTAGGTAGGGGTCATATTTCATTTTATCCACATGGATATCCAATTGACTTAGTATCATTTTCTGAAAAAAATCAATAAACCTTTTCTCATTATAATTCATTGTCATCTTTGACATTAGTCAGCTGACCATCTATGTCTTTAAAAATAAAGAACTAGTCAATGGATAGACATCCCATGTTCATGGGTTAGAAGACTCAATATTGTTAAAAATATCCACACTACCCAAAGTGATCTGCAGACCCAGAGCAATCCATTTCAAACTCTCAATGACATTTATTTACAGAAATGGAAAAAAATCCAATAATTAATAAGGTACCACAAAGGACCTTCAAAGTAGAAGCTTTATATTCCTGACTTCAAAATAAGCTACAAAGCTACACTAATCAAAACAGGATGGTACTGGCATAAAGACAGACATATGGACCAATGGAACAGAATGAAGAGCCCAGAAATAAACTCACGTATATACAGTCAAATGATCTTCAAGAGGTTGCCAAGACGACACAATGGGGAAAGGATAGTCCCTTCAACAAATGGTGCTGGGAAGACTGGACATCCACATGCAAAAGAATGAAATCAGACCCCTATCCCACATCATACACAAACATCAACTCAAGATGGAGTAAAGACTCAACAACAAGACCCGAAACCATAAAACTCCTAGATGAAAACATGGAGGAAAGCCTTTATAACATCGTTCTTGGCAGTAGTTTCCTGGATATGACACCAAAAGCATAGGCAACAAAACAAAAATAGAGAAGTGAGACTACAACAAACTAAAAGGCATCTGTTGCAGCAAAGGAAACAATCACCAGAGACAGAAGCCAACCTATGGAATGGGAGAAAATATTCGCAAACCATATATCTGATAAGAGATTGAAATCCAAAATATATAAGGAACTTATTCAACTCAGTAACAAATTTAAAAAATGGGAAAAAGTCTTGAATAGACACTTCTCCAAAAAAAAACAAAGATGCATACAAATGGCCAACAGACATATAAAACATGCCTAACATCACTAATTGTCAGAGAAATGGAAATCAAAACCACAACAAGATATCACTCCTCACCTGTCAGGATGGTCATTATTTTAAAAAAGAAATCCCCTGAAAATAACAAGTGTTGGCAACAATGTGGAGAAATTAGAACCTTTTTACACTGTTGGTGGGAATGCAAAATGGCGTGACCACTACAGAAAATGGTATGGAGTTCCTCTGCAAATTTAAAATAGAACTGTAATATGACCCAACAATCTCACTTCTGGGTATCTATCCAGAAAAATTGAATTTAAGATTTGGAAGCAATATTTAGAACATGGCTATTCTAAAGATAACCTAATTTTTTTCTTGTTTTGTTTTGTTACCTTTACATTAAATGGAAAAGTAAATATAGAGGATACACAGAAACAAAAGACAAGTTGATAGAGAATTGTTCAAATATTGTAACAGTTTATATTTAAGATTATGCTTAAGAAATTAATACATGTTTATCTTTTTTTAACTAAATGAAGTATTTGAGTCAGAAAGCTTAAAAATGGCTCAGGGAACAACCATGATAAGTGTTTTAGGGCCTTGATTTATGCAACAAGTTTAGTTTAATAAAGAGCAAAACTGCTAATCAGTGCCCACAGATATTAGATAATAAATTCAACAGGGCCAAATGGATATTTGCAGCATAGCAACTACTGGCTTAATGATTTAATTAATCTAAACATGCAAAATTTTGTGCTTGCTTAAATTTGTGCTAGCTTAAACAACTAGGGGTGTATTCATAAATTTAATATGTGTTTTAAGGGAAAAGGGAAAACTAACAGATCTTGTATAAATGCCTCCTAAGAATCTCATCAGGAACAGGAGAGAATGAGCTCATATATTTGGCCTTGCAATTATTTACCTTATATTGTTAAATTGAAATAGCTTTGATTAGTACAGTGTATCCGTAAAACTGCTCTAAAGAAAACACAGTGATAATCAAAGTAGCATATAATTAGGAGAATACTAGCTTTCCTTAGAGCTGCCCTTGTAACAATTACTTCTAGTGAATAATTTAAAATCAAGTAATTTTTTTTACATCTAACTAGAAATTTAGAGTTATTTCCTTTTTTGTAAAGCAAGCTTTATGAACATTTAGAAATATTTTATTTTAAAAGTTATGTTAATATACAGAATATATATGCATTTTATTTTCATTTAGTGTTATTTTTACTAATTGTTCATAATATAAATTGAGCTGTATATTTTACTACTTCATGTAGTTGTGAAATACAATTGCATGAGCATCCTTTAAAAAGAAATTTTTTTTCTTTGCTGTGGAAATGTAATATGTATTTGTTTTAATTGAAGAGATTTTGAATGTAAAAAACCAGATATATTTAAAATCCTGATTGAGAAATATTTAAAATCCCTAAAGATTTAGGATATCACTTAATAGGTTACTTGTAGAGCATTTGTCAAATATTAAAAGTTATTACCTGAAATGTTAATGTTTAGTTTATATTTGCAACTGTTTTTACTTTCTAAAAATTATTTAATTACATTATACATCAATTAACAACTATTTAAATCATGTACTATATTTTTAATTAATTTTTTTTTTTTGAGAGAGGGTTTTACTCTCTCACCCAGGCTAGAGTGCAGTGGCACAATCACAACTCACTGCAGCCTTGACCTCCCAGGCTCAGGTTAAATTGAAATAGCTTTGATTAGTACAGTGTATCCATACTCAGCCTCACCTCAGCCTCAGCCTCCCGAGTAGTTGAGACTACTGCCTGCCTCAGCTTCAAAAAGTGCTGAGATTGTACTCTTTTTAATTGTTTAAATGCTCTCAGTTTAGACTATATCTACTAGAGGAAAGTAATGCCAGACACAAAACTTTAAGAACTTCAAAGTTTTCTACGATTGATTTTGTCCCTAATATAATTTTCTCATAATTTTATTATGGGAGATTTCAGAATTGGGTCTCATTTTAAATGTTTAATAATGATGATCTTCTTGACTGATAGGATATTATGCTTGCAAATGGCATATTACCTTTATTATGGCACTTGTCAATTTGAGACCATATTTCATTGATATTTCCTTCTCAGTCACATATAAGCTGTCAGTAAATTTTGAATTAATAAAAGCACAAATGAATGAATGGAATATGCATTCCGGAAATAGAATTAAATATCTCCCCCTGCATCTACTTCTAATGAGTTTATTAGACAAACAGACCAAGAACTAACTATTAAAAATACTGTGTAGGCTTCCAAAGTGATTTGAATTCTGTAATATTCAACATCAAATGTAAAAATTCATGATCAGAACCATAGCTGCAGAATTCATTGTAAGACAATTCAAAACAACGTATTTTAGAACCACGAAGTCTACTGAGGAATTGTCTCACAGTTGATATTATCCAATTTTCAACTATATTTTTTCTAGAAAACAAAAAATGCTATTTTACTCTGCTAGTATTATTTTCATTGACTGTTTTTCTTGTGTTTCTAATAAGCTGACAAAACATAATACAAACTAAAAGTACATCAAGCAATTCTGTAATTATAATTTTTTTCCCTAACATTTTGCATAAGTGCATGATTTAATTGCCTCATACCAGCACTTAGGAATTGTGTCTGTTGCATATCCTGCACAACTGAAGTATTATATTGTCATATCTGTTTTGTGCTTTATATTTTATTAACAGTAATTATGGATATTGGCATGGATGTCAACATCACAGTTTATGGCTGAACTCTTTCTTATGTATTCATAAAAATGAATGTATAATAACATTTTGGATGAACTAATTAAGAACGTGTGTGTGTGTGTGTGTGTGTGTGTGTGTGTAAGGGAGTTAATTTTATATCATGTTATAATTGTTTTTTCCCCTAGATTTATGCATAAAGGCAAATTACACACAAGTCCCAGGGAACACTCTAATTTGCTTGAGAACACTTAACCTTAAATTTTTTAATGTTTTTATTCTTAATTACTATAAAATTACAAGGAGGGGGAGAGAGTGTATCATTTCATTTCCATTGGTTTTCATAAATAAATATTTCCCAGGGGCACACCTGGGATTCATTTGTACACTTCTATGAAGTCAGGCTATGAGAAAACATCAATTTATATTTGAAATGTCTTTATGATTCAGGTTACTATTTTATTCATACAGCATATAATTCACAGAGGATCCTATTCTTTAGACTATAGCTATGGGCTAGATCTAATAACATCTAGATTTTTTTCCCACAACTTAAAGAAATTATTTTGAAAGATATTTCTAGCAAAAAGATATCAGTGCTTTTCTCTTTAAAAATAATGTTTAGTTTTTTAAAATGCCTTCTATAAATCTTCTTAAAATGTACTTTGCTCTATTATTTAAAATACAAACACACACACCCCTCTGGATAATTTTTGCTAGAGAATTACATTGGCTACTTATATATGGTACAAGTGCAATTAGTTTGTTAGTTAATTGTATTAATGGAGACAATAAAAATAGATATAAGTTTCACTGAGTAAATGAAATTGACTTTATTTTGATGAGCGAAGGAAGAGCTAACTAATCAGGCCACACATCTATTGGAAATGTAAGTAATTTCATTGTACTAGTAAATTTTTCTTTTGACTGTCATCATTAGTATCACCATTAAATTAAGTCAAATATCTTAACATATGTAGCATGTTATATGTGTTGACATTTTTGCAGAAGGCTGCTTTAACAGATAGAAGTAGAGTCATGCACTGCAGAAGACACTTCATTCAGTGATGGCCTGTGTATAGGATGTGATCTAAAAAGATTAAAATGGAACTGAGAAAATCCTATTGCTGCCTAGTGATGTCATGGCCATAATAATGTCATGTAAGGCATTACTCATGTGTTTGTGGTGATGCTGGTGTAAACAAAACTACTGTGCTGCCAGTCATATAAAAGTATGGCACATATAATTATATACAGTGCATAATACTTGATAATGATAATAAATGGCTATGTTACAGCTTTATGTATTTACTATATTTTACTCTTTCTTTTAGCACATACTCCTTCTACTTATTAAAAAAAAAGTTACTTTTACTTAAAAAAAATGCCTGGAGGGCCTAGCTAAGGCTCTTTTAGGTAAGTCCTCCAGGTATTAGTGTAGAACAGGGGTGTTCAGCCTTTTGGTTTCCCTGGGCCACATTGGAAGAAGAATTGTCTTGGACCACACAGAAAATACACTGACACTAATGATAGCTGATAAACTAAAATAAATCACACACACAAAAAAAATCTCATCATGTTTTAAGAAAGTTTATGAATTTGTGTTGGGCCACATTCAAAGCCTCCTGGGCTGCATGTGGCCCACAGGCTGTGGGTTGGACAAGCTTGATCTAGAAGAAATCATTGTTATTATAGGAGATAACAGCTCCATACATGTTATTGCCTCTGAAGACCTTGCAGTGGGACAAAATGCAGAGGTGGAAGGCAGTGATATTGATCTTGACCGTGCATAGGCCTAGATTAATGTGTGTGCTTGTGTCTTAGTTTTTAACAAACAAATTAAAAAAAAACAACAACAGAAAAGTATGATAGAATAAGGATCTAAAGAAATAAGTATTTTTGTACAGCTGTACAATGTATCTGTGTTTTAAGCTAAGTGCTATTACAAGAGTCAAAAATTTTTAAAAGTAAAAGTAAGCTAAGTTTAATTTATTATTGAAGAAAGAAAAAAAATTTAAATAAGTTCAGTGCGGCCTAAGTGTATATTCTTTACATAGTCTACCTTAGTGCAAAGTATGTCCTAGGCCTTCACATTTACTCACCATTCACTCACTGACTCACCCAGAGCAACTTCCAGTCCTGCAATTTAAATTCATGGTGAATGACCTATATAAGTATACCATCTTTGATCTTTTATACTGTATGTTTACTGTACCTTTATAATGTTTTGATATAATGAGATATACAGTATTGTGTTATAATTGCCTACAGTATTCAATATAGTAACATGTTGTACATGTTTGTAGCCTAGGAGCAATAGGCTATACCTTGTAGACTAGGAGTGTGTAGGCGATACCATCTAGGTTTGTGTAAGTACCCTCTTTGATGTTCAAACTATGACCAAAATCATCTAAGGATATGTTTCTCAGAACACATCCCCATCGTTAAGTGATGCATGACTATACTCTGGAGCATATTCAAGAAAGTAAGTCCTATGAGTTTGAAAAGAAATTAGAGTTTAAAAGATTTCTTGTGACTAATAATTGACTTAGTGCTAGTTCTGACTATGCGTACACATTAAACATGTATATATCCAATAGAGCTTAGTTAATCAGAGAAGAGATTAGCTGCTTTTTAACTTAAAGAATGTGGCTACAATAACCACCAAAAAGGTTTTAACATTTTTATTTAAAATTAGTTTGAATTTAAGAAAGTAGAATACCTTGGATACATTTAGCATCATCTTTCTAAAATCTAAATATTTTTATATTCTACCAAATAGTTTTCTTTCATGTACAAAGTATAGTGATATTTAGTCTTTGAAAATTGTTCAATGGATTTAATGTAAAATCATAAAACATTCATAGAATGTATGACTGAGTAGGCACTTACAAGTTATACATTGACATTCATATATAGGGCAATAAGGAATATTTGAACTTTAATTAATGTATTTTCATGTTTATAATCAGGTCCTCATTCACCACTTTTGGATGTCATGTGGAGATATGACACTTATTCAAAAGCGTAAGAATTTTTTTTAAAGTATGGCATGTATCTGGTGCCCCAAATAGTTTCTTTACAATTATTTGATGTAAGAGTTTTACATTTTAGTTGTGTGTATAATTGTTCCCATTAAGACTTTGTTATGTAATTATGCAGTCTAAAATCAACAGAGAAACATTTAATATTAGCAAACAAATCATCAGTACTAGAACATAAGATTATAATAAATATGCCTGTTTAATGAAACTTTAGGTGTGATCTTTTCTTCTCCTGATTTTCTCTGGTAATATTTTCTTAAATTAGATGTGGTTGTAACCATGAACTCCCCTTTCATTTATGATGATTATTTTGACTTCTCTTTATACAAGTAAATATGCTTTTTATGTTATATTTATAATTTAGGTTGCCAAATTTATATTCCAATATATAGTTTCTCAAAGTGAGTCCTCACCACGGCCCCATTCCTCCGCACTTGCAGATTTCCCCTTGCTCACACTTTATTCTCTTATGCTTTCTTTGACTTTGTCAGCAACTCTCTCAGTAGCTCTGAGTTCTTCTTCTGCATGCTTCAAAGGGAGATATTCTTTTTCAGGTTGAAATACATATTTTTGTCAATGCACCTGGCTGAACATATGATTGTTTTATACTGTAAGCATTCTTCATAGAATAAAAATATTATACATATAATTTAAAAGTATAATAGACGAATAAATAGTTGTGTGTGCACACATTTATTTTCATCAATTCATTCTGAGGATGAGGCAAATAATTACTTTTATTCAAACTAAATAATTCTGTTACATAAATGTATAATTAAACCTATGTTTGTGATTTCAGGTACATTTTAGATATTATTAATGATTCATTTTTTCCATCCAAAATTAGCATATCTTTCCTTTGTAATATGAATCTAAATAAGTGCTAATGACCACTTGAGTGATGGATTTTTTCCTGAGGTGATTACCAAAACTGTTAACTCAGTACGTAATAACTTCAAAAAGTTGTTTACAAGAGCTATTTTATTTAATGAGAACTGAATGTAGTATTAAAATATATACACAAATAGAACAAATCATAAATATCTTTTCAACGCCATCATTCAATAGAAACCATTCATTAGTGATATTTTTTTTCAAATACTTTTTATGTTTTTATGTATAACTTTTCCCAACGAGATCTCTGCTGGTGGGGACAATAGCTACATCACTTTCTGTAGTATCTTTTTCTCCAGATTTAATTCTTGCATCTTAAGTAAGGCCGTAAAATTCCAGCTACATAAAGTGGTCATGTGCTCATCAAATGGAGATTTTTATTAGATTTCTTGGGTGTTGGGAGAAAGTGAGACATCAGAATCATTGAGAAACTCTAAAGTATATTTTAAAATACTGTTATCTCTGAAATTTTTTATTTTAATACAGTAACATTCATTACTAGAAGGTTTATGCTATACCACATATATCATCTCTCAAAACTTACCACAACTGGTGTACACAGGTATATATGAACTGAAGTTGTTGGTAGATTCTTTTGTAATAGTTTCTAAATATTTGAGCAAATACCTGGCAAAAATAATATTTGTACCAGTAGGGACCCAAGTGTTGCAGTTCTATGATAAACTCATTGGATTTGTGGAGACAAGGTACATTCTGGTAATAATGAAAATCAACAAGTAATATATGTTGATTAACTCTTTGGAATCCAGAGGACTACTCATATGTGTTTCCTATAATATGTTACAGTTTCAAATAACCAAGGTTAACCATAAAAGTTCTGAAAGAAAAGACACAGAAGAAAAGTACAAAAGAGAAAAGAGCAAAGGCAAACATGATTTTTATAAGCAGCACTTACAAGTATTGAACTGTAGGCTTAATAATGAAGCCTCATCTATATTTAAAAGTTACTGTCTACTTGGCTACTGCTGTCTGTTCTGTTCAGCCTTCAGCTAAACAGCAAATGAAGTGTCCACATGACAGACTATTCAGCAGGACTGGCACTCTGATGATTTATTTAACATTTTTATTTATTTATCAGTTTTGCCAGATGAATCAACATGTTTTTCATACATTATCTTAATAGACTTGATGATGCAAAGACAATATTATACAATATCATGTGTGGCTTGAATGACTGTACTTTTTTTTTCTATAATTTCTAGTGTCGGATAGTAAGACTTCATACACCATGTGCTAGGGACATTTGTTTTTTCCTGGCTCTAATAGTAACACTGGCCGAGTTTACTTTTTCAAGCACAATTCATTATTCTGAGAACAGGGACACTTGCCTCCTCAAGAGTCTACTAGATTTGCAGGATCTAAAATGCAGTTTGGGGTAGTGACATAGAAATCATGGGGCTCCCCTCGCCATTCCATGGGGCTCCCCTCAGCATTCTTGCAGGCAGCTCTTTTAGCTATTAGTGGTCCTTAGGATTAAAGTTTGTAGGGTAGAAGGCTCTCATCTACTCACTTATTTTTTTTCCCCATGCAAAACCAGAATGAGGACAGGCAGAGGGAACAAATGGCTGGTTCACTGCCTTGGGCACAGAAAGTCACAATTTTTGTGCTTCTATCAGTGCTAAGGAAAATGCACACATCTCCCTCCTGAATACATGTAGAATTTCTAATGTCATTATAGTGAGTACTTTTAACCGTGCCTCCTGTGTGTAGGCATAGTTCTAGGCACCACGAATGCAACACTGAACAAAGCTTCTCATGAATCCTCCATTCCAATAGGAGAAGCTCATAGGTAGATTAGATAACAATAAGTGCTTTGGAAAATACGATGAAGGGAATAGTACCGAGATTTTTGGAGTAAACCTGTATGCTTCTACAGGGAGTTAGGATGATAATAGGTCTTATTTTTTGTCTCACTGAACTAGTATTCCAGCACTGTAATAATAGGAAAGCATAATCAATAATTTCCACTAGGCATATTGTTGCCAGACACAATAGAATGCCTAGTTAAGTTTGAATTTCAGACAAACAATAAATATTGCTTTAGTACGTCTCTCCTAAATCATTAGTACATCTGTCCTAAATCATTTATGCCCTACATTTTTATTTGCTAAAACTGGCAATCCCAACTGCTAAAACTGGCATTTTTTTTTCAGGTAGTCCTCCTAGATTGAGTAGCAGGAATTCTCTTTTACTTGAAGCTTAAGTGTTAATACCAAAACCATCTAAACATTGCATAAGCAAATGTTAAAAGGAAATCTGAGCCACTGTATTATTGTGGGTTACCACCTGCACATTTATGTTCAAGTCATCTGTGATACTAGATGGTGGTAATCCTTCTGTGTTTTGTGATTCAAAAATAAAGTTATTTAATTAATGGCTAATCGGAGATTTCTGAATCTACTTATATTCAAAATAGTCCAAAATTGACTGGCTTTCAGAGGTTCTATTAAAATACCAAAAATTCTCACTAAAATACTATTTCCTAAATATAAAAATATTAAGATTAAAAATAAAACATTAGCTAAGGCAGTGACTTGTGAAGGCTGTTAAGTAAGTTGTTTAAAACTTAAATTCAAGACCCTTTCTTCCACTCATCAGCACTGTGACCTTGAAACAATTATTCTCAAATTCAAGCTTCAGTTTTTTCATGTGAAAATGATATGTACTTAATTGATAAGTATGAGAATGCAATGATTTTAGCAAAGAAAAAAGTATAAAACTGCCTAGTACATTGTAAGTGCTTAATAAATGGTAATATTATTATTAACGTCCAAACTCTTACAAATTATGTAGTGACTTCTACTTTTCTATCATTAAACATGTTGTGGTAATTACAGTCTTCTGAGTAAAACATTATAGAGCCCCTACAATATGAACTACTCATAGTAAAGGCAAAATAAAGCCTTCTAGGGCAAAAATTACTACAATATCCCAAAGTTAGTATTAATTTCTCTCCTTCTGTAATTAGTTATGTTACATAAATATATTTGATTAACATCTTATACACCCATATTTCTGTATTCTCATAGTACCAATGAATTAGTCTCAAATGTTATTTGATTGTATTGGTTACAGAAAAATAAATCCAAGATCTAAACATCTGCTAAATAGAACACTGTGCAGAGTGTTGGCTACAGTAAAGTGGTAAATTTTTCAAATGAATGCATGTTTAAATTATAATGAAAATAACTGAGGAAGGAAAGAAATGAATCATTCTGTGACTGTTTCATAATTTATCTAATTATTATGTGACTACACATTTTATATATAATCATCTCTTCCATAGAAAGAAAAAAAGTGAAGAGATGTGAATGAAATATAGCAGATTGCAAAAAAAGGTTTTTCAAACACACTGTAACATGGGAAGCAACTGAGTAAAAATTTTCCACATGTATTTAGTAAATAAATGGAAAAATATATTAATTAATCAATGAATGAATAAAAAAGAAATATTCTTCTATGGGAAAAACCAGGATCAGAAGGTATTTTACAACTGTATTTTGTGGAATACTTGTCTTTTAAAACACAAGAGAGATATATGTGTTTGTGTGTGTGTGTGTGTATATATAGGTATATACAGTTCAGTAAAACTCTAAGTTACAGGTCTGTGATAGCTGATTATAAAGAGTTTACACATTATCATAGATTTAAGATTATACTTTCAATTTATTGTGTAATTTCTATAAGCTGGTCTGATTGCCTAGAATAAACATTCTAAAGTCTAAAACTTCAAGGAGATTATACTGATTTTTTAAAAATAATTACAAAGTTTCACATACTTATGTTCACACACATTTCTTCTAAATAAACCATTGGAAGGTGAAAACAATTTTATTATTAAGAAAGTTTCTTAGTTTGGTTTTATATTGGTATAAAGAGGCAGCATTATAGTTAACATTTTGTTCCAGATGCTTGGAATAAGAGGACAAGTCGCATCATTCACTCAAACCTCCAATTCCCCAAACTAATAGTGCTAGGAAAGAGGCAAAGGGAATAGACAGAGTTTGAACCTCACCCTAAAGGCTAATAGAAGATGGCTCTATCAAACTCCTCCAAGCAGGAGACACCCTGAGCAACACTCAGCCCCAAATTCAAACCTAGGAGCTCTTTAGGCAAAAAGACCTCCGTATCACCACAGGACGAAAAAAAATAATAATAATAAAGAGAGAGAGCAACAGTTCTTAATATAGCTGGGAAATATATTTAAAATGTTTTGCATCAAAATTAGCATCTTGAATTGTAAGAAGAAAAATGTATTTGTTAGTGCAGAAAACAGAGAGAAGATGGTATTTATCTAATACAGCCTTGAATTGCAGCAAAGACTTTAGCTAAGGGACCTCACACGGTCTCCTTTACTGTCTCATTTTCATTCTAGGGAGACCCCAACTTGGCATGTATTAAGTGAGATCTTCAAATGGGTGTCAGGAATGCTGTTGAGTGCAAACTTTAGAGGATAATCATATTGTAGCATGTAATGCTATACATGGAGAAAGGAAACACTCAATAGCTATATAAATTAGCTGTTTATATAATCCAGTGAAAAAGAAGTAAATGACACACAATAAGATTTCTCCTAATGACCAGGAATGTCTATCTGCCTGCAGTTAATTTGGAAGACAAAAATGACATATAGAAAATAAAAAATATGCTCCAAACAAAATAGAAAATTGATTTATGTATCAACAGCATTTTAATACAATATAAAGTAAGTTAATATAAATATATTTCTTTTTGCTAACTTAAAATGTTTTATAACAAAAATTAATATTTTATTACATGGTTATCTCCTCGTAGAACTTTTATTTTACTACAGGTTACCACTATTATAACTCAAATGTCTACTACTGTAACTTAAATTAGTAATTTGTGAATAGCTATCATGTGAAGATAAATGTAACAGAAAACAGAGGCAGGATTTTAGTTTTGAAAACTCTTTATGAAAATTTATACTTTATATATGCATTTGGCATATATAAAGCAGATTTTTTTGAATAACTGTCTGTTTTCAGAATTTTAACACTGTTTATTCAATACCACCTAAACTGCCTTAATTCTGTACATGTCTTTTTTCTGATTTTATATTTTAATAATTTGAAAAATTATTAAAGGTATTTAATTTTGAGAACAAAAAAGTAAATCAAATATCTGAACAGTCAAACATTCATATATTCATAAAATATTCATAAAATATAAATGCTAGTACTTCATTCATAAAAATATACACAAGTCTTTTTCCAAATTTTCTCTTCAGCTTATCAACTCAAATTTGATTAGAAGCAACATGTTAGAAGGACTAGGTCTGAGAACACTGATACCAGTAAGGAGAAATAGCATTTCCTTCTTTTTTTTTTTTTTTTTTTTTGAGACGGAGTCTCGCTCTGTCGCCCAGGCTGGAGTGCAGTGGCGAGATCTCGGCTCACTGCAAGCTCCGCCTCCCGGGTTCACGCCATTCTCCTGCCTCAGCCTCCTTCTTATTTAATAACAATAGTACTGGCATTTTTGAGCTCTTGTTATCTACCAGATCTTGTTCATCATGCTTTGCTTATATTATTACTAATGCATCAAATATCCACACGCTAAGATATTTATATTATTATCTTAGAAAGAGAGAGAACAGGGGTAAGGGGGAAAAAAGAGAGAGAGCAACAGAGCAAAGGAGAATGAGACAGAGAGAGAAAGAGAGAGAGAGAGAGCATTTAGACTTCACAGCCTAACTTGAAAGTACAGGGCCAGTGTCAACTTCAATTTGCTTGATTCTGAAGCTTGTGTTCCTAGGGCCCTGCAGATCATAAAATACCTTCATACTTTATACCCTTTTGAACAATAAATGAACTAAAGCACCAAAAAGCCTTCTGATTGTGCTAGCAAGATATAAAATTGATAGAATATAGGCCAATTTCTCTTTCCTCTTTATTATGCTGCTTGTCGCTTATGTCAAGATTTTACTGCCTGTGGAGTATTGGTATTTCTGGCTCAAAATACCTGAACTTCTTATTTTAAATCATAATCTTCTACTACACAATCGTTATGACTTAGGAGAGATTACTGAAGAGTTACTGTTAGGTATTCTGTAGCTATTTCTTAAGCAGCTTAAATCGGAACACAACATCCTCTTCTGAATGAAGCACCTTCTTTCATGTTACGTAAAAATATTTTTTTCCTAATAAAGAGAGGCTTTGAAAAACATTCTAATGAAGCACCACTCCTCCTGTGACAGGATGATACCTTTTTTTAAGTCTGTGCTTGTTTTGTGGTACCTCTACATCTGTTTTTGGTCTGGATAGTTTCACAATTGTCAGACTGTGCATAGTCTAAGACTCCATCTTATAAAACATAAAAGATAATGTACTCCCTTTCTTGACTGAAGCAGTTTCCTTTTTCATTCATTGAAAAATTTAAAAGCTAGTTCAAGTTTTCTTACATTATTCTTAATGTGAAAAAGGTTTTCAGTAGAATGTTCAGGCACGATAAAATACCCATTAATGTCAAAACACAAAAACATGAAAAAATAATCAATGAAACCAATGCCTGAACTTTAGGAAATTAATGCTTTAATTCTTTCCTTTCATTGAGCACTTGAATAAAAATTATTTTATTTTTAATCATACATTTCATTCACAGAGACTAACTGGCAAATTCACCCAAAATATAGCATATTACATTTTTGCAGATTTGACTTGCAGTCAAATTATGACTAATTACAAAGAAATTAAGAAGTTTCTGGCTAATTAGAAGAAATAAGTTTGTAAAGGTCTAAAATTCAAATAAAGATTGGGAGTCTGGAATATCATAGGATTTTTATTAATATTTCTTATATGTAACCCAAAGCTCACCACTAAACCTACTTGAGATGATTGGGTTGATCCTACAGAAATACCAAAATCCCTCCATGTCACTATTCAAAGCTGTTTTTCAGCTAAATCTATGTCACTCTGCAAACAACTAGTGCTAAATCACATGATTTTTAGAAAACAATTGACTATATAAGTAAAGTAAAATGCAGTTAAGATTAGCTTGATGATTCAAGATACACTAAAGGAATACTTATCTTTCTTCAACTAGTTAACAAGAAATTTGAATATAGGGAAGACTGGTCTAATATTTCTTTCCTTGTTTGTTGTGAGGACGGAATTGAAGCCAAAGAGTGTGCTTAGCTAATTGTCATTTGACTTCAATTTTCATAATAACAGCTAACATAATTGAAGACTTATTATTAACCTAGAACTATTCTAAGTGGGTTACATGTGTTAACCCATTGCAATCTGTATGACAAGTCAGAGTTACCTGCCTAAGGTTATGTAGCTGGCAAATAGAAGAGGCATTATTTGTACTCTCTACAGCAGTTCACCACTACATACACTTTTCTTCAGTCTCTTACTTAAGATGTGTTAAAAGTGTATTTTATGGATTCTCCATGGATATATTTGCTGGGATATTTAAACTAAGTTTTAGAAACAAATTTAGTCTCAATATCTCCCTCTCCTAACCTCATTCAATGTTAACAAAGGACCTTAAGGAGTGGTTTAATCCTGAATCTGTGTGTTAGATCATGAAAGCAAAGGAAATATGTGAAAGTCAATGAATGCATAAGGAATCTTAAAATGTGATGTGCCAAAAGGACCACTAAACAACAAACCAAATAATGCATCAAAAATTTTAATCAGAAACTCTATTTGCAACAACTAGTGAAAGACCAACTATTTGCAATAATCAGTGAAAGACCAAACAATAATCAGTGAAAGACCAATGGTGATCAAAGTCACCATTCCATGATAGAGCAATGCATTTACAGTGTTAAATATATAAGCAAACTGAAATTCTAATGTTGTAATGTGGTTGTTTCCTGGACTTGCAAATAACTATAATATAAATTGTAAAGTTGCCAGATAAAATACAGTAAGACCAGTTAAATTTGAATTTCAGAGTAATGACGAATAATATTAAAATATTGCAATATTTAGAGCATGCTTAGACTGAAAACATTTAATTGTTTATCTGAAATTTAAATTTAACTGTGAGACAGCCAGGTTGGAGGGGATCCCTGAAGAAACTCAACCAGCCTGCCCACTGAAGGGGAGCCTGGGGAAGTTCATGAGGTTTACAGCGGGCAGGAGCCTGGCCTCTCCTTTTCCTGTGTGGAATCTAGGATTTGAATGGCTGGGTGGGAAACACTCTAGCAGGGACTCTGGCCTGTTGAGAGTCCATGTTTCTGCTTTTTTTTTTCCTTTTCACCCAATAACACCCTGTGTTACTCACCATTAAAATTGTCTGTGAGCCTGAATTTTCATGGCCTTGAGACAAAGTACCCCATCTTTAGTTGAACTAAGGAAAAGTCCTGCAACATTTTTGGCATGCAAAGTGGGGGCTCAATAAGTGGTGAGTGAAATGGGGACTCAAAATCTCTCACTGTTGCTTCTAAGCCTTTTCATCCTCAGACTTCTGAGGGTGGGGGAAACCATGCCTCCACCCCAGTCGCTCCTGGGCCTTTTCATGGCATTTTCTTTTTTGGGAGAGACCTGCAAGCAGCGGCTCCCCTCCACTTCCACTCCCTGCCAGGCCTGGGATGCTTGGTCGAAGAGTGCAGCAGAGCCGGCTGTTTGGAACCAGCCATTCGCCACTGCTGCAGACTTCCCCGTCCCTGGCTAAGGGGTTTAACTTTTTAGACTGTAATAAGCTTAAACTTATCTCCCTGGTGAAGGAACCACTTGCATGAGAATAAGAGGTTCTTCCCCAGGCATTTTTAAACCTTTTGTCTTGCCTCTTCTCCACCCAGTCAGCAATTAACCTTTAAAGTCTCTTTTTCCCTTTATTAGGCTAGGCCCCTCAACTGTCACTGTTTATATTTTCTGTAAAGCTTTAATTGTGAGAAAGGATTTGTGGGGCTAGTCTTGAGCTGTGGCCAATCTGGTGTGCTTTGCATGTCTGTATGGTTTGTGTGGCAAGCCTCCATCTTGCTTTACACTCTGGGGCCATGGCCAGTAACCACTTGGCAAAGCTTTGTTTAGCAATCCTGCCTTAGGGGATGAGCCCTCTCAGGTTAGATATCTGCATGTTCTCCTAGCCCTGTCTCTTCAAGGGTTCCACCCAGCGACTGGGTTTTCTTCTGCCTGTCTGTGTGTGTACTGTGTGCGATGTCTGTAAAAAGAGCTCAATTAATTTGGCCTAAATAAAGACAAGCACTGGGATCAAATACTTTTTTTAAGGGAAGGTAAAAGCTGTGGTATCTTTTAGTTCACATGACTTTAATATTTAAGAAATAAAAACAACCCTAAAGACTATTAGTAAAATGCAGGTCAGATGCAAGTTTTGCTAAGTGTTTTAAGGTTACAAACTGCTTTTTAGGTTTTGAGAACTATTTGACTTGCAGGCTTCACAATTGGTAAGGCCGGGAGACATGTGGAAGTAACCACACCGTAACTAAGAAGGCCAACCTTAGCTACACTTAGCACACAAAGCAACCTACCAAATTTTACCTTAAAGTTAAAAATTGCTAGGAGTTAATTTAAACTACTGGAAACAGATTTACATGTAAGGGAGTAAGAACAGTAAAATGTGCTTTTTAGTAAAAGGTTATAAGAAGGCATGGAAATGTAAACTTTGGCCTAGGGTTAAAGGATTGTTTTTTGAGTTAAATTAGGAAAAAGCTGAAGGTTCAAGTAAGTGGTGGAAGAATTGTGGAAATTAATCTTGCAGAAGAGGTTCTCTGTGTGAACATATTGACTAAATTCAAAAAAGGGTATTTATGGTTTTTCTTTAAATTGAGCATTGAAATAAAAGCATAACAAGGTTTTCCTAAGGTACTAATCTGCTCTTTGGTAAAATTTATAAAGGATTATAAAAGGTTTTTGCTTCTTTAAAATTTCTGAGTCATTTTGGCAAAATAAATAACTTATGGTAATCTGGAATTCTGTTTCATAATATCAAGTGTTTTAACACTCGAACATTTAACAGCCTTCTGAAAAATCAAACTTCAGTTTTAAAATTGTCTTCCCCGGAAGCAGGCTTTTCGAATACTTCAGAGGGCCCCTGAAGTGTCCAGAAAAGAGAGGATTATTTGACATGCTTATGTTAGAAATGCTTGTTCCCTGGTGCCATAAAGAAATAGCATTTGAACATAAATTTTATTTCCTCAGCAAGGCCATTTTTACTTTCTGCAGAAAGGGTACACTCGCCAGCAGTTTTGCCATGAGAGTACATTGAACAAAAGAGACAGGGTCATTTATAACCTGACGCGTCCACCCTACTGGCTGTGTCTGGTTTCCATTGGCTGGAATGGGACCTCACATTTTGTATTTGTCCCGATTGGCTAGCAACTTAGAACTTTTTAAAAGAGGCAAAGGCAGAGGAGAACAAAGGAAGGAGGCAGTACCTTGTGGAATTCTGAGAAAGGTAAAAACACTTTCAAATAAGGAAGAGGAACAGACTATGACCTAATGCTTGCTTGGACCAGTATAAGCATGCCAGGGCAAATATTTAGGCTAAATTGTGGGCGCTAAGAACATAAAGTACCTTGATTTCTTTATTATGGCTAGAAGATATTTAATAATGTTAGCACAGGTCTTTGAATAAATTTTGCTTCTAAGAGAAGTTACTATGTATTCCTAACTACATGGGGAGGAAAGTCTTTGAAGAGGAACCTCTACTTTACTTTTTACACTTAGGTACATTGGATTGCCAAAATGATGCTCAATCTTCTTTAGGTTATATTTTTGTGAATAATGCTAATATTTGCTCCAAAATTGTATGAGATTTCTAAAATTCTGATGTCTGAGTATATGCTATCAATCATAATTAAAGTTGTTATCTTAAGTTATTGTAAACCACAGAGATAACCAAACTTCTTTGTCAATTGTGTTTCTAACTATAACTACCCTGGACATTTTGCTATTCATAGACAATTGTCATCTTGTTTTAATCCTTTTCAAAGATGGTTCATAATGAACTATAAAACTTTAGCAGGTGCTCTCAAATACAGGCTTCTGATAACTTTGGAGATTGTGACATTGGAATAAAGGAAAATGTACAGAAATCATGAAGAGCTGAAATACTCACAAATATCAAGCAACACCAGCGTTAATTAAATGACTGAATTCAGAAAGCTGAAGCAACTTTTTTGACTTTTGGTTGGAATATTACTGATCCTTGTTGTTCAGAGTCAAGGAAACCTATTTTGAACTATTTATGGCCTTTAATAATTAAATAAGGCATACTCCTATGAACAAAATTTGAAGCATGTTTCTCCCTGACTGGTTCCTCTAAAATTTGGAAACTATCTGTGGGTATTCTTATGGCAATATACTTGTTGGCATCAGTGCAATAAGGATCCATTTTTCTTTTGCAACAGGACACAACTGGAAATACTGTTAATTTTACCAAGGCTTTGACTGGAAGGCTATTCTGCCCTTTAAAGATTTGAGCTTGACTTACAGAGCCGATAGAAGCCCAATGGTGAAACAGGCCTCATACCCTTGTCTATGCAGTCTCTGTACTGGGTTCCTGACCTGTGGTCAGTAAAGGATGTTACTTTCTGACAGTCTAGGAGCTCTAAGTTTATCTTGGGACCCTAAGAGGAGAGGAACATCCAACTCACAGGTGTTTGAGGATATAAACCTGTGCTTGGGCTCCACTTTATGTGTTCTTATCTGAGATTCTTGTGGAACAGACGTCCATCAAAGCCAATCCAAAAGGCCTATGTAGAAACAATTATTCTTACTGCACTTTTTGCAAATAATCAGGCCAAGTATAAGTCTAACATCTATTTTGCAAACCACTCATTCCTATCAGAAGTTTTTTTTTTTTTAACACATGACTGGAGAAAGGTAAATCATGTTTTAAAACTTATCATACATTCGTCATTAAATTCTAAAATTCTTTTTTTTTTTTTTTTTAATTTTTGCCTACATTTTAGACTAGCCCTGTTTCTTTCTGTGAAGCAACCAGCAATCTCTGGCTGCAGCTCAGAAAGAACAAGAGGAATGGGTAATGTAAAAATCTGGATTAACATTCTATTTCTGAGCAAATCCTGCCAAGTGATGGGAATAAATAGGATGACTATCACTTGGAGGTTTCCTTTCTGGGAAAGCAGGACCAAGGAAGCTAACCAAAGCCAAGCACCATGCACCCAAATCTTACCAAGCATAACTATAGCCACCAATTATCTGAGTGTGTCACAAGAAATCCTTTCCTCTCCCTTGTTTGAGGAGGGCTGAGTTCCGCAGTTTCACCTTAGCATTCAGCTTATGATAAGGAGTCCGTACAATCCCCCAAGACACATTTTTGTCCCAGCCTCAATTCCAAGCTTCAGGTCAAAGCCCTAGGAAGGAAAACTGCATCTAAGGAATCCAGAGCCACATGGTAGCAGAGGTTAAAAGGCACAGCACAGGTGAATGTGGCTGATTCCTGCTGATTAAGCCAACCCCAAGCTTCCTGTTTCATGGATAAAGGCCACGTTAATATCCATGGCATAAATGAGGTCTAGGGAACTCCAAGGCTACTGACAGTAGGTGGGAAGGAGATATAGGTGAGAGCAGATAATTCTGTTCCTTTTCTCTAGGCGCCCCCTGATTCATGGGTGCAAGCCACTTTTGCACTCATGGTGGCACCTGCCAAGGTCGTCAGAACTTGGGAATGCAAGGATGGAAGATGGAAAGAGGGCACTCTTCCCTGTCTCCCTCACATACCCCGGTATCTGGTAGGAAGAGAAGAGAACCACGGATGCCTGCTACTCTCTTTCTAGATGGGTAGCCATCATCTTCCGTCTGTACCTCTTCCGAATGCATCCTAAACCCTTGGGACTCCTTTAAAAATGCTTTCTTTTTCCTTTCTTCTCTTTAGTTCTCTCTTCACTAGTAAGTAATTGTGTCTCTGTACTACAGGACACTCCCCTCAGATGCATCCTCCAAACTGGAAAGAGTTAATTTCCCAAACCTTAAACTGGTTGACTTAGGATTGGGCTCAGGTGAAGGGAACCCAGAAGCCCAACATGCCGGCAAAACAGTAAAGTTTTTTTAACCAGTCAGGCTTTTGGCTTTCCTCTCCCTGTGCAAACTGGTAAAAGGCCTCGGAATTTTTGATCTGTCCTTACCCCTCCCCTTGTTTTGTTTTGATACTTTTTTTCTAATAACCCGGTTTGTCTGTTCTTGCCTTCAGGCCATCAAACTCCAAACAGTCATGCAATTGGAGCCTCTGATGATGGCCCCATCTGCCGGGAACCCTTAGATAAGCCCCTGAGGGACCTCAGACTGCCGTTTCCACAAAACGGCGTCCCCTGTCAGCAGGAAGCAGTTCTTCGTCCTTAACTGCAGTTAGATGTACTTCTTTAGAGGGAGGAAGGAGACAGTCAGGTGGGAGGGGGTCCCTGGGGAAACTCTAGCCAGCCTGCGCACTGAGTTGGAGCCTCGGGAAGTTCATGTTTGTAGCAGAGAGGAGCCTGGCCCCTCCTCTTCCTGGGTGGAAACTGGGATTGGAATGGCTGAGTGGGAAACACTCTAGCAAGCTACTCTGGCCTAGTGAGAGTCCCTGTTTCCCCCCTTTATTTTCCTTTTCACCCAATAAAACCCTGTCTGACTCAACATTCAAATTGTCTGCGAGCCTGAAGTTTTGTGGCGGTGGGACAAAGAACCTCATCTTTAGCTGAAGTAAGGAAAAGTCCTGCAATAACTGGACATTCTGTATCTCATCTGGCAGCCTAACTTTAGTGTTATTAAAATCCGAGCACTCATGTATTTGTCAGCCACACTAATATGCGTAATTCTCAATCACTGGCAGAAATACATGTTAAAATAGCATTAAGGTAAATTTGGGGGAGTTTAGACAAATTACTATGGTTTCTTAAAAAATTTCAAATTGTTTTGAAACTCTAGATAATTTTATGTATTTATTAAGGTGCATATGTATGTTTGTATGTATCTAAAGATAAAGATATTAATTTGATATTATGAGAATATATTCTTTATAATTAGTAATTTTATTTTCTGTAATATAACTTTATTTTGAGGTATTTAAAAAGTTAATTTTATACTTCTAAGAGTTACTGATATCAGCAAGTTTCTTCATTTTTAGATATAGCTACTGATTTACATATCTATTTATCTATCATTTTTACCACTCTCAAATTACTATAAACACGGATATACAAATAATACTTTTCCCCCATAGGGAAGATTACATATCCAGGGTTAAGTAAATGCCATTTCTCTTTATTACTTCTTGGAAGAATGGATCACATGACAGCAGCTATGGAAATGAGATTCCATGCAGTACACCAGGGAAAGTTGACATTACCCTTACTTTACACTAGGAGGCATAAATGTTACTATAGATTTTTCCACCACACTAAACATACTACATTTATGATTCCTTAAAGAAGCTTAAACATGATAAAATATTACTAACTTTAAAATTTTTATAGTAAACAATATTCAAAGATAATTCTTTTTTTAGAAATAAAGTCACATTTGAGATTGACAGCTTCTAGCAGACAAAGCTATGTCCTTGCTTGTTTTATATCAATAGCTTAACTACATTAAGTAATATTATAGAAGATTATCCTGTGGTACCCCCTTTTAAAATAAAATGGTAGTAAAACATTAAAGTGTACGGTGAAAAGTTAATATTGAAGAATTCCTTTAAAATCATAAAGTGAGCATAACTGCTTTTAAGAAAAACAATGAACACACTGTAGCAAAAACATGTTTTACTATTAATTTTATTAGTCTTTAGAAAATGGGTGTTTTGGAGCCCCATCAGGCATGGTAAATACAAAGAAAAAATTACTTAAAAATAATTTTTAAAATAAAACTTTTAGAATTTGAAACTAACAATTTTCTAGAATTTTATTTATTTTTTAAGTGTGTAACACTGATTTTATAGTTCAAAATTCACCATGGTCATTTTTTAAGCTTGAAACTTTGCTAAATAATTAAGATACATGTTTTGCTGCTTCTACAACTTTTCAGTACCTATTGATAAGAATAATGATAATTAAATGTAGTAATTTTGTAAATTAAGCCTGCATTATATGCTAGCAAACCTGTGGCTCTGAGGTCAATGAATTAGGACCTAGGTTAATCTGACTCCATAGTCTGTGTTCTTAATCGCATTTCTACATTACTTCCAAAAAATCCACCATTAACTATGTGTAGAGCTCAAATATCCCTGGAACTTTCAAATAATTTTCTGGCTGTACATTCTTAATTTTTTGATCTTTGCTCCCATCCTGCCCCCACCTCTGCCTGGCCTAAATATAAGGTTGCAGTGATTTCTTTCTTAACCTACTTCTGTCTCCTCTAATTATCATACTTAGAATTTTATTCACTTTCTATGTTGTCAGTTTTCAATTTCCAATTTTCAATCACATTTCTAGTTCCAAATAATCTTGCCCAGCAGCTCAGACTTTAAAATTAAAATAAAAAGAGTTAATTCCTAATCTGATTTTATTTTATATTCTCTTTTTTAATTATGCAATTTTCCATAAATCTTGCAAATCAAAGAAATACTCTCAATTTTTCCTTTCATCTCCTATATCCAAATGAAATTTATCCTAGACTTTCCAAAATTCAAAATCTGGGCCCAACCTATGTCTCAATCCATTTATTCTGTTCAAGTAAGTGACAATTCATTTACCGTCACTTACTTGAACAGTTTATCATTTATTGAGCATCTACTGTGTTTCAGGCCCTTTAATTTTTATAAGAATATTTTCAGATATTAGTAGGCTCATTTTGGTGGTTAAGTATCTGAGACTTAAAGACCATGTTGACACTAATTTTACATGGATATGCTCTAAAGAAACTGAGATTTTAACTTCTATGCCCTACTGGCCATGACTTTTTATAGGACAAAGAAGGCTACATTGCATACAAACACACACACACATACACACACAGACTTTACTTCAGTAAGATCTATTCATCCCATGTCACTTGTTTAAAGTATCACTTTATCTATAGAATCTTTATTGATTCTTTATCCAAGGCTTATTCTATGCTAAAACCCACTCTTTGTATGCTTACTAGTATTTATTCTAACACACTAATTTTATTGGTATCTAGTACTTTCTCTCCTACAAAAATCAGTGTTCCTTTTTTTTTTGTCTTTTTTTATGGTTTATAAAATCTTCATAGCATCACTGCTTCATAGCTCATAGAACAAAATTGCAAAACAATTTCAGGAACCTCACAAATTCCTAAAAATCTACTTGTGGTCCTCTTGGACCAAGTAACACAGACTAAGAATTCTTGCACTAAACTGGAAGTTGTTTAAGCTTACTGAGTCTTGGTTTTAATGTCTATCCCCCAAACCTAACGTACTACCTAGTACATAATTGACTTAACATGAATGTTTGCAGAATGAATAGATAAATGAATTAAAAAATGGGTGAATTATGTAAAGCTCAAATGAATAATGTATACGAAGATATATCAAGGTAACATTTATATAAGTTTAATGTAAGTTTCTAAAAGTTTAATATAGACTATGGCAGACAAACTCTAGGGTGATTCCTCATGATCCCCACCTCCTGATGTTTATGACCATTTGTCACCTTGAGTGTAGGCAAGACATGAGGCTTGCTTCTAACCAACAAAGTAAAGCAAAGATGATGGAAAATCACTCTGATGGTTATGTTACATTACATAAGACTCTATCTTGATACAGACATACTATAGAGACCTTGTCTCTCTAGCTGGCCTTGAAGAAATAAGTAGTAATGTTAACAGGTCTACATGGCTAGCAGCTGAGTGTGACCTCTAAGAGCTGAAGGCAATCCCCAGCTGACAGGCATGGAGAATAGAAAAGTGACCAAATAGTCCCTAGAGATTAATGAGGAGACAATTGCTAATCAAATAACTGTACCTATTTTCTTTGAGGAAAAGGTATAAGGTTCATGATAAGAAAGTATTGTTCCAGTGAAAAGAACACTGATAGAGGAGTCGGCGTATATGAGTTTTATTGTAGACTCATAAACTATGTGGCTTCAGGCAAAGCACTTTCCTTTTTATGCCTCTGTATAAAACACTGTTATACAGGATGATCTGTAGGGTCCTAAGATCTAAATTTTTATTAATCTAGTACCAAAGACAAACAAAAAACAAAGCAAAACAAAAACACTAAAAACTGCAGAAGTAGTTCTCTCACAAGTTATTTATCCTATTGAGAGGTGACAGAATGCTGGCAGTCCTCACAGCCCTGGCTCGCTCTCAGCGCCTCCTCTGCCTGGGCTCCCACTTTGGTGGCACTTGATGAGCCCTTCAGCCCACCACTGCACTGTGGGAGCCCCTTTCTGGGCTGGCCAAGGCTGGAGCCGGCTCCCTCAGCTTGCAGGGAGGTGTGGAGGAAGAAGCGCCAGCGGGAACCGGGGCTGCGCGTGGGGCTTGCGGGCCAGCTGGAGTTCCGGGTGGGCGTGGGCTTGGTGGGCCCCGCACTCGGAGCAGCCGGCCGGCCCTGTTGGCCCAGGGCAATGAGGGGCTTAGCACCCGGGCCAGCGGCTGCAGAGTGTGTACTGGGTCCCCCAGCAGTGCTGGCCCACGGGCACTGCACTCGATTTGTCACCGGGCCTTGGCTGCCTCCCTGCGGGACAGGGCTTGAGACCTGCAGCCCGCCATGCCTGAGCCTCCCCCGCTCCGTGGGCTCCTGTGCGGCCGAGGAGCCTACCCTACGAGTGCAGCCCCCTGCTCCACGGCGCCCAGTCCCATCGACCACCCAAGGGCTGAGGAGTACAGGCCCACAGCGTGGGACTGGCAGGCAGCTCCACCTGCAGCCCCGGTGCAGGAGCCACTGGGTGAAGCTAGCTGGGCTTCTGAGTCTGGTGGGGACGTGGAGAACCTTTGTGTCTAGCTCAGGGATTGTAAATACACCAATCGGCACTCTGTCTCTAGCTCAAGGTTTGTAAACACACCAATCAACACCCTGTGTCTAGCTCAGGGTTTGTGAATGCACCAATCCACACTCTGTATCTAGCTACTCTGGTGGGGACTTGGAGAACCTTTTGTGTGGACACTCTGTATCTAGCTAATCTGGTGGCCTAGTGGAGAACCTTTGTGTGTAGCTCAGGGATTGTAAACGCACCAATCAGCGCCCTGTCAAAACAGACCACTGGTCTCTACCAATCAGCAGGATGTGGGTGGGGCCAGATAAGAGAATAAAAGCAGGCTGCCCGGGCAGGCAGTGGCAATCCGCGCTGGTGGACTTTCCCACTGTGGAAGCGTTGTGCTTTCTCTCTTTGGAATAAATCTTGCTGCTGCTCACTCTTTGTGTCCACACTGCCTTTATGAGCTGTAACACTCACCGCAAAGGTCTGCAGCTTCACTCCTGAAGCCAGCGAGACCACGAACGCACCGGGAGGAACGAACAACTCCAGACGGGCCCCCTTAAGAGCTGTAACACTCACGGTGAAGGTCTGCAGCTTCACTCCTGAAGCCCGCGAGACCGCGAACCCACCAGAAGGAAGAAACTCCGAACACATCCGAACATCAGAAAGAACAAACTCCAGACACGCCGCCTTTAAGAACTGTAACACTCACCGCGAGGGTCCGCGGCTTCATTCTTGAAGTCAGTCAGACCAACAACCCACCAATTCCGGACACACTATCAGCCGACTATTTGACCAACACATTGTGTTAACATTTAATTTCTCAAGCTTCTTAAAGATAAGATGAGTGTCCTATAATTAAAAATGCATCCCCAGTAGTGATTGTGTTGAGTCATGTACTATGTTAAACCATGTATTCACTGAAGGATGTTTTTCTGAATAGCAAAAGCTGTGGAGTCAGACACTCCTGAGTTCATATTTTGGGGCTCACCTGCTGGCAAGTAGGCTTTTTCTTTTTCTTTTTTTTTTGTTAAGAGACAGAATGTTGTCATTTCACCTGGGCTGGAGTGCCTGGGCACGATCATAGCTTACTGCAAGCTCAAA
The DNA here is from genome assembly GCF_000001405.40 of Homo sapiens. NCBI lineage: Eukaryota > Metazoa > Chordata > Mammalia > Primates > Hominidae > Homo > Homo sapiens. The sequence continues at coordinate 66,623,527 of NC_000013.11, forward strand.
CTCCAAGGCTCAGGCAATCCCCCCACCTCAGCCTCCTTAGTAGCTAGGACTGCAGGCACAAACAACTTCACTTGGCTAATTTTTAATTTTTTTTGTACAGACACGGTCTTGTTATGTTGCTCAGCCTGGTCTCCAACTCCTGGCTTCAAGTTATGTCCTGCCTCAGCCTCCCAAATCGCTGGAATTATAGGCATGAGCCACTGCACCCGAGTCATACTCAGCAGTTTTAGACAAATAACAAAATTTCTGAATTTCAGTTTACTTATAATACTATCTAATTTACAGTATTAGTGGGGGATCATATACAATGAATCAAAATATTTACAAGAATTCCTGGGTCATAAACAGGACTTATTAAATATTAACCATAAATGTCAGGTATTAAAACTATACTCAGTGAGAAGTTCATCAACTGATTAGTAACATAGTCTAGATAAAGTCAGAGGCACATGACAAGCAGGATTTTCAAAGTAAATATAACTTGTAATTTTGCACATGATTAAACAGCAGAAAATCCTTTAAAATAACATTTAAAGAAATATCAGATACAGAAATAACTCTATTCATGATTCTCAATGGGACAAGATTAAGACTTAATTTTGAATTAGTGGTAATAACTGTTCCTGATCTGAACACATAATTGTTTTTGTCTGCTTTTGAATTAGTGAAATTCTTTCATCATCCTAGTTATATTTGTTTAAAAAATAAGAATCCTCAAATGAAAGTCATTTTACCATTTTCTTAGAATTAATGGTTTCATTGAATTTTACATAGAGTTTATGATCATGTTAATGAGTTAACTTCTTAAGTAAATATGATTTACTGCTACTTGGGAATGGAATAAATCTTCCCCTGCAGTAAAAGGTAACAAAATTCAGTGCGATAAATACTGCACATTGTGTGCTTCATTTGTAGGGCAGTTGATTAAGTGTGCTCTAGGTCTTGGATATACTTAGAACACAGAGACACTATCTATTTGGTTGCCAGAAGGATAGCGGTCATGCCCTGCCTTCAACTTCTCTTGGGCACCCTACAGGCAGAAAAGCACAGACATTTGTGGTTAACAATTTTATTGCTAAGTTCCAGAGGGAACTTTCGAAAGACTTTATTTTACTTAAAAGGTCTTTAATGGAGCAGTTATCAGTTTATGTTCTAGTCTTACAAATACACATGTAATTACTGAAAATCTCTGCTTAATTGCAACTTCATTAGAAACATACTTAAATATATGAAATATGCTTGCTATATACAAAAACATCCATCCATACTTGTGTACAGTGTATAGTAAACCTTATTTTTGAATCAAAACAATAGAGAAAGAAAGAGGAAATAAAATGTGAGCTCAAGTATTTCATATATTGATTCCGAGTTTTATACCAGTCTGCCACTATGTACTTAACCTTTGTATTCTGGAAAATTTAAAACACGTAAAAAAATAGCCTAATGTAATAACCACCCATATAGCCATCACCCAATCTCAACAGCTACTAATATTTTATTGTTTAATGTATTCCCATTATTATTATTATTTTGATAGAGTAATATTAAGGCAAATTCCAGACATCATATTGTTTCTTTTATAAACTCTTCATAATCGATCACTATCAATGATAACTTTCTTTTAACAAAATACAATTCTATTATTATTTCTAACAAACAATAATTTTAAAATATCATTTAAAAGCCAGCCCACACTCTTATATCTACAATTATCTCAAAATTTTGGTATCTTTTTATGATACTGAAGAAAGGAACAAACCAACAAAATTTTAGGTCACCATTAGAGGTTTTTAGGGTACAACATCATTCTGTAAGTTGATATTCAAATCAAATATGTATATTGCATTTCCTGTAAGAACGGTATTTCAGGCTAGTCAATAATTAGTGGAGGGAAGTTCTTCACATATGTTCTTTAAAACCACTTGGCAAAAAAGAAATAATCTCTTTTTCATATCTATCCACTGTACATTTAAATTGAATGCTGATGTAATCGTTTTATCAATAAACACAAATATAATTTTACACAATTATTTTTGATAATAACTTTGAAATGTTAATATATGTTGGGTTTTTTTTTCATATATACATATATGTATTCCTTTGCCTACTCCACTTTTGGCCAACATATAGTGGAATTTTTTTTTTTTTTTTTGATACACAGTCTCACTCTGTCACCCAGGCTGTAGTGCTGTGGTGCCATCTTGGCTCACTGCAATTTCCACCTCCTGGGTTCAAGTGATTCTAGTGCCTCAGCCTCCTGAGTAGCTGGGATTACAGGCACGCACCACCACACCTGGCTCATTTTTTTTGTATTTTTAGTAGAAACAGGGTTTCACCGTGTTGGCCAGGCTGGTCTTGAACTCCTGACCTCAAATGATCTGTCCTCCTCAGCCTCCCAAAGTGCTGTGATTAAAGATGTGAGCCATGGCACCTGGCCTATATGTTGGCTTTATAATTCATTGATTAGATGAGGATGAGATAGGATGGAGAACAGTAGGAAAGTAGTTAATTTGCAAAGTTGTACAGCTATCATGAGATTTTTTTTTCTTGTTGCTGAGGCAAAAAGAAAATAGAGGAGTTGTGCTTTTGAGGAAAAAAATATCAAGAAAATCATTGGGAGTCTTTGATCCTAGACGTTAAATACATTCAGTCAACCCGGTTGGGAAGAAGAAAGAAGTGAGAGGGGAGGGAATATAAAGAGGATAGATTCTGTGCCATGTTTGTTGAGCAGAACTCAGAGAAACCTAGAGGATAAAGACTAGAAAGTCCTTGAGGCTAGATTACATCGTAGAGTCCAGGGAGTCAGGAAGATCCCTAAAAGTAATGATCCATGCTGTCCATCTAGACATGGGAGTCCAAAGATAAACTCACTGAAACCTATTTACCTTCCCTATGGCATGAGGTATCAGCAATTTCCCAAAGAGTCCAGGAGGACTGGAATGAAGGCAGTCTCATTTGAGACCCCTCTAGGCAGATGAGACAATGGACATATAAGCAGACCAATGACCCAGGGTTGAGAATATTGCACTTCCTTTTGATGATAACGATCCTCTGGAATTGAGGTAAAAAAAGAACCGAAGTTTCTGTCATACCAATGCAATAGGAATTAGACATTTTTAAAAAATGGAAGAAAAAAAAGAAAGCTCTGTTTCCAGCACAAAAAAATTAGTGACATATGTGTCATACCTTATGTAGTAGAGACTGCTTTAGATTTACATAAACATTATTTACACAAAACCTATCAATTATTGCTTAATTTGCAAACAATTTGTTTTTGGCATTGCATGTAAAGACTATCATCATTTACTTATTGTTTTAATCAAGAGTTAGATATAATATAAAATCGATAATACTAATAACCCAGAAGTATAAACTTGGGAATAAAGAATACTATTGTAGGCCAGTATTATTAGATCAAATGCCACTGTGTGTGTGTGTGTGTGTGTGTGTGTGTGTGTGTGTTTAGAAGCAATAACCTATATTAAAGCCTGAAGTTTACAAAAATGTCTCCACATGATACTACCATTTGTATTAATTTCTTTGAAAAAATACCTACTGGAAATAGTTACTATAGAAATTAGTACCAGCTCTCAGTGACTTTTTTTATATGAACCATATTTGAAAAAACAGAAATCTAGATAAGTACAATCGAAATTACTTAGTACTTCTACAGATCATACTGACATCCAATAGAAACCTATTTTACCTGCTATAAAATCACAACTCTTCGGGAACTATCAAAGCCCGGTCAACAAATTCCACTGAATTCAAAGGGGACAATAGAGAACTAAATAGCAAAATTATTGCTAGAGATGATTACTTCATCAATATCACTGTACCTCACTTCACAAATTTCTCAAAGTTAATTACCAAAAATGTGACTGCAAAATTTAAAGGTAATATGTAATAATTCTATCCTAATATGAATGAACATTCAGTCTGACTCTCTTAATATTTCTAGGCCATTCTAATTAATTCTGCTCTAGACATTTACAAAGGAGGTTTAAATTTTATGTCCCATTAAACATCAAGAGAACTGCTGGCCTCTAGGGGCTCCCAGGGCCTCTCGCTTCTCCACTTTCTCTTTTCTCCCCTTCCCAATGATGAACAAGGCACTGTCACAACCTAAGAGCCCTGCTCTCTCCAGTTTAAAGACGTTTTAGTGATCATTATTCTTGTGAGTGACGTCACTGTGCTGGGTGAATGTTGGGCTGCCCAAGGTTGTGCTGTCCATTGGGTGTCTTTTTCCATGTGACTAGATTGGTAAAAACTCTAGAGATTTCTTGAAGCTAGTTTGAAAGGTTTTCGTTTGTTTGCTTTTATTTTCCTGGTTTAGGACCTCTGCTATCTTTTTCCATTTGGCACCTGGCCCATTGCCACTGCCTAGGTCGAAGTCACTGGGTAAATTGTTATATGTATTGGACAATATTTTGGCCTGGGGCAGCTTAGTTTAAGCATACTTTAAAAGCTAGGAAAAATATATTTTTTTCTTTTCCCTTTTCTATGATTGGAAAACTCAAATGTGGGCTTTCTTAAGTGTGGGCTTAGGAGAAAGCAGACCCGTATTGGTAAAAATTATTTTCTAGCCGAAAAAACAAAGATAAATACAAAACAAAACTTGTCTGTCCATTTGGTCTAGATATTTGGTCTAGATGAACTTACCAACCATCAACAACCTGCTACTTTTATCTCATTCATGTTTTATTTTTTTCTTTCTTGAACATATATTTCTCTTAGAGACTTCAGACTCTTAGACTGTGTTAGGCTCTGATTAAAGTATTCAAAGGATCCCTGAATCTCCGGACAAATAAACAGACAAACAAAAAATGAAATGAAATATTACCACATGATTCTTTTTAACAATAAATTTCTCATAATAACTTTATACATTTGCCTTTAATTTAGAATTTACTATTTCTAAAAACTAAGCTAGAAAACATAAACCAAATTTTTATTGTAATACATATTTTTTGAGACACACCCACACTTGAGGAAAAGGTGGTCTTGCTCTGTTTCCCAGGCTGGAGTGCAGTTGAGTGATTATAGCTCACTGCTGCCCAGACTCCTGGTCTCAAGTGAACCTCTTGCCTTAGCCTCCCCAGTAACTGGGACTACAAGCATGTGCTTCCATGCCAAGCTGTAATACATATTTAAGTGAGCCTTTGCACATAAGCCTAAGTTTTGCTTTTCTTCAAATAGATTTTCAGTAATGCATTATTTCTTATAAGAGTCAACAAATTTTTCATTTTTGTGCATATATATTGCTGCTATGATAGTGAAGGTATATATAACATAATTTTGCAATTTTTCCTGTACTCAGATACTTCTCAGTTGGCCCTGGCTAAAAGACAAAAAATTCTATGACAAATAAAATATATAACTCTCATTTTATCCTTATAGCTATTAAATTTGAAAAGCTGCCTTTGCTTTCTAGTTGAAATAAATTTTAAAATCTCTAACTCAATTAGTTAACTAGAAAATTACCCAGATGTTCATTGGTTTCTGAAATCCACTGATTAAATTTACTGTACCCAGAATTTTTGCATATGCATCTGAAATATTTCATTATTCTGGCCAAAAAGTTCATGAAACATTGTCTTAATCTTATTCATTGTAAATATTCTACCTAGAATTGCACATACTACAAATACTTTGAAGATATCTTTGTAAATTAACTTTGGTAAACTCTATAGACAAGTCCTAAAACAATTTGTGCAACTGTTTTTTAAATGGGACTCTTTCTTTTTTGGTTTTGTCTGAGGCCCATAGACAAGAGGAGCCAACCACTCACATACACTTAGAGAAAACATGGTCAGGAACCAGCTGTGAGACTCTTAGCTTTACTTCAACAAGAGATGTTTTAAAATTGGAGAGGGCAAAGTTGGAGACTAGGAAAACAGTTTTGAAAGAGCTGTGTGAATTCCACCTACATAAACCTCTTCACAGAAGTCTGGAGAAGGTTGATTCAATGAAACCACTTAGATTCAGTGGTGCTTACACTGGTCAAAACCATGAAATCAAAAGAGGATAGTTCTTGTTCTCCCAAATTCAGTGTAATAATAAGAGGTTTTTTCCTTGGGTATGTCCTGTTCTTCTCGATATGTGAAATCAAAAGATGCACTTATGTTTTCTTTATGTGACCAAGGTATAGGACATGAAATAACAAAACCAGAGCTGGCAGGGAGCTTAGATACTCCTGAAAGATTGCCTTGAGTAGAGAAAATTCTTGGCAGAGAGAAGATAAAATGTAACTTTGCATGCCTTATATTTGCCAATGAGAAGAGATTTCCAAAGATGGGGACATGCTGGGGATTGGAAGGAGGCATACCTTAGAAAGAATCTGTCCTTTTTTTGACAAAAAGAAGCAGCTTAAAATGCTGGAAGTCAGAGAACACCAGTGCTGTATTACTATCACACAACTGGCTAAGAAAGCCCTGTTGTATGTTTTACCTCCTCCTGGTATTCCTACTTCCACCATAGAAATGCCAGAGATATTTTCATGTTTGAAACAATAAGAAGCAAAATAGGTAGAAAATCAAGAAAAAAGTCATCATACTTCAATTTCCCACTTCGTGCAACCAGTTTGGAGCATGTTTAAGATGAGTTAAACAAACAAACAAGCAAAAATATTTTTTTTTGCCCTGCTTAGTTTAGATGCATTATTATAATTACTATTTTTATTATTTACTTCTTAGAGCAGTTTTAGGATCACAGCAAAATTGAGATAAATGTACAGAAATTTCTTACATATCTCCTGCTCCCACACATGCATAGCTTTCCCCACCATGAACATACCCCACCAGAAAATAATTTGAATTTAAGTAAAATAGAAATTACAGTCATTAGACTGGGGATAATAATTGATGAAATGGTCTTTTATTTATTTATTTAATAAAAGTAAGCTAGTCAGTGTTTTTTATTAGCAAAAGCATTAGCACTTGCCCAAGATTTCCTCCAAAGGCCAAGGAAAACACCCCCCAACAATGCTTATTTGGAGTGGGCAGTGATTTCTGGAGTGGGGTATGGGTCTGTGGAGAATAAAAGTTTTGGCCAAATATATCTCCCTCAGCATAGTAGTAAAAAAACAAATTATCCAAGAATTCAAGTAGACAATAAAGGAAAAACAACCCCCAAATTGTTATCTCTCCTCTTCACACTTGTTTTAATCATGATTTAATCCTTTTTTTTTTAAATTTTCTGGTAAAAACCAGAAAATCTGATAGACAAATTCTAAAATACCTTTAACTCTAATATTCTTTATTTGTTTTTGTAAAGTGTTCACTGGAAAATCAAATTTCATAGGACATTTATATATGCAAATAGATTTCTTTTTTTCATTGACTATTCTACTTAACTGTATTTTTGCAGTTCTAAAATGTGTTCAAATTTCATAAGATCTCTGACATCAGAATATCTTGCAACAAATGGCTTCTTTCAGTTATATTTATAGCATGTTTTTTTCTTTTTTAATGGTTCATAAAATGAAGACACATCATACAATTTAACAGCCAAAATCATATCAAACATATTAAATGTATATCTCAAAGAATACAGCAACAACAATAAAGCCAGCAAAAAAATAACTAAATGTTCATCCTTGCCCCCTACAATTATTTTTGAAAGCTCAAGTGCACTACAAAACCAGAACAACTCCAAGCAATCAAAATTTTGAAGGGGACTCACCAGAGTTGGGATCAGAGTTGCCATCTGCTTCAGTCCTCTTGTCCGGAGAGGCCTGGTCATAGAATTCGTCCTGTGGCTGAACCAGAGGAAGAGGGTGTGAGATCAGGGTTCCACTACCCACCGGCTCATGGTCTCCTAGACCACTGTCACTGCAGCTTTCCTGGGAGCCATCAGGGAGATGAAACGTAACACGGCGCTGCGACTACAAAGAAGACCACAGGACATGCTGATTAACACTCCTCTCAAATAAAACAGGCCTAGTGGAACACAAAATCAAAACACTTTCAACAAGTAACACAATGTAAAAGCAAAATAAACCAAACTAGGAACAAAGCTAAGAACAAGTATTAATTACTTGCCATTTACTATGTAATGGCCAACCAGCAAAATACCAAAAAGAATTTCAATCTTGTATAATTCACGACCTTAAAACTAAAGTTGGGGCTTTGAAAAGTGTAACAAGAAAGGCAAAACAAAACTAAACAAAACTTATACTGTCGACAAAATTACAGAAAAAAATTAAATAAGATGAAATATGCAAATATGCTTTTGATAAATCTAAATAAATACTTAGAAAATGCAATATTTCATTTCTTTTGAATGACCAGACATTGTGCTTACTTGATGTTTTTAGGGTAACATTTGTAGTCAACATATTTCCTACAGTACCACCTCCTTTTTGTTTGTTTGTTTGTTTGTTTGAGACAAAGTTTCGTTCTTGTTGCCCAGGTTGGAGTGCAATGGCGCGATCTTGGCTCACTGCAACTTCTGCCTTCCAGGTTCAAGCGATTCTCCTGTCTCAGCCTTCCAAGTAGCTGGGATTTCAGGCGCATGCCACCATGCCCGGCTGAATTTTTGTGTTTTTAGTAGAGATGGGGTTTCACCATGTTGGCCAGGCTGATCTTGAACTCCTGACCTCAGGTAATCCGCCCGCCTTGGCCTCCCAAAGTGCTGGGATTACAGGCATGATCCACCATGCCCAGCCCACCTGCTATTTTTAAAGGACACCGTACCCATGTAAGTGTCCCTAAAGCAATACTGGAATAATTAATTAAAGTTATTATTTGAAGAGTCTCAGGATCGACTGACTGAACTAGCTGTGCTAAAATTAGTATTTTAAATAATGAAGTTCTATGCAATTGCTATTGATATACATAAAAAGAAGACTATATTTTAAAAGAGATTAAATTAGAAATTATTCTTGACCATTGACCCAGCTATCACTCTAATCTTTGGCTACACTGGTAGTAGAATAGAATATCCTAGTTGAAAGGTATTTGGAATATCACTTTGGTATCTATGTGCACAATGTCACTCTCAGATGTGACCTAAAGTGTATACATGGTAACTTCAATACATTGTCATGTTTACCAAAAAAGTTTTCTCATAAAAAATAATACATTTTAATGTTTCCTCAGCACAGATTGGTTTAGTTCTCTTGGAAAATGCTCTTTTAGCTGCTATGATCTCTGAGAATATTTATAATTATGTGGGGTGGAGATTTAGGCCTTAGAGAATTGTATGAGAGTAGTACATTTGCGCTATTTGAATAAACCTAGTTTTCTTTCTGCCTAGCAGCCAAAAGACCTTTCGATACCATGCTACATATGACCACTTAAATTCAGAATTAATAAAATGATGAATGTATATATTAAAAAATATATAATATACAAGTATATAATGTACAATATAATCATTTTCTAGTACCTAAAATTTGTGCTTTTCAAGAGACAATTTATAGATTGTATCCATTTCAAAGAAAAAGGATTGCGGTTAGAAACAAAATAGTATAGATAGGTATACTGAAACTGTATGAATGCATACTTATAGACTGACAACAGAAGACAGCCTATATCCTGTGAGTCACTGGTTCAAATCCAATTCAGAGTCATAATGGAGTAGAGATGATATCACTTTACTGCTGTTCAATGATCTGTGTGAAATGAGTTGATAGTTCAGTACATTTTTAATGAACTGATGCCAACATCACAAAAACTATAATCATAAATGGTACTAATTGCCTCTATTGTAACACATTTCACCTTCATGCACATGTATCTCAAGAACATCATTCCCTTCTCAAAGGTTTTGAAACGTGCCTAGGTGAGTGCTATAGAAAAGGCAAGCTAAGCTTGAATATTAATATCTGAAATGTATTTCTTCCTGGCTAAGAAAGATCATGCTACCATGTTTATTTATTGTAGTGTTTACTCTCTTATATATATTTAACTCTTCAGGGAAAACCAATAATACAAATATTAGCCATTTATGTTTCAATATGCCCTCAATCTATCAATATCCTTTTGTGATAAAGACTGTACTAGGAACCACAGTGCTTATTATGGATGACTGTCAAACATAGCTTTTACAGTGACTGATCTACTGAAAACTCCTAGATTTTAATGTGTCTTTGGTATTATCTCTTGAGGAATACCTCTTAACTCTGGTGAGTAAAAAGAAGTCAAGTCTTAAGAGAAAAGCAATGAAACAAATGATTCTTGAATCTTCGTAAAGCATTTCTGGAAGTCCCTTAAGCCATTAAGAAGTATATATTTGAAAGACAGAAGTAAAAAAGAAAAAAATACATCTGTGAGATTTTTTAACATAGTTAACACTGTTTTAATGACGATATTTCTTCCTCATAATGAATGTTTAAATATGCACGACTAGTTATACCTTAATCCTGCAGTTCTTGCAGGTGGTCCTTGTAACAATTTTTTATTGAGCATCTACTATATACCTGGTACAATGATTACACTGAAAAGAAAAACTAAAACATTGTTTTCCAAAACTATTTCAAATATAGCTTATTAGAGTCTGTTTCACATACACTACACTATTTTTCTTTAGCACTTTATAAGTGAGAATAAGAAAAATGTAAATTTACTATAAATTATTTGCAATTAGACACTGTAAATTGGAGTGATATAATGTTTAAACTATGGAGGCTTATGAAAATCTTTCTGAATTAATTTGACTCAGATGTTTAAGTCTTAATTGGCAGATTTGTGCACAATCTATCAGTCTGATGGGAGGGAGAGTGGTGATGTGTATGGATTAAGAATCAGTACATGGATATTACGGTATGAAGCAAATTGATGAAACAAACCCATCTTTATCATCATAATGATTGATGCAAGTAAAAGAATGTCTGAACTATCAGGGCAGATGTAAGGAGATGAACTGAATAAATTGACATGCAGAAAAACAAAGACCAATAAGGTGTAGGAGACAAGGATTTCTGTTGTGTTTAAGGGCTCAGTAGTACTTGCTCAGGTTGAACTGCAGAGCACCAATTTAAAAAGAAGCCAGAACCAGACCTCATGGCTGTTGAATGAGTTCCTGGCCTTGAGAAATAGAAAATAATACCTTGCCTGTGGAAGTGTTGAAAGGCTAAAAATAGTGTTCCTGGTATGCAATACATGACACATAGTAGATAGTGTTCCTGCTATGCAATACTTGATACATTGGAGATAGTCAATAAAAAGTAGCTATAATTATTGAAATTTAAAACTACATTTTTAAAGCTTATGGTCTATCAATATTTGGCTGGTTTTAAAGATGTGATTCCCTTATCCCCCACCCCCTCCAAAAAAGTATTGTTCTTTCACAAGTGAAATATGTGATCCACAGAATTTGGCATGCCTCACCATGCAACCTATTGATCTTGTCAATTCAGGGCCTTCTCTGAGGTGACGCAGCTCTTAGTGTGGGGTGGGAAAGACTAAAAACCAGGAATACATGTTTTCTTCCTGGAGAAAGTGAAGAGTTGCCCATTATCCTTCCAGTACATATATAATGGTATATTCAGAGGAAAAAGTGTTTACTTACTGCCTCCAAAAATTTTGCATTTTGATTCATCTTTATGGAAATAAGCTCAGTCTGGGTTATAAATGTAGTCAAATCCTGACTGGCTGAAGAGGGACAACACATATTACAGTGAGACTCCTTCAGCCTCTCCAGAGCTGGGCAGTTACATTTTGTTTTCCTAAATCTATTTCTTACCCATTCCATTTTATCCTGTGGGAAATATTTTTATTATTATTGCCTCTGTCCAGTTAATTGTTTGCATGTCACATTTGTTTACCTGATTTATCATTGACAGGTTATATACAGATTTCTGGCTGGCTTGAGAAAGAATAGGATGAAAGAAGTAACTACTAAGGCTTCCACACTTTATTTTCTGTCAGGACTGCCACTATGAATTCTGATTAGGCAAAGTTTGTATCAGAAATTCTACTCTACACAATTAATAGTGCCATGTGTTCACACATGGGGGTGTAGAGACAGGGTCCTGAAAGTCAGAAGGTGACACACTGGTTGGGTTTGAGAAATATCACCAAGAACCTCTACAATACTTTTTTCTTGCAGCTTAGAAGAAAAGCAAAAGAAGGAACATTCGAGATGCCTAATGAAGATGTACATGTCCTGCACTGAGCATTGTTCTTCAAGACTCACTGAAAGAATGAGTCACCTAAGAAATCCCAATCATTGCTTGAATGGTTCTCTTATGTTTTTCTTACTGGTATACAATAGCATTCACAAGTGAATGACTCACATTCAAGCCTACTATTTCAGTCTTATGAATTTACAGACATTCCTATGTGCAAGGATTTGGTGGTAAATGTCATTGTTTTCTGCATAAAATAGTCTAAAGGTAAGAAAACAGTAAAATGTCTAATAGATGATTAGTAAGTTATATAATATCCTGTAAAGATCACACCATATAGTTGTGTTAAGTATTGACAATACTTACAGTTATGTCAATTAATATGTATTAGCATAGAAAATATGTATAATCTATTGTTAAAGTTAAAAATCAAGTTAGTAAATATTTTGCTAAATTGAATTGCATTTTTGTTAATGTGTATGTATGTGTGAATCTGCATAAGCTAATTTCCAACCACACATATACCAAGTGTTTAAAGTAGTATTGTTTGGTCATGTGATTATGATATTCAAAAATGTTATTATTTTGACCACACTAAAATTTCAACACATTATCTTTGTAATAATAAAACATATCCCAATTTTTAATTGTTTATCTTCATCACTTATAGAAAATTAGAGCTTAATCCAGAAGAACAGAAACATTTGATATATGGTATATGGGTTTTCCCTTGAGCTAAGGTATGCCAAACAATCTTCTGATCTCTTTTCTGTTATTCTAACTTCCATTCTTCACTTTCTTTACGTAGTTTTTTAATCATCACAATTAAAGATCCTTGCCTTCTCAAGTAACATGATAACAACATGAATCTAGCACTAAGCCAATTATTACCAACTAAATAAACCAATTATCTAATTAATGACAGACATTTAAAATAATTATTGTCCAATGGAATGTTATACATTGATATTATGAAAATAGAAACAAAAAGTTATTTGTAATTGTTTAAATATGATTTTATGTATAGAGAATTCTTTAAATATCTTCTCGTGGAAACATTGTACCTAATTTTGATTTAATTCCCTTGCCATGCTTGAGCAATAATATGTCATTTATTTATCTATCATTCTAACTATGTATCTATGTATCTATCTATTGCTAAATACATACACACACACACAAACACACATACCATCAAGAAAGTACTTATGATGAACTAAAATACAAAACCATGGTAAAATTTTATATTCAAACATGTTTTTGCTATATCTCTGCATAAATCCAATAAAGATTTGATTTTTCTTTATTTGAAATATTTTCATATATATCTCTTCTCAAAGTAGCAAAGGAAATCATTCCAAAGAGGGTTAAAAAATATAGAGACTGGAAACTGCATTTTAATACACATATTTCTTATAATATTCACTAGAAATATTTTGAACTTTCTTATTTTTATAAGAACACAATTTAATTGTAATTTATAAATAGCTGTCATAAAGATAGTCTATGGTAAGTTCCTCAATACGGTCTTACCATCTTAAATCAATGCATGCACACATTTCCTCTTAATAAAATCCAAAACTCATTGTGGTTTAGAAAGTAAAGTAAATGGGACCCAAAAAGCAATCTATGGTTATGGCCTAATTTGCTATTGCTCTGAATATTTGCAGACTCGACTTAAGGGTAACAAATATTAATACACACATGTACTTCATTCATGTTTGAAAGATGAGACTTAAACCTTAAGGTTTCTGAACTTATGATTTATGGAAATTACTAGTACCTATGTGTGTTCATTCTCAAGAATAATAAATAGTTTTGACAGATAAAATTATAAAGCACTTTTCTAGTGGTAATAAATAAAATACTTTATGAGTTGAGAATTTTTTATGAGTCATTTTATCATTTGTAACTCAAAAACTGAGTTAATTTTCTATGCTGTTTATTGGAAGTACTTATGTTAAAATGGCTCCACTAATGTAGAAATCACATCCTTTTTTGAGTGGGAAATTGTTTAGAAATTTAATTTTCTGGCCAGGCACAGTGGCTGACGCCTGTATTCCGAGCACTTTGGGAGGCCGAGGTGGGTGGATCACGAGGTCAGGATATCGAGACCATGCTGGCTAACACGGTGAAACCCTGTCTCTACTAAAAATACAAAAAAATTAGCCAGGTGTGGTGGCAGGCACCTGTAGTCCCAGCTACTTGGGAGGCTTAAGCAGGAGAATGGCGTGAACCTGGGAGACGGAGCTTGCAGTGAGCCGAGATCATGCCACTGAACCCTAGCCTGGGCGAGAGAGCAAGACTCCTTCTCAAAAAAAAAAAAAAGAAATTTAATTTTCTATTTTAGTATGTTACATTTTTTTAGACAAGGAAGTAAGGTAAAGTGACTTGTCTATATAGGTTTCAATGAGAGAACCAAACTAAAAACCACAATTTCTGATTTCCAATATAAAGGTATTAGCATTGCTCATTCATCTCTTCACTTAAATAATTATTGAGTACCATTATATTCTAGACACTACTCGAGCTGCTAATACTACAATGGTGAACAAGACAAATACTATATTCCACAACTTCCTAAATAAGATCATATTCTAAAAAGTAGAATTTCATTAAGCTCCTTGCCATCAGTCCTGAGGATTGTTTTGACCAGCAGCTGTGTCACCTTTTCATAATGTCATTCTCTTCTAATTCTTGCAAACTATGCAGACTTAGGCAAGGTCAGTGTGTGAATGGGAGACTTTCACTGTATTAATCAGTAGAAATCTAGGTAAGAAAAAAAAGGCGAAGGGACTGTATTCTGAGTTTATGCCAAAACAATCTGCAGATCTGTTGCCAGCCATAAATTAAAATTTACTGCCAATTTGTGAACATAAAAAATAAAAGGAATAGAAAAGTATCAAAGACTGCTAGAGTAATTCTGGACTCAAAAACAGAATAATTGTGAATTTTGCATGTCTTAATGAGCAATTTTTTTTCATCTAGAGAGTTACAAAAATATTAACAACCTCAAATAACGATTGATGAAATCAAAACTAGCAATTTTTTATGAGGAACATATACACATGACATGTTATGAGCTTACAGTAAATATTTATTTACTGAATGAAGATGAGTTAACTGGAATTAACGTATGAAATCTAAAGGGGACAGAGTAGAAACGAAATATTATTGTCCATCCTTCAGTGTGATTTCTCACGGGAAAAGTTACCTGTCTCCTCCATAATAACTTTTAAGAGCCCTGCCCTGTTTTAGAAGTTGCAAAGTGAAACATGATAACATTCCACTAGCTGTCAGCCTTTCCTCCTTTCCTCTTTGAATTTTTACATTTTAGAAGATTTGGAGACAAATGGGAAGGTTCAGTTTGTGTTTGAGAAAAATAAGCAACAACTTCACTGATCCTATTTGATGAATGTGAAGGTGTCAGCAATTTCAAAATAAATTTTTTGATTCCTAGTTTTATGCATGCTATATAAAGTAGAAATTGGGTGCAGATGATAACTGGCCATTTAAAGTCAAGCAGTATTTTCAGAGGAAATGGGGGAGTTTGTCTGCACTCTACTTACTGCTCTTTTAACCAGTTTGCTGTTTGCCGCTAAGCAACTGCTTTGTTTGAGGATAGAGCTGTCAGCTTTTGTTCTAACTTACTACTCAACTGCATGCTTAGTTGTGGAGACTTGTTTTTATGTGTGTGGAAAACTCACATGGACTTAAACTTGGCCTGTTTGATTTGTAAATGTCTTATTGTGAAATGAGTTCCTCAAACTAAGGATCTGTATTTTTTCTGGGATTTGTAAAGTGCATCAAATACCTCTTAGGACTCCCTGTGGTAGAGAACTCATATTAATGTCATAAGGTGATAAGTAGTCTACTGTAATTTGACATTTGTTTCTTGTGATTTCAGTTAACTAGCATCTATCATGTGAAAAAACAATTGGTATCTTTAAGAAACTTGAGAGAAAAGTATACCCTATACTCCTTTTGGGTGTAGTCTTGGTGCTTGAATTTAAACATTTGAAACAAACATAAAACAAAAAACTCTCCTTCACATCTTTTTCTCCTGTGGGACATTAGAGAAAAAAGAAAGTTCTGAATCAACTTCCCTTTATGGTTTGGGGACATCGCCCCACCCTTATAAGTCTCCTCAGGGGTTCAAAGCAAACAGAGAGGATTAAAAATTGTCTGCATTGTTGGTGATTTGCTTCTTATATTCTTGTTTATTAGTTCCTGCTATCAGAAAAGTCCTCAACCTATTTCTCATTGCCCAGTAGGAATGTGGTACTTTATCTGAGCACACGAAATATAAAATGACTACATTAAACAGGAGCAGCTGTTCCTGAATCTGCAAGCAGAATTTTGCATCTATTAATGATATGTACAGAAATATGGAGGAAAAAACCCAGCAAGAGTCCTTTCCAATTTAGTTTTCTAGAAAAAACAAATCCAAATGAGAAAGTAAGTTACCCTTACCATATTTACAAAATCAGAATACATGATGGCTGTAGCAATTTAATTAGAAATTACATTAAATTATCACTATTATTAGATAAATATATAGACATCACAGATACAACATACGGTTTTAGAAAAAGGAGGCTTTACTTTGGATAACAAAGTATCACCACAAAATGTGTGATAAACCTCTTGTCAATATTTATAACAAAAATGGAATCTGATTCAGTGTCTACTACTCAAGAATTTGTCTCAGTTCCCTGTAGCAGATTTTACAAAAGAAGTAATGGGAATCACCCTAGCATTCCCCTTGTTAATAATTCTCCATACAAAGTAAGACTTTTAAAACCAAAGTAGGCCACGTTTTTAAAGTAAGTTGCAGCTTTTAGGACATAGCCCCAATTTTATACAATAATTAACCTCAGACTATGGCCAGACTGGTAAAAAAGTTTAAACAGTCACGCACCCATGCAAAGACACACACACACACACACACACACACACACATCCAAACATGCTTTAAACTGTCCTCATGTATTGCTGAAAAGGGAAAAGATTGTAATTACCTAGTAAGAATGAAAACTAGTAATTCAAGCCTTTAAAGGACAGATAATGTTATTCCAAGTTAGAGAATGAAACACAAATAGAGGGGTTGAAGAAGTGATCTCGGCAGAAAGTCTCTGAGAAGTACGATTACTGTACAATAAGGTTGTTTAAAAAATGCTCATGACGGATTGTTAATTTGCACCTATAATGTAGCATAATCTGTTTCAACTGATCTTGTGTCACACAATGCAGTTTTGTTTCATTTATTTAACTTTTGGATTTTTTTTTTCTTTTTTATGGAGTCTCACTCTGTCTCCCAGGCTGGAGTGTAATGGCACAATCTCGGCTCACTGCAACCTCTGCCTCCCGGGTTCGAGCAATTCTCCGGCCTCAGCCTCCCGAGTAGTGGGATTACAGGTGCTTCCCATTGCATTCAGCTAATTTTTGTATTTTTAGTAGAGATGGAGTTTCGCCATGTTGGCCAGCTAGGCTGGTCTCAAACTCCTGACCTCAAAAGTAGTGAAGGAGTTAAGAAGCTCCTTCCAGTAGTCCTAGATCATGTAATGGAGATCTATCACTGACAGATCATGGATTATGATTAATTCTGAGCCATCAGTCACATCTTTTTCAGCAAAAAAAGAAAAATGTCAATGGGAATGATGTACCCCTGTAGCACAGCTTTCTAGTCTATGATTCAAGGAGACAGCCATATAACTATTAATTAGCATAGGATTCACAAAAACAAGCAGTCACGTTAAAGAACTTGATCCTCTTCAGTAGGTTAATGGGAGGATTAATTTGTATGGAGAAAGTGCATGGTCATGCATAGTCTACAAAATGTAGGTAAAGATCCTAATTACACTCGCAGTGTATGGAAATATGTGCGTGCAAGAACAGAACATGACAATGAGACTATTGACAAATTACCGCATTCTCTCCTCCAGGCTCTACTAAAAGCATGACATGTATTTGAGAAATGTTTTCCAGAATTGAGGAGAGAGGGGAAACAACAGATATGGAAGGGACTGTCTCTAGCCATATAGAACACACAAAAAAGCATCCTTTGAATTTCATCTTAAATCTTAGACTTATTAATGCATGATATGAAGGGACAGATAGATGATGGATGGACAGAGAGATATAGGTAGTTAAGTAGATAGAAATATCGATATGGGTTGACTATCCAATGCAAAACTGTGTCTGTATTTAACTACCAAATAAAAAAAGAAAGTTACAAAAAATTCATGTATTTCTTCTTAGTAATGGTATTGTGAAAAATGTTTGTATTGTGAAGTGCAAGCATATTCTAACTGGCCTTCTTTTAATTTTCTCAAAGGGTTTCAATGAAAATATTGTTTGCAGTTGAAATATTTTGATTAGAAATGTGTAATATTCAAGCACTATTTATTTACTTCCAGTTATGTAAGTGAGGAATAAAATAAAGATACTTTTAAGATATAGATAAAATGTATATATACATTTGTGAGCATATGTATAGGTATCTATATATTCATGTAACAAAACTGATGCACAAATACCAATACAAACATGCTATATGTGTCTTAAAATGTGGAATTTATATTTTTAGACAGTAAAATTGTCAAACATATCTGAGATCTTTACTTATTAATGTTGAAAATAAAATCCAAACTTTATTAACTTAATCTCAGAAAGCCTAAATTAATGAAGATAAATTCTGATATATGTTATAGTCCAAAAAAGGCCTTTTTGGCTATGTTTGGTGCTATGTAACATATAGCCTGACCAGGTAACAAAAAATTATTTGTTTAGAAATATTTCATTGAGTGTAGAATTCATCATATGCAATTGTGGTTATAAGATGAGAAAAACACATCCTGAATTAACAGAAATCTTATAAAGTATCTATTCTGTTCTTTATTAGGTACTTAATGATTCATATGCTATGGCAGTAACACCACTAGATTTTTTAAAGTTTTCAAATTTATGGTTTTGAATTGTTTTGAAACCTTGCATATTATACGACACAGCCTCAAGGTGTCAACACTTTGCCTTTCACGACCTGATTTTATTTTTTCAAACACCTAAAATACATTAGAAGTAGTGAACAGTATTTTTTAAAAAAAGAAATCATAAAGTAAAAATGGCACATTTTCTTCAGTAGCTTAAAAATTATATTTGAGGAATTCCAATATAATTGGAATTCCATTAGAAAAGTGGAATTCCAAATATTTTGAGAAATCACAATATTAAGGGTAGCTACGAATGAGGGCAAATTTGAAGGACAGCACTTATTTAAATGCATAATTTCTGTTCTTTAAATAAAGATCAGTCTCAATTTTATTCTCAACTTATATGCAGAAATGTTCTTTTTGGCTCATAAATTTAGTAATAATAATAAAGGCAGTATGGTATGAGAGAATGCGATGAATAATGATAGACTTCATAAGCGGTTTTGAATCATAGAAATCTGAGAAAAAGCTTATAAAACAAGTTTCCAACATACAAATTGAAAAGTAACATTCAGATATGGAAATAATATCAAGATATTTTGGGAAGTTTTAATAAACATTAATCAGTAGATGGAAAAACACTGATGACCTGATAAGCTGGAGGAAAATATGTTTTAAGCCTCTCTTGCTTTAAAAAATATAATATGTAACTACCTACTCTACTCAGCTAGAATCAGAGTCCTTATAATGATCTTAAGGAAACAGAGAAACTAACCCAGTTGGAATAAACATGAATAAGATTTTATATCTCTTTTCTCCCGGGTAGAGGAGTCTTTGTTCTGAACAGTCGAAGTAGCTGGACTTCATTTTTTTTTAATCCACCTATTATTTCAGACAGTCACTGTGACTTTGAGCCTGATATTTGAAACAAAAATCACTCCTACATTTCAGCGATAACCGCTACTTGCCCTATGGCTTTTTAGTTAGTCTGTCCTTTGAAAACATTACCGAGTCACCTATCTCAGTTATTTGTGCACTAAGGATAATTTGTTTCTTCTGGATACAAATATAAAATTCAAACGTATGTCAAGAACTTCTATATGTCAAAAGCTTCTGTAAGTTTAGGTAGCTTCTGTAAAATGCTGAATTGTACTAAAAAATGTAGTTACTTTAGAAGGCATGACACTCTCAAACATTATGTTCTAAATGTGGATAGAGCAATCTAGAAGGTAAACATCCTAAAATAGTAGCAATATGTTTTTTGAAGATAAAAATGTAAACACCAGTAAGTTCTCTTGACTCTAAGATCTAAAGGATATACACAGAATTGCCTTCTAATTTTTGTCTAGGGCAGAGAGGGAAAGATAGTTTCCAAATAAAACATGTACAAAATTTCCCACACCTGGAGGGAACTTACTGTCTAACACAATTTGCCCTATGCATTAAAATTTAAGAACAATAAGACAGCCTGCAATTAGAAAAAATACATTAAATTTTCTAAAATTTATACATAGGCTCACAAATATCAGAAACATATTATTGTATGTATATAATGTTAAAGATGATGAACAAATTGCTAGCCTGAAATGACTTTTTCAATGAAATTATTAGAGTCAACAATTGCTTAAACATGTGTATTTAAACAAAATGGAGGATAAATACAATACATAATTAAAAGAAATATTTTATTATCTAGGGTATAAAAAAACATGATAAGTTAACACTAACATTAACTATGAATTTTATTAATAAAAAATGCATCAATACTGGCTCATCATATGTAACAGATGCTACACTCATGCAAAATGTTAAATCGTAGGGAAAACTGTGTTCAATAAGACAGTGTATATAAGAATTCTTTGTACTTTGGGCACAATTTTTCTGTAAACCTAAAACTGCCCTAAAAATAGTCTTAAAAAAAGATTAGAAAGAGGAAGTAGACAAACTTTTGTAGTAAAAATAACAGACTTCGGGCAATTTTCAAATCATTTAAATGATAGCACTGTTCAATATTATGTTGAATCTTACTTCTATTGAGCTTGTGTGCATGCATGCATGTGTGTTAGTGATATAGATAATTATGTATCATCATTCTTATATTTAGCTCTGAATGGGCCATTTTACATCAGTCATCAAGGCTCTATATTCACATAATTACATATATTTCAAAAAAAAGTACTTCTGCTTCCACAAATTTGTAATTGTGGTCCTCAATTGTCCTCGGCTTCTATTTTTTAATTTTTTAAACAGTATAGACTTTAAAGTTTCTACATTAAATAGCCATTTAAAAATATTTTATAATGATTTAAACAAATGTTTATTCTCCAAGAGACATATTTCAGAGAGCTAACTTCATGAAGATGAAATGAAATGCTCCTCATATTAGAAAATAATTCTGATCTAGTTCATGTCCTGGTCTGACAGATGGAAGAAGATAGATGATGGCACTTTGAGAATTAAGAAATCACCTTTCCTGGAACAGATCATAGAGCGTACTGTCTGTAGAAGGCATCTTATCTGAGGCTTTACCAGCTGATAAAGCACATAGAGAATGCAGTTCAGACATCTTGTTTTATCACTGACTTTTCATAAATATGAAAATCTAGAAGAGTTTCATCAGATTTGCAGTTTGGGTGATAACCAATCAAACGCAGCAGTTCAGCAATATTAGTTACTAAGAAACTCTGATAGAAAAAAGTTATTTTAGTGCATGAGTATGATCTTATGACCCCTTCCTCCTCCCCATCACCCATGCATATAATCTCCCGTAGTGTTTGCAGGGCAAAACTGTTAGAAGAAAAAAGTACAATCATAGTGTTTCTGGTAAAAGAAGAAGTTGAAAATCAACAATTTGAGATATAAATATATTTTAGCAACATTGTTTTAAAACTTCCAATCTGTTCTCCTTACTAATTTCATTACTAGTTTCCAAACTGCATGCGAGAGACATTCATATTAAAAAAATAGAGTACAAGAGAAAGTAGCTAAATTATGAGTCCTTATAAAACTGATATTTCTAAAACTAAAACATAAAAAGAATTTGAAAACGTGGAAAATGCCTGCTAAAATAGAAGGATATAAGATACACTTGTAAATGTGGAGAAAATATTCTAGGATAGAAGAGTTTAAGAAAAGTTGAGACTCCCTAGAGCTCTTTAGTCAGCTATTCAACAAACATTGTTGATCACCTACTTTCTATCAGAGACCCTGTTAGATATTGAGATTTTTGTCAATCAAGACTGGTACAGTCTCTCCATTCATAATGTTTATAAAGTAGTAAATGAAATAGAATAGAACCAGTAATTACAAATGAAATAGGTATTATGAAGAAGAAATTCAGGGTACAATAGAAATAAGTAACAGAAAGATCCAATCTATACAGGGAAGTCTTCCAGTAAGGGATATAGCAGGACATGAAGGGCCACTTGGCTTACACTGGGAGGCTACAATTCAAAGTCCCACTAGCTTATAATTCTATGCAAAACAATGAAATAATAACTCTACAAAAGCCGCCTCTTGTCAGCTTTGTTTGAATTCCTGTGTGGAACACAAACTCTGTATCCCTGGAATAAAACTAACAAGAAAGATTCTAGATGTTACTGAAACATGTTTCCCAAAGCTTCTAGAGTTCTCTTATTTTTACTCTGTCCCTCTAAATACATTAACATAAACAGAGATGTAGTGATGTTTACCTTTTCAGGATTGAATTATTAAGTTGCAATAATGCTGGGTGCTTAATAATGGTATCCTGATACACTTCCATTGTTTCTTTTCAGATTTCTTAATATAGCTGGGATTTTCACTGTATTTTCTGAAATTATTATCAAAATCATACATTAAGAAAATTATGACCAGCTATAGCTAGAAATATAAATTTCTAAAAGGCAGGAACCATGTCTTATTTGAATTGATATATCTAGCACTTCACATCATGCTTAGCACACGACAAGAAATATGTGTTGAATGAAAATATACAACCATGTACATAATCAGAAACTATTTTTTCCTTAATGACAGTAAAATGAAATAACTGACTTGACTTCATTTTTCTTAACATGAAAAACTGTTACTTATCTGCTCAGAAAAAAATACTGAAAAGAGAGATGGAGCAAGATGGCTGAATAGAAGCCTTCACCAATCGTCTTCTACACAGAACATCAAATTGAATAACTATCCACACAAAAAAAGCACCTTCATAAAAACCAAAAGTCAAGTGAATGATCACAGGACTTGGTTTTAACTTTATATCATTGAAAGAGGCGTTGAAGAGGGGTAGAAAAGAAACTCTTGAATTGCCAACACCACCCTTCTTCCATGCCCCAGCAGTGGCTTTGTGGTGTGGAGACAGTATCTGTACACTTGAGGGAGGGAGAGCGCAGTGATTGTGAGACTTTGCATTGGAACTCGGTGCTGCCCTGTCACAGTGGAAAGCAACACTGGGCAGAACTCAGCCAGTGCCCATGGAGAGAACATTTAGACCAGCCCTAGCCAGAGGGGAATCACCCATCAAGTGAGTTCCAGCAAGCTTTGCCACCAAGACCTAAAGTGCTCTGGAGTGCTAAATAAACTTGAAAGGCAGTCTAGGCCACAGGGACTGCAATTCCTAACCAAATTCTGATGCTATTCTGGGCTTGAAGCCCAGTGGACTTGGGGAGTAGGTGACTTAGTGAGACACCAGCCAGGGTTTCCAAGGAAATGCTTGCACTATCCTCCCCCATCCCCAGGCTGTACAGCTTGCGGCTCCAGGGGAGACTTCCTCCTTTTACTTGAGGTGAGGAGAGGGAAGAGTAAACAGGACTTTGTCTTGCAACTTGCTTACAAGCTCAACCATAGTAGGATAGAGCACCAGGCAGAGTCTTGAGGCCCCCAATCCAGGCCCTAGCTCCCAGATGACATTTCTAGATACTCCCTGGGCCAAAAGGAAAACTGCTGTCTTGAAGGGAAGGACCCAGTCCTGGCAAGGTTAATCACCTGCTGACTAAAGAGCCCTTGGGTCCTGAATAATCAGCAGCGGTAGCCAGGTAGTACTCACCATGGCCCTTGGGTGAAACTCAGAGATGTGTTGGCTTCAGCTGTGACCGAGAACATTCCCAGCTGTGGTGGCTATGGGAGAGAAAAATCTTTCTGCTTGAGAAGGTGGGAGAGAAGAGTAAAGGGGGCTTTGTCTTGCAGCTTATGTACCAGCTCAACCACAGTAGGATAAAACATCAAGTGGGTTCTTGGGTTCTCTGATTTCAGGCATTGGCTGTTAGACAGCATTTCTCTACCTGCCCTGGGCTAGAGGGGAGCCCATTGCCTTGAAGGGAGTGTCTCATACTCACGAGCATTCACCAGAAGCTGACTGAAGAGCCCTTGGGCCTTGAGTGAACATCAGTGGTAAGCAGGCAGTACCTGCTGTGGGCCTGGGGAAGAGACGGCCAGGGGGAGAAATTCTACTACTTGTGGAAAGGAGAAGAAAGGGTGGGAAAATCTTGTCTTTTGGCTTGGGTGCCAGCTCAACCACAGTAAAATAGTGCACCAGAGAGATTCCTAAGGTTTTCAATTCCAGGCTTTGGCTTCCAGACAACATCCCTGAATCTGCCTGGAGCCAAGATAAACTCAATGCTCTGAAGAGAAGGACACAACCTAGTTGGCTTTGCCACCTGCTGACTGTACAGTGCTAGAGACTTGGGCAAACATAGGTGGTACCCAGGCAGTGGTTACTGCAGGCTGGGGGTGAGACCCAGTGCTATGCTGGCTTCAGGTCTGAACCAGTGCAGTCACAGTGGTTGGGTGGCCACAGGAGTGCTTGAGTCACCCCTCCTCCAGCACCAGGCAGCTCAGCACAAAGAGAGAGACTCCATTTGTTCAGGAGAAAGTAAGGGAAGAGAACAAGATTTTCTGCCTGTAATCCAGAGAATTCTTCTGGACCTTATCGTAGACCACCAAGGTGGTACCTTCAAAAGTCAGCAAGAGCCACAGTGTTACTGACCTTGGGGTGCCCCCTAATGCAGATGCAGCTGCAATAATCAAAAACTTAGGTCACAACACCCAACTCCCTTGGAATACCTGGAAAGCCTTTCCAACAAGGATGGGTACACAAAAGCCCAGACTGTGAAGACTGCAATAAATACCTAACTTTTCAATGCCCGGAGACCAACAAACATTCTCAAGTATCAAGACCATCCAAGAAAATCTCACCTCACTAAAAAAAACTAAAAAAGGCATCAAGGATCAATCCTGGAGAGACAGAGATATTTGACCTTCCAGACAGAGATTCAAAATAGCTATTTTTAGGAAAGTCAGTGAAATTCAAAATGACACAGAGAAGAAATTCAGAATCCTACCAGATATATTTAACAGAAAGTCTGAAAAAATTTTAAAAAACCAAGCATAATGCAATTGACATACTAAACAATGTGTCAGAGTCTCTTAACAGTAGAAGATCAAGCAGAAGAATTAGTGAGCTTGAAGACATGCTACTTAAAAATACACTGTCAGAAGAGACAAAAAACGAATGAATAAAAAAGATTGAAGCCTTCCTACAAGATCTAGAAAATGGCCTAAAAAGGGCACATCTAAGATTTGTTGGTCTTAAAGAGGAGGTGGGGTTTGGGGGAGAAGGTTATTCAAAGGGATAATTACTGTAAACTTCCCTAACATAGAGAAACATATCAATATTCAAGTAAAATAAGGTTATATCAGAGCACCAAGTAGATTTAACTCAAATAAGACTACTTCAAGACACTTAATAATCAAATTGTCAAAGGCCAAGGATAAAGAAAGGATCTAAAAACAGCAAGAGAAAAGAAAAGTATGAGACAATGGAGCTCCAATACATCTGGCAAAAGACTCTTCAGTGGAAACCCTATAGGCTAGGAGAGAGTGGCATGACATATTTGAAGTGCAAAAGAAAAAAAAACTTTTATCCTAGAACAGTATATCAAACAAAAACATCCTTCAAACATGAAGGACAAATAAAGAGTTTCCCAGAAAAACAAAAGCTAAGGGATTTCATCAACACCAGACCTGCCCTAAAAGAAATGCTAAAGGGAATTCTTCAGTCAGAGAGAAAAGGATACTAATGAGCAATACAAAATCATCTGAAGATACAAAACTTACTGGTAATAGTAAGTAACGGAAAAACACAGCATTTTATAACACTGTTCTTGCGGTGTTTAAACTACTCATTTCTTGAGTAGAAAGACTAGAAGGTGAATTGATCAAAAATAATAACTACAGTCACATTTCAAGACATCAATGGTACAAAAAGATATAAATAGAAAAAACAAAAAGGTAAAAAGCAGTGGGGCAAAGTTAAAGTGTAGAGTTTTTATTAGTTTCTTCTTCACTCACTTGTTTGTTTCCTTAGACAATCCGTGTTAGTTATCATTATTTTACAATAATGCATTATAAGATATTATTTGGAAGCCTCATAGTAACCTCAAATTAAAAAAAAAACACAAACACACAACAGATACAAAAAAATAAAAAGCAAGGAATTCAAACATACCACCATAGAAAACCACCTTCAGTAAAAGGAAGATAGGAAGGAAGAAAAGAAAGAAGAGAAGGCCACAAAACAACCAGAATACAACAAATGGCAGGAGTAAATCTTTACTTACCAATAATAACATTGACTGTAAATGAACTAAACTGTCCAATCAAAAAAAATAGAGTAGCTGAATGAAAAAATAAGAACCAATGATCTGTTGCCTGCAATAAACACACGTCACCTATAAAGACACACCTAGACTGAAAATAAAGGGATAGGAAAAGTCATTCTATGCAAATGGAAACTAAAAAAGAACAGAGTAGCAGTATTTGTATCAAACAGATTTAAAGACAAAAACTCTAAAAGAGATGCAGAAGAGCATTATATAATGATAAAGGGGCCAATTCAGCAAGAGTATATACCAATTGTAAATATATATGTACTCAGCACTGGAGCACCCAGATTTATAAAACAAATATTATTACAGCTAAAGAAAGAGATAGACCTCAATACAATAATAGCTAGAGACTTCAACACCCCACTTTCAACATTGAAAAGATCAACCAGACAGAAAATCAACAAAGAGTAAGGGGACGTTGTCTTGCAAAGTCCCCTTCACAGTGGACTTAGTATACCCTATAGACCAATTGAACTTAATGTACACTATAGACCAAAAGGGCCTAATAGATATTATATAATATTTCATCCAACAGCTGCAAAATACACATTATTCTCCTCAGTACATGAATCATTCTCAAGGGTAGACCATATATCAGGCCACAAGACAAGTCTCAAAAATATAAAAAAACATTGAAATTATATCAAGTATCTTCTCTGATCACAATAGAATAAAACTAGAAATCAATAACATGAGGAATTTGAAAACTATACAAATACATGAAAATTAAATAATACATGCCTGAATGACCAGGGGGTGAGTGAAGAAATTAAGAAGGAAATTTTTTAAGTTCTTGAAACACATAATTATGGAAACACAACATACCAAAACCTATGCGATACAGCAAAAACAATACCCAAAGTAAAATTTATAGGTATAAGTGCCTACATCAAAAAAGCAGAAAAACTTCAAGTAAACAACCTAAAAATGCATCTTAGAGAACTAGAAAAGAAAGACCAAAGTGAACCTAAGTTAGTAGAAGAAAAAAAATAATACAGATCAGAGGAGAAATAAATGAAAAAAAGTACAATTGATCAATCAAACAAAAAAGTGTTTTTTAAATAAAATCCACAAACCTTTAGCCAGACCAAAAAGAAAAGAGAGAAGACCCAAATAAATAAATTAGAGATGAAAACTGAGACATTACCACTGATACAACAGAATCAAAGATCTAGAGGTTAATATGAGCAACTATGTGCCAATAAATTGGAAAACCTAGAGGAAATGAATAAATTCCCAGACACATACAACCTACAAAGATTGAACCATGAAGAAATCCAAAACCTGAACATACCTATAACAAGTAATGAGATCAAAGCTGTAATAAAGTACTAAAAAGTCTCCCAGCAAAGAAAAGCCTAAGACCCAATGATTTCACCATTGAATTTTACTAAACATTTATTTAAAGAACTAATACCAATCTGACTAAAACTATTCCAAAAAATAGATGAGGAAGGAATGCTTCCAAACTCATTCCATGAGGCCAATTTTACACTGATACCAAAACCTGACAAAAACACATTAAAAACAGAAAACTATAAGCCAATATCCCTGATGAACATTGATGCAAATATCCTCAACAAAATGCTAGCAAATCAAGTTCAACAACACATTAAAGGTAACTCATTATGACCCAGTGAGATTTATCCCAGGGATGTAATAATGGTTCAATATATGCAAATTGCTCAATGTGATACATCATCTCAAGAGAATGAAGAGCACAAACCATAACATCCTTTCAACTGGTGCTGAAAAAGCTTTTGATAAAGTTCAATACCCTTTATGATAAAAACACTCAAAAAACTGGGTAGAGAAATAACGTACCGCAATACAATAAAACCATATATGACAGACCCAGAGCTAGTGTCATACTGAATGGAGAAAACCGAAAACCTTTCCTCTAAGATTTGGAAGAAGGATGCCCATCTTCATCACTGTTATTCAACATATTACTGAAAATCCTAGTTAGAACAATTACACAAGAGAAATAAATAAAGGGCATCCACACTGGAAAGGAAGAAGCCAATTACCCTTGTTTGCAGATAAAGAACCTAAAGACTCAATCAAAAAATGATTAGAACTGATAAAGTCAGTAAAGCTGCAGGATACAAAATTAATATATAGAAATCAGTAGCATTTATTTATGCCAACAGTGAACAATCTGAAAAAGAAATCAAGAAAATAATCCCATGTACGACAACCACAAATAAAATAACATACTTAGGATTTAACTTAACCAAAGAATGGAAAGATATCTTCAATGAAAACTGTAAAACATTGATAAAAGAAATTAAAGAGGTCACACAAAAAAGGAAAGATATCTATGTTCATGAATTGGAAGAATCAATATTGTTAAAATGTACATACTACCTAAAGTAATATACAAAGTTGGTTCAATCTGTAAAAAAAAAAAATCCAATGATATTCTTCACAAAAAACAATTTTAAAAAGTCCTAAAATGTATATGGAACCACAAATTACCCAAACCAATCCTGAGCAAAAATAAGAAAACTGGAGGAATCACATTATCTGACTTCAAATTATACTACAAAGCTATAGTATCCAAAATAGCATGGTATTGGCATGAAAACAGGCACATTTACCAATTGAATAGAATAGAGAACAAATGGAGAAACAAAATAGAGACACAAATCCATACATCCACAGTGAACTCATTTTTGACAAAGGTATCAAGAACATACATTGAGGGAAAGGATAGTCTCTTCAATAAAAGATGCCATGAAAACTGCATATCCACATGCAGAAGAATGAAACTAGATTTCTATCTCTTGCCACATACAAACATCAAATAAAAATGTATTAAAGACTTAAATCTAAGACCCCAAACCATGAAACTATTAAAGAAAACACTGGGGAAACTCTGCTGGACAGTGGTATGGGCAAAGATTTCTTAATAATACCCTACAAGCACAGACAAACAAAGCAAAAATAGACAAATGAGATCACATCAAGTTAAAAAGCTTCTTCACAGCAAAGGAAAGTCTGTTTCCTTTGTTGTCTAACAAAGTGAAGAGACAGTCCACTGAATGAGAGAAAATATTGGCAAACTATCCATCTGACAAGGGCTTAACAACCAGACTATATAAGGAGCTCAAACAAGTCAACAGGAAAAAAACCCTATTAATCTGATTGTAAAATGGTCAAAAGATCTGAATAGACATTTCTCAAAAGAAGACATACATATGGCAAACAGGTAAATGAAAAGGTGCTCAACATCATTGATCATCAGAGAAATGTACATCAAAACTACAATGAGATATCATCTCACCCCAGTTAAAATGGCATTTTTCCAAAAGACAGGCCATAACAAAATGCTGGCGAGGTTGTGGAGAATAGGGAACCCTGGTACACTGTTGGTGGGAATGTAAATTAGCACAATCACTATGGAGAACAGTTTGGAGGTCCCTCAAAAAAGTAAAAATAGAGCTACCATATGATCCAGCAATCCCTCTGTGAGGTATATACCCAAAAGAAAGAAAATCGCCGGGCACGGTGGCTCATGCCTATAATCCCAGCAGTTTGGGAGGCCGAGGTTGGCGGATCATGAGGTCAGGAGACCCAGACCATCCTGGCTAACACACTGAAACCCCGTCTCTACTAAAAATACAAAAAAATTAGCTAGGCGTGGTGGCGGGCTCCTGTAGTCCCAGCTACTTGGCAGGCTGAGGCAGGAGAATGGCTTGAACCCGGGAGGCAGAGCTTGCAGTGAGCTGAGATCGTGCCACTGCACTCCAGCCTGGGCGACAAAGCGAGACTCCGTCTCAAAATTAAAAAAAAAAAAATAGAAAGAAAATCAGTATGTCAAAGAGACATCTGCACTCCCATGTTTATTGCAGCACTATTCACAATCGCAAGGATCCAGGATCAACCTGAAGTGTCCATCAGCACCCAATATGTGGTACATAAACACAATGGAATATTACTCAGATAAAAAAGAATGAGATCCCATCACTTGCAACAACATGGATGGAACTGGAAGTTATTATATTAAGTGAAATAAGCCAGGCACAGAAATACAAACTTCAAATGTTCTCACTTATCTGTGGGAGCTAAAAATCAAAACAATAGAACTCATGGAGATAGAGCGTAGAAGAATGGTTACCAGGGGCTGGTAAGGGTAGTGGTGGGGGTGGAGACATGGGGATGGTTAATGGGTACAAAAATATAATTAGAAAGGATGAATATAATCTAGTATTCCATAGCACAACAGGGAAACTACAGTCAACAATAATTTATTGTATATTTTAGAATTACTATAAGAGTATAATTAGATCACTTACAACACAAATAAAGGATAAACACTTGAGGTGAGGGATACCCAGTTATCCTGATGTGATTATTAAGCATTGTATACCTGTATCAAAATCTTATGTACCCTATAAATATGTGCACCTACTGTGTACACACAAAAATTAAAAATTAAAAATTAAATACTGAAAATTCATTTGAGTTGACATATAGAAAAAAAGACAAACAGATATACTTGTTGTTTGTTGTTGTCTGTTTGTTTGTTTGTTTGGTGACAGACTCTCTCACTGTCACCCAAGCTGGGTGCAGTGGCATGACGACCTCAGCTCACTGCAGCCTTTGACCTCTTGAGTTCAAGCAATCCTCCCACCTTAGCTTCCCAAGTAGTTGGGACTACAGGGGTATGCCACAATGCTCAGGTAATTTTTGTTTTTGTTTTTGTTTTTGTTTTTTTGTAGAGACGGGGTTTTGCCATGTTGCCCAGGCTGGTCCCTAACTCCTAAGCTCAAGCAATACACTCACCTTGGCCTACCAAAGTGCTAGGATTATAGGGGTGAGCCACCATACCCTGTGGCATTTTTTTTTTAAATAATTAAAAAATGATTCTGTAGAAGTGTTGATTGTCTGAAAGGAGTTTTCCTGAAGGCCTTTCAACAAGTTGCATTTATGCTCAGAATGTCTTCTTTTCTGGGAACTACAGAAGACAAAAAAAATGGAAAAGAAAATAAAGAATCACAGCCTGAATTTCAACCATGAAAAACAGTAGTTAAGAGTGAGTGAGTACTGTGTGACAAATGGTAAAACTCTTTTTCTGATCATGGGTAAAATAAAATAAGGCCCAAAAGAGCTGTACAGAATAAGGACTAGAAAGGAGAAAAGTGCTTTCCAGCATTTCTTTATTCTCACATGGGAAAATATTTAAATATTAATAATTTTAAATAATAAAATTCTTAATGTTAAGGACTATTCAATGCAATGAAATGCTGAAATAAGGCAATTTTGGCTAGAATATTTTCCAATGTAATCTTTTTAATGTGCTTTTTCTTCATATAAAGTCAGTCCTTTAAAATATTTAGCTTAACTATATTTTTAAAATTATAATGCATGAATTTAATATAATCTGAGTGTAAAATGATTTATCAAGGGAATATATATATTTATAAAAAGTGTTAAGACAAATAAGGCTTAGCAATATTAAAATCCTAAAAATTATCATTGTACAAGTTATTTCTTAAGCATTTTGTCGATGAATAATTTGTTGCTATGGTAATTTGTAGGTATATTTTGACACAGCAAGAATGATATCTTTTGCTTAAATCAAAAAACATCCTAAAATGTATTTACTCCTAATTGTGTTTAATTTCATATTACAGTGATTAATCAGACTGAATGTCTTTATTTTCCGCTGTTCTAGCTACAAGAAATGATCTCTCCTGTTTTTATCCTATTATAAGGATCGTTATAAAAATGGAAAACAATTAACACAGGGTTTAATGCCTGAGTGCTATAGAGCTGAAGTAATTGCACTCAAGGTCTGCTAACTTTTTAATCAGGCATTTGGTTGCAAGCTGCTCACAATTGATTCTAAGAGAACTAACACTATCTGAAGAAGAAGGCAGGTGTGCCAGAAAAGCAGGCATGTTGGCAAAACAAATGAAATATTTTAAAAGGAAAAGCAAAAAAAAAAAAAGCAAAATCAAAGCAAACTTCTTGTCAGCAGGCCATTTTCTTGGCTGAGCCTGTTACTGAACAAAGTCAGTATATGCACAAGCACTGTGGTGGAAGCCCCACTGACCTGCTACTGCTTTCAAAGTGGAGCACTAAAGCTTAGCATTGAGGAGCCCTGTCCATCCCAACATTAGTGAATTGAGTTAATTAACAGAGAAGGCTTGCAATTTCCATATTCAGTAGAGTTAAGACACCATCAGAGGTTTCTGGAATTACATTCTAATTAGAAAAGTTTCCTTTTCTTCTCATTCAGGTTACTCTTTGAAAACAAATTTGTTCTTTCATAAAGGAAAAAAAAAATTCTGCAGTTTTCTTTTGAAAGCTAATTATTTCCTTTCTTTTTCTTTCTTTAATAAGTGTCATTCTCCAGCTGTGAAAGTGATGCCTTCTAGGCATGTTGCACATATTTAAAGGTACACATGTTGCTTAAGAGCACTGGGGGCCTTGGGGATGGTGGGGTGGGGGGGCGGTTAAAATGCCCTCTTCTGTAGTTTCTTGAAAAAGGAGCCGCTAAGAGTTAATACTCCTGTGAAAGTGCTTCATATTCACTAGAGAATATTCTGACAAGTAGGGGGATATTTACAAAATTCCAAGTTTGAAATTTTTTTATGATATGAGTTAGGTACAGTGTTGATCTCTCTTTATACAGAAAGAGGAAACCAAATGAAAGATTTGGGTATTTACCTCGTGGATTCCAAGACGCTTGCTATTTCTTTCTTAAATCCCCAGAAGGAAATGAGAGCATCTGAACTTTTAAAAAGGAGTATAAAGCAGAAATAGCTCTTGCAGCAGAAGAGCAAGTCAGAGCAAGAGGAACAAGGAAAAGAAAACAACAGAAATGAGCTTCCTCAGACAAAAGCCTATGTCCATTTTAATTACACCGATTTGCCTAGACCACCAGGCAATCTATGTTAGAATTCATTAGCGTGGCTCGGGGTCCAGAATAAGTTATACAGAGATCAGTGGATATAAAACATTATAACCAATTACACAAGTTTCTACTCCAGTTCCAGAAAAGTTATGGAAGTCTCAGTTCCTGTGTGTGCCATCACTTTAGCCTCCAGGAAGCTATCTCTTAGTCTCTCCTACTGTAAACATGTCTCCCTGAGTCACCACAGCATCTGTTGTTTCTAGGTGAAGGACTAATACAAATAACAGGGAGGCGCCTGGCATCTGGCCACCTGAACACAAAGTCACTTAATCATACGGGAGTCTCTTCATTGCTATGATCTCAAGCATTTCAGGAAGAATGCCAAATGGAGAACAAAGAGACTGGCAGGCAAAGAGCTCCTGGTTGCCTGGATTACGTCACAAGCATAGTTTTTGCCAGATTAACATCTATGCTTTTACTGACTCCAAATGTGACTTTAAACAAAAATTCTCATTCTCTGTGCAGTATTTTACAGCAATTGGAAATCCAGTATTGAAGCGATTCTTTGGAATCCAGCAGATCTGAATGATGGGTGTGAGTGCATGTGCATATGTGAATTATATTCTAAGAACTCGTGGAAATAGATGTCATAATATCTCCTCCTGCCAATGGAGCAGGGAACAACATCCTACACTCCTGGGCATATCTGTGAGTGTAAAGCATCACCACTTACAAGGATTACCTGTTTATTATGATGTGCATTATTAGCCTAATGCTTACTCTTTCAGAGCCTGCACATCAAAGAAATCTACAGTCCAATCGGCCCTCTGTGTTCCAGGGTTCTGCATCCTCAGATTCAACAGACTGCAGGTTGAAAATTCACAAAATAAAAATGCTTCTTAAAAAATGGCATTAAAGAGAAAAATACAGTGTAACAACTATTTACATAGCATTTAAATTTTACTGGGTATAAGAAATCTAGAGATGATTTTTAAAATATGGGAGGATATGCCTAGGTTATATGCAAGAACAATGCCATTTTCTATCAGGTACTTAAACATCTGAAGATTTTGGTATCTTCTGGGTTCCCAAAACCAGTCCCCCGATTGTACTAGTAAAACCTTGCTTTTGTTAGATTTTGGTTGTTTGAATTTTTTGTGTTGAGTGGAAATAATGAATACAATAATCAGAAACACTATTACTTTGAGATATGTTTAATTTGTAAGTAATGTTTATATCTCTTTGAATTTCCCAAGTTGATATAAAAACACATTTATTTTAGGTTAAGAGGTACCTTTAGCTTTTAAAGATTATTTATGTGTCTGTTCCAGTCTATTGCTTAAACTATAGAATAAACAATTCTTAAGGGTAATATTTAGTCATGATCATTTATTGGTTAATTTACTTTTTATTTTTATGTCCTTCCTCAAAACTTTCATGAATGTATATACATATAGCAATCAATTTTATCTTTTCTCTACAGCATTAACATGAGTTATCTTCAGATTTAAAATGCCAAAATCATTGTATTTTACAAACACAATTTAAACACTCATTTGTTTATTCACAATGTTTTCTTAAACATGTATCTATACATTCTAGGTTCAGGACATGCCACATAATCAATGTGCTAAGTAAGTATGATGTTGTAATTTAATTGTTAGAATTATTTTCTTAATGGTATATAAAATGATGATACTTTGTACTTTGCAATCTATGACTTTTCCTATCTGTTGAAATTCTATGTTGATATCCAAGAGGAGGAAAAGATCAGAACGAACATTTTTAAAGCATTTATTGTTTTCTGGTGACTACATTAAGAGTTTTATGTTTTATATCATATTCATCAAATTATGACTTAAGAATTAGTGTCTTCTTTTTGCAAAGGATAAAATAGACTTCAAGACATATAAAAACTAGCCTCCTCCAAGTCATATTTTGTAAGTACAATTGTCAGGATCAAATCCCTTGCTTATTTGCATATACTTTCTCCATTGCAAAAAACAAAACAATAAAACACAACAACAACAACAAAAAGCAAAGCCTAAATTATCACAGATGATGAGAAAATTAACCGAAATTAAAGA
This sequence comes from Homo sapiens, assembly GCF_000001405.40. Classification (NCBI taxonomy): domain Eukaryota; kingdom Metazoa; phylum Chordata; class Mammalia; order Primates; family Hominidae; genus Homo; species Homo sapiens. Next base: position 66,659,139 of record NC_000013.11, read on the forward strand.
AATGATAATAATAACAAAAATATATTAAATGGCCAATGCAATGGAAAATCGAATACTCTTCCACTAGTTTATAAGCACCATGTAGACAAGGTCATGTTTGTTTCACTGTCAAATATATAAATGTATCCCTAGCCTTAGAACAGTGCTCAATAAGTATTGACTAAATCATAGAATTTGTCTCAAAGGCTTATTTTGTGCATGCACTAGTCATCCAAAAAGAGGTAAAACACCATTAGGTTTCATCAGACTTGATAATAAGTTTCACTACATTTTATATCCTTGGGGAGGACCAGTGCTCCAAGTCAGAATGACTTACAGAAAAACAACTGCTAAAATAGGCCTTGGAACATTTGAAACCAGATACAGTTTAATGTGGTTTATCCCTCCACTTAAGTTATGTTTGTGTGTGTGTGTTTGTGTGTGTTTGGTAGAACAAGCAAAGAAGAGGTTTGCTTAATCTTTCGCAGGTTTTAATTTTCTTCTCCAGTTTTACATCACGTGAATCCTGCTGCATCTTCCCTGAAAGACTTTTTAAACATTTTTTTTTTCTGTTACTGCTTCTGCCTGCTCAGCCTCCTTCCCCGATCTCTTAATTCTCTATATCTTCTGTTCTCAACTTAACTCCACCCATTAAATCATCAAAGAAGCTGATTTGGGGTGTGTGCCTGTGTGTGTGTGTTTTAGCTTATTTTTAGCTAGGACTAGCGCATGTACAAGTGGCCAAAACTAGTGAAGTATAACAAGTTAACAGCAGAGTCAAGGATGACACTATTTAAGGTGCCATTGCTTTGCATGACACTGAAATAAGCTTATTAACTGCTGGCGAATTCTAAGCTACACCACCTCAAAGTGGTAAAGATTTAAGTCTTTCCAATGTTTGGAGCTAAACGAATGCCTAAAATCTTTCTCTTTTTCTCTCTAGCTTTTCTCGGAGTTGAAAGTGATAACACACCACCACATGGTCAAGTGAATCATAACCTGCTGGGGCTTGAGGTATGGAAGACGAACAGTGGAGGAAAAGGTATCTTCCAGCCTGGTGAAATGCCGTGGAAATGTGAGGCCATTTATTTTTTCTAAATGCCCCAGCAACAGCTCTCATTCACTTGCAGAAGCAAGAGCTGTTCTGACTACTCACAGTATATGGTGAGATCTTTATTTCTTTGCCTTTTTTTTTACTGTGAGTTTCCTTTTTTGTCATCATTGACCTTATAATGAATCACTGCACTGTCTGAGTAATGAGGCTGCAGTAGATAAGGTCTCCTGAGAATATGAAGGAAGAAGTATGTTCAGCAACTGATTACTGACTTATCCACCTGATTATAGTGACCAATCTACTCATATATCTGATTTCAAATGCCCAATACAATGTTAATAATCTTATTAAAACTTCTTTGCAGTAAAAATCAAACTTCTTTGGTTGATGTTTTTTCTTAAATTTTTAAATTCTAAGTAGAGCAGTAGTTTTAAGATTGCACAATACAAATATTTTAGTGATGCTTCTGGAAATCCATCTAGCAACTTGTTATTTACAATATACTATTAGTAGTACATTATAAATAACTGAAATCTAAAACATAATTCATAAGGAATACAGAAAGAAAATAGAAGGGAGGATATCAGTTTAAATATCATATTTAACAATTTGATACTTGGAAACAAAATAGTTAAAATAATCAATCCCATTTTATTTTCTTTTTACATTTTATTTTCTTTTTAAGAATTTTGATTTGCTTCTGGAAATATTTTATATTTTAGTGATGTTTCTGGAAATCCATCTAGAAACTTGTTATTTACAATATGCTATTAGTAGTACATTATAAATATCTGAAATCTAAAACATAATTCATAAGGAATACAGAGAGAAAATAGAAGGGAGGATATCAGTTTAAAATAATAATTTAACAATTTGATATTTGGAAACAAAATAGTTAAAATAACGAATCCCATTTTATTTTCTTTTTAAGAATTTTGATTTGGTGACATGCTGGTTTAGCAATAGCCATAATTATGCTGCCATTTCCTGTTTCCTTTATTAACTAAGAATTTCAAGATGAAGAACCTTATTTCTTATAGAAAGTTAGCTGAGCATTTTCCTTTCCCTTGTTGGAACTGAAGAATTGAGATAACTCAGAAACCTAACACTTCGATATGAGTTCTAGTGCTAGGAGGATGAGTGTCCTTCATTTTGATCTTTGCTAACTTTAAGTGACACTTCTCATTACCCCTCACCAGCTCTTCCCCAAAGCATCCTGCCTTTTCACAAGCTGTGAATGAGAACTCTGACTGGCGTTACCAATATTGTTTGCTGAGTAATAGTTTGTTTTCAATGTGCGGCTTCAGGATCATTTACTAATTAAAATTGCTTTACCACTGAGAGGTCCCCTGAGGTATGCCCTTGTTTATCTGGATTATACCATGAAGTCATAGTTGAATCAATCCTTAGACCATAATTTTCTGCTAATCCAAATGAAAAGTTGGAAATAATAAATTGATAAAACTCACACAATTTTATCAGCACACATGTACAATTAGGTTTATCATAAATCAAATAAACACAAACACAGATATCCAATCTGACACAGGAAGACAAAGCTTAAATGTGGAGCAATGGAACTATATGACTAACTTTTAAATATGCTACTGATAAAGGGGGAAGGGTGAACTTTAAAGAAACTGCATTTTTCTAGTCAATTTGTATTTATAATCAAAAAGTTCTGGAGTTATAATATCATAGCCTTTGGGCCTTATTTAACATATCCACGCTTTACGAAATCATCACTCAAGTAAACCAATAAAATAACTTAGGCTGACTTTCCCACAGGTTAATATTGTGACATGCTCAGGTCCTCAGTGTTACATTTGTTTAAAGCTGTGGCATGATGAAAAATTATCCTTTGTGAGTATGTGTGTGTGTGTGTGTGTGTATGTGTGTATGTGTGTTAGGAAGTGGGGATAAGAAAGCCTCAATAACTTTGATTGCTTCAGTGTAGCTAGCAACATCAAAACAAATATCAAGTATATCAAAGATGAGAACCTAAAGAATGTCACATAAGGCCGGGCGTGGTGGCTCACCCCTGTAATCCTGGCACTTTGGGGGGCTGAGGCGGGCGGATCACCTAAGGTTGGGAGTTCGAGACCAGCCTGACCAACATGGAGAAACCCCGTCTCTACTAAAAATACAAAAATTAGCCAGCCGTGGTGGCTCATGCCTGTAATCCCAGCTACTTGGGAGACTTAGGCAGGAGAATTGTTTGAACTTGGGAGGCAGAGGTTTCCGTGAGCTGAGATTGAGCCACTGCACTCCAGCCTGGGCAACAAAAGTGAAACTCCGTCTCAAAAAAAAAAAGAATGTCACATAAATGATTCAAAATCAATAAGGAAAATAAGACTTAAATATCAAACAACTGAACATGAACAATTCCTCTGATTTATATTAATTGTCCAAGACATTGAATATCCAGTGTCCAACATAAGGACTAGCTTGGAGCAGACCGTCATACATGTTTGAAGAGTTATGTGGGGAAACAATGGATGGGCGAATGAAGAAACAATGGGTGACATAAGGAGTTGGTGGTGTAGGGTTCTGGTCTGTTTTATTCATAGTTAATAACTCCAGTTCAAGGGCAAATAAGAGAAGACAAGAAAGTAAGGCCTAAATATTTCAATTTTAAAACATAGTATGTTATAAGAGAATTAGTAAGTAAAACTATAAGAAAGTGAATGAGTAGATAAGACATAACTAATTGAAACACTTCTATCATAGATTTCTAGCGGGCTGTATCATTTTCTATAACTATACAATATCAAGAGTTCCCTTATAGATTTAAAAAGAAATAACAGTGTATATATGATGCTAAATGACACAACTCAGTATCAATTGTTTTACTTCTTTTTCCCAATTAACTATAAGGAAAAACAGTCTCTATAGGAGAATCTTAACACTACAGCTTAAATGATGTGAAGGGAGATAAACAAAAATACAAGTAAATTGTCAAGTTCCTGTTTAGGTTGTGGACTTAATGATACTGGCTTATGATATTTCACAAGTGTTTTTGGGAAGATTTCTCATTTATTCTATTTATGAGATTGATGTCCTGGATACTTAACATAAAAAAGTATATTTATCCAAAGTAAAACAAAATAAGTCCCTTTCACCATTAATATTTATTGTGTAGCTTAAATGCAGCAGGATTCTTCCAAATATGAAGGCAAAAAAACCTGGGCAGAACCTGACAGCCTAAGAGAAAAATGCTGCTGAATTAGCACTTTCCGAGAAGGCCTTAGAGACTAGACATATATTATCTTTGGAGTCAATGATAAAAAGAGATTTGAGAAATAAACGTGAGGGTTTTCATGACTATGCAATAAATACATTTTCTAACATAGAAAAGTGACCTATGTTCTAAAATGTTGTTAATTATATCTTCAAACAGATGGATGTCTATGTGTGTTTATCTGCATATATCTTGACACTAATGACCTGTAAATTACTACTGTATCTCCTGACACATGAACCAGACGCATGGAGAGATTCTCGATATAAAAATTAGTTAATCTTTATAAAAATCGAAATATCCTAAGTCTCTTTCAAATATAAGATTCACTCAGATTTACTCTGTAATTCATAATTTCCTCTTGTGAATTAGAGATGTGTACATGCCTTGAAGGTTCCATGGAATCCTTTGCAGATAGAGCCTGATCTAAAATGAGGCATATGTTAAATCTTCTTACACAAGGCCAGGCTCTCATCTTCCTCTGCACCCCACAGTGCTCATTCAAGTGAAGAGTCATCTTTGAAGGCAATTGTAGCTTCTTGCTTGGCTGAGCATCATGGAGCTTGGAGCAAGATAAAAAAGGAACTACAGACTTTCACCTAGAATTCTGCTAGCAGGACACACTGAAAACAGCCAGCCAGACCACTGTGGGATAAGTTTCCTATCCCTTTTGCCACATACAAAGTGTGATATATACTAATTGGCCTACAGTAATTTCCATCAAACAAATAAGAAAAGTATTTCCAATCATATCCAAGATTTATTTTATTGAAATTCTCTTCTGAAAAATTTGCCTGCCTACTTACACAATTATGCTATTTACAGTCTAAATAATTTTATCTGTCTTGGATATGCACAAATAAGACATTCACTTTATTAGTTTTCCTTAAAATAGCTTATAGCAATGTCATCAGGTTAAGAGAGGATTAATAGTAGTTTGTTATGACTTCCAGGAAAGCTGGAGGTTGAACATGGACACTTTTGTATCATAATCAGCAATTTTCACATCCCTTCCCAAACAGCAATGGGCTTTTTTTTTTTTAAACAAAGATTCAAACGCCTCACTCAATGCTACTAAACATGAATAAGAATTAAGGAATTGTTCACGTGATTTGGGTACATAATCAGGTTTAGGAAGCACTGTAGTAGACAACAGTATGACTCCTAGAAACTTATATGAATTCAGGAGAGAATTCATGTTTAAAGTTTATTTTCCAAAAAATGGAAAACGTGACTTATTTCTCCTTTAAACTATGATATATATTCTCCATGGACAATAAAATCCTTAAAGAGACAGGCATAGTGTTAACATTTTTAGCCTGTATGTGTCCACTCTATGCACTGTCTCCCCTACCCATCATTTCCTCTATATTCTCAACTTTACCTTTTGTTTAGGCACTTACACCCTCTTACCTGGCATGTTCCTAAGGCTTCATCCCATCCCTACATCCCATGATACCCTACCCCCAGTCTCCCTTCACTGCAACTTAAAAAATAACTTTCCTAAGGCATAGATAAAACAGACCCTGTCCTGCTAGTCCCTACATAATAAAATGCAGTCTACTTACACAAGCTTTGAAGCCCCCAATGGAAAAACCCAGCTTAACAGTCAACACTGTTTTTCTATTAATTTCCTATACCAATAATATCCTTTTGCCAAAATAGAAGGCTAAGGACTTTTTCTTTCTTTTCTCTCCTTTTTTTTTTTTTTGAGACGGAGTTTTGCTCTTGTCGCCCAGGCTGGAGGGCAACAGTGAGACCTCGCCTCACTACAACTTCCACCTCCCAGGTTCAAGCAATTCTCCCGCCTCAGCCTCCCAAGTAGCTAGGTGCCTGCCACCATGCCCATATAATTTTTGTATTTTTAGTAGAGACAGGGTCTCACCATGTTGGCCAGTCTGGTCTCGAACTCCTGACCTCAGGTGATCCACCGCCTCGGCCTCCCAAAGTGCTGGGATTACAGGTGTGAGCCACCGCGCCTGACCAGAAAGCTAAGGACTTTTCTAATGACATTCCACATTTAAACAATCCTATGCGTTTTCCCTTACTGTTTTCTTACCCTATTTGGTACACATATTTCCCAGCTTTCTGCCCAAATCCTGGTAGTTCATTAAGGGCCATATCAAATTCTGCCTGGACCAGGAAGACTTCCTTGACGCATCCAATATACATTGTTTCTGTGACTTATTAACTTGCTTTGCTTTGCCTATGTTGTTATTTTGTAATATACCTCTGGGGCACATGATGTAGTCTATTTTTTAATGTGGTCATCTTATGTTCTGTGCTGTGTCCTCTGCACATGCTTTCCAATTGTGTGAGCTCAATGTAATTTTTAAATTTAATTATTGAGTTTTTTTTAGACTAATATTTTCATCCTTCACGGAAGAGTAAATACATGCTAGAAAGACTGGTTTACTTAAGGTTTTGAGAGATACTAGATTAGGGTAGGAAATTATTCTCCACTAAGGGTAAGTAACGAAATGATTTTCCAAAACCATCCACTAAAGAGGGACATAGACAGAATTCAAATAGCCTCAAATAATCAAGCCAAAGATTTCTCCTTCAGGCCCATTTCTGAGACCTTGGGTGAAACTCAAGAGAATACAGCTGAATTAGAGGCCTGAAGCAAGTGAACAGATACTGTTGCAAATGAATCCAAGGCTAAGAACTGAGCATGCCACTGTGTGTGAATGCAGGAGCCGTGACCAGAAGCCAGGCTTAGTCAGAAACCAAGGACTGGTAGCCATGGCAACAGGGGCACATCCAGAAGTCAGAGCTGGAAAACAGAGCAGGTCAAACGTGGAGCAGGCTTTTCGCTGGAGTAGAGAGGTGATGCCAGCAGACCAGACTAGGTGGAGGCCCTGGGACACTCCATGGTGCACAGGCAGCAAGGGAAGTCCTGGTGCCCGGGCCAGATGGCATTCTGCTGGATGTCTGGTCGTGGTTCCAGCTGGCTCAAGGTCCCATTTGCTCCTCATGCCACAGATTCCTCTACCTGTCTTCTGATGTTCTGTGTTTTTTTTTTCTTTTTTTATTTCTCCATATTTTGGATGCTCTCAAAGCAGCCTCATGAAACTATTTTGCCAGAAGCTATGTAAGGTGACCCCACTTGTAGAAATGCCAGAAGTAAGTTAAAAGGTAGGTTTTGCTCTTTACCTAGAAGGAGACAATAAATCTTTCTGTACCCTAACAAAATAGTCCAAGAATTTTGTCTCACTACCCTGGGCAATTCCAGAATGAGTTTCCAGAAGAATTGTTCTACAATATGTCAGAAATACTGTATTGTTATTAATACTGATTCAAAATACACTAAATAGACTACTGTGAGAATCAGAGATCTTCACATTCTATTAACTACTTCCTTATAATGACTTTTATTGATATGGTTTTGACTTGCTATATTTGAGGTATGAGGCAAAAAGATTTGAATATATGAAATATATTAACAGTTATATTTGTCTTACCAACTTTCTGAAGTAGGTTATTTTTATCACCCTCCTCCTCTTTTATATTTAAGAAAAATAAAACCTAGATACACTTGTGGACCAAATAAATGTGGAGTTAGATATAAAGAAGGAATCTGTAATGGTAGCCTTAGATTTGAAATAGAAATAATTTTTTAGGGACATCAAATTTTAGAACTTGTAGGGTCACTGTCAGCACATTTAATCTAAAAATATGAACAGAGTATGTTGAGAAAAGAAAGGGAAAGAAAAAAAATCTGATAAAATGGATCTAACAGTGGATACAAAATGGCTGTGCCTGATAGTCCCTGGTTTGAGGATTGTGGAAAAAGAAAGGGAAGAAAAGGCTGGAAGGAGAGAGGGATGGAAAGAAAGGAAGTTGGCTGAGAATGTGTCATCCCTGTGAAAGCTCTTTCCAGTCACAAATGTGGTGGTTCATGAGAGTCTCGTTATTTCTAAACATTTGGATATTTTATAAAACATCCATAGTAATGGAAATATAAATATGCTATTTTACAGAATGGATGTTTACACAATCTTAAAATTTTATTTCCTTATTTTTTTTCTCTCAGTGCCTTTTGAGAACCTGTTGAAATCCCTCCAGCAAAATGCAAATGAGCACAGAAACCTGCAAGTACTGTACCTAGGCCCATGGACCTAGTGGAGCTGATGGATCATAGGTTAAGAACTCCAAATTTATCGTGTTTTATTACTTAGTAGCTTTTATAACTCCTTTTGAATTATGAAATCATTCTAGGCTCTGTCTACACATAAAAATTGGCATATTTGAACTTGATCTTTTTGCCATAGAGGACTGCCACCATTTTACTCCCCTAAATACATAATTTATTCCTGACATCTAAAATACACATCTAGTATTATGCACAGTATTGTGTTATATATTATTATAACTTGCCAATATAATTTGAAGGGAACCTATACTTAGCTTCACAACTAAATCAATCTTAATAAGTATTTGTCTAAGTAATATTAACTAAGTAGTGGGGAAAAAACCTGCAAATGTGTTCATGAAGCATAGATTTAAATAACTGTAATTTAAGCTTGTTCTAAAGATTTATGACCAATAGTAAATAAAAAGAATTATGTATTTCTTTGCACATCTAATTTTACAGTGGAATAAACATAATGAATAAAATCCACTGAATGATTTGAAACAATATGAGCTTCAGGAGCTTGGGAATTACTTATTTGTTTCTCTGTCTCTGTAGATTCTACAGTTTGAATTCCTAGTGGCCTGAGTAAGGCAGATTCATGTGATCTGAGTAAGGCAGATTCATGTGATCATTTTTCTGTCTCTTTGTTTAGGACAGTTTGAAAAGGTGAGTGACAAGTATATAACCAAAACATTGGCAAACCTTTCTTATAAAGGCATGGCTTTTTTAGTAGCATACATGATTTTTGTCAACAAAATTCATATTCAGTCACTTTTCTTCTGAGAGTTTTTCCAACCTTTCTTTGTCATTCATCTCTCCTACTCTTTAGGAGCCCAAATGCCACAAGATTTTATTTTGCTCATCAATGTCACATCTTTGATGGCACCTAAAAACTGCTCTCCACTGAAGGAACCTGAATCCTGAAATCCTGGTAATTCCTTCATTAGTGTCATCCAAACTTCATTCATAAGTGAATTCACTCGTTCTTCATTCATTCACTCAAAAACTAAGTAATCTAAATAGCCCCCTTGTTTGATTTAAGCAATTCATAGTAAGATGTGAAAATCTTGGTGAAATATAGATGGTAATATGCAGTGGTGACCGAGAGAGCCCTCTAAAAATTTCCAGAGAATCTGGCTTTCATCAGTGAAAATTTGGGGAGCAACTTATTGAAAATCATTCCTTCTCTGAAGAATCTCTCTCTCACTTCTTTGCAAAGATATATGTTGAAGGTTTAGTATGCATACGTCAGTTCATTATAATGCAGAGGTATTTGTATTGTTAGCCCCAATTATTTTTAAATCTAGAGTCTTTAACAAGTTTTACTCTTTCATAGTAGTATTATGGTCTCAGGTTTGTTTTTAATAATTTCTACTCCACTGCTTTAGAATAACTAATTTGATAGACCTAGAATTTTCATCCTCTCTAGGAAAATATTGCACCTAAATATGAGATTTATTTAATCTTATGTTGCATTTGGCTTTAAATTTGACTTGACCTCATTGAATCTATTTTAATTGTTTTACATCTTCCTGTAAGCAAATGGAATGTCTACATGTGCCCTTGTGCATCTCAGGCTACATCATGAATTTTGTTTCCAGCATTTCACCTAGAGAGATAAAATTTAGTTCCTAATTGGTCTGAGACACAAAGAATAAAAACGTAAAGCTAACGCTACCTATCTCCTAATTTCTATCTCTCCATATCTATTTTGTTCTTTAAAAAATGTCTCATAGTAACTTTTCAACCTCAGCAAACAAGTATGAAAACTCAGGTTGTTTTCACTCTGAAGATGAACCAGTTTCCAGCCATTGTGTTTTATGTCGGAATTGTCTAACTTAAATTGCGTGTCCTTGGGGCAGAGAGCAGTCTTCTATCTTTTTTTTGTTGTTGTTTTAACAGAGCCAAGTATTCTGTCACTGTTCTACAAAACAATAAATAATGAAGTAAATTGAAGATGTGTGAATTGTGCCAGCTTGACAGAAAATGGAGCCGATGTTCTCAGAGGTGTTACAGCAGTATTTCCTAATGAGCAGCCGGAGCCTCTCTCTAGCATCTCAGAAAACCAAATGGGAATGGAGGATAAGAAAGTGGAAGTAAAGACAAAAGGGAATATTTATTTGGGATTAACTTGTAGTTACTTGAGCTGATACACCTATACTAAAGGAACAAAGGAAATGATGGATCTTTTAACCATCAGGCTTATTGTGTAAACATCATTCTCTTTCATTCCACGGTGGGAAAAACAAACCTTTTCCTCAAATTTGACTTTGTATATAAAATGTGTTAATAAAACTAAATGTGTTTTAACAAATGTGTTTTAATAAAAACTAACATATTTAATAAAACTAAAAATAAATGATCATATTTGTTCAAAAGTTCTTACTCTTTTGTTTTTTTGTAAATGAGGCATAAAGAGCTTTGTGCACTTCAGTCTCCACCAAAAGGTACCTCTAAAAGAGGACTTCCTTGAACACCATATATAAACTAACTCTGATCCTCTAGCTCCTCCCCAAAGTCACTCTTCCTCTATTCCGTGTTATTTTCCTTATCAAATTCACCACATCTGAAATTATGCGTTCAGTTTTTTTAAAAAATATTATATCACATTATGAGCATATGCATTTCTGTGATGGAAATGTCTCTGTCTTGTTTTGCTAGCACCTAATAGAATTCTGCAACATAATAGGTTTCAGTCAATATTTGCAGAAAAGTAAAAGACATGCAGCTTTAAAATAACCTAAGTGGTCTAAGTAATCAGTACTTTGGTAACCCTAATAGAATGTCAGTAATATCACTAATATCAATGAGATATCCCTAATAGAAAATATGGCATAGAGTATTTAGTCAATATATGATGAAAGAACGAAAGAATTGAGAATTGAGATAAAAGCTGTATGGACATCATCATCTTAATTATAAATTTTGATCCTAAAATTTAAAGAGGCATCTTTTGAAATACAGAAACTTATCCAACTTGGTGGCATGCAGTTTTAAAAAGTATGTATATCTATATATTTATACCTTACAGCAGATGATTGGTACTCAGTTAAATGAGAAGAGGAAGGGAAGTGTAAGGAAAGATGAAAATTGTAGAACACTAACTAAAACAGAAAAGCATATTCTACCTAATTTTGCCTGTTTTCATACATTCACAGGTACTGATGATATATTTGGAAAAAATTTCACATTATGTATTTTAATGATGTCCATATGTTATGGATTGAAATGTGTTCCCCCAGTCCTAAGCCCGAGTATCTGTAGAAATGTGAACTTAGTTGGAAATAGGGACTTTGGAGATGATTAAGTAAAGATGAGATCATTAGGGTAGGCCCTTATCTAACATGACTGTGTTCTTATTTAAAAAAAAAAAAAAAAAAAAAAAGGAAGTTGGGTGATATGGTTTGGCTTTGTGCTCACCCAAATCTCACTTTGAATTGTAGCTCCACATGTCATGGGAGGGACCTGTTGGGAGGTAATTGAATCATGGGTTGTGTTTTTCCCATTCTGTTCTCATGATAGTGAATAAGTCTCAAGAGATTTGATGGTTTTATAAAGGGCAGTTCCCCTCTACATGCTCTCTTGCCAGCTGCCATATAAAATGTGACCTTGCTCCTCCTTCGCCTTCTGCCACGATGGTGAGGCTCCCCAGCCATGTGGAACTGTGAGTCCATTAAACCTCTTTTTCTTTATAAACTATCCAGTCTTCGGTATTTCTTCATAGCAGTATGAAAATGGAATAATACAGTAATTTGGTAGAGTGGGGTACTGCTATGAGGATACCTGAAATGTGGAAGCGACACTGGAACTGGGTAACAGGCAGAGGTTGGAACAGTTTGGAAAGATCAGAAGAAGACAGGAAAATGTGGGAAAGTTTGGAACTTCCTAGTGACTTGGAGGGCTCAGAAGAAAGGAAGATGCAGAAAAGTTTGGAACTTCTTAGAGACTTGTTGAATGGCTTTGACCAAAATGCTGACAGTGATACAGATAATGAAGTCCAGGCTGAGGTGGTCTCAGATGGAGATGAGGAACTTGTTGGGAACTGGAATAAAGGTGACTCTTGCTATGTTTTAGCAAAGAGACTGGTGGCATTTTGCCCCTGCCCTAGAAATCTGTGGAACTTTGAACTTGAGGAGTTGATTTAGGGTATCTGGCAGAATAAATTTCTAAGCAGTAAAGCATTCAAGATGTGACTTGGGTGCTCTTAAAAGCATTTAGTTTTATGTATTCAAAAATATATGGAACTTTGGATTTGAACTTATGTTTAAAAGAGAAGCAGAGCATAACAGTTTGGAAAATTTGCAGCCTGACACTGCAATAGAAAATAAAAAAACATTTTCTGAGCAGAAATTCAAGCTGGCTGCAGAAATTTACATAAATAATGAGGAGCCAAATGTTAATCACCAAAACAATGGGAAAAATATTTCCAGGGCATGTCAGAGGTCTTCACAGCAACCCTTCCCATCATAGGCCTGGAGGTATGGGAGGAAAAAAATGGTTTCATGAGCTGGGTCCAAAGTCTTGCTGCTTGTGCAGTCTTGGGACTTGGTGCCCTTTGTCCCAGCCATGGCTAAAAGAGGTCAACATACAGCTCAGGCTGTTGCTTCAGAGGGTGCAAGCCCCAAACTGTGAGGAAACTATTAAATTGTGCTGTATTCTGGAATTATATAGCCTACAGACAAAACTTCCATTTGTAGTTTTCTTTCTACGTATTGTAAAATTGAAATAAGAACTTTTCACTATATGGGAGGTCCATCAAAGCAATGCTTACATGTGGCATTGGGCCTGTGGGTGCACAGAAATCAAAAATTGAGGTTTGGGAATCTCCATCTAGACTTCAGAGGATGTATGGAAATGCCTTGATGGCCAGGCAGAGGTGTGCTATGGGGAAGAGCCCTCATGCAGAACCTCTGCTAGGGCAATGCAGGAGGGAAATGAGGGGTGGGAGCCCCCATACAGAGTCCCCACTGGGGCACTGTCTAATGGACCTGTGAGAAGACAGCCACCGTCCTCCAGACCCCAGAATGGTAGATACACTGAAAGCTTGCACCATGTGCCTGGAAAAGCTGCACACACTCAACATCAGCCTGTGAAAGCAGTTGGGAGGGGGGCTGTACTCTGCAAAGCCACAGGCGCAGAGCTGCCCAAGACCATGGGAACCCACCTCTTGCATCAGCATGACCTGGATGTGAGACATGCAGTCAAAGCATATCATTTTGGAGCCTTTAGATTTGACTACCCTGCTGGATTTTGGATTTGCCTGGGTCCTGTAGCCCCTTCATTTTGGCCAATCTCTCCCATTTGGAGCAGGTGTATTTACCCAATGCCTGTATTCCCATTGTATCTAGGAAGTATTACTAACTTTCTTTGATTTTACAAGCTCATAGGTGGAAAGGACTTGCCTTGTCTCAAATTAAGACTTTGGACTGTGGACTTTTGAGTTAATGCTGAAATGAGTTAAGACTTTGGGGGGCTGTTGGGAAGGCATGATTGCCTTTGAAATGTAAGGACATGAGATTTGGAAGGGGCCAGGGCAAAATGATATGGTTCTGCTGGGTCTCCACCCAAATCTCATCTTGAATTGTAGCTCTCATAATCCCCTCATATCGTGGGAGGGACCTGGTGGACGGTAATTGAATCATGAGGGTGGGTTTTCCCATGCTGTTCTTGTGACAGGGAATAAGTCTCATGAGAACTGATGATTTTATAAAGGGCAGTTCCCCTGCACATGCTCTCTTGCTTGCTGCCATATAAGACACGCCTTTGCTCCTCCTTCGTTCCTCCTTCCCCTTCTTCCATGATTGTGAGGCTTCCCCAGCCATGTGGAATTGTGAGTTCATTAAACCTCTTTTTCTTTATAAGTTACCCAGTCTTGGATATTTCTTCATAGCATTATGAAAGTGGACTAATACATTGGGACACAGAGACAGACACACAGAGATATGCACAGAAGGAAGATGATATGAGTGCACAGAAAGAATGCTATCTACAAGCCAGGGAATGTCTGAGGCTACCAGAAGCTGGCACATAGGCAGGGAACAGATTCTACTTCAAAGACCTCAGAAGGCAGAAACTCTGTGGACACATTGATTTATGACGTGTAGCCTCCAGAACTATGAAACAATACATTTTTGTGGTTTAAGATGCCCAAACTTTGTACTTTGTTATGGTACTTCTGGCAAAGAAACACACCATTTGTTCTCAATTTCAATGACTGAAGTCACTACATAGGCCCAATATCTAGATATTGGCACAATTAAGTGACTTATTATATTCCACAGCATTCGTTTAAGTAATTAACATTATTTAATAACATTTAATTCAATTATCCAGTTAAATAATTATATGGTTGCAATTCATTTGTCTTCCTTGTATCATTCAGTCTCTTGCTACAAAATTAGCTTATGATATCATTCTATTACCACCAACACATTTAGGAAATTATAATAGGGTCTAAAGTTTGCAAATATTATAATTTTATCCACAGATTAAATAAAATTTAATATTAATACATTTATTCACATAAAGAGGGGAGTTAACATAATTTTTGAATCTCCTTCAAATATCAGATAACAGATTTTCCCACCATCAAACCAGATGTTTAATAAAAATAATACAGATAATATAACATTTTAAAAATCAATGGAGTTAATTTTATCAGTGATTTACCAATCTGTCCTTGTATTCATAATAAGTGAATATTTTAAATAAACATTGTCTGATTAAAGTATGAAAGGTATTATCACTGTTATTTTGCTTTAAGCTTACAAACACATTCTGTTTTGACTCTTCATAGTATAAACTGAAAAGAACAATTTATATTGCTAGCATTTATGCACATAGAAATAACTTCCACTTTATACTGTATTGTGTTAAAAAAAATTGACTTTACATGAAAAACAAATAGGAGAGTTTAAAACTACTGTAAATGACCTCTGTGTTGAAACTATTATTTTAACTTGTGCTGTATTCTGGAATTATATAGCCTACAGAAAAACCTTCCATTTGCAGTTTTCCTTCTACATATTGTAAAATTGAAATAAGAACTTTTCACTAAATGGGAGGTCCGTCAAAGCAATATAAATGCCATAAAAATTACAACAAAGATAAATATTTTTCTTATCTACTCTATGGCAATTGTTGATATTTAAGTTTAACTCAATCATCTGTTAGAATAAATGCATGTCTTTAATGTAATTCAGTTTCATCTAATTAGTATTCATTTGATTTCTCTAAGATATTATAAACATCACAGAACAAAACTCCATAAACAGGTTTCCTATTATGTATATATGAAAATCTAGATTGAGTTTAGATGTCAAAGTGTGGTTCATTTATGCTTCTGATGGAATAAAGAGAACTACCATTAAATTACTTTTCTAGAAACATATCTGAGTATATTTCATTTTAAATCAGTCCTCATAATCTTTTAATTTAACTCATTTCATGATTTGTGTTTTTATTTACGAGTGCAATCTTATGTTTTATGCAGTTTGCTTAGTCTTACTTGAAAACTAGATAGGGATTTGTGAGAATAAGAAATTTAAAATTTTGATGCCTCAGATTCCTTATCTGTAAAATACAGTGAAGATTTTAAGATAAAAACCTATACTCACATTTTGCAAATTTTTTTGAGTTTCAATTCTCTAAGCTAAAGAACAAAGTCACTAAACACAAGTGACAAAGAGTTATGTGTTCCTTTCAGAAGACAGTTTCTTGTGCCTTTGTCCACGGTTTGATTTTTATTTAAAAGCATATTTTTTAATCGTAAATATCACTGTCACGCAATTTAAAATAATATTATTAAATAAGCAAAAGATATGCATGCATGCCTGGCCCTCAAAGTTGCAAACTTAGTAGAGTCTGCATAGAATTGGGTTGATAATTGTTTTGTGAATTATTGCATGTTTCTGGTTATAGACGCTGCTATGTCTCCTGCAAAGTAGAGTAGTCAAACATATTTCTTTTAGATCAGAGTCTACATTCAAGATTTAGATCCAGGATAAAATCTTTCATTCATGAATTTTGAATAGTGACTCAGGTGTCAAAGGAACCAGTGGCTTAACCAAATTGAGCTTCAGATGCCTTTTCCCTAAAGCAATCATAATGATGTCTGCCTTGTAGGATGAGTAAGTAGTGTTAAAGCATCTAGTACAGAATCACTAATAGGCACTTAGCCAATATTACTTTTTTTCCTTAACCTGTCCTTCATCTTTCTTCAGAATGGTAAGAATTGGTGCCAGAATCCTTGGACTTTGTAGCTCTGTTGACAAGAAATCTTGCTCTTGTGCAAGTCAGTTAAGTACTCTGCCAGCTTTTTGTTCGCAGAAGTATGGCGTTGTCTTCTTAGATCTCTTTCCCATAATTATTGTCTCTACTTTTATTATTCTGGTCTATATTCGTGCATTACACGAAGTAATTTGAAACTGGCAGATTGTTCAATTTCTCCCCAACATTGTGTAACAACTTAGAACTGCATCTAGACGATTTTGACATCCACAAATAAGTGCTGTTCTGTAACCCTGGATTTTGTTAAGGGGCATCTATCATTTGTCAGTCTCTGTGTTATTTATTTTACATATTTTATCTCAATCTTCACAGCATGAAGATTCACAAATTCAATAACTTTCATTTCATGCTGGTTAGTGTGGCAGCTCCAAGTAAACTCTCACCTTAGCACTGTAACTTTTGAAAAATAGTGAAAAAGTATTTGCCTCATTTTAAAGTGACTCATTAAATAACCCATCTTCTACAAAAGAGATAATTGTAATTATTATTACAGTCCAAAGTAAATATCACAGGAATTTAGTAACAAAATTCTATTCCATAGAACTAAGCTTATACATTACTTATTTTAAGTCAGTATCAAATAATTCTTTCAAACACTGCAAAGATATGAGGAAAAATTAAATACACCTAACCAATAATACTTCCTGTAATTCTTATATGACTTAAGATATACGCTTCAAACTTGGAAAGTTGTAGAGAGGCTACAAATTTGCTTAATATCCATGACAGGATATCAGTGAAGCTGGAATTTTCACCTACGCCTGTTACCCCCAAAACAGGTCTCTTTTCATATATCGTCACTTCTCTTTAAAAATAACTTACTGAAATTCAGGATTCATGAAACATAATTATTATCTATCTATTGACCAATCTCATATCCAACTAAGGGAAATAAATTCAATTGTGTATTTAAATGTACACAGGAGGTTTTCATTCTATAGCTGTCATGCATGTT
This sequence comes from Homo sapiens, assembly GCF_000001405.40. Taxonomy (NCBI): domain Eukaryota; kingdom Metazoa; phylum Chordata; class Mammalia; order Primates; family Hominidae; genus Homo; species Homo sapiens. Next base: position 66,676,795 of record NC_000013.11, read on the forward strand.
TTAGAGTGCAGATCATGTGTCTCCTATTAGTCATAAACTACAGGACCTCAGACATACAGAAACATAATTTTCTGTAAAATATATATTGCAATTAGCAAAAACAAAAGAATTAATGTTTGTTTTCCTTTATATTATAAAATTTTAAATATCCATTTACATGTCAATATTGATTCATTTTCCAACTATTCAAAGTCGGTATGCGGATTAAAAGTTTTTTTAGATCACACCGAAGAAGATACAGATAGTGACACAGGAATGTCATGAAGGTTAATGGATTGACCATGGTTATAAAATCATTAAAGGGTGTGTAGCCATCAGAGTACCTGTCATCCTAACTTCTTTATAAAGCAATTTAGAAAACCATAAACACAAATGCCCAGACAGCAATTTTAAGATAATAGAATTTTTATAAATGCTATCTAATCAATGGGAAATTTCATTTTAGGTATTTTAAAATGAGAAGAAATGCATGTCTAAGTTAACATATAAAAAGCCACTTGTCAACAATGTTTTTAATATTTTTTAAAGTAATATAAATAAGATCTTTGCTCTTTCAAAATCTAGGATAGTAAGTAAACTGGTTTAAAATGTATATAAAGATGTTTAAAAGTTTTTTTGAAGTAAACAGGCAGCTGGTATAGTTTGGATATTTGTCCCCACCCAAATCTCATGTTTAATTTTAATCCCCAAGGCTCGAGGTAGAGCCCATTGGGAGGTGTTTAGATCATGGGAAAGGATCCCTCATGGCTTGGTGTGTCTTTGTGATAGTGAGTTCTTGCAAAATCTGATCATTTAAAAGTGTGTGGCACTTCCTTCCCCATGCTCTTTCTCTCTACCTCTCTCCGCCTCCCCTCCATTTGCTCCTGCTTTCATCATGTGATGTGCCTCTTCTCCCCTCACCTTCTGCCATGATTAAAAGTTCCCAGAGGCTTCACCAAAAGTTAAGCAGATGCCAGCACCATGATTCCTCGAAAGCCTACAGAATTGTGAGTCAATTGAACCTCTTCTCTTTATAAATTACCCAGTCTCAGATATTTCTTTATAGCAATACAAGAATGGCCTAATACAGAAGCACATATAATATTGAATAAATATTTTAAAGTATGTACTCGTTAATATTCTGCTTCAGTGATAGTTGGTTTCCCTTCAAAATACTTGCTTTGCACATAACTGCTTGTTATAAAAAACAATTTCAGCTTTACTTAAAAATCAGAAAGAGTAATTTTCCTTTTTAAACTGTTATTCAACAATCATGAACAGAATCTTCTGAAGAGACATTGCAATATTATTGTAAGTTATTTCTAAAATTTTGAAAATTCATGAGTATTTTATAAAGTTGTTACGTTACAGTTCTCATTTTCCTTCCACCTATTCCTGATGTTACTGTTCAAACATTGGCCTTAGCTTTCTCTTGGTTTCCTTTATCTTTTCATTCTTTTCATTAGTTTCATTTTTAAAGTTCATGGAAAATTGTAATAAATATTATAGTCAACAACTGTCATAGTAAATCATGTGATTTTAAGTGTGTATATAAATTAACGCAATTAATGAAATGAGTTTCAGAAACATATAGAAGTATAGATGTTAGATCTTATCTTCAATATTCTAAGACTGGAAAACTTCCAAATGTAGTACTAATTTAAAATGCATGAAGCAAAATTGAACACAAAACTTTTGATGTATTATAGAACAAAGCCATTGAGATTCATAGTATGTATTATCTTATACAATACCTATTTTACAGAATTGGAAGCCAAGTTTCAGAGTGACTGAGTAACTAAATAATGGTTGATACTTATGTAATAATTTTGGGGGACCAGGCACTGTTCTAAACATGTCTTACATGCTTAACACACTTAAAAACCTATTTATGTGCAAAGCCAAATACCAAATAACAAGAAAAATCTTGGCAAACTTGCTAAAAAATTCTGTTGATATTGGTGTAAGAAATTGTAGAAAAATAAAAAAAATATTCAAAAAATCTCAAAGAATTCCCTACTCAGACTTCTGAAAAAAGAAAACAAAACTAGAATTCACACTTAGTACACTCTTAGTACACTTAGTATGTTCTTTTGCAAGAAAGAAGGGGCAGAGCTCTAGTGAACACTCAAAAGAAAACCTTGGCCTGGCATCAAGTTAGGCGACTGGATGTATATATATATACATCCAGTATATATATATGTAAAATAAAAATTCGAAAGAACATATGCATTATATTTAACCTACCCACCATTAATATTTTGAATGAGTGCTTATATTATATAAATAATACATAATATACACCTGTTCAAACATTTTAAATTAAATTAATTGAGCTTTTTCGGTATTTTCTAAATCATTTAAATGCATTTCTTGTCAAACTCTTGATCATACTGTACATATAATTATATTCTGAAAAACAATTTAATCTTTAAAAAGGTTTAGCTACAGTCTTTTTATAATTCCTTATTAATTATTGACATTTACAAGATGATTATATCATAATGGTCATTCTGTCATAATACAATTATAATACCTACATTATTATAATATGATATTATAGTGATATTATAATAGCACCTCAGTGGAACTAAAATCTTAAAAAGTTAGAGCTCAGTTGCATTTTGCACATTGTAATAGTGCACACACCCATGGGCACAAAAACATACAAGCAAAGTACTGGATCCAATAGCTTTTTGAACCTTTTAAGCTAAAGATTACACTATCTTTTCAACTCAATATAACCTTCTCATGTGTGTTTAATTTTTTTTTGCTCCAAATTATTATTGCATTTTCTCTGAAAGATGAAGAGAATAAAAGGTTTAGGTTAGAATTAATGTATCTGAAACCTTTTTGTATGAATATAGCAATGTTAATGTTACAGTAATTTAATTTGAAAAGCAAATCCCCAATAGATTATTTAAATATGTTATCCAGGAATATAGAGACATAATTGTTTTTAGTAATATAATATGCATAGCCTTTCTTTCCAATGTTGAAAAGAACAATTTCTATAATTTTTATATGCAAATGCTTTTGAAAGTTAGTTCACCTGACTCACCTGATATATGGCAATGTCCTGAATACATCTAATTAGATAATCTTTTGAAAATTCTATTTAAATAAAGGCAGATGATTCATGGGAGAAATAATCAAATTAAATTACTTTTTTAAACATCTTTTTTAATACTACTAAAAAATTCTGATAACCTCACTATGGTTTTCATAAATGTTTTCTTTCTTGTTATGTGGTAAGAATATGCACATGTGTTTAAGAGTTCAGATTCCTAATTTCAACTTCTGGATTCCTTTGGCAATATTTATGGGGGATTGACTATGTCCAAGGCTTTTTGGAAGTTGTCACATGCATGCTGTCATCAAAGAGCATTTCAGTTTTATATTGTGTCTATCTTGGACTTCTGTGAAATTAATCTAACTCAGAAAGCAACTGAAACAATACGCAAATATTTTGATGCTGATTCAGTGTTTCCTCACTTTGTAATTAATGACCATTCTATTTATAGGTAATTTAGAAAGTTTCCTTTCATTGAAGAAAGACAGAGATTAATGGCATCTTTCCAGTATAGAATGAAATCAATCAATCAACTATTTCTGCAACCTGTGATATTTAACACAGAGTTTATTCTCTAGTTAACCTGGACAGTTTTATTTGAATTAGTATATTTAATTCTTTTTAGTATTATAAATTTAAAGACAACATTGTATCCATTGACTCTGTAATTTTCTTTTTTTCTAGGAGTTTGCTATTTCACAAAGTGTTTTTTGACAAGCTAACAATTTTTTCAGGTCGAACTTTTATCCATAGGTTGCTGCTATAAAGTAAAATTGTGCTGTCAATTATAATTTCCTGTTTCGATTAATGGCATTTCAAAAGTTCTGTAGCTTTATAAATGAACCCAGGGGCCACAACCAATGAGCAATAGTACACAATACACAGTAAAAAATTAAACTTCCCCAAGCGCAAACTCAAAAGAAAGCCACAAAAGTCACCTGATTCAAGGAAATATGATTAATATAAATGTTATGTTTTATAAATGCTCTTGCAACCAATATCATCCAACAAAAAGAGAAAATAGCAGTAATATTAACATATCAAAAATAAATATTATACATATGTACATGGTAACTATGCATTAATACAAGGATAAAAGCTGTTGCAAATAAATTGAAATCATATAGGTCCTGGGAAACCAGCTCAATTATATTCAGATATAACTACCCTTATTCAAATTCTATGTCTAGTTATTCCATCATCATAAACTACTTCATTCACTTCAGAAATGTAAGGCAGAAGTCACACAGAAGTTACAGACAACTTAACCCAAACAATCCCACATGCCCTGTAAAAACCTATCACAATCACTTTACCCCCCACAATATACTATTTGTGTATTTGATGAAATAAACCATTGCATTATTTCTTTCCTTTACTCCCATTTACAGAGAGCATATTGCCAAACACACCAGCTTCCAGTTTTCATTTTAAACAACTGCATTATATGGTTCTAAAGTATTCATTAGTTCATAGAAGAAAATCTGTTGCTAGACATTTAATTGTTTCCATTACATTGAAAAACTAACTTGACCTAATTCAGTATTTTAGTTACACAACCCTAATGAAGTGAATCTCTCTCCTTTTTAAAATTACAGAATGATTTCTCTTTTCTTTTGGGAAATACTCCAAAATGCTTAACAGGACTTATGCAGCCTCCATCTGTATTGTCTGAGCTATAATCTCCACAGTCTCCCCACATTCCCCTGGCCTCTTCTTTTTCTCTAGGCACTACTGGATCCCATTTGTTTATTTGAACATGTCACACTGCCTCTGACTTCTAGGCTTTTGAACATGCTAGTTCCTTTGCCTGACTGCTTCCTTTTATCATCCAAGTCTCATTAAAAGTCGCCTTCCAAGGGTTTTTCTGCTATATGCTCTCCCAGCATTGTACTTTTCCCTTCCAACATCATCTCTGCTGTAACAGTTTGATGTCTGTTTCCATCCACCTTCTGTTCTCTATTAGAGCACATTTACTGTTCTATTCCAGAGGAAGTGCAATGCCTGGCATAGACTAGGCATTTCACAAATATCTGTGGAGTCATGTTGAAGTTAAAGATATGTTTAGTAGGATACATCTGGGTACATATGAGTATATACAAACATATATATATATATATATTTGAGAGATTTTGGTTTTTGTTTTGTTTGTTTTGGTTTTAGTTTTCATGTTGCTGCTGTCTCTGACACACTTATCTCTGTGCAGTTAGAGGACCTAAAAAATAGTTATCTATTTATGACTCAAAGCCTGCATACCTGTATCATTGTTCCACAGATTCATTTTTCTCATTATCTCACTATTGAATCTTTTTAGAGATTGTTTTTCCCCAATCATCCCTGCTCTATGAAATTTTAAGACCTCATATGTACTGCATAGCTGTTTATGTATTGTGGCCCTTTAGAGGGCCCATCGCCATTATAACACATAAAATTTTTGTGTCACTTCAGGCAATATTACCTCCTTTATGAATGCGTGACCTATCGCTATGCCTGTAGCTGTATTTATTATCTATCTATCTATCTATCTATCTATCTATCTATCTATCTATCTATCATCTATCATCTTCTTCTTTTTATTTAGTGAGAAGGAAGAGAGAGAGTGCCTAATTGAGTACTCTTTTATGTATTGTTTCTGCTGTTCATTGCAGAATTTTTTCCTGTCCTGTTTCCAGCTCAGTTTCGGAGTTGAGTCCACCCAAAGGCTTTGCACAAAAAGAGCATCCTCCTTTCTGATTGTTGTGTTGGTCTCCTGGCTATTGAGTACTTTACTGAGAGTTAAAAAAACATTAATTTGTATGGAAATATTATAGTCAGAGTGTATTGTAATTTTTAGAATTTCACATTTTATATTTACCATAGTTATAATTTTATTCATGTCAGTTTCCAAATGAAATGTTTTATGTGTTCCCAACTGGAATTAATTTTCTTTATCTAATTACTTTCAAAGCTGTATCAGAGTTGAAGCTTTGAAAGCTATTGGTGGCATTAGGATCCATTCAGTTTCCGCAGGCAGCTTGAAAAATAGACCTGTATGGGCAAACATCTCAGGTGCAGGGAAAACCATCGTCTTACATGAGTAGCTGCAGAGAGAATGGGATTGCAGCCCTATTTCTTGCTTACTCTGGCTTTTATTAGTCCACAGAATGCTTAGAAACAAATGGCAGAGGTTTGTTGGGAACATTTTATAGTGCCTCTAGGGACCACTGACTTGTTAAGTCTATTTGCAGCGGCAGTTGTCATTTAAATACAACGTTACAACCTGTTATGACACCCAAGGTGAGTGGCTTATAAAGCCCACAATCAAGGAGGCTTCAATGGTGATGTAAAGTTAAAAGACTCTTCCCATTCATCTTTTTTTTCCTCCCTTTTTCCCAGCAGGCACTCATAAACTATCTGCCTAGTACCAGTTTAGTCCAGATATACTGTCAATTTACATGGTTTAACTGACAAGTCATGCTTGTCACCATTCATTAGTTATTGCCCTCAATGGAGACATCTAATACCACATTGCCTTCAATAGCAAACAGGCATTAGTTACAGCAACATTGAGAGAAATGTTCAAATGTTCCCACTTCCCCTCTCTCACACTAAACAGCCACTGGGATAATGCTATCTCATTTAGCTACTGCAAGAACCCTCTGCTCTGGTCCAAGGGATGCATTCACAACCCATATCTTGACAGCAACAGCTAGCACTCACTATGTTGGTGGGCACCCTGTTTAAGTGCTTCACTACATTTATACTCACATTAATCATATGATATATGTGTTAATATCATTCTGTGCTTTTACAAATGAGGAAACAGGCTAAGGAAAAAATATAGGGTTTTGTGTGAGGTTAAAAAGGCAGGAAATTGTAGATCACAGGTTTTAAAATTGTATGCATACAGAGCCAGCCAGCTTAATCTTTATTCTAAATTGCATCTCCTTGCTTAATATTCTAAAGCTAAGCCAATTCCCTCCCCACCTTATTCACACATACCCAAATTGTAGCCAAAGTTAAGCCCTTTTTTCACACAGTCTCCCTAAAGGAATGTAGTTCATAGTGATATATCCAGTGTACTCCCTCATATAATTTATTTGTAAAATGACATCAATATTGTTCTGTATAGTACTATTTAACTTTTCAAGATTCTGTGCCTTATTGCCTTTAAATAGAGCATACACTTCCAGGGAGAGGGATGTTTCTTATAGTTGTACTACGTTTTAATAATGAACAGTACAATGCCTCACACATAGTTTGATATGATACATTTTTTAAAAATCCTTTGATTTGGTGATAGCTGGGAAATGTCTGGAGTTATTATACACTCCAAGAAAATAAATGACAGTTTAGTCTAGTTTTATACTCGACTACTAAAGGCTAGCCAATTAAGAGAACTGTATTTAACTACAACTGTGCTTCTTGGTTGTCCTGGAAAATTGATCATTTCTCTGATTTAACCTACTCTGATCGCTATAATCTTACTTATTAATACTTTACAGACATGCCATCAATTCGGTAGTGTTGTAAGTTACTTGGAGAAGTCATCTGATGTGGTTTAGCTGTGTCCCCACCCAAATCTCATCTTGTAGTTCCCATAATCCCCATGTGTTGTAGGAAGAACCCAGTGGGAGGAAACTGAATCATGGGGGCAGTTACCTCCATACTGTCCTTGACAGTGAATGAGTTCCCACAAGAAAACAATTTCTGATGGTTTTATAAGGGGCTTTCCCCCTTTCACTTGGCACTTCTCCTTCCTGCCTTCACATGAAGTAGGATGTGTTTGCCTTCCCTTCAGCCATGATTGTAAGTTTCCTGAGGCCTCAGGAAACATGTGGAACTGTGAGTCAATTAAAGCTCTTTCCTTTATAAATTATCCAGTCTTGGCAGTTCTTTATAGCAGCATAAAAATGGACTAATACAGTAAATTGGTACAGGATAGTGAGGTGCAGCTCTAAAGATACTTGAAAATGTGAAAGTGATTTTGGAACTGGGTTACAGGAAGAGGATGGAACAGTTTGCAGGGCTCAGAAGAAGATAGGAAGATGTGAGAAAGTTTGGAAGTTCCTAGAGACTTGTTGAATGCAAAATGTTAATAATGATATAGACAATGAAGTCGAGATGGAGGTAGTGTTAAAAGCAATCAGTTTTATGTATTCACAAAGTTTGGAAAATTTGCAGCCTGACGATGCAATAGAAAAGAAAAAAAAAACATTTTCTGAGGAGAAATTCAAGCCAGCTGCAGAAATTTGCCTAAGTAACAAGGTGCCAAATGTTAGTCGCCAGGATAATGGGGAAAATGTCTCCAGGGCATGTCAGAGGTCTCCAGGGCAGCCCCTCCCATCACCCGCCCAGAGGCCTAGGAGGAAAAAATGGTGTTGTGGGCCAGGCCCAGGGCCTTGCTGCTTTTTGCAGTCTTGAGACTATTTGTCCTGCATCCCAGCTGTGGCCAAAAGGGCCAAAGTACAGCTCATATCATTGCTTCAGAGGGTGCAAGCCCCAAGCCTTGTTGGCTTCCACATGGTGTTGGGCCTGCAAGTGCACCGAAGTCAAAAATTGAGGTTTGAGAACCTCCACCTATATCCCAGAGGATGTATGGAAATGCCAATATGTCCAGGCAGAAGTTTGCTGCAGGGGTGGAGCCCTCATGGAGACCTTCTGCTAGGGCAGAGCAGAAGGAAAAGGTGGGGTTGGAGCCCCCACACAGAGTCCCCACTGGGGTACTGCCTAGTGGAGATGTGAGAAGAGGGCCACTGTCCTCCAGACCCCAGAATGGTAAATCCACTGACAGCTTGCACCATGTGCCTGGAAAAGCCGCAGGCACTTAATGCAAGCATATAAATGAAGGAGGGCTATACCCTACAAAATCATGTGGGTGGAGCTGCCCAAGGCCATGGAAGCCCACCTCTTGTATCAGCATGACCTGTATGTGAGACATGGAGTCTAAGGAGATCATTTTGGAACTTTAATGTTTAATGACTGCCCTATTGCATTTTGGACTTGCATAGGGCCTGTAGCCCCTTTGTTTTGGCCAGTTTATCCCATGTGGAAGGGGTATACCAAATGCCTGTGCCTTCATTGTATCTAGGAAGTAACTAACTTGCTTTCAGATTTACAGGCTTATAGGTGGAAGGGACTTGCCTTGTCTCAGATTAGACCTTGGACTTGGACTTTTGGGTTAATGGTGGAATGCGCTAAGACTTTGGGGAACTGTTGGAAAGGCATGATTGTGTTTTGAAATGTGAGGTCATGAGATTTGGGAGGGGCCAGGAGCAGAATGATATGGTTTGCCTGTGTCCCCACCCAAATCTCATCTTGAATTGTAGTTCCCATAATCCCCATGTGTCATGAGAGGGACCCAGTGGGAGGTAATTGAATAATGGAGTTGGTTACATCCATGCTGTTCTTGTGATAGTGAGATCTCACAAGAAAACCATTTCTGATGGTTTTATACAGGGCTTTTCCCCTTTTGCTTGGCACTTATCTTTCCTGCCATCATTGAAGAAAGATGTGTTTGCTTCCCCTTCAGCCATAATTGTAAGTTTCCTGAGGCCTCCCCAACCATGCAGAACTTTGAGTCAATTAAACCTCTTTCCATTATAAATCACCCAGTCTTGGACAATTATTTATAACAGCATGAGAATGAACTAATACATCATCTAAGATAGTCAAACTGTAGCTTCAATACAATATTTGTAATTAAAATAAAGTAACACCAATTTATCTATATGCTGCAATAATATTATAGAACAAATGTTCTGCACTGTTCAGAATGTTTACATTGCTCTTATCTACTATGTCTGTGTGAATAAAAGTGTATAATATTAGTCTAACCATTTTTTACTTCCTACCACTTTACCACATTTGCTAATCAGTGTGTAGTTTGGTGAGTGAATAATTTTCTAATAAACACTGGACCCAGGATTTGAACAGAGGCCTCTTTTACTCTCAAACCACCATTCTTTCTTTCAAAGGCAACATTCTGGGCAGGGCACAGGACTAGAAAAATAAACATATAGGGCTTAGAAAAATTCTCAAAAATACATATTGTTAAAATTTAAATTATAACCTCCAAACTTTAATCAGAGAAGGAGACTGAATACAGAGAAATGGACCTTTTATCAAAGACTACTCAGAAGAAAAGCCCTGGCTTCTAATTGTGCCCCCCAAAAGACATTTCGATTTACCTTATAAAGTAGGATCAGATATAGTTTTGGGAACTGCAAAGTAAACTACAAGTGACTCATAAAACAGGAGTATTATGAGATGAGGGTTATTAAGCATAAGTTATTCCTGTGTGATAATCACAAGCTCCAATAAGCCAAGTTTTGTTTGTATGTCCAAACTGAAGAATGTACTTGATTCAAGCTCAGAAATACTAGGAAAGGAATAGACAATAACATGCATGAATCACCTTCAGAGTTTTTGTGACAAGATTTTTTTCTCTTCTCCAACATTTGAAAAAGTTAGGCAGTCACTCTTTAAACTTCTGCTTCATCAATGTCTACTGGCTCATTACTTTTTCTATTTTATTTGCTTTCTCCTTTGTTTCAGTTTGTGTCACAGTATTTTTTTCTTGCGGATCCTGCCAAAATACATTTCATTTGACTTTCTTCATGACTTTGTATGTTCTCAGAATTTGCATCTCCTCTAAGATCAGTCCTCACTCTATGTAGATCTCTTCCAGTTTTATACATCAAATTTTGACTTATTTTCCATGTTCTATAGTTAAATTTCCAATTACCTATTGGATAACCATAATTACATATTCTTTTGATTTCTAAAACTTTAGTGCCTGCTATTTGCAAGATAAATATGCTTTGGATGAATGAGTAGATATGCAAACCCAAGTAAAGTAAGACACATTTTTACCCCTTACTCCCTAATTTTGGCCACTTAATTCCCATCCATATCTACTGACACCACCATTTCCAAAAATAATCAGTAAATGAGGTTGCAAAGTGCCCTCAACTGCTCCCCTTTTGTAACTTTCATTTTGTACTGTAAGATTACCCTCTTCAAGAGATCTTGATGTTCCTGTTGCTCATTACTTCTATGATAGTTCTTAGAGGATGAAATTCAAAAGTTTTTCTTTTGACTTCAAAGTTTATGGTGTGAAATTAAGTATTGTTCTTTTCTGCCTTGGAAACTTTCCCTATGCTTTCCTTTCTCCTTAATGGTTTTTTGTCTGTACTTTTCAATATTACCCAAATCGCAAGCCTCTTCCAAAGCCCATCTTGCTTATGCGGGCTTTTCTAACACTTCCTCTTCTATACACTATTTTCTTCATTTAATGTTTCTTTCATTTAAGACACTTTCATTCTGTCTTCTTTTACAACTATTTGTGCACTCCCTTTATACTATTGACTCAATGGATTTCATCTAATCATCTTCTGTCACTAATGCCTTAAGCAACTGCCTTCATTCCTATACCTTTGATCCTCCTCATTGATGTATTCCTAGCTTTGTAATAATTAAACAAACTATTTAGAACTTGTGTCCTATTTATTTTTTGTTTATGCAGACTGAGCTGTCTCAGTATTCTTCAGCTCTTCCTGATGAATAGAAACCACGGAAGGGATATGTGGTTAGGCATCTTACAGAAAAGTGTTTTTCTAATTTTTAAAGAAAACTTAATTAAGGAGAGATATGCACAAAGTGTTAATATATATTATGCCTGAAAGTAGAAGTGGAAAGCTCATGTTAGCTTATAACTAAAAGTTGATATTAATAGATGTAAGTATTGAAGCCAAAAAGAGTATGGGAGAGTTACCTTCCTTTGTGATGTGGTTTTGTATCAAATACTTCACCAATAGTGCAACTTTATCTAATCTAATTCAGTTTGCTATTATTACAGAAACCACTGTCTGAAAGTCATCAAATTATAGAAACTTATTGATTAATAACAATAATTATAGCCACCTTACATTTATATAGCACTTGCATATTTTCAAAGCATCTTTTTGAACTATTACCTCATTTCCCTTCCGAACACCCCTGTTGTTATATATATGGCATACATAGCAAGACATTCATTGTAACCACATGCAAATTTTTTATATGAAATCATTAATGTGCTCTTAGAAACTTACTAATTATGTAGGAAAATATATTACCTATGGTAGCTGTGTAGGAAAAATCTATGGTCATTTTAAAAATAAGGTAATGTTGCATTGAAGACCAATAGATTCAATACACAGGTGTTATCAAGCACAGAAATTATGCAGTAATATATGCCATATCAAGGAAACACAAATGTATGTATCTAGCCACTAATATATGCTATCCTTATAAATTCTGCTTTCATTTTCAAATATTGAGCCTTAATTTTAATGTATAAGATGAACCCCATTTCTCAGGGAATTTAGCACCATTACAGGCTATTTAAAAAAGACTTATACAGCCCTCTAGTGTTCCAAAACTAGAGACCCCCAATACAGAATACATTCAGGCATGGCTAAAGTTGTCCCTCCATTCACCTCCTTTAATGTGGAATCACTGCTGACAATACTACTGCTAGCAGCCCATATTATTTAAACTACTAAAATTACAGCGTTGGCGGTGGAAACGGAACTGTTCTCACTCACATCACTAGGGAAAAAGCGTGGAGTACATGACAGCTTAGAAACTGCCTTCATGGGGGAAATGTTCAGATAAATCAATTTTTTTCAGGAAAAAAATTAATTTGCTGTGTACTTATTTAAATAGCTGACTGAAGAGTTTATTATGCTTGATTGCAGGCCTTCAGCAATAGTTATTGCCTTCTTTTCCTTTCCTCCCTCTCTCCCAATGAATTTCCATTGACAGAGCCTACAGCTATCCTCTCAGAAATCATATAAAACCTGACATTGCTAAAAAATTAACCTCAAAAAGGTATCTTCGGGTGTTGACTTTCAAATCAAATTTTAATAGACAACCGCAGGCTGAGGGCTCATTCTTTATAATCTGATCACTAAGCAAGATTCACGAGCTGTCCCTGGTCTGCAGATGGAGCTGTTGACAAAACAGTACTATCCACTTGAGAAAAAGCAGGGCACAGACTTGAGTTTTATTGAATGTTTCTTGTCTTCTTTTTTATTTTTTAAAGACTATGCCTCGAGATATATCCTAAGTATTATCTTTTCAATTAAAAGAAATCTATCCTTTGAAAATTAAATACAGCTACTAAATTTGATGAGCATTATCTTAGTTACAGAATTGGACCACATTAAACCTACATAAATAAAAGCAAAGACATATGCCAGTAAAAGTGCACATAAATAAACCATGCAATAAGAAACAACTGCACAGAAATAAGCATTATGTATTATTCTCTTCTAAATAAACACAGTGCACTAAGTTATTTAACTTCTAGTATTTAAACAATACTTTTTTGATGGAGTAATGCAGTTTTTTTTGCATTTAAATAGTTCATCATCACGATATAGCAGGTAGGTGACATAAGTTCCTTAAGAAAATCTAAGTATGATATAGGCAAATATAGAATTGTCTAATTTTAAAGTTAGAAAAAAACTTCGAGGTAATCCTGACAAGGATTGATAGATTTTAAGTCTGAAGACTTCAGTGATGATTCAATTGTTCTTCAAACAAATACAAATGTAACCTATACAAAAGGTTACATTTGCTTGATATTAGGGTTAAAGAATCATAAGCCATCTTCTGCTCTCAAGAAGCTTACAGTGAAGGTGTGTAACAGACACACTACAAGGTTTAGTACAGAATAAAAAAAGGCTATGAAAACAGAGGGAAAGGCTCTAACCATAGCACACGTGGTATGTCAGAAAAGGCAATTTTAAAAGTCACTTAAACTGAAGTTTTAAGATCACCAAAGGAAATCATCATTTTACAGAAGTGGAACCTGAGTTGGCAAAGTAGTCCAGAGGATAGATGTCAAAATCAGGGTCAGAAATAAGTTTCCTGGTTTTATTCCCTGAATTCTTTCCACAGGAAAACATATTTCTAGGTGAAATATATATTAGTCTCTACTGAGAATGGAATTAAAGAGTCCCTGTGAATAATCTAACTACATGCTAGAATGCAAGCAAGACCTCTGTCCTCAACCACATCTCATGAACTGCCAGCAGTGTCACCAGCGTAAGCCTGAGACATATTGCACTAAAGTTTTAAATTATGTTAATATCCCCTTAAGTTTTAAATAATGTATTTTACCTAAACGTAAATCATTTTATTTTGTAAATTTTATTTATTTATTTATTTTATTTATTTTGAGATGGAGTCTCACCCTGTAGCACTGGCCAGAGTGCAGTGGCACCATCTTGACTCACTGAAACCTCTGCCACCCAGGTTCAAGCGATCCTCCCACTCAGCCTCCCAAGCAGCTGGAATTACAGGCTCCTGCCACCATGCCTAGCTAATTTTTGTATTTTTTAGTAGAAATGGTGTTTCACCATGTTGGTCAGGCTGGTCTCGAATTCCTGACCTCAAGTGATCCTCCTGCCTTGAACTCCCAAAGTGCTGAAATTACAGTCATGAGCCACCGCACCCGGCCAACATAAACATAAATCATTTTAAAGTGCTATGTACTTCCATTGACATAGTTAGAATAGCAGAATACTGAATTTCTTTTGTTATGGAGTACTTAAAGTATGCTAATAAACAACATCTAGTCCAATGTATTGTCAAAATATCTACTGTCTTTTGTTTCAATGATGTAAGATTGGACACAGTTAAATTTAAAAATACTTGATTTTTTTACTATTATTTTAACTTTTAATGTGATAAGCAATAGAAAAAAAATAAACATAGATGCCTTTGCCTCTGAAAATTATTATAATACCTGTCCTGATATCTCAGAAGAAAAATAAACTTAATCATTATAATCACCATTGAGAAAATGAACCCACGTATTTTTTACCTATTGAAATTGAGCTCTTTAGAAGAAAACAAGAACAAGATAAAGAATACATGCCTTATATTTGTAAAACTGTATTGAATACCAAAAATATTACATTGTGTTTACAAATTTCATATTATAGTCGTAATATTTGAAATCATGGTCAGTGCCTTTATTTCTTATCTCCAAAGACATGCTTATTATATATTGGAGTCCTTTGAAAATACTACTACCTACTTAAGCCTGGGCAATATCTGTTACACATGGAAAATAAATTTTTAGAAATCCACCATTATTCATCCAAATCTCTGGCTAGGTCATTTTGAGCTATGAGGCATTGTGCTTCTGTATCCTATTTACAACTTTACACATGGTGTATAAATCAGTTGCAAGTAGACTAGATGAGGAACATGCTATAACAAAGCTTCTTTGATATTAGCCTCTACATGGCATGAAGAAATTTTGTCAGTCTTCAATTTACCTCCATGTTATGAATTTGAAAGAGACATCCATTAACCTGGAAGAAAATTAAAATCTATAGCTTTATCATCAATGTAAGTCATGTTGAAATATTAGAGGGCAAATATTTCCATGATCACAATATATACATTATTGAAAAATAAAAAAAGCATTCCTTTACCCTGTTGGACTGAAGCATCATATTTGGTTTTGAAGACCTTTGCATAATTTAGTGTTCTTCATCTACAATAAGACACTCGAAAGGAAGTCTTGAGATGAAATAATATAATTATGTTCACTCTACAGCTATCGATTAAAGTTCACATGGTAGGAATGAATAAAAGAAAATAATGTTCTGAAATATTATTTTTGTTCTTAAGATATTTAATTACAATTCCAATGGAGCCAATGGATTTGAGAAGATAAGTACAAACCCATATTAAGCCATAGCCATCCACTTAATTGAATTCACTTAAGCTGCTTCTAGTTAGGATACTATATAATATTTTACTCAAATACTCTTAATTATGGTATAACAACATAACTTAAATATTGTAGGTATTACAATTATATTTAGATTACTTTTAATTTTGTTGTAAAGTATTCCAATCATGGTACTATTATTTAGAGACGAACTAGAAAAACAACTATATACAATCTCTAATCAAGAAGAATGGAATTATATACGAATCTATCACCAGACAGTTAATAACATGACACTGTACACTCCTGGGCACATTTAATGATATAAACAAGGAATGGACTATTTGAGGAAAAATGTACAAGCAAGCCTATGATACAAGGAACAAAATAGGAAACAATGGGTACGATATATGTGGTAACAACAATATCTATTATCAAAACTCAAAAGAAATCAAACTCTTTTTGGTGGACCCATTTAAAGTTTGGAGAAGATTCATGGTAGTATATGATAAGGTGCATTTATCAAGATAGCAAGAGGCAAATATTTTATTCCACGTTCTATCCTAACCTTGTCATCTTGTCAAAATGCATTACTCTTTATGAATATTAGTTCTTCATCTACAATTGGAATGGCAACATTTTTCTGCTTATGCCACAGAACTGTGGTATTACAGTTCTTTTCATAAACTTTGACTAGTTTTCAAATTGTCAAGTCTCATTCAAATATATATTGATTATAAATCATTTTTCAGATTTTATGATCTGTTCCAGTAAGCATTTTATATTATACTAAGAAAAAACACTTTGATCTAAGATATTTACAGAACCCACAGACAAAAATAGAAAATAAAAGTGTATATAAGAAGCTATACATCATTGTGACTTGAATATGATAATTACCAATAAAAACTTGGTGATAAAATTAGTAAATGATCATAATTCATGATTTTATGAAATACATTATTTTTAAAAATTAAAATGCCAGGATGTTTGCTGAGAGAGCTCTCTATGGACAATTTGTCAATTGTTTACATGTCCAGGTTCCCTAGAATTTTGTCAGCTGTTTTCCCAATAGCAAATAAAAATTGTTTTAGCAGACTTTATATTTTCCCAATTGTATACAGAATGGGCCAAATTATATCTTCCTTAATAGAAGCATGCAATGATACACATGGTAAAGACAAATATATTATTAGGTGGGTCCAGTTAATTAGTCTTAATATCAGTAACACAAAGTGGAAGTGGTGGTTAGGAAATTGAGCTTCCATCTGTAAGACACTTTTGCATGCCAAATGGCAGTGTTCCAGTTAACAGTTTTAGAAGAGAGAGTAGAATATATTACAAGTCTTCAGCTACACATTATCTCACAACTATAAGGTTGAAATACACAAAAATTTAAAAAAGGAATGAAGGTGAAATGTGCAGGGCATTTAGCAGTCCTGCTGGTTAGCATATAGGATACTCCCATAGGGATATCCCAGCTGAGAAAGCTAGTTAAATGCCCTGCTGTTTTCAAAATGCTTTCATACCATCAGTTGAAAATATTCTATAAATGTGAAAAGTCATCTATGGGTGACATTGCAACTCAAAGCTGAAAGGATTTCATCTGAATTCATATAATGGGTGTCTGTAATAAAATCTTGTATGTAATGTGATTTGAAGAAATGCATTAACAAAAGTATAAACACCTTGTTAATAGTGGCTGTGCACAGCATTGGCCTAAGGGGCTGTCAGATGATCAACATAGACTAAAATATCAGAACACAACTTTGTGGGCTGCAGGCAAGTTAATTTATAAGGTCAGTTAAGGGAAAAACATTATCACACAACTAAAGTTGCATTTACTCCTCAAGAGAGTATTTTGGCTTATACTGATTGCATCAGGGACACCCTCAGGTGATGTCAGGCATTAATTTGTGGCTACTCTCACACAAACGTACTAGTAGGTTAAAAAATATGACCCATATAGGAAATAGCATCATTATAAAAATTTATGACTGCTACATGTTAATCTCTGATTTTAAACAAGATTTTAGCAGATATTTGAGTGAAAGTTAAATAGTCAAAAGGAATATGTATATAATAAAAAAGATATGAAAACATTTTTATAAAATATAAAAATAACTCTAAATACTGTGATATCATATATATTGTATATATACATATGTGTATGTGACTATACACATTATATATATTTATATTTAAAAGTTGTTTCTCATTCGTGTTTGCATATTCAGAAACTTTATGTGCATATCCAAGCACATTTCAGGTCCTCAACAAGTATTTGCTGAATTAAATAAATGAGCATTACTTTAAAAATGCATAGTCATCACTTACATACTTTTTTTTTTTTTTTTGAGACAGAGTCTTGCTCTGTCGCCCAGGCTGTAGTGCAGTGGCGCGATCTCTGCTCACTGCCAGCTCCGCCTCCCAGGTTCATGCCATTCTCCTGCCTCAGTCTCCCTAGTAGCTGGGACTACAGGCACCTGCCACCACGCCCGGCTAATTTTTTGTATTTTTAGTAAAGACGGGGTTTCACCGTGTTAGCCAGGATGGTCTCGCTCTCATGACCTCGTGATCCTCCCGCCTCAGCCTCCCAAAGTGCTGGGATTACAGGCGTGAGCCACCGCGCCCGGTATATACATGTTTTAAATAACGAATGTATAAACTGAAACCAGTTTAAATATGGGAGTCAAAATATGTTGGCTGTAGTTTACTAAATCTGAGAATTAAGGCCTGTGACACTGTCTATTTTCAATCCAGTTTCTTTCAGTAACACCTTTAATGAAAACTGGGTCTATTGTCTAGCTACTATATCCCCAAGACTGGGATATTTAAAATAAGTCTCAGTAATTATGACCTACATGATGTGACTGCATCTTGAGCACACATAATATAATCATGCTTTTTTCTTCACTAATTTACTTTATGTACACTAGTTAGTAAGTTGATAGAAATTTTCTATGCTAGAAGTAAATGTCACATATATTATACCATAATTACATAGCAAGAGAGGTTTTGAAATCAGTTTAGATACTGTGCTATCCCTATCTTAAAAACTGTCTGTTAAAATAACCAATATAGCTTCTCTTTTCCTAACTGTATCCTGAAAAACTCAGGTCCTTATTTTATTTTAACATTTTAGCTCTATAAAAATATTTTTAATTGACTGATTGCACTGTAAGTACAAAAATACACGTCAGTTTTAATGCCCTGAACTTGAATGTGAGATTAAATGTAGTTCACATAATATTAGTTTAATTATAAGGGGATTAGGTTTTGTCCTATATTAGCATGGCTATTTTAATATTTTTTAAGTGGTTAAAAATCAATGTTATGGTTTATATTCTGAGAATAAACATTAAAAGCAATTAGAAAATAATTTATTTTGTATTATCATGCAATCATTTCATTTACCATGACTCAGAAAATATGAATATGGTGAAGAATCACAAAAATTTAGTTAGTTATGTATTTTGGATTTTAAAACATCTTTATTACATTGAAAATTATTTAATGCATGAATTACATGAATTATGTTTGGCTACTTAAAAGCAGAATATTATTCACTGATTAAAATTCATGGTAATTAGAATTATACTGTAAGTGATGAGTGAATATGATGAATTTTTTAAAAAATCACTTTCTTAGGCTGTATCACACTAAAAAAAGGAGAAATAATTTTCAGTTTCACTAAATTGAAGATCACTGAAACTTCATTTATGTTACACCAACTCAATATTCAGTTATCATTGATGTACTTTTCTAATAATTATTCAATCTTTGTTATAAGAAGGATAACTGAAATATTAATCTGTGTTTTTTTATTTCTGCATCTATTTTAGAAAGAACATAAGGTAAACGTCTTAAAATAATTTCCATATTTATAACAATGTCAGGCAAAAGAAATCTTCTCTAACCTTTCCATAAAGAAGCAGCAGTATGCCTTGTTCATTTCACTGGGTCCTCTACATGATATATCTCAGTTTATGTCCACACAAACCATCACTCTTGCTGGGTAACATAATTGACTTTCTAACAGCAAAACTGGATTCCTCTGAGAAGATGTTTTCATTAACAATACACTATGCAACACTACTTTGTGCACTCAAATGTTTGTAGTCACAACATTTTACCACTAATTTGTACACCAGATGATCCAATGGGAGCTGGCATTTCCAACACTGAAAGAGAAACCTTGCTGGTTGTTCAGGCAAACTTTTTTTTTTTTTTTTTTTTTTGAGATTTTAAAGGTGACCAGGTGTAGTGGCTCATACGTGTAATCCCAGCACTTTGAGAGGCCAAGATGGGAGATTGCTTGAGTCCAGGAGTTCAAGACCAGCCTGGGCAACATAGTGAGACCTCCATCTCTACTGTATATGTATAATCCAGGCATGGTGGTATGTACCTGCAGTCTCGGCTACTCAGGAGGCTGAGGAGGGAGGATTGCTTGAGCTCAGGAGTTTGTGGCTGCAGTGAGCCATGATCACACCACTGCACTCTAGCCTAGGCAACTGAGCAAAACCCTACCTCAAAAATATTTTTAATACAAATTAACAATAATAACAAAAATATTTTAAAAGGCCCCAATGTGCTTATCTTTTAAGAATGTTTTTAAGCTATGTGCTTGGAAATCACAACTTAATAATATTAGGACATTAATATTATCAGTCCCCATGCATGATATCATAAATCATTTTTTAAAATTTATTTCTCCCCCCCCAAAAAATATTGCAGTTGAGAAGCAATTTTCTTCATTGTCCACCTCTCATATCAAAATTGTAGAGTAGAACAACAGAAGAGAAAGATTACAGGCTCTCACATACATAAAGATAAATTGTACCATACAATGTCTAATGGCTGGGGCATTATTTATAAAACTTTATAACGCCATATTCTATATTTCCCTGGGAATATTTGAAAGAATTAAAGTAATTGCACCAAGACCATTTTTAATTTAAGACTTATTTAAAACAAGATTTTTCAATAGGAGCATTATTGACATTTTGGACCAGAAAATATTTTGCTTATGGGGGACAGTGCTGTACTATATTATGTAAGATGTTTAACAGCATCCCTGGCTTCTACCCACTAGATGCCAATAGCACTATCACTCCCAGTCACAGCAATGAAATTGCCTCTATAGTAAGATGGTTCTTCAAAAGACTAAACATGGAATGATCATATGATCCAGCAATTCCACCTCTGGGTATTTACCCAAAAGAAGTGAAAGCTAGAATTTGAATAGCTATTTGTATACTACTGTTCATAGCAGCATTATTTACAATAGCCAAAAGCTACAAACAACCTAAATTTCTATCTATGGATGAATGGTAAACAAAATGTTATATATACATAAAATGTAACATAATTCAGTCTTAAAAAAGACTGAAATTCTGATGCATGCTGTTATATGGATGAACATAAAAATTATTATGCTAAGTGAAAAAAGCTAGACATGAAAGGATAAATGCTGTGTAATTCCACTAATATCAGTACCTAGGGTTGTCAAATTCATAGAGATAGAAAATAGAATGGCGGTTGACAGGGTCTGTGGGGCAGTAGAAATGGGAAGTTATTGTTTAATGGGTAGAGAGTTCCAGTTTGGGTAATGGAAAAGTTCCAGAGATGGATGGTAGTGATGGTTGTAAAACAATGTGAATCTACTTAATGCCACCAAACTGTATTGAAAATGGCTAAAATAGTAAATTCATGTTATCTGTATTGTACCACAACAAAAAAATACCTCTGAATATTGCTAAATGTCCCCTGTGGTGGGTGGAAGGGCAAAATCACACATAATTGAGAGCCACTGCTCTAAAATATGGTTTGAATTTGAATTCTCTTTAATTTTTAAGCAGTTCATCCCTTTTATTTTACATAGTGCTACTACTATTTGTTTCATATTTGAAAATTTTCCCTCATAAAGGAAAACATTGTCTCCTATTTTAACTAATTAGTGCTACCTTTCTCACAAGTCCCTTTTAGATGGGAAAGAATTCCTATTTTGTTTTATTTTATTTTATTAATTCGAGACAGGGTCTTGCTCTGTCACCCAAGCTGGAGTGCAGTGGTGTGATCATAGCTCACTACAGCCTGGACCTCCTGGGCTCAGTCAATCTTCCCACCTCAGCTCTCAAGTAGGTGGGACTACAGGTGTAGGCCACCACACCTGGTTCATGTTTACATTAATTTTTTGTAGAGATGGGGGGCTCACAATCTTGCCTGGTAAGGCTCGTCTCAAACTGCTTGGCTCAAGTGATCCACTCGCCTTGGCTTTCCTAAGTTTTGAGATTACAGAGGTGAGACACTTCGCCCGGCTCAATTCCTCTTTTTTTTTTTTTTTTTTTTTTGTTGTTGTTGTTGTTGAGATGGAGTCTCACTCTGTCGTCCAGGCTGGAGTGCAATGGTGCAATCTCGGCTCACTGCAACCTCCACCTCTCAGATTCAAGCGATTCTCCCACCTCAGCCTCCGGAGTAGCTGAAATTACAGGCACCCACCATCATGTCCGGCTAATTTTTGTATTTTTGTAGCAAAGGGATTTCACCATATTGGCCAAGGTGGTCTTGAACTCCTGACCTTAAGTGATCCTCCTTCGTTGGCCTCCCAAAGTGCTGGGATTACAGGTGTGAGCCACTGCGCCTGGCCCCAATTCCCATTTTAAAATGAGTTTTTAATTAGCACAACAGGAAATAATTGTTTGAGACTAGAAATCATGTGACAAATCACTAAACACACTAACACCTGGCATGTCTGGGATCTAGCAGATAAAATGGCGGTTCCCCAAAACAAATGTCTGTGTCCTAATCCCCAGAACCTGTGAATGCAATCTTATGTAGAAAAAAGCATCCTTGCATATGTAACTGAGAAAATATCTTCAGATAAAATCACCCAGGATTATCCAGGTGGACCCTCAATTCAATGACAAGTGTCCGTATAAGACACACATAGAGGAGACACAGAGAGAAAAGGGAAGTGTGCAGATGGAGGCAGAGATTAGAGTGATGCCACCACAATCCAAGAAACGCCATGGTTGGCCACAGCCACCAGAAGCTGGGAGAGAGACATGAAAGGGATTCTTTGCCTAGAGCCTCCTGAGGAAGTAAAATCTTGCAGACACCTTGATTTTTGGACTTTCAGCCTAGAATTGCGAGATAATAAATTTCTCGCAATAAATTATGTAAGATACTCAGTTGGTGGTCATTTGCTATGGCCACCCCACAACATTACTACCAAAGGCAAATACAAGTTGCAATTTGAAATGCTAAGCTGACTCTTCTCTAAAATAAGATATTAATATAAAATATTTAACTGTATCTGAAACATAAGGTTGACAGTGAGGGACTGCGTTAGGCTGATTTTTTTTTTTAAGGAACCATACTATGTAGTGTTTCTATTATTACCTTTTATTGTTACCTATAAAAAATTATACAATATTATCTGTAACTGTTCTAAACATATTAATTTAGAGACCTCAGAAATATGTACAAGACATCTGTCCCTGTTCCAGTGTTGTTAGGGCCCTTTGGCTGTGATGCAAGGAACTAGTTAACGTGCACCTACTGTAGCAAACCCCGGCACCTGTATTGCCAACACTAATCAAAGTGCTCCTTCATGGGGTGAGAGAATCGCTATTTGTAATGCAATAATTAGGCTGGGTAGAAAGGCTTGTAAAGTAAATCAATCTAGTCTGCTCTCGAGATCTGACTCCATTCTCTCGGCAGATTGTTAACATAATGAGACAGAAGCCGACAAGAGGTCCTGCAGAAAAAAACCAGTGTCATTCCGTTCCCTTCTTTCTTTAATTTTACAAGGCTTCTTAGGACATAATTGTGATTAAAACTAATATGAGCCGTTGATAAAACATGGGATTCTAAGCCTTTCAAAGGTTATGGAAAGGATGACCTGAAATGCAGTAGCAGTCTGAGCCTATTACAACTTCTGTATTGTTTTACTGCAAGCTCTGAAAAGACCACAAGAATTCTCTGTGAGTAATTACAATTCAGGGAAAAATAACAGAAGAACATTGGAAGGCCAGCTTGAAAATACTGGTGATTAATCTGAAGTTCAAAAAAGGAAACAAATTAGGTGTTCTTTATAAATCAGGACGAGACTTTCAAAAGCAAACTTATTTGTTCTGCCTGACCTGCTGAATTGGCAAAATCTGCTGCCCTACCCCAACAACGAAGACGTTTTCTTATATACTGCAAGATTCTCATACAGACTTTCAAAATACATGTAAAATGAAAATAATTCTCATACATCTAGAAGCTATTTTCTTTCCTTTTATATGCTTTGAAATCCTCTTTCTGAATGTCTATGTTATATATATATGAAAATATATGTGTGTACATATAAATATATATATATATATATATATATATATATATATATATATATATATACTTTTTCACAGGTATAGGGCATTAATTTAGAGGCCTTTTTCTCCCTACTTATATATTTCAAGGTTTTAACAGAATTCTGTTTTTAAGTTAAGTTTTCTCTGGAATGAACAAATATAAATCTAATGAGAAATAAAAATTTGAGATATTTGCATTTCGTAAACTGGGTCAAAATGACCATTTATATGAGGAAGAGCATCAGACTTTATAGTGAGCTCTTCTGGATTGAATAGTCTTGGATGCTTTCATTTTGCCCAGATTTTTGCATCATGGCTACTGTGAACAACAACCGTTTTTGTGTATATATATATACACACACACGCACACACACATATGTGGGGGTGTCTGAGTATGTAAATATACACACACTGGTGTACATGTATGAGTATGTAAATATACCAGTGTATGTGTAAATATATATATACATATATGTGTGTGCATATATATGTATGTGCATATATGCATATGTACATTCATATACACATATATGTGTACACATATATACATTTTATCAATGCTCAGGCCACTCAATACTTGAGATTAATTCAGAAGAAGTTAAAGAAACATTAAATTCTTAATTACCATGATTGTCTTTTTGTTTGGCCTAGCTTTTTATTTATTCTCAGAATAAAACCATATTCTTTTAAATGCAGGTTCACAAGGCTTCATCAACAACTGAATCTGCTGGTGTTTGTTGTTATTGCTATTGTTTGGTTTTGTTTGTATTTTTTTTCAGTAACAAGATAATTTCATAGACTTCTGTAAGTTGAATTTTATTTCTTTAATATTTTGTGTGAAGTATAGTAGTGATTAATCATGTGGTTAAAAATTAGCAAAAAAATTCATTTAATGCTGGTTAACTATGTGCTCAATGCCATGTACATTATTCTCACTTAATCCTGGTAACATTTCTTCTTCTGATGCAGGGATTGTTACTCTCTTTGTTCAGGTGGAAGAGTGACGTCTAACTAAATGAGTCCCTTGCCCAAAGTCAGGAAGCTGGGCAACGCGCAGGTACCCAGATCTTATTGTGAAGAACATGCCCTTCGTCGGAAAGCTGAGCTGCCCAGAGTGTATTTTCAATTACACTCCCTTTAATATTTATTATGTTCATTTTCAAATAGCAAAATAGGCAATACACACTTGCAAAGTTTAATAACTTTAAGACAGTTAAATTGTCATAATTTGGTAGCATAAGTATTTCCTTTTTGAAATAGGTTCGTATTTTATTTTTAAAAATTTTGCAAAGGGGAATATAGAAAGTATATAGAATTGAAATCTGAGCACTAAAATTTCCATCACTAAATATACTTAAAAGGAAATTTACAAAATAAGCCTTCCAGAACACAGGTTTTCCGTTTTAGAAAATAGATCTATGTATGTATGAAATCAAAAGAAAATTAATGCACAAAAGCAGACAGCAGAATGATAGTTGCCAGGGACTGAAGGAGGGGGGAAATGGGGAGATATTGAAAAGATACAAATGATCGGTTATGTGGGATAAATAACTTCTAAAGATCTAATGTGTAACATGGAGACTATAATTAATAATACTGTATTTTGCACTGAAAATTTGCTAAGAGCGTTGGTCTTAAATGTTCTCATCACACACCAAACCCATGCCCCCCACCAGTATACAAAGGTAACTATGTGAGGTCACGGAGAAGTTAATTAGCTTAATTGTGGTAATCACTTCATCATGTATATGTATATCAAAACATCATGTTGTACACCTTAAATATATACAATTTTTGTCAAGTATATGTCACTAAAGCTAGAAAAATATATCAATGTGCTATGAATAAAGGAAACCTGGATGAAGACATTAAAATCTGATCTTAATAAGGCTTCCAGTAGTTTAAGGGAGAACAAAAATTTGGAATATACAGTATGGAAGTTTTATTTGAATGTTTCCATCTCCAATTTCACCACGATTATAATGAAAGAGACTTCTAGTGATAGAAATAAATCAGTTTTGAAACACAAAATGCCAAAAATATATATTGATCTGTGTATACACACACAAACACATATATATATTTAAATGTGTGTGTATATGTGTGTGTGTTTGTATTTTCCAGGAGAAATTTGTAATAAACCATAAAATTACAAATTGAATACAAATGAAAACAGCTGAGTTCTTATGGCTACTGAAAAGTTTTAAAATGAATAGCAGCATACATTACCCACAATTTTAAGATTTCAGTTTATTACCATCACGCAATGTATTGTATTATCACTGCTGTTTTCCTTTAAATATTTATCCATATGCTAGTTAACACCTACACTTAAGCCAAATACTTTCTTCCAAGAATTGTCCTTCCCTCTCACTAGCTCATACAAGCAATACCACAAATAACTTCTGGCTTTTATTCTGCATTTACGTAATGGATTATATCCACTTTGTTTACGTAACTAATAGTGCAGAGTGCCAGAATTTTAATAACTGACCTAATGAACTTTAGTTAATGCTATAATAGACCAAGCTTTGTGTTACATCCCTCAAACAATCATATTCAATTATTCTCTTTGTGTTGCTTACCTCCAGATCCAGAGGACTACATGAGATTGAGGATATGTGTTTTCTCAAGTTTGTCTATTCAGATTTAATGGACAGATAGATTAATTGAAATTAAGAAAACATTTCTTGCAGGGCGTGGTGGCTCATGCCTGTAATTGAATTTTGGGAGATCAAGGTGTGAGGATGGCTTGAGCCCAGGAACTAGAAATCAGCCTGGGCAACGTGGTGAGACCCCCGTCTCTAAAAAAAAAATACAAAAAGTATCCAGGCATAGTGGTGAGTGCCTGTAGTCCCACTACTCAGGAGGCTGAAGTGGGAAGGTTGATTGATTGAGCCTGGGAGGTGGAAGCTGCAGTGAGCCATGACTGAGCCACTGCACTCCAGCCTGGTCAACAGAGCAAAACCCTGTCTCAATTAAAAATTAAAAAAAAATAGGAAAACATTTCTATTTGGTAAAATCTTTGTAGCCATACATTCACTTTCATTAATTTTAATTCAGTTCATAAAGAATAAAAAGTGATCAGATTATACATGCCGCGTGGTTCATTCTTTCCTTTACCAATACTAAAAGTGCTTTCTTACTTTTAGGACATTATGATGAAGAGTTAAAACAAGAATTTTTCAAAATATTTACTTTTGTGTACTCAGGCATGTAGCTCTCATATAGAAACTAACATTGTGAATAGATACGTAACCTTGATTAAAACAACAAGCTTGTTCATACAATAAAATTTGATATGTTCAATTACGAATGAAGTAAACTCATAATACATTTAAAAATTATAGCTTCAATTTTGTAACATGCTTTCACTTCAGTTAAAGCAGAAACTGATGTGATATATGTGACAGACAGTTTAGTTGCCTGAGGCTAAGCTGACATGAGCCACAAGACTAGACATTTCTTAGGGCTGTTTTCTTTCTGTAACATTTTTG
Source organism: Homo sapiens (assembly GCF_000001405.40). NCBI lineage: Eukaryota > Metazoa > Chordata > Mammalia > Primates > Hominidae > Homo > Homo sapiens. The sequence goes on from NC_000013.11 coordinate 66,704,422, forward strand.
CCTTACATAGACAATTCATGTCTTATTAAGAGTCTAAATAAAAGCAAATTTAGTTGGATTTATTCATTCCTAAACTTAAAATGAAAAAAGAATGACAATAAGGTAAGTCTCTGACACTTGAGAAAACTAAATTTAAAAGGTGGTGAAGAAGAGAGGAGAGGAAGATTTCCAATTCATTTACAAATTGTAGGAAATTATTATAATATCGCAAGACAGAATGATGACAATGGAAATGGTGTCAGGAAAGAAAATGAGACTGGTAAGTGTAACTTTTTGCAAAGTGAAAGAAACTCACATTTTCATTATAGTAGATAGACTGACTAGAAATGTGTTCTAGAGAAACAATTCTCTAGATGCTGATTTGGAAAATGCAAGTGGTGTAAGGCACTTAATTTGCTCACTTTTATTCCATTTAGAGTCTTTTAAAATACATTTTTCTTCATTTGGCTAAATAATACATTGGTATTAAAATAGTCATATAACAAAACATATTTCTAATGCTAAACCCTTTATTATTTTATTGTTTATAGCAATTTGTTTTCATCAATGCTTAAGTATAAAAAAAGTTACATTTGCAAATTTTTATTTTTTTGAATTTTAATGTTCCATAAAATTTAGGGCTGTACAATATATACCTTTTCTCTATCCAGTAAGCAGTTGTTCTTGAAATGGTTACAAAGGGGTAAGTGTATAGTGATGGTTTATACCATAGAGTGTTTATGGAAGAGATAACTCAGTTCCTTCTATTCCTGAAAATAAATAAGATTTCTTAGAATATTTTTACATTATAGAAATATTATAAATGGCACATGTGCATGCCAAGACATCATTTTCTAAAATGAAGAACAAAGGAAAATATGTAGCATATAAACTGCTGCTATTGTCATAATGTTTATAGGTGACATGGGAAAGATTTGTCTTTATGCTGGCATTAATCAAATTTGGATGCTAACACATTTTTCCACGCTTAACTATATGTTGATTCAACATGTTTGTCGCTTATGTTGACTTCCTCCTAATTACACAGTTTACTAGAGGAAAACAACAAATCGTCCAATCCCCCATCACACCTAAATAAAGTTCACCTCATCTATTTTAGTAAGAGAAGTTTGAAAGTGCCTGAGATTTGGTATAATGCGTGGCATTTTCCATAAATAAATTTATGTTTCACATATATCTTAAAATTTTTCAAGCAAAGAAACCTCTTTTTGTTTGTGAAAATGTCACATAAAGTGATAAAATCTAAAATGCAGTTTTTGCTCCTCTCTCCCACATACAGAATATAGAATTACAAGAGAAATATATATGCTTATGATGAAGAAAATGTATCACCAAAATAACTGAATGACAAGTTAAAACTTTACTAGGGTTTTAATTCAATAAACCATAAAAATAATTATAAACATAAGAATTGCAGGAAACTTAATTTTACGTATCATAAATATATTCAATTGCTCATTACTGAAAGGAAAAATCCTTTATTTCATGGCTACTTTTTCCTGGCCCTGTAAGCATCTGATTTTAGACAATTTCCTCTGAAGTTATTCATCAGCTATTGATCACAACTCAAGTGGCTTTAATGAAATACTTTGATTGCGGGAGTATAGAAAGCACACTTGGGGCCAAAAGACAGCTAACACTATGTAAATGAGCAGTCGTTAATTATAACTGAGCCAATGCATGAAGATTAGAGTATGTATTTGAACGGGAGAAATACCCTTACAAAGAAATAATTTAACTTAGAATTGCTTAGAAAACAGGGAGTTAAAGCAAGGCCATAAAACTTAGCGGCATCATTATTGTCAGCTTCAAGAACACTTCCACATAATGGTTATGTTGGATGATAGGAATAAAAAGACACTAGGCTAGATTCATAAACTATGTTTGCAAAATTCAGTCAGCCTGACCTTGGTTCAAATTCATGTGCTGCCAGTTACCAGCTGTGCAAATTTGGACGAGTTCCTTAACCTGTCTGAAACACTTTTTCTTCAACACAGCAGAGTAAAAGTACACTTAGAAGGTAGTGTTTTTATTAGGATCTCATCAACTGAGGCAGGTGAAGTGATTAGACAAGTACACCTGGTAAATATTACATGCTTAACTGACATTAACTGCTAGCAGCTGCAGTAGTGGTAGTAGCAGTAATATTTACCAGTTATTATTAAAAATCTACAAAGTCACAACCTAAAACAAATGCCAAGTGACAAATGATGTTTTAGAGAGTAGAAACAGATCAGAAATTGTGACTGAGAAGCTAAGAGGGGAAGGCTATGAAAGACAAGAGGCCAGCATTGGTTTTATTCTTTGCCCAGTGAAAATGTGGAAATCAAAATGAAGACAGCATGACTTAAGAAGCAAGATAATTATTTGTCAGGGCAAGGAGTAAAAAGAGTCAGTTATCAAATGTTCATGGGTGCTGATCCTGAAGCCAAGAGTTTGGGTTACTGGGCATCTCACTCAGTCATGGAGACTCCCATATTTCCAGGCTGAGTGGGCATCAGGCCAGGGATGTTGGGGTGCTAGGCCTTTAGGAATACAGATGTAGGGACACCGGGCTGGGGACAAAGCTTTGAGCCAAAGGTAAAGAAGAATAAATCAGAATAAGTAATCTTCCCAATTAATATGAGCTGAGGTTCCTTTAAAATTTTTTCTTTCAACAAATATTTTCATTTTAGCACCTCTTACCCCCACAAAAAATCAGGGAATAAACCATTCACGTGAAAGAGGTGAACCTAGCATGGTCATACTTGGTCCTTAACCATAACATGTAGCAATAACATGGTCTAGGAACCTAAGCAGTTGCCATTTAACATAGGTACAGTAATTTTAATTTTTTGTCGTTTTGAACACTACAGAACAATTTTGACTAGGTTTTCAAAATCTAAATATTTGTGCTGTTGACTTATTTTACCATATTGAAAGAGACACTACGCACTTAGAAAAAAAGCAAGTGACAAATACAAAAAGGCAGCACATATTGCCAGCTATTAAGCTACAGTTACCCTCAAGTGCTGGCAATTTAAAATGAACTTGTCTTATCTTAGGCAGCACTTAATTCACTCTGCACTTACAGAGAAATGCTCATCACTTTTAGATGTTCATGCCGATCAACATAGCAATAAATGAGATTACATAGGCGCTTCTGCTCAACTGGGATAATAAACATTAATTAATTAACTCATCAATGGAAATAACCCAGAGAGATTATCAAGATTGTAAAGATGACAAATTAGCAGAAATTGGAAAAGAAACATGCTCCTCTCTCTACTCAGGTCACTCACTTATCTTTTGTGTACAAGGAAAATATTTGTCAGGATTTTATCAGACAGCCATTATTTAACATTTATTGAATGCTTCCTGACTATATCACAATGTATTGAATTACCAACCAATGTAATACTCAAAATATTTACAAGGTTTAATATGCTCTCCTTGATAGGCCAGGATAAGCACTTTTTGCTCATCTTAGATAAGTATTTTGCTTGTTTATCTTCACACCAATTTCTTAACACCAATTTTCATATCAATTCTCAGTAGATTTCTCTTTACCTTTTTTAAATTCCGTTTTCTTATTTTGAAGAAAATCTTTAAATTGAACACAGATAACACTTTTATTTTATTTTATTTTATTTTTTTTTTATTTTTTGAGACGGAGTCTCGCTCTGTCGCCCAGGCTGGAGTGCAGTGGCGGGATCTCGGCTCACTGCAAGCTCCGCCTCCCGGGTTCACGCCATTCTCCTGCCTCAGCCTCCCAAGTAGCTGGGACTACAGGCGCCCGCCACTACGCCCGGCTAATTTTTTGTATTTTTAGTAGAGACGGGGTTTCACCGTTTTAGCCGGGATGGTCTCGATCTCCTGATCTCGTGATCCGCCCGCCTCGGCCTCCCAAAGTGCTGGGATTACAGGCGTGAGCCACCGCGCCCGGCCCCAGATAACACTTTTATATTCATTCTTAAACTTTCAAGTGTACTTTGAGATTTAGTTTTTTTTTTTTTTTTTCTTTCTTAGGTCTAGTTTGAAATGGCTAGGTAACAACTGAAATTCTAGGGGATACTCCTTTAGCCACTATTTTCACAGGCATAGTCTTACATTCAGGAAAATGTAGAGATATAGAAAATTACTGATGGATATGCAGATATCCTTTAATGAAACTAAGGTCAATATTACAGTCTTAGAATGTAAAAAAGAGCTGTAAATATGCATTATCAGTGAGTCATTTTTCATATCAGAAACACGCAGAAACGTGGAAGATACATGGCTTCCTCAGTCTAAGTATGTGACTCAAATAACAGACACTGTTTTCAGTGATAGGAGAATCAAATTTGCAATTAAATCACTGCCCCTGTAGCTCAAAAGTGGAGTGTTGGCAAAACAATCCCTGACTTCAAAACTAACACCCAAGAGCAAAATCCATGACATTCAGCTGCTTATTTTGATAGAGATCATTCATTCTGCCCCCAACCAAATCTTCAGAGGTCTGGTTTAGGGAGATGATTATACCACCCATAAAGTGTCATAGTAGTTATGGTGTTCTCTGATATATCTTTGGGAAACATACCATTTCCAAGTAAGCCCTCAGTTCAGGGACAAGATCAGAATTGAGATTGAAAGCTTTAGCCATAAGATAGTCTTCAGGCTTTTTCATTTGTAATATATTGTGAGATATGCTGGTAGAAAACACGACTTGACAATTGATTTCCTGTACAACTTCCTAGAAGGAGGTTTTTCCAATTCACTGGAAAAATAACATGATATTTCCTACACTGCTATTATTAACATTTACAGACTTAGGGAACCATGGCACTATGAAGGACAGTAAGAGACTACACAGTTAAACTGGTTACTCTAAAAATAAATTACATTCACAACTATATTTTACATTGCTATTTTAAAATATCTTTCCTAGTCTCAACAATAACTAAATACAATTGTATCATAGAAAATCATTATTAAGGGTTTCTGAATTGAAACTTGTATTTGCTTCTGTTCCCAGTTTCAGTAAATCTAGGAAAAGCAATGTGGTACACTATGCAATCATGTTGTCCCAATTTCTAAAGCCAAATTTCATTTCAAGCCCCATTACCTAGAAGGTAAGTACATGAATTAACCAATCTTAAAAAACAGAAATATGATTGATTAGTGAGTTACCAATAGGATGCTTTCCCAACAAATAAGCAAACACCAAATCCGTCTTCTGGTGCCTGAAAATGTCACTGACAAACTGTGTTGAGTCAAGAAAATAGCCTTTGAACAATAATTTTAAAATAAATATGTTTGTAACATGGGAATCATATGCTAAAAATCATTGGCAATGAATAATTTAATTTATCTTCTAGCAAAAACCTCTAAGGCTGTGATACAGAACAGGCAGGTTTAATGGAATAGTAGAAAAATGTAACAGAGTATATACTTAACAGAGTCAGGGAGGATTCAAATTTGAGATCTCCCATCATTTAAGAAGAAATATCCATTTTAGGAGAAGGATGAACTAGACAAGGTCTAGACTGTCAGCAAAAGAAGTATCTTCTCATATAATAGAAATAATATTTTTCATAGTAATTTTAAAATATCAATGGATTTTTCTGTTTTTAGACAGTTGAGGGTTAAAAATTACCCAATGTCCTATGTCAGCTATTAAGAGAAGTTTACAAAAAGGAATAATCATCATTTTACTTGACATTATACACATTGACTACACAGTCTGATATGAGACTTATGGACTGAAATCTGACTCATTTAACATACAACTAGAACTAGAATAAGTTTTATTTTTCTTACTGAAAATTAATATATAGCTTTATTTATACATTTTTACTAGAATGTTTTATGCCTTCTATTAATTATAACTATGGCGATTCCACTGACTTGATTTGATTTTAATTTCTAATTCTAGAAGGAAACAGAATGCTTTGCTCTATTCTGGCACCATAAAAAATAACACCTAACCTTTAAACTTTTAAAAGAAAAGTATACAAAATGACAGGACACCGATGCTCTTTGCTATGTGTGTAATTTTCTTTTACTATGAAAGATATGTTTTCCAACTGGGAAGCCTTTATATCCCTCTTGAAACACCTAAAGCATATTCTGTTCTGTATTGCAGTAACTCTACTTCTAGAAATGGGTATCAACAGAAATGTTATTACAAACATAATGTACTCTGTTTTTTATTCTGCTGTTAAACCTCACTACAAACTTGCAACTTGTAACACTCAGATGTATAACCTTACATTTTCATAGGTCAGAAGTTGGACACAGGTCTTACTGGGCTACTATCCAGGTGTTATTGATATTAGGGCTGCCTTCCTCTTGAGGTTCTCAGGGAGAATCCATTTCCTTGCCTTTTTCATTTTTTTAAAGCCTGCCTGTATTCATTGGCTCATGAGTCTTTCCCTCAACATTCAAATCCAGCAAGGTCGCATCTCTTAACCATCCTTCCATAGCCACATTCCCTTCTCTCTTATTCTGCCTCTTTCTTCCACTTTTAAGGCCCTCCTGATTACATTGATCATATCCTGATAATCTAAGCTAATCTCTGCAGTTCACATTCCTTACTTATTCACATCTCATAGTCCATTTCCAATGTAAAACGATATATTCACAGATATTTGAGATTAGGACATGTAGTTCTTCGGATAGGGAATATTTTTTGTCTACCACTCAAACAAAATAATAGAGTATTATTTCTTCCCCACAGTACGTTGAAAACTACCCATCAACAGAGAATTGACAGAAAATTTTGATACATGCATGCAATGCAACATTATGCACTTGCTACAAATGACAAGGCATCCCCATATATAATGACATAGAAATATGATTGCAATATCTTAAATACAAAACGCAAGATTTCTAAAGTGTATTTGTTAAGACCATTGGGTCTGTGAATTCAGATCTATGTTTGGTTCCAAGTTTGTGTACTAACTTCTTATAAGAAGGGATCTATATGTATTGACGAAGAAGAAAATTGCAAAAAAAAAAAAAAAATTACCTGACATACAACAACCAAAGTATTGCAGCTTCTGTTTATTACAGGTTGACTGGAGTCTGTGATGTTGAGAGTGTATTTGCAGTCTTATTATTGCACATCGCTATCACTAAGTGCCAAAAATAAAGAAAAAAATCAGTCGTCTTTTCCTTTAAATACAATGTTATTTCATGTTCATGTTTTACACATAAAAGATCGTAAGACCCAAGAGTGGTAGACATTGGGTTATCTTAGTAATTTTGGAAATAATGAAAATTAGAGTTAATGTTACTTTCGAAATATACTCATTTTTTAAGACAAATTACTTATCTTTTTTATCATCGATGGTCACATTAATTGAGTCTTTTACGATGTTAGCCATGAGCTCTTTGGAGTCTGCTGTATGCTCAGCGTTTTAAAGAACATCTGCTGCAACAGTTTTACTTGATTTTTTAGCCCTTGTTGTCTTCTGCTCTAGACAGCAACACATTGCTGAGATTCAATTCAAACTCACCAACAGCAACTTTAGCTTTACTTTATGTCTCTGCTTTCCAGTTCCCAGGTTTATGACATTGCATGATCCCTTTCCAGCTCATGAAGTTCTTTTTCTCTCTTTCATTATGGTCCTCCTTCATGAGTTATAGAGTAACAGCACTGCTAAAGCTCTTACTTGTGAATCTGAATTTTTAACAGTTATATAGATAGCTATTAGAAAAATTAGATGTGGAATAATATTTAATTTGCCTGTTGAACTTCTGAACAAATTTTAACATGTCACAATAGTCCCTTGCATATTTTAGGATTTCTAAAAATATTTCCTTTTAGTTTTATTACAGGTATCATGCACATAGTTAAATTTATATGATGTAATAGATTTGTCAGCTTACATTGAATGAAAAAACGGTTATTATTTCATAAAACTGATATTCAAGGGAAATGAAATAAAAAATACAGCACTTATTTATTTGCTACTCAGCTTAAATATGATAGTGTTAGTTTTGATAGTCATTAAAATTCAAGCCTGAATTTAGAGTATTTATTTTCCATAAAATAACTTATATGCAAATGGAAGAATTATTCCTTTAAATACAAAAACAATTCTTATAATAGGCATGAGAAAATTTAAAAAAAACTAAAACATGTAAATACAACACCTTTTTATTACAATTTTAAAATAAAGTATTTTTTTGAAAGGAAATTAGGCAATGCCAAGCTTCAAAGAAGTCCTTTGGATAACTTCCTCTCCAATTGAATTGTTTCATACTGGAAATTATACTGTCAGGTGATTGTCCAATTTTTATTTTCTATTGTTGCTAGTTCTAAATGTAGAATTGTGGAACTATTGATGTTGCACACACATTATATATTTTCTAGTACATTATAACAATATTCTACCCTTTGGATTGGCTTTTCCTGCACAAACTAGAAAAGCATATATTATATTAAATGTATGCATAGAGCAAATGGCCAAATTCAGCCCTCAATGACAATCCTAAATAATTAAATTGTTTAAAGGAGAAAGTGCTTGCAAACATGAAAAAGGATAATTAAAATATATTTTTAGATCATCCAACAACTTGAGCTTAAATTTTGTTTGCCAATAAATCTTCTAATGTCTTTGTTGTTTGCCATTGCTTCCAGTGAACGTGTTAGTTATCCAACATTCGTATGTTTTCAAATGGCACATTAATTTTTTAGGCAGCATTACATAGTTGTGTTTGTTTTCTTAAAAACTGCGTGATCACTCCTGAACAAGCTGAGCACGGAATGAGTTTCTGTGCTTTCAGAAAGGCAGGTACAGACATTAAAGACAGTGATCTTACCAAGAGGTTTTAAAATAAACACCTGTCTTATTTATTCTTTAAATTATATACCTTGTAATAAATGTTTTGTGTTGTGCACAATGCTTATGTTTCATATCACTGCCATATTATTTTTAAATAAAAATATTAAAATGATTGCTGTCTTAGGAAAATAAAATTCAAAGTAGTGGCCAGACATAGCATTATCCTAGCTATCCCTCTTGGATTTTTCTTTTTTTCTTCTTACTCATTCTCTACTTCAAAGCTTCACTCTCTCTCCCAACAAAAGAGATGATTACCCCTCATTATAAACCACATGTAAATTTCAATATTGCAACATTTTAGATTATTCTTTAAGATCATCTCTGCAAAGCCTAATTACATATATATATATAAATTGTGTTTGTGTATATATATATAAAGTGTGTGTGTGTGTATATATATATATATATATATATATATAATGTACACACACATCCAGTTGACTCTTGAACAACACAGGTTTGAATTGCATGGGTCAAATAGACATATCTTCTTACCTCTCCACCACCTCTAGTATAGTAAGACCAACCCCTCTTACTTTTATTCCTCTTCAGCTTACTCAACATGAAGACAATGAAGATAAACATCTTTAAGTCTATTAAATCTACATGAGGCAAGCAGCCTGTGTGATATATTGAAGCCCTCATATCCCACCACATCTCTGTGTAATGTAAGGACATAGAAAGTGACTCCTGCTAAATATTCTTTTTGTAACTGATGATTTGAACCCTACCCATTTCTTGTGAGTGATTGGCAAATTGGTTTATTGTTTCTTCATCCTATAATTTATTCTTAATGTAATACAATTAATATACTTTTGAAGGCTATTGCAGGATACTAGGTAATGGCTAACTGTGCTAATGAAATAAAATTGTAACTTTATATTAGGTTATAGCTGTTGCATATAAAGAAAAGAATATTGATTTTAAATATTGTTTTAAAGAAAATATTGGCTGGGTGCAGTGGTTCATGCCTGTAATCCCAGCACTTCGGGAGGCTGAGGTGGGTGGATCACAAGTTCAGGAGATCGAGACCATCCTGGCTAACACTGTGAAACCCCATCTCCACTAAAAATATGAAAAATTAGCCAGGCGTGGTGGCGGGTGCCTGTAGTCCCAGCTACTTGGGAGGCTGAGGCAGGAGAATGGAGTGAACCGGGAGGTGGAGCTTGCAGTGAGCCAAGATCGTGCCACTGCACTCCAGCCTGGGTGACAGAGCAAGACTCCGTCTCAAAAAAAAAAAAACAAAAAAAGTTACATTGATTTTATAGGAATGAAGAGCAGTTTTACGGTTCAACAAATAAGTAACGGTTATGAAAATATTAATATTAGTAATAAATTAATGGTATATGACTGTCTGTCTATCTAATCTGGCTTACTTAGGCGTTCATGTACCCTATTAATCTTTTATTAAACTATGAGTTAAGTTGAGATTATATTAACAAATATGCACTAAATGTTGTAATAAAAGTATGAATTTACCATTTTATGTGGGTTGAGTTAGGTTATTAAGGTAAGGAGTTGCTATCACATAAAAGATTACTACTTTACTTCTATGTGAGATTTTCTTGAAACTTAAATAGCATTAAGAACCATGAAAGCAGCACATATTCAACAATTGTAAATCATTTTAATTCTAATAACTCATTGTTACTACCTCTACCCAACCTCAGCATAATAACTGAGAGGGAATGGTCAAGAAAAGTAGGTCAAACACCAGGAATTGTCTCTTAGTTCATAGAAAACATTTATCATACTGCCTCTACTGGAGACAGCATGAATAAGAAAATGTTAAGAGTCTTATAGGATCACTGAGATGTTAGGATAAAAAATTAGTATTTTTGAGCAGAGAATAATGAACACATGTATAGATTGTACCTGTCATATCTAGCACATTTCATCCCAAATCATCAGTCACTGGGCATTTTTCTGTTTCTTTAGACTGACAGAGATCCCTCCAACTTCAATCTTTGTAATATTTATACGGCCACAATTCTAAATCATTTTCTATTACACAGCATCTGAGATGTATAATTTCTGCCATAATGAGTAAATTTTTCTTTCAATTCTAAATGTTAATGTACTTCATTAAAGTGACTAATATCTTCCCCAAATCACCTGTTTTGTTTGTGTTTCGGTAATGCTAATTATGAGGATTTCCAAAATATATGACTTAAAAATGATGCAATTAATAAGAAGATCATGCAATAATGAGATATTTGTTTACCTGAAAATAAGAGATCAATAATTCAGTAGTCCATATGTTGTATTTATAGTATGCTTGAGCCGTATACAATTTATAATTGAGTTTCAACTCTATAATTAACTCCATAATTTACATGGCATTTTAAGAGGTTATAGTACAGATGATACACATATATAATTCATCATTGTGCACATCTTTGTGTGTAATATGCTATCTGCTTCCACAATGATCTACTTCCCCATAATAAAATGTCTATTCTTTATCTGATTCCACTGAGTAAAAGATGCCAATAAATAACGCACAGACAAATAAATGCAACAATAACCAGATAACAAAAACCAATAGATCAATATGGATGTGCATTAGTGTCTGCGTTTCAGAGGTGGTTTAACTTAAAGAAAAGCTCAATTTCACATTCATGTTTTGCCCTCTTCACTATTTCAACATCTGCTTTCGCAGTTGTACTAGTAAGAAAGGGTCTTTGGAATCTTTAAAACACTTCATAAAGCAAAATACAGGTAGTAGAGAGGTAGTAGATTATTTCCATCTGAAGTAGTTATAGAAACCACTCCAATTGTGGTTGGAAAAAGCCACTATAAATTATATGAAATAGAATTAATAAAAACATGCTTAATACTATCAGAGGAAATTAACAGAGTAGCTGTAAAGCATTCAGAATAGGTTATATCCCTGATTTCTGATTGTTTTTAAAATTTCAAACAATAATCTCAATTTATTTTGAAAAAGCATTTGTTTTTGTCTGGAAGATTATCTGCTAATATAAAGAGTGCTACAGAAAAATAGCAGTATGTAGTTGGCAAAAGCAGAAATTCTGGGTTACTTGTTCCATGTTTGTGCTATACATTACATTCAGAGAGATAAGCAATGCTTAGGTTTAGACAAATTAATGTATGTAATTCATTGGCTTGTTTACTAATTTGCAATAAGAAGTGTAGAGGAGACCAGTGGGTCCTGACTTATTTTGCTTGATCATTCTCTTCCTGTAAACAGAAAATGGGGGTTTGGGGATTGGGAGAGTAGAAGAGTGAAAGGACTTGGGTGGGTATTAATCTAATGTTAGCTTTGTAAATAAGGAGTCAGATCCCAGTAAGATTCTACAACAGGCAGATGGATTCATCTCACATTATAGGCAGTTTTGCTGACAAAACTGAAATCCTCAAATCTATTAGCTATGATTCTTCTCCCTGGCATTGCTTGGATGGGCAATGTCAATATTTATCTCAGGGACTCTCCTGATTATAAAATTTCTTGGCTGACCTACTTTTTTCTTATTGACATGTTCTTCTTTCAGATATGCTCATATATTCAATCAGCTGTACTCAGTGGTAGAATTACCCTGAAGCTAAGAAGCTTAAGCTTCTCACTTGAACAGGCCTCTTCAAAGCCTGGGGAGAAGCCAGAACAAAGTGTCCACATGGTAATATATTTTTATGAGATTTTCAAAACTAACATTTATTTCTGAAAGAAGGTCTTTCAAATTGTATATACTTCAGGCCTCAGAAAACCCAGATCTGTTCCTAGTTTGGTTAAATATGGTGGTCCTAGCCTGGGAGCTATTTTTCAAATCACAGTGATTTTTCATGTGTATATTCTGATATTAGAGCTTAATTTTTATGAAATTATCTAATTTTATTTATTTTTTAACTCCTTAGAGGACTTCAAGGTGTTTCCCAGTTTCTTACACCATATGGCAACTTTAAAAATACAATGAAGCTGGCCGGGCACGGTGGCTCACGCCTGTAACTGCAGCACTTTGGGAGGCCGAGGCGAGCGGATCACCTGAGGTCAGGAGTTCAAGACCAGCCTGGCCAAAATGGCGAAACTCTGTACTAAAAATACAAAAATTAGCCAGGTGTAGTGGCTAGTGCCTATAATCCCAGCTACTCAGGAGGCTGAGCCAGGAGAATTGCTTGAACCCAGGAGGCAGAGGTTCTAGTAAGCCAAGATCACACCACTGCACTCCAGCCTGGGTGACAGAGCAAGACTCTGTCTCAAAAAAAAAAAAAAAAAAAAAAAAAAAAAATATATATATATATATATATATATATATGTATATATGTATAGGCTACAAACCTTAGTACAAGATATGTCTCGCATACAACTGCAACTTTGATTAAGGGTTTTAGAAACTCAGTGTATATACAATCTGCTCTTTAAATGGCCCTAATTTTTGCAGACCGCCTTTAACATTGCCTTTAGAACAGAGCAAAATGTACAATCAGCTTGTAGTCAGGCTTCCATCTCAAATCTCTTAATTGTTCTTTAGTGTGATATTTTCAGAGTAGGTGCATATATCTATGTATTAACAATGTCAACTCTTCCTAGATCTGATTCTCAGAACAGAACTTCCTAAATGCCTCATATGTACATATTGGTATGTCCAACACAATTTATAAATATGTATCTATTTATTTACACAGACCCACACTTCTCAAGTAGAGCAAGACAGAGATCATTTTGGTATTCCCAACAGTGATCAAAATAATCAGATCATGTTAACGCATACTGTTGCTATTCATAGCTTAACAACTTTAATAACTACAGATTGTTTTTCATATTAAAAAACAGTTGAAAAAGGGTACATTGATTTTATTTTGATGATGGGAAGCAATAGGAAGAATAGAACATGTGTCTCTCACTACTGTGCTTTTTAAAAATATGCTCAGGGTCAAAACATTCTGGAAATAAATATTTTAATTGCTAAATTGGGGTTCACACACTTAGCAGAATTAAAATGTAAGTACAAAGGTTAGAATTCATATTTGCTAATTTATCCTGAGACCCGTTCAAACTGAGAGAGAAGTTGCTATATAGAACACTTTATAAGGTGCTTTTGTATATGTTGTGTTACTCAAGCCCCACAAAATCCTGTTGTGTCAAGTTTTATTCGTGTACAAATTGGTGTTCGGAGGGGTTAAATAATTTAAAAATACTCATAGAATACTATTTTGTTGAGGGGGGATTTCAATGTAGGACTCCAGATGTAGTTAATTTTGATTTCATAATCCACTATGCCATGCTGCTGAAAAAAAATGAATCCATGTTTATGTGTATAACTATGACGAATAGAACTAAAAGACAAAACATGTTTCTATTATTACCTGTCTCAAAACAGCTAAGTGCTAAAAGGCAAAAAATAAAAGGCATAAAAGCTATCAGCAGAGGATAATATCTAGAAAGTGTATGGTTAAGTTACTACGTGAATTATAAGCAATTTTCGAGGGAACAACCAAAATGGTTCAAACTTTACAATAAGACAAAAGCACCAAAAGAAATGTTGGTCCCCAAAATAAACACCAGGGTTAACACTTCCTATGGTGATGGAAGGTCTGAATTTAAGCCTGGCCTGCAAGAAAAGTTTTGATATTTTCTTGAGCAAATTAATTTTCTCTTTGCAAATCCTTAGTAGTACCTGGCTTGCAGCGTGGACCAGACACTCCAGAACCACAGACATGGGATTGTTCCAAGTGCCAGCCTAGACATGAACTAAGACAAACTCCAAGACTGAGGTTGAGTGATCAAGAACATTGTTGAGTTATTTCACATGCACAAGTTTTGTTTTTATCTAAATTTACAAAACTTAGTTAATATGGGCTAATGTATTTCTTATCCTCAAACAGGAACCCCACATATTTTAATAATCAATCCCGAAGATGTAGTCGAAGATGTGGTTTAATAGATTGCAATTTGGTCCTGGAGATAGCCGTAGCTGGGCTTTGGTCCTAACTCAACTACTCTGTAGCTAGATGGACTTAGACAGGTCATTAATATTCCCGTGAGTCAATTCCTCATTTTTTTTCAAATACTAATATAATGGATTAAAGATTGCTGTGGTTTGAAGGTATCCCTCCAAAATTCAGGTTGAAACCTAGTGCCCATTGTGGTGTTATTAAGAGGTGGGGATTATGGGGGAAGTAATTTAGTCAGGAGGTCTCTGCCCTCATGAGTGAGATTAGTGTTATTATGAAAGAGATTGAGGAGGGCTCCCTGGGCCCTCCACCATGTGAGGACTCAGTAACAAGGTACACTCTACAGAGCAGAGGGTGAGCTCTCATGAGACACTGAACCTGCTGGTAGCTTGATCTTAGACTTCCTGTCTGCAGAACTGTGAAAACTAAATATCTGTTTTTTTAATACATTATCCAGTCTAAAGTATTTTGTTATAGTAGCCTGATTGGACCAGTTTGAACAACAAACGTGATAATTGCTCAACATGGTGAAAATAGTAATGAAAAAGGAGATAGCCAAACGTTTGTATCAAGTTTGTTTAAATAAAATATTTGAAAGATATTCTAGACCTTTCTTTAAATAACTACAGTTAAGTTGCTCACCATTAAAATGTTATTAGCATACTACCTTGAAAATAAATCCAAGTCATTTTATAAGTATCCATAGTGAAGTTGTTCAGTCAGGAATATGATTCACAACAAATAGGAGGAAAAAGATTGATGAAAATACCAGTGGTTTAAGTAAAATCAAGCGTGGCAGTTCCACAGAAGAAGGAAGTATCTGTGGACTTTATGCTATAATTAAATATTCCTTCTACTACTACAACATTCAGATTAACTGTTGATCACCCAGCTACCATGTTTTAGCTCTTAGGATGACTAAAGCATGACTGGGAAGAATCAATATTAAATGTTGTTAACTGTATTTAACTTAGGACCATTTCCTAGATTTCATCTATTTATTTTTTATTTTTATTTTTTTTTGACACAGGGTCTCACTCTGTTACCCAGGCTGGAGTACAGTGGTGCTATTTCGGCTCACTGCAACCTCCAGGTTCAAGTGATTCTCCTGCCTCAGCCTCCTGAGTAGCTGGGTTTACAGGCACGTGCTACCATACCTGGCTAATTTTTGCTTTTTTGTTTTTTTTTTTTTTTTGGTAGAGACAGGGTTTCACCATGTTGGCCAATCTGGTCTCAAACTCCTGACCTCAGGTGATCCACCTGCCTCGGCC
The DNA here is from genome assembly GCF_000001405.40 of Homo sapiens. Classification (NCBI taxonomy): domain Eukaryota; kingdom Metazoa; phylum Chordata; class Mammalia; order Primates; family Hominidae; genus Homo; species Homo sapiens. The sequence goes on from NC_000013.11 coordinate 66,720,419, forward strand.
TTCCAAAGTGCTGGGATTACAGGCGTGAACCAACATGCCCAGCCTCATTTCCTAGATTTCATTTAAAGGCTTATCTAGTAGACAATGTAAAAATAAAGAAAATGTTTATTTTGATATACAGTACCAGTAGTTTTTTATAAAAAATGGACACTTTTTTCTTCTAAGACCACTAAAATCCTAATGAAAAATCATATATACCACATAAATTTCTGCTATAAAATGCAAAGTTAAGATTTTAGGGGGCAAATCTGGCAAGAGACTAAAATGTCAAATATATTCTGTGAAATGATGTTTAATTTTCAGTTCCCAGTTATAAGCCATAACAAACTCAAAGCAGTAAGTAAAATTAGGATAGCAATAAATTCTGCCACACAATAAATCCCAAGAGAGAAAATTATGATAATCAGAGTAATTAAAGAATATAATAGGAACTTGATAATTGTATAGTCTGGGTCCAAAAATCCAAATGGAATCGTGGGTATACGCAGGGGAAAAAAAGCATAAGGTGGAATGAGATAAATAGCAGTAAGTTAGTCCATTACGTCTGTGCACCTACACTGAATGGGACTGTATCACAATGTTACAATCACTGTTATACACGTAAAAAATAATTCATTTATGAAAAAGCTTCCAAGTGTAATGGGTTATAACCATTAGCATTAATTTAACACAAAAATTATTTGCGCACAGGAGTTTCAAGTGCTTTTAATGAAGTATGTATGAAACCGTCATGCTGTTGTTGTACAGGCTGTGCTGATGATATTTGACTAATTTGGGAATAATTATAACGTGATAAGGAAAAACAATGTAATGAACTTCCATTTCCTGAAGTGAGGTCTTCTGAAAACCAAGTCTCACAAGGTGGACTGTGGAAAGGGCACTGAACTCAAACATATCTTGAAAATTCAACACATTACCTATTCTCAGCATGGACTTCATAATGTACATTGGCATTTTACAGTCTCTCTGAAGTCCTGCAGTAAAGATATCTGTTTATCTTAGTTTAGTCTAGTGTGTTTTGTATCACCTATTAACATTTACAGAACGTGCAATATGCTTTGAAAGGTGCTAAATTATAAAAGCTTTCTGAGTATATTTATGTCTGAGCGTGGATATTTTAGTGTTTTTTTTTCTTACTGTAGCATGACAGAACTCATGTTCATCCACAACCATATCCTGACTCATATAAAAACACCTGGAATTTAGAGAACAATATATACATTTAAAACTCTCTGCATTTCAGCTGGCAATATACTCTTGAACTATTAGCAGCTGCTCCCATTCTGAAATCAAGAAACTTGACATCACTGCTAGGCCTCTCATAGCCAATATCATTTACACCTAGTCAGTAAGTAAATGCTCCAATAACTTTCTAAACACATTGAATCCTGTATCTTTCTTTGTGCCCTTCCACTGTCTCCTGTTATAGTGCTGCTCTCATTCTGCCTCAAGTACTAGAAATTCCTCATATCTCCCAGAACCTCCAATGACACGAGCATCCAATTTATAACTTCACTGTGGTTTCTAATCATTTTCTGCAGGAATAAATTTATGAACACGGACCTCAAGGGGACATCCTAGTCTGTTTCATCCTCTTGGGTATCATTTATCTTCCACCATTATCTAAATATACTTTCTGTAAGGAAGACTTAATACCCTCCCTATCTTCTGCAGTACTTAGAGTGACCTAGATAATCACGGACATTTGCCAGTACTGTCATCCATGTGTGAATGGCCTCATAATATTAAGAGGTAAGTGCTGCTTGGCTTTTGAGTATTTGTTTTCTTAAAACTGAGGCTACGTATCAGGCATGTGTGTATACCAAATTAGAATGTCCTCTACAATAATTGTATGGTTAGAACATAACTGCACTCAGTGTTTTATGTTTGGCAATAATAATGGCTAGCACATAATGGTCATCTCACTTAATGAGGTATGTACTGTATCTCCATTTTACAAATGAAAAAATCAAATCGCAAAGAGATTGAGCTTGTTGTTCAGGCTAAACAATTATAAAGTACTGCAGAGACAGACTTCCCCGGAAGCCATGGTAGACTATCCAGGGTCACTCCTTACACTACAATGATTATTAATTGGACCCTATTGGTTTAGGTAGGCCAAGTAGAGTTACTTCCCCTGAAATTCTCCTGTGAAAGAGATTCCTGTCTGAGTGTCTGCTGATCTTTTGAATGTGTGATTAGTGGGGTAGCCATTTTCTTCTTTGTGGACAAAGACAAGCAGAAAAGAAAAAAATTAAACACCTATGTGCCGGGCGCGGTGGCTCACGCCTGTAATCCCAGCACTTTGGGAGGCAGAGGCAGGCTGATCACCTCAGGTCAGGAGTTTGAGACCACCCTGGCCAACATGGTGAAACCCCATCTCTACTAAAAATACAAAAGTTAGCCAGGCACGGTGGCAGGTACCTGTAATCCCAGCTACTCAGGAGGCTGAGGCAGGAAAATTGCTTGAACCCAGGAGGCGGAGGTTGCAGTGAGCCGAGATCGTGCCACTGTACTCCAGCCTGAGCATCAGAGCCAGACTGCATCTCAAAAAAAAAAAAAAAAAAAGTGATGATAAACAATGAAAAGACTTTTAATTGTGACATGCAAATTCCTAATTTCTGCTCCTGTGTTGCAAGGCATACTCATACATTCTCATAATATAATAAATCCTCCCACATTTTTTTTTGGCTTGAGTAAGTTAGCATTGCTTTCTATTATATGCAATCAAACATTTTCTAATTAATATTCTAGGGGTACCTCATTCTTTATTTGCCCTATATTATATGGTGTTTTCTTCATATCTGCTTCTTCAGCTTCTTATTCAAAAACAAACAAACAACAACAAAAGAGGGAGTTAACAGGCCCCTCCAGATCTCTGAAAGAAGAGGTTTCCATATATAACATCTTATGGAAAAGAGATCTTCACTTAAGAAATGTATAATTGTTTGTAATTTAAATTTTCAGAATAAAATTTTCAACAGGGCATAGCATTACATTTTACAAATTCAGGGAAGTGATATAGGAAAATTATACTAAAGGATTTGTCGGTGTTTCATACAACTATTAATGAGAGTTATTTCAGTACTCTGTTTAAAAATTCAATTGCAAATAAAGACAAGTAGCTAAGCAAAGCATTGACTGTGGTTTAAGGCAAGGATTTCGCTTGGAACCAGATGGCCTGAAGAAGAAAACTGTAGGGCAAAACCATAAATCATAACAGAAGAAGACAAAGAGGACAAGGAAGCAAGTCAAAGAGGGTAAAAGAGGTTGGGTAACAAAAGATCCAAAAAGAAGCAAAAGAGAAGGGGTAAAAGGAAGGGCACAGTAATAAAGGGAAGGAGAGGTTTGCCAGCACAGTGCAACATGCCCAGAATACTAATGAAAAGCTGTAGCACTGGAGAGCCCAGAACCAAGGAGCAATGGTAAAAGGCCACACAACAGTTGGACAGTTTTTAAAAGTCGCATTGTGCCAGAGGCTTGTAGCAATTCCCATCCCAAGGATAGTCCTTTAAAATGTAAAGTACATGGTTTTCCTTAATTGGAAGTTATTCTTTAAAAGCAAGCTACAAAATTTAGAGAAGAAAAATGTGACAACAGAATGCAGTGAATGAAGTAAAGAAATGAAAGTCACCAGTGGGCAAAATTAATCAATTATCAAGTTGAGTGCGACCAGGAATTTTTCTTTTTTCTCTTTAGAAAATTTACTGATTCTTTCCAAATGACCTTGACTGCATGCTTCAGCATCGCTACATAACAATCTAATACTGAATGTCTGTACACAATTCATTTGATTGTTGTTCACTTCAGGTGTTATTTAAATGAGCCAAAAACAATATTTAAGTGAGCTGTGTCCTTGAAGAGACAGGTTAAATTTGGATCAGAATTACCATGGAAAATATGAAAAAGCATAGGGCTTAAAAAATGGCCACTAGCAGTCAGGAAAACCATACCCCTGCTTCATCTAAGGGAGCAACAAAATAATTCTATACACATTGACATGGATATCAATCTTTACATTTCTCTCCTTATCTTTTCCACCTCTATTTACTCCCATGACTATCTTATCTATTGCAAGAGAATGAAGGTGCAAAGTCTCTATGTCCAGACCATATGTGATAATACAACTCTGACCTACAAATGATGTCCCGGAAGCCAAACCACAATCTCTGCAGCCATTCTTCCATAAAGGTCAGGACTTCGTCAACAAATCCTCCTTATTTTGGCGCCCTACTCCCATCCCTCACCTTTCCAACTCCAGACCAAACAGAGAGAGCCAAATAACCTAACCTGAAACCAATCACATAAGATGCTTCACTTCTAGTTAGCCTATCTCCAGCTTCCCTATGTTAACAACCACCAATCAGAGCTTATCTAGTGTCTCTCCCAAAATTTGCCCACACTTCCCTACCTGCCTTGAAGTCTGCAAAGCACAAGTGATGGTGGCTGACTTCCTTGATATAGTAAGCTCTGAATTAATGGCCTCTTTTTGTTCTTATTTGGGTAGTCATTATACAGTTCAACCAATGTTTGAGATTTAAATATTACATAGTGCTGATGACTCCCAATATCATATCTCTAGCCCATAATTCTCTCCCAGATGGCTGACTTCCTCCACAAAATTCACACTCAGAAATTTAATGGGTTCCTTAAACTTAACATGTCAAAAATACACCCCCACACTCCCTAAATGCTCCATCACTCTGATTTCTTAGGTCCAGTTTGTTATATAATTGTCGATTTCTCTCATTCTCACATGCCCTCCATCTAATTCAACAGCAAATTCTGTTGGCTCAACTTTCAAAAGATATCAAGAATTTTATTTAATTATGCTATTTTACCATTACCTACTTGGTTGATTGTCCAAGCTATTATCACCTCTCATCTGGATTAGTGTAATAGCCTTTTAATTGATCTCCCTGCTTCTACCCTAAGCCTGCTGTTGCCTATCAAGACCACAGCCAGAATGATCTTCTTAAAGTGTCAGTCAGTTTGGCACTTATTTTCTTCCCTTTTTACACAGAGTGAATGACAAGCTTTTAATTTTTTTCCCAAGATCCTACATGATTTCATCACCAACACCCTCCTTCTCCTAGTTACCTCCCAGCGACTATTGTTTAGACTGTGATAGGTACTTTTCAATGGCTAGAGGATGTTCTAGGATAGAGTGTGATTTTTTTCAAAGTGTTAAAGGATACATTTCAAAAGAGAGTATAATCATAACTTTAATAAAAGTATACAATAAACATGTTTCAGATAATTTGTTTACATCATTAACTCACAGTTGAACCAGTAATGAATGGGGTTCAAATGAAAATCAAAAGAGCAGAGGCATGTAAAGAGAATAAAGAATTCTGACACGCATTTACAAATAGAGGGGGAACAGAACTACCCAAAGGCAATAATCAATTTTATTCCCCTGGGACAATTAACTTACATCTCTAAGGAAAAGTATCATTTCCATTATTATCACTTTTCTACAGCCTGTAGAGTTGTAAAGTAGCCTAATATTAGGTTGGTGTTGGTTTAAAATAGCCTAATATTAGGTTTTGCATTAAAAGTAATGCCAAAAATCACAATTACTTTTGCATCAACGTATACAATGACAGGGAATAATGCTTCATATGGGTGAGCTAGATAGGATACTTGCCAATCTATTTCTATTTTTTTAGATTTAAAAATGTTTTACAAGTTTTCCTGTTAAAAGGAAGAGAGAGAGAGAAGGGAGAAAGAGGAGACATACACATTCCTACATTGGAAGGAACTGGATAATCTTTCTTTAAAATTTGAAAAAGGCAATATGGAACAGTCACCAAAATGTTCTGAAGGAGAAAGGTTGGAAGAATTCAGGAGAAAGAGTCAGAGTTGTAATAGGGAGGAAGCAGCATTGAAGACAAAGGGTGGTCTTGACAAACAAAAACTTTTAGTGACAAGTTGCACAATGTAAAGAAAAAGACATAAGGAAAAATGCAATTAGATGGTAAAAGAAGCATACAAACTCAGAGGGTAATAACAATGGATAAGTAAGTGAATCTGTTTAAAGCATAACATTAGAGTGAGAAGATCCAAGAATGCACTGTACACAAGTCCCTAGAGGCACACTAAGTCACTGTGACTCTCATGGCTCTGAAAATAAATTCTCATCTCTGTGAGGCCCAGATGTTTTAGGGCTTTGGTGGGATTTCTGCTCCACTTATTCCCCAAATTACCTCCAAATAATCTTGCAATGCTTGAAGTAGCTTGAATGAAAAGTTGTTTTTTCCTCCCTGCGTACCAAAGACCTCACATAAAGCACCATTCATGTTGGTATCCAATGTCTTGCACGATTCTTGAAGTGCAGTATGTTTTAAATAAATGTCTGGAGAACTAAACTAACTTGCATAGATTTAATCAACTTTCTCAGTTAGCCATTCTGGCTTTGAAAGACTGCTGATTATCTCAAATATTTTCATATTCACCAAAAACAAGAAGCTTCCATCCTACTTTATTAGCCTACTTGCTTGCCTTATTTCTGACAAATTCCTAAGTATTTGGATTGTTTTAAAAAATCTAAAACTGGAGCCAGGCAGTGGCTCATGCGCATAATCCAGGTGCTTTGAGAGGCTGAATTGGGAGGATTGCTTGAGGGCAGAAGCTCACCATCTTGGGCAACAACCTGGACAACATAGCTAGATTCCATTTCTACAAAACATTTTAAAAATTAGCCAGGTGTGTTGGCACACACCTGTAGTCCTAGCTACTTGGAAGAACGAGGAATATCCCCTGAGCCCAGTCCAAGGCTGCAGTGAGCTATGATCATGCCACTGCACACCAGCCAGGATGACAGAGTGAGCTCCTGTCTCAAAAAAGGTAAATTAAAATAAAATAAAAATTTTAAACCCTTAATAAGATCGTAATTTACACATTAAACTTATATTCTCTTCTAAATATAAGAGGAGAGTTCATGTTTTTAATTTGCTATCTGCTTAATAATGAAATTTAAGCCCCATTGTTCATTGCCTATCTTTCCTTCTATGCTTTCTTTTTCAAAAAAATAAAATGATAAAGAAGAGATTTACAGAAATTATTACACTAGTGGGGAAAAATGCCACTAGAGTCTGCTACAAAATATTGAATTTTAAGGGAAGTTAAATTAAAATATATTATATTTTTGTGGCCAAAATATTACTATGTTTGTGTGTGCCTATTATGGACGTATAGAGAGATAGATATAGGCATAGACTTAGATATAGACTAGATATAGACACAGAGGCACACATATGATAAGTAAAACTAAATTATTATCCTCTCTCTCATCTTACATTCTTCCTTTCTCTTCCAAAAATGATGTTTGATATTGAAATTAATATAAACTAGGTACAAAATAAAAAGAATGCCTATGTTTCATTTTTTCCAGTGGGGTCTCAGTATTGAAGAATATCATATCTAAATTAAATGATGTTAAGGCATACGTAAACTTAGAGACTACAGAAGTCTCTAGTAGTAGTTCACTTCTAAGATGTCGTAGTGGCAAAGAGCTCATTGTATTGAGAGACAGCCATTGTATTTACTGATGAATATAAGTATTATAAATTTATTTTATTTCAAAATATGTCTCTCCATACTTTCATTTAACATATGCCTCCTCACACCAACTTGGTCATCCAGAGTAATAAAAAATAAACATAATCTCTATTTTTCATAATAAGCCTTTAGATATTTAATGATATTTGCCATAGCCTTCCTAAAGACATCTCAATGCTATTGACTATCCTTTGTACTATATGGTGTACATACTATTCACTACTTCAGTTATGCTGTTTGACAGCCCTGGTTTTGCCGCATTATTTTAAACTTAGGTTGTCAATCCCTCTAATAAACTTCCTTTGTACACTGGAGTTTCCAAATCATTTTTTGTTCCTCATTCAACATATACATTTTAATCTAGTTTTTGACTAATTAGGAAGGTATTCCAGCAGTTAGCATGCTGAGAATTTGCTGAAATTTAAAAAAATGTATCCGTTTCCGAATGTTGTTTACTAAAATCATAGTAGTGCTGACCATAATTATTAGTTTTAGTGAACCCAGGCTGGCTCCAGGTGATCTTTCTTTCCTAAGTGGTCATGAAATTCTGGATTCACAGGGATTCTATTTTTTGGCATTGAGTTATTGTTTCTGCTGTTGACCCTTATGCAAATGAGCACATTTACCTAACTTTAATCTCTCAGTTCTGTTCCTCTCCTACTGATTTCCAGACTAAGAATGCCTTCAAATAACCAAGTATATAATTGTCTGATTCTGGAAACAAAATCTTTCTGTAGTAATCCATTACTCTAATATTATTTTCCTACTTAGACTTTGACTCCATCATATCTTTCTTTCCTTTGCAGTCAATTCTTTTTGATAAAGGTCCTTGATACCACCTTATACCTATTTTCTGCTCTTCTTTTTGATTTTTAATTCACTTTATGTGTTCTGGTTCTTTTACCTGATTCCAAAATGTTAGCTTTTTGCCAGATTTTTATTCTTTCACATAGTTTCTGTCCATGGTGTTTTTTTCTTCTTGTAATAATCACTTAATTTTCATAAATTATCATTTATTCCCTGATGACATATATTTGTATGATCAGTCTAGATAGCTGTTCTGAGCTCTTAGTCTATAAATTTTTCTGCTTCATAGACATGGATATCTATGAAATATCAACTTGGAGGTCCCAGAAAGATCTCATATCTAACATGCCTATAGCAGACTCATTATCTCCCCAAATTTGTTCCTCTTCTTGTGTTTCTTTGGTGAGTGAAAGATGATGGTATCACATCCTTCCCAGCCAAATGATTCCCAAATTAAAAACTCTGCTAAGGCATGTTTAATCCTCCATTTCTTTGAGGCTCAAAATTCATCATAAATTCCTCTTGGATCAGGCTCTTATTATTTTACTACAGTTAGTACAATAGACAATCAAGTACCCTCCTGACTTTTAGTCATGTGCATCTATACTACTATGCATGTAGTTTTAAAAATTCATATATTTTGCTTCCAGAGACATGTTCATAAATTGTAAATCGATTTGTTTTACTCCCCTATTTAACAATCTTTATACCTTCCTCTTAGCTTCAGTAGGAAGTCCAAACTTCTCAAAATGTTTTACAAAGTTTCTGATGATTGTTTTAGCCTTTATTTTCAGCTGTCTACCCTCATCCCCAACTTCTATACACCTTCCTTCCTGTCACACTGACCAAGGCACTATTTATTCTAGTTAGCAGCTTACATTGCTATTGTTGCTCCTTCTGTGTGAGAAAACTCTTTTGACCATCTACTAGGCCAATTTTGCCTAGCTAATTCCTACTGCTTTTTCAAGGTTAACTCAGAAATAGCTCCTCCATGAAGCATTTCCTGAAATGTCTTGACTTTTATGCATTGATGATCCTCTATCCTAATCAAGATTTCCACATGTATCACAATGTGCTAAGTCAGACCATTTTACATGTTTGACTTCCCAGAGTAGACTATAGAATACTTGAGAGCAGAAAACCTGACATCTTTTTCCATCTTTGCCCCTAAAACCACAAAGTCTGTAGAATAATATATGTTTAACAAAAGTTTTCTGAATGACTGTGATACACTTATTTTGTATTTATTTCCTTTTAAAAATATTTAACCATCTACAGTGGGCCTATAGCCCCATTATACTACTTCTGTAGAGACAGGATTTTCTGTATAGTCAATAAAATTCAAATCACTTGATTAATTCTACTGACAAGATTTTATATATGCATTCATTTTTTTCATATCCTGGAATCTTTCTTTTTCTTCTTTTATTTCCACTTTTCTTTTAAACTGAAGATATTGACAAGCTTTCCTGTCATTTAAAAATATTTGATAGCTATACTTTTTCATAGCATGTTTGCAAATTTTATAATTAAAATCAATTGTTATTTTAATCTTCTACTGCATACTGTCTGTGACGAAATGTGGTCAACAATCTTGGACTCATTTTGCTTTTTCTCATAATCTAGTGAACTACTACTACACAGTTTGCATATCTCAGCTCTAACATCTCTTCCTCTAGAAAATATCACTTGCCTTTGTTTTGATCTGTATTCCTTTAATATAGACTCCCAGGGCACCATGTACCAGTCATCACAGTCAAAACTGTATACTATACAATCACTAACATTTGCATTCCATGAGGGTGGAGCATATGTATATATCATCTCATCATTTTATATCCTGCACCTCACATAATGACTGACATAACAGGTGCACATATAATATATATTTCCTTTTTTTTTTTTTTTGAGACAGAGTCTTGCTTTGTCACCCAGGCTGAAGTGCAGTGGCACAATTATAGCTCACTGCGTCCTTGACATTGCAGGCTCAAGTGATCCTCCTGCCTCAGCCTCCTGAGTAAGTAAGTCTAAAGGAACTTGCTATCATGCCTGGCTGTTTTTTTGTTTTTGTTTTTTTGTGTGTGTGTGTTTTTTTTTTGTTTGTTTCTTTTTTTTTGTGGAGACAGAGGTCTCACTATGCTGCCGAGGCTGTCTCAAACTTCTGGCTTTAAGCTATCTTCCTGCCTCGGCCTCCCAAAACACTGGGATAACAGGCTGAACTATCAGGCCCAGGCGTATAATATATATTTCTTTATTCAAAGACTAAATAAATATAAATCCACAGGGGAATGGTTAAATTTGACTTCACACAATCTGTAGATTTAGAAAAGAATCATTCGAAGAGAATGATGGGTTATTTCTCAAGTCTATGGAAGAGGAAATGATGACAATCAGAGGCATAAATCTCGATTAGAGGTTTAGTTTATTTCCAATGAGAAGGTTTAGAAAATAAAATAACTCACTAAGGAAGCTTACGGAATTTCTTCAGCACAAACTCATGGTTATATAAAGGATTGGTGTCAAAGTCAGACATTTTGTATACAATTTTTGCATGAATATGGTTCTAATGAAAACAGAGATGGCTTTCTATGGTTACTTTTAGCCTTTAGATTTTGAACTAAATTTATTTTACTTGTGATTAAAGAGTTCTTGAATTGTGTGCTCAGATAATACTCCATATTGTATCATTAGCCTAATAAAGTAACACTTTGTGTTTCCTATACAATAAAATGAAAATTATCTATATGGTATTAAGTTTACAAATATGTTTCCCAAGCAAGAGCATGATGGATTATAGTCCCACTGAACATTCAATATTAGCTCTTGCATGGAAAGAAAAAGAAAATTCACTTTGAACTGAATTTAGATAAACATATCTCATAAGTGAATCAACTTTCAATAATTCACAGCAGTAAAGCCCAAAATAAAGGAGATATATTATAAATACCATACCTCAAACCAAGACTGGCATCATCATAATATTAAATTATACATTCTATTTATCAACAAATTTCCCTTCCATTGCTTTTCTCTAAAACACAATTTAAAGTATTTTGTATCACTATTAAATAAAATTGATATACTGTATCATGACAAATAGACTCTGCTATATTTCTTAAAACATTTGATGTCACTGTTTATTTTTTGTGGACCATAAGAACCTCATCATATGTGGAAGGCTATAAGCAAGAGTACATTGGCTTTGAAAGTAAAAATACATTAAAAATAATTTTGACATGTATTTTCCTTCCATATTCAAGATATGCTTTTGATTTCACAGCAAAATTCAATATTTGGTTTTATTATTAGGCAATAGTATTTTAAATTTATTTTTATTTTTAAAAACTTTCTTTGATATACAATAGTTGTATGTATTCTTGGAATACATGTCATATTTTGATACCTGTGTAAGATGTGTCAGGATCAAATCAGGGTAATTGAGGTAGGTTTTACCTCTTATAATTTTCTTTCTATGGGAACATTATAAATCTTCTAATCCAGCTATTTTGAAATATACAGTAAATTATTGTTAACTATAGCTTTCCTACTGTACTGTTGAAAACTTATTAAAACTCAACATACTACTATTATCTGTGATATAATGTAAAATTTAACATATATATTGACCTGACTCAAATAATATTTACATGTGTCTACAAGGGCCTTGCCAAGCTTGGAAAATTATTAATTCAATAATTAGCTTCTATTTGAGCTAAAAGAAAAAATATTACCACCCCAAAGAGAATCTAATTTACAAAATAAGATTATTTCCCAAAGGTATTAAAGCCAAATTTCCAAATCCTAAATATCTACCAAGTACTTTCATTGGCTTGTTTCCTTTTCTTACCTGTGTAAGAGCTGCTTTTTTAAATTTCTGCTGACTTGCTTATATCTCCAAATTATGTTCATGTAAGGCTCATTGAGCCACAGAACCTAAGACAGGCTCATTTAAAACTACCATTTTTTTTGCAGATAGAAAAATACATGAAAAATTAGACTATTAAGATTTTTAATTGTCTCACAACTTCAAAATATTCCCCAACCTGGGATCTATGAGAGATATTTTATGGCAGATACTAATTATTGATATTTTACCTACTTAGTTCTAAGAGCTTCCTTTACACCAGCTTGGACATATATACACACAGATGTATATTCACATGCACATGTATGACCCTGCTATCTCTGATAATAAAATGGAAATTTATATTTTAAGCATATATGTTTATATTTTACTAAATTACGTATTTTAACAGCAACAAGTGTTGGGTCCACCATTGAGAAAACAAATAAAGCTGTATAAACTGTGATGTAGATCATTATCCTATAAAGATTTCAGACCTGGCTCTGTGGCTTTGAATCTAACCTTGAAAATCCTCTGCATATAATTTTATAAACTTAGTCATTAGGGAGTGTTTTCATTTACATAATTATCCTCCAGGATATTTCCATCTCTCAAAATGTCCCTTTAACCATGACATCAATAGGATAGAAACTTAGAACTCCTCCTTACTGTTTTATTAGGTGTAGCCACAAATTATTCCTGTCACATTTTTAAATTTTAAAAAGTGCTACTCAATCACCTTTAGTTAATTATTTAGATCACCTTCCTCCACACTAATTATTTTTGATGGATAAATTTATTAATCTTTTAACTAAAAACACACAAAGTACAAACCAATGACAAGAATTCATTCCCTAGTTTGGCAGGTATAAGCTGTAGAATATACGTTCATATGCTACAAATGAACAATCATGTAGCTAGTTGAATTTCCATATAGATCTCAATTTCTCTGGAAAATCTGTTAAGTGGCATCCAAACATTTATTGGTAAAATGGTTTTAAGATTAGTGGCATTTTCATATATAGAAAAATGTATAAAGGTAGGCTTTTTTTTTTTTTACGACATTAACACTTTGAAGGCCACAAAGCTGTCTATCTTACAGGTGTCTTTATAATATTGACTATTAAAGACTGTACTTTGAAAAATGTCACCAAAATAACAAGATTTTGTATTCATATTCTTACTTTTTGTTACTTTGCTAGTCACTTTACTGAGTTCTTATGAAATAACAATGCAATGAAAACAGAACACATCAACCTATTTGTATTCAGACTATATATCTGTGCAGTAGGTAATTTGGCTTTGCCCCGGAGAGGTCTGGCCTTTTCCCTTGGCTTTAGGGAGATAATTCATGCCATACCCAATAGAGTATTTTTGCTTAGGTCAGGGGCTGGCCACTCTGGATCTTATGGTAAGATTTCCCACACTAAACAGTCTTTGGATATTGGCTAGTTATACCAGAAAAATAAACCATATGATTTTAGGGTAGGGGCTTTGGGTCACATGATGTAAATTGACTTGGAACTGAGTTTAAGCATGTGGGCATTTAATCAATTAATCAGTTATGCCTACATAATGAAAGCCCAATAAAATATCTGGATAGCAAAGCTTGGGTGAGCTTCCCTGGTTGGCAGTACTCATTGCATACTGTCATACCTTGTTGACAGGAGGGTAATACATCATGACAATAATTGAAGTTTTAAGTTTGGAGCTTTTCTAGATTCAGCTCTATGCATTTCTTCCTTTGACTAATTTTAGTGTATCTTTTCCCTGTAATAAACAGTAATTGTGAGCTTCGTGGAGTTCTTTAAGTCCTTCTAGTAAATTATTGTACCTGAGAGGGATCTTGTGAACCCTGCAAATTTGCAATTGGTGTCAGAAATGAAGGCTTTCTTAACGACTGTGTCCTCAGATTTTGCAATTTGGCTAACTCTGGGTAACAACTAAGTGTCAAGCTTCCAGCACATTCATTTTCTACACTAGACGTCAATATTAATCAATGTCTACCTCTTCTAAGTTTCAAATTTTTGATGAATAATCAAAATGTGTATGTGGTTAAATAAATAGCAGCTCTATTCATGTAGCACTAACTATAGGCTAGGTACTGCCTATATATTCTATGTCTCATATCTCATATCAGGCTGTGAAATACACATTGTTATATATATTTTCCAAGTGGAAGAGAAATAAATGACTTATACAGCACTTAGTATGTACTAAAGCCAAAATTCAAAAGCAACTCCATTATGAATCCCATGCTCAAAACTACTACCGAACGCAGTTGGTCCTTGTTAACATAGCTCTCAAACCTATTTTGAGGCTGAGTTGATTAAGGCAGACATATCTTACGACTAGAACAGTATGTACATGTTGATTAACATGATTTGTTAAAATACGAGGAATAGCTTGTTCAGTCACATGAATATATATAGTACTGGGTGCTGTTCATAACCTCAAAATATTAGATAGTTGTTCACTGAAAAGTTATATCTACAACAGATTGTGCTATTGACTTCTCAAAATTTCAAAAGAGTATCAGCTAATTAGGGCAGCTGAGAAATCTCCACATATTCCACTACCTTCCTTTGACACATATGCTGACTGGATGCTACAAAATATAATGTAAAGTTTAACTATCAAACACTTGCAAAATCTTGTATTTCTAAAGCATATGCTGTTAAAATAAGGAGAGGTTTCAAATTAATGAAATAGAGAGATTTGTGAGACTTAGAATTTATCTCACAAACTAAAGATTGGGTACACTTTGTTCACAAACACAAGGATATACCATATCACATACATTTACACAGACAGATGTATATATAACCCTATATATATAGAAATATGTGAGGCTTAGGCAAAGTAAATTTAATAGAATCATAAATCTTAAATATGAGCACATTTAGAAAATATGCCAGGTATGAAGGAACTGTGTTTTAAAAAAAAGCAACAAAATTAGAGTCAGAATTTCATGAAACAGAATCAGAGATATGTCACTGTGTGAATTTGGTCTTATCTTTGCACGTAGTATTAATAATTTTAAAGATTAGGCCGGGCACAGTGGCTCATGCCTGCAATCCCAGCACTTTGGGAGGGTGAGGTGGGCAAATCACCTGAGGTAAGGAGTTCAAGACCAGCCTGGCCAACATGGTGAAACCTTGTCTCTACTAAAAATACAAAAATTAGCTGGGTGTGGTGGTGCACGCCTGTAATCCCATCTACTCAGGAGGCTGAGGCACAAGAATTGCTTGAATCCAGGAGGCAGAGGTTGCAGTGAGCTGAGATTGTGCCACTGCACTCCAGCCTGGATGACAGAGTGAGATTCTGTCTCAAAAAAAAAAAATTAAAGATTAAAGAAGACATGATATATGTGAAAATATTCAGTTCATATGCTGGAACACTGTACTTATTCAATAAAAGTTAACTGAGTATATTTAAATATTGATTCATGTATCTTTCATTATCTATTAATTAAATACAGCATACTATGATAATTAATATATTTATGATACTTATTTTCTTATGCCTGAACTTTGGTCTTAGTTATGGGCTGAATTCTATCTCCCCAATTGCATATGTTGAAGCCCTAACCCCCCATAGCTCAGCTGTGACTATTTTGGCTAAAGGACCTTTAAAGAGGTGATTAAGTTAGGATGATGCTATAAGGCTGGGTCCTAATCCAATCCGATGTCTGTAGATAGACCCAGCTTGGTCACCCAAAGGGACACCAGGTATGCACATTCACAGAGGAAAGAACATGTGAGGACACAGGGAAAAGAAGGTGCCCACAGGCCAGCCAAGGAGAGAGACCTGGAGAAACCAAATATACCCATACCTCGACCTTGGACTTCTAGTCTCAAGAACTGTTAGAAAATAAATTTCTGTTGTTTAAGCCACCCAGTCTTCTTTTAGATTTTGTTATTGTGACATTTTACTATGGCAGCCCTAGCAAACGAATATAGCCTTCTAATAAAAAACAAAGTTTTCAGGGTGATACTTAATTGACAGCACAATTGCTTGTTCAGGCATTGAAAACTGGTCATTGCAACATTTTTAAATGTCCTCAAGCATGGATTTCATAATATGAATAGGTAAGTCTGTTTTTATCTTGAAGATGCTTACAAGAGTCTCATTTCTATGTGTATTCTCCCATTTCTGAAACATACACTTCCTTTACACCTATCTGAATCCAATCTGTCATGCAGAAACTAGCTCTCTTCATAAAGACTTAACTAACAACTCTATCTTCCAGAGATCTTTCCCCCGATTCAACCCTTAACTGCCACCTTCTTTATCAGGCAACTTCGCAGGATCATTTGTCTTACTTATAAAGCCATATAAAATATACGTTCCTGAGGGGAAAAAAACAGTGTAGCCTCTATTTTTTCCATCTCCCATGAAACGCAGGGTAGTGCCTTGAATAAAATAAGCACAAAAATAATGTGGAGTTAATAAATCATTTTGATAAAATGCAAGTGAGAAGATGTAATAATTTTTATCTTATATTTATTCATCAAATAATAATTGTTTTAGAAAGGTTGCACTAAGTTAAAACATGTATTTGTTCTCTATTTCTATTTTTCATATAAAAACACGTGATTGCTTGCATTTTGGTTTTGTCTGGTTTCTGCCATGCCATTAGCATGGTAATTTAAGGTTGATAAATTTAGCCCTTGTGCAGTTTTTCAGCCCTTAGCAATAGACCACTGGTTCTTGAAACTTTCTTTCTCAATATCTCTTTCAGAACTTAATTAAAAGTTATTGGTGGTTCTCACCAAAAGTGGGCTACCCACATGAGTTGGCAGTCTATTTACTTTTGTTGAATTAATGTAAATTAAAATTTGGAAGAGGGGGGAGGAGCCAAGATGGCCGAATAGGAACAGCTCCGGTCTACAGCTCCCAGCGTGAGCGACGCAGAAGACGGGTGATTTCTGCATTTCCATCTGAGGTACCGGGTTCATCTCACTAGGGAGTGCCAGACAGTGGGCGCAGGCCAGTGGGTGCGCGCACCGTGCACGAGCCGAAGCCGGGCAAGGCATTGCCTCACCTGGGAAGCACAAGGGGTCAGGGAGTTCCCTTTCCGAGTCAAAGAAAGGGGTGACGGACGCACCTGGAAAATCGGGCCACTCCCACCCGAATATTGCGCTTTTCAGACCGGCTTAGAAAATGGCGCACCACGAGACTATATCCCACACCTGGCTCGGAGGGTCCTACGCCCATGGAATCTCGTTGATTGCTAGCACAGCAGTCTGAGATCAAACTGCAAGGCGGCAGCGAGGCTGGGGGAGGGGCGCCCGCCATTGCCCAGGCTTGCTTAGGTAAACAAAGCAGCCAGGAAGCTCGAACTGGGTGGAGCCCACCACAGCTCAAGGAGGCCTGCCTGCCTCTGTAGCCTCCACCTCTGGGGGCAGGGCACAGACAAACAAAAAGACAGCAGTAACCTCTGCAGACTTAAATGTCCCTGACAGCTTTGAAGAGAGCAGTGGTTCTCCCAGCACGCAGCTGGAGATCTGAGAACGGGCAGACGGCCTCCTCAAGTGGGTCCCTGACCCCTGACCCCCGAGCAGCCTAACTGGGAGGCACCCCCCAGCAGGGGCACACTGACACCTCACACGGCAGGGTATTCCAACAGACCTGCAGCTGAGGGTGCTGTCTGTTAGAAGGAAAACTAACAAACAGAAAGGACATCCACACCGAAAACCCATCTGTACATCACCATCATCAAAGACCAAAAGTAGATAAAACCACAAAGATGGGGAAAAAACAGGACAGAAAAACTGGAAACTGTAAAACGCAGAGCGCCTCTCCTCCTCCAAAGGAACGCAGTTCCTCACCAGCAACGGAACAAAGCTGGATGGAGAATGACTTTGACGAGCTGAGAGAAGAAGGCTTCAGACGATCAAATTACTCTGAGCTACGGGAGGACATTCAAACGAAAGGCAAAGAAGTTGAAAACTTTGAAAAAAATTTAGAAGAATGTATAACTAGAAGAACCAATACAGAGAAGTGCTTAAAGGAGCTGATGGAGCTGAAAACCAAGGCTCGAGAACTACGTGAAGAATGCAGAAGCCTCAGGAGCCGATGAGATCAACTGGAAGACAGGGTATCAGCAATGGAAGACGAAATGAATGAAATGAAGCGAGAAGGGAAGTTCAGAGAAAAAAAATAAAAAGAAATGAGCAAAGCCTCCAAGAAATATGGGACTATGTGAAAAGACCAAATCTACGTCTGATTGGTGTACCTGAAAGTGATGCGGAGAATGGAACCAAGTTGGAAAACACTCTACAGGATATTATCCAGGAGAACTTCCCCAATCTAGCAAGGCAGGCCAACGTTCAGATTCAGGAAATACAGAGAACGCCACAAAGATACTCCTCGAGAAGAGCAACTCCAAGACACATAATTGTCAGATTCACCAAAGTTGAAATGAAGGAAAAAATGTTAAGGGCAGCCAGAGAGAAAGGTCGGGTTACCCTCAAAGGGAAGCCCATCAGACTAACAGCGGATCTCTCGGCAGAAACCCTACAAGCTAGAAGAGAGTGGGGGCCAATATTCAACATTCTTAAAGAAAAGAATTTTCAACCCAGAATTTCATATCCAG
Organism: Homo sapiens; assembly: GCF_000001405.40. Lineage (NCBI taxonomy): Eukaryota > Metazoa > Chordata > Mammalia > Primates > Hominidae > Homo > Homo sapiens. Next base: position 66,739,234 of record NC_000013.11, read on the forward strand.
CCAAACTAAGCTTCATAAGTGAAGGAGAAATAAAATACTTTACAGACAAGCAAATGCTGAGAGATTTTGTCACCACCAGGCCTGCCCTAAAAGAGCTCCTGAAGGAAGCGCTAAGCATGGAAAGGAACAACCGGTACCAGCCGCTGCAAAATCATGCCAAAATATAAAGACCATAGAGACTAGGAAGAAACTGCATCAACTAACGAGCAAAATCACCAGCTAACATCATAATGACAGGATCAAATTCACACATAACAATATTAACTTTAAATGTAAATGGACTAAATTCTCCAATTAAAAGACACAGACTGGCAAGTTGGATAAAGAGTCAAGACCCATCAGTGTGCTGTATTCAGGAATCCCATCTCACGTGCAGAGACACACATAGGCTCAAAATAAAAGGATGGAGGAAGATCTACCAAGCAAATGGAAAACAAAAAAGGCAGGGTTTGCAATCCTAGTCTCTGATAAAACAGACTTTAAACCAACAAAGATCAAAAGAGACAAAGAAGGCCATTACATAATGGTAAAGGGATCAATTCAACAAGAGGAGCTAACTATCCTAAATATATATGCACCCAATACAGGAGCACCCAGATTCATAAAGCAAGTCCTGAGTGACCTACAAAGAGACTTAGACTCCCACACATTAATAATGGGAGACTTTAACACCCCACTGTCAACATTAGACAGATCAACGAGACAGAAAGTCAACAAGGATACCCAGGAATTGAATTCAGCTCTGCACCAAGCGGACCTAATAGACATCTACAGAACTCTCCACCCCAAATCAACAGAATATACATTTTTTCAGCACCACACCACACCTATTCCAAAATTGACCACATAGTTGGAAGTAAAGCTCTCCTCAGCAAATGTAAAAGAACAGAAATTATAACAAACTATCTCTCAGACCACAGTGCAATCAAACTAGAACTCAGGATTAAGAATTTCACTCAAAGCCGCTCAACTACATGGAAACTGAACAACCTGCTCCTGAATGACTACTGGGTACATAACGAAATGAAGGCAGAAATAAAGATGTTCTTTGAAACCAACGAGAACAAAGACACAACATACCAGAATCTCTGGGACGCATTCAAAGCAGTGTGTAGAGGGAAATTTATAGCACTAAATGCCCACAAGAGAAAGCAGGAAAGATCCAAAATTGACACCCTAACATCACAATTAAAAGAACTAGAAAAGCAAGAGCAAACACATTCAAAAGCTAGCAGAAGGCAAGAAATAACTAAAATCAGAGCAGAACTGAAGGAAATAGAGACACAAAAAACCCTTCAAAAAATTAATGAATCCAGGAGCTGGTTTTTTGAAAGGATCACCAAAAGTGATAGGCCGCTAGCAAGACTAATAAAGAAAAAAAGAGAGAAGAATCAAATAGACACAATAAAAAATGATAAAGGGGATATCACCACTGATCCCACAGAAATACAAACTACCATCAGAGAATACTACAAACAACTCTATGCAAATAAACTAGAAAATCTAGAAGAAATGAATAAATTCCTCGACACATACACTCTCCCAAGACTAAACCAGGAAGAAGTTGAATCTCTGAATAGACCAATAACAGGATCTGAAATTGTGGCAATAATCAATAGTTTACCAACCAAAAAGAGTCCAGGACCAGATGGATTCACAGCCGAATTCTACCAGAGGTACAAGGAGGAACTGGTACCATTCCTTCTGAAACTATTCCAATCAATAGAAAAAGAGGGAATCCTCCCTAACTCATTTTATGAGGCCAGCATCATTCTGATACCAAAGCCGGGCAGAGACACAACCAAAAAAGAGAATTTTAGACCAATATCCTTGATGAACATTGATGCAAAAATCCTCAATAAAATACTGGCAAACCGAATCCAGCAGCACATCAAAAAGCTTATCCACCATGATCAAGTGGGCTTCATCCCTGGGATGCAAGGCTGGTTCAATATACGCAAATCAATAAATGTAATCCAGCATATAAACAGAGCCAAAGACAAAAACCACATGATTATCTCAATAGATGCAGAAAAAGCCTTTGACAAAATTCAACAACCCTTCATGCTAAAAACTCTCAATAAATTAGGTACTGATGGGACATATCTCAAAATAATAAGAGCTATCTATGACAAACCCACAGCCAATATCATACTGAATGGGCAAAAACTGGAAGCATTCCCTTTGAAAACTGGCACAAGACAGGGATGCCCTCTCTCACCGCTCCTATTCAACATAGTGTTGGAAGTTCTGGCCAGGGCAATCAGGCAGGAGAAGGAAATAAAGGGTATTCAATTAGGAAAAGAGGAAGTCAAATTGTCCCTGTTTGCAGACGACATGATTGTTTATCTAGAAAACCCCATTGTCTCAGCCCAAAATCTCCTTAAGCTGATAAGCAACTTCAGCAAAGTCTCAGGATACAAAATCAATGTACAAAAATCACAAGCATTCTTATACACCAACAACAGACAAACAGAGAGCCAAATCATGAGTGAACTCCCATTCACAATTGCTTCAAAGAGAATAAAATACCTAGGAATCCAACTTACAAGGGATGTGAAGGACCTCTTCAAGGAGAACTACAAACCACTGCTCACGGAAATAAAAGAGGATACAAACAAATGGAAGAACATTCCATGCTCATGGGTAGGAAGAATCAATATCGTGAAAACGGCCATACTGCCCAAGGTAATTTATAGAGTCAATGCCATCCCCATCAAGCTACCAATGACTGTCTTCACAGAATTGGAAAAAACTACTTTAAAGTTCATATGGAACCAAAAAAGAGCCCGCATTGCCAAGTCAATCCTAAGCCAAAAGAACAAAGCTGGAGGCATCACACTACCTGACTTCAAACTATACTACAAGGCTACAGTAACCAAAACAGCATGGTACTGGTACCAAAACAGAGATATAGATCAATGGAACAGAACAGAGCCCTCAGAAATAACGCCGCATACCTACAACTATCTGATCTTTGACAAACCTGAGAAAAACAAGCAATGGGGAAAGGATTCCCTATTTAATAAATGGTGCTGGGAAAACTGGCTAGCCATATGTAGAAAGCTGAAACTGGATCCCTTCCTTACACCTTATACAAAAATCAATTCAAGATGGATTAAAGATTTAAACGTTAGACCTAAAACCATAAAAACCCTAGAAGAAAACCTAGGCATTACCATTCAGGACATAGGCATGGGCAAGGACTTCATGTCCAAAACACCAAAAGCAATGGCAACAAAAGCTAAAATTGACAAATGGGATCTAATTAAACTAAAGAGCTTCTGCACAGCAAAAGAAACTACCATCAGAGTGAACAGGTAACCTACAACATGGGAGAAAATTTTCGCAACCTACTCATCTGACAAAGGGCTAATATCCAGAATCTACAATGAACTCAAACAAATTTACAAGAAAAAAACAAACAACCCCATCAAAAAGTGGGCGAAGGACATGAACAGACACTTCTCAAAAGAAGACATTTATGCAGCCAAAAGACACATGAAAAAATGCTCATCATCACTGGCCATCAGAGAAATGCAAATCAAAACCACTATGAGATATCATCTCACACCAGTTAGAATGGCAATCATTAAAAAGTCAGGAAACAACAGTTGCTGGAGAGGATGTGGAGAAATAGGAACACTTTTACACTGTTGGTGGGACTGTAAACTAGTTCAACCATTGTGGAAGTCAGTGTGGCGATTCCTCAGGGATCTAGAACTAGAAATACCATTTGACCCAGCCATCCCGTTACTGGGTATATACCCAAAGGACTATAAATCATGCTGCTATAAAGACACACGCACACGTATGTTTATTGCGGCATTATTCACAATAGCAAAGACTTGGAACCAACCCAAATGTCCAACAATGATAGACTGGATTAAGAAAATGTGGCACATATACACCATGGAATACTATGCAGCCATAAAAAATGATGAGTTCATGTCCTTTGTAGGGACATGGATGAAATTGGAAATCATCATTCTCAGTAAACTATCGCAAGAACAAAAAACCAAACACCGCATATTCTCACTCATAGGTGGGAATTGAACAATGAGATCACATGGACACATGAAGGGGAATATCACACTCTGGGGACTGTGGTGGGGTGGGGGGAGGGGGGAGGGATAGCATTGGGAGATACACCTAAGGCTAGATGACGAGTTAGTGGGTGCAGCGCACCAGCATGGCACATGTATACATATGTAACTAACCTGCACAATGTGCACATGTACCCTAAAACTTAAAGTATAATAAAAAAAAAAAAATTTGGAAGAGGTTAGTCAAAGGATACAAAATTTCAATTAGACAGGAGGAATAAGGCCAAGAGATCTATGGTGTAACATGGTGAATATAGTTAATAACAATGTATTGTATGCTCAAAAATTGCTAAGAGAGTAGATTTTAAGTGTTCTCACTATAAAAACAAATATGAGTAACACATATGTTAAATAGCTTGATCTAGCTATTCTGCAAAGCATACATATTCCAAAACACCATGTTATATACCATAAATACATACAATTTTAGTCGTAAATGAAAAACAACTAAGTTAAAAAATTGAAAATAATTTTAAAATTTATAAATTTTTAAAAACTTCTGTAAGAAAACAAAACACAAGTAGTGTCATGAGATATAACTTAAAGATGTATTAGACGTAATGCCTGCTCTTAAAATGGCTTAAAGTCTACTGGGAAAAATAGACATGTCTACACACACCCACATACCAAATTGAAAAAAAATGTAAATGGGAAAGGGCAGATGAGAAAGGCCATACGTGCATAAAAAGATGGCCAGAAGGTGTCCAACAAGGTTACTTGTATTATTCATGTGCTATTTAAAATCTTCTCGCAAAATCATGACTGGAATTAGAGAGCCCCACGCATCTGGGTAATGGAATTCTGACTGTCTCCACACTTCCAAAACTATAAACCCTTCTTTAAACGATCAACAATTCCTGGGACATGTATTTATTATTTTGTATTAATCAATTCACATATCCCTGGAGAAAGATACTTTATGACCAGATGAAGATTAAATAAGCCCGACAGAACCAAAATATTTATTTATGAAAAAGAATAAACCATCTCTATACATGGATCGCATGCATAAAACTATGCAGGTAGACTCTAAAGCATGACTTGAAGTAAAGGTTATCAGTGTTATCAGTGAATTTTTTAAAAATTTATTTATTTTGAAAAGTCCGAAACTAAATGAAAGGTACACGACCAATCTCTTGTCCTAAATATCATGTTTGTGTTAGCCTTCCAGCATCTACCACACACAAAACATGTTCACATGAGAAAATACATTCCCAGTACTTGTTTAATTACTAGAAAGTTGTATGTCATTTTACTGGATATATTAAGCAAATGCTAATAATAGGATATAATATATACATATATATAATTTCCTCATTCTCTTTATTATTTTCAATATAAACACAAGAAAGAAATTCAGGTATAAAAAATGAATATGTTATTCTTTCAAGGTAAACATGGACAGAGTTTTAGACTGAAAGGAAATACGGTTTCTGGTCCCAGCTGGCCCACTGACATATTGACTTTCATAAATCTGACATCTCAAATATATATTAGTTCTGGCATTTACTGACTATTTCCTCACCTCCAGGAATAAAACAAGATTACTTGTAAATATCTCAGAGAGAAAAGTTTTTAGTTTCTTTTCTCTATTTCTTTCATTTTATTTCACATTTGTACATTCACCTATATGAAATGAGCACGTAATGCAGGATCATATTGCCTGGATTCAAATTCAGTCTCCGTAACGTAGCTATATAAACTTAGCAATTTACTTTTTGTGTGAGCCTCAGTTTTCTCATCTGAAAAACAGAAATAATAGCACCCCACTCATAAGGATGTTTTGAAGACCAAGTTGATGAAGGGATCTTTGGCAATTAGAGAAATATCTGACATTTAATAGGATTAAATCACTACCGAGTATTGTTGTTGATGATGATCTGAATGATGTCTTACCCATTTGAATATTTTATTAATCTATGTTTCATACCTGTAGAAATTCACAAGTGATAGAAAAGCTCTTGCTTTCAAAACCCTAATACACAGTTTCCTTCTTGAGTGAAATTCATCATTGCTCATAGGGCAGACGAGTGCCATCTCAAAATGTGACCGGAATAATATGCCTGATTCAACAAATGGTAAATTGCGCCTGACCAGGAGTTTTCCTAATTTGACTTGAGAGATCAACCAAGCAGGAATGAGCCGGTTCAAACACCTCAGTACAATGCTAATGATTTTTTCATGTTGAATTAATAGGATTGAAATGTTTGTGATTTCAGCAGCTGTTGGGAACAGTGGGAGAGCTTTCACCAACACACTGACAGCCTTGTGCCACTCACATGGCTGTGTTTAGATAAAACAGGAATGTTAACAGTCTGTCTAGAGCATGCTCATCTTAAATTAATAATAATTATTTCCACCAAAGGCAGCTATCGAATATCTCCCCCATTCCATGGAGAATTTGTATATTTTTTTTAATGTGTGCATGAAAGAGTAATTTGTTGTGCACATAAAATAAAATTTATGTTTTGAAGCAGGTGAGTGGCTAGTGTTTAGCTGTCGGATTAATTATCACAGCAAGATATGATTAGAATTTGCCAACAAGGAGAACATTTTTACTTTGCTCAAGCACATTATTCCCCCTTAGATCCTTTCTCTGGCTCCCTATCGCCACCTGTTTAAAATTTAAATGTTTCCCCAACATGTGTATTGAGTTTTTCTCCTCTCAGAAATACTACTACCAACATTCATTTCAGCCCACTTCCCCCCATAGACATATTCATTTAAGTCATTTTTTAATTTCACTCTCTCTCCATTCACTTGGCATTACCTGTATGTTGCCATATACTTTTCACTTATCTATTTTTTGATAACATTAGATTGCAAACAATGTAATGAGAATGCTTCCTTTCAGTGCCTTTTACTTACACCATCTAAAAACAATGCTATGTTAATAAAAAGAATAAAAAGAATCTTCAGCTCTGAAAGTGTGTTTTAACTGAGATTAACTTTAGGAATAATACTTGATTTGTAAAAGCAATTATAAAAACTCTCTCAATATTTGTTTCATTTCAAATTAAATATTTTTAATGTATGTAAATATCTGAAACAATCATGAATAAAGATGCCAGATAAATACAATTCCTGATCAAATTGTATGTCCTTTTCCTGAAAACAGTGAATTATTCAAGGCAGATAACCAGACAGAGAACTACAATAAAGAGAGAAAGAAAGAAAGCAAGAATCAAAAGAGAATAAGTCATTAATAGTAAAATAGCTCTGAAAAAGTAAGTAAAAAAATCAGTTGACAGCCTTAAATACTTTGAGAAAAGTGAAAATAAGTATATACAATTTGATTTGTATAAAACAGATTTACAGTCTTTTTCCTAAAAGTTAACGTGTCATCTATTACACTTTTGATAGGAAATTTGAAATCAAACTTCTTCAAGAATAAGTAGTAATAAATATTTTCACTACTGAAAGTCAAATGTGCAAAACCAGAACAAGATTAAATTTTTTTTCATTATGTAGGTGAAAAAGAAATTAATATTTTGGAGAATCAACATTAGAAATAGTAAGTATAATAATGTTTGGTACTTTTAATGTAACAATTGTGTGAGACTACTAAATGTGAATACCCCTATCCCCCAACTTTCGTGATTTGTGAGATTTCTTGCTATTTTTTCCTAAATATCAGTGTAAGCATATCATTTTAAACATTTTATTCAAAAAAACTGTATCTATAATGGAATAAGATACGACTAAGTCTGTTAAATATGTGACATGACCTGGCTGGGCGTGGTGGCCCATGCCTGTAATCCCAGCGCCTTGGGAGGCAGAGGCGGGTGGATCACGAGGTCAGGAGTTCAAGACCAGTCTGGCCAACATAGTGAAACCTCATCTCTACTAAAAATACAAAAAATTAGCCAGATATGGTGGTGTGTGCCTGTAATCCCAGCTACTCAGGAGGCTGAGGCAGGAGAATTGCATGAACCCAGGAGGTGAAGGTTGCAGTGAGCCAAGATCGCACCATTGCACTCCAGCCTGGGCAACAGTGCGAGACGCCATCTCAAAACAAAACAAAACAAAACAAAACAAAACAAAACAAAACAAAACACAAAAAGCATATATATGGCATGACCAAAACTCTTTTCATCAAAATATTTTAATTGTGACCAATGTGAATATTTTGTTCAAACTCCAGACCAGAAACAGATAAAGGATCCGTTTAAGTGTTAAATACACTCAGGAGAGCATAGATTATACATGAAATGCAACTTCTGCAAAATAAATTAAGAATATACTTATTAGGTGGTGCTTTTTTCTTCCAAAAATGTGTGTATTAATATACAGGCATACATATATGCATATACATGTATGTTTATATATAATCAAAAAAACATAATCAAAAAATAAAATATTCTCAATGTATATTTTTTCAGATATTTATCTAAGATTAATACACACACATACACAGACATAAATTCACTGAAGCACACATATGTATATATAATCTCCACATTATTATGGAAGCCTTAAAATTTCTGTTTCATAAAAATATGACAATAATTTATTAATTGTGGTGTCTAACCTCTAAAACTGCACTGTCAGACCTTGTTCGTTATGTAGTAATTAGAAAGAGACCATTAGCATCAATTTTGTGAACTTTTCAATGTAGTTCAGGATATAGTGTGGTATAGCCAATTAAAACAAAAACATTTAAGGAAGTAAGGAAATCATTAAAGCCAATTCATTAGACCTTCATATTTTGGGTTCAGTAACACTGAACATGCACATTCAAGCAGAAAAACTTGAATTGCTGATATATCTCGAAGCATATTGTAAATTTAAGAGGTAGGAAACCTTAGCTTAGATTGCTGCTTTTACTTTGGCAAGACTATGGAAGTGATTTAAACTACTGTTAGGAATATCAAAAACCAAAATCAATAGCAATAGTTGAATATAAAATGGATGCTTCTAGAATTGTCTGTTTTGTTATTGTTGAGATAACTTTAATGAGATAAATTTTATTTCATGTGTACCTTTGCTGTTTTATGCATTTGTCAAAAGTCTGATTCATTCTTGAAGCAAATGAGTGTACAGTAGTTAAACCACACCAAATCAAAAAGGAAGGTTTAGGAATTTTTCCTACTCTGAAACACTCAGAATATTCAAGTGTGTATAATTCCTTAGAAGTGGTCATGTATTTTCAAATGCAGGTGTACCTTTGCTTTGATTTCATTATTTTCTATAGCTATACTTTAAATAATTTTAGCCACTGTGTCTCTACTTGATCACATGAAGATGTAGTGTGTCAGCAAAGCAGACTCCATGTGCAGCTCATTGAAACTTGCTCTTGAGAGCTTAGGAAAGAGAACTAATAGTATAAATTGTGCAATTATTTGTGAAATCCTGGGCCTCTGTTTATAATCATCGTTATCACAGCATAATATTGCTTAAGGATACACACACAAACACAGATACATAAAACACTCAGCTATATACTTGACTTTTAAGAGCACAAAGAGCTTCAACATCTCTAATGTGGTTTGGCTCTGTGTCCCCACCCAAATCTCACCTTGAATTGTTAATAATCCCCTTGTGTCAAGGGCAGGACTAGGTGGAGATAAGTGAATCATGGGGGAAGTCCCCCACCCCATGCTGTTCTCATGATAATGAGTAAGTACTCAAGATATCTGATGTGGTTTTATAAGGGGCTTCCCCCTTCATTCATTTTTCTTCTTCCTGCCATTATGTGAAGAAGGACATGTTAGCTTCCCCTTCTGCCATGATTATAAGTTTCCTGAGGCCTCCCCAGCCATGTGGAACTGTGAGTCAAACTTCTTTCCTTTAGAAATTACCCAGTTTCGGCCAGTTCTTTATAGCAGCATAAGAACAGACTAATACATTCTCAAAATTCTATATCAACAAATCAGATGATGTGGGTGCAGGGAGCACTCTAGCAACCTCTGCCATATACAACAGTGACTTTACCTGTTTAAAATTCTGCAAGCATTTTAGACAATCATCAGCTATGAGGATATAAAAATCAAAATCCATCTGCACCCTCTTGCACCCACCGCAGGAGGAATAACAACAAATACTACATCATAATCAACAATCATTTATGAAATGCTTAACATGTGCCAGGCAATTATCTTCTTTTCCTCAGAGTAACTCTATGACCTAAGCACTACAACCTGAATTTGCACAGGAGAAAACTGGTTTAGAGTCCAAGGGACATAATTGTATTAAGAATTCAGTTCTGGAATTCAGTTTAATTCCAAAATTAGTTATCTTAACTGCCATAGAAAATTTTCTTTCCCATTCCTACCAGCTCGAGACCAGAATTTAGAAAAAGTCTCTAACATATTTTAAAGCAAAAATGTTCAATGCCTAAATTTAGGAATGAATGCCTATACTAGAAGATGGATGCCTACCCCTTACTAGTTATATACCTCTAGGTTCCAACACAACCCTCTAGTTTAAGCTCTCCTTTAGGAATAGGATGAACTGGTGACAGAATTCAGACAGTACTAAGACAAAATCACAGAGACTTGACACTGCTCCATCCCTTGCACCCTAACTCCAGATTATACTTTAAATATTCCACAATGTATATACATACTTTCAAACATCATGGTGTATATGATAAATGCATATAATTTTGATCTGTCCATTTAAAAATATTTAAAAGAAAAAAATGAAGTAAAAATGCTCTAAAAGAATAAAGGATCATGAATAAGCACAAAAACTGTTTAGGTATAGTGAGAAAGGTTTATTTCAATCTCTCTCTCACACACACACGTGCATGTGCACACACACACACAATAAAAAAATGAGGAGTAAGATATCTTATTTCTCTTTTAAAAATTGAGCATCATCCAATTTTAGATAAAGAGGAAGGGCATTATTACTATTAAAGAAGAATGACAAATATTCGCTAATAGAAGAAATAGATTCACATTTAAAATTAGTTAATTATCAAACAATAAAAATACTAAATATGTGAAATAAGTGCACTCAGCAAACACATATAGAAAAATAATTTTTCAAAAACAAGTTTTCTCATTCTCCAAGAATGAGAAGTTTTCTCATTCTCCAAGTAAGCAACACAGCCTCCCTTGGTTGAAGGTGTTTTGACTTTCTCGTTGGACCCAGGACCAACTGTGTAAAGAAAGCCTAAAATGTGAAGTGAAACTTCTGCTTGTCTCTCTGCTATCCCTGAAGCTGCCTTTGTGTTTGTGACAATGCAAAGCCAATCTCTCACTCTCTCCAAAATCCATCTTTGTAAAACAAAAAAGAATAATAAAAGAGAAATCATAAAAGCATAAATTAGAATGACAAATGAAAGACTAAATTTAACTAATGTAACAAAATAGGAAAAACCAAATCTGCTTAAATTAACCCCTTAAACATGTACTGGGTTGATTTTTTTTTAATCTAAAAATGTTTTCCCAAAAATAAACACAAAGAGGCTTAGAAATAAAATTTCATAACAAATATAAAAATAAAAAGAGCACAGCCCTACCCATAAAACATTAGCAAAAGGGAAGTAGAGTGGTTATATTACCAGCAAACTAATATTTAAACCTTTGAGGCTAGATGGCATGTTTTACTTATAAGTCTAGTGTATAGCATTTTTGTAAGACTTAGTGAGTACAGCACATTAATGAAGTTGGATTTCTAAGACATGAAATATCAGAAACGGGCCATTTTAATTTGTATTAAACACTAACTTATAACAAATAGCTAACAATTGACTTCGACATTCTCATGCTTTTACTTAATCTCTTTATTAAGTTCTCCCCTTTTCCTTCTACCACTTGCACTCCCTCTTCAGGGACTCTAATTTTCCTTAGCATCTATATTTCATAACAACATACGTACCTTGCAAGTTCTGAAGCAGAGCAAATAGACTGCAATTGATCAAATTTTTTTTTTCATTTTATAGATACATGAAAAGAATTGCCCCTGGCTCAATTCTTCTATCTCCTATTTCTTTTTGGATCTCCCAATGACTTCAAAGAGAAATTTTCTCTGGGAGAATTGAGCAAGGGGTCTATAATGTATAAATCTAAGTTTTTTAATGTCAAGACATAAAATAACAATAATTCACTTTTTAAAAGTGAATAAAAAGCCCAACAAAAACAAAATCAATTTTAGAAGCCCCTCCTACTATGAAAATCTCTTTGTCTTACTGTCAGAGATAGAATTTGACTAAGTAAGTTCATGTACCCAAAACATATAATTTGTTCAGCTGTGTTTTATGTTAACAATTATGTCTCAATAGAGTGATGTAGAGATTTCATGAAAGCAAGCAACTGAAATGTTCATTCCAAAGCAGCATAGTTCAATAAGACTCTTTACTTCAATCATGGATATGGTCCCAGCACTAATAAGGTAGCCACTTATGTGCCCCTTTTAACCTTTCAAATGTGGTGAGTATAACGAAGGAAATAAACTTTTAATTTTGGTTAATTTTTAATTAATTAGAATGTAAATAGTTACGGTGACTGTTGGCTACCATACCAGACAACATAGTTCCAATTTTGCTTCTACAGCAGGCAATCTGCTAAACAGGAGTGCAGTGAAAAGTGAAACCAGTATTAGACTCATGAAACTTATGGTTTAGTGCTGGTAACAAGAAACATGTAAATGAATAAACAAAAATGTGAACTGAGTAGAAAAGCATGGTTTTTTTAAAAAAGGGAGATAATTTACTATGATTAAGGAGACAGGGAAGACCACACAGAGGGTATGAGCTAACACCTGAATGATAGAAAGGGGTCAATCAATCAAATAGCTCAAGGAAAGGGCATCGGTGGCTAAGGAGCAGCAGAAGCCAAGTCTCAAGCATCTTGGCTTTTTCGTGGAACTGACAGAAACGTGTGGCTGGAATAGAGTAAGTAAGAAAGAGAAAAGAAAAGTCAAGTTGGAAGAATTAAGCAGTGTCTAGTATATGTCATGTCTTCAAATTTATAAAAAGGCTTTGATCTTTTTAAAATTGCAAATGAAAACTATTGCTTTATTTTATTTATGTATTTATTATTTATTTGTTTTGAGATATGCAACGGTGCAATCTTGGCTCGCTGCAGCCTTGACCTCCTGAGCTCAAGCAATCCTCCCATCTCAGCCTCCCAAGTAGCTGGGACTACAGGCACATGCCACCATGCTCAGCTGTTTTTTGTATTTTTTGTAGAGACAGGGTTTCACCATGTTGCCTAGACTAGTCTAGAACTCCTGAGCTGAAGCTATCTGCCCACCTTGGCCTCGCAAATGGCTGGGATTACAGGCATGAGCCATGGTGGCTGGCCACATCTACAGCATTTTTAATGGAAGAGAAACCTTATTATATTTGTGAATTTAAATTTTTACTTTCTTTGCCTCATACAGAATTAACCAGAGAGAGTGAAAATGGAATCTGGGGAGAAAATTTAAGAGGGTGTTGCAGTTGTCTGATTTGATACAGTAGGAGCATCTGAAGTGAAAAGAAGGCTCTAAGGTCCACACATACACAATGTGGATTAGACTTGATGTTCAGAAAAGAGAAATAGGGGTTAACCTTTCAACATGAGAGTAAACAAATCTCAGTGAGACAGGGAAAGCTGTGGGAAGAACAAATGCCAGGCCTCAGCCATATGTTTAATTTTACTAATTTTAATGTGTTGTTGAGACACTCAAAAGGAGTTCTCAAGTAGGCAATTGGAGCCAGAGAGTGGAGTTTCAGCCCAAGAGACAAATTTTGGAGTCTTCTAAAAAGAGATAGTGTTTGTTTTTCATTAGGATTTAAATTTGTAGGTTTAGTTAGGTAAATCCTTCATAGCTTTATTTTGTATGAAATGTATCCTAATCTATTGAAATAATTTATATTATGTCAATATTTGTCATTTACTTAGAAGTACCGTAAGTTTTTGCCTTAAACATTTTCATATCTGTATGCCCCAAAATTTTTTAGTTGATTCTCAACATAACACAACGTTATAGCTAGATAGGAATAATAAGTTTTAGTGTTCTATCCCACTGTAAAATGACTGCAGTTAACAGTATAATAAATCATTTCAAATAGCTAGAAGAGGCGTATCAAATGAACCCAAGACAGAGAAATCATGTTTGAGATGAGGGAAATGCTTGATCTAATCACTATATACATATCAAAACATCACTATGGACCCCATAAATATGCACAATTTTTATATGTTAATGAAAATTATTTTTTAATGTAAAGCAGTAAAATTTTATCTTAACAAAAAATGTGTTACAGGAAAAATCCATAAAATAAATACTAATGAGGTAATGTCATTCAATCAAGAAAACTGACTCAGAGGATCCTGACTGGAGGGATAAGGTGAGCAGAGCAGGCTCTCTATAGCACACTACTCTCTATTTCTCATCATCATCTGTCTTCTCACTTTCATCTCAGTCATACATGTAAAAACGTTTCAGTGCGTTGATCCAAAACTCAACACTGCTAAATCATTCTAAAGAAATGATACTATACTTCTTTAAGTACTAGGTATAAGACAAAAATATGCCATGATTTATTTAAACATAAGGTACCTAATCAAATCAAGTGACAAAAACACACATGGGGATGAATAAATATTGTGAACACAAAATTTGTTGTAATAACATTAATACTGAACCTTCATATTCTTCTGTTAGTTAGAAATGCATTGATTATTAATGAAATTAACTTAATCATTCATTTTCTTCTAATTTCTGGTAGCATATTGTTGTTAGCCATTTCTTTCTGAACCTCTCTTTTTTTATTTCATTTTTTTATTTCATTAAATTATTTCTTGACTTTTATTCTCTTTGTTCTAAGAGGTGTGTATCAGGAACAGAAAACCAAACACTGCATGTTCTCACTCAAAAATGGGAGTTGAACAATGAGAACACATAGGCACAGGGAGGGGAACATCACGCACCTGTCAGGGCCTGTCAGTGGGTGGAGGGCAAGTGGAGGAATAGCATTAGGGGAAATACCTAATGTAGATGATGGGTTGATGGGTGCAGCAAACCACCATGGCACATGTATACCTATGTAACAAACCTGCACATTCTGCACATGTATCCCAGAATTTAAAGTATAACAAAATAAAATAAATAAAATAACATAAAACAAAATAAAACCTTATTTTTTAAAAAAAGGAAAAAAAAAGAGGGAGGTGTGTGTGTGTGTGACATTGTAGGATCAGGGAAGAGGCGAAGTCATTTCTGAAGCAAATTGTATAGTCCAGAGCTTTCAAGAAACAGTTTATGAAGAGATTAAGAAAATACATCAGGATATACCTAATCTATAGACGCTATAGGAATTCTGAATTCTTGAGAATTCCATAGAGAAACACAGTTGCTGATTGACTAACTTCATAACAATGTAGTAAATATGTCAACAAGATGAAACTGGTATAAATAGAAATACAGCTAGCATTTGTATTGAAACTAAAATTAAAACTTTAGTCGTTCCTAGATCAAAATAATACATCATACTGGTATCCAATTATTTTTCTTATTTGTAAGAGCTCTTCACCAGGAAAGATATTACATGCATACTATATATTTATAAATACATGTGTCATACATAATGTTAATAGTCTAAGGTTGAAATTTATATGCAATGAATATAACTCTAGAATTTATTTTTGTGTGAAGAAACCTCTTATCAACAGGGAAAAAATTATATGAATTATATCAATGTGGAATGAATTTGAGATAAATTACTTATCTCACATTACTCAGCTTGTAATGCACTTTGGGGATATTTACTTTTTACTTCCTCTATCCAAAGCCAATATTCAAATAACCCTGAAAACTGCAATGTTAAAATTTTAAAATCACTTTAATCCATAGAACCAAAATTTTGCTGAGCCTAGAGCTGCAGTATAAAAGATCATATTCATTATAATCATGGGAACAGAATAAATTTAATTTGATCCTCACAATATTCTTATGAGGCAGATATTATTCCTTTTCTACAGAGAAGGATACTGGCATGTGTGGATATTAACTACATCACACAGTTAGTGTATTGTAAACACTCTTGAGAGTTAGGACTGTCTTATGCTTTTCTGAACCTGCAGGACATAGTTGGAGAGCGACTGACATATCATAGGTGTCCAGCACATGTCTGTTTCGTTGAAATAAAGCAGTGGCGCTGCAAATTAAATTGAGTATTCCCTGACATTAAATTCATTATCTTTCCACTGTATTGTATAATACTCTACTGAGTCGAGGACTAAGCTCTCTCTCCCCACCTAAATATAGATGTCCACTATCTTGTGGATTTCTCTTACTTAGCTTTCTTTAAAGTAAACCAAAAAGGTGTGGGGTGGGGGGGCATCTAAAATGCATATTTACTGCATTTTTAAAAAGTGCACAACTGACCATAATTGAGGGTCCAAGATGTTGGTAAATGGGGTGGGGAAATCTCATAAAATCCATCAATGGAGGACATAAATAGTATAAGCTCTGGATTTGAAAAATGTCTGGGGAAACAAGGATGAACAAAACAATGGAATAGAACAAAGAAAAAATTCCAAGGAATAAAAAATTGACACATGCAGAAAAATACTCCAGGACACACTTGAATCCCAGACTCATGGGTCCAGATGGCGATAGATCAGGAGGCCTCTGCAGTTGAGTGGCTTTCTGTGCATTTCAAAATCGTTTGCATCCCTTAGAGCTCTCAATATGGTGCCTTATTAATAATGATTGCCCAGTAATTGTGGTCAAATATTGATTAATACCAAGGACCCACTGAAGGCCCCAAGTAAACAATCACATTTCTGAAGAGAGTGAAGATATGGCTACTGTTTGAAATAGTCTGAAATTAGATTTAGATCTACAAACTTGTAATTAAGTACCTATTGTGAGCAAAGCAGTGAATTCAATGCCAAAGGTAAAAAAGCTTTTAAATTCAGAATTACATTTTTAAAATCATGAGGAATATAAGGTGAATACAAACATGTTAAAGAAATTCCAGCATATCAGTACAATTAAAAATCAATCGTTTGAAATAAAATAATATTAGGATGAATTGGTATTTTGTAAACTGAGTTAATTTATTAAGTAAATTAGCATAGAAGACTATCAAGTCTGAAAATGTAAATAGTTTAAAGACTTTCAATAGATGACACACCACTGTTTACAATTAAAGACTGCAAGGAGATATTGGCAAATGGATCCATAACTTTGATGTTGGTATCAGTGAGGTCAACAAAGTCTTTTGTAGGATAATCTTTGCAGTGAGGTCAACAAAGCCTTTTGTAGGATAATCTTTGATGCAATCTGAATCTACAGCTGCATGCCATGGGAGCTGCAAACAGGCCCATTCCATGTTTCTATAGCCCCATTTCTGAGCCTCATACTTTTTTCAAAAAACATGCTTGTGTCATTGACAAGGAGATAGTGTTGATACTGCTAGTTTTACATCAAATTCTGTTTTCTGATTATTTTACAATAATGGAATTGTAGCTGGGGATTGCTGCTCATCTAAGGACAATATTTTTCAGCACTCCCTGTAGTTAAATGTTGTCATGTGATTGATTTATTTTATTATTATAATTTTTTTGAGACAGAGTCCTAGCTCCATCACCCAGGCTGGAGTGCAGTGGCTGCAATCTTGGCTCACTGCAACCTCTGCCTCCCGGGTTCAAGCAATTCTCCTGCCTCAGCCTCCCAAGTAGCTGGGACTACAGGTGGGCACCATCATGCTCTACTAATTTTTGTATTTTTAGTAGAGATGGGGTTTCACCATGTTGGGCAGCCTAGTCTCGAACTCCTGACATCAAGTGATCCACCCACCTCAGCCTCCCAAAGTGCTGGGATTACAGGCATGAGCCACCAACACCCCAGCCTCATGTGGTTGATTTCTGAGCCAACTTGCATTTGCGGTCTTCGGTGCTCTGTCCCTCTGTCTTCTAGAGCAACTTTGAAAATTCTTGTTGAAGACGGTAGAACTGCCCTTCCCTTGGATTGAATGACTTCATGAATGACAGCCATTCATTAACCTGGAATAGCTCATTTGGACCATTACTTTATGAAATAAATTTCTTTGTTTCACTTTACTCTTATTGTATTCTTTAGGTGACTAAATTATTTTTAGGTATCTTGCTAAGGGCTTAGTTTAAATTAGTTCCACCAGTAACATAGCTCTGAGAATTTAGGTCCAGCTTTACTTAATTTACCATCATTGGGTTTTTACTTTCATTTATTTATTCAACCAAATTCTATGTGTCCTCATTAAAAATTGAAAAATTCCTGAAATATGTAAATGGTAAAAAACAGACTAGAGAATCTACTTTTCAGAATGTAGGATTAGAATTCAAGCATGTCACATACGATATAGAGCCAAACATATATAAAACGTATGAGGAAAATTACTACTTCACCCCTTAAAAAAGGGAAAACTTCTGACTACTATAGAAATAAAATATTCAGGTGTAATTATTCGATATCTTCATATGCATGAGATAGCATTAATCATCTTATTATCAATTAAACCAAAGTTTGATGTAGACATAAAAGCACAGAAAATGAAAATATACCAATTTCTGAGCAAATGTATAATAGAGCAAGATCTTCCAGTTTTTTATGATTGAATAACTGAAATAGTTCAACAACTTAGCCTAAATTTCTTGATGTATTCTCAAATGGATTAGAAATTTTAAATGTCCATAATTTTTTCTTAAATACTAACATCATTAATGAACATACAAATAATCCAACATTATCATATGTTATTGGCATAAGAATAATAAAGATAAGTAATACGCAAAATGTTGTTTATTATCTTATTTTTAAAATTGAAATAAAATTGTATATATTTATTATGTACAACATGCTGTTATGAAGTATATATACATCATGGAATGGTTAAATCTAGCTATTTAACAAGTGTGTTACACAGTTATTTTTGTGATGAAAACACTTATCTCCTTTTGCATTTTTCAATAATACATTATATCATCAACTATAGTCACCATGCTGTGCAATAGATCTCTTAAACTGATTTCTCCTATCTAACTATAAATATGTATCCTGTCACTGACATCTACCCAACCCTTCTTCCCCCTAACCATCACAGCCTTTGGAAATCACCATTTTACTCTCTTTTTCTAGGAGATTAACATTTTTAAAAGTTTTATTTTATTTTAATTGACACATAATTGTGCATATTTGTGAGGTACAATGTGATGTTTTAATACATGTATACACTGTGTAATGAATAGAACATTCCTATTCAATAGAACATGATAATTTATTCCTTCTATCTATCTGTAATTTTAACAAGTGGTCTTCTTTTTTGGTTGTGTTTTTGTCTGGTTTTAATATTAGAGTAACGCTGGTATTAAAAAAATAAATTTGCAAATATTTTTTTCTCTTCTATATATGAAAGCGTTTGAGAATAATTGGTATTAATTATTCTTTAAATGTTTGATAGAATTCAACAGTGATGCCGTCAAATTCTGAGCTTTTCTCTGATGGAAGACTTTTTACTACTGATTCAGTCCCCCTTACTCCTTACTGATCTATTTAGATTTTCTATTTCTTCATAACTCAATCTTTGTAGGTTATATGTCTTCAAGAATTTATCCATTTCTTTTTGCTTATCCAATTTGTTGGCAGGTAATTGTTCATAATAATCTCTTACAAAACTTTGTGTATTTCTGTGGCATTAATTATAATATCTCCCTTTTCTTCTCTGATTTTATGTATATGAATCATCTTTTTTTTCTTAGTGTAGTTAAAGATTTGTCAATTTAGTTGACCTCCTCAAAAAGCCAACTCTTTGTTTCATTAATCTTTTCTATTTTTTAATCTCTATTTTATCTTTTTCTCTGATCTTTACTGCTATCAATATTTACTTTACATATGTAGCTGCTCTGAAGTTGGGTACGTATATATTTACAATTGTTATATCTTCTTGCTGAATTGGACCCTTTATAATTACATAATGACCTTTGTTTCATTTTACAGTTTTTTTTACTTAAAGCCTAATTTATTTAATTAAGTAAAGGTACTCCAAATCTCTTTTGGTTGCCATTTGCTTGGAATATCTTTTTCCATCCCTTGACTTTCAGTGTGTGTACCCTCACAGGTGCTGTGAGTCTCTTTTTGGCAGCATATGGTTAAATCCTGTTTTGTTTATACATTCAGCCACTCTTTGTTTTGATTAAATAATTTAATCTATTTACATTAAATCTAATGATTGGTAAATAAGGACTTACTATTGCCATTTTGTTAATTGTTTTCTAGTTATTTTAGAGATCTTTTTTCTTTCTTCCTCTCTTGTTTCTTTCTTCCTCATTTAGTTTGTTTCTTTGTATACCTCTAGTAACAGTGCTTTCTTGTTTTTTACTTTTTGTGTATGTATTCTAGAGTTTTGCTTCACAGTTACCATGAGGCTTATAAAAACATTTTATAGCTTATAAAAACATTTTATAATTTTACTTGAGTCCTTCCACTTCATTTTGAATTTTTGATGTTATACTTTACATATATTTAAATTGCATGCCCTTTAACAAATTATTGTGGTTATTAAAATTTTGAATATTTTTATCTTTAAATCTTCATACTAAAGATATTAGAGATTTACATATCACCATTATAGTATTAGAATATTCTAAATTTGACTGTGTAGTTCATTTTAGCAGTAAGTTGTTCTGTGCTCAGATGTTTTTGTGAAATTCATTCATTTAATTTTCTCTCAGATTAAGTAACTCCCTTTAGCAATTCTTACAGATGTGGTGGTGATGAACTTCCTAAGCTTTTGTTTTTCTGTGAAATTATTTATCTCTCCTTCATTTCAGAAAGATAGCTTTGCAGGATATAGTATTTTTGGTTGCCGGTCATTTTTTTTCCCCCTTCAGCAGTCTGCATATATCATCCCATTCTCTTCTGCCCTGTAATGTTTCTGTAGAGAAGTCCTCTGCTGGACATATTAAAACTCCCTTTTATGTTATTTGCTTCTTTCTCTTGCTGCCTTCAGGACCCTATATTTGTCTTTTATCTTTGAAAGTTTTTGATTATAATATGTCTTGAGGTAGCTTCATTTGCATTTAATCTACTTGATGTCTTTGGATGTTGAGGGAAGTCAGGGACCCCAAACAGAGGGACCGGCTGAAGCTATGGCAGAAGAACATAAACTGTGAAGATTTCATGGACATTTATGAGTTCCCCAAATTAATACTTTTATAATTTCCTATGCCTGTCTTTACTTTAATCTCTTAATCCCGTCATCTTCGTAAGCTGAGGATGTATGTCACCTCAGGACCCTGTGATGATTGTTATCTGTACAAATTGTTTGTAAAACATGTGTGTTTGAACAATATGAAATCTAGGCATCCTAAAAGAACAGGATATCAGCGATTTTCAGGCAACAAAGGAGATAACCATAAAGCCTGACTGCCTGCGGTGCCAGGCAGAACAGAGTCATATTTCTCTTCTTGCAAAAGCGAATAGGAGAAATATCACTGAATTATTTTTCTCAGCAAGGAACAGCCCTGGGAAAAGAATGCATTCCCAGGGGGAGGTCTCGAAAATGGCTGCTCTGGGAGTGTCTATCTTATGCAGTTGTAGATAAGGGATGAAATATGCCCTGGTCTCCTTCAGCACCCCCAGGCTTGCTAGGATTGGAAAATTCCAGGCTGGTGAAATTCTAGTCAGACTGGTTGTCTGCTCCTGAACCCTGTTTCCTGTTAAGATGTTTATCAATGACAACGTGTGCCCAGCAGGACATGGACCTTCATCAGTAATTCCAGTTTTGCCCTGGCCTTGCAATCTCAATCTGCCTCTCTGCCCTTGTGATATTTTATTGCCTTGGAAGCATGTGATCTCTGCGACCCACACCCTATTCGTACACTCCCTCCCCTTTGAATATCGCTAATAAAAACTTGCTGGTTTGCGGCTTAGGTGGGCATCACGGAACCTGCTGACATGTGATGTCACCCCCGGAAACCCAGCTGTAAAATTTCTCTCTTTTGTACTCTTTCTCTTTACTTCTCAGACTGGCTGGCACTTAGGGAAAATAGACAAGAAACTATGTTGAAATATTGGGGGCTGGCTCCCCCAATAGTTGGACATTCCTGTACCTGGATATTTATATTTCTCTGGGTTTGGATACATCTATTCTTTTTTAAAAAATAAGATTTCTACCCCCTTTATCTTCCTCCGCCCACTCTTGAATGCCAATCACTTGAAATTTTTTTCTTCTGATGCTGTCCCATTAATTCTGTCAGCTTTCTTCATTTCTTTTCATTATTTTTTCTCCCCTGACTCTATGAGTTTAAATAACTTGTCTTTGAGTTTAAAATTCTTTCTTCTACTTTATCAATTCTGCTGATAATATGTATTGCAGTTTTCATTCCAAGTATTGTATTTGCAGTTTTCATTCCAATTATTTTATTTTTCATCTCTAAGATTTCTGTTTGATTTTTATATAAATAAATAGCTCTGTTAAATTTCTAGTTCGGATAACATTGTTTTTCTCATTTTGTTTATTGTTTCTTTGTAGTTCTTGAATATTGGTGAGCTTCCTTAAAAAAAATCATTATTTTGAATTTATTATCAGGCAGTATATACATCTTCATCTCTTTAGGATCAGTTACTGATACTTTATTTTGTCCATTTGGTAGTGTCATTTTCCCCTAATTATTAATGATCCTTTTGTTCATGTGTTGATGCCCTACACATTGAAAAAACATTTTTTCCAGTATTTGCAGTATGGATTTGTCTGAAAATGCCTTTCAACAGTAAGCTTGTCCAGAGATTCTGGGCAGGTTGTTTGGTGTGGTCCCTAAGCCTATGACTCCTGTAGACTTTTCAGTGGTAGGTAATGCCCTTCCCTCAGAACCACCATGGTTGGTGCAGTGCGATGCTGGAATTCCATGGCTGCTGAGGCTTTCACATTGCCAGGGTATATCTTCAGCCCATGGCTGCTAAAGCCTGCCAGTTGCTGAGGTTTGTACAGAACCTATGGTGACTGCACTTGGCTGGTGATGATGCAGGCCAAAGATTTTGCAGGGACTATGCATTCCCTCCTAGCACTGAGACAGGCCAGGAGGCTAAATTAATGGACACCAGCCTGAATTCAGAGTCCATAGGTGTCTGCCTGGTGCTAGGTTTTACTGTGGTGGGCCCAGTGTTAAGGACCAAGGCAAAATCCTGTGCTCACTTCCCATCTTTCCTCAAGCTTATGATATATTTCTTTGCATTGCACTTCCTGGGTTGGTGGAGGAATTAAACAGGTAATGTAACACTGTCATTCTTGCCCTTTTCAGTTTATTTTTTCCTGTCATTATGCAACAACGAGGCACTGTAATCTCCCAGCTGGTTTCCTTACCTCTTGTCAGGTAGTTTTGTGCATGTATAGTTGTTCAAATTGATGTTTTGGTTGGGAGAATGGCAATCACTGGAAGTTCCTATTCTACCATCTAACTCGACTCAATCCTAAACAGATCATTTCTAGGTTGTATATATTGAAATGTATTTATTTGATATTATGAAACATAGACTATACCAGGTTATTGAGTCAGCTGATATTATGTGAATATCCAAATTCATTAAGATACAAGTCTCAGAGAAAAAAAATTTAATTTATATACACAATGAATCAGTTCATATTTAAATTCAGAAAGATTCAAAGCAAGCGTATGGTAAATCATTTTTCAAAATAATAAGACTATTTTTTTTTGAGATGAGGTCTTATGTTGCCTAGGCTGGAATGCAATAGCTATTGGAAGGTTCAACAATAGTGCACTGCAACCCTGAACTCCTTGTTTCAAGCAATTCTCCAGCTTCAGCCTTCCAAGTAGCTGGAACTATGGGTTCCCAGCTAAGACTACTTAAATTTTTTGTGTATATATTTGTGTAGGTATTTACAAATATATATATGAATTTTATAAAATGACATATATTTTATATATAATCTATATACCTGAGTGAAGAAAGCCATGATAAATACATATCAAAGTGGAAAATAAACGTACAACTTTGACAACGCAACATTCAAACAAGAGCAAGCTGTATTTAACTAATAGTTATATTGAAAGATAAAGTCAGAGCCAAATAAAAGACAATATTTAACTGCAAGGATGTGAAGTATATAAGAATAAGGGATATAAGAATGAGGTCAGATTAAGATAAAGATGATTCCACTAGGGCCAATAGAAATTTCATTCAAGATTTAAAATGTACCCAATACAGCCAAATATTTTATACCTGTAACCACTACTCCACCCTATTTTCCTATAGATGTTCAAAAGGAATTCCAAAGAGTGAAAGAAGAAATTATCTTGCCACAGTAAGTAGAGAGGAATGAGTAGTCATCTTTACAAAAAGTGCAACATTTGGTAGAGAGGGGAGATATTGCTAAAGCTGACTACAGAGTAGAAGTCATGTGGAAGACAGTCAGCACACGCAGTTTATATTTCCAATGATTCTTTGACAAGGGTTGCCTATACCTCAAGTTTTTTTAATAGTATACCTTCACAACTTAATCTATCTGTAGTTTTTTGTTTTTTTGTTTTTTTGAGACGGAGTCCTGATCTGTCATCCAGCAGGCTGGAGTGCAGTGGCACAATCTCAGCTCACTGCAACCTCCGCCTCCTGGATTCAAGCAATTCTTCTGTCTCAGCTTCCCAAGTAGCTGGGATTACAGGTGCCCACCACAACACTCGACTAATTGTTGTATTTTTAGTAGAAATGGGGTTTTGTCATGTTGGCCAGGCTCGTTTGAAACTCCTGATCTTGGGTGATCCACTTGCCTTGGCCACCCAAAGTGCTGGTATTTCAGGTGTGAGCCACCGCGCCAGGCCTATTTAATCTCTTCAAAAGTTAAAATTGGGCAATTATATGTGGGGCCTTCCATATTGTATTTCTTAAGAGGTGGAATATGGACAAGATTTATATATTGATAAAAATATAATGATTGATCACACACAAACACATACATTTCCATGTATGCACTGAAAAAAAAAAAAACCGAAAACTTTAATTCTCATTCTGTCTTTATTTTAGAGAAAATTTTCTTTGAGTTAAACAAAGTTCAGTTAAAAGATGTGGCCCAGGCAACGAAGAGCTTGTGACTTAGACAGGAGTCAACTTCAATTCCTTTGGGTTAGAGTCATTAACATTTGCGTGTAAAACTTTCTATATAGATTATATGAGGTGTTTCAGTTCCAGACCTCAAAACAAGCATAGATCATTAAGTTACACCTCTATCAAGGTAAAGGTTAAATAGTTTGAGGAAAATGACAGGAATTCTCAGAGCATAATGTAATTTTAGAATTTAGCTTTAAATTGTCTGGTTTCTAAGACAAAAAAGAACAAAAGTAAAGAAAAAAGTTATTTTCCATCCTCTAAAGCAGATCTATGGAATAGAGTTTGAAGTCATGGGCAGGGCTCTTCAGCGTTATACAAATTAAGTAATTTTTGACCAAGCAAAGAAGTGATCACCAAGGCCAAAACATGCTTCTACAACTTTGCGCCATTATTAGATGCACACTGATTAAGAAAACCCTGAGTTATTGGTATTTTTCATATATATAATTAATTATCAGAACTCTGAAATAGCGCTAAAAATACAACAAAAGAAAAAATACATCATATCGATTTTTTGAGAAATTCATAGAAAAAAATTCAAAACCATTATCATCATACAATTTAAGAAATAAATTTTTTCTGTCTCTGTCTCTCTGTCAGTCTCTTTGTCCATCTGTCTCTCTCTCTGTCTCTTTCTCTTTCGCTCTCTCTCTTTCTGTGTCTTTGTCTCTCTCTGTCTGTCTCTGCCTCTGTCTGTCTCTCTCTCTCTCTCTGTATCTTTCTCTCTCTCTTTTCTCTCTCTGTCTCGCTCTCTCCCTCCCTCTCTTTTTTCTAAAATGAGCTCTGGCAGATCTAATCGAATCCATTACCAAGGCCTGAATTCTTAACTTTAGAAATCAAAGATTTGATCTCCATACAGAATCCTGTACAAAACTGGTGAGTTGATTTCTGGGCTTGGATACCTCATAGATATTACATATTAATAAAGATCCAACCCTGAAAAAAGATAAAAATAAATTTTTAACTTTTCTATCTGGACCCCAAATAGATAAACACATGCTAATGTCTTATACTTTGGAGTATTCTTAATGTGTGAGAACTCATTCACACCAGTTAATATTTTTGGAATGTGCTACAAAATGGGACTACCTCATACTAAAAGTTGCTTTCTCATGAATAGAGATGTCTAATACGAGATAAATGGTTGAGGTTAATTTTTGTTTTGCATGTGATGTTCTTCATGGTTATTCACAGCAATCAGCTCTAAGCCAGTATTTCACAGTCTGGTTTACAAAGTAATTTAATTGCTGTCTGTAAAGCATAATTTGTTAGGAATACTAAAGGATAGTAGATTGGGAATAATTTACTTTCAAATGTTGTACTTCAAGTTGGAGCAGATTTGTAGGTACCTAGCACTGAGGTCATGTTTACTTTCACTCAGATATGTTTAGTGTTTAGCTGTGGGAGAAAGAAAGAGGTGGAGCTGGAGTTGTCTTACAAAGGATTGTGCAGTTTGAGTGCCTACACTGGCAGAAATGGACCAAGACTAGGTGTCTACACTATGAATATAGAACCAGAGAAAGAACATCCCTTGAAATAGTGCACTATCTTTGTTAGCTTCTTACTTTTTTTAATCTAAAAACATGATATGTATTATTATTTAAAAGTTTGTAAATAAGTTTTACACTAGGGGGATCTCTTATATAGTCTATTTATGAAGCCAAATTTAAACATGAAAAATTATTTTAAATTATTCCAAAGAGATATTTAATAAAAAAGCTGATAAAAGCATGGGGAGGTGTTTGGTGATCTATATACATGAATATGTATATACATGAGTGAAGAAAGCCATAAGCCAGATACAAGTAGCTGCAGCTCTGAGTGTGGATACTGGAGATTTTGACAAGAGTAGACAGCAGTAGTCAGTCTACCAGCTCTAGAAGAGTCAGAGATGACGATAGACTCACCAAGCCATGGTGCTGCCAAGGTAGAAGAGGCTGTTCCTTGGAAAGGGTAGTGGCTAAGAGCTTTCTGGAACCTTAGGCACACAAATATAAGATACATCCAATCATTCCCAAACATAGCTAAAGTATTAGAAGAAAAAATAACATAATACAAGATCCCACTTGAGACCTATCAAAACACTATCCTCACAAGTATTTTTAATTTCAAGTTTATAGACATTAATACTTATAGTGTAGATAGCACAGCAGTAGTCTACAAATCTGAGTTTGGGAAATATTTTATATTTCAGAGAGAAGAATAAGAATAAGGAGGTGGAAGGGGAGGAGAGGAAAAAAATGTAGAGTTGGGAAGGGAAAGGGGAAAGGGAAGGAGGAGAGGGATCAGAGTACTAAAAATAGCTTCAGTCAGTCAAATCTACTAACATTCTAACTTCTGTGTGTTTGGAAAGTTCGGTTATTGGGATGAATCAGTCATTAGTGGTGTTGTATGGCTTGAAGTTGACTGTATAAAACAGCAAGCTCAAGTACAAATTGATATTTTAGTTTTCTTAATAATATTTCTCACAACTGATATCAGCTACTGTAACATGGTGTTAGAGTACCCCATAGTGGTTTCATTCAAAAAGTTTTTTGAAAATCTAACGTCGTTGTCACTTGAAGGTATAGTAGGGTTCTACATTCAAAAGAAGTGCAAAAATACTGCTTTAGAGCAAGTTAAGCTATATAATTAATAAATTGATAAATATATAATGTTTAAAATCTCCTTACATTAACTGACTTCTAGGTCTGATACAGCGTCTAAAAATATATTCGCAGTAGAAATCTACGTGAAGAAAGTTTGCGTCAATCTGAAGAGGATATCACAGAGAAAGCAGTCAAGGAAAAGAAGTTACTGAAACACACAATGACAGTGACTTCCCGGCACTGTGCTGGGGAGATGGTCTCACAAAAAAGAGCAAAGGGAAGGTTTTATCTGGAGAATGTAGATGTGTTATATTTAAGGCAAAATCTCAGCCTAATTCTTCTAAACAAATCCCACCATTGGAATTGCTTGATCACTAAGCAATATCCTGGCGATTTACTTTTCATTCCATGTCGCATTCAAGAACAAATATGAGTCAAGTCAATCTTAATGGTGCCTGATTTAATGTTTATTCAGGTATTTTTCACTTAAGATTAGTAACTGGGGACTCTGGTTTATATACATTTCTGTTAGTTTATGCCAGCTGGAGACTAAAATTGATACACACCTTAATAGCAGTGTACCTACAGATCCCTTCAAACTTCTAAAAGTACATGGTAGGTACTTTTCAGGAAAGAGTTATGTTGAACAGCTTGACAGTAAAAAGGTTCCTGTAACTTTTTTCTAACAATACACACTAGAGTGTGGAATTCAGGATAGAATAATTCTATTGAACTCTGCTCAATATGCCTTTTTTCCTGAAGTAATAAAAGAACATCTGTAGCAGTCAATCTTGTCTATGGAGCAATTTCACCAAAGAGATATTAAGAAAATCCTTTTTCCTCTTCCCTCTTTCTTCCAGAAACATTTATTGAAACCATGTAAATATTCCAGGCAATACAAGAAGAGCTGAAACTGCAGAGACTCATAAGGCTTAGTTCTATGTCTACTTCGTCTAGTACAGTGGGCAGACTTGAAAAGTAAAAATAGTAACACCTTGTGAAAATGTATATAAGGCTGACAAATCAATTCTTCCGTGGAAAAGATGAGGATTGAGCAAGCTCTAGAGTCAAGCAAGGTCCCAGTTTACCAGTCTAAATGCTCTCAGCCAAAAAAAAGACCTATTTTAGTACAAATCTTGTATTTGATTTATTGGTATCTGTATGTGGTTTTTGTATATTTATGACTTCTATTATTTGTTGACATCCTGTGGAAATATAGCTGTCCATTAAATGTGTAGATGTTCCCCCTATGGCAATAGTTGATCAAATCAAAGGCATAAAAAATGAAAAGAATTGAACTAAATTTATAACTCATATGATTAGCCAGGTTTTCCAGAAATTTAAATTTATACTTATTTATATAAGCCTAAGCATATATAACAAAGCTTTTGAGGTAATCCAGTTCTCATGAAGCCTGATTTCCTAAACTACTATAATGTCAATAAATTTAAGGATGAGATGGTTTACTTCCTTTCTCTTCAGGGAAATATACTCTATGCTAGTGAATAGGGTATGAAGAATATGACAAAGGGAATTCTACTCCTATAAAGCTGTGTAAATTCTGAATCTAATGAGAAAGTTTTACTTATACATAAAACAATATTTTTAACAGCTTAGAAAGTTGGCTGGAAAGAATGACACAATTTTAGATTTCAATCTATAATTTCAAAGCATTTTCCTGATGAACTCTAAAGAGAATGCAAGAGTGTACCAGCTACCAGAAAGCAAATATGAAAGAAACCCCATGCTGACAAAGCAACCTTTTATCCTTGGTATTTTATCTATGTCCTAGAGGAGATTCAACAGGTGAAATGTCACTGTGGATCAGATGTCTTCCTTTTAGAGCTCATTTTATTACATCTTAATGTATAATATAAATTAATATCATTAAAATTAATAAAGATAACAAACAGGTAAATCAGATAGTGCAAAACAAACAAACAAAGAAAAGCCCGTTAACTCTATGCTGATTTTCACATTCAGGGAGATTATGCAAAAGATCAAAGGGATTTAATGAGAAAAATGTTAAACTTAAAATATACAAGGTATGCATCATCTTACTTTGTACATATTTGCATTTAATTTTCATGGAGAAGGACTGATTTATATCTCTACTCAGACACTGACTCTGGTTAAAAATATCATCTTTATTAAGTCTCAATCAGCCATCAAACAAACAAGTACATTTTAAAATAGTATTCCCACCCTACAGGGTTCCAGTAAAGGAAATAATAAAGTGAAATATGAAAAAAAAATGTTCTTTGAGAGGAAGAGACCTAATTAAGAGGAGGCCCTAACAACTCCATGGATTAATTGGGATGCAACTGAGATAATTGGACCTATGGGAGTTTGATTACACCCATCATAAACTGCTTTTTTCACAAGTATAGGTTAAATGCTTGATGCTTAAATTGGGTATAGCACTACAATGAAAGTAGGGTTCATATAGAAAAATTAATATTTGGGAAAGCGATATCCTGAAGTTTTCCGGCATCGTAGTAGCAACATGGTTTTTTTTTTTTCAGATATGCAATTTTCTAGGTTTTTCGGAGCCACTTTCATAACAGTGTGGTTACAATTCTATCAACCGAAATATGCTTATGCTATTAAAAGTTGACATGTAGACCACATGTAGCTGCTTTGCAATTAGAAATCCAACAAGACCACATCTTTCTGCAATGGAAGTTAAAATGGGCTGCTGTTTTTAAAAATGATGTCCTTAAATGTTCATTGCAACAAACACTGGCTTTCAATTACATGATTTTCCAGGAAATAGAACCACAGAATTGTAGAGCCTAAGGGAACCTCATTGATCATTTATCTGGCCAAATCTCATATTTTTACAGTTGTGGGATCTGACGTGAAGACAAAAGGTTGAAAGTTCTAGGTAAAAGCTAGGTTTTTATTAGGGGCTGGGAGATGTAGGGGCTCAGCAGGGGCAAGGCAGGAGGGGATAATTTCTTTTTGAAAATAAGTGACTGAAAAAGGAGCATCCATTTGCATACATCTCAAAATCTTGTGCTTCTGCAATACTTTAAAAACAAACCTCTATTGAGGGAGGTATGGAAGTGGAAAATTGAGAGTCACTTTATTTACACTGGGAAATAGGGTTGCATGCATATTTTAATAGTGAAGAGATATTCCTTTCATTAGGATAAAGGCAGAAACAATATTAAATTATTACTATAGATAGAAAAGATACTACTTATATAATTTAAGTAGGCAAATAGATCAGCTTAAAGAATAGGGAGGAGGGTGAGGGATAAAAGACTACACACTGGGTACAGTGTACACTACTCTGGTGACAGGTGCACCTAAATCTCATAAATTACCACTAAAGAACTTATCCATGTAACCCAAAACCACCAGTTCCCCAAAAACTGCTAAAATAAAAAACAGGATAGGTTTACTAGCAGCCTCTAGCATCTGTAGGTTTTAGTAGTATGCCCAAAAGTCTTAGATGAAGCCACCCTTATCTCTTAAGGGGACAGATCTATAAAAACATGCTGGATATTTCCTTTTCTCCACCTGCTTCATGCCTAGTAGGCTAACCTTTTTAGACAGTTTCAATAGGGGCCTCCTGCCCTCCAACTTTTTCGGAGGGTCCAGCTAATGGGTCATCAACAAGTGATCAGTGGTGGGCAGAAATACAAGTGTGAGTAATTAAACCCAGGGATAAGTCATCAATGGACTGTTCTTGAAGTTAATCTGTCCCTCCAACAAAGGCTATAGCTCCTGCCAGACAGCCTCTTCTACTCATATAGCAATAGCTCTTTTTCCTGTTCTGGCAAACTCTTCCTTCTTTGTCTTTTTGAGCTAAAAATCCACATTTTTGTCTCTTCAAGACTATTCTGAACACTGAAGCGAGAGAAGCATTTCAAAAACACAAATATGGTCACTGATAACTCCTAAATTCTAACCTAAGCTAAAAATCACAGGAGATTCTGGCTGCTTCTCATCACTCCAGGTTCACCTGAGTTAACTCCTACATACCTTTCAGGACTCAGCTTAAATGTCACATTTTGGTACATCTACTGTGTTCCAGTATGGCTATTATGTTCCACTATGTCTTCACAGCACTCATCTGAAATTTATTTTTATTTACTTATTTTTTTAAGAGAAGAGGTCTTGCTAAGTTGCCCAGTCTTGAGTGCAGTGGCTATTCACAGATGCAATCATGATGTACTACAGCCTGGAACCCCTGGCCTCAAGTGGTCATCCTAGCTCAGCCTCCTCAGTAGCTAGGACCATAGGTGTGCACCATTGCACTTGACTCATTTGAATCTTAATATAGTAATTGGTTTAATTAGCTTTAGATCTATAGGAGAATATGTTTCACTTTTCTTTTTCCTTTCCTCCATTCCTCCCTTCAGCCCCTCCTTCATTTCTTCCTTCCTTCTAATCTTAGATCGTTGTCATTTAGTCTTTATTTCCCTTCAGTCTGTTCTTTTCGTAAATAGTTTGCCATGGTTCCTGCCCTCCTGGATTTTACATTTGACAAGAGAGGCAGATATTAAACCATTAAGTACAATAGTAGTAATTCAATTACAATCATGATAAGTGCTAGGAGGACAAGTTTCCAAGTCATATGCCATCTTCCCTGAATGAACATCAAAGCCTAAAACAGAAACTGGCAGATAATAAATCGACCTGCGGTGAGGTAAGGAGGCAGTATAGAGTTTTGATAAAGAACATCAGTTGTGCAGTCAACTCGAACTAGGTTCAAATTTTGGACTCTTTAACTTTTGCTACCTATATACATTAGGCAAATTGATTTATCTCCTCAATTCTCAGTTTTCCAATTATAAATGAGACTTATAAAATTTTCCCCATGGAATTATCATCAATATTAAATGAGAAAAAGTTGCATAAATCACTGAAAAGAGACCCTGATAGACATGTTGTGCTAACATTATGGTAGTATTTTTAGAAAAGCAAAGACATCTTGGACTATGTGTTGATTTTTAGAAAAAAGAACAACAACAAGCTCAAACGTAATACATTTCTTTTCTATTTTTAGCAGACTACCACAATTTAAATTAACCATAATTAAAATTTCACAAAAACATGGAACAATTGGGTCCTAAGCACAAGGCATAAGGTAGCCAACATTCTGGCATAAGGAATTTGGAAAAAATATTATATCAGCTTCAGAAATACAGCTTTATGTACAAGAAGCCACCTGGCACATGCAATAAAACAACTTTATTAATACAGTATGTTTCATGCATAAATCTGATCAGATTTGCTCTAGCAATCATCCTGTGTGCCTCAAGACACCTGCAGTAGGAGAAGAAATCATGTTTCTATCAATTCTCAAAACTCCCATCTTTTGTGGCATCATTTGATGTTAATTTGCAATACAAAGTTAACTTACATCTCATTATCATGCCACAATTTGTTTACATGCAAGTGTTCAATTTCTAGCTCATTTTTTCCTCATTTATAAAATTATCTTTGGATTATTTTTCTGTTTAGTAAATTGTAAGCAAATGAAAGCTGTGTGTTATTCTTTTATATTAGAGTCTATTATTGAAGGGTTTGCTGGAATTGTCTCTGATAAAATTAACTTAATCAAACATTATTTGTATTTTTATTTTCTATATTTTATACCACATAAACTCATACATAAATAACCCATAACATGGTATGAATCTTGGTTGAAATAATATTTCTAAATGTCACAAAGGGGCTCAACATAAACATAACATTTTAATAAAATAAAAAATAAAACTATGAAAATATCACAGTAAATCTTACAAGTTAAAAATATTTTGATTGTTTATTCTCAAATATTAAATATATAATTTTTTAAGCAAAGCATTACAAAGCATACCAATGTCACTGGGCTATCAATATTTATATTTGGCATATTAAAGTCATTTTAATTTCTCTATTATCTATATAGAGGTACACATTGTTTGGTGGAAAGTAAACCAGAAAAAAAAAAAGTCTCACAAGTATAGTTTCAGTCATTTAAATTTCGTTGACTACAAAAGATACCAGCGACACTCTTAAGTTTAGCTTGATTAGACGTGAACCTGAATAAATTAAGCTAAATGTATAACTGGTGGAATTTTACTTTTTATAATAATATGATGTATCCATTCAACTACGTGACCGATCCTAAGTCAGCCAGCCGGTGTGTCTTTCATGTATAACTGTTTCCATCACATCAAAGACAAAAGAAAATGAAAATAACATGCTCAGGGCTTTCCAATAGAATTTCCTTCAACGGAAGAAATGTTCAATGGCTGGAAATGTTCTATATATATGTGCTCTCCAATACAGTAGCTCTTAGCCACATGTAGCTATTGAGCGTTTGAAAAGTGCCTGGTCTCATTAAGAATTGAACTTTAAAATTTAATTTAATTGGCCAGGCACGGTGGCTCACGCCTGTAATCCCAGTACTTTGGGAGGCCGGGGCGGGTGGATCGCGAGGTCAGGAGATAGAAACCATCCTGGCTAATACAGTGAAACCCTGTGTCCACTAAAAATACAAAAAAAAATTAGCCGGGCGTGGTGGCGGGCGCCTGTAGTCCCAGCTTCTCGGAGGTTGAGGCAGGAGAATGGCGTGAACCCGGGAGGCGGAGCTTGCAGTGAGCCGAGATTGCGCTACTGCACTCCAGCCTGGGCGACAGAGCCAGACACCGTCTCAAAAAAATAAATAAATAAAATAAAATAAAAATAAAAATTAATTTAATTATAATAAACATAAATCTAAACAACCACATGTGACTAGTGGCTACTGTATTAGAAAGCAGAAGATGGTCTGAATAATTGTCCCTGGACCAATTTTTGTAATTTTTTTTCTTTTTTTTTTTAGACGGAGCTTCGCTCTTGTCTCCCAGGCTGGAGTGCAGTGGGTGATCTCAGCTCACTGCAACCTCTGCCTCCCGGGTTCAAGCGATTCTCCTGCCTCAGCCTCCCAAGTAGCTGGGATTACAGGAAACTGCCACCAAGCCCGGCTAATTTTTGTATTTTTAGCAGAGACGGAGTTTCACCATGTTGGCCAGGCTGGTCTTGAACTCCTGACCTCAGGTTATCCACCTGCCTCAGCCTCCCAAACTGCTGGGATTACAGGTATGAGCCACCGCACCCAGCCATTCCTGTAATTTTTTACACTAACATTTGCATTGAGAAACAAGACAATTATGTAGGAACATATTCATAATAACCTGCTTCAACTTGCAGAATACAACCCTTCCTGAGTCTCTTTAGTTATATTCATAAGGGACTAAAGACCACAGGGGACAGACTTGCTATTAGGAGAGAGCCAACGTCTGACTCACCCAATCTTCACCTGGTGGAATAAAAAGCCACCTTGCAAACCTAACATGCTTGCAGTGTCCCTATGTGAATCACCTTCTGCTTCTGTGTTGAGAGGAAGAAAGCAGCTCCCAAACAGATGGTTTACCATCATGCAGAAGAAAGAGGGGGGAAATGATGGAGTCACTTCTTTCTCCTGCTCATCTACTAGATTTTTTTTTTAACTCTGGAGGGAACTCATCAGCAAATTTTAAAAGTTATTTAACATATGAGCAAAGCATAGAAAATGGACAGATTGAGGCGGCTGTGTACTGTGTTTATATTTTAGTCCTACTTTTTCTATAAAAGAAACCCATGTATTTATTGTGCTTCATCAAGGTACCCACATTTGGGCATTGTTTAGCCCTAGAGTTTTCATATCCATCCCTCAAGGTGATTTACAATACCCCAAATGACGTATTGTTATTATCACCTAAGCATTAAAGTGGCCTCCATTCAAGTAAAATCAGTACTCAGTGAGCAGTAATTCTATTGTGCATAATTACAATTATCCCTGTCCTCCTAACTTTTTGCCAGTGTTCACACTTGCTCACCTTCAATCAGACAGCTTTGTTTTATTAATATCTATTCAAGTTTTGGTACTTGGTTCCCTGGGAATTTCATCCATTTTACCCACTAGCTTGTTACTTTTCTTCATTTGATTTAATTTGGATATTATTTTCTAAGTATATGACATTGAAATCTATTATAATTATCAGATTCTATCTGCATGATGATTAAGTTCCCATTTTTTATGCTGATTACTGCTAATGTTTCACAAAAGAAAGTGCATTTTACCTGAGCTGCTTTGATTTAAGGATTATGAGCTAACACAGTGTTTCTTTTAAAAATGACAAAACATTTGTTTGCTTTTTAAAAAGTATCATTTTTGAAGAATAGAAAGTGGGATAAAGAGATTTATTAGTGTCTTAGGAAGCATGTAGTAAAATTAAATCACTTCACATTTTCCATACGCCTAATGTTGCTTTCAGATTTGTGTAGAGTATACATATAATTTATTGTCCCAAATGGGGCCTTTTTAAGAGCAAAACAAGGCTTTGTTAATAATTAAGCTGGACGAGCAGGTACAAACAGAGACTGTTGCCAGCAAACCAGGACAGAGTGACCCTGGATTCAAGGATGCTTGGATATATATTTGACTCTGGACAACACAGGTTTGAACTGCGTGGATCCACTTGTACATGGATTTCCTTTTGCCTCTGCCACCCCTGAGAGAGCAAGACCAACCCCTCCTCTTTCTTCTCCTCCTCAGCCTACTCAATGTGAAGATGATGAGGATGATGAACTTTGTGATGACCCACTTCCACTTAACCGATAATAAATATACTCCTCCTTGTGATTTTCTTAATAACACTTACTTTTATCTAGCTTACTTTATATTGTAGGAATACATATAACGTACACAATATGTGTTAATTAAATTTTTAAGCCATTGATAAGGCTTCAGGTCAACAGTAGGCTATTAGCAGTGAAGTTTGGGGGGAGTCAAAAGTTATGCATGACTTCTCAACTGTGTGCAATGTTGACACCCCTAACTCCAATGCTGTTCAGCGTTCAACTGTGTTGACCCTTTAGATGAAGACTGACAAATGGGAATAGATCCAAGCCTTTCCCGAACTCCCCTATGTTACAAGGGTGCCTATTATCAATATAAAGGTGTTTCCATCCACCATGTTGGAGGCCCCATGCAACTGCTTCTGCTTTTGTCTCAGGTCATTTGACACACTGCTGTTGTTCAGGATCTCACTCTGTTTACCCTATTCTTTAAAATGTCATTACCAAATTCCATTTCAAAAATACTCTCTGCTCTTTTGATGGGACGTATCTCAAAATAATAAGAGCTATCTATGACAAACCCACAGCCAATATCATACTGAATGGTCAAAAACTGGAAGCATTGCCTTTGAAAACTGGCACAAGACAGGGATGCCCTCTCTCACCGCTCCTATTCAACATAGTGTTGGAAGTTCTGGCCAGGGCAATCAGGCAGGAGAAGGAAATAAAGGGTATTCAATTAGGAAAAGAGGAAGTCAAATTGTCCCTGTTTGCAGACGACATGATTGTTTATCTAGAAAACCCCATTGTCTCAGCCCAAAATCTCCTTAAGCTGATAAGCAACTTCAGCAAAGTCTCAGGATACAAAATCAATGTACAAAAATCACAAGCATTCTTATACCCCAATAACAGACAAATAGAGAGCCAAATCATGAGTGAACTCCCATTCACAATTGCTTCAAAGAGAATAAAATACCTAGGAATCCAACTTACAAGGGATGTGAAGGAACTCTTCAAGGAGAACTATAAACCACTGCTCAATGATATAAAAGAGGATACAAACAAATGGAAGAACATTCCATGCTCATGGGCAGGATGAATCAATATCATGAAAATGGCCATACTGCCCAAGGTAATTTACAGATTCAATGCCATCCCCATCAAGCTACCAATGACTTTCTTCACAGAATTGGAAAAAACTACTTTAAAGTTCATATGGAACCAAAAAAGAGCCCGCATCACCAAGTCAATCCTAAGCCAAAAGAACAAAGCTGGAGGCATCATGCTACCTGACTTCAAACTATACTACAAGGCTACAGTAACCAAAACAGCATGGTACTGGTACCAAAACAGAGATAGAGATCAATGGAACAGTACACAGCCCTCAGAAATAACGCCGCATATCTACAACTATCTGATCTTTGACAAACCTGAGAAAAACAAGCAATGGGGAAAGGATTCCCCATTTAATAAATGGTGCTGGGAAAACTGGCTAGCCATATGTAGAAAGCTGAAACTGGATCCCTTCCTTACACCTTATACAAAAATTAATTCAAGATGGATTAAAGACTTAAACATTAGACCTAAAACCATAAAAACCCTAGAAGAAAAGCTAGGCAATACCATTCAGGACACAGGCATGGGCAAGGACTTCATGTCTAAAACACCAAAAGTAATGGCAACAAAAGCCAAAATTGACAAATGGGATCTAATTAAACTAAAGAGCTTCTGCACAGCAAAAGAAACTACCATCAGAGTGAACAGGCAACCTACAAAATGGGAGAAAATTTTCACAACCTACTCATCTGACAAAGGGCTAATATCCAGAATCTACAATGAACTCAAACAAATTTACAAGAAAAAAACAAACAACCCCATCAAAAAGTGGGCAAAGGACATGAAAAGACACTTCTCAAAAGAAGACATTTATGCGGCCAAAAAACACATGAAAAAATGCTCACCATCACTGGCCATCAGAGAAATGCAAATCAAAACCACAGTGAGATACCATCTCACACCAGTTAGAATGGCAATCATTAAAAAGTCAGGAAACAACAGGTGCTGGAGAGGATGTGGAGAAATAGGAACACTTTGACACTGTTGGTGGGACTGTAAACTAGTTTCATCCCTTGTGGAAGTCAGTGTGGCGATTCCTCACGGATCTAGAACTAGAAATACCATTTGACCCAGCCATCCCATTACTGGGTATATACCCAAAGGACTATAAATCATGCTGCTATAAAGACACATGCACACGTATGTTTCTTGCGGCACTATTCACAATAGCAAAGACTTGGAAACAACCCAAATGTCCAACAACGATAGACTGGATTAAGAAAATGTGGCACATATACACCATGGAATACTATGCAGCCATAAAAAATGATGAGTTCATGTCCTTTGTAGGGACATGGATGAAATTGGAAATCATCATTCTCAGTAAACTATCGCAAGAACAAAAAACCAAGCACTGCATATTCTCACTCATAGGTGGGAATTGAACAATGAGAACACATGGACACAGGAAGGGGAACACCACACTCTGGGGACTGTTGTGGGGTGGGGGGAGGGGGGAGGTATAGCTTTAGGAGATATACCTAATGCTAAATGACAAGTTAATGGGTGTAGCACACCAGCATGGCACATGTATACATATGTAACTAACCTGCACATTGTGCACACGTACCCTAAAACTTAAAGTATAATAATAATAATAATAAAAATACTCTCTGCTCTTTAATCTTCTACTGAAATATTCCTCTCTTCCCAATATCATCTACAGTAACACTTACAAAAATAGCCCCTGGGTTTGCACTGTAGTTTTAGCTTCTCATTGTAGCTCATGAATATTTCTTCAAGTTGCATTAATTATTTGCGTCTCATTCCTCTATCATGGCAGGAGTGATGGCTTTTCCAACATTTGTACTTACCATGTGGCCTGTCACAGTGTAGCTCAACATCCTGTTCACTGAGTTACAAGAAAAATAGTGAAGAAGTAATTGCGAAAGTTTGAAATTACACAAGAATTACACTGAGGTTATATAACTAAATCAAGATATTGTTTACTATGTGCCTGACACTTTGACAAATGCTCTAAAATATTATTTCACATAAGTCCAGACTACACATATGTGACATGCCAATGATAAAGCTGAGATAAGGAAAATTAAATGCTATGTCCTGATTCATAGAGGTACTAATTGGCCAGGCTGGATTCAAACTCAAGCCTATCAGATTTTTATGTTGTTAGTGCAATAATGTGATGAGCAGCCCCATGGTTCTTCATCTAGTCACTTCTGATAACATAAAACATATTCCCTGGGTTGTTGCTCTCTACTTTCTGTTTATCTTTTTATTTACAACATAGGTAAATCAGTTTCAGTTTCTTTCACATTTTCTCATATTCATTCAGGATTTGACCATTATTCTGACAAATTAAACTATTCCTTTCTATTTATCTTAGTTTCATTTCCAGTTTATTCTATCAATATTTCATATTTTTAAATATGAGTCTCTTAGAGTTCCCTATGCAGTCTCCTAGATTTTGGTAGCTATTTTGGTATCTTTTTCTCAGTGAGATTGTTCATAATTCTGCAGTTCAGTGGCTTTTTTTTTTTAACATTTCCATTCTCCTTGAGCAATATTTCATTTCTGAAAAATCACCCAAAGAAAATGAAATCACCACCTCATAAAAATATTTGCATTCCCATGTTTATTACAGTATTGTTCACAATAACCAAGATATAGAAACAACCTAAGTGTCCACTGAGAGATGAATACATAAAATAATCTGTGGGACATGCATACAATGGGATCTTATTCAGACCTAATAAAGAGCTAAATCATCTCATCTGCCTCATTGGATAAGCCTGGAGGACATTATGCTAAGTGAAGTAAGCTAGACAGACAAAAA
This sequence comes from Homo sapiens, assembly GCF_000001405.40. NCBI lineage: Eukaryota > Metazoa > Chordata > Mammalia > Primates > Hominidae > Homo > Homo sapiens. Next base: position 66,779,490 of record NC_000013.11, read on the forward strand.
ATATATTGCACGATCTCACTTATGTGGAATATTTAAAAATATGTCCAATATGGCTGGGCGCGGTGGCTCAGGCCTGTAATCCCAGCACTTTGGGAGGCGGAGGCAGGCGGATCACAAGGTCAAGAGATTGAGACCATCTTAGCCAACATGGTGAAACCCTGTCTCTACTAAAAATACAAAAATTAGCTGGGCGTAGTGGCATGCTTCTGTAGTCCCAGCTACTTGGGAGGCTGAGGCAGGAGAATCACTTGAACCTGGGAGGCGGTGGTTGCAGTGAGCTGAGATTGCGCCACTGTACTCCAGCCTGGCAACAGAGCGAGACTCCATCTCTCTCTCTCTCTCTCTCTCTCTCTCTCTCTCTATATATATATATATATACATATATGTGTGTGTGTGTGTGTGTGTGTGTGTGTCCGATATATAGAGCTAGAGAATAAAACAGTGGTTCCCAAGGGTGAGAAAAGATGGAGAAATAGGGTGATATAGGTCAAAGGATATAAAGTAGAGGTATGTAGAATAATCAAGCTAGAGATCTAATATACAACATGAAGATTATAGGTAATAAAATTGTACTGTGTATGGGATTCATTGTAAACAATTATGTTTTAGCTGCTCTAGGCACACAAGAAAGGGGTATCTATGTGAGATGATGCATAAGTATGATTACTTCATTATAGTAACCTCTTTACTGTCTTTATGCATCCCATAACATCACGCTGTATACCTTAACTGTAGACAATAAAACTTATTACAGAGTAAAAGGAAAGTTTGTTGATGGAAGCAAATCTATTTTTTGCCTAATTTTATTTTTTAAAAAATATTTCCAAAGACATGGTTTTATATTTCACTAGGATCAGCATCTGCTTCTTGCTTTGGAAAGCATGGTCATATGAGGCTGTGCAGAGTATTAAAGAACACAAGCAACCCAGGTGCAAATGCTGACTGCATGACTCTGCTGTTGCCATTCTTTAAGCAACCAGAAGCTACCTGTCTTAGAAACAGGTCCATTCTCTCAAATGCCATTCTTTCAGATTCCCATGTGGCCAGCTTGCTCTTTCCTTGGGATATTCAGTCAACAGCAATTTTTTTCAGTGACTTTCAAGACCATCTATTTTAAAATGACCCCTTTCCACTTTACTCCCTAGTCAATATTCTTACCTTACAATTCCCCGTGATACTTATGAGTTTCAGTGCAATGTATATACATATATAAAAATATGTATATAAAACTTATACATTTATTTCTTAGGTCTCCTCCACAGTGGAATGTAAGTCCTAGGAAAGGAAATTGTTTTTACTTAGCTCAGTGCTTTATCTCCAGTGCCTAGAACAGTATCTAGCACGTGGTAGGTATTCAATAAATATTTTTTGACTGAGCGAATTTTTAAAATTGTGTTTTTATTAACCTGCTGTTTAGAAGACCAATAACAAAGCCTTAACTGAAGTAATTGTATGAAGCTGTAATTGTGGAGTTTGAAATCAGACTAAAGACTGTGGGATGCGGGTGGGGTGCATTTCAAGAGAATTCATCATTCTGATTTCCCCATAAATTACTCATCATATGAAGTGGCCAATAATAAGTTGTGTAGAAGTAAGTGGAACTTGCTATAGTTATGACTTTTCCTGTAAAGGAATAATAAAAATAGATCTCCTACTTCTAATTGGGCCAACTTCTACTTACTTTAAATATTATATAATTTTATTTAAATTAGGATTGAATTAAAATTCACTAACAGATACTCAAACAGAAAATGACTTTTGGTGTATTAGCTGAATGCGTGTAAGTCATCCTACATTCTGCCCTTACCAGCAACAACTGTACTAGGATTCACCTCTTGCAGGGCAAAGTCAAAACATGGATTTAATCCAATTTTTAATCAGCTGTACAGATGGGTTTATTTCACAAATGCGCTATGCTGCACAGATGGAAGTTCCTGAATGCCTGACAAGGTGTTAAAACAGTTACTGATATTACAAAGGAATTAAAAATCAGCATGGGAAATTATAATTAGTAGAGGCTTGGTCTCTGAAGAGTTTATTAGCTCAGCACTTATATTTTGTCCTTGGCACCAAAAGAATACATTTTTTGGTGAAGAAAATTTAAAAGTACACATTAGGCTTATATGATCTTGCATTCTTACATGAATTATTTTTTGGCATGTAAGGACCTTGTGGCTTCTGTAAAATACTAAACTAGAAAAAACATATAAATTCATGTATTTTAAAAGGTATTTTTGAGATTTGGATGCTTCAAGTGTCATCCAATCTAAAATATAATGATAAAAGCAATACTTCAATCATGAAGCTGGCACATAAGTAATGAACTTACTTTAGTTATATTCATTTCAATAACATCTATCACATAATAATCAGGAAGAAATGGCTACATCTCGGGCTCAATCAAAAGCCTCTAGGCACTCTGAAAATCTGCCCCAAACACCTGTGGTTCTTTATTAAGAGCTTATTTTCTTTGTGAAAAAGAACAGCCATTAAAGAGATAAGATGCTTTAATTATTTTGTCCAAGTAAATCTCAATATATCAAACTTCTTGGATTCAGAATTTGGTATTTCGACTCTCCCTAATTTTTCTATCATGAACCTATTACACCTTTCCTGGTGAGTCCTTCCCTCTTTCCTCCCAGCCCCACTCTATCTCCTCTGCCAACTGCAGATGTTGTTAAGAATTTACAAGCATTTTATTGATGAAATGAAAAAATCCTTAATTCCTACAGACTTGGAATTAGAAGAATTTTAATGGCACAGACATGCCTAATGTATTTTTAAATTTACATTAAATAGTTTATTAACCATAATTTTTTCCTAGTCCAACAAAAGAACTAAGAAAGCAAGAGAGAATGCAGGAGAGATAGCTGTCAGCTGGCAGATTGATTGATTTTTTTCAATGGGGTATCAATCATGGTAATCTCTAGAACTAGGCGGCCCAATGTGGTAGTCACAACACACGATTAATGAACATTTGAAATCTGACTAGTCTAAACTGAGATATGTGCTCTAAGTGTAAAATACACATTAGATTTCAAAAGAAAAAAAGCCAACAATGTCATTGATATTTTTGCAGCAATTTCCTGAAGAAGTGATGTTTTAGGCATATAAGATTCAATTAATATATTATTAAAATCAATTAATTACAATTTATTTTCGCCATTCCTTTTATTTTTATGAATATAGCTACTAAAAAAATTAAAATTACAGGTGTGACTCACATTTGTGGCTCATATTACAATTCTATTTTACAGCATTGGTCTGGAGTTTATTCAGAGAGAATATCTCAAGTAAGGGAGTGTGCCCTGTAAGAGGTAATTATACATAACTTCAGTCAGATAAATAAGCTTGCTTTTCTGTCAAATGGTAATGGATATTATTAATGTTTCTAAATTAATGACCCGCTATACAGCTATGGCTCATTTAACATAAATTAATCTAAACAATTTCACATTTATGTGTTTTATTTTTGTTTTTCCCATTGCAAGAAAACAAACTTTCTGTAAAACAGCAAGGCAGGTCTACAGCTAGAATCACAGCAGCTCCATAGGCCGTTTAGCTTGTTGAAGGTCTCAGTTGCTCACAGATTTCTACTTCTCTGCATGCTACTTCGTCTTTTTTATCTAGTACATATCTTCTCGACTCCTCACTGTTTTAGTCCTTGTCCCTCTCAGCTTTGGCCATTACACGACCCCAGAGTGCTGTTCTCCAGACTCTGCACGTGAATTTCTTTTCTTTTTTGCTTTTGTTCCCAGTGTTCTCAGCCCATTCTTTATTTCATAATTCACATTCTATAGAGAGGAAATCTGATAGTCCTTGCTCATCTTGTCCTACTCTGCCATAGCTCAAAAGTGACTGGCTAGGCTTTGTATGCTGGAGCCAAGAAAGACTAAGTCACCATGCCAAAAAAATTAACAGACACCTCGATCATACTTTAACCCAAAGTATAAGCAGAATAGTTCCCCTTAAAGGTGGTATGTGAAGGCAGGTATATTCTGAACACTGTCATGAACAATAGAAGAAATTAAATAAACCTAACTGAAACCAATACATAGTCTCCTACCAAAATCAGAAACTGATGTTTATAAAAAATATGTATACATTTTAATGGTTATTATTTTAAGTAATTCAAATTCATTTACAAAACACACAAAAAACAAACACATAAAATCACTTCAGATATATTACAAAATAAACAAACAAAAGGAATGAGATGATCTTTCTGTTATACTCAGCAATGCATAATGTTTGTATTTGACACTATCTATTCTTTCCTCTAAACATTATACGTCCTCTATTTCTTATATATTTACTGACTTACTTTAGGTACAACATAACAGTATTAAAATACCTTTAGTATTATCAAACTGTATACAAAGTCACATAATTGTTTCTTTTAAATTCATTTTAATGATTGCCACATCCTTGAACATGATTTAATTTTAACTAAGGGTTAAATGTAGCAGAATAAATCCCAAAATTCAAAATGGTAAGATGAAATTAAATAATTGAGAAAACCTTCATAAACAAGTTAGATTATACATCAACTTCATTAAGGAAAAAATAGCCATATAAAAATTATTTAGCATAGAAATTTATCACAAATATGTTGAGGATGCTGTTTACCTACCTCCAGAGCCTCTCTTGTCTTCCCTCTTACAAATAGTACTATAATGTTTAGCAAGGTACATTGCCACCAGATGTAAAAGACTACACCTACCAATATCCCTTATATTTAGGTATTACCAGATGCCTAAATTTGGGTCAATAGGCTATTAGCAGAAATATTTTATGAGACATCTGAAATTTTTCTTTAGAAAAGGATGGTTTTACCTATTTTCCTTCCTTTGTGCTTTAGCTACCTGGACTGAAAAAATGCAGTGTAGAGTTGTAAAAGCCCTCCTAGGACCTGTGGTGAATTTCAGAATGAAAGCCATGTTCCAAGACATTGTCTCAGGACTCTGGCACACCAGGAAGCAATCCAGAAACCCTGGACCACCCATCTTCAGACTTAGTTTACGTTTAGGTAAATAATCCTCTATATGTCTTAAGTGAGTCTTATTTTGAGTTTTTCTATTACATGCAGCTGAATCTATTCCTTACTGACAGAGTGTTTCAAACATTAAAATCATGTTATTATTTTAATTCACACAACCATTTCCTCAAAGACTTATAAATATAAAACCGTTCCATAAGTGTCTCCATAGATGTGTATTAAAACAATCAAACTAACAACATTTTATATTTGGTTGGGCATATACTTTATCAATACAAAACAATTTAGGTTGCAAATATTATTTTATATAAATAGGCTAGTTAAAATATAGCCCTGAGGTAAATACATTATATTGCTATTTCCAAAAGAGAAATGATACATAATTGCCCTGATCTTACTTTATAAACTATAGAAAACCTCTAACTAGTGAGCCTCTGTCTTATTTTTTTTAACTTTAAAGGGTTCTTCTGCATACGATCCTTCCCTTTTATTTTGGAAAGTCTTCATTAGTAGTTCTACTATTATTAAAAGTTATAAACCTAACACATGTAAAAATTCTAATATTGTATTTCTTTCTTAAAAAATTAGATGATGCTAATCACATTTTTTACACCTACTTTATTCAGTTAACAGGATAGCAGCTTCATCAGCCATGGCATTATTCTCCAAAAGTAAATAACTTTTCATTAGAGTTAAACCATGCTTTACATATCCATTGGATATTGTAGGTTTGTCTAATGTTTCACTAAAATAAGCCATAATAAAAAGTAAATAAATCCTTGTCTGTATTATCTATTATGCCTCTAGAAAACTGATGAGTGAAATTTTGAGTTAAAAGACTTGAGTGTTTTTAGTATGAATACTTTCAAGTTGATCTGTTCGAAGAGTGTATTATTTTACAGTACTCTTCATCGTACCTTTACTCAAAAAGGTCACTTAATGATTTTTTTTTATTTTACTGACGATAATTTTGCTTTAATTTGGATTAATAAATTTCTCCTTATTTTTAATGTAAGAGAAGTGGAGATATCCTAGAAGTATTTACCCCAGAGAATATATATTGATCAAAACAAGAAAAGTGTCATTATTTTCAATCTGCTTCAGAGAATTTCATTCTATGAGTAAGTCATAGGATATCAGCAACATTAAGGTGACATTTCTGTATATCTATCTTTTGGCTATACTTCCTTTGATTTGTTAATCCAACAGAAAGTTGTTGACAAAAAGGGTGAGTATTAATTCACTCTTTCACCATTTTCCCCAATTGAGGAACGTCACTGAGTAGGGCATGTATGGATCACCCTACATCTTGATTTTTACTCACTGATTATTGTGAAGACTTTATGGGTTTTTCCAAAAAAAAAAAAAATTTACTGTTTGAGACTGTTATTTATCTAACTAGGAAGAGATAGCAGTGTCCCATTTTTGAGTTTTAAAAATAATATTGATAGAAGTATAATACTGCTATAAAACAACTAGGTAACAATTTTGCCTATAGAGCGCTGCCCAGCAATTAAATGATTATTTTATGTTCCATTATCTCATTTAATTTATTAGTTCTTTATGGAGCAAAATTTGAATATCCATACTCATACTGTTCTGATAGCCTAATCAATGTTCCCCTGGTTACATGGCTAATTAGCACCCATGGCAAATTGGTTGAATGGGCAATATCGATTTCTCTCACTTTCCTAATAGAACCTTGGTATTATTTGAGCTGTTTACCTATGCTACATACAGCCACATGCATCAAGGAAAGCTAGGCACAATTCCCTTGAGAAAGCAATTTCTCATGAGAATCAGCCATGTGGCATTGCCCTGATGACCACCTCCAATCAAGAATTAGGCCCATTATGCAAGCTGGCCCAATACAATCCAAGGAGAAGGCTTATGCTGTATGCTTAGGGGAAAGCTTGCTTTTATGGACTCCTATGCATCAAGAAAACTGTCCCAATTGTCACTTGCATTCATCTTGAATGAAACTGATGCTGGATGGCAAAATACAGAAGAAGAAAGTTCTGATTTTCTCAGTGACGTTATTGAGCTATTGATCTGATTGCATCAAGATATTTAAGCGAAGTACAAATTTTCTTATCTTTTAGAAAGGGAGCTTAATTCAAGATTTCTATTACTTGCAGCCAAAATCATCCAAAGATACCCCTGACCTATCTTTCAACTGTACTACCCTGCAAGAAGGCAGGACTAGCTTCCTTAAGAAAATATCCCATTTGGGTAACTGTATAATTTAAAGGTAGCAAACACCTTGGAAGCCCTGACAATTAAGACAGACATTAAACAAAAAGTAAAGTCGTTAGTATTTGGGAAAATTTAACCTTGATTAAACTTCAAGGAAAAGAAAGGAGATAAAAAAATTCTCATCATGCATATTAAGGAGAAGAAAAAATAAAACACAACTGATTATGAATTACAAGAGATGTCGAAGCATTGCACTAAAAAGTACAAAGAAGACAATACGTATGATAGTGACAGATTCACAAAAACAAATCAAAATAATATTTATCCAACATCTTAACCAAGCTTCTCCAAATGACAAAAATTTAGTCAAAAAACAGTCCTGACTTTGAATAATTTAGGTGGGAAGTAGAATAAATTATGGATTCCTAGTCTGCACTTATTTTTGTGTGCAGTTAATCACAAGACCCTCAACCCCATGCTGTACCACTTGGTGTGACTCCTATCTCTTTAGACACTACCTCTGATGCACAAACTTAAGACAGCACACGGTAAAGAACACAGCACTTTTTATATGTGAGCCTGTATTGTTAGTATTTTTCCAAAGTGAAGACTTTTTTAAAACATATATGTTAAGATAACACTGAATCTGGGCCAGGCGTGGTGGCTCACGCTTGTAATCACAGCACTTTGGGAGGCTGAGGCAGGTGGATCACCTGAGGTCAGGAGTTTGAGACCAGCCTGGCCAAGATAGTGAAAGCCCATGTCTACTAAAAATACAAACATTAGCCAGGCATGGTAGCGGGTACCTTTAATCCCAGCTACTAGGGAGGTTGAGGCAGGAGAATTGCTTAAACCCAGAGGACGGAGGCTGCAGTGAGCTGAGATCACACCACTGCACTCTAGGCTGGGTGACAGAGCAATACTCTGTCTCAAAAAAAAAGAAAAAAAGAAAAAGATAACACTGAATCTGCATTTGCTGCTTTATTTTAGTAATTATTGAATGATACTTTTGAATCATAACCCGGCACTTTCCAAACTTAGCTGACCTTCTGAATCACCAAAAGAGAATTTTTCTTCCCCTTCATCCAATCAGTTGGCGACCCAGTGCCATAACTACCTATTTTTATGTGGAATATAGGCCTTCTATTTAACTATGACACAGTAATAAAGTGTTTAGTATGAAAGCATATCAAGGTAATTAATCCACTTATTAAAAGAGGAGAGTTCTCCAAAGATAAAGGTATAGAAGTTGATAATATACAACCTTTTTGTACCCTCATTTTGGTTCATGTTTGAAAGAGGGAACAGTGTAGGCACAGGAGACCTAGAGTTCGTGCAAATTTCTGTTGTACTATACTGATATTTAGCAAGTGTCTTCATCCACTTTGTGTTGCTAGAACAAATACCTTGGGTTAGATAATTATAAACACCATAATTTATTTCTTCACAATCCCGAAGTCCAAGATCAAGCCACCAGCATCTGATGAGGGCCTTCTTGTTACATCCTCACATGGTGGTAGGGCAAGAGAGAGCCAAGGTCTTCCTTAAGCCCTTTTTATAATGGCATTAACCCATTTATGGCAGCAGAGCCCTCATCAACTAAATCCCTCTCAAAAGGCCTCGCCTCCCAACCCTGTTGCATTGCAGATTAAGTTTTCAACACATGAATTTCAAAGGGGATACATTCAAACCATAGCATTAACCTTGGGTAAGTTATATGATTCACTTGACTTTCTCCTGCCTCATCTATAATATAGAATAACAATATACACATAATAAGAATTGATAGTTAAGTTGAATAGTATTTGTAAAGGCATTTATCGTGACGTCCAGCATGCTCAGCATCTTCCTATTGTTCCTAATATTAGGTTTTGGAATTGGCATGCTAGCTCACTGACTTCCACTCTGAATTTCAGGTTGAAACTTCAGTCTATCATCTCCCAGGGTACAAAGCTAAACAGTAATTTTTTTTTTTTTTTTTTTTTTTTTGCTGGGCTCCAAGTCAGTATCTTAAAGGCTCAAGGGAAAAATCAAAACAAAATAAAACAAAAAAAATCCAAACAAACTTAACTTATCCAGCTACTATCCTCACAGCAGTATTGTAAAAATCAATGATCCATCCCTGTTGTTTTTCCTATTTATTCTTTCCTCTTTCCCAGCAACACAGGACTCAGGCACAATTTCCTAGAGATAAGACTTCCAGTCTGACTAGCACATGTAGAATTGTCCTGGTTTTCTAAAAATCCACTTGATTTAAGAAAATCTAGCACATCTAGAATTGTCCTGGTTCCCTAAAAATCCACTGGATTTAAAAAATCTGTCTGCTCTTCTTTCTCTCCTGGCCTTCAACCAGAAATCTCAGCAATCCTAAACCCTCAAGCAACAGTTACAGCAACAAACTTCTCCCACTTACAAGTGCTTTCTCTGTGTCAATGTCTGAACCAAGACGTTTATAGCTACTGTCTTCTTTAATCTTCACAAAATCTCTATGGATTATGGGTAATTCAGACCCTGAGTAACCGGCTGAAATTTAGCAGGGTGAAATGTGACAAAATTGAGATGTGAATCAATGTTTGACTTCATAGCCTAGGCTCTTAACCAGCACCCTTTCACCTCAAGGCAATCTCCCCCGTGGCTAATAGTTTCTATTAGCCAGGCCATTAACATTGCAAGAACTTCTATTTCAATTAGTTTCTGTTGTCTTAGTGCATATTGAGACAATTCTTTCCTTGGCAATTGGACAAACTTAAAATTTTACCTCCAGCTCATCAAAAGAGTCTCTATACAATATGGCACAAATCTATCCACAGTGGGTTTATTTTTTTTTATTTTTTTTCCAGCTAGGAACATTTTTGCTCAGAATCTAGCTTTTATTTAAGAGCAACCAAAACTACTTTAAGTCTCTAAAATAGATTATATATACTTTATGACTCTATATTCTCCATTAGTAAAGCAAAATTTAAGATTGCAACTTCCTCTCAGCACTGTGTATCCCCGTTTTATGCTCTGTTGGTCTTACTAACATTTATCAATTTCTATAGACCATATAATTCACTTGTTTCTTTTGTACAATATCTGGCATTGTGAAAGGCAAGCTCCATAAGAATAGAATTTTTGTCAGTGTTGTTTGCTGCTATATTCTTGCATCTAGAACTTTGTCTGTCATTTACTTGGTGTCTAACAAATAAGTGAGCAGTGTACAAACTGTTCTATTCTTCAGCAAAAAATTCTGTCTATTTGAGTAAGGCTGGAGTCTAGTTACCAATATTGTTGTCAACCAAGATTATTTCTAGGGCATCTATCTTCTAATGCAATATCTGGGTTGCAGGGTAGTTACCAGGTAATGCTAAACGTTTTTAAGGTGGCTCTACCAATTTTTGTTTCCATGATTAATAAGAATTTTACTGAAGCCACATGCAGACCACTTAACAATGTAAGACAAATTTTTTTTGGTTAATTAAGTAAATGTAAAACGGTATTTCATTGTTTATTACTTGACATTTCTGTAATAAATAATAAGGTGGGACATTATTTTATATAGTTGTAAACCTTTATGCTTTCTCCTCTGTAAACATTTTTTGGCAATTTTTTCCCCAAAAGATTTGGTTGTTTTCTTATTGATTCCTAGCAGTTCATAATATGCTTTGGATAGTAATCATTCATGAGTTAAATAAGTTGCAAATATCTTCTAGCTTGACTTTTTACTCATTTTTCAATCACCTCTCACAAAGAGAGGTTCTAATTTTTTGTAGTTGAATGTATTAACCTTTTCTGCATAATTTATAATTGTGCCTGCTTTATAAAATTTCCTGTCTATGAAGATATATTTCTATATTGTCTTCTTAAAGTCTATTTGTTTTGCATTATATATTTGGTTTTTTAATTCATCTATAATTGATTTTGTGTATGGTGTGAGGCAGGGGCCTGTTTAATGTTTTTAGTAAAATGAATAACCAACTCTTTCATCAATAGAGTAAATCCTATCCTTTTTCCCATGACATAAATTGCCACCTGTCATATATCAAGTATCCTTATTTATTTTTCAAGTGCCCAATCTCATATATAATTCCAAATAATGTTCCTACCTATGGTTGGAAATCCTTAGCCATATTATTAATCTATGAAACTTTATACAGGATTAAAAAAGAAATCTCATGTCATGTAGAAGACTAATCACCTATACTGTTTTTAAAATTGTATTTTATCTTAGCCAGCTAATGTTGGCTCTCTGTAGGAGTTACATTTCTATAAATAATCAATCAAGCATAACACAGAAAAGTTAATACTCAAAGGCAAGACAATTTCTAAACAGGCGATTTACCATTACTATGCAAATTCTCTAGCTCTAAGCCTTTAGTGAAGCAGAAGCTATTGTGTGAGGTTAGCTATCATCCTACACCACGCACTGAATTTATTGCAAGAGTAAGTGAAGTAACTTCATTTTCTATTGTAGCTCTGTTCATCTGTAATAATGCAAGAGTGATCCTTTGCACATAAACACATGGAGAAATTAATACATTATAAATAAGTACAGCAAAATCAATGTAGGTGAGTCATAAAACACAGGATTTAATGTTTGACAATTATTAGATATTTGAACTTATGATGAAATTTTCAATATATTATAACTTGAGCAGTGTTTTTTTCCTCTAAATTGAGTACATGTTAAAAAAGGGAATTCATTATTATGCTATGCTGGTAAACATTTCAGTAAAATAATTTTAGTCCATTGACAATGTTTGAATGACAAACTGCAGGACTATAAAGATTTTGTGATTTATATACACACATATATTAAGTTGGTGCAAAAGTAATTGCAGTTTTTGCCATTACTTTCAAATACAAAAAGTAATTGTGGTTTTTGCCAATGAAAGTAATGGTATAATTTGTAAATAATTATGTTTTTACATACATGTAAATAATGTATAATAATGTATTACATACATGTAAATAATGTAGTAATGCTATAATTTGTACATGCTTATGTATGTATTATGTAAATTGTATAATTTGTAAATGCTATCATTTGCCATTACTTTCAATGGAAAAAATCGCAATTACTTTTGGATTAATCTAATAACATTTGTTGTGATTGTTTTCTAAACATATATAAACCACACTCTGTAACTCTTTTTTCTATCATGTGGACTTTTCTACAATATAAATAATATAGTGTGACAGATATACACTCTGTATACCACTCATAAATACATTGCATTATGCACACAAAAAATCTTTGTTTTACTGAGCTGAAGTCAATACATAGTTATTCCAAGACTCTTACACACCTGGGTTATGAATTTTATAATAAAAATCAATAATATCCTATTTAGAATGCTTACTTTGCTCCATCAAAGTGCTCTGCAAATTTCAATTCACGAAATTCCAAGGGTATATTAAGGCATATTAGTGTGGTTTTATATAAGTCAGTAATTATATGTAAGTCAGTAAATGAAAACATTTTTCTTGTTGGTCAATCTATTACCTTCGAGATTTATTCCAGGATCACCTGAAGAATTCCACAATAGTAGAAAACTGTCTGTATTAACATATACAACTGGATAAATTATTCCAAGGACATGCCATTAAAAATGTTGTGAACATAGATTTTATTAAACATAGAACATATGTATACATTGTACTCCTATAGAGTTAGGAAAACACAGACCATATATGTGCAGCTTGTTATAAAACCCAAACCTGGGCCAGGCACGGTGGCTCATGCCTGTAATCCCAGCCCTTTGGGAGGCTGAGGTGGGCAGATCACCTGAGGTCAGGAGTTTGAGACCACCCCGACCAACATGGTGAAACCCTGTCCCTACTAAAAATACAAAATTAGCTGGGCTTGGTGGCGCATGCCTGTAATCCCAACTACTCCGGAAGCTGACGCAGGAGAATCACCCGGACCCAGATGGCAGAGGTTTCAGTGAGTCAAGATGGTGCCATTGCACTCCAGCATGAGTGACAAGAGTTAAACTCCATCTCAAAACAACAACAACAAAAACCAAGCCAAGAAAACCCACCAAATCTGTGGTAATTTGTTATATTACTACAGATTACCTTTGAAAAAATCTGATCATTAAATTGGCTATACATGTGAATGCCTAATAAATATATGTACACACTCATACATATATATGTAGGTGTTGCACTTAAGGATAGTGTGCCAAAACAGATTCGATACTAAATTCAAGCAACCTGAGTAGTTACTATAGTGTATTGATAGTGAAAATGTTAAATATAATCACAAAAATAATTTAGAAATAGCTTATTTTCAACAATGAATCAAGGAGTGAAGAATATTTTCACCTTAGTTGATTGGATTACATCATGGTAAGATTCTTTGTGAACCAGAACAAACAGAAATTAAAATTGACTTTTGCTGCCAATTTTAAAATTTCATAATACTGCACATGTAATATATGCTTATATATATATATAAAGATATGTATATAAATATATAATGCATTCTCATATGATGGTCATTAGATGTAAAACCTGGGCCTACAGTTAGTCTTCAAATGTCTACAACTCACTAAGCACTCCTCTGGAGAGAACATGGACTATTCATGTTAATTAACTTTGATTGTTTGCATGCCCAAGGCTAGTGTCTTTATTCAACGAATACCTTTTGCTATGCATAGATAGAAAGACATTTTCTGGTAAGAACATACAGTCTAGAATAAAACAGATAGAAAATAACTTAGTATTACTTTAGGATGAGTCAGTGATTTTATAGGTAAAGTGAAGCAAAGCCCAAGGTATAAATTAATCCTTAATACCATTATATTGGCTTTAGTGGTACCACTCACTTACATTACCACTTCAATGAAATGTATCTAAACAACTTTCATGTTGTCTTTCAACATTTATGACGTATTTATTTATAACTAGTGTCAGAACATTTCATTGAAGTATTATAATATGGTTTATTGGTCCATCACCTTTTTCTCTCTTTCTAGAAAAAAACAAATATGACTATATGTTTAAAATCAAAGGGGAGGAAAAAAGAGTATAAGGCATTGACTAGTAGAACCTATTTTCTTTTTGAAAGAATTGTGCTGAAAACTTTAACATCTGTTGTGCTTGATTATTGGAGCTTTATTTTCATTGGCTTCTAAAATAATGCTGTTACATTCAAGCAAGTAGATTAAATGTTATTAGCTTTAATACCTTTTAAAACAAGTAATCTGTTGAAACGATAATGGAATTTAAAGTAAGTACATTTGTTAAATTTGTTTTTACACTATTGTGTTTTCCCTGTTGGCCACATGAATCTCTAAACCCGACATTGCTAATTACAATTATCATATACAGTATATGTATATGTGATTAACTTCACACTACACTTAAGGCAGACATAAAGGTAACTGAAGAACTCCACTGTCATGTATAATTCTATGAAGGAATAATTCTCTTTGTTATTTTATTTGTCTTAGAAACAAGAAAGATAGTTTTTTTCACATAAATTTATGAACCCATTAAAATAAAAAACGTAGACTGTAATGTTAATTTACTATGAGATGACAGGCATCTGGGTCTAATTAGGAAGAAGGAAGGAAGGAAGAAAGGCAAGAAAGAGAAAAGGAAGGAAAGAAGGAAAGAGAGGGAGGGATAGAGCAAGGGAAGAAACATGGATGGGAAAGATCCTAGAGTAATCTTTCCAATTAATACACACCAATTTAGATTTTCAGTTACTTAGGTTTGAAGAATTAGCTCCACCGTCATACATGGTTAGAGGCAAAGTTTCAATACTTCTTTTTGTGTCAAGACACCTGTCTTTTTACTTCAGTGCCAGAAGCGTTTAGCATCTTGTCACTGAAGAGACGCAGCCTGCACATTTATAGGTGTCACTCACTCTACCATCTGTTCCTTAGGATAACAGCCACCATTATCACCCAACCTCCACCTAAGGCTTTAACAATCTCTGTGGATTAAAGTTCAGATCTACAAGGAAGAATGGCTGGCAGTAATGCTGCTGTTCAACTTTGCTTGACCTTAACTCTCCTGCTGTCAATACTGTATTGCAGCCTGTTAACTCTCTTTTTCATCCTATGTGTATATTTCACTATAAAGTTCTTGATGTAGCAGTGAAACAATATAAGATCTTTTGCTCTGTTATTACCATTTTTGGTTCCCTTTTCACTTTCAGTTCACTGAAACACTCATGACTACATCTATAGTATCTTTAATAAATAAAGTTAAAGTGAATGAATCCTAATTAGATTTCAGTTCTGGTGTCACTAATCAGACAGTTTCGCAAATGGAACTAACCCAAACGGACACACACAGGCACACACACACACACACACACACACAAATTGAAATAAGAATGAAAAGGAGGAGATTGTGTTAAATGCCAGCAAATACAGGGTAATAAAGTATCTTAAGAATTTATTTAACATAATTTCACTTATTTTTCTTTTTAGTATAAAATGAATACAGTTTGATTATCTCTTCTCTAACATGCTTGGGACCAGAAGAGTTGTGTATTTGGAATTTGTTTAGTTTTTGAAATATTTGCATTATATACTGACTGGATCAGCATCCCTAATCCAAAAATTCAAAATCCAAAATGCTTTGAACATTCTTTGAGAATCATGTCAATGCTCAAGAAAGTTTCCAATTTTGGAGCATTTCAGATTTCCAGTTTTGGGATTTGGAATGCTCAATCTATCATACTACATATAAATATAAGATAAATTGATTAACAAATACTTGTTGCTAACACCTTTATGAAAGGTACTGCCTAACAAATAATTTATAAATAGCTTTAATTAATTAATTCCAGCCGATATATGACTGGGGGAAAATATCACAGTGCACCATATTCCCATTCTTTTATTAATTTACTTTCTCTCTTTATTGTTGATATGATGCTTCCTGATTAGGAGTAGTATTTTTATGCCTGTTTTTATTTTGGTGGCTTTTCTTCTTTCTATATAAGATATTCTGCCACATTCAAATGAAAGAGAAAAGGGAGGGTGTTCTGTTTACTCATTGCCAATCAAACTAATAAAAATGTTTTGCAAAGATGGTAAAACATGATAATGCTGTCAATTTAAAGCAGCTCATTACAGATGGAGTGTTTGCACTCATTTTGTTCTACAACTGAACTTTTACTGTGGCTATAAAACAGCATCTCTTTGTTACTACAAACACTGAATTCTGCTGAATCCTTTTGCTTTCCCCACTGATTTGTTTGTGTGCTCACTCGCTCATGGCTTTTGGAAGGATTCATCTCCTCTCTCCTCTGGGAAGCAGTAACTGCTGCCCAGTAATGTTCTAGGATGGCTGTCTGCACGCTGCCTCCTCCATTTTATAGGCAATATTAGCAAGTTAACCCATGATTTTTCAACAAAATAGATAGTTTAGGATTTTGCTTAAGGATGATATTTCCGTAAAAATTAGCACGGTGTTTGGAAGCATTTTCTACCAGTTTTCACTATCCCTTGGCTTAGGGGGCACTTGTGGCTATCATCTGCAGTTGGCTAGCACTTATATGTCATGCCCATTCCTGATCCATTTGAATGTGTGTGAAGAAAGCTTATTTATTCAGCCAGCTCCATTTATATACAGCATTGTGACATTTTTGTCATGTGTACAGAGGCTGGGGAAAAAGCAAAGTTGCAGACCCTTGTCTGTAAAACATGGAAGCCTACCATGGAACAACATGTCAAGGGGATATTCTCATTAATGCAGTGGTGTTACTTATACCTAATTAGTCTCTTTTGTTCAATTAGGACCAGTCATTTAAGCAGTACCCCAGTTTTCTGCTGATAGTGACAGCTTCCTCAAATTAGTTGGCTTCTCTGGTTTGAAAAATTAAATAAAAGTGTAACTGTGTTTTAGTTTGAGATGATATTGAGAAAAAGCAAACATAAAGCAATGTTTCTCATTTGATGGGTGCATAAGTAATAAACTGAAGAGAGATTTTTAGTAATATGCAGAATATAGGTTCACTGTAGAGAATTAATCCTTTCAACAAGTATCTGTTGAGCTTCTACCACACACTGTGAAAATGGTGAATAAAATAGTTCTTGCCTTCAAGAAGCACAAAGCCTAGGAGATATAGACATATAAATACATAATTATATTAGATGTGTGTTATTAATATAAAATTGATAAAAGTGTATTAACGGTTGAAGAAGAAAATAATTAGCACATTAGGAGAAGTAGGGAAATGCTAGGCAAGATTATAAAAAAGAAGTAAATTTTGATTTCTGTGGCAGATGAAGACTTTAAAAGATGGGTGAGCACTGGAGAAAAAAATTCTGTGCAATGATTATAAGAGGTGAGAAAACAAAGCAGTGAAATAATACAGCTTATTAGAGGAATTTAAAGAACTTCAGTAGAGCTAGTTCATAGGTTGAGATAAGGAGAAAGAGTTAGGGAAGTGGACAAAGAAATAATTAAGGGGATAGTTCCACACCATAATTAAGACTCTATCTCTCAGGTTACAGAGTTCTTTTGACTGGGAGTTATATTTTAAAATATGTGTTGCTCACATTTTTTTTCTAGTATTCTAGACCATTAGTTAGGCATTGCTCTAAAGACTTATTCAACCTACCCATATATAAATTTCATGGGGAAACTGGGGTTTCCCCGTGAAACCCCATTATCATCTTGGGGTTGATAATGATTTATGGTTATTTAAAAGTAATTTATACCCCATAATCTAAATATATGTAGGATTCCAATTAGACTCCAGCACTTTACCATAGTGACATAGTTCTTTCAGTTGTTCATCTTTGTCTGCTTTACGGTTATTAGAGAATAAATTCCTTATAGAACATAAAGTCCTAACCCTATAATAACAAACTTTCTAAGTAAACCATCAGTGTAAATTTTAAAACAATTTCACATAAATTGTAAATGTAGATAAATCGCTAAGTGCAATCTCTATGTATGCTATGGCGAATAAAACACATGTGATACTTTCTTTAAAATAACTCAACGTTAAACCTCTACTATATGAAGACATGTCTTTCATTTGTACATAATATAATCTCCCATATTAATATGTTTGCATTTATAGAGTATGTGCATTTAAATAAAAACACATATTGCTTATTTTTTTAATATGGGACATCACTGTATATAGAAAAGGACAGAAAGTTGTAACTTTCAGCAGGGTCTTTAAAGCCTTTTCCTAGCTAAGCTGGAACCTATTTCTCTAGCCTCATCTACCAATCTTATCTGACTAAAACATGGTGTCCTCAGGTCATACACACAGAATGCATTAAACAATGTGTTCTGTTTTTGTTTCTTGGGGGGTGTGTGTGTGTGTGTGTGTGTGTAAGAAAGGGAGGGAAGAAAAATAAGAAAAAATAGGGAAAGGAGGAAGAGAGCAAGAGAAAGATAAAAGAGGAGGAAGAAAATGACAGAGGATAAAAAGAGAGAAGAAAGTCATCCTTGGGAGTTCAACAAAGTCAGTCATTTTTTCTTGTTTTTCCAAATATGGGCATTAAATATTTACTACACTCTTAACCAACACAAATACAATCCTATGAAATGTATGGCTTTCTCTGCAAAACCATTAGTTCTAAATATAATTTAACCATAACCTTCTAATAATTTTTGAACATTAAATGCCGTAAATAATTTGATTTAAAAATATCAACTTTTTATGGCCACTGATTTTCTTGATCCAAATGCGTCTTTAAGACAGTCCCTAATCCCATCTTCTCTTCCTTTGGTCTTCCTTTCTCCTCTGGAGTATATGCAGGCATAGGTGTGCACAGACACTGAATCTAGACAAAAGACTAATGTTCCAGAGATAAGTGGTTCACCTTTCCATGAAAATTAGAAAGAGAAAAAGTGGCTCCCCATGCATTTGTATAATAGGTAGGCCTATTTGAAATGATCTCTTGGCAATAGAGGAGTTATCCTGGAGGAAAGTTTTGCCTAACGGAAATCTACCCTGGGCAACTGACCTCAGGGCTGCTTCGTTCAATTTGCTTCATCTTCATCGCCTTCCCAATATCAAACATCTTCATCTTAGACCCACAATATTTTCTACCTGAAGAAGGTGCTTTTAATTTGAAATGCCTGGTATAGCACAGGCACAGAAAGAAAATGGCTCTGAATTATTAGAAATATTTGACTATATGATGCTTATTCCTGTTCCTCGTTTTTTTTTTCTTTTTGAGACACAGTCTCACTCTGTCAGTTAGGCTTGAGTGCAGTGGCATGATCTCTGCTAATTGCAACATTTGCCTCCTGGGTTCAAGAATTCTCATGCCTCAACATCCTGAGTAGCTGAGATTACAGCGCGTGCCACCAGGTCCAGTTAATTTTTTGTATTTTTAGTAGAGACGGGGTTTCATCACCTTAGCCAGGTTGGTCTCAAACTCTTGACCTCAAGTGATTGGCCTGCCTCGGCTGCCCAAAGTGCTTACAGGGATTACAGGCGTGAGCCACCACACCTGGCCTGCTACTCTTTATTAAGAGACTATTTTACTATGCTTTCTTTTATACATTTCATGACTTTAAACTCCCTTGTTCTCTAGAAGCTCTGTGATTTATGTCCACATATTGCTTTTTGCTAAGTTGGAAAGCGTTGGAGATAGTCTATGCGGTCAAGTGGTCAGGAAGGTAAGCATACTGACGGAACGAGGAAAAGCAGTCAGCCTGTTGTGGGGAGCCTGTCACACACATCATGCCAATGACAGATGGTGGGCAAAATGGAGACTGGGCATGATTGGTATCACTTAACAAAATCTTTCTGCATTGAGAGACTGTCACCAATAATCTATTTCCCTGATGAGTCACCTTATAAGCATATGATCTACTTTACTAGCAAGGTGTCCAATAAACTTGTGTTCCTCTAATAGATAGCAATATTCAGTAATTAACTGCTAAGAACTATAAGGACCAGTATTAATTTCACTCATAAGTTATTCTCAGAGAATAAGAAATGTCTATATATTGTCTGTTTTGAGCTGCCCTTTAACACAACTTACGTTATTTAAGTTAAAACATTCAATCACTGATTTGTAATAAGGAACAATCAGTAATTTTAAATTATTTCTCTTAACTTTTGTCAAAACCTCACCTTCTGTTAAATGGCAATTTACAATGTCAGAAACCAGGTCAAAAAACTTTATGAGTCTCCTTAAAATGTGGGCTTTTGGCAATCTAATGACATCTTTAAAACTCCAGCCATCAGAGAGTTTTGTTGGTTAAATAATTTAACCATTGCCTGAGTCTGACTGTATTCCACTACATCCATCATACCATCTTGGCCCTGGTCAACTGGATGGGGACAGGAACTTGCTAGCTTCTCTACCTGCTTCCCTTCTTGCTGCCTCAGAGTATGTTTTCTACACAGAAGTCAGAGCCATCTTTTACAATTATAACCCATAGCCCCCTGCTTCCTTCCTCAAAATTCTCCATTGGTTTCACATAATATTTAGAATAAAATCCAAACTATTTTTCATCGTCACCAAAGGTTACACTATTTCCCAGATGTTGCAATCCCTCTAACCACATAACTCTCTCAGTTCCACCCTTCTATCTATTCCCTGTAACATAAACCCTGCCCTCTCACCCCCAGCCCGGGATCTATTTCTTCTTTCTGAAGTACTTTCTCTCATGTTGTTGAAAGAATCACTCCTCATTTCATCCAAGTCTTTGTTCAACTCCTCTTCAGCAAAACAATTCCTACCTATTCAAAATGAAATTTAACTTTGCCCTACCCCCACTAGCAATCATTTTGCACTTCATTCTATTTTTTTATCACTACCTGAAAATATATGATACATATATTTCTTTACTTGTTTATCATTTGTTTCCAGCACCCTCATGTAAGCACCAAGACCACAAGGCTTTGTCCGTCTTACTGACCATTAAAATCTCCAGTGCCTAGAATGGTCGCATTGTAGATAGATGCTCAAGCATATCCTCATACGCCAAATGGATAAATAAAAAGTACTTTGCTAATCTAAAAATTTGTAGGTTAGGATTGCAGTCAGCAAGATGTCTCACTTGCATACTGATTTTGGTTGACTGCCTTAGTACATTTAAATCTAGCCAGAAATCTTGGTGAAAATCAATCTTTGATTTTATATCACAATATAAGTCAAATTGTTTTTTTTACAAACATATTTAACAATCTCATTATTCCTAATTTTCCTCACTTAAAAAGAGGATAATAATGCTACCTATATTTTAGGGTTCTTGTGAAGATCAAACAAGCTGATACATGTCAAGCAGCTAGAAAAATGCTGGCACATCCTAACTATTCAATAAATGTTACCTCTTGTTATTACTATTGTTATTTAGTTCAGCTCAAACCAAAATGCATTTGGAGCATTTTCTTTCTTTCCTTTTTTTTTTTTTTCGCCACAGCAAATATATTGTTCTTAACTAAAAATGTGTAGGCTGAAACCTCGAGGAGGGGGATGTAGGTCTGTATATATCCTCAGAACGTCACACATTGCCTGAAAAACAATAGATATTCAACAAATGCTAGTCAACTAAATTAATGAACATAATTGAAAATAAGCTTGAATTTTTCTAGTGAAGGTTAAGCAATAACATTATTTTGAATAATGAAAGCTCCTTTCACTGTACTGTGCTGGAATACCTAGAACTACGTGTAAAATGTAAGTAGTGACCAATAGAAAATAAGGTTACCTTAACTTCCTTTTTTCCTGTGTGTTCTAGGACAAAAGTATAGGCATTGCCAAGGTCAGAGAATCAAATGCTCATTGAGACTGATTAATAAAATTACACTTACTGATATTTGCCCTGTAACAAATTTCCATCTTAAAGCAAAATGAAGTTTACATATTGCTGCAGGCATTGTGCAAATTAGAACTTCATTGAATATTAATGAATTACTCTTTGTAGTCAATTGTTATGCAAATTACCAGAGTGTCAGAATTTATCATTTTATTTGGTTGAGGATTAAGGGGAAAATCTGCTTTCAAAATCAAGCAGAACTCTACACAAACTAATATGTGAATTCAAGAAAGAAAATGTTATAGAATTTCTGAATGTTCAGGATTAACTATCAGTTTTTGGTTATTTAAAAAATATTAATCTATGTACGTTCTTCAAATTGCAGAAAGGTTAAGATATATTATTAAGCAAGTGGAGAGTAATCTTGTGGCTTTTTGAAAATCTTTAGAACATTAAAAAAATCTATACAGCATGTCTTTCTACAAATAATATAAAATCACTATAATCATTCTAAAAGTAGTTTAAACTGCATACTCAACAAATTCCAAATCAGGATAAGAAATGTATATATTAATGTGTATGTTGAATTTCTAATTTTCATTGCATGTAGACCAGGTGTTTTTCTGTTTGTTTGTTTGTTTGTTTGTTTGTTTGTTTTTAACTAAAGTGTCTTTAAGTGTGGGAGGAAATATAACTAAATGGCAATACAACTTCTAAACAGGTCAACTGTACATAGAATTTATTAATCAGGTTTTTTTTTTCTTAGAGCTGTTTATTATTTGTTTTAGTCTGCCCTTAAAAAATAATTCTAGTTAGTATTAATCAAAGTTTCATCAATACAGTTCTAATAAATGATTTGAACATGAAAATATCACAGAGACAAAACTTCTCAAAATAATGAATTCCTTTTAAACTGCCTCTGCAATATAATATGTTGTGAACAGTCAGGCACATATAAGGCTGTTGATTCATACAGGATAGTTAAAAGAATGAACAATTTCATTGATAAACACTATGCATATTTTTTCATAAAAATGGAAATTAAGATTATTCACCTATTTTACCTTAGGGATTTTAAGAAACAGAGATGTAATAAATGTTATTATAATTACACATTTTGTACTGCATATTTCTTAAAGACAATGGAGAATCTTATTCAACTGAAAAATGTGGCAGGTACTATCCATTTCATTGGTTATTTAATCTGATATAAAAAATGTACACTTCAATAGGGTGCTGTAAAGTTTAAAAGTTTGTTAATATTTCTCTCACAAGAGCCATTAAACTTTAAAAATTATAGTCAAGTAATTAAAAAACTATTAATATTTGATTTATTAAATGTTTTTTATATAGCATTGCAGAACAACTGAGAATAACAAAAAATCTTGGCATATAACAATTTCTTACAGTTTTCTCTTTATTTTATTATTTTCCCAATTATTTCAGAGCAAGAGGTGTTTTGCTAGTTAAATAGGGTGACAGTGGGGTCAGCAGCACTCTAATACTATTAATACATTATTTTAAGGGAACATTTTTCTCCCAAATTGAACCAGGTATTTAGGAACTCTAACGGAATCACCTTTAACTTGGCAGTCAAGTAATAAAGCACAGAAGACATTACTAATTTAAAACCATACTTCTAGAATTTGAGTTATTAAATTGAAGTATGTCGGTTTACAAATAGAATCAACTCTGACTACACACAGTGTCAAGGTTGAATTTCATTCCTATGAAAAAAAAATTGGTGTAATTAATTATGATGTCAGCCTCTCTAGAGGGGGCATCCTGTCCCTAGAGGTATACAACTAATGTGTGCTGTTTGCAGCCCTAGGCCATAAAACAAGTATTCTTTTTCTTTTCTCTGCTTTCTATAAACATGCAATTCCAAATACAGTAAATGGTCTGATTAAAAGCTATCACATGCAGAGATGGTGTGTGCATTGCTACTGAGACAGCCAGTAAAGTAACCACCAGGTCAAAAGATAACATTTAAGAGCTAAATTAAACCAGTTATCCCTTTCGACTCCCTCTAATTTCAAATACAATTATGTACTATTCTGGACACCAAAGCCTTAATGCTCCTCACCAGGCACTTAATGCCACTCCTGAGCATCCAGTAGAGACCACCTAACTCCACCAATCGCCCCAGCAGAGCTCCTGCAGCAACACTATGAAATCACAAAACCACTTGTTCACTGAAGCACTCCCCTTCTTTTGGCTGTCTTCAGTACCAGGGCAGCAGGTTTTGTTTTATTTTCCCTTTCCTCTCCATTACTCTAGGGTGTTTTGAATTTCATTACAATAATGATTCATTTCATATGCATATTGCAAAAAGGTTTAGAGACTGCTCAGTGCAGAAATGGGTGGATAACGTTACAGAAAATTTGACCCGTGAGAAGGAACTGCCATCTATATTCCTTTGCTTAGTAAACTATTTTAAACAGCATCTAAAAATGTGTAGCATAACTATGCTGGCTTATGGAATAATCCACAGAATATGAAGTTGCTTTCCAACTGACTGAGACAGACATGCTGTTAAGTGATCTGTGTGATTTTCTTGGTGTAATAACCAGTTGTCTCTGGCTCACTGGGTGCCAGGGGCTACTAGAACAACTCAGCCTTGAGCTTGACAGGGACTGCTGAGTGACCACACATGATTTTGCTACAAGCAGCCATTTGCCTGGTTAAAATCAATAAAATCCTGCTGTAATAGCAGCATTCGGATATGTGACTCTACTGTTTTCATTGAGAAGTCTTACTATTTAATTTACTCATACACATCTAATTCTCTCTTGCTCTTCCCCTAGCAGGATGTCACAGTTTACTACATTGTGTTTTGGACAAACACTCTCAAATAATTCAGCTGTAAACTCATCCCTGGGTTAGCAGCCTTTCCAAGGTTTTGTTTACTGAATCACCAATAATTAGATCATAAGAGTGTATTTCCACAGTCACACACATGTGAGGAGAAGAGGAGACTGGTCATTTGGCATAAACAATGAGAAAATAATACCTTTCAAGACACTTTGCATGACTCCTAAATTGCTTAACTTTTAAGAATAAATTTTAAATTATTTTAACAAAGTTTCTTGGTTGAGATAGAGAGGAAGATTGTAAAGGGAACATAGTTTCACAAGCACTGTAAGAGATTGCAGAATTGCAAGAGAAGCAGGGTCAATAAACAAACAAATTAATAGGTAAAAATAAATAAACAGCAAGCCTCTTTTGCCCAATTACTGTTCAAAGGAATTTGTTGTTAACTAATTGGAATTAGTCCTGGAAGAGTTAAGTTAGTTCTTATCATAGCTCTTATACTTTTCCTATATAAAAATTACTTATTTCATTTTCTGCAAATTTTGGGATATAAATGACACATCCCAACATTTTCAAGAAGAGTAAGAAGAGCAATTTCAAGGCTAGACAGTTTGTGGGGTTTTTTTATACTTCTTATAGGAGGGGGACTATATATAATTCTTTAATTTCAAACACGTTTGAGAGTGAAAGGGAGTGTTATTCATAATTACGTGAAGACAGTCAATACAGTTCTGGACAAATTGGGAATATATAGTCAACCAGGCAATGTTTCTCAAGGTTCTAAGGACATTGGCTAAGCTTACTAACCACAGGAGATCCATGGAAGGGGTAGTTTGGTAGGAAGATAAGAATGTATCCTATTCTACCACCTCCCTTATCTTGGCAGATAGTTAATAAATATGTTTCATCCATTATTTACTTATGTTCCTTAGGACTTTCAAATGCTTCATTCCATGATACTGTACAGAGCCAACTTTGTTCAATGTTACATAAAGTAAATAGTTTGAAAAATTCAATTTTGCAGTGTTTCCTAAAGTGTGGATACAACAGAAATCCTACAGGACATGTAGCAGATCTCTAGAGATATTGTTGAGTCCTAATTATCAAACAAGGGAACTAATTCTGCAGTCAAACGTATTCAGGATACTTAGTAGCACAAGTCCTAATGCAATAATTCAGGGATGGTGCACATTTTAGAGAATCCAGAAGTGACAACAGTGTATCCACAGAATATTTCAATAAAGATGCAACTTGAAAACTAAAATAGGTAAAAATAAAATTGCATGTTAATCTAGAAAATTAGAAATATGGATTTTCTCACTGGGAGGAGGTGAGTGGTGATATACTTTAATCCCCTTATGTTGCACAGGATGGACATCAGGTTCACTGACGTTAAATAACAGACACAAAGACACCCAACCAGGTACTTGTCCACTGGGACTGTAACATAACTTTGCCTCCATTTCGTATCTTATGAAAGAAAAAAATAGAATTGTTGATATAGAACATAGAAATATTCCAATTCCGTCCTATGTCCTCATATCAAGATGATACTATTTCTTTCTTATTTATTTTGCTACAGTATTTTTATCCACTCTGGATACAATGCAATCACATTTGAGGTTTGGCAGACTGCCCTTTTGGCTTAGCAGAGTTGATAAAAGGTTGCCAAATACCACAGTAGTTCATATTTATTTTCTGTTTTATGACTTTTTTTCCCCAAAACCCTCTGTGCTTTTACTCAGTAAACCATCAATCAACTCTAGAAAAAAAACATTACTTCTTCTGTGGGTTGCCAATGTGACTCTAGCTGCAAACAGCATGACTTTTATGCACACAAAATATATATGTTTTTAATAGTTCTAATCCAGGGGGGAAATATCACATTTTAGAAACCTTATGTATATATGTGTTTGTGTGAATAGATCTACATCTCTCTGTACATATTCATAAATATGTGTTTATGAATGTGTAAACCTTCCAGCTAAAAATATGTCAAAACTTATTTTATATCCCAAATATGTTTAAAATTTGATTTAATTTTTTTCTTTTTTGAGACTTGGCATTGGGAGTGATTCAGTGTTACCAGAAAACCAACAATTTGGAGCTCTGGTAATAAATACAGAATAGCCCCAGGTGGTATAATCTAATGTTGACTAATTCATGGATTGGAAGATATTTGAATATATACAATCATCTCTTGCTGCAGAGTTAGGTTTCCAAGCCAGTATCCCATGTGAAATAGACTATTGGTTACTATGTTGGAACAGGCCCATCTGCTGAACATTTGTGCCCAGTGTAGTCTTGGCTATGTATGATTACCTTTGTCATTGTTGTTATGGAAGCAAAGAGCTAGACACCAACTCTACAGTTTCTACAGCCCACACATACTCACCAACATAATTAAGGAGCTAGTATAACGATTAGCAGCATCGTTTCTGGGTTTGTAGTTTGGATCTGCTGTGTACAAATTCTTGCTTACTTTAAGTGAAGCACTTTATCTCTCTAAGTTCGGTATGTAAAATTGGGATAATAATATTTCCCCTACTGTGCTGTAGTTAATGAGTCAAGGAAGTACGGTGCTTAGCACAGCACCTGCAGGCAAGCATTCATCAACCAATTCATTTAATTTTCAAACATTGGCAACTAGTATATGCATAATAAATAGTAGCAATTGTTTTGCACTTTTCAAACGGAAAACAGGGCCATTTGTATCCATTTATGATAAAGAATTGTTTTTAATTCTGTCTCTCATCACACTTCCCCTTCTACCCCTATTATGTAAATAACTGAATTTGGGAATGATCATAGCAGGCACTTTACTGCTACTTTTTCCTAAAAAATGTAGATATAAGCTCCACTAACATTCTCAAAACTCAAGTTTCATTCATAATTGAATGCCAGATTTACAGTGTTTTTTACAGAATGAAATTAGACAATCTTCAACCATCTTACTCCTATAATGAGAAATACCAATACAAATATACTACAACTTACAGGATTACTTAATATCATAAGCTTAAAAGCTACAGTTTTGTCACTCCACCACCATTCCTTTCCTTCACCTAAAACATACATCATTCCAGCCTACAGATTCCCAAACATATATTATTATCATGCTTGAAAGATTAAATGATTACCAAATAGCTGGATTTGTGCAACACTATTATACTATTTTTCAAATTCTTCAAACTGAAAAATTTGAAATAATCAAACTCCGGTCCATCTCCTTGTTTAAATAAAAACAAATATTATGGGGTGTTATATAAGAACTTGCAGCTGGGATCAGAAAAGTTTCTAGCCCATTTTTGTTCTTCAAAAGATGTATAAGTTCCTTAACTTCTCTGGCTTCAGTTTCCTAATCTGAAATGGGAATAACTACTGTTTTAATGAGCTTTAAGTGAGATAATTTATATAAAGATGTTTACACAATGCACAGCATAAAAAACACTAAATAAGTATTTGTTATCTTATTAATATAATTTTTGAATATTTTCAAATGTATAAAATATTAGACAAAGGCATGTATTATGTTTCTGTTAATAATATATGTCAGGCCCTTAGAATTTTTAATCCTTTGTGTTATATAAAGTACAATGTCTTAATTGATAAATATTAAACTTATCGACCTTTCTTTACTTTGCAGAGGTGTTCATAATTATAAGAAGTTTATGAACTTTCATGAACTCATGGATGGTAAAATCTAAAGAAGTCAGATATACAGCATTTCAGTATTTTCTATTTTCTCAATGCATCCTCAGAGGGCTGGGTGGTTGAGTGTTATGGGGGTAGATGGAGGAGAGTTTGGCAGTCATTGCTCTAACAAACCAGACCA
Organism: Homo sapiens; assembly: GCF_000001405.40. NCBI lineage: Eukaryota > Metazoa > Chordata > Mammalia > Primates > Hominidae > Homo > Homo sapiens. The sequence continues at coordinate 66,808,022 of NC_000013.11, forward strand.
GGGGACAGGTCATCTGTGCTTAGGAGTGTTTGGAGGTAGTTTCCCCTTCAATTTGCATCTGGATTTAGGCAAGTGACCATACCTGAAGGAAAACCTAGACATTACTATCTAATAACAAAAAATATGTAGAGCAATCATAGTCCATAAGTCCATTTTATGGAGCAAAGTCAATCTCTGCAGTTATGAGGAAAGAATTGTATTTGGGTAGTTTGATTTCTTTCTGTTATTGAAGGAAAGTAGGGCTGCTGACACTTAATTTTAATTATTTTCTGAGTTTGATACTATATCCTCAATAAACTATAAAGCAACATAGACCAGATAAAAGGTTTATAAAAATTATGGTCCATAAAAAAAGATATAGGCAATATGGGTTTACTATTTATAACAAATACAAGATATATATTTTTTACATTTACGATAATATATTTAAAAATAATTACATAGTAATAGGGCAACTTGTTCCCAAATTATTTCACTGCTAAAGTAAAACAAAACAAAACAAAAAAACAGAATTAGCACACCGTTAACAGATTTGAGGACGTGTAAACCAGTTCTTCATAGTTGCCTGGTAAGTCCTTCAAATCCCAGATGATTGCATTCAATTTTCTTGAAAATATTTATATTCCTGCTTCCCTGTAAAGCACTAGTAGGCTAATTGATCACAGGAGTGAAATATGCTAGAGAATGCATATTTATAAATTGTAGTTTATTCATTAATACTATTAGTCATTGTTACTTAATGTGCAGACCCTAACCCAGTTGCCGCATCAGAACCCAGAAGCTTATGAGTAATGCAGTATTTCAGGCCTTACCCACGATTACTAAAAGCAGATTTGCATCTTAACAAGATTTCCAGGAGATTTGTATGTACATTATATTTTGAGAAGCCCCACTAAAGGTATTCTTGTGATTTAAAATTTTTTAAATACATTCTTGTTTGTTTTGAGACGGAGTCTTGCTCTGTCACCCACGCTGGAGTGCGGTGGCGCTATCTCGGCTCACTGCAAGCTCCGCCTCCCAGGTTCACGCCATTCTCCTGCCTCAGCCTCCTGAGTAGCTGGGACTACAGGCCCCCGCCACCACGCTCGACTAATTTTTTGTATTGTTTAGTAGAGACGGGGTTTCACCGTGTTAGCCAGGATGGTCTTGATCTCCTGACCTCGTGATCCACCCGTCTCGGCCTCCCAAAGTGCTGGGATTACAGGCATGAGCCACCGCGCCAGGCCTTTTAAATACATTTTTAATAGAAGAGTACCTTGAGGCTAGGTATAAAAATTACCGTGTATACAATATATTGAATATGTCTTACCTTTTATAGAAAATTTTGTTTAAATTAATATGACAAAACAGGCAAAATGACAAAGATCACACAATCTTCATGGAGTTTGTGGAATCCATTTTTTTAAAAGTCTACTCTGCAATATATAACATTGCTTAAATTATTACCAAATCTGTAGTCAAAGTACGAAAAAATCAAAACATTCTAGAGATAAACTAAATATGGTAGCAGGGCTTTCTCTCCCTATGGCTTGGATAAATTGCTGCTTAGAATCATCATCAAGACTACTTTTGTGTGTGTATATGCAGCAATGGTGCATGATTATAACAGTTTAGTATCTACATGTAGAGACTTTCAGGTCACTGGTTTCTAATTTCAGTGCATTCCTTTGTTTAATGTCTTGCTCTGTTTACAGACTCTTGAAAGCAGGGACTGTGTTTCATTAGCTTTTGTAATTCCAGCAATAGCTTTAGTACTTGGCAAAAAAAAGAGGGTGCTTAATGAATATTTATTGAAGGTAACTGAAAACACATTTAACAAAGTGATCAACATAGGATCAAAAGCCTTTTTAAATTTTATAAGAATATTCCATATATTGTCCTTGTCCTTAGTGGCTAAAGAAAGCAACATTTAAAAATAATACTAACTCCAGTATTGAAAAATACACAAGACCCAGCAATAAAACAGGTACATGAAATGCTCAGAGAAAAAAAATTAAACATAGAGGAGAATATATGGGGAAAATGTTCACCAAAATGACTGTATGTTTGTGGAATTATACTTTATTTGCTATGTTTCTTACTATCATAAAACCATGTGGACATAATCCATTGAGCATTCATATTTTATAATCATTGTATATTAGCCTTTTTTCTGTTAACTTAAAAATACTTTTAAGCATAGGGCTTAGAATCCTTTTTTATGAATTTAATATCCTTTTTGAAAGCAGAGTGTTAGTATAAATACAGAATTTTTTTTAATTTAAAGTGGCTTCTACATGATATTTTTAATAATTGGCTAATCAAAAGCAATCAATAGGGAAGGTTTTGAGCCTTACAGTTCAAAAGATTGACTGGAATTTAAATTCAGCCATCTCATTTATTAGTTATGAGACAATGGATACGTCATTTAAGTTCTCAGATTCCCAGTTTCCTCATCTATTGAAAATTAGATAAAAATATAGAGCTTATAATATTCTTGGGAATATAATAAATGTAAAGTACTGGGAGCAGGTAGTTACTCAATATTAGCTATTAATATTGCTTATGCTACTTTATATATACAACAGTGAGCACCTAAGTATATGATGAAACATTCTTATATTAAACTTCTATCCCTAGTATTCTTTATTTTTATCACTCTTCTTAAGAGAGCTTATATTATGCTGCAAAATTTCTATCCAAAAAACACCAGAGATGTAAAGAATCTTATAACTACTAGAGAGCAAAATATTTTCCAGTAACAACTATAATTTTGGTGAAATATTTCAAGCTTAAGAAAAAGATGTATTAATTATTAGAAGCTGAATGTGTGTGTACATATATATATAATATATATAGTGTTTCAACACAAGATATATGTTGCTATCTTCTTTTATGGATGAAGAAACTGAAAAAATACAAAATTCCCTTTACCTAATATTAATATGATTATTTCATGATATTCATCACTGGTAATTGTCTTAACACTGATAATTACATTGAACCTTTTCTTTTAAAAGATTGAAAATTTATTGTAGTTTCATTGAACATTATTTTAGCACAGGCATATTTGGGTCAAAAATAAATCATGCCTATTAAAAATTTTTCCTCAAATTTGTTTACAAATATAATTTTAATTCAGTAAAAAAATTGTTAAAACTGTAAATACCAAGATATTAAGAATGCTGATTTCAATTATTAATTCACAGCCTCTTGAGTCTTGTATTGACCAAAGAGAAAAACAAGTGGAAAGAGATATTCTTGCTTGCTATTTTAAAAGGAAATTCTAATTGGCACATGGCCCAAAACCGCTGGATTAACAATTCTGCTATTAAGGCCCTTGTGGTCCTATATTAAGCACCTTCCTGTGCACCAGGTATATGATTGTCAAAGATTTTGTAATCATGAAGGGAATAAGTAGTAAAAATGTTTTACGCATAATACTCCCATTCAGCTTCCATAATAATGCTATTTTTCCTATGCTTAAAATGTTACACCAAATCCTAATAGTTGCTACTTGGAAAAAGTTTTGCTCACTGGCAGTCAATTTCAAGTTTGATTCATTCCTCCCTCCCTCCCTCCCTCCCTTTCTTCCTTCCTACCTGTCTGCCTGCCTAACCTGCCTTCCTGCCTGCCTAACCTGCCTTCCTGCCTGCCTAACCTGCCTTCCTGCCTGCCTGTCTGCCTTCTTTCCATCTGCCTACCTTCTTCACCTTTCTTTCTTTCTCTTTCTCTCCTTCCTTCCTTCCTTTCTTTTTCTTTCTCTCTCTCTCTCTCTCTTTTCCTTCTCTTTCTCTCCTTCTTTCCTTCTTCCTTTCTTCCTTTCTTTCTTTTCCTTGGTTACAAAGTTTTTGACCCAAAATATCTTCACAAGCCTAGCTAAAGTAAGTAGTAAAGTATAATTAAATATATTTTAAAATTTTTATTTATTTTCCTGTAAGTTATTGGGTTACACACAGTATTTGTTTATGTGAGGAAGTTGTTTAGTGGTGATTTGTGAGATTTTGCTGCACCCACCACCCAAACAGTAAACGTTGCACCAAATTTGTAGTCTTTTATACCTCACCCCCTTCCCACTCTTCCCCCTAAGTACCCAAAGTCCATTGTATAATTCTCATGCCTCTAAAATTGCTTATGGATTGAGCCTCTTCTTTCAATATTTTCTTACGTGCAGAACTTTCAGGATAAGCATAATAACTATGAGAGTTTTTTAATGGAAGAAAAGGCAGTGCCAAAATATATAACGTGACAACCTATAAAACATGGGAATAAAAATCCCTAACATTACCATACAATAAATTGTATGAGAAATGGATAGTACTAAACTAGACAGCTAAGGAAAAACTGAACAAAAAAAAATCCTGGAAGGATTAGCCACCATTCCAACCAAATCTTATTGGGCCAGTAAGATTTTAATATTTAAATAACAAAGAATAGACACTGATAAATCACTATGTCAAACACGCAAATTAATGTACTCTGATGATACTAAGGAAGAAATTATTTGCATAAAAATGTACCTGATTTGTCTAGAAGCAACTCATTTTCTATTCTTATTTCACTGCCTAGGGCACTGTTGGAGCCTGAGGGGATTAAAAAGTATGTGCAAGAAACAGAGCAACTGAATACCATAAAATAGAACAAGGCAGAGTACTACATCTAGGTATGCAATGTTGTTTCCATGAGCAGTAACATACATAACAAGGACTAATCTTATGACCAAGTGACCACAGTGTAGTTGTTACAGAAGAGAAAATAAAGTTTAGGAAATAATTAGGAATAGGTTTATTTAGTTCCATCATTTTTCTTTGGATTAAACTTTATTTTGTCCTATAAAGGCCAAGTGGTAACCTCATGACCTGACATTTATGACTCCGATGGCAACCATCACAGGCACCAACTTGTCCCAACGCCATCCTAAATCCATGGCTAATCATTTTCAGGCTCGTCATTCTGTAGTATCCAAAATGAGGATAGATCTCCAAAAGAGCAAACCACTCTCCCTCCATCAGACAATCTGTGTAATTCCTCACACCCATGAGTGCAAATTGTTCATCTGGAACTGTTCATTTTCCTATTTCCTGACAGGAGCATTAGGAATTGAATCAGTGATGATTGTGGGGACTGACTGTTCACCAGTACCAACTCTTTTCACTGGTTGGTAAGAGAGATCACTACCATTGGCCAACTCATATGATGTAATGGAACAGAGATGGACACTCAAGGCATTATAACTCTCAGAATTCCTAAAGTAATTCCGACAGCAATAAAAACTAGAATCAAATTTAACCATAAGCAAAGGAAGCATGAAGAAAAGTGGATGTATCCTACTATTTAACCAAAATATTAATAATAGAGATTATTGCTGTACAACCTCTGGTGTACAGTTGATACTCAAATATTTGTTGAATGTGTAAATGAAGGAGATGAGAGGAAGGAGGGAAGAGAGAAAGGGTGGGAGGGAGGAAGGGAAGAAGGAAGGGAGGAAAGGAGGAAGGAAGAAAAGGAAGAAAGGAAGGAAGGAAAGAAGGAAGGAAGGAGAGGAGGAAACAGGTATCAAGATAAACATAAACAGTATTTATCTGGATTTTATTGTACATATAAATAAAAATCTGAAAGAAAAAATATATCGTTTGATAATGTATTTATTTCATGGTGACTAGGCATTACTCAGTATGATTTGCATATTATTCTATTCTTTATCAAATATAACAGGTTAACCATTATTGTCAACCATGCTGTACTATATACTATATGACAAATGGTCCTTCGAGTATTCTTATAGAAGAACAATAATTAGTGCTTTATTATGCACAATATAGTAAAATTCAGGTTCAAAAATAACCTAGGCTTTTTAGATAATTGGTCTAAATAAAAAAAATCAGAGGTCAAGTTGAAAAATAGTAAAGATAACTACCAAAGCACAGGCTTTAAAATACCAGCAAGAAAGAGTACAGCAAATGACACACAAACTACCAGCAGCTTAGTCCTAATTGGTAAAACAGTCACATTAATGTGTAAATGTAGCACTGAAGTAAAACATACAAATGCCACTACATTTTAGCTTATCCACTGGGGACAGGAAAAAGTAGACACCAAGGCTATTAGCATCTGAAAAGTCAACACGTAATATTTTATGGAGGTACTTAACGCTCTTTTTAGTTAATAAAAATTTTTAAAAGATGGGATATGAAGAAAGTAGTTCCCTCCAAATAAATGGGCCTGTTCAGAATGGATTCAATGACTACTCTCAGAGTAATTACAAATAATCACCATGGAAATTTAAGCTCCAGCAACTGCAGCTTAATTTTTTATTTTCCCCTTATAATTTTCTTTAGCAGAAATTTATTAAGCTATTATTAATTAATGTTGAAGTTTATGAGAAAAATGTACAGTATCTAATGCTATATTCTAAAGTATCCTTAGATATTAATGTAAAAGCTATTAAATGTCTATGCCATTATTGTAAAGGGTTATAATTTTATCAGAATAAATACTTATCAAATTAGTATAATAATAGAAGCCTTTTATTCACCCATACCTGGAACAATCTTGGTTTGATGCACACACACAAAAAACTTAACGTTTATCTCTCTGGTTACAAAACTCCAAATGTCCATTATTGGGCTCCTAATAAAATATCCGGCTTCCAATGAGGAAAGGACTTCTCATTCGATAAATGGTGCTGGGATAACTAGCTAGCCATATGCAAAGATTGAAACTGGACTTCTTCTTTACACCATATTCTAAAATCAACTCAAGATATATTAAAGACTTAAATGTAAAACCTAAAACTAGAAAACCCTTGGAAGATAATCTAGGAAATACCATTCTGGACATAGGACCTGGCAGAGATTTCATGACAGGGACACCAAAAGCAATTAAAACAAAAACAAAAATTAACAAATGAAACCAAATTAAAATAAAGAGATTTTACATAGCAGAAGAAACTACGAACAGAGTAGACAGACAACCTACAGTATGGGAGAAAATATTTGCAATCTACACATCCCACAAAGGTCTAATATCCAGAATCTATAAGTAACTTAAACAAATCAGCAAGTAAAACGAACAAAAACACAAATAATCTCATTCAAAAGTGGGCAAAGGACCTAAACAGACAATTTTCAAAAGAAGAGATACACACAGCCAACAAGCATATGAAAAAACATGCTCAACATCACCAATCAATAGAAAAATACAAATCAAAACCACAATGAGATACCATCTCGCACCAGTCAGAATGACTGTTATTAAAAAGTCAAAAAAATAACAGATGCTGGAGAGTTTGTGAAGAAAAGAGATTGCTATACACTGCTGGTGGAAATGTAAATTAGTTCAACCATTGTGGAAAGCAGTTCAGCAATTTCTCAAAGAATTCGAGAAATCCCATTATTCAACCCAACAATCCCGTTATTGGGTATACACCCAAAGGAATATAAACTGACCTCCCATAAAGACACACGCACAGGTAGATTCATTGCAGAACTATTCACAACAGTGAAGACATGGAGTCAACCTAAATGCCCATCAAGAGTAGACTGAGTAAAGAAAATGTGGTACATATATACCATGTAATACTACACAGCCATAAAGAGAACAAGACCGTGTCCTTTGCAGGATACTGTAGGCCAGTATCCTAAGTGAACTAACATAGTTACAGAAAACAAAATACCACATGTTCTCACTTATAAGTGGGAGCTAAACATGGACTACATATGGACACAAAGAAGAGAAAAATAGACACCAGGGCCTACTTGAGGCTGGAGGGACAGAGAAGGGTGAGGATCGAAAAAAACTACCTATCAAGTACTGTGCTTATTATGTGGGTGGTGAAATAATCTGTACATCAAACCCCTGTGATATGTAATTTAGCTATATAACAAACCTGTACATGCACCCCGAACCTAACATGAAAGTTAAAAAAATAACCAGCTTCAAATGCACTAGATCTATAAATTGAACTCTTAAATTAAATTAAGAACAAATATTACATTGGGCTTGTCCTCCTAATGTTATAACATAACTCTCTCTAATACAAATGCAGTTACTTTCCATGACATTATTTCAAAGTTTAGGCAAAAGTTCATTGAGTGCCACTAGGCATTATGACAGGTGCTTTACATAAATCATTCATGGAAACAAAGCAATTCTAAGCAATTGTAATTCCATCTTACAAACTGGAAAATTAAGGTGTGAAGAAATTAACTATTCCAAATACATATAAATGTTAAATGTGCAGAATGGAACATAAATAACTGCACACTATTTCCAGGACACTGTGATCTGGCCCTAGATTAGATGGCACAGGTGTTTATGAAACAAACACACTAAAGCTAAACCTGTCCTAGATCAGTAGGATTATGATCAATTGATAATATAGCCCAGGTAGAACCCAAGTGCATGAATATGGGTACGCACACAAGTGGCTTTTTCTCTCTCTCTCCACCTCCCCCCACACACACTCACACTCACCATTCACAGTCACAATACTTTAAATTTATTCCTTTTTTCTTATCTAAGTTAGCATTAATGTTCTCTTCCTACCCTCTCCAGGCTTGTGCACATCCTGAAGACAGCAGGAGGATAAATTCCTCTTTTGGTATTTCAAAAATTAGGTGTAATATCACAAATATTTTGGGTCGGGTGTGGTTTCTCACACCTCTAATCTCAGCACTTTGGGAGGCCAAGGCAGGTGGATCACGAGGTCAAGAGTTCGAGACCAGTGTGACAACATGGTAAAATCCCGTCTCTACTAAAAATACAAAAAGTAGCCGGGCGCAGTGGCATGCACAATATTTTAAATCCCCGTGGATTGAAATTATGTTAAAAGACACAAGTTTTTGTAAAACAAGGTTTTTTTTTTGGTAAGTGGTGGTGTGTTGATGGTATTGCATGTTTAAAGGATAATGTGAGCTGACTATAAGTCAGCCCTCCTTATCCACCAGAGGGTTCTGCATCCTTGAATTCAACCAACCAACTGTAGATTGAAAATATTTAAAAAAAAAAACACCATTAAAAAATACAATAAAAAATAAAAATTTAAAAAGCAATATAGCAAACAACTATTTGCATAGCATGTACATTGTATTAGGTATTATAATTAATCTAGAGATGACAAAGTATATGGGAAGATGTGTAAGAGTTATATTCAAATACTATGCTATTTTATATAAGGGCCTTGAGAATCCTCAGATTTTGGTATTGCCTGGGGTCCTGACCCCATTCCACAAGAGCTGCATAACATATTAATGAGGTCACAAAATTTTGGAATTTTATTAACTCCTTTAAGAGAAAGCAGTGTGCAGAAGACATACTGTAAAGGATACTATTTTATTTAGAAATTTTAATTTTTATAAAATGTGTTCCCTCTCATTCTCTTTCTGTTTGATACATATTACTGAACTTGTTTCTCTAATGAACCCTTCACAATATTCTACAGCATGTCTTACAATACTCATAGATAGAAACTACATGAGCATATAAATACCTTAGCATTTTCTATTTTTGATGATAATTTTTATAAAATATCATTGTAATATTTAATACTTAGACTTTCTTAGTAAAATCACCTTAGTAATTTCATACTAATGATATTATGCACTTAAATTTATTTTCATTTATTTTTATTTATTTATTTACTTTTTGAGACAGAGTCTCACTTTGTCACCCAGGCTGGAATGCAGTGGCTTGATGTCAGCTCACTGCAACCTCGACCTCCTGGGCTCAAGCAATCTTCCTGCCTCAGCCCTCCAAGCATTAACAGCTGGCAACACAGGTGCATGCCACCACCCCCAAGTAATTTTTTGTAGAGACAGGGTTTCATCATGTTGCCCAGGCTGGCCTTGAACTGCTGAGCTCAGATGATTTGCTGGCCTTTGCCTTCCAAAGTGCTGGGATTACAGGAGTGAGCCACCACACCCGGTCTGATTTTTATTTTTATATAGATAAATATTTGATCCCAAGAATTATTTTTAAGATTCTAAAGAACTATCACACTAGGGGCCAAAATAAGTACATACAAATAAATCACTGATGCTGATTCTAAAATATACAGACTTTCCCCTCAACGGACAGTTTTAATTGGCTTTCTTCATTAATAACACTTTCATTTTAGGACAAATTTTTTATCGAGGTTTGAATTCTTGACTGGTTTCAGCATATTAATTAAATTTAAGTGTATAATTACGTTCCTTTCTCCTAGCCATGGGCAGATTCACTAGCTTGGGCAAATGAGAAAACATATATTTTAATTAAAATGTGTAAAAAAATAAGAAGGACTAAAAATTCCATTTTATATTTGTATTGCTGTTTTTAAGTGGTGTTTAAGTTATTCTGTTTATTTTTTCAATTCAAAACATTTTGATAAGGTTTTTCAGGAGAGAAGGATTTACTTCAAATCCAAATTTAATTAGTATTTAACTTTTTGTTTTTAGAAAAAGTGTTTATACAGAATAAACACAGAAAATGACATCTTAAACTCATGCTGTGACATAGTATCTGCAGAAAAGAACATGAAAAAAATTAAACTCAAGAATATATAAAATCAATAGACTAATTAATAACATTGTAGTCTCCTTCCACACTGTAAATCCTGGTCAAGCCAGAAATATAAGACAAATCAGTATTTTCTGTCAAAAAGGTGTGATGGGCCAGGTGCGGTGGCTCACGCCTGTAGTCCCAGCACTTTGGGAGGCCGAGGCGGGCGGATCACGAGGTCAGGAGATCGAGACCATCCTGGCTAACACGGTGAAACCCCGTTTCTACTAAAAAAATACAAAAAATTAGCCGGGCGAGGTGGCGGGCGCCTATAGTCCCAGCTACACGGGAGGCTGAGGCAGGAGAATGGCGTGAACCCAGGAGGCGGAGCTTGCAGTGGGCCGAGATCGCGCCACTGCACTCCAGCCTGGGTGAAAGAGCTAGACTCCCGTCTCAAAAAAAAACAAAAAACAAAAAACAAAAAAACAAAAAAGGTGTGATGATTTATTTCAAATGAAAATCCAAAAGGTTTAATTTAAACTTAAAATGGGTGTCAATATGCATGATGACAACAAAATAACCTACAAAGAAGGGGTTCATGAGGGTAGCCAAAACCAACAGATATATTCCAGCTCATCAGGTCCTCCAACTGAGCATAGGAAAGATAAAATGCTTGACTGTGAAAATCATATTCTAAATACAGAAAAGAGAAAGCACGAGAACCATTGGTTTGTCAAATTTAATCAGGTGCCCAAATCTTAACAGGATGCCCACTCAAGCTTTATTACTTATGTACCCCATTGTAAAACTTTCCACTTGCTTCCTCCCAAAGTAATTGATGAGGAGAAAAAAAAAAAACCTTTCAAAAGGTATTTTTGCTTGACTCTTTATTTACTAAAATGAATAACCTTGGAAGGACCTTAGAGAAGGGCTTGGGATTTGATTACCTCCTCATCTGTAGTCCAGATGAGTTGGGGATAATGACTTTTACTACGATAAAAAATATGATATCTTTATTATTGGAAATGATTCAATGAAAGGACGACACTTCTCATTGGACTTTCAGGGAGTCCCTTAAAAATAGTTAATTAGGGAGAGTATCTGTTGTAACTTTTGAAATATGCTTTTGACCAGGCATAGTGGCTCACTCCTGTAATCCCAGCTCTTGGGGAAGCTTAGGCGAGAGGACTGCTGGAGGTCAGGAGTTAGACACCAGTCTGGGCAACAGAGTGAGACTCCCATCTTTACAAAAATGAAAATTAAAAAATTAGCAGTGCATGGTGGCACCTGCCTCTGGTCCCAGCTACTCAGGAGGCTGAGGTGGGAGGATGACTTGAGCCCAGGAAGCCCATGCTACAGTGAGCAGTGATAATGCCACTGCACTCCAGCCTAGGAGACAGAGCAAGACTCTCTTTCAAAAATAAATTAAAAATAAATAAATAGGTTTTACAATAATCTCTTTATTCTAATTTATTAGAAAGGGTAACCATGATGTTCAATAGAAAAGATAATTATGGGTACTTTAAACAAAAGAATGCTTACCTGTTACTCTTCATTGGAAGTAATTTTTAAGATAAGTATGATATAATGAATAATCAATAAATTTTTATATTGAATTTGTTCCATACATTCCATATATTAGGATACAAATATATCCTAAATATTTTGTAAATATTTAGGTTAAAATGCTTATCTGACTTTTCAATGACAAATTTAGTCATCAAAAAAAACACAAACATAAGCCATATTATACACTATGCACTGTATTAAATACTACTGCAAGATAAAAGCAGGTTTTGGTTTAACTTATTATTTCTCCTACTCCTAGAAGGATATTTTTAGTCGATACCCCTAGATTTCTATCTTCTGTTTAACTTATTGAGTATTAAAAGAAAAAGTAACACTTATACACTGTTGGTGGGAATATAAATTAGTTCAACCATTGTGGAAGACAGTGTGGTAATTGCTCAGAGTCCTAAAGACAGAAATGCCATTCGACCCAGCAATCCTATTACTGGGTATATATCCAATGGAATGCAAATCATTCTCTTATAAAGACGGATACATGTGTGCATTTGTTGCAGCACTATTCACAATAGCAAAGACATGGAATCAACCTAAATGCCCATCAATGATAAACTAGATAAAGAAAATGTGGTACATATACACCATGGAATACTATGCAGCCATAAAAAAGAATGGGATCATTTCCTTTACAGGGACATGGATGGAGCTGGAGGCCATTATCTTTAGCAAACTAACAGAGGGACAGAAAACTAAATACTTCATGTTTTCACATATAAGTACGAGCTAAATTATGACAACACATAGAGGGGAGCAACACACTAGGGCCTGTTTGAGGGTGGAGGGTGGGAGGAGGAAAATGATTACGAAAAATAACTAATGGGTATTAGGCTTAATACCTAGGTGATGAAATAATCTGTACAATGAACCTCCATGACACAATGTTTACCTCTGTAACAAACCTGCTCATGTTCCCCTGAACTTAAAATTTAAAAAAAATTTAAAAAGATTCCCTCCTTTGACAAAATTATTCTATTCATAAGCTTCGAATACCAAGTTCTGATTATAGAGCAGATTCAAATTGCACCAAATTTCTAGTTATTTACATTTTGTAAATGTTTTATATCACTAATGACTTTGAATTCTCTATTATACAGTTATAAGTTAAAGGTGGAAATGTTGATCTCCATTTTTATGTTCAGCTGAAAGCAGTATTTTACACTAGATAAATAAGTACGATTATGTTTTCTCACTCAGATCCTTCTTAGACCTGTGGGTTAGGAAAAAAAATGAAGATACTTCAGAGGATCAGAAAGAAATAGGCAACAAGAGGAAAATTGAATCATGGAAATATAGTAGCTATTTCTTTTTGAACCTTACAGAGTAATAGGGTTTATATAAACATAAGCTAAATGGACCATTTTATATCCCTCTGAGACATTCTGGGAAGCCAAACTCATAAGAGTCATACTTCACTAGCAATGGTACAACATATCTCCTACCAAGTACTTAGTCAGTATTCATAGAAAAAGTCAGTATTTTAAATGGTATTCTTAAGAGAGTAAGCCAGACCATTTATTTTCTGGAAGAAATAAATTTGGAGTGGTAAATGATGCAGGAACTTTTTTTTATTAAGTCATCCTAATTTCAAAGTAGTTCTACAAATTCTGTGTCCAGAATCCCCAACTTAAGAATAAAAATACCTATTAATTGTTTCATACGAAATCATTATTCTTATGCAAGGATTCCTGTGGTTCATTCAATTCCCCATGTGCCTTCATACCATAACTGGAAATAATTAGCAACATGTCTGGAAGATTTAGCTAAGAAACATGTTAATTTTGCCTGGAGACAGTTCTTTTATCCTGCACATTCATTTTCACAAATTTCTTACTGAGTTTCTCAATGTGATTTTTATGTCAACTGACTACTCTGTAAAATAGCTGTCTATATGAACATTGCTTTTGTAAAATGTTGAGAGCTGTTTCTTTTATTATTGAATTTGATGCCTCAACCTATATCAGGATTTTTAACACATTGGTACACATCAGCATGATTCAGCTCAGTAGTCCCTTGACTTTCCATTCTTCAAGAGTTACAACTATATAATAAGGTTGACCCATCACACACGCGCACACACACACACACACACACACTCATATATAGACATAACTACTAAGATTTTCCACTTATATATACATTCATATAAGATTTAATTGTTTCATGTATTTATTTGTTCTTGGCATGCAGATGTCAATGTTTACCATGCTCTCACATTTATATATAATTACTAGTAAATCAGACATCTCTCATTAAGTTAAATGAAAGTTAAAATGAACACGTTTTATGGATTACCAATATTGATACCAAAGTATGAAGAAAATACGTTCAGTTTGTGACATGTTCAAAGTCATTATAAAAGATGTTTCCATGATGTAGTGCTAGAGCTATACTAAACAATAGACTCGTCTGAATTTGTGATGTCCTGGAATTTTTTTTTTTTTTTTTTTTTGAGACGGAGTCTTGCTCTGTCACCTAGGCTGGAGGGAGTCTTGCTCTGTCACCTAGGCTGGAGGGCAGTGGTGCTATCTTGGCTTACTGCAGCCTCTCCTCCTGGGTTCAAGGGATTATCTGGCCTCAGGCTCCCAAGTAGCTGGGATTACAAGCATGCGCCACTACGCCTGGCTAATTTTTGTATTTTTAGTAGAGATGAGGTTTCACCATGTTGGCCCCTGACCTAAAGTGATCCGCCTGCCTCCACCTCCCAGTGCTGGGATTACAGGTGTGAGCCACTGCACTCGGATGATATTCTGGATCTTTAAAATCATTAATATACTTACACTCTTATTATATTAAAGGGATATATATTAAATAAAAACAATTGAATTTTCTGAATTCTGGATAAATATGCGGTATCACATATATACTATATAGGAATTGCTAATATATTTGTGTATAAAACTCTATTTTAAAATGTTAACTTGTATATGTATTTTAATAGATACAAATATTTTATGTAGTTTTTAGATATCGTAATACATAATTATACATATATTTAGAAAAATAAGTGAAAACTTTCAATTTATGCAAAATTATTGAGAAATAGAAATGTAGTCTATCTCATATTCTCCATTAGGTTATAAATTTAACAGTACCAAAGTTGTACATATTAGAGAATTTATTTTTAGAGGCCAAACAGAAAAAAAGCAGTTCTACTTTTTTATAAATATATGCATTTATACATTTTTAGCTGTCCATAAATATTAAAGTGTAAGAATTGCCTTTTTGATGACCACACCATTTTCATATAATGTATCTAATAAAGGCAGCATCTTGAGTCATGCGCAATTTTTTTAGGAAAGAGAGAAGAAGGTAATAAACATGTACTGAACTACACTAACAGTATAAAATATAAAGATAAATTATATTATAAAGATAATATAAAGATAATTACTTCAAAATATTGAATTTGCAGTATATATATGCAGACACTAATATATATCATGAACATGCAGGCAAAAATAGACAGAGTTTTAAAAGTAGACATTTCACAGTATAGGATGAAGATGATAATTTGCAAATGGCTCTCCTAGGACATCTTTATATAAGTTTAATTGTGAATGATAATGTATGGGTTTTTCAGGAAAATTTATTGGTTTTTGAGATACGGCTAAAAACTTGTCCTGTCCTCAAAATGTATATTTGGTTCATCTCAGCATTGGTGCTATAAATTAAATATTCTAAATAATTCAATATAGAACTCATACAATTGTCCACAATGTTTATTGTACATTTTATTTTCAGACCATAAAAAGGCTTGTTCTAGTAAACAAAACTGATTTTTTGACACTATATTAGTTAGTAAAAATGTCAAGTTTTTTGTTTCCTTTTCTATGTAGTTGTCACATCAAATGTGTTCATCCATTCAACCTAAACTTATAAAACATCTAATATTTATAAAGCAGTCTACTTAGGAAAGTACTATATAGATTCCAAAATTGAATGAAATCTAAACTTGTTTTATAGAGCCCTACTTATTTTGTATCAAAAATTTCTTTCATAACTTACTGTACAGTCAAAATTAATCATCTCAATAAAGAGCATTTTAAAAAGTTTTTCTCCTTCATAGAAAAATGGAATCTCCTTTAAGCATATTAAATCTACTTAAATAATTTAAATCTATTTTAGAAATACTTGTCTTAACTAATATATTTTCAAAATAATTTGTAAATTTATCCTTATTGATTTGCCAAAGACAGCTAGAGCCAATTTTAAAATTTTGCCCTCATTTGTTTGAAAGTATATATATATATATATATATATATATATATATATATATATATATAGTTAAATGTTAAAAACAATATTAAGGCCCAGCGCGGTGGCTCATGCCTGTAATCCCAGCACTTTGGGAGGCCAAGGCAGGTGAAACACCTGAGGTCAGGAGTTTGAGACCAGCCTGGCCAATGTGGTGAAACCCCGTCTCTACTAAAAATACAAAAATTAGTCTGGCATGGTGGCAGGCACCTGTAATCCAGCTACCCGGTAGGCTGAGGCAGGAGAATTGCTTGAACCCAGGAGACAGATGTTGCAGTCAGCCCAGATAATGCCATTGCACTCCAACCTGGGCAACAAGAGCGAAACTCTGATATATATATATATATATATATATATATATATATATATATATATATGCACACACACATATATATATACACACACACATATATATATATACACACACACATACATATAAGTCCAATCATCAGATGTAGAACATTAAAATTCAATTTTCAACTCAACAAAATGATCAAGGTGAGACAATGGAGCGTATTCCAGAAATGTCCCTAGTGAAAGTCTTAAATCTGTCTAAAAGACTCTATCCTCATAACAGGAGAGATTTTGTAGCTGTTTTCGTGTCCCAGTGCCAGGTATCTCAAGCTGCAGGGTATTTCTCTTACCAGCATAGGTGCTAAATTGTGAATCAGGGTTAAACTATGCAAGAATAAAATATTTCGAAAGGTTTAAGATGTCCGTATTGTTAACAGAAATAGCATGTCATTTTAAAATTTTAATTTAAATTAATTCTAAATGTATTAGCATTCTTTAAGAATGTAAAAGAGAAAAGTGGTTCTAGAATGTTCTCATTTTATTTAGTCTGCCACTGAATGACCACAGGAAAAAAATATATATATGTATATATATTTTTTCTTCTTCTTCTTCTCTCGAACAGGTATGTTTTTCTTACCGTATTGGGGTAATATTAAGAACTTGTTGTAAATCGTATTGTATGAACTGTAATTAACACTAATAGCATAGTGTTATAAAAACTTTTTTTTTTTTTTTTTTTTGAGACGGAGTTTCGCTCTGTCGCCCAGGCTGGAGTGCAGTGGCGCGATCTCGACTCACTGCAAGCTCCGCCTCCCGGGTTCACGCCATTCTCCTGCCTCAGCCTCCCGTGTAGCTGGGACTACAGGCGCGCGCCACCATGCCCGGCTAATTTTTGTATTTTTAGTAGAGACGGGGTTTCACCGTGTTAGCCAGGATGGTCTCGATCTCCTGACCTCGTGATCCGCCCGTCTCGGCCTCCCAAAGTGCTGGGATTACAGGCGTGAGCCACCGCGCCCGGCCAAAAACTTTTAAAAACTGTAATACAAGTTTGTGAGATTATCTGTTTAGCTAATAAAAATTACAAAGGAAATGATAAAAGTAGGCATGTTTCAAAACAAAGTCAACATGATAAAATTCTAGTTTCTCACACATCCAACAACTACTCTACATGAATGCAGTGATTCAAGAATATGGCTGATAGACAAACAGCTTGATGCAATAAATGGTGCCGAAATAACTCACAAACTACATGGCATTATAGAAGAAGGTTATTCCTAATTTTTTTAAAAAAGAATGATAGTTTTTTTTGCATATTGATCGCAATCATTTGGTGATACATTAATGCTTATCTTTAAAGAAATAATAAATAAAAAGTAACAATTTTATGTATAAATTTATATTTTCAATACTGAATTAAAACCTAAAGACTTCCTAAATATTTCAATGAAAAACTACCCAAAGA
Organism: Homo sapiens; assembly: GCF_000001405.40. NCBI lineage: Eukaryota > Metazoa > Chordata > Mammalia > Primates > Hominidae > Homo > Homo sapiens. The sequence continues at coordinate 66,826,077 of NC_000013.11, forward strand.
ATGAATATATTTAACATTCCATAATCATTTTTATGGTGATCTGAAGATAATTTGCATATTAAGGACTATATTGTATAACATATTCAAAAACTTAAAGAAGTCACTCCCTGTGCCTGTATCCACCTCAGAGTCATGGAATGGATTCCAAAATGGCACAATGTCAGAAAAGAAACAAAAATGGTTTCCAAGACTGCTTATCAAAAATATCATTCTCCAGGATTCCCTAGTTTTTGGTTTTTTGGTTTTGGTTCTTTCTTCTTGTGGCTTATGTTGATACATTATAAAGGCCATGGATAAAGTTACAGTCCATTAGTAAAAGAGATAATATAAAGAATGTAGGTTTTTGAGGTCAGACATATCTGAGACAAAATAGTTCTGTCACTAATAGTTGCATGACATTAAATAATTTAATTAACACCTGTTAGGCCGTTTGCCTGTATAATTGGAATAGTATATTATTTTACTCAATATATATTTATGAGATTACTGTGTCCTTGCCAGTACTGTGAATCCAGGAAATGATTCAATGAACAGGGCAAGTGCTGTGACCTTAGTGTGGTGAAGGCAATAAGATAGTAAAAAAAATAAAATATTAGTGTTATATGAACTATGAAGAAAATAATACAAAACTAAAGAGTGGGAAGAAAGGAAGATTTTAGAAACAGAGTCAGAGAAGATATTTTTGAGGAAGTGGCTTTGAGCAGAGACTTAAAGGATGAGACTAATCATATTCTGGACAGAAAAAACAACAGAGAAACTTGGAGGCTGTAAAACCTTGATTTGCTAAAGAAACCAGCTTTGGTTTCAGCAGAGCAATTCAGAGGATGTGCTAAATTAAATAATGACTCCTCATCCCTACAACCTGTAAATGCTACCTTATATGACAAAAGGGACTTTGTAGATGTGATTAAGAATCTTGAGATGAGGGAATTATTCTGGATTGTAAGGGTGGAATATACTTGTAGTCATATGTATCTTTATAGCATGGAGGCAGAGGAAGATTTGACTATAGAAGAGTGGTAGGAGACATGAAGCAAGAGGTTGGAGTGATGTAAATAAGGGGTCAACAGCTAAGGATGCAGGAAGCAAGAAAAGGCAAGTAATTGATTCTCCCCATAACCCCCAGCAGGGCCAAGCCCTGCTGATATCTTGATCTTAGCTCAGTGAAACTGATTTTGGTCTTCTGACCTCCCTCACTGTAAGATAACTTTGGTTGTTTTAAGCCATTAAGTTTGTGGCAATTTGTTACAGTACTAATAGGATATTAATGCAGAGGAAAATGGCAAAAAAAAAAAAAAGAAAAAAAAGAGAAAGCTTAGAGAGGTAGCAGGTACCAGATCACTTGAGGCACTATAGAAGGATAATAGTGAAGAAAAAAAATAAAGGCTCTCAGAGGCTTCTATAATACTCTAAGCAGCAGATGGTTATGAGTTGGACGTGGGTGGTGGTGGTGTGGTGGCTGAAGTGAGGGAAAGTTTCAGGCACCTGCTAAATTTTGAAGGTGGAGTTGGCAGGACTTGTTGATGGTTAGGATATATGGAGTGAAGAAGAAAGCCTTCCAAACACCTAGAGCAACCAGGTAATTTTGCATCATTCATGAGAGATGGATAAACTTACACAAAGATTTTGACAGCTGGTGGAAAGAAAATCAGAGTTCATATTTTGCCCACGATCAACTGTAAGCAGTGGAGTCACTTTAAATGTCAACCGATGGGTAAGGAAGACTCACCTAGAGGATGACCAGGGACAAGGAGGATGATAGTCTTTTACATTCCCAATCCCTATGGGATACTTAGAGATATACCACAAAGGACAAAAGATAAGAAACTTACCCCAGGGATTACATATTTTCTTAAAATGCATTAATTAAACAAAAAAGTTACCTATTATTCCTTTTTATCTTGTTAAAAAATATAAAAATAGATCGCATCTTCTCTCTGTCCAGTTTCTTTACATATAAAATGACAAACATAGCCACTGAGAAATTAAATTCAAACTGACATGTGAAGTAACATCTAAGAAAAGTACTGGCAAACAAAATAAAAGAAAAACACAGAATACTAAGTTTAAAACGTGAAAGTACTAATAACTAATTTATAGGGCTGAGCATCAATGAAAGTGTAAGTGAAAATCAGTAACCTCACAGAATAAGAAGGTAAATCAAGGCACTGTTTGGAACTTCAGAAGTTCTATGTGATAGGTAATTTTAATCCCCAAAGCATGATAATTTCTGCATTCCACTGATGTAACCATTGCAGAAGAGTGACATGAATTTATAACCATAAAAAATAAACCTCTAAAAAATACTAATGACAATATTACTGACAGGAATAACAAATACTAGATTTACCCCCACTTATCCAGAGTACATGCTTTTTCTACCACTATTCATATCTCTCTTAATTGTGTCACTTAATTGACTTTTCAAGGTTAAGCCATGGGCATCTATAAACAATACTGCATATCATAAATCATCCTGGAAAAGCACTGTTTTTTAAAAGTCTATCAGACAGTACACAATGTTTTAGAACAGCAGAACAAAGCTAAACTAATTTAAATGTCCATAAATCACTGTCTTGCCTTGGTAAATATTAATATATTAAGAAAAAGAGACAGAGAGAGGGAGAAACATAGAATAACAAAAACATTTCAAAAATACACTGAATAACTTATTAAACATAATTTGGAGAATTACAATGATTGCTCCTTAAATTTTGTTGTAAGCCATACATAAAATAATAATAATAATAATAATAATAACAACAATGTGGGGATAAAAAAAGTTCATATTTATATATATATGAGCAGCATTAAAAGTATACCTTCTGCCACACTCAGATTCAATAAGGATGTTTATCTCTATTAGGTGTTATATACAACCATATAAAGGAATTGATAATGGCATTATTGAAAAAGAAAGATTCTGTGGGTCTTTTTTTGTTTTTTTGTTTTTTTGTTTTTGAGACGGAGTTTCGCACTTGTCCAGGCTGGAGTGCCATGGTGCGATCTCAGCTCACTGCAACCTCCGCCTCCTGGGTTCAAGCGATTCTCCTGCCGCAGCTTCCCGAGTAGCTGGGACTACAGGCATGTGCCACCATGCCCGGCTAGTACTGTACTTTTAGTAGAGATGGGGTTTTTCCATGTTGGTCAGGCTGGTCTTGAACTCCTGACCTCAGGTGATCCACCCACCTCGGCCTCCCAAAGTGTTGAGATTACAGGCGTGAGCCATCGCTCCCGGCCGGGAATCTTTTTAAAAAGCAGAACCAAAAGATTACAAACTATAAAATTATATTTATGACAAGAAATATATAGTTGGAAAAGGCAAAAAATATGGGGACAAAAAACTAGTGTTTACTTGGGTTGGACTGGGATTGGGAGAGGGGTTGACTACAATGGAACTGGAGAAAATTATTGGAGTGATGTGGTGATAGTTACATAACTGTATATATTTGTCAAACATATTAAATACTGAAAAGGGTGAATTTTACTGTTTATAAATTATTTCTCAATCAAACTGACATTACGAAAAGTAAAATAAATATAAATTTCATGAATGGCGTGAACCCGGGAGGCGGAGCTTGCAGTGAGCCGAGATCGCGCCACTGCACTCCAGCCTGGGCGACAGAGCGAGACTCCGTCTCAAAAAAAAAAAAAAAAAAAAAAAAAAAAATTTCATTTAGAATATTGAAAAACTATAGATTTTGTTCTAGAAATCTGGGGTTCTATAATTTATTTCAAAATACAAGTTTTTAGCCTATTTTTAACTTATCAAATCTTTCTTCAGAAATCCAAAGTTTGGATTCAAAAATAGCTACTTTACATTTGACCCTAAGGCTAACACATGTAAAAATTATATAAAAGAATAGAAAATTGTTCCAACTTTTTTTCTTTAGTTTTGAATTTGTTGAGGTAAGCAAAATAAAATAACAACAATTTGGTCTAGCCAAGTGATAAACATTACAAAAACGTCAATAAAACCTAATGTAGATAAAGCCAGTGCAAACATTTTCAGCTATAAAGAAAAATATGCAACATGAACTTCGATTCTCAGTGGCTAGCAGCATTCCCATAAAATATAATTTTAGTAATAGAAGTAGGAATGTATTATATTACTTCACATTATATTCTCTTCAATATAATGTGAAGTGAAATGAACACTAGCTGATTAGACAGGTGGCTCACACCCATATGACTGTTCAACCTGGACTTGGCTTTCTAAAGTCTAGAGGCTGCTTCATTTGGGGCACTTTGGCTGATTTGTCAGAGGTCATTAACGCTGCTTCATTACTGACTGCTCCAAAAACAAGCAGGTCACACTAAATTTGTTTTCATAAATAAACAACATCTCAGAATTCTCAACGTTAATAAATATATTCTAATTAAATATAATGGAAACTAAAGATGCAACATTAATACATGCATATGCTTACGTACTGGGCACATATAACTAAAAGTATCAATTATATTTACATTATGAGAAAAGATCAAGAAATTAAGTAATGAATTATGAGTCAGTGGGGATTTAAATTAAGGCCTGTTACCTAATTGTAGCTGTCCATATAGTAAAATTCTTAAGCCAGTTCTAATAAATTCAACATGCATTAATTTTAGCTATTTCAATTTAACCATGGCCAACAAATATGTAAGTCAACTCAGGATATTTTAAATAAAGAATTACATGGTTGATTATTTTTCACAATTGCATAAACAACTTAAAAAATTTCAGGGGGGTCTAGAAAGAGAAGGAAAGAATGAATTAAAGGTATTAGTATATATGTAAATTAGATCTAGGTAATATTTATGTTAAATTTTAACTTACTTTTTAAGTTTTATATTACACAAGTTTTGTCCCTGGGGCACAAGTGCCATACTGAAAACACTAATAGAAAACACATAAAATGTGAACAGCTGCAGTTATTAAAAATATCCCTTAGGGTAGGTCAATACACAGACATGAGTTTATATCATAGCTTGTTACATACAGACTCTAGGAGGTTTAAGGGAAATATGAGTTATAGAGAATCAGGCTCTCCATGGACAGATGCATCTACAGATAAGATTCAAATTAATTCTTGGGCAGTAGTGTCTCTTTCTGTCTTACTGATCTTTGGTGCATACTAAGTTGTTGACTCAAAGTGTATTACTATTATTTCTATTGGCTTGTGTGCAGCACTTTGCATTTTGAAAATGCATCTACAACCTCTTTTTTGTTTCTAGCTAAAAAGCTCTTTAACATTGACAGAGTACTGCCTGAGATGTGGCTTCTGGACACCAATCTTTCCTAGAAATTAAGCTGCAATAAGCAGGCATTGTTTTACTTATCTTTCATATTCTGAATTTTTAAAAGGGAATTCCAGAGTGATAGCAGCTGTGACAAGCATACTAATTTGTATTCACCTTTTGTGTTTATTAGCTGGTTTGAGGAAGTGAGTCAGGAAGATGACACCGACACAAACAGAAATAAAACCTGGATGTCACATGGTGTCATATTAAAGCCGAGAACATTTAAAAAGCAGAACAGCCTAATCTTCAGTTAACCTCTATTTAATTTTCATAAACAGAATTTCATCTCAAGCACCAAATTAAAACTGAGGCTGAGAAATGAGCCTGTATATTAAGATGTGTCCAAATCAATTGTTGTCATGATGAGTTGCTGGTTTTCAACCTCAGATTTATAATGTGAGTCACCAGGTTAGTATTTTGGGGTTACAATTAGTGGGGAGCATTTAAGTATGGATTTTACCCTAGTATAAGAAGATGACACTCAGCATCTGGGACAACACTGTTTATAGAATTACAAGTCACAAGTGTAATAAAAACTGTGGAAAAAAAAGTGCCAAAATGTCTGCATAATTCCTTATAAATCATTTTTTTAGGGGACATAACATTGGGAAATGATTTCAAATACATTCTTTGTCTTTTCCTACAGCTGTGTGCCTGTATTGGGTACAGACCAAAACATAGGAGGCCACTACAGTTTTCAGAGTTAAAGGATGACAGTAACTAATCAACTACCTAAAAAAATTTCTCTTTGACATAATAACAGCACAACCAGGGAACATTGCTAGCTGAGAGGAACAAAATTCAATTCAAGATTAAAAAATTAATGATTATAAATAAAAATTGCATAGTTTGTTTTCAACAGAACTGGAATTTATAATAAATGTATGCCGTATGACGTTTTATAGAGTTGAATTTACTCTATTTAAATGTGATTAATAACTGAAACAGAATTAGAATATTCTTACATTTAGTGAGGTATCTAAAACACACTGCAAAAATTTACACACTTTAACTCTCTAAAATACCACGTTTTTCCCTACATTTTATCTTGAATAATGATAAATTATAATAATTATTAACACTTTATAGACATTTATGCAAAATCAAATCTCTACAAAATATGAATATTTTATAGAAATATTTTTCAAACACATCTATATATGTGTATATTGAGTATACACATGCACAGATATGCATGAATAAGTATATTAAGAATGAGTAATCGTTATCCATTTACAACCTCATTATATATTTTCCTCCATATGGGATGATACCATCTGGATACATTTAGGTTACAATGCATAAATGGCTTTCCCAAATATTCAATAAAACAAAATTTAAAATGTATATATTTTTCCGTGATTGGAATCCTATCAAATAGCTGTTAATGTCAATTCAGAGATGTTTAACCATTAGCTTAAATCAGATGATTAACAAATGTTTCTCTGGTCCTGTGCACTACCAAGATCTTGAGTCACTATGATACGATACCAGTTATATACTAATCATAAATAGCACTGAACTTATTTCTACTACCCCCTGTATTCCTCCTCTACTACCTATACTTGCAGATGGAACCAACATGCCCCAAATTGCTCTGGCTCTGAATCTTAGTGTCCCACCTCTTCACATCATAACAGAATCAGCTGTCAACTCTATTTCTATCTCAAAGTTTTCCTTTCTTTTCATTCTCATTGTCCATATTTTAAATCGTATACTCTACCATGTGGTCTCGTAGCCAACAAGTATTTACCCTTCCTAACAATCCTGCCCGTTAATGCCAGGTACATGTACCTTGAGGAGAGCTATGCTGCTCTAACCTTGCTACTCTAATGTTGTTACTGATTTCTCAGAGTAACATTACATAATATGCCCAAACTTATTTCCTTTCTTTCTTCTAACAAAACGGGACTGAATCTCTTCATTGGATTCCATATCTTGTCTTGTTCACACTGATACCTTTGACTTCTCTCGGTCCTTTATTTGTATTTCTATATGTGTAAATTCAGCTTGTTTTCAGTCTGACATGCCAGCTCCTCCATACATTTCATTTGATCCTCTTTCCACCCCAGGGCAGAGGGTACCCTAATATTGTCTTCCTCACTCACTCTGTACGTCTCTGGTACATAACATTCTATGTTTTCTATACTGACAGTGTAGCTGTCCTTCTTATTTAGGGAGTGGAATCACATTGGAATTGGGCACAATTTCTCATCTTTGTAGTCTTCACAATGTCTAAAGATTATATTTACAAGGGCATGTGATAGAAACCTAATTTTTAATGGGTGAATAATTGAAATATAGTAATTTTGACATTTCTCCCTATTTCTTCCTATAGTTTGAGTTTAAGTTAACAACTTCATATAGAAAAAAAATCAAATGTTTGCAGAATAGGCATTTATGAGTATATGATCATTAGTTTCCAGATTTAAACCTTGGAGAGGACGAAGAAACCAGTTTTATAAATTTGTAATTTAAGCAAATTATTTACTGTGCTATTTAGGAAAATATGGATAGTAGCCAATCAGTGACAGAAATGACTTGTCTATGACCTGTGCTGGTTGAATAGCTGATAATGAGCTGGCAAACACTGAAGTTCATTGAAACTGCTACCAAAATATCTGTTTCTATGGGGAGAAAAAACTTTTGTAGAATGAAAAAAATCTAATTTATAAATCAATTTTTTGCAATATGGCACACTTCATATATACATAATCTTTATACATTGATGTCCCTTCAACATTTGTTTGGCAACTTGTTATTTGTTATCCTGAATATAATTTTATATACCTATGGTCTTTTTTTTTTTTTTTTTTGAGACAGAGTCTCACTCTATTGCCAAGGCTGGAGGGCAGTGGTGCAGTCTTGGCTCACTGCAAACTCCGTCCCCCGAGCTCAAGCAATTTTCATGCCTCAGCCTCCTGAGTAGCTGGGATTACAGAAGCCCACCACCACATCCAGCTAATTTTTGTACTTTTAGTAGAGACGGCCAGGCTGGTCTCAAACTGCTGACCTCAGGTGATCCACCCGCCTCGGCCTCCCAGAGTGCTTGGATTACAGTCATGAGCCACCACTCCCAGCCCCTGATGGTCTTTTGGTTTCTGAACTTTTCAAGGAATGCATTTTATACAACTGTACCCAAAATTACTATTTATAGATATCTTAAACATTGTAGAATCTCACAAAAACACTAGAATGCTTTCGAACCCTTGGACATTTGCTTTGAAGGAAGTACAAGGTAGTATACTGTATTGTTCATATATGTAGCTATTTAACACTAACTGTAAGATGCCAATTCATTGCACATTGGGGAATCTAAAAATTAACCTTTCTGGTTGTGTTTCAGCTAGAACACTCTATGAAAAGAAATATAGCAAAGAATCAAAATGCATAATGTTTACTCAAATGCCACTAATATTTAAATACATCTGTAAGTGAAGCTTCCTACTGATCCACTTAACACTTCAGCAAAAGGCTAATGAACCATGGAACGCTTTGCTCCTCTTCCTAACCTGGATGCTATGTTTAAGAGAATGCTCTCTTTTAAGTAATAGCAGGAATACTATTTAAGTTGAGGTCAGAAAATATCTATCTAGTTAGCTAAGTTTTAAACTTAAAAACAATAACCTAAATAATTGGGACAGATCCATAATCATTACAGAAGTTTATTTACATATGCAGGCTTTACTGGGCTTGGTTCTGTGGAGAGACAGAATCCAAGGACAAGGCCTGGTATGTCCTGAGGACTGACTACCAAATTGACATAGTCACTGAAGACAATCGTCAGCCAGGCCTAGTTCCAATGGGAAACAATTTCCTCTGGCAGCTTTTAAAGTCTGTTTTTGTAGGAAATTGCCTCTTGGAGCATATAAAGCTAATTCATGGCGGTTCCCAGAACTCCCGCACACCCGGCTGGAGCTCCCCTGTGGATGAGGCTGTCTTGTTGACATAATCGAGCTCGGCTCTTGGCAAAGCTCCAGCTGTTTGTGTGGAGCCAGTCAGATTAGGCTGAAAGCCTCTAAATCTTCCAAAGTGTCCCCAGGAAGGGAATATAAAATGGTGATGGTGATATGGCAAGACCCAGGGAACACAGCAAAGTCACGACATTTGTATTTGGGTCTGTCATTGTGATTAAATAACACAGAATTTGTTAGTAGATTTAGCAGAGGTCACGACACAAAAGTGATGGATGATCTGCAGTTCTATTTTTGCCCACTGAATCTGTGTTATATGCCGGGTTAACTTTTCTTTGGGGATTTGTTATGGTGCTACAAAACCTGTCCTCCTGCTAACCACCCAACAATTTTTTTTTATGCTAGAATGTCTATAAACATCTGAATTAATACATTTACAACCAATGGACTTCATTTCTTTGGCATGAAAAGTATTAGAAGACTGTTATATATTATACAACTGAAAGAGAGGACTGCTTTTAATTTGACTATCCTCTCCCCATTCCGTTTAATACATACTTATTAAAGATTGTCAAGGGCAAAAAATGTTATTTACCTCAATTATAAAAAGCAAGCATGAAAAAAACTTAAATATGACCCTAGACACTTAATTTGAGATAAAAGTTAAAAATCAAAAGCATATCATTTTAAAATATAAAAGAACCAGCATATCTTTTTCCAGGTGTGAGAAATACCAAAGTTTGAACATTAAAGTAATATTAAGTGAGTTGAAACATGAGAAACAAAGAAAGCAGCAGCTATACACAGAATAGATAGAAATAAAAATGAGAAAAACATTTAGTCACATGGGGAAACAAAGTTGAAATAAAGTGTATATTTGTTTGAATTTGATATTGTCCACAATAGTGGACACTGAAGTTCAAAACAAAAAGCAATTTCTCTTATACTCTTGACCCCTCTTTCTCGATAATCAAAATCTGACATGAGACCTCTCCCCAGTAGTTTAGGATAAATTTGACGACTGGAGATTCAATAATCTTTATGTTATCCAAATTTTACTAACTATCCTTCTTTTATCATATTCCTTCCTTGTTTAAATATTATTTTCATGTATTTTTTTAAAAAATTACATAATGTTCCTTTTGTTTGAAATGTCTTGCTGATACCTAGTCTTATCTGCCTATCAAACTTGACCCTCTTAATAATTCCGTTCAATTTCCTTTCTTTGTTGTATCTTCACCTCAATCCTACACTTAACAGGAGCAGAAGTTAAATCTATTCTCTGTGCACCTACATCAGCACTCATTTCACTAAGCAGTAATTTTTACTTTTAATCTGTGTTATCCAACAAAAACTGAGCTGTTTGAAACCAGAAATGCCATTTTCCCCAACTTTTGCTATATTGTTGTCTAGAAGAGTTTCTAGGGCTTTGTGGAAATTGAGTAATGTTTCCTAATAAATCCATCAGGGACTTGCCTTGTTTCTGACTTTCCGTATGTTACAATCGGTGGGTAAAAGTAAAATCCTCGGTCAGATTTTCTTTTCTTGAATTCCAGATCTCTGATGTACCATCTGGAATAAGTGACTTTTTTGAGCTTCAAAACTTTCCTATAAAATAGTCTACCTCATGTAGTTCTACCAGAGGAATAACAGCGCTCGAGTACAAAATTTGCTTAGAAAAGCTCCAGTATTTAAAATGTGCCCAAGTATACGCTAAAAATCAGCACCCTCCCCATCACCTCTTGTCAGCATCCACATAAGAGACCACCTGTGTGGAAACAATGAGGATTTCCTTGGCATATGTTCTCACGCATGGATGGAATTGCTAGGTTATAGAACATGCTGAATTTCTGAAGGTCAACTGCTTCAGCTTGCACTTTTGAGGTATACTGTTAGCTGATGCTTTTTATTTTAAAAATTTTCTTCCTTAATTCCAAAATCTCCCCAAAATGAGTTCTCTTTTGAGTTTCTCTTTATTTTGTACTTAATAAATACAGAGCATTTAAAATTTCCCAGGTCCTTTTCTGAATGTTCCACGAGTGTTAATTCCCTTGGTCTTCATGAAGTAAGGTACTGTTAGTGGCTTCGTTTTACAGTGGGGAAAAGTGAGGAATGAAGAAGTTAACTGACCTGCCCACAACGAGGCAAAAACATACGGTGGAGCGGGAGCAGCCTGGCTCCAAAGACCCTGCCCACGACCGCTGCGTTCCTCTGCGCCAACTCTGAGTTGTTCTGCCTTTTTAATGACTTTACTGCCCTCCTTTCCTTTACTCTCTTTTCCTTGTCCCTTTCTGCTTCCCTTCTCTAAATTAAGTAACGAGGAAGGGAAGGAGGAGAACAACACTGTGTAGGGGACAGAAAACTTTCATTTCTTTCTGTTCTTATTTCCAATGTCGCTCTGCTCTGATTCCTACTAAGAAAAAGTGCAAAATATTTCAATTCTTTATGCCCAAATGACTTTCTCGTTAAAAAACGACCTTTCCAGTCATCTTTGTGTAACTATGAGGTATTGGTAATATTTTCATCAAATAGGCTTCAAGGAGATAAAAGCACTCCCCAGGCAATAGAGTTTCAGGACACAACTGCCAAACACACACCCAGGGGAATGAACACAGGGTTTCTTCCTCTCCCATTTCAATCAAAGAGTGCCAGGAAACGCAATGGTAATAAGAAGATGATATAAATGAAATTGAACACTAAATTTTCACTGAAATATAAAGAAAAAAATTTAACATCAAAAATTAAAATTAAAGCATAAAAAATTTAAAATGAAATTAATCCACTATATCAAATTTTCCAGTTTTGTACTTTTTACCATGACTTCCAGGTTTCTAAATATGTATTCATGTTACAGAACATATATTTCATTCTATAATATTTTTTTCTCCCCTTTATTCTTCTGCAAACCTCAACAACTCATTACAGTCTAACTGGAAAGCTATTTCCATTTTCTTCTTGAAAGGTCTCTTTGGGTACACTGTAGACATTTGAGAAATGTAGACCAGCAAAATCAACTGAGTAGTACCATGCACATTACACTTAATATTTGCAGGAGTATTTTTATTTCCCTTAATCTTTAAAAATATTCAATTCTTTTTTTAAAAAAAAAATTCATTGTCAGTGCAGTTATTTGGAAAAAAATAAGGTCTGAATTGTCTATAAATAAAATAAATACTTTGTACACATTCATATATCCATTAAGAATAATGTTAAATTTAGCCAGGTTTTCAAAAGAGAACCTGCTCTGATATTAATAGCTAAAATGTATTTGATATATTTTACAAGCTTTTGTTCTACTTCATTAAAATTAAACCAATATTAACACAATTTTTCATGCTAGCATGAAAAACTCTGGTACATAAAAACCCATGTGAATGTTTGCATTTTAATATTACAGTCGAAATAAAATGTATGAGTTTATAGCCATGTCTTATTACAAACACAGTTAAATATAAGTGTTGTGACTTTATTCTTTTTTTCATTTAAAAGGAAAACATGATGTACTAGAATTATTTAGAGCAACTCATTTCTCTCTTCTGCTTATAATGTATGATGCACTAATCTCTAGTAACAGACTTTTATTCAAAAGGGAGAAACGATCACTTTAAAAATAATGTCACTTATTTAAATAATTCAGAACCAAAAAAAGGCACTGCAAATACATTTTGAACTAGTGCAAAGAAACTAACTCCCTCAAATGATTATCCAATCTGTGCTTTTGTAAAGTGAAAAACATAATAATGAAATTTTAATCAGTTTCCTAATACATTTTGTATAAACATTATTTATTCCAAAAGACAGAGTATTAAAAAAACTTTAAAAATAATATTATAAAATTTTCAACATACTGATGTTCAAAAATATCATCTTATAGAATATTCTGAGATATATATATATAATATTATGTAACTTATTAATGTGCAACAATCACTTTGTATTTTTTAGGTCCAACTAGACATCTCTCTTTCTTGCACTCCAGTTTCTTGCTTCTGAAAAATTACCTTACATTGTCTCTAGATATCTCAACAGAATTTCCAAGATATGATGTCCCAATTTTAAAAAATGTATCCCCAAATCTATCGTTTTCTTTTCTCTAGTGTCTTTCCTCTTTTACTAATGGCAAAGCATTTCTAGTCAGTCAGGCTACAGATACCTAGGTCATTTTCTAGTTTTTGCTTCATACTTCACGGAGTGTGGCAGCCAGTCACGCCAGCTACGCCTCTGAAACGTCTTCCTGTGCGATGGGTACTTGCAGTGGCCTTTGCCATTTTCTTCTTCAGTTCAGGTATCTTACCTGCATATTTTAACAAGCTTTATCTTCATCTCCCTGTCTCCACTTCTGCATTTTCAGATGTACTTACTATCATATTATCAATCATTTTTCAAAAATACCTCTCTGATACCGTCAGTCATGCAGTCCTCTGCCCGAGTTAGCTAATTAGCCCTTCTTGTCTCCACCAGGGCTTAGAGTTCTGATGTGCATCGTAAAGCTCTTGACTGGTGTGCTATCCCACCTCCAAACACTTGTCAATTATTTTTCACTGCCACCCTAGTCCTCACATTCTCAGGGATTGCCTGGGGTTCTGAAAAAAACTGAAAAGAATAGTTGGAACTATGAAGTAGCCATTCATCATATTTTCTGATTCACAACTATTCAAATATTCTTCTTTCATATTTTGCCTTCTTGATCTGACTTCATGAGACTTTTGCCTAAAAATCTTAGTGCCATGGACACTGCATTTGGGCATCTCACTCCACCTGGACAGGTTGTTGGCCATTCCTAGGATGTGGTCAATTCCCTTAGCCCTTGTGGTGCTCTGTTCACACCATCTCTTCCCACAATAGTCAAGCCACTGAGGGCCCAATATACCCATACAAAAGTCTGTTAAACAATATTAAAAAAAATCTAGCACCATTTTCTGAATACTGAATATATCCTCTAATATGGAATCAACTACTCAAAGATCTTTTATATTACATTAGAAAGGTAGTATTTCTTTTCAAAGCAAAAACTGGCTCTTGAATAGAGTTGTAATCAGAATTAGATAACTTGGAGATTCCTTTTGCATTTGCAAGTATTTGGAAAATAAAAATATAGTTAAATATTCAAATACATCTTGACTTATTCATGGGCATTGATATGTTTATGTAAGGTTAATTATTTAATCAAAATAATTTAAAATAATTTGACAAGAGAATTATACAGAGAACCCTGTTTTATTTAACGTATCTATCTTATTCTGTGTAACCCTTACTATATACAATCATGTAACGAAGTTAAAGATAAAACATTCTCTACTAAATAACTACCAGAATTTTATATTGACTTGTGCAGCAACAAAGCACTTGCAAGGAGGCAAAAACCTAAACTGTTGAGAGAATGGGAGCTGTGCTATAGGAATGGCTCTAATTTCACTCTAGTAGGGCAGTTTTTCCATATGCTACATTGAGTATTTCTGTTGTACATCTGTTGCATGACAAACATAAAATGGTTGGGTTCACTATCAATTATAGGCTGGAACAAGTAAGATTTCAATTACAACAGGAGAGCAAAACAGCTGGGAAATCCCCGAAGGGAGGTGCAAGAACCAAGGGGGTGAAGCAGGCATCATAATGGTACATTGCACACTACTAATTAGAGAGAGATGAAGTCAAGTTAAAAGAAAATATACCCCTGGATGCTCTGTTTTGTAGAAGCCATTTGGGTACTGAAAACGGTACCTCGGTGGCTTGTCTCTCTGAATTCTCATGTAATTGTTGCCTCATGAGCAGCTTAAATAAAAACTGTAGCATGAAGGTATGTTATTTTTTAAGGATAATTTATTTTTCAAAAAATAAATGTGATTAAATCTAAGCATTTCTGTAATATCCAAATTTATTAAAAGACAGATAGCTTTAAAAGGTAGCAAAATTTAAAAATGAAGAAAATGACGATGAGTTTTACAACAGCCTACAGCCACCTAAATAAGGAATGCATAAATATAGGCACATATAAAAGTCTTCTTGACAAACATATGTATGAAAAAATCAGGGATCGTTCTACTACTATGTGTACTCCATGAAAATTATGTGATTTCCCCCCACGCTTGTTTTTCATGTTTAACTAAGTGAACTAGAAGCAGTGAAAATTAAAACAGCATAATATGCTATTGAAAATAAATTCTTTTCTCACATAGTTAAGATCAAGGGATATAATTAGGAATTAGCTATAGGTTATAAAATGTTAAGCAATTTAAACAGCAAATTTTCTCTTTCATTTTTATACTCAACATATTTCATAACAATAAAGAAAACAAGAATAATAATAATTTTAAAATGATGCCATATTTGAAAAGTCTGATCTATAACCCATTCCATCCACTTTTGTTGGAGATTCACTTTTGTTGAGCTATGTGAATATCTTACATAACAATATCAAATATAATAAAAATTATTATTTTGACAAATGTTAATGGAAACACTAATGTTTACTTTGTAGCTCAAAAATGGCTGCTATGAAAAATGGAGGGTTTAACATAAATGTGAAGTTTTATCTGGAGTCCTCCCACAATGATTCTATTGCTTTATTTTTCCTACTAGAAAAGTACTTGGGAAAATATACAATCATGGCATTAGTTCCGGTAAAAGTGATTATGGGATCAGTTAAGACAATGTGAGAAAAACTATGACATTCCAAAAGGAGAAATTACAGATGTTAGAGAACAGCTGGAGGTGAGGATGAGGGGAGGGAGAATCTAGCATAACTCCAGGATTCTTAGCTTGGGAAATTAGGAGCAGAAAAGGTAGGAGAGAATTTAATAGGAATATTAGCATAGACTTCTCTAGGCACACAATATGATACTTTACTAACATCAAATGTAGCTTCATTTAACTTCATAATTTAAAATTATGTTTTTCCTTAATTTTTCTTATACATGGTATGGTCATTTTTGAAATCCAATAAATCCTCATATAGTCACCTTTATGTCTGAGGGCAACATCTGCTACAAAATAATTTACCTATGACCTAAGTCTTATTTAAACATTATACTGAAAAAGAAAATTTATTTCCCTTACTTGCTCTCCCTATGTATACATAGTAAATTAATTCTAATGTGGTTCAAATCCCACTCCTGAAAGCTATCTGCATTGAACAGAAAAGTGTAATTCTTGGCCCCTCTTCCTCTCTCGCCCTTTTCCTTTGAAACTTTTTTTAGGCTTTGTATGAGACTTCCAAAAAAGCCCAGCATGGGTCCCATTGACGATTTGACCTCTTTTAGCCCCCAAAATTCTGTGTTATTTTCCTCATATTATAGAAATAGGGACATTTCATCTCTTTTCTGAACTTAGAATAGCATAAAATTACTTCCAATTTGTGAATAAAATGACAAAATAGCATCAATTTTTGTATACATCAGTGTTTTTGTAATGACATTAACTGTTAATCCTAAGATTTCAAAAATAAGAATAAAATATCATCTCCTGTTTTGGGTAATGGGAATTCAATATTATAAAACTATTCCAAGCACTAATGAAGAGGGAAAGTAATGAATTGGATGAGGGTGAAGGGAGTGATTTTCTTTTCAGATCTGGTAGTGTGAGATGTCTCTCTAACTCAGATATATAGGAAGGAATCAGGCAGTGTTTCAAAATTAAATTCAGAAACATGCCCAGCCTCTATGGAAACCACGAAAGAAGGGCTCTGTATGACAGGCAACAGCAAAATTGCAGCTGCTGAGATTGTGTGTGTAGCCAAGTGCCACTTCACTCTTGATCTATGTTAAGCTGACTGAAGGAAGAAAATCAATTACTATCGGCAGTGAACTTCAGGTAGACCCAGGTTTGAGATGCCAGCTACACACAGGTGTGTGCCCTCAGCAAAGATAATTCTGACTGAACATTCATTAAGAAGGGGTGCTACTGTATTCCCTGCTTTGAGATTTAAGTGGTTGTATTTTACATGTAGACAGAGACAGATGGAAAAGCCCAAATATTGTAAACCTCCCAACATCACCAACAAAAATATCTGCCTTTACTAGTTAAAACTTTTCTAGAAGACTAGGTCTATTAAAGAAGTATTCAGCTACACACATGCACATACATACACACACACACACACACATATACATGCAATTACACACACGTTATAAAATGCTCTGGTGAACACAGTCTAAACTTATTAAAATTAAAATACAAAGGCCACATGTATTGAATATTTGCTGTTGCCTTCAGACTGGAATCCACTTCATTTATTCTAGTAACAGTGTCCAAATTTGCTCCGGACAAACGTCTTCACCTTCAGTCTCTGAATCTGAGGCCAAGGACAAGCAAGGCCCATTAGAAACAGCACCTTCTGTCCTCACAGACACTAATATTTGTTCAGGGATGGCCTTGTGGCTCATTTTCATAGGGAGATGGGGTGAATATCACAGCTAATGTGTACACTCTGGAGAAGACTGCATGCTGAGAACATATGAGCTGGGCCTACTTCTGGGGCCCCATAGCAAAGTCTTTCAAAGGAACAACCCAGAGGAATGAGGTTAAGAGATGGTACCTGCTGGTGACAGTGTTTGGCTCTGAAATGAATGTATCCAAACTACAAGTCAACAAGTGTCCTTATAAATGCCCTTTTGGGGTGATATCATGTATGTAAGTGCATTCAGGGCTTAAATTACCAAACTTACTTCTGTGGTGTCCAATGCATGATGGAACGAGTAGACCTGACTCTAAAATGTAGCAATACTTCACTTTCTAATACATTTTTTTTTCAAGAATATCTGAGCAACTACTGACAAAATGAAAAATGGGGAGTGAGTAGTGTGTGGAAAATCTGTGATTGAGTTCAGTTCTCAATCTAGTTAATTTAGAGAGGAAACCCTACAAATATTCAAATTACGATTTAATCCTGTATTTGATTTTATTTTCCAAATTCTTCATATTCAACACCATAAAAAAGATTAGTTTCTAGCATGAATCAGTGGATAAAATTTCAGAGAAATAAGACAAGAATATACTCCCAAACACTACAAACGGCATGAAAGTCCCTAAAATTGGCCAGGCACAGTGGCTTACTCCTGTAATCTCAGCACTTTGGGAAGCCGAGGCGAGTGGATCCCGAGGTCAGGAGTTCAAGACCAACCAGGCCAACATGGTGAAATCCTGTCTCTACTAAAAACACAAAAAATAGCTGGGCATGGTGGGGGGTGCCTGCAATCCCAGCTACTCAGGAGTGTGAGGCAGGAGAATCATTTGAACCTGGGAGGTGGAGGTTGCAGTGAGCCGAGATCGTGCCACTGCACTCTAGCCAGGGTGACAGGGCGAGACTCTGTCTCAAAAAAAAAAAAAAAGTCCCTAAAATTGACATAACCTAAGTAGCACGGTAACCATGAGTATCCAGCCTGTAAGAATTCTTTGTAAAGTGGAGAATGTCTAAAACTTATATTTCATGCAATGGTTGTTTTGGTTATTAGAGAAGTTACCTCATCCTGCCACATGTCCATGTTTTTGAAGTAATTTAGTCCAAAAAAGAAAAATAAAATCCAAAAAGCACTTCTCATATTCTTATAGAATCTTAGGTAGCACGTTCATACTCTCTAGGGCAAAGAAAATAAAATGTTAAAAGAAAGCCCAAAAGCCACGAGCATATTGTTTAGGGAAACTTGGGGTGTTGCTTCACCAGCCAGAAAACTCTATGGCCACTGGTGCCTTTGCCTGAGTTTTGCTTGTCTGGATGAGTCTGGGTTTTTTACGGGTTTCAGAGGGGAAAAGTGTATGCTGACTCGTCCATAGGCAGCCATGGGTGGGCCTGAAAAAAGAGCCATAAGTTCTCACTCCAGTCTGCAGCCAGGCCCCCAGCCTTCAAGCCGCCCTGGCTTGAAGGTGGGGCTTCACGAGGGACCTGCCCCTTTCTGCCCAGGAACCTGTCTGCCTCCGACCGCTGTTCATAGTGCCCAGGCTTATGCTAAGGGGCAGCTGTAGGCCAGTGCCAAGCTGCCCTCAGCCCCACTTCAGCCTCCCTCCCATGCTCATCGGTGCCCAAAGTCCAGAGGGGGCTGAGGCAGCAGGGAGCTGGCATCTCAGCGCTGCCGTGAGCGTGTGTTCACCTGGCCAGGTTGTGACAGCGCCCTGGATCAGCCTCACCTTTGCTTTGAGATCTGGCGCGGGAAGCAGGGAGAGGCTAAGCAGCAGGACCAGGCATTTCTGAGCCCGTGTGGGCAGGGAGGCTTCCTGGGTCCCCAAGAGTGAAGAGATGCCTGGGTCCACAGCCATGGGTTGGGTGGCTATAGCTGCGACTGGGAAGTCAGGGATCCTGCCTGCTCCCGGCCCCCAAGTGCACAGGGATGCCTGGATCCACAGCGCTAGCTTGGGCAGCAGCCGCTGCACCTAGGAGGGCAGTGCTCCTGCTTGCTCCGTGGAGGACACAGTGCCAACTGCACCTCCCTCACTGCAGCTGGCATCACGGCAGTGGCTGCTCCATATGGGCCGCCACTGCCATCAATACTTTTGCCATAGGTTGTGGAACAATTCCCCAAAAAGGAAAATGTTAAGTTCTCAAACTCAATGTGTCCCTCATAGTTAAATGTAACTTATAGCTTTGTGTATTATTTTAATACTACTACTAATAATAAATAGTTACAACATGCATAAATATACTTTATCATATAAACACACACATATGGGCCTTTCAAGACACAGATTAAGCTGGTAAATATGTATTTACATACTTCAAGTGGGGATCAGTACAATGATAGCTGATAATGTCATCCATGTATTTAGAGAGTTTAAAATATGGATTATCAACAAGATGGGCCATAACATTTCTACTGAGGCCATTACAATCCAGGATGTAAACACACATAGATAATGCAGGGGGAAAAAAAGACCAAAAAAAAAAAAAAAACAGCTTATATACAAGCAGTGAATTAAAGCTTTCTGGGAGCTAAATACAGGATACTGGTATATATTTAGAAAATGATTTGTAAAGAACTTGGAAAAAAATTACTAAACACGTAATACCTTTTCAATAGCAAAACCAAATTTTGTTTTGTCTAAATATGCAAGGAAATCTCAAATGTCAATAAAAATTAGTTAACATATTTTGTTAATAAGCAGATTTCAATCTCGCTGACTGATAGAATATATGAATGCCTTTTTTCACTACCAACATGTTGACCAGATGTTTTTTTAGCCACCTAAAATACTAGAAGTGGAAAACAATTAAATCACCTAAAATAATGTAAATATTTCTTTCATATTTTTAAAAACTGTATTTTTAGGAATATGATTCATATTGTTTGTCTTGTGAGAGTTATTACATTCCTTTTTCTTTATTTTTCTCTTGCTTTATATTTTATCTTCGCTTTCCTTCTCGTTCACTTCTTGCCAGAAATAAAATTATTATTCACTGTATTAAGCTAGAGTCCCTTTGTATCAGGTGAATATCCATCTCTGAAAAACATATGCCTATGACTAAGAAAGTTTTTTAAACACTGAGCAAAATTATCAACAATTTTTAAAGTATATTTTCTTTTCCTTGATTTTCTATGCAAAGGCTGTAATAGTAAAACTTGCTATGAAAGAGAACAAAATCTTCCTCTGGGCATTCTATCAATCTCTCTCCCTTTCTCATAATACACACACACACACACACACACACAAACACACACAGAGTATATCACTAAATCCAGTTTTTCCTGATAAATAAGATAACTTATTAAAAGCTGATTTCAAAATTCAAATGAATGATTTCCCCCATTTTTCTGATCAGGTAAATAAATAAATATTAGAAACTAGACACACAAAATAAAAATATGTCTAAATAACACATCTTCTAAGTTGAATACACTAAACCTATTAAGTAACCTCTCTTTTAGAAAAGATTTGCATTAATGTTGTCACCAAAAAGATTGATTTAAAATCATTTTCATACACCTAAATATTCATGTAAAGCATTCAAGTTGTTTCTTTAATAAAATTGATTCCATAATAGGTTGTTTTCCTTTTTACTGTGATTATAAGCCATTTTAAAGTAAGACATTTGCTATTTCACACCAACAAGTTTTTATAAAATACATTTCTATTTGTATGTATTTAAACTGAATATCCCCCCTTATGAGGGGGATGTGTTCTAAGATCCCTAGTGGGTGCCTGAAACTGCAGGGGTTTTTTCTCCTGTACATACATACATAATAAAGTTTATAAGTTAGGCACAGTAAGAGATTAATGACAATAACTAATAATAAAATAGAAAATTCTAACAACATACAGTTCAACAATTTCACAAATAGAAGATTCATTCTTACAGATCTTAGCAATCTCAGCATACTATTTTTTTCCTTGTTAATTCCAGAGCTTTCACCTATTAACTTAAAAGGAAGCATTTTATGACGTCTTTTCGACATATCTGAAGTGCCAGCATCACTACTCATGAGCTTTGGGGGCCATTATTCAGTAAAATAAAAGTTACTTGAACACAATCATTGCAATACTGCAGGTCAATCTTCTACTAAGTGACTAACGAGCAGGCAGCATATAGAGCCCAGAGACAGAAGATGCACAGGCCACATGGGATGGAGCAGGACAGTGTGAGATTTCATCACGCTACTCAGAGGCGGCAACGTAAAAGTTATTGTTTATTTCCAAAATTTTCCATACAATATATTCAAATGGTGGTTGACCATGGGTAACTGAATCTCCAGAAAGGGAAATCTTTTATAAGAGGAGCCATTATGATTATTTGTGTATTTGTGTATGTGTGTTTATGTTTTTAGTTTGATTCTTCCACTATCTCTGATTTCTTATTACCCATGGCTTATAAGAAACACCAATCTCCTGTATTTCAGCGTATCTCCTATATCCATGCCTAAAAAGCAAGTAATATTTGAATAAAAGATGTATTGCTTTTACTTAAAAGAATGATTTCCCCTCCTATTTTGCTATATTAGAAGAGAATATTAAAAGTATTAAGCTTAATAAAAATAAGCTATATATATAATTATGGGACATTTACAATTTAGAAATAACTAACATACTTTTTAAACTCTACAATTACATTTTTCACCTCTGCTTTTGCTAAAACCAGACAAGATTATATTCAAGTGGCCATTCACATTTTATTGTTTTCTTACATTACCAAAAGATAAAAAAGTCATTTTAATTGTTTGTTAGAACTTAATCAATCAAACATTTACGCTTAAAAAGCATTAACAGCAGATCCTGAGTAGTATAATTTAATTGGTTTAATGTGGGAGTATTAATAAATATCCACACTCTGTCACTAATGGCTAAATATAAATAGCACTCTACAACCCAAATCTTATCATCAGTATGCAGTTTAGATAACACCACATACTCTGGGAATATGATTTCTAGAATGTATAAGAGGAGCCAAAATCGGCCGGGCGCGGTGGCTTACACCTGTAATCCCAGCACTCTGGGAGGCTGAGGCGGGCGGATCACGAGGTCATGAGAGCGAGACCATCCTGGCTAACACGGTGAAACCCCGTCTCTATTAAAAATACAAAAAATTAGCCGGGCAGGGTGGCGGGCAACTGTAGTCCCAGCTACACGGGAGGCTGAGGCAGGAGAATGGCGTGAACCCCGGAGGCGGAGCTTGCAGTGAGCCGAGATCGCACCACCGCACTCCAGCCTGGGTGACACAGCGAGACTCCGTCTCAAAAAAAAAAAAAAAAAAAAAAAAATAGAGGAGCCAAAATATGTTTTCATTGGTTATAAAGAGCATACAGTAACTTCACTACCAAATATTCTGTGTGATCTCCTTTAAGTTAACAGTTCTAATAAATTAGCGTTTTAGAATATGATTCCTTTGTAGCAACTTTTATCATCTATTCAAGTCATAATAATTGGGTATCCAAAGATTTCTATTGCTTAATTTTTCTTCCATGGTAATATATTGATGATATATGGTCATTTGACCAATATTACTATAACCACTACTATTAAGGTGCAAAATCCAGTGACATTCATCTGTTCTGTTAAACCAGAAAGAATACTTAATTTGGCAATGCATGTGGTTTTGTTAAATTATAGGTTGCAATACATTCTTCTTCAGGGTACAATGAATTTGATGAATTATCAGGTTTGTATCTACCCAGGTGTCCTATGGGATCCCATGTGATAAGACATTCAAGGATGATACCATATATATATGAAAATATATGACTATATATGACTATATATGACAATATATGACATCTATGACAATCATAGGTAGGTATATATATATATATATATATATATATATATAGAGAGAGAGAGAGAGAGAGAGAGAGAGATTGCAAATCTTACCTGGGAATGCCTTTAAGGCATGAGTGGGATGGGAGAACTGTGCCGCTTTAAGGTAATGAAATCTAGGAGAATCAGTAAATCTAACATCCAGCCTCAGGGAAGAATGTGTGATTAAGTCATTTGAAGAAGGCAAAGGAGCAGAAATCAGAGGTGTGTAATTGTGATTCAGACTCAGTGCCAATGAGAAATGAGATTGGAAGAAGTCTCTGGTAATATAAGGAGCTACCAATAGACGCTGCTTTTATCACCCGTAAGTCTTCAAGAAGAGCTACCAGAAACAGACATTGCTGAGAACGATGACTGACCTTGGTGCTGGCACATTAGCATACAGGGAATGTCAGGTCAGGCTGCATAGATGCCTGGGCACAGCTGTTCTTCAGTATGCATCACTCTACAGGGAAGGAAAGGTCAGTCCCTAGCGGCCACTTAATATCCTGGGGGAGAAGTAGATAGTTGTTCTTGCAATTTTCCACTTACCAATTTCCTTTTTAGTGGCACAAAATTATTGTTATAATAATACAATTATTGTTGTATTATAATATTACAACAATAATTTTGTGCCACTAAAAAGGAGGTGCAGAAATCTTGACTGATTGCTTAAGAACACTAAAGTGACACCACTAGAGAAACATATTATTTTGATGGTAAGGTACAACTATCAGAAAGTAAGTTCAATTGGCCAGTCATGGTGGCTCACGCCTGTAATGCCAGCATTTTGGGAGACTGAGGCAGGCGGATCACCTGAGGTCAGGAGTTCAAGACCAGCCTGGCCAATATGGCGAAGCCCCATCTCTACTAAAAATGCAGAAACTAGCTGGGCATGGTGGCAGGCACCTGTAATCCCATCTACTCAGGAGGCTGAGGCAGGAGGAACCTAGGAGGCGGAGTTTGCAGTGACCTAAGATTGTGCCACTGCACTCCAGCCTGGGCAACAAGAGTGAAACTCTGTCTCAAAAAAACAGAAAAAAAAAAAATGTAAGTTAAATTAGCAACATAATAGGAAAAGACATTAAACAACAAGGCATGGTTATCATTTCCTTTGTTCAGAAAGTTATCTGATAAATTTAAAATCTATTGAAGTTTCACTTAAAGATGATAACAAAAATGATTTCTTCCCTTGATGTGAAAATATATTCCAGTGATTATCCCCCTCATATTTGTTATTTTCCATTTGCAATGACTGCAAATTCTGACATGACTGTACATTGAGCTGAAGCATTAAAAAGTTTTAGTTCAAACAAAGGAATCAATCTTTGTAGGAAATATTTCTGTTTGAAAATACGCCCAGCTGATCTTTCAGATATCTTACATGGAGTCTCCTGTTCTTCTCAAGTTATATCACAGTGTTAAATGCTTTGAAATAGTGTACTTACAGACAAGCTAGTCTTTTCTGAACTGAAATTTCGGACCTCCTTGAGGAAATTCTGCCTCTGACAACTTACATATTTTCAAAGAAATGTTGAATTAAACCAATAGAAATCTAGTTTAGGTTCTTCTAACGCCTTTTGAATATGAGGCAATGTACCTACTTTCAAAGAACTTGAAAATATAAAGTATAACAAAAGACAGGAAAGCATGTGAGAAACTCTTCTAAAATACATGCTGCCCTTAGACAATTTTCCTTTGAATTCTGCAACAAAAGCGTTAGTATCTAGAAATATTTCAACCTATTAGAGAAAAATAATCTCCTCTGACTGAATTGCAAAATTCTCGTCTGTATTATAAAGATTCACAAGCTCTTTAAAACAGAAATACAAATAAATTTATTGATAAAGGGCCTATTCAACATGTAACAGTAGGTTTATACAATGATGAATTGCAAAACTTCTCAAAAAAAAATAACTTAAAATGAACAGTGATTTTTAAAAGTAAAATCTTTAAATTGTATGTCCATACTAAAAATTTAAGAGTTAAATTACACACATCTATGAGAAGTATGTATTGTTTCATCTCTAGGAGTTTAGATTCTGAAGTTAAACTGCCTGAGTTCTATGTAACACCCACCCGCATCACCCTCACACACACACACACACACACACACACACACACTCATTTTATTGACTCTGTGACCTTGAGCAAGTTATTAGGTTGGTGCAAAAGTTATTGCGGATTTTGCCATTACTTTTAATAACTTACTGTAGACTTGGGTTCTTTGACAACCAATGGCTTATACTAATTTGTCTTAGAATTTATAGCACAACAAAATGAGAATATGTTAAAACTCTTTTCTTGGTCTGCTAAGAAACTTGACAAAATACTGTGGACTAGGTGGCTTAAAAAACAGAAATTTAATTCTCACAGCTCTAGAGGCTGGGAAGTCCAATATCAAGGTGTCAGCCAATCTGGTTTCTGGTAAAGTTTCCCTTCCTACCTTGCATATGCAGCTGTCTTTTCCCTATGTCTTCATATGGCCTTTCCTCTGATTGTGGGTATGAAGAGAGAGCTCTGGTCTCTCTTCTTCTTCTTATAGGGACTTTAATTCTATCAGTTCATGGCTCTACCCTTATAACCTCATTTAACCTTAATTACTGCAATAAAGGCCCTATCTCCAAATAGTCACACTGGGGGTCAAGACTTCAACATATCATTCTACAAGGTAGTAATAGTAGGCCTTAATCCTCAATCCATAGTAGCTCTATATGCTGATAACTATTATAATATTGATGATGATGATGATGACAGTGATGATAATGATAATGTTGCCCACTCACTAACAGAGGGACATCTTCCTAGAAAGTGTCATTCAGCTATGTTATCTGTTAGACAAAGACTCATTAATCATTTTCCCTCTCAATCTGTTGATGTAAGCATTGTTAATCATCCTTCTCTGATCTTAGTTTCTCTCTTCCTATTCTACTTAAACCCTATAAAGGTAAAACATTTAATGACCTAATTACCAGTTAAAAGAGAAAAAGAGAAGGTGTGAACAGGAAAGATACATATGTATAATCTCTCATTTTCCTCTTGAGAACTGAGACTGAGAGGAATAACTTCTCCAAGGCCAAATTCACAACACCCCTTCCCCCAAAGTGACACCCTTCTTACCAACTTCATCTTCCTAATAAGGTGATCAGATATTTTATAGAACTTGTTCCTGGCCTCTCTGAAATGCTGATTGCATTTACTTTGGCATATTTGTAAGTAAAGTTTCTTTGGTAACATTCATGTATGAACTTCATTTTCTTTTATGCTCTAAGTCGCATGACTCAAGTAGACGGTGTACCATGTAATCTCTATGCCAAATACCTGGGATACAGGTTACAAATACAGATTCCTGAACTCCATAGCAAATCTACTTGATTAGACTATCAGGAGGTGACATCCACATATCTATACATTTTTTTTTAACAATAGAGTCCTTAGGTGATTTTTATTTACACTGAAATTTGAGACACAGCAAACGCAGAAGGAAAAAAGAGAAGAAGAGAAATAGTAAGAAATTACTTGAGAAGCTTGTTTCTTTTCATTAACAGCACTAAATACTCTAATTATTGATGTAATCTGAACATTAGAGATAAGAATATAAATTATAATTTTAAAATCTGTAGAATTATTTTCTCCAGTATAGTACAGAAATAGTCAAAAACAACAAATGGTGGTTATAAAAAAAGTTAGTTTACCAGTCAAAATCTGAATAGTAGCAATAATAATAATAATAATAATAATAATAATGATAAAATATACCAGTTAAGTAGTAGCTGATTCTAAGAGGATCTAAAGAGTGCTAAAATGACTAGGAATCTTTCTGGTCTCCATTCCTTACTCTCAGCTACTTCACTCTTTCCAAATTTCAGATCTCAGTGTTTCCTTCTTTTCACACTCTCCTGCCCCAAAGCTTCTGGAGTCCCATCCATTTCCTTTCTCAGACCTCCAGCAATGCCTTTGATCTGGAGGAGTCTCCATACCTGTCATTCATCAAATGAATGTGAGTTCCTAATCAATTGCACTAGGGATATATATTTTTAGCCTTTCAACTAGGAACTGTGTTTTCTCAAGGAAACATTGTTGTAGAAGGTGGTTCCAAAAGTGCTATTGGTGTTCTTTTTCCAGTGTAGTTTCACTATGAGATAAATGGGCTTAGAGGGGCTGGTTTAGGACACTACCTGCTGTGTTTATATAGAAAATTTCCAAAAGACTCACTTACAAATAAACCTTGGGATAATGACTGATTCATAAATCATTTCCTTTTTTTTTTTCAGGAGACAGGGTCTTGCTATATCACCCAGACTGGACTTGAACTCCTGGGCTCAAGCAATCAACATGCCTCAGCATGCTGATTAGCTGGGACTAAAAGCACATGCCACCACACCCAGCTATGAATCATTTTTAATGGGAATATACATTGAGAAAACTATGAAAATATTTAAATGATGTAAATTGGAGAAAAATATAGCCTCACAAAATATACAAAGAGGAAAATATTATTTTACATTTCAATAGCATAGTCAAAGATGTGAGGTAAAGCTTTGAACATGAGATTCAAAAATCAAAGAAGCACTAAAATGTAAAATGCTGTTCTTTTAGCTACTAGTATTGCTCTTTTGTGAATAATTGAGTATTGTACTGCTTATAATGAGAAGTATAGCATAGTGGTTGAAGCTTTGAACTTGAGCAGACATTGGTTCCAACACTGTCTAGTCCACTTGTAGTTGTATGACCTTAGTTTTATTTCTTTAAGCCTTTACTTTTCTTTGTCTGTAAAACAGCAGTATAGTCATGGCTGCTAAATGAATATAAAGTCCCTGACCTGACATTTCTTCAATAAATGCTTTCGTTATTATTTTTTATTATAAAATCATCTTTGTACCATTGCTCTCCTAAATGGTTCTGAATAAAGAATCTTCATTATTCATGGATTCTATATTCGTGAATGTATATACTTGCTAAAATTTGTAATGCACAAATCAATATTCACAACATTTTTGCAGTTATTCACAGACATGTAGAGCTCTGAAAAATTTGAGTCACGGATGCACATGTTCCCAGCTGAGGTTGAACAAGGCAATGCTGTTTCAGCTCTCATATTGTAACCAAGTGTCTTTTTTAATGTCTATTTAGTGCCACTTTTTTTTTTGTATGTTTTTGCTTTTGTTGGTGATTTTGCCATTTGAAATAGACCCCAAACATGGTGCTGAAGTGCTGTTTAATGTTCCTAAGCACAAAAACTCTGTGATATGCTTTACAGAGGAAATGTGTTAGATAAGCTTTATTCAGGAACGAGTTATATTGTTGTTGGCCAGGAGTTCAACGTTAACGAATCAACAGTATGTGTGAAATAAGGTGTCTTTAAACAGAAACGTATATAAAACAAGGGTCTGTATTGATTGATATATGGAAATGTAATCAGAGTTTTCCAGGAACCCAAATCTTTATCTCCCCTAGGAGCAGCGTTTCAGAATTCACAAATAAAGTGCTTGAGGTGACTTTATAGAACATAACTATTGCATATAACAAGACCTGAATGCATTCCTTTCTAAATGGAAATCTAAACACAGAGTTTGAAAATTTAGGTAACACTAAATTCCCCTTTCTTGTACTTCATAAGTAACGAAGTATGAGGAAATTATAAAAGGTGTAAAAGTGGGTTTGGCATTGTGCTACCAATGCTAATGGGAAGATGACTTGTCTGTGCCCTTGGATCATGTCCTTGTGATTCTATTGTATTTAACAATAATGTGAATTTGGTCCATGAGAAAGATGTCATTTCTCTCATTCACTACAAAATGATAACATAAGATGAGTAATCAGCTCCAACCTTTGCCTTACAACTAGTATTTCAGAAATGAATAATGGATTACGGATTGCTGTGTTGTAATAATGTCTTGATTGATTGTTTCCTTAATATGTGCTGAGTGCTGACAAAGTACAAATCTCCCAATCTGCTGTGATGGGACCACTGTTATTAAAGAGTACAATTATGCTTTTGGAGCCTTCATTCATTTTCTGATTTTGCTAGACTTTTTCTTGAAGAAATATAAACAGCTCTTTAACTGACAAAGTACTGAAATAGTGTACATATATTGAGCTATTATTCCAGACACTATGTTAAAGAATATATATATATAGCAAACCTCTTAATTATGTGTTATTATTGTCCTTATTATCCCAACTTACTGACAAAAAAGGCTCAGAGAGTTCAGGAATTTTCACAAAGTGAATGATTGATAAAGCTGGGAAGTCAAACCCTTGGATAATGTACTGGTTTACTGTCTTTTCTGTTCTTTTCACAGGGAATGATAATTTGTTGGTATTTATATATGAATAAACATAAAAAACTCATATACTATCTACTTGTGTAAAAATGAGACATTTTTATCATGGATAAGATCTATTGAAAGGATAAAACCTTAGAAATTCTATAAATGACTTCAAAATAAAATAAAAAGACATGAAATCATGAATCTCAAAAAAATTATGAACATGGTTTACTAAGTTTTTTTATAGAGAGGTAAATAGAGAAAGGTGGATTACTTGAATACACTATAGGTATAGGTTTTTACTTCAATAAATACTGTTTTATCTTCAGATTTTCTTTATTCCTTTTACTTTCCATAATAATAAATGATTTACTAACTTCAATAACGCATATAAATAGGAACCTTAAAAAGTGATAGTGTCTTGGTAATTTCTCACACATTGAGGCAGGTTTGACAGATAATAGATTAGTTTAAACTAAAGTTTTTATTACCATCTTAGAGACTGTAAAAGAAGAGTAAAACACACTGCACATCAAGGGGCTATGAGAAAGTTGCAGGTAATCTCTTTTCAACTTATGAAAGCAATGGGAGTTCAAATGCATGTAAGACACTGAGCCTTGCACAATAAATATGGAACAAAGTAATAATTAGTTTCTCTGATCACTTGAAAATAGGTTATCAACCACAATAAATAACTTATTTTGAAAAAAATAGTTTCTGCCTTGAAAGTATTTTTAAAAACCTGTAGCAACAATAACAGGAAGTTAATTTTCTCCCAGTGTTTTTTCAGACACAGGATATGTGTTTTTTCTCATTATCCTTCCTCTGAAAAATCAAGAGTCCCCATTAAAATTTTTTATAAGAGGTTTATCCACCCTGTCCCTTTGATTAGCACTATTGCCAGAGGCCCACAAATTAGTAGGCGATGTAAGCCTACCATGGCGTTATAAAAATAAAACTTTTATTGTAAATATGGATTTTCAGTAACCGTCTTAGCATTGATATTAATAATATCTTATGCCAAACGTATGATATTCATCACTTAATCTCATCTATACTTATGTGCTTTCACCAAAATAGCGTTTCTACAATCATATACCCTAATAACCAGGTACAAGTCTTTTTACCTTGAAAAGGAATGGATTTACCTTGTAGGTGGGGCATACACTATTGAACATTTCTTTTTTCATATAAAAATAAAGTCTTTCTCTTCAAAAACCACATAATTGAGTATAAGGAATCTGTCAGTCTCTGTATAATATTCAACATCTTAACCCATCAACCTCTTCACTTTAAAATAATTCTGTATTATTTTAGTCCTTTTAATTTTTTATTTAACTTTCTATTTTTCAAGAATTTAATCACGCCCATTAAATTTCTCTAGCCATGATGCTAAATTCTCTGCATCTATCTTAACTTCTAAGGTCCCTGAATGCTAACAATATTTGATAGCAAAGTCTTTGAAGAGGTCAGAGGCTGTTGAGAGAGGTGTGCTTTATTATAAATCCATAATGTATGTTTCACGTTTGAAGTTCAAAGGACTAATTTACCTTGGAGCAAATAAGCATTATTCCATTGGTACATTTGGTTTACTGAAATCCCTTAGAAAATAAATGAGCAGTCAAGAATTTTGTTTTCATCTTATTGATTAGCAATAAGTGTGCAAAGGAGTGAGAGTGGAGGAGGTAAGAAAAAAGAATCTGAAGAAACAAGAAAGCAGTCTATGAAAATGTAGGTGCTCTACCTGTACATTGCAGAAAATTGGTGTGCTAAAAGCAACAATGTCTAGAGGTCACCAGGAAACAAATACAGAACTTTATTCATATTGACCTATTGATACCCTAATATAAAGTACATATTTTTCATCAGAAGTTTAAACAAATTCATTCTTTATTTGGGGGCTGTATATTCATATATTTTTTTTCTATGTATAATCATCCCATTCCGACTAAATGAGTGATTTCAGACTGGTTAGTATTATTTGACAGGGAAATGAAATGTAGTACACATGAAAGCTTCATAGATCATTTTGTCCCATAATTATTTCTTACAAAATATGATCCACACACTGAAAGTACAGCACCTTTTCC
The DNA here is from genome assembly GCF_000001405.40 of Homo sapiens. Lineage (NCBI taxonomy): Eukaryota > Metazoa > Chordata > Mammalia > Primates > Hominidae > Homo > Homo sapiens. The sequence goes on from NC_000013.11 coordinate 66,857,847, forward strand.
TCCCAATTCATAGACATACTGATATTATTTGCTTTGTCACAGCAGTATCCCCAAAGCCTCAAAGCCAGGGACAAAACAAAAAACACGCCCTCAATCATTGAGCTGCTTATCTCCTACCTTGCGCCTAATAACCCAGGAAGCATCCCACTATCAAAGTGCTGGGATGACTAGACTCTGTGGAATCTTCCTTTCATCAAATTAGTTAATGTGCCTTTAAAATAGCATCCTTACTAAGATAAATAACACAATTAAATTACTAAAGTCACCTCTGCCTCTTCCCAAAGCTTAAACATTGTAAATTTATTCCATTTTTATTTGATTTGTTTTTTCTCTTTTGATTCCTAGAGATTACATTGTGGAGAGTATGCCATTAAATAACAAGCTCCATAAACCTGATAAAAACAATAGGACAGTTATTTTCAAAAACTTACTTGAGTTTTCGTTTTGTTTATTTTATCTAGAAATCAGTTTTGATCCTTATAAACTTTGCTTAAATTACGTCATTGTTCTTCTTGTGGTACAGATGAAATGTCCAAATTCGTTAGATGACATACAAGGTTACAAGTGGCCTGTATTTCTGTCTTTTCAAATCCATCTTGTGCCATGTCCAAACCTAACACCATTGGGCCAGCCACTTTGATTACTTACACTTACATTAAGCCTAACACTCATTGGCACATAATTTCCCTCTGTGTAGAATTTCCTAGCTTCTCCTTCTTCTTCCTCCCCTTTTATTTCCTGAATACTCTTTTATATTTTAAGAATCAGTTCAAATTTTAACATATCTTTGAAGCCTTCTCTGCCCTGCCACCTTCATATCATGGCAACCATGAGACAGAGTTTGCTAAGTATTTCTGAATATTCCTAGAAATTTCTATTTTATTGATACGAATTTAATAATAAATTAATTGTAATAATTCTCACAAGTTGTAATTATTTGTTTACATGTCTGACTCCTTGATTAGGTAACAACTCCTCACACTTCTATTGATATTTGTTTCACAGTGCTTAGAAGAATGTCTGGCTGACAACAGACACTTAATGCCTCATAAAGCCCCTTCTGTTGTCTCTCCGACTTCCTCTGATATCAATTTTATGATGTCTACAACATCACTACATAGTTTTATTTAATATTTTACAGTAATTATTGGTATAAATGAGCTTTGTGAAGTCGACTGTTCAGTGCCCTGAATATCAGCTGCTTGAAAACATCTGAAAACAAAGACATTCATTTACATCTCTGTCCATGTTACCCTCCTGAACATGTGTGCCTGGTAAGTCCTGATTTTTATAAAGAACAACAAATGGCTGTCATGTTAGTTTACACATTTGAAAGTAGAAAATACAAGTGAAACTCTTTCTTCTCCCAATCACTAATTAGACCTTTCTATTTGCGGGACACTCGAGACTCTACTCCACCACTGTTAACATTTTCTTTTTGGTGTAGTAATAGGTAGTATGATTCATCTTTCCTTTGGTTGGCATTTCCTCATTTTAATTTCTATTAGTGTTTGTATTTGAACAAGAAGGGCCTTTTAAATGCCAACTCTTAACTAACACTTCAGCTTACATACAGTTCAAGGGTAAAATTTAGGTTAGGTTGATTAATTGTATTTATGCAAAATCTTATAAAAACTATCTATGGGTTTTACATTCACTATTTAAATGCTCACAGGAAAAGAAAGTCTGCATGTGTTTTCAGGCACAAAAATCATTTGAGTGCAACTTTAGTGAAGAAACTTCGTGATTAAACCAGTATATAATACTGTTTCAGGTAAAGTAATATAAAGTAACCAAAGTTAAATGAAGTAATTTCTTCCTGTATCAATATTAACCTGAGTGTGAAGGCATTTCTAAATGCAAATTTTAAAATTATTTTGAGAAAATACAGTATAAGAGCAATTATATAATCCATGAAGAAGGTACATGCGGAGAATTCATGCTGGTGTCATTGTCACATAATTACTGATTGCTTTGTAATCCTTTGTTTTTAAGGAAATGCACCCCTACTAATACAAAAGTTAACTTGTTTGTAACCTAAGAAAGCACAAGCCATTTGAATGAAATGGATTTTCAAATTTTACAAATTTACAGACATCTGCACCCTAGATTTATTATGGCCTGCTGTATTTTTAGGTCGTTAGTCAGTCTGTTGCACTACAAGGTAGATTGGGTTATAAAGAAGTATATAGGGAATTATGCAGTAGGCCAATCATTCAATGTTATGTAAATGAAATGAGGGTAATAGAGTCAAGGACGCCAGAGCAAACAGTTTATATTTCCAAACAATGCCAGTGTCCACTCCAGTCTAACAAAGCCTGTCCTGAGTGGCGTCTGTTTTTGGCTAGGGATAAAAAGGAGAATCTTCTCCCTCCTAACCTTCAGCTATGTGAATGAACCCACAGTCCATAAGACCTCACTCTACCTAAAGCTATATAAGCATTCGCAGCAGCTTCTGGAAAGATGCCACTTCTGTGCTTTATTGGCTGGGGGAGGGGAGGGGTGGTGGAGGGGAGCTGCTACCCTTGTCCCAAGGTTCAGCTTGCTGGTGAACATAGCTAACACCAGTTTCCGGTCCCAATTTTACAGGAAGCTAATATAAGGAGGCATTGTGGGAGGCTCCCGTCAGTGCCACAGCACTTGATCTGAAAAGACATGGAAAAATTCAAATTCCAAAGCTGTCAGCTTGCAAACTTTCAGCAGAGAGAAAAGCCTCACTTTAAGAATGTAAACAAGGACAGTGAAGGTCTTGCTATCTAAAGATATCAGCATGCAAGAAGTGCTCTGGCAGCTTGAACACGCTGAGGCAGTGGCAAACCCCAGTGTCCTGTTGTGAGACTGAGCCTACCTTAGAGACTCATGGCACTGTCTTCTTCCTGCTAAGTACTTTACCTGTGATTGCAATGGCAGATTCTTCAAAAGAGCGAAACAGAGGTCTAACTCTTTAGAAGCAGCAGCAGTCTCTCTGAAAGAAGCAGTTTGGCATTTCCAGGGGAAAGGTCATTTCTTTACACCTCTGAAGAGGATAGATAACAATAATAGAAAGAATATCAGGCATGAAAAGCTACATTTTCCTAGACCCCTAAAGGAAATCATGACACAGCTGTGAAGCTGGTACTATGAGCCAATGCACTAATTTATCCCACTTGAGTGCATTGACTTTCCTCTTCTCTGAACTGGCATCCCAGCTGGGAAAAGAAATGTTTACTGAGACTTGCTGAATTTTATTAACAGGTCTAGTGGCTCCTTCTAAGTTGCAAAGAAGAGGTACCTCTAGTGTAGGTGAGATATGGGGTGGTGTGAAAATCACCCAAATGTACTTGAAAGATAGTACTCTTGTGACCCAAGGAAGGATAATATCGAGTTAAGTGCGGCACTTTCAGTTCATCCAGCATAAATATCAGTGCCAAGGCAATCACATGGAGGGCCCTTGGGATACTGGGGTGATAAATCAGAACTTGGAAGGAAGCCTCCAAAATTACCCTGATTGCAGTGTCTAAGGAACAACTGATTGAGCCCTCTATTAGAAACTTTTCCCCATCAGAAAACAGAGAAATATTTTGTCACACATTATCTAAAAGAGCTGCATTGTTACAGACATTCCTATTCAATTATTTATATATCCTCTTTCTGGTAAATCTCATCTGATTCTCTCTCCTTTCTAAATGTCACAAGTTTTACTCTCCCACTGGCACTGATGTTAACATTTGAAGGGGGAAAAGGTTGTACTTAAGTTTAATAGATTTCATATTTAATAACGTAGTCAATAAAGTCTGTCCACTTAATCAGTCAAAGGCTATTCCACTCTGGACAGTAAATGCCTCCAGTGGGCCATGTTGCTTCCATTACATACAACTCACCCATTATTTTTAACTCTAAGAAAAATATTTTAATATTTCCATAGCTTTACATGTCTATAAATAAATAAAATGGCACTACTTTCAGAGAAATGAAATAGTGCCGACATTATACTTCATACACTACCATTAACAAAATCACAGGACAAAGAAAGAAATTCACATCTGTATTGAAGTTGACGGTTTCAAGCCCTTGTGGAAAAAAAAATATTGTTATACATTTTTATCTCCTCTCTTTTCTCTTGCAATCCCAATTTTATAAAAGAAAGACTGCTGCAAAAGTGAGAACAAAATGAGAATTCCATAACCTAATTATGGACTTTAACAGTCTCATTTGTTGTTTGTGTCACATTGAACTTGCAGCAATATGCCATCATTAGTCATAGCAATATTATTCTAAACAGTATTAGCAGCATGGCTCTGTTACCTTTACATTAGCTTTGTAGTCATTTAAATAATATGTTCTCAAACTTCAATTACCAGTGCCTAACAATCTTTGGAGAAAGGGATGGTGCATGTCCAAGCATTTCTTTTTCTTATCTTGTGAGTGTTCTATTAGCTCAAAACAAAGTGCATGCAAGAAGAATCACTGCTGAAACCTTCAAGTCAGCAAAGCATCTACTCGTGGCATATGTCTATAGTGTGTGGGTGTAGGGTTGTAAAGCATGATATGTCTAGCAATTTTCAGAATCGAGAAATTGAGAAAAATACTGTTTTGTTAACTGAGCACCTATTTCCCTGTTATAGAGGAACAAAAAGATTTACATTCCCTGCATCATTGCTTATCACGGACTCCCATATTCTTCTGCTGTGTAGACAGCCTGCACCCCAATGCCTGTTAAATTTAAAACTCCTGCTTTAACTTGATATGGATAGATGTATTTTACTTTTGCTAGTTTTATAGTAGTGCAATGAAAATTAGTTGTTTATTCTTTATTAACTCTTTTTAAACTATCTGAAATGTAAACTGCTAAGGAAATGAAGTCCATTTTTTCCTAATTTACTGAATTTCAGTTGAGGGTCCCCTTCTCAAAAAGAATGACCTATGACTCATCATTGTTGTGTCTATCATTCTCAATTAATAGGTATGTGCCACTTATTCTGTATATTGTCATTTTAATAAACACCCCAGTAGAAAGAATAGTTATAAGATAGCATAATTTTTTTTAATAACAAAAGAAAAACTAAATATTGAAAAATGTATTATATATATTTTGGATATTTGGGAAAATAAAAATTTGTGTTTGTTTTTAGCAGTCCATCACAGGTAAGAAATTCTTATCTGTATAATATTGCATGTGTCTTAACAGTGGAATGTTTGAAAGTCACATTTTCAAGTACATAACATTCTATTTCTTTAAAAATAGTTGGTAACTTTAAAATATGTAAATATTTGTACTCAGAGGCGAATTTAAATGTACAATAGGGCTGCAGTAGTGTTAATAAACAAACAAAAGCAAGATACAAATAAAAACTGCTTAGATTTTAACTCTGGATCTGTTCTCTCTGGTAATGAAACTTTTAGAAAGTTGTCTAATCTATCTGGACTTCAGTTTTCTCATCTGTAAAGCAGTGGAAATAATAGTAACTACCTCAGAATTTGATTGTGAGGATTAATTGAGATAATGCATGGAAAATGCACTTAGTATACTGCCCAGCAAATAATAAATGATCATTAAACAAATCCCAGAAAATCGATTTATGAGTTTCAGTTGTTTAAATAAAACGTATGATTAAGTATATTTTGAAACTGACTTGGTATAATACCCATTTTTGTTTATTTGTTTTGTTTTGTTTTTCTGAGATGGAGTCTCACTCTGTCGCCCACCTGGAGTGCAGTGGCAGGATCTAGGCTCACTGCAAGTTCCGCCTCCCGGGTTCACGCCATTCTCTTGCCTCAGCCTCCCAAGTAGCTAGGATTACAGGCACCTGCCACCATGCCCAGCTAATTTGTTTGTATTTTTAGTAGAGACGGGGTTTCACCGTGTTAGCCAGATGGTCTTGATCTCCCGACCTCGTGATCTGCCCAAAGTGATCTGCCTCACAAAGTGAATACCAATTTTTTTAATGTAACTTTATGAACTGTGACATGCAAAATTTCTAGGGAAATTTTGGTACTATAAGACATCGTATTGGTCCGTTCTCCTGCTGCTCGTTTATAAATTACCCGAGACAGGGTAATTTATAAAGGAAAGAGGTTTAGTTGACTCACAGTTCAGCATGGCTTGGGAAGCCTCAGGAAACTTACAATTATGGTGAAATGGGAAGCAAACACGTTCTTCTTCACATGGTGGCAGCAAGGACAAGTGCCGAGTAAAAGGGGGAAAAGCCCCTTATAAAACCATTAGATCTTGTGCGAACTCATTACCTATCACGGAGGTAACTGCCCCCATAATTCAATTATCCTCCCAGGACACATGGGAATTATGGGAACTACAATTTAAGATGAGATCTGGGTGGGGACACAGCCAGAGCATATCAGATATTATGGGACATTATGATATAAAGATAGTTCATAGGATTATGAGAAGTCATAGTGAAAACATTCTGCATGGCATGTCTCATTTTGTTGGTCACAATGGCAATATTTCTGAGGTTCTTCTGTCATTCAGAACCATTCAGTTCCTGAGGTTCATGCCAGGCACCTCCCTCTCCTCAAAAAGGGGGGTGGGGGGCGTGAAAAGACAAAAGCAAATATCAGATGTTTTGACACAAGACCAACTTTATTCTAAAATCTGCATAGGCTTCTTTTTGGTGGTTGTGTTATCCTTTAAGTTATTTAATAACAGATGTGATTGTGGATGATTTACTCTCAATATCTCATTACATCACTATCAAAACACATTTCAAAATGTATTTGGACATTTAGAATGTTTGCTATATTTCACTTTATCCAAAATGTGTGAGCAAACTAATTTTCTCCATAGTCAAACTCTGCCCACTTTTTTCCTGCCCCCAAAATTTCTCTGGAATTCTCTCTTTCCCACTAATCACAAGGCTCATTTAGTGTTTTGCAGGTGGCTGGACTGCACTGCTTGTTTGTTTGTTTTAGAAGTGAAACTAGGAAGCATTAATCAGATCTGAGGGTGTTTTATTTTGTGCATCGTTTTAAAAATGCAAATAAACTTGAAAGCTGACCAGTTGCCTGGAAAGTAGCAAAAATGAACAGGTGTTGAACAAAAGTACTAAGAAAGAAAGCCCAGCACATGTTCTCAATCACTTTGCCGTGGTGAGAACCTGCAGGAAAGACGAGAACTACAGAAGGAGGACAAATACAAGAGAAAGAATTATGCCAAGATCTTTAAATCAAATTCTTCTCATTAAGTTTTGCAAATATATTAAAAATTAACAGTGTATATCCCTAAAACAGAATCTTCATACTTTTATGAAGTTTTTGCTTCATAAAATAAAGTTTTATTCTTTTCCAAAAGATACTGTCTAAATAGTTTGGAAACATGGCCAAAAATTTTAAAATGAATTTTTAGACGTGGTTAAAATATTTGACCCTTAAGTATATTACAGGCACATTAAAATCCGTTGTACTCATTATGGGCATTAATGGACACTTCAGGTATGTGGACACATTTGCCTCACAAGAGAATACTAATAATGTACCAACAGGCCATTCAATTCCAGGATGTTGTATTTCATTATTTTTATATATAGTCAAATTGTTCTTTACAATTTTAAACATTTCTTTTCATGCTGTCATTATCAATTGAATTTTGTTTTACTAAAATGACTAAATAATTTTATTCGAGTAAGTAGAACCTATGGAAAAATTATATCTTTTGATCCTTTTCAGCTTTTCTTTTACAGGGGCAGTTTTAATTATTTGATTTTTCCATTGGTCAGAAGTATTAGATAATAGACATTTGATAATTTCCAGTGGGTCTCTGCTAAGACACTTCACAAAATGTATCTTCCCTCTGGTGTAGGTATGCCTGATGAACATTACAGGGAGGGATGTGGGATGCATTGGAAATGTCCGCTTCCTTCGCACTGTCCTATGGTAAAGCCTCATTCCAGTGTGGTAGAGATCATTTTCATTTTATACTTCTTTCAAGTTACTTCCAAAGTAAACTCTTGAATTATGGCAGCTGTAACAGAATTTATATGTAGTAACATTAAGTTGTCAAGTTTTTTGAAAATGCACCTTTTCTGTTTTTACAAATAATTTGAATGAGAAATGTATATGGCCTGTGTAGAATTCAAGGCTATCCTTAAATTTCGTTGTATCAGGTTCATTCGTTTACCACACATTTTCATTTTTATTAAACTTTTCCATTTCTATACAAGAACAAATTGTGAATAGAAGCTGTGTGGCATATTGCTTTGCTATGGTGGGAGAAAAGTGAAACAAGAACATGAGAGAAAAAAAGGCGGGAATAAATATGTGCACACAATATTTGTTGAATCAGAATCACTTTAAACCTGTTCATCATCACTCTGTCTGGGCAATAAATGATGTTGGAGACAAAAATGTAAAACTTGCTCGGCCATGCGCGGTGACTCACGCCTGTAATCCCAGCACTTTGGGAGGCCGAGGTGGGCTGATCACGAGGTCAGGAGATAGAGACCATCCTGGCTAATACGGTGAAACCCCGTCTCTATTAAAAATACAAAAAATTAGCTGGGCATGGTGGCGGGCGCCTGTAGTCCCAGCTACTCGGGAGGCTGAGGAAAGAGAATGGCGGGAACCCGGGAGGCAGAGCTTGCAGTGAGCTGAGATTGCGCCACTGCACTCCAGCCTGGGGGACAGAGCGAGACTCAAAAATAAAAACAAAAACAAAAAAACAAAAACTTGCTCATGGCTGGGCATAGTGGTTCACGCCTGTAATCCCAGCACTTTGGGAGGCTGAGGTAGGCGGATCACTGAGATCAGGAGTTCCAGACCAGCCTGGCCACTATGGCGAAACCCCATCTTTACTAAAAATACAAAAATTAGCCGGCCGTGGTGGCGAGCGCCTATAGTCCCAGCTACTCAGGAAGCTGAGGCAGAAGAATCACTTGAACCCAGGATACGGAGGTTGCAATGAGCCAAAATTGTGCCACTGCACTCTAGCCTGGGAGACAGAGCGAGATTCTGTCTCAATAAAATAAAATAATAAAATAAAACAAAACTTGCTCACATGTATGTGGATACCATCATTTCACAGTAGAGAGATATATTTCTGACATTTCTGAAATACAGTAAGTCTTATAAGAAAGCACAATTCTTCTAACAAAATGGCATATTATTACTGGAAAACCAAACACTAACTGTGGATGGTTTTCAAATTGTTTATGTTAATGACCAAATCAGTTTCTTTCTTTTTTTTTTTTTTTGGCATTTAACAATTAATAGCGCTGAGGGCTGTATTGCTCTTTCAGTTTTGTATTTTGAGCTTTTTATTCTTGAACTCACACAGAAAGAGAAAACTAAAAGATAAATGATCATTCTCTTGTTAGTGGTTATCTCTCAGGTCCTAAGGATCCATTGCAAAGTAAGTGTTACTCACAGTTGGTCTTCATTTAAGTTAAAATCCCATTATACTATTTCCCAGTTTCTACTGAGGCACATATCTAAGGATTATTAATGTTCTCTCTGGTGATGTTTATGGATGCAGAAACAGGGAACAATTTGTCTCAATAAGAGAGACTAAGACTGTAGAATGATATTTGGGTATCTAAATATTTAAAATACCTAATTGCTTATCTCTAAGTAATATATCCTCCCTTTAGGGAGGCTGCAGTGTGTGATGTTGAGCTACTGAAAAGGACATAATTTAATATTTTCATATGAATGATCAAATGCAAAAGATAAAGCAGAGGTATGTATGTTTGATGAGAATAGCTATGAAAAAAACCTTAAAAACATAGAACGTGCTGAATAATTGAAAGTGGAACGAAAAATAATTTATTAACCCATGCTATTGAAAAATACAACCAAAATGTATTATCAAGGGATGTATATTAACCTATCATCTTTCTTTGACAACTTGGGTTTTGCTATTACCAAAAAGTAATCCTTTCAAAAACCTTATAATGTTCATAATGTGAATTTATAATGTAAATCATTTTGTTGGGATCAAGTATAGAATCTGACCCTACAAGTGTTATGAACTTTTTGAAAAAAATCCTTTTTTTTATCCTTCTGTCATTGTTTTTCATTTTCCTTTTAAAATCAAGCATAAAAAGCCTCCTGTTCTTTTTGTAAGTTGATGGGCAAATTAATGTGGATTTCAATTAATTTTATTCTGATTAAGTAAAAGCATACTTTATAGTATGTATTCATATAAATATAATTGGTAGATTGCTGAAATGTATATTATTTAAATAATAAATTAGCTAAAATTAAAATCTCTTTAAATAGGTTTCCTAGACTGATTTACTGTCATAATATAAATGACGAAATGTAATGAGTGATTCAAATTTCACTGATATAAAGTGACATCTGACAGTTAATACTGGGTTCCTGAAACTGCTGCTAAAATGTAATATGCAGTACAAATTTAGCATGGCTAAATTCAATACTAGTCTATGAAGATAACAGTACAACTGGGCAAATTAGGTAATTTTACCATGACAAAATTCTATAATTAGTTTTATAATTACATTTATTTACATGGTGAATTTTGATAACATTGACTAACTCGTTTTCAAGTCATCATCAAATTTTTTATAGAAGATAATATACAATTATAATGAAATACTAGAATCATTTATAATCATTGGCTGTGGTTTTCATATTCTCATAGATACATTTACACAAATTTACCAATGTACTTTTACATATTTTTAATAAATATTTGAGGAACATCAACCATGTGCAAAAAAATATTAAGAACTGAGAAAAAAAATGTGTTGGGTGTTCTGTGGAAGGTGTTCATACTATTTATCTGTCATCATGTGAAGAAAGAACATCACAGACATGAGCGCATAGTAAATAAAAACCAACGATAAATACTTTACCTGTGAAATTTGCCAGTGAAATAAATTTGCAGTAAAGTACAATGATTAAGAGACATATGACATGAAATTATGGCAAGAGTAGATTGAATCCTAGTTGGTAAATTTTGTTCACTTCAAGGCGAAGTTGGGAAAAATTAGTTGTATATCAGACTTAGTGAACAGATATTACATGCTTACCATTTGCCTGACACTTTGCTAGGAATTGTAGTTTTAAAACGTGAGAAAAATATGATTATCTTTGAGTAACTTACAGACTAGCATGATAAATATACGCTTAAGAACTGTATATAATAATGTAATATAAGCAAATGTGTTATGCTGTGGGAGAAAAATTTATTAATTCATAGGTTTGGCTCAACTGACTATACAATGAAATTCAGATTATATTAAACCACATAATATTTTCTTTTATGAGTTTACTCAATGAAAATAAGCATACATTCAGTATCTTTTCTCAGTCAGTCATGGTTCAAGACTGCCTATAGTAAGATGTCCTTCATCACAGTTCCTGGCCCCTCGCTAAAGATGGGACACTTGAAGAGGTGATTGAAAGGTGACAAAATTAAAGCTGATTTTAACAATTAACAGTAGTAGCAATGAAGAGTTTTAATAGTGTCCTTGCATTAAAAGAAACTTCATCATCATCATCATTGTCAAAACTGGCATTTCTTGAAGGCCTACAGTAGGCTAAATACTACTTGTATTTATTTGTTTTATTTTTGCAACCCTTCTAGGGAAGAAAACTGAAGCATCTTTTTCTCTTCTCTTTGAAGAGAGGTCAAAAAAATTTCCTAAGGTTTTACACCAGAAGCAAAAGAATTGGGATTTAAACATAGATTTCTTAGATTATAAAGACTGGAATGTTCCCTTTCTAAATTGTATTGTTTCCCATCTTTCTTTTTTGCCCATATGCTGTTCTCTAACATAATTATTTTGAACAATGATAATATTGATGCAAAAATCTGAGGACTTATTCTGCGTGTCTTTATGTTTAGTTGCTATAAAAGAACTGTTAAAAAATTAGACTGGTGTTTTATTGCTGGTGAAGTATGTGCTCATTCCACTTGAATTTGAGAAACCTCGTCAACAGCACCACGTCAACCCCCAGCACACAAACATATACACACTCCCTGTCACCCTTTTCTTACTTTGTTCACTACTATTTCCTTAGTAGCTAAAAGACTGGGATTAGAGAATCAAAAATATTTTGGGATGGAAGGAAAGAAGAGAAGTGAAGGTAAGAATGAGTCCACAGAGAGCAATCAAAATCAAAGTCTTACTTGTCAATTTTGGCTTTTGTTGCCATTGCTTTTGGTGTTTTAGACATGAAGTCCTTGCCCATCCCTATGTCCTGAATGGTAATGTCTAGGTTTTCTTCTAGGGTTTTTATGGTTTTAGGTCTAACATTTAAGTCTTTAATCCATCTTGAATTAACTTTTGTATAAGGTGTAAGGAAGGGATCCAGTTTCAGCTTCCTACATATGGCTAGCCAGTTTTCCCAGCACCATTTATTAAATGGGGAATCCTTTCCCCATTGCTTGTTTTTCTCAGGTTTGTCAAATATCAGATAGTTGTAGATATGCGGTGTTATTTCTGAGGGCTCTGTTCTGTTCCATTGATCTCTATCTCTGTTTTGGTACCAGTACCATGCTGTTTTGGTTACTGTAGCCTTGTAGTATAGTTTGAAGTCAGGTAGCATGATGCCTCCAGCTTTGTTCTTTTGACAAATGGGATCTAATTAAACTAAAGAGCTTCTTCACAGCAAAAGAAACTACCATCAGAGTGAACAGGCAACCTACAAAATGGGAGAAAATTCTTGCGACCTACTCTTCTGACAAAGGGCTAATATCCAGAATCTACAGTGAACTCAAACAAATTTACAAGAAAAAAACAAACAACCCCATCAAAAAGTGGGCAAAGGACATGAACAGACACTTTTCAAAAGAGGTTATTTATGCAGCCAAAAAACACATGAAAAAATGCTCATCATCACTGGCCATCAGAGAAATGCAAATCAAAACCACAGTGAGATACCATCTCACACCAGTTAGAATGGCAATCATTAAAAAGTCAGGAAACAACAGGTGCTGGAGAGGATGTGGAGAAATAGGAACACTTTGACACTGGTGGTGGGACTGTAAACTAGTTCAACCATTGTGGAAGTCAGTGTGGTGATTCCTCAGGGATCTAGAACTAGAAATACCATTTGACCCAGCCATCCCATTACTGGGTATATACCCAAAGGACTATAAATCATGCTGCTATAAAGACACATGCACACTTATGTTTACTGCGGCACTATTCACAATAGCAAAGACTTGGAACCAACCCAAATGTCCAACAATGATAGGCTGGATTAAGAAAATGTGGCACATATACACCATGGAATACTATGCAGCCATAAAAAATGATGAGTTCATGTCCTTTGTAGGGACATGGATGAAATTGGAAATCATCATTCTCAGTAAACTATCGCAAGAACAAAAAACCAAGCACCGCATATTCTCACTCATAGGTGGGAATTGAACAATGAGATCACATGGACACATGAAGGGGAACATCACACTCTGGGGACTGTTGTGGGGTGGGGGGATGGGGGAGGGATAGCATTAGGAGATATACCTAATGCTAAATGACAAGTTAATGGGTGCAGCACACCAGCATGGCACATGTATACATATGTAAATAACCTGCACATTGTGCACATGTACCCTAAAACTTAAAGTATAATAATAATAAAAAATAAAAATAAAAATAAAAAATAAATAAAATTAAAAAAAATCAAAGTCCTGTTCACACACGATACTCTTAAATTCCTCTTCACACAGAGGAGAAATTGAACATAAAGCATAAGAATAGTAAGATGATCATGATGGTCTACCGTAGTTAGTCCCTCTGTTACTTATTGCTTATTAATTATCACTTTTTGTGATGGTTTTCTAATTCATCCTTCTAAATCAGGATAAGATTAACATGTATTAATCCCTCTATCAATATGCAGCCAGATTGGTCTTCTACCGTACATGTATGGCACTGTCACTAACAGCTTAATGTTTACATTATATATATTTGTTATATGAGGCAAATCTTGATCTATCCTTGTGCAAATTTTCAGACCTATTTCCCGGCAGGCAGACAAAGTCAATGTATTTTCTAGCCTATTTCATTACCACCCCCCCCTCAACATTTCTTATTCTCTTTGTCTGAAACATACTCCTCTACTTTCATTGCATAACAAATTTAACCTTCCAGGCACAGGTTGAAATTTATCTCTATGGAATACCTTCTCCAAGCTCCACAGTTAGAATGAGCCACAATTCCTTTTACACATTTCCTCTGGAATATTTGTAAAACTGCATTTTGATTATTTTAACATGTCGTCTACTACTAGACTTTGAACTCTTATAGAACTGTCTGAAACAGCACTAGAGACTGAAGAGTCCCCATAAAGGACATATGACTAAATTATGAAAGTATATGCCAAATCTGAGGACAGTGTCAAAATTAATGATGTTGCTGATATATTGTAGATCTTTGACTTCAATATGGTGAAATATAGCTTTCATTATGTGCTTCAACTATGTTATTGCCAGATTTGGATGAGTATTAGTAAAAGCAATTTATTTTCATTGAGTTAGTGAGTCAATTCATAGGGCAACATAAGATTCTACTTTTTTTCCATCCAGAATTTTCACATGCCCTTTTCAATTCTAATTTTGATGGATAAAGTTGAAATAATTTTACCATATCTGGCTGTGCTCATGTCTTCAGCACACATCTAGCAAGGATATAATGTTTAGAGAAGCATTAAGCATACAGTAATTCTTTACAAAATCATACAGTCCTAGGAAAAGGAGCATAGTAAGTTAAAAAGTTTAAAAACAGCACGAAGAAATTTTATTAAAATTTAATAAAGGCTTTTTTTACAATAAATTGTGTCCTGTATTTATTCTCTTAAAACATTATTTCATATCTTTCATATTATATTCTTCAGTGAGAACAATTGAATGCAAAACTAAAAAATCAATATGATATTTTAACACAGGTATCCCATAGGTCAAATTCTGTGGGATTCAACTTGCAAGTCTTTGAAATTAAATAGATGTGCTCAAATATATTGGCTAATTGAATCTCCTCTACTTCTCCCTCTAGTTATATACATACTCAAAGAACGTGCTCTTCTGAAATCAGAAATATTTTTGAGAAACAATACCTGTAAACTTGGATTGTAGTGTCTGAAAGGATGATGGCAACATACACACTGATTAAATATAGAGATGGCCCACACCATTTATCTATGAATGATGATAGGAAGAAGATAGCTTCTTATTTTTAATTTATAAGTCTAAAACTTGAGTTCTAATATCTAACCTCTTAATGTGTATATAGATGCATTTGTAAAAGTTACCTTTAAATATTATAAAGCATTCCTTTTCTCCCATTTATTCTGAAAAACATTACCTTGGCAAGTTAAGCAAAAAAGTAAAGTCAACCTAAGCCATGTCTGAATAAGATCTTATTTTTGTTAGCAATATTCATGCGTCAGTCTACTTTGTTATTTTATGTTATAATTGCCTGCTATGAAATGTCACCCTAATATCTATAAAAACATTTAAAATAAAAATTAAATTATAGGGGGAATGACATTTTTATATATTTAAAATATGCATAAGCTATTTTCTCTCTACTTCATCCTACATTTAAAGTATAAAATCTTAAGCATTCATAGGGGAAGGAATAGTGAATGTCAAACAATCCAATTTATTTTTAAACATGAGAAATGCATTACCAAGGACGAGAAGCTCTTTACTCACCAAGCCAACCTGTTCCATTGTGGGCTTGATATTCTACTGTGGTTCTCCCTCTTTGAAAGATTTGTCTTTCAATACGTCAGGTTTTTCTCCTAATCTCCCTGTACAGGTTCTATTGAATGCTATAAATGTGTTTACTATACTTCCTCAAGATGATCTTTTTAATATTGAAGGACACATAGACAAAACATAGCTCCTCCCACACTCCCACTCCCATCCCCAGCTTCCCAAGCCTTCCTCTTTTCCAGATATACCATATTCCTGGTTGCCACAGGAAATGGGGTCCAGATTGCTTTGCTACAAGTGTTCCTCCTTTGCACACACTACACTCTAGATATGCGTCATTGAAAATTTGGTGCCCAGAATTGAATATAATACTTTATATATGATCTGGCCAATCTAATTTAAGGTCAATCACATCATTACATTTCTTCTTTTTCTTTTCGTTTCTTTTTTTTTTTTTCTTTCTTTCTTTTTTTTTTTTTTATGAGATAGCGTCTCACTGTGTTAGCCAGGCTAGAGAGTGAAGTGGCACAGGCATGGCTCACTGAAGTCTGTGTCTCCCGAACTCAAGTGATCCTCCCACTTCCACCTCCCAAGTAGCTGTGGCTACAGGTGTGTGCCACCATGTCCAGCTGATTTTTGTATTTTTAGTAGGGACAGTATTTCTCCATGAAATTTCTTAATATACATCCTGAGCATTTCTTAATCTGATGTAAGAGAATATTATCATTTTCAGTAGCAATCTAAACTTGCTGGATTATAATAGATTATGACAAACTCAGCCCTGCAAATCTTAACATCATTTTTTCAGCTTTACTGAAAAGCTAGGTCAAAGGCATTTTGTATTTACATTTTTCTTTGGCTCTAACTCATATTGAACATCACATGTAAGACTGTTATTTTTTGTCTTTTTTATTGTAGTCACTTAGAGATCATTTTTACCCTGATTCTGTCATCTGCCTTGTAGATTTTACTTTATACTATGTGCAGATAGGATAAACATACTTCATGGATCTTTACCACAGTCAGTCATTAATTAAAATAAGGCCAGTCTAAACTAGAGGCAGGGCAGCACTGTGCCCCCTAGTAAAATTTAGAACTCCTTTCTCTTGACATAGCTTTCACACAGTAACAATTATATTACAAAACTAAGAGAAGTAAATGAGATAAATGAGGATACGCAGGGAAACATTTAACATAAGATAGGTGCTCAGTAAATACACTTAGCATCATTATTTTGGGCCTGAAACAGTACATAATTCTCATTTAACAAGATAAGACGCATTTCAGCTGGGCATCTGAAGGCTTGAAGGCTTCTCTAAATATCAAATCCTCTGTTAAATTGTTAAAATGTTTCAGACTTAAAAGTCTATTAATTTTTTTTCTCCATCAGAGTTTTTGAGGTAAGGAGGCAGATAATATATTGTGTGTACAAAAGCAGCAGTGTGTGTGTGTGTGTGTGTGTGTGTGTGAGAGAGAGAGAGAGAGAGAGACAGAGAGATATGTAGAAGGGGGAGGGAGGAGGAGATAATGAGAAGTTATCAGAATTTTGGTATCTTTAGGGGAATTGACACTTCATAAATACATGAAATAAAAAAATAACTTCAGGCCACTAACTAACATCTATTGTACCACCTACAGGGTCAGTATCAACATCTCCCCTAAAGGAGCTAGACTTGATTATAAAACTTTTTCAAATATGATGCCAGCGGCATTCAAACAGCAAGATGACTTTGATAATTCAAGTAGCATAATTCAAACACATGGCTCATAAATGAGGGATTACAATACCACAACCCACTGTGTAAAAATCTGGTTACAGAACTCTGTGTGTGTGAAAAATTAATTTCATATTAGATATAGATCCACATGTATCTTCTAACAAATTATTTGGAATATTCAAGCATATGTTATGCTTGTCTTCTTATGCACTGTGGTAGGAAATTGTGCATCCCGCTGTTAGGTAAACATCAACACGTGTGGATTCTCACTGAGTGCACATGATGCCAGACACACAAAGCATACAAAGCACAGAGGTAAAAGGCTGCTTTGAACATTTTTCTTCTTTTCTACACGAGAGAGTTTGGGCAGTTTCCATTCCAATGTCTATTTCAGTGAAAAGAACTGCACTATGTATTTTTAAATGTCAACCAAGGAAAAATTCCCACTTACCATAAGAATCACGTTTTACCCTGACTTTTCTATATAATCCCATATGTTTGTCATCTAGATTCTAAAAAGTAATCTTTCTCTAGTTTATTTATAGTTTACTGCTAACAATTTACAGTTGTTTACAAATGCTAAAGGGTGAAGAGACCCTGGACAACTATTCATACTGGAATGTATAGATTATTAAAGTTGGTAATTTGGGAACTGGAATATATACTTGCCTTTTTCCCTAAATACTGTAAACACATGTTACGTGTCAGGCAGCCTGTCATGTCCTGAAGTCCTACCCTTCTCTTGAAAGACAGCCAATTCCAAATGCCTATGTTTTATAAAACGTTGAGTTTGGACTTTAAATTTAGATACTGCTGACCATCAAAACAATTCATCAAGACATTAAATATCTTCATTGCAAACTCGGCTATCCATCGTGCTATCATATGAATGATAAATGTATTGATAAGTGTCTAGTGGGAATTATCACAATATTTAGTAGTTGATAAAGTTATTCATTAAAATATTGTCATAACTTACTAAAACCAATAGCCAGAGTGGATTAGACTTAGTACTATAAATTACAGTGAATAATATTCATCAAGAATCAGAGAGTAAGAAAGTAAAAAAAAATATTCAATTACTGTGTATCTGTCTTTCTCAGCATAAACATAAGATCATAACTACAGATCAGATATTCAGTTACTGCTGATTAAGAATGAAAGTATGGCATAACAAATAATCTTGAATTAGAAGGAGTAAGGTAAAAAAAAATACAAAACATCATGTTTCACATTGTTAATTCAAATCCGATTTATTGACTCTAAATTAAAATACATATCTCTGCTCTTCAACATGCCAAAAAGACCAATGGAACTTATGTTTTAGTAGAATGAATTTGAGGAAATGCCTGTTTATCCAATGTCAGATATTTGATTTTTGTTTTTGTTTTGTAGACATGATCTTCATGGGCAATTTTAGTTTAAGTACACTGTCTGTAGCCTAATTCATAGTCAAAACTAAAAGTGAATCATGAAAATTATATTATTATGTCAGAGGAATTAATTTTTGAAATCAGTAGAGAAAAGAGGTTTCTAGAGATTAAAATACTTTAAACATCAGCAGGCAAAATGCAACCTTATAGTAAAGAAAATCTGATAGTTTCACAAATACTATTTTATTAATATGGCGATATTTTTCAATGTCCTAAAGTTACATATATCTTTGGAATATTGTCCAGGAAATCAGACAGCTCTCACCACTTGATATTGGATCCCTCTCACATACGGTAAGGGTTTTACAATCTAACTATGAAAATAATACCTATCTCATAGATTTAACTGAGTAGATTAAATACGACAATGTATATGAAAGCTCCTGACAATGTTTGATGTTCAATTTAATCTTTACCAAATTGAAAAAAAATGCATTAACTGAAAGATAGAAAAGTCAGTCTTTTAACCATCAAAAAATATATTTATATTTAAAATAATAAAAGAGACCAGTGTATGCTATTTTTGAAAATTTAGATTTCTATTATTTCTAATACTAGACATGGTCTTCATGGACAATTTTAGGTCAAGGACAGAGTCTGTAGCCTAATTCATAGTCAAAACTAAAAGTAAATTATGAAATATATATGTTATATCAGAGAAATTATTGGAAATAGTATTAGAAATAATAAAGCAAAATTTAAAATATATATATAATGTGACTACCATTGGATTACTTTCTCTCCTAGAAGGTTTAGTGGTTTTTTTTTTTTGTTATTATTTTTTTAAACCTCAAACTTTCAAAGGTTCCCAAAGTGCTTTTAAATTCAAGGAGAATCCTGAGTCATAAGTGGTCAAAGAACTAGAGAATATGAGCTTACATAAGCCTTGGAGTCACCAGATTCAGTTAAACAGGCGTTTAGGGGTTTCCTCTGGGAAAATGTGCCTGCATTCTGCCCATTCTGAGATTCAGAGATTTGTGAAAGCAATCAGATCCTTTTTACTACAATTTTTCCCTCTAGGCATCTTATGGTTAGTTTTATGCTTAAACCAACACCTTAGTCAAGGAACAACATCTTCATTGGACTGTACCTTTCAGGTACACAATGTTTGATGTTCATAGAGGGAAAAAATATTCTTCAACTCCTTAGAACCTACATTTTTTCTTTTCTCTGGTGGGTGGCTCCTGCGAGTTAAAATACCTTATCTGGCACTGTATTCTTTTGAACTCAGTAAAAAATAGGGAACACTTCCTCACTTCAATGACTCCCACCAGCCCTTTCACCTTACTGGGTTCTTAAATTAACTTTTAACTTGCTAAACACAGAACAAAAATTAGAGAAGACAAAACTTTTCATCTAATACTCTCTTTTCCTTGATCAGCATTTGACACCAGTCTTCAATCTAAGAGATTTTTTAAAACTTTCATGAATGTCTTCACAGATAGTGAAAGATACAAAAATAATGACTGAGTTCTAAGGGAGAAAAAAGAAGATGCAGAGCATGAAACAGTGAGATGAGTAAAGGCAATCCAATTCATGAAGAGGTTAAATGTAAGGGCCGTGGGACTAATTTTTTATTATTATTATTTTATTTTTTATTTTTATTTATTTATTTTTTTGAGATGGAGTCTCATTCTGTCGCCCAGGCTGGAGTGTAGGGGCATGATCTCAGCTCACTGCAACCTCTGCCTCCCTGGTTCCAGCGATTCTCCTGCCTCAGCCTCCCGAGCAGCTGGGATTACAGGGGCCCGCCACCACGCCCGGCTAATTATCGTATTTTTAGTAGAGACAGGGTTTCACCTCGTTGGCCAGGCTAGTCTGGAACTCCTGAACTCAGGTGATCAGCCCGCCTTGGACTCCCAAACTGCTGGGATTACAGGCGTGAGGCATAGCGCAGGGCCGGGACTAATTTTTTTAAAAAGAAAAAATCTTGTATTTGGGCCTTGAACACCCGATTTTATCTTTAATGGAGAATGATGTTGGGTACAACGGTGGAGACAGAAAATGAACAACTAAGTTGTAGCATCTTTGGACTTGAAAGTGGAATGTGAAATAGGTGACAAATTATACATGTTAGGACTTAAAATAGACAAAGTGTAAGAGAACTCTATTTATAAACAAAGGTATCTGCAAAGGAAAATCATTGGGGATTTGAGATTAAGGAGGAATCTTGGTGGGCTTAATAAAAAAGCAGAGATCAGAAGGTAAAGGATGTGGTATAGAACAAGCAAGAACACTGGAAAGATAGCTTCAAGTGTTTTGTAAGGGTTCTTTTCTATTGGGCGTCCACTAACTGGGCAGTGCATCACAACCACAGTAAACAATTAAACAAGGAAATGCATGCATCAGTGTGAATAACGTACGATTATGATACACTGTCATTCAGCATAACAAGGAGGAGGTATCACTACAGAAACAGTGAAGCTCTTATGTGTGAAAGGTATGCTTCTCTTATGGAGTAGACAGTCATTTTGGAAAAACACTTAGTAGATTTGCTGTCAGCTCATTTAAAAAGAGTAGAGAGTAGTGCCTTATTCTGGAGTCAAATAAAAAATCTATATATATGCACAATTATTAATTATATTTCTTTTATTTTGAGTTTTGTTATGTAGTAGGAATTCCCACTTTCCAAATACTAGCGGAGGCATTCTCTAGGGTGGCAGAAAAACAAACAAATACAAATCTTAAGCTAATTTTACAACTGGCTACATAATTGCTTTGGCAACAGTCATAGACCAGCCTCTACTCCAAAATGTATTCTTATATTGAAAATAGATGATTAAAAAAAACAATATGCCTAGAATGAGGGAGCCTGGCAGAATAAATATGATTGCTTTCCTTGTAGTCCCCAGTGGTTGGCTGCCATTTTTTTTCTTCTGTAAGATGGACATACACACACATCATTACAGATGACATGATAGCTTTGGAAAAGAAACTAATGCACTTCCAAATATCAAATAGCAATTTAGGATTAATTATGTATAAATAGCACAAATATGAAAGAAGTACATTTCCTCACCTTGTTCATGTTAAAAATAACCTCAACTAAAAGATATCTTTGACAAAAAATGGCTCTACTTATTTTGTCCAGATGTAGAGATATGAAAAAAAATGAAAGGAAATCTCAAAAACGCATTTGTAAGACAACACAACAAATGTCTAATTGAATGAAAAATCATTGCAATTAAATGTACAATAGGTTGAAAAATTCCTAACACAATAAAATTAAAAAGCAGAACAGGAAATGAAATAAGACATCCTTTAGACATTACTGACACATTTAAATAATTTTAGTAACTTGGCTTGAAGACAAGAAAAAAAAACAGTTTATTACAAATGAATGCAAACAAATCCTGGAACCAACACACAAACAGAAGGAATATAAGCAAATCCAAAAAATGCTCCAGGGTACAGGACAAGAAAGAAGATGTTTTTATGGAAGGAAGAATAGCTGCAAAGCACTCAACTCAATGCATAGCTGCAGTGAATAGAACAAACAAGAGGCTGGCTGCATTGTGCTATTGAAGTACAAAAGAATAAATCAAAGTAAGTGGAATAATGATAAAACACTGCTTGGATTCATAGTACTTACTATATAACTAGCACTTTGTTAGGAAGCTATGGTGAGGGCATTACTTTTGATATCCATGAGACACTAAACACAGCTGCCTAAAAAGCCCCTGGGTACAATCATCCTATGAAGTTCAAGCGTAAGACATCATCATTTGTGAATAGCAACAACTTCAAAATAGATGAGAATTGATGAGGGATGAGACAAGTGCCTTTCAAATGGGATGGTCTATTCTTAGTAATTAAAAACAGGCAATCATTAGCAGAAAGATTCTGAAACTTTGTTGGTTTACAGAAAAATAGTAGAAAAACAAATAATTACATTTCTGGATAGGAAAACCAGCTTACATTTAAAGAAAAAAAATCTGATTTTATTCAAGTATCTTTCCCAGCCTCTATCAATTAATATTTTCTAGTCTCAATATGAATAATCTTAATTGACTTAAACTATCTCAAGGTCTGACTCCCTTCTTAGGTCTATGCAAGAAAAAGGGATTCTTAGCTGCAACATGAGAAGAATTAACTCACAGTGTATTTCATTGACATGATATAAATAAGGCATAGAATGGGCACTAGGATCAAGGAACATATTAGGTTATTTCCTTTAACTTGTCATAATAATTCAAAAAATTAACTAGAGAGCAATTGCTTATTGCTAGAAAATTTCTGATAATATTGAGTGTGATGTTGTGGTAACAATTGCAGGTTCTACAGTCACAATTCAAATCCCAACTC
The DNA here is from genome assembly GCF_000001405.40 of Homo sapiens. NCBI lineage: Eukaryota > Metazoa > Chordata > Mammalia > Primates > Hominidae > Homo > Homo sapiens. The sequence goes on from NC_000013.11 coordinate 66,880,931, forward strand.
CAATCCTGTTGTATGACCTTGAGCAAATTACTACACCTTTTACACCTCAGTGATCTCCTGGGTAAAAAATGAAAGGTGTTAATACATTTTGAGTTTTCAATGAGATAATTCAATAATTCATGCAAAGTATTTCAGATATACCTGACAATAATAGGTTGTCAGCTAGTAGTAGTTAGACAGCCATCTATGTAATAGTGATCTACTAAATGCAGTTAACTGAACTATTAGTGAAATATTATAACTTGCAGTTTTGATTTATGAGTTAGGGAAGTGTTTTATATTAGTGTTAGTCCGTTTTCATGCTGCTAATAAACACATACCCAAGACTGGGCAATTTACAAAAGAAAGAGGTTTAACTGGACTCACAGTTTCATGTGGCTGGGGAGGTCTCACAATCATGGCAGAAGGCAAGGAGGAGCAAGTCACATCTTACATGGATGGCGGCAGTCAAAGACAGAGCTTGTGAAGGGCAACTCCCACTTTTTAAAACCATCAGATCTTGTAAGACCCATTCATTATCAAGAGAACAGCACAGGAAAGACTCACCCTCATAATTCAATAATCTCCCACTGGGTCCCTCCCACAACACATGGGAATTATGGGAGCTACAAGATGAGATTTGGTTGGGGATGCCAAGCCAAATCATATCATTCAATAAGGGATATATAATAATATATGATTCTGAAGCATATTACTTGAAGATATTTCACAAAATAAAATAACAAAATCATTTACAATGGGTTATTTTACAAGGTGTGGGAAAATAATATGTTTTCTAGAATTCTATTTCTGAAACTCCAGAATTATTTCCAATGCCTTCTATAAATATCTAATTTGTGTATATTCTTGAATTCATAACCATAGAAATGGGACAAAGAAATAAAACAGTGTGTATATGGAATTTGGGGAAGGAAATATCTCTAGTGTTATAGGGAGGTAGAACAGGAGAACTTTACAGGTTTATCTAAGATAACCTTAAGCAACACTTTAAAAATACATGACCTGTTCTTAATTTAGTAGTGACATTATTTTATGTATAAACTATTAAATCTGAGTATAACACAATCCTCTCTTTAAAGTAAATTTACACTTGTGTAAATGTAACTTACTATTGTATTGAATACTTGGGCTAGAGAGCCAAGCCGCTAAATTAAAAAACAAGTTGTGTTCTATTTTTGTGGAACACTGGTGTCTCAGAAGTTCTCTTTGTGGTAATGTCATCATTTCTGAAACTAACATTTATCTCATGTGCCATGGAGAAACTCTGGTTAACATTTTCAAAAACCTAAAAATATTCTACTGTTGGTCTAAATTGAAATGCTTGATTGTCATAATGTGCCTTTTATGTCCTTAATGAACTTCTCCTCCATAAATAATATTTATTTGTGATGTCAGAATCCTGCCTCTTCCTCTCCAATGCCAGGCAAATGATGCAACAAAACTTTATGCCACAGTTTTGCTCCTGCTTTCTCCTTCCAGCTTAACTTAATGGTTCCTCTCTACCTTTCCAAATTTTCTTCCTCCATCAAAACTTGGCTCTGTTTTTTCCATTTTTTTATTTTGTTGCCTTCTTGTTCCTGTACTCTAAATTGATTGTATTTATACTTTAATTCCATTCAATATAGCATATAGTTGCCCTCCAAATGTCATATATGTAAGTATAATTTACCCTCAATCAGACTATCACTTTGATAAATTTAATACAAATTTAATTTTGTATGCCATCAAAACATACTCACAAAGCAGCCACTCAATGGCAATGTGTTCACTGGTTTAAATCCAAGGTATCAGCAACTACTTTTTTACTATGACACAAGTTAATGGGAAAGAAGTCCCTTTATAGGAGGATGTTTACAAATATATAAATCTCATGAAACAAAACTGTCATCCACAAAATACCTCAGTGCATAAGGTCTATCAGCCCACATTATCTTAATTGAAGATAAATAATACTGACCTCGTGAAGTCCTCCACATTTCTTCCTTTTTATGATGTCACAATTCACAAACTCACAACTTCACACTATCTAGAGAATGACTTTCAAAGTCTTTATCATGACATTCAGTGTCCTTCAGTGTCCAGATAAAATTAAATACTTTTTCTCATTTTTCTCATCTTTTATTTTCAACACATGCTGCACACATTCAGTCAAACCAGGGTTCTTCACCACCCCTTGAAGCCCTGGACAAACTTTGATTTATGTTTTTCCCTCTGCCTAGAAATCCCTTTATATATATCTACATCACCTCTAAGGCTCTGATCAAATGCTACCTACGAATGTTCAATTATTTCTAGAGGTGAAAATAATAATTTAACTCCTTTTTAAACCTTGAACACAGCTGTGAGTTACATAGAGACTAAGGCTGGGTTTTAACTCATTTTTCATTATGCTTACAGTGTCACAGGTGTGTTGCCAGATATATAATCAGCACTAATGTGTGTGTGTGTGTGCATTTGTTTGTTTGAAAGAATGTGTCCCATTTTCAGGTATCCAATGAATGTAGAATACCTCTGTCTCCCTTTCTCTAACAAAAACAGCCATATTTCATTTGCTGACTGAAGATATTCTAACTCAGCCTTTCTCACATTGTGTTCCATGGACTACCAGTCCCATTAAACACCCCTTGAAATAATGGTTCTAAGCACAACCATTTCTTTAATGAGGGAATGTTCCTTTTATGAGAGAGTAATAAAATGCATTAGTTTATTAAAGGAGTTAAAAAAAGGCCTTCAAGAAAGAAACCTGGGGTTTTTAATATTTGCCTTTGTTACACTATGATATAGTGGCTGTGTTAGGATTTTGTGTTTGTGTTTGCTTGTTTGTCGCTGCTGCTTTTCCACAGAACACCTTCTCATTGGACATTGTTTGAGAAGTGCTCACTCTTCTCCTGTACACAACTGCATGCTTACACCTTAGCTCCTTCATTTCTAACCTGTTGTCTGTTGTTCCCTTCATCTTGAGCGTTCATTTTTTTTTTTTTTTTTTTTTTGAGTCCAAGTCTCACTCTGTTGCCCAGGCTGGAGTGCAGTGGCACGATCTTGGCTCACTGAAACCTCTGCCTCCCAGGTTCAAGCGATTCTCCTGCCTCAGCCTCCTGAGTAGCTGGCACTACAGGCACACACCCTGCCCAGTTAATTTTTGTATTTTTAGTAGAGATGGTTTCACTGTGTTGGCCAGGCTGGTCTTGAACTCATGACCTCAAGTGATCCGCCTGCCTCTGTCTCCCAAAGTGCTGGGATTACAGGCATGAGCCACCGTGCCTGGCCACTTTAAGCGTTCTTGCTTTTAATTTCCCACCTACTGAATTTCTGGTCATTATTTAAGATAGTTCTTAAAATTCATCCACTACTGGTTCTTCAACTTGGCCTCTATCAGAATCCAATTGTTTCTGTGTATTCCCATAGCATCTGCAATATAGTAATTAGCACATCGCTGTTAGGAATTTTAACTTTGTCTCTGATTCTTAATTTGTGTGAGTGTAATGTCCTGCACTCACCAAGCCATCCAAAGTCTTTGCAGTATTGAAAGAATCTTGTGAGTTAGGCTGATTTTCTGTAGACGTATGTTGAGAGACTGAGTTGGTGGTGGTGATGTTCATTTTGAAGGAGCAGAAGGTAAAAGGAAAAATAGCATAAGAAAAGGATTCCAAAGCAAGACTGGCTTTCCTACATTATAATATTTTTATTAGCTAACATACTGACAGTTGGTCAGACCATAAATGATTCTGTGGACTGACCAAGTTTGCAGCATTTTAAGGTATTCAAATAGAAGAGATACCTTTGAGGAAGAAGAAAAGGAAAGAAAGAAGATATGCCAAATGAATCTAATTGATTTAAGTTTTATCTTCTTTTTCATCTCCCAAAACATTACTGCATGAAAGAGAAATTTTCTTTACGATAAATTTAGGGAACTACAAAAAAATGACAAGTTACATTCTATGTCTCTCAAAAATATTTTAAAGCATTTATATTCTTATATTCTATTACTGCCTATCTCAGTAAGTCTTTACTGCCTGAATATTATTTCTGGTTTACAAATTCATATCAGCAATAAAATTGATTAAAATTTCTCTCTCCTGATAGTGTACTCCCTGTACCACAATATACCCTGAATTTTTCCATCCTCTGCCCCTCACTTTTGCTATCTCATTTGCCTAGACGGTACTACTCCCATGATATTTTTTTTCCTGATTAAGCTCTAATCTTCTGATGCTCTCCTAGTACTCTCTGATGTTCTGCTCAAATTACACAATTTCCTTGAGACACTCCTTGATATATCAGCCTGAATCTATCTCAACTTCTACTCTTCTTCCAACTTTTTGCCCTGTTAGAGCATACAGTTCAAAATGGGTGGCAATGAAGATGTATGTGTAGGATCTGTCTCAAGCTCTAGAAAACATGAGTGTAGGAGTTAGGAATTCAATAAATATGTATCTCTAAAATGCCTAGGAAAATATATATGTGTAGCAGTAGATAAGCAATATGCTAGTACATGTATGTTAAATTGAAGATTAAAACAATATACTTAATTAGCTGGGTTATTCTGTATTAAATGTACTTAGTTTTGAGCCATGATGATATAAAACAATAATTTATATTATAGAATATTTTTAAGATTTTGAATTCTTTATGAGAAAGAGAGAAAGAGTTCAAGTAACAATTGGGATTATGCATTTATATTGCCAAACTAGCTAATGTTCCAATTCACTAGCTGATGTTACTGAATTCTAAGATGCTTTTAGTTTAATAAAGGCCTTTTAGTCTCCTACTTGGTAAAACTTAATTTCTCCTCTATATTTATTTTGAAACTTATAAGAATAAAACTTGAAGTAGAATGGAAGAATTGTAATACCACTGATAGTAAATGGAGATCTCTGCTGGGCTCCAAATACCTTAGACCCAGAAATAGCTTATACTTCTTCTCACGAAACTGTTTTCTTTATCTAAAAACTAATTTGTATTTAAGGATATCTCTGCTAGATTTTTCCTCCGTGTTTTCCATATGTTTCATGCTCTACCCCATAGGATCCTCTGGTATTTTAATAAAATGCCATTTTTTTTCTCATTAGTGAAGTGTCCTCAGCAGGAAAAGCTTTAACCATGGATCGATTTTCACACCACGTTTCAATGGAGAACATGAACTCAGGTACAGTGATCACAACTGACCTTCTTACTGTTTTTGTTCTGTTAATTCATTTGCCTTTGTTGGGCCATTAAACTTATAAAAGGGAATTCTCTGTTTGGCTCTTTTTTAAAGGGCAAAGAGGTCACTAAGCTCAATCTCTGATCTGTGTTTTTCAGAGTATAACTGGCCAATTTCCAAAAGGTTTAGCTCACCCTGAGGGGTTGCAGAAAAGGAAGAGAACATTGGGTGAAAGAAACACCCCTTCTCTATTTACCTTCCAACCTCCCGCGCAAAACAAGCAGAGTTAAAATCAGAAAGGGGGCTGTGAGCATGAGTCTAGGCTACATAGGTGTTCCTCAGTGTCTGCAGCTGCAGCTTCTACTTTGAGCTTGCTGGAACTTGATTCTAAGTGGCTTTGAAAAGCCACTGAGGAGTTTGTGTTAGCCAGAGGCCACGAAAGCTGCCATCCACAGCTGAGTGATTCTCTGTTCAAACTGGGCATAAGCCCAATTTGAACAGAGAATCTGTTTTCTTCCTTCCAGCTCGAAAGGGTACATTTCTGTATACTCCCTCATTTGCAGGGGTGAACTTGGAACAATAATATTCATCTATGAAAGAAATCATAATGTTAATTATTATAACTAGGTATCAGTAAACAGCTAAGTAGCAGTGTGATATGGATGTGTGTGGGTATCTGAAGAAGCAGGCATTCTAGCCCCTTCTTTAAAAGAAAGATGTTTTTCAAAATTATTTAACATTCAGGAGCTAAATTCTCCAAATTATAAAGTGACAACAAACTATCTGAATATTCTACAATTCATGCACTCTGAGATACATATACTTTTGTGATAGAATTGCTGTGTTTTTTTAACACAGCCTTGAGGTAACTGAATACTCCCCGATCTCATTATTTCTTTTAACCTTTCTCTATTCTATTGTGTTCTCTCTCTCTCTAATTCACCCACCAACAAATATAATAACACACACACACACACACACACACACACACACACACACACACACCCTGTATTTCTAGACAATTCATTAAATTATTCCAGAAAATCTTCTAGCAATGCCTTTTTTTTTTTCTGGATTTGCAATTTTGGCACCGCATCACCAAGTTCACATCCTGGACCATGCCTTCTATTAGTGAATGTCTGGGCAGTCTCCCAATAAAGCTGAGCAGCTTCAGTATCATTAGTGGGATGATGGTATTTCAGTTCCTCTTCCTTTCATTCCTCTTTAGTTTACTATCAGTGCCACTGAGCTTAATGAACCAAAACGCCTGCTCATGCATTAAAAACGGAGACGTGCATTCTGCCCTAGAAAAAAAAAATGCTACGTTCTATTTTCTACAGCAGAGATTTTTTTTAACAAACAAAGTAGGAAAGGAAACACAAGTATATTTGTATAATGTGGAGATGTTAGTAAAGGCATTTTGAAATTTTCAAACAAAGAATGAACTAATTTGCAACTATAGAGTGCCCTCATAAACAGCATGCACTTGTAACAATATGAAATCACGGAAAGTACTATCACTACTAGCTGCTGCTATACGTAAGCACTAGCTATGTTAGTATTAATGCGCTAATTACTAATATACATTCAGAAGTGAATATTATGTAAGAAATATGTTATAGAATATTGCTGAGATCTTCCATTCATATCTTTATTTCACACCATCTCTGGTATTGTAAATAAACTAGGCACTAATTTAGAAGTTAAAGCATACTCATATTGATAAAGCTACTTAAAAAAACCTGATTGCAAAATGTTAATGTCATTTTTCCACATAACAAGGATATCTAAAAAAGTCTATTGTTACAAACCTAAAAGTCATAATATTGCTTTTAAATCAAGGGATGATCATATGTATAATGTGGATGATAAAGGTACATTGTTATATAGGTAGTTTTCTGAAATTCTATCCACATATTTTCTAGTTTTTGAAAAGTCACTCTATGATATATCAAATTACTGTGACATGGTTTTACTGAACTCAGCTTGCAAACACCTCTGGCTATTATGCTAATTAATTTTACTCACTTGCATCTCAGTGAGAGTGAAATGGGAAATTGGCTAATCAAAATTGCCATTCTCATCAACTATATGTTCCCCAAGATTAGCTCTGCTGCACACTCAAAAAAATGGACCACCAGCCAGGTCCAGTGGCTCGTGCCTATGATAGCAGCTCTTTGAGAGGCCGAGCTGGGAGGATCACTTGAGCCCAGGAATTCAAGACCAGCCTGGGAAACATAGTGAGGCTTCATCTCTGCAAAAAATTTAAAAAATAAAAATTAGCTGGGTGTGGTGGAACAAACTTGCAGTCCCAGCTACTCGGGAGGCTGAGGTGGGAGGATTGCTTGAGCCTGCACCAAGGAAGTAGAGGCTGCAGTGAGCCATGATCACGTCACTGCACTCCAGCCTGGGTGACAGAAAAAAATAAAATATAAATAAAAAAATAAAAAATAAATATCAGCCTGTCCCCAAAAAAAATAAATAAAAAAAAGAAAATTTTAAAAAGAGGAAAGAAAATGGGCAGGTAAATCACAGAAAAGTGATTTTTGAAGAGAAAGATGGGCCTTAGAAGAGTAGACATTTTTAATATCAGCTGAGGCAAAGGGCAGAAAAGGCAGGGTTCAGAAAAAGGAGGCAGAGAACAGGAAAGACAATCTGAAAGTATCATGCAATTTTACTTCATTCTTTTAGTAAACAAATTTTTATCTGCCTTTCTCTACAAAGAAATGCACTGCACAGAGCTTGTGAGCTTTCCCAACATTCAGAAGCTCTTAAAAGCAGTCAGGGCTCCTCTTTACAGAAGCTGTGATTTTCCTACAATAATTTTCTATAATTGTGCCAAAGAGCTAAAAATAAAAATGACATAAGAAGTTTTGCCATAGTGAGATTCACAAGCTCAATTGTAGAACTTAGTCATCATATTCAACTTTCAGGAAGATAGATCCAGGTTAGGAAATTCACTGTGCTGATTGCCTTCCTCCTGCCTGTGCGGTTGAGATGTAAAGTCTATGGTCTGGTTATCAATAACTGCTAGGAACTTTGGCCATAAGCGAGTAGATAGCTGTAAAGTACTATCGTATTGAGAAAGTAAATGTGGTAAGAACTGTAACAGGCTGAGGTTTATTGAGAAAGTCCTGATTACTGTGTAGACTGGGTACCTCTGATCCGAGGCCAAAGCCACACGAAGCAGTTATAGAATTTATTGGGTCTTATTTAAACTAAACATATATCTGGCTTTCTCCATTTTATTTCTCTTCAACATGTGGAAGAACATAATTTTTTTGGTTTAGCACGAAACTTCTATCTGTTTCATTCTTTAAGTCATTCGTCACATATCTCAAGGTCACGAGCAAGCTTCAGAGGGAAAGTATTTGTGTTAATTGATTGCTTCCATGATTCTTATGCCTATGGGTGCTGGTAAATGAGCTTTTTGTATTTTCAATGAAGTGACTCAAGTGGAGGAGAAACACTTATGATTCCTGTTAATAAGATACATAAAGCATACTGTCCCCTGGAGATCTTGGTTCCCTGCTCCCAACTCCTTGTCACTTACTCCATGGTGAAAATGAGAACTTTGCCCTCCGATTGCTACTACCAGGAGAGTAAACACTCTCTGGTTCTAGAATTAAAATGAAGCATTCAGCAGTATAGAGCCAAAATACAGAACCTCTCTTTTCTCTTTCTGCCACTGTACTATTGCATTTTGAGAAAGAGGCACAATTCAATAAAGCAAAATTCACTCCTGCTGAGATGTTTTTTACCTGACTATGTACATCGCTTTTTGGCGAAAAAATAGGACAATTCCTTCAATTCTGTGAAGCCATGGGGATGATGAGTTTGGGGATAGCATTTGGATATATTGGTGTATTGATTTTAATCAAATACATTACTCTGGGTAACAGCTTCTTGCTCTTCTTAACAATTCAGTAAACAAAAAGATATGCAAGCAAACCCATTTTATTATCTATAGCAACGATGGTCTCTGTTTTGTATTTCTTAGCAGAGCCCGGGTATCTGGCAATATATTAGGTTTGTAAATTATCATGTCACTAATGAAAGATATTAGATGTTCTCTACATGGAAAAGAAAAAATTCATTCTCTAGGGTGATAATCTTACTTTTCTCTTCCTGCATAGCATCATTATTCTACTGCTCTTGTTCTCTGACAATAATGACATCTTTCCTAGCTACACTTTTTAAAATGTCAGGTTTATTGGGTTATCATTTGCATATAGTAAAATTCAACCTTTTAGGAGTAATTCTATGAGTTCTGAAAAACACATGTAGTCATGGAACCTGACTAAGACACTCTTAACCTTCTGCTTAGCTTGACTAAACTTTAGACAAACTTCTTCCTAACTGTAGACTTCTGAACTTTTTTTTTTTTTTTTTTTTTTGGTTAAGGCATTTACTCTAGAAAACTTGCAATTGTAAATTCTTTCTCTGCTCTTTTGGGAGGTTGCTGATTGCCACTTTTACAAATGAGGATGGTCTTTCTCAAGTACCTGGAAGTCATCCCTTTGAAATGAATTCATCAAGAAAGATAGCACCCCTATCTCCTAGTCTTAGTGGGAAGGCAAGAGCCGAACTTTGATAAAAAGGCAATTAGCAAACTCAAATGGCCTAATCACATCGACCAATCTATCACCTAATAGCCTCCAATATTTTTCCACTAGTTTAAGAGCTTAAAAACTCTCCTGCCTTTTGTTTCGATTGAGCTCAGTTCCACCTCTCTCATCTATTGCAGTAGCCTTGAATAAAATCTTCCTTGTCTGTTTAACTCTGTCAGTGTAATTTTTCTTTGATAGACCACCACTACAATCAAGTTATAGAACATTTATATTGCCTCAAAAACTTCCTCTGTGCCCCTTTGTACTTAATGTCTTCCTTCAATCCCCAGTTCCTGGCAACCACCTATCTGATTTCTGTCCCTATCACTTTGCCTTTTCCAGAATGTCGCAGAAATAAAATCATGCAGCATATAGCCTTCTGTGTCTGCTTGTTTTTTTCTCTTCCACTTAGCACGATAGTGTTGAGGTTCATCCATGGTATTGCCTGTGTCAGTGGTTTCTTTTTACTGCTGCATAGTATTATATTGCAAACTACCACCATTTGTTTATGTATTTTTCCAATCCATATCTTGAATATAAATTTGGCTGTCCTTATTGTATCAATATTTGTCTTATTTAAGATATTACTATCATATTATGTTCTCTAAATACATTCAGAATCAAGATTGGGCTCACCAAAATGGTTCTTGCTTTTTCCTTTCCATGGCCTCAGCGGAAATGCTTCCTATATAACTAGGCGGATAAATGAATGAACAAACCAACCACCACTTTAGAAAAAATATTAAACATCCTGTGAAATTTTGGAAAAAATGCATGCCTACAAATTGCTTAAAACTAAATAGTAATATAAGATTTGCTGAAATTGTATCCTAGCTGTTTATTTTAGATAGATGTTATGTCCTAAATACCTATTGAGTCAAAACTGACATAATTTAGCCAGAAAGAGCATTTAAAAGTAGCTTGGCTTCCAGGGATAAATATGGAAATAATTATACAGCAATAGAATAGTATTAGACTATGAGATCAGTTTCAAAAAGTATAAACAGCTTCCCCAACGTATGCTTTTTAAAAAACACCATTTCTGAATGTGGATTAAATTCACATATTTAGTATATTTTAAATGAGTGAACTTCATTATTTTATAATTCACTATAAACTCTACATGTATTCCATTTTTTTTTTGTTTTGTTTTATGTTTTGGTTTGCTTTTTGTATCATCTTTAGACTCCAGCACTGACTGGAATTATTTGAGAGAATGTGAGTCCTGGATATCAGGGCCCTTCACCTTCTGTAGCTAGAAAACAGACTCTAAAACAGTTTGTGCTGGCATTCCTCTCACTTTTATTCCAATTTGAAGTTGGAAATAAATGATGTGGCCTATTAAAACTTGAAATATTATAATAAAGTATCAATTAAAGAATTTTTTTCCTCTCCTCTGATATTACCCTATGAATCTAACTAGCTAGTTTTTAATAAAAGTGGCCACTGTGAATCTACTTACATTACGTGTGTGTGTGTGTATACTCCTCATTGTGTGTGTGTATATATATGTGTTATGTGTGTGTATATATATAATATATATATATAATGTGTGTGTGTATATATATATACACACACACGTAATGTAAGTAGATTATATATATAAGTAGTTACCTTTATCAAGTATACTTTAAACCATATAAAATGTACGTTTAATATGTTACAATTAATAGAATGTCCATAATAAGATGTCCATTTTATGCAAAATTCAAGCTTTTATACATTACCTAACAATGAAACTGGAGTGGCCTGACATCCAAAATTTAGCTACATGTGTGTCATTCTTCACTATAGAGCAGTATTTGTGCAATCATTTCAACATATCACAGCATTTGGGCTTTGCTACGTTGTAAAGTGTTTAGAAACCAGAAAAATTATGTTTATCTTATTTTTTAAATATTGGCATGAATGGAAAAAAGTAAGATATCATACTTGTAATAAGACATGTAAGTCCCTTAAAAAAAAGATATTTTATAAAGGGAAACAATACCAAAATCAGGAAGGCTTTAGGCTGTGTAAGAAAGTCTTTGGGCTTCTGCTATTTGAATGAATATTCATTTGAAAATAATATGCTGGGCATATATTATTGAAGATTATATCTAAAATACAAGGTAGAAGCAGGGACTTCAAAAAATACCTTTACGTCTTTCATAACAAGTATGCAGATAATATGTACACATACAAGCACACCTTTGATATCATATATTTATGTCTTTTTAAATTTCTGATTTGCATGTTGTTTAAAAATGGAGGATTAACTGTACTTAAATTTTAAGAATCTTGATTATAATATTAGAAAATCTGTTTAATCACATAGGATCATGCGTGACCTAGGCCAGTATTCTCCAAAATAAGTTGTATGGAATATGTGTTCTTTGAGTATCATTTATAATCAAATAATTTTACAAGTGAGTGGGTTAAACAAATGTAAATAAGATTAATTAACTTTAAGTTTGTTAAATGCATGTTTATGTAAATCTGATTGTGAATCACCAGTTGAATGCATGGAGGATGAACCTTCTCAACTTCATTTAGTCCGGACAAATAATCCATGAAACATATATCAATAAATTCTGATTTAGGATTGGGATTTGCTCTAACAGAAGAGGTAACTGATTAAGTAAAACAGTATTGTATCACACTGTGAATCAGAGGGCTAGTCTCCAATCCTGGGTCTGCTGCCATTTTTGTCAGAAGCCTTAGATTAGTGGCTAAGAGCACAGCTTATCTGGGGTTTAATCCAACACAGCCCTTTATCTGCTAAATGACTATACAGGTCATCTCTTGATGCCTTCACTTATTCAACCATAAATAAGAAGCCATAGGAGATTTTACCTTTAGTTTAATCAATACAATCAAAGTGTTTTAAAGAAATATATGATAAATAAGAAGTGGTACATAAGTATGAGCTATTTTTTTGTCAGTGGTTTTCAAACTTTGGACCTTGACTTACAATAATCAACCTACACTGAGATGCAATAAAAACACATGTGCACGCAATAACATATACAACTAAAATAAAAGTTTAACTGAAATAATATTTAACTATGCTATATGAGATGCACTCTAATATAACCTAATATGTTTTATTCTCTTCTAATTTTTCACGTTGCCATTGTTTCCTCATGCTATTCCATTCTAACCTATTTTTTTCTATTCTATACAACCTATTCTATTCTACTCTCTTACATTCCATTAAAAATTGTCCTCATCCTCAGGTTGCAAGACATTAATTTCACTGTATGACTTGCCGATCATCATTTAAACTGTGTCTTTAGTCCTTCCGTTCAATTCCCTCATAAAATCCATTAGTTATTTCATAAAATTTAAAAACAAAATTCTAATATTCAATTTCAAACTCGATGTCTGACCTGTGGCATATGGATCTCCTGATGGTTTTGGCCCCAGAATCTCTCTTTCTCTCTCATGCATAAGATTCTGTAGACATCAAATGATCTAAGTTTATTCTAATTCCAAAATTGAAGAAATAAATGACATTTAAAGAGAAGCTCGTTGCTTACTTCATTCTTTTTAACGACTTAATCTGTATTTAATATATGCACCATACACCTACATTCTGACATAAATACACTGTCTGAACTATCTAAAGAAAAAAAAAATTCAAATAATTTTTCCTTAACAATTAGAGTGATTATATTATGCTTCCTATTTGTAAATAAGCTTTTAACATTTTTAAACTCAAAATTATATAAAATTGAAGTATAAGCTAAAATCAAGTCAACCCTGAGATTATATAGGTTATGTTAGCTGCATAATTTTTTTTATTTCATGGACATAAATAAGTGTATCAGGCAATTTAAATAGGTATAACATTCTTCTGCTATATCCAGACTTTTAGATACTACAGAGCCAATGATAAGACTAACTATAACTGAACCTCCATTTCTCCCAGAATTTGGTGAAACACCAAACAATATCTCACAGCCTCTGATGTTATTATTACATGTGACCATAGAGCATGATAATATTACTAATATTTTATAAACTAATAAATATCCATTGCAAACATCCAAAAGTCTATTTTAAGTTTAAAATATCACTCACTGTTAGGATTTGTAAAACCTCTAATATATACATATACTTAAAACTGTCTCATAAAATATTAAGTATTTTTTTTTTTTTAGTCAAGGTCTTGCCCTGTTGCCCAGGCTGGAGTGCAGTGGCACGATCTCAGCTTACTGCAACCTCCGACTCCTGGGTTCAAGTGATTCTAGTGCCTCAGCCTCCCAAGTAGCTGGGATTACAGGCATGTACCACCATGCCTGATGAATTTTTCTATTTTTAGTAGAGACAGGGTTTCACCATGTTGGCCAGGCAGGTCTCAAACTCCTGACCTCAAGTGATCTGCCCGCCTTGGCCTCCCAAAGTGCTGAGATTACAGGTATGAGCCACCACGCCCGGCCAATATTAGGTATCTTATATTAAAAGATTATTTACAGTCCGTATTTTGAAATTAGAATAGGTATTTTATAATACGAACTGTTTATGTGAAAATATTTATTTAATTTGATTTGTCAATGTGTACTTCTAACCATAGGTACTTTCCATTAGATTTCCAGTTTATGTGGATAGTAGTTAAAATGGGATCTCACAGTTTTCAATCTTCAAGGACTGAAAAAGAATTTCATTCATTATTAACTCAACATAAGCACACTTTTCTAAAAAGGAATAGTAACTTTATATTTTTAGCTTTGCCATGTCTACACCCTTCTCACATATATGTGGATGACTGTCACTCCTCTCAGGGTGTCTCCAATATCCTGAGATTTTTAGCATCGCAATATATTATTCATGACCATGTTCTCTGCAAATGTTCAAATACAAGGCTTTCTGGCCAGCTTTCGCATTAGTATCTGTGCACATGTGCAGAAACTTCTGAAAACTCCACACACCTACATTAATTGAATAAGCAAATGCTTGAGCAGCATTATTTACGAGAACATGCAACTTCAATGGATTTTAAAAGAACTTGCAAGGCAGCTGTATTTTCCTCTCACTCTCACAGTCTGATATTATTTATTATCATTTCATGTGTGGGTTCCACACTCATCCAACAGATATTGATTTACACCTGTTTTGTACTCTACATTTTCGTTGTTTTGTTATATCTTTAGGATCCTTCAGTGGAAGATACTATGGTTGTCATTTATCTGAAAGGCTCATCCCCCCTCTCTTTGTGCATCATTTTCTACATGAACAGCTGCATCACAGCTGTCAGGCTGAATGGTAAAGATATCTTTGGCCGATAAGCCTATGCCTGTGGCACACGGAGTGGCTTCAAACAACTAATTAGCAGGAGCTGGGCCACAGCAAGGTTTGGTGCTGTCCATCAAGCCTGCGACCAACACTGACACCATCAGCAAATCTGTCAAATGCGGCTCTTCCTGTGAACAAAACCAAGCCCATTTGTTTTGTGGTGAAGAAAGAATTGGCAGAATGTGTTTAATAAAAAGTTAAAGAAGGTGATGATCAATCTTTATAGAGTGTTAAGTAATTGAAAAAAATACTGAACTGGTGGAAAATCTGATAACTGATTTATACACGGGAACTCAACTAAAAATGTCTCCATGAATTTACAATGAAGTAATTCATAAGGCCACTCACATTGCTCAAGTACATTTGTTTAGCCTCGGGAAAACACCACAAATGTATGCTGTTTTTAATAATAAGTGACTTACAAAAATAATAATAATAACAAACCTGCACATTCTGCACATGTATCCCAGAACTTCAAGTATAATTTAAAAAATAATAATAAGAGGCTATTATATGTAAAATTGGATATTAACATTTACATACATATGCAACCATATGCCAGATTTACATAATTATAAAATTGTTATGTATAATAATTTCTATAAAAATCAAAATCTATTTGTACAAATGTATCTGTAAATATGCATATCTGCATTTACAATTAAGTATTTAAAAGTTTTAAAGCTGAGTCCGTTGAACACAAATTGAAAAACATTATGTAGTCATGTTTCTTAATAACTAAAAATGTGTTTAGATACTATACTAAGAATATAAAATTTAATAGCCACTGCAGTTTTGCATTTTGAACCAGGTCTTAGATCGGAGCCAGGAAAGAGGTCTGCATTGAGGAGACAAAGAACCAGTGGAACTTTCCTTAAAATTTGGATGTCCTCTCCTGACACCTGGCCTTCACGCAGGCTGTATATTTAAGTAAAATTCTCATTTTTCTACCAACACACACCAACACATCACTCCTGATCATTCACTTTGTAAACTCCTTCAAGTCTTATTTATAACAACATACTTTTTATGTGCTATGTTAAATTGCTCTTATGATGTGCTCTTCTTGCATCTTGAGTATCTCTTGTTTTAGCACTGCTTACACTTTATGGTAACATGTTGATATGAGTATACTCCCTTGGACTGTAATATCTGAAACACAAAGAACCATGTTTGTATACACAAATGATGTACTTGGCATGCATAACGTTGCCTCTGGTATACTTGCTGGATAAATATTTATGGAAGGAAGAAAAGAAGGGAGGGAGGGAAGAAAGGAAAGGAGGGAGGGAAGAAAGGAAGAGAGGGAGGGAAGAAAGGAGAGACAGATTAATATATGACTCATAGACTGGTTTCAGCATAATTATGAAAAAAGAGAGGTTGGATAACTTGTTTCCCCTCTAAAGAAGTCTCAACTTTGTGTTTGTGAGCAAAAAACAGAGGAAGGGATGTCTAGTACCCTATCCATGTTTACTTGACTTAAGGAACATATTGATGGCCCCATTTAAAAAATGAAATCAATTCACATCAGAAAGCAGAGACATGTAGTAGAGGGTTGATCAAATATGCCTGTTTTCATATTTGCCTACATCCCTCTTAAAATTAACACAAAATTTTCTCAAGCATAAGTTCAATAGTCTGAAATAAACCAACATTCATGTTTCTAGAAAATTGTATTATACATAGGCATTAGACATGAGTGTATGTAGTGTTTCTATACTACTGCAGTATAAGTTCTTTAAATTCTTGGTAATTTGTTACAAATTTACATATGCTTATTTAGCAAGTAATAGGAGCCTGTCAAATATTTTAATGATTTTTTTGAAAATTTATCTCTATATAACACACATTTCACATAACAGATCTATATTAAGTGCAAAGATTCCTAAATGCTATTTGGAATTGTAGCCAGAAATTGTCCTGTGATTTGTTAGAAATTATTTTCCAGGTCAATCTTACCTAAAATGGCATAAGATGTTTGACTATTCCCAGTTGGGCATGTCAGGACTTAACTCTAACAATTCTCCAGTCCATGATGTATTTTATTTGCCATTTTTCTGAGGTGCAGTTTTGGAACCTTCATGGTAAAAGGGTGAAAAACTTCTTTATCTAGTGAGTGAGCCAGACTGATGCCCAACATGCTTTCTCTAATACTTGTTATATATGCAATGTTTCACAGTGACTGAGATGTAAAATATTGCTTATCATTTTTCTTAATTTATTGCACTTTGGAGAGCAATGTTACTAACAATTTAAATATTTTAATATGTTAGGAGTTATTCCCCAAATATGTATGCATGTATTTAAGTATGTAAATAACATATATGTGTGTGTATATGTGTCATTTACTAGCCTTGGGGTTTTCCAAAAAGCTGTCTTTATGAAGAAAGAAAAAATTTAGTGTTATTAGTAAATATCTATTAATTGTAAATAACTTTATTACTCTAAAATATAATGTAAAAATCTTCAGAGAATTATTGCTAAATGATTTACCTAATTATTTTAGTTTTAAAGCTGATATCAACAAGAACACCTATTCTAAGGACTGAACATATTTATTTGTGTGCTTGTACATAATTATGTAAATATACTTGGGTAATATGACTACATAATCATGAAGCACAGGAAAATACAGGTATGTGGTATAATATTCATAATACAGCAATAACAGGAAAATAAAGGTGTGTCGTATAATATTCATACACTAAATCAGATTTCGTGTATGAATATTTTTTTAAAAAGAAAATAAAAGACCAAGTAAGACAAAAGCAAAAGGGTTTTGGCTTTATATCTTTCCTATTTTATTATTTAAAAGTAGCAGATAATGTTACCATTTTGCTCCTGCTCCATTTGGTATTATTTAAACAATAGAGTTCTAGGCTGTGTAACAAACTGAGCCCCGTTGTACTCTAGCTATCAGTGTGTCCTTGGTTGGTGATGTAGGCTCAAGATCACCTAGGCACCCATAACTTTATCTTAATGTGGAGGGAAATTAGACTTACCTTGAAGACAGTTGTCTTGAATTAGGTAGAAAATGTGAAATACAAGACACATAATAATAGTTTAATACATGGGAGTTCTCCTCTCACGCACCCCTCTTACTCACCATTTGACATATTTTAATTCTATTAAATATTTCTATCACATGACTCAATTGGCAATTTTATGAAACCAATGGTTATTTCACTTATACGCATTTAATGAATCCAGCAAAACCTGTGTTATGAATTTACATAAAAGGTCAAAAATATGTTCCTTATCAAAATGGTTTTCTCAATTTTTCTGTGGAGATTTATAGCAGTGGCCCATCCTGGGATATCTTAATCAACCATCTGCATCCATGAATTTCATACTCATGATAACTGCCACATTTCCAAAGTCTAGAGGCTAAAATTCACAGTTAGTTTAAAACCCTTCCACCAATCTCCCTAACTCTTAGAGCTAAGATTTCCATCTGACACTGATTTTCGGATTTCACCCCTACAAGGGAGAAGTCCTATCTCAAAAATTCATACACTGAACACTAAACCATTTTGTAAAATATTCTTTAGCTCAAGCATCAAAAACAGTGACAGGGAAGAGCTACTCATACTGAGATGCAGTCTTGTGTGAATTCCAATAACTATGAGACATTTTCCTACAGATTGCAGAATACAGACACTGAAAGCTCTGCTTGCATTATATACTGTTTCATGGGAAAAGGGAATGAAATATAATAGAAACAAAGTGACAATGAAATACGGATCAAAAATGCTTATTAAAGGCATTATGCATTTATGGCATAAAAACAATGTGCACTTTTTTATTCCGGTGCTTCGATTTTAATCATTGCAATGTTTCTGTGTACCCAATGACAAAAGGTATGTCAGGGAGAGAAAACTTAAACATGACAGTTTAAATTCCACACCATTTTTAAAATCTAGTTTAAGAAAGAACTTCAAGTATAAACTATTTTATTTAACATTTGTTTGGAAACTTTGTGTTTGAAGGTAAAGTCTTTAGATTACTCTGGGATCAGTAATTCTAGGATCGAATTCTAATGCTATCACTAGCTAGCTCTGAGAGGTAGGGCAAGCTACTCAATCGCTGTTATCTTCACGTTATGTTTCAGTAATATGCATAGGTAATCTCTGGTCTCTGACAATCAAATAGCCTGTGAGGTTTTTTGTTTGTTTGCTGTTACTTAGATAATATCATGGCATAGTTATCTTTGCAGTTTCTGAAGCCATGTGGCTGTGGCTATCTTCCAGCCCACTCATTCCTGTCTGTGTGCATTTGAGCAAATTACATAACCTCTCAGTGTCTCCTTTTCCCATCTGTAGAATAAGAATAATAATCATACCTACCTAATGGGATTGCTGTCAGAATTAAATAAGCTATATTCCAACAATTCTAATATTAAAAACCCCTTATTTTTGCATGTATTAAAACAGGACAAATATTAAAGAAATCAAAAATAAGCATTTGTCAGAGTTAAATTGGCAGCATTTTACCCTAGCAGTACATAAAATTGTAGCATGTTTATACTCTAGTGGTAGATGAGAAGAATTATTATAATGCATATGACGTGCTTAGAATAGGGTCTGGCACAACTTTTTCTCAATAGCTGATATAACATTTCTCTATAAGTAAGCAATACTTCTTACATCTAAATTAAGAGTGATAGGTTAATAACAAGCTAATAATAATTAAAAGCTTGCTGGTCACATCAGTCTCGGTTTTATTATGTATCTAGTGTCATAATATAAATTTAAGAATTTCATCCAGATTAGTCAGCACTCATTGACACCGAACATGACTCTGTTTAATAGTATAGTTTTCTACAGTTAAATATTTGTGTGTGTTAAACAGAACAATCATCTTTCTTGTTACTATATTAAGGTGATTAAAAGGGAGGGGAAATATAAATTGTGAAAAAATAAAAATTAGGAAAATACCTGCACTTACCAGGCTCAGTACAGAATTAAATATAATGAAAAATAACATTTCAGATGCCAATTTTGTAGGTTATAATCACCTTTCATTGTTAATTCTCAAGAATAATTAACACTAGATTAATAACCTTAAAAAAGTGGTTACTAAAACTGCCCATTTTATTATTGGTCTACAGATATTAAGCATTTATACAGAAACCTTGCATCTTAGAATGTTTTAAAAAAAACTCGAAAGATGACATCACTTATCTGTTTTCTTCAAGTTTTATTTTATAAGAAATTTCAGATATTGTCTCTCTGAATTTAATACAAAATGCATGTTAAAGAAATTAAATGTATTATGATCAAAAACAGTTTAGACTAACCAAGGACAAAATGTGAATGATGGGAGAATATACATATAAACTTCTTGAAACAGTCCCTAGCACAGAGTATGAGGTACTATTTAACACAGAAAGATATTTAACTGTAGAAAACTATGCTGTTAAATAAGCATAAGTTGTCAATATCGTCATCATTATTTAGTATCACAGATCATCAGGGATGGGTAGGACCTTCCAGACAACCTAGTTCAAAACCATTCAGAGAAAATGGGCCTGGAGAATGATGGTTAAATGAGAATTTACGGAATGAAAGATTTATAAAAATATTTTGTCTTCTTTGTTTATAAATAAACTATAGTAGATTTACTTTCACTGTTCTTTCACAAATGGACTAATAATATAAATAAACATCATAACTCTAGATGTCATTTTTTTTCTTCAAATTCCCTAGACCTTTAGTCAAACCCTGTGCAAGCTGTCTTCCTGTGCTTCGGACCTTATAAAATATCTAAGGGAGAAAAAAGTATGATTTATAGAAAATTATTTGAATTATGTCTCATTTATATTCTCTACGAAAAATACGAAAATCTCCAATAAATCATCTCACCACCTTTGGTAATCAAAGGGATTTTCTGAGGAATATGGTTTCTGAGGAGTATGGTTAAGTCAATAAACACAAACATAAAATGTTATAAAAATAAATATAATTCTTAGAAATCTGAAATCCACTTGGATCTTAATGACTTGCACAACATCCTGGGTAGGGTTTTGTACTATTTACCTTAATCTTTACTTATGAGAAAAAATTTTTCTCTGCCATCCAATTAGAACTATTGTGTTATTGTTGGTAATTAATGGGAACAATTGTATTATCTTAGATAGTTGAAACATACACAGTGAAGAGGAAAAAATCAAAGGGTTGGAAACTATGGTTCTTCTCTCAATGTTCAAGAGATTTAGGCTTTGGATAAAAAAAGAAAGAAAAATATAAAAAAGTATATATGCTGAAGTTTAGAAAATCATTTCTAAGTATTTAGACCCACACAAAGAAAAAGAAATAGAATAAAAATATGCAGAGAATTAGGGGATAGAGCTGTTCGAAATATTGCTCAATCCTCTTTCAACTTCCACTAATGTTTTATCTAAAAAGAAGTTGCTTTCTATATTAAGTTTATATTAATCAAAGTAGTTTCTTCAATATACATTACCAGTGGGATTTTTGAAAATAATAGATTCCTTTAGATGGCAAAAGCAATAATTATTACAATTTTTTTTTTACTAATCATGATTAAGAAAAGGTTTGAAGGGAATGGAGGGGACCTACGTTCTGTAAGAAAACAGAATACACACACAGGCACACACACATACGCATACACATGCATTACCTCTCTTTCTACAGTCTATATGTTACAGCTGTAAAAAAATACGTGAAACAGTATGTATGTTTTAATATTAGTTAACTATTAAAACATAATTCTTTAAAAATGGGAATCTTCTTCCATTTCACAACAATGCAAAAATAGTTAACACGACTGAACTCTACACTTAAAAACGGCTCAGATAGTAAGTTGTATGTTATGTGTTTTTTTACCATGACTTAAAAAAAAATACATGAAAGATAGTAGATTTCTATACCCAGCCATACTGGAATAATTGGCACTGGAAAAACCCTTCCAACATAAAAGAATAAGAAAAGAACAACTATGGATCTTCTACCTTTTAATGTGGATGAACTAACTTTTTTAAAAAAGAAAGTAATGTCTTTCAAGTTCAAAAATACAGGGAAATAAAAGATCAAACTGATATAAAGTAGTAAAAAAAAAGGAAAACTTCATTAAAATTCAAATTTAACTAGTCATATTAAGCAGCAATGTCTTTCTCATTTTCCTCAGTATGGGAGATGAATCGAATTAACCTTTCAAAATAGTTGTGCCTTTCTTTTAGTTCAATTAATAAATATGAATCAATCCAGAACATCTAGCTTTAAAAGAAAGTTGCTTATTACTTTCTTTAAAAATAGGTAAAAATCAGTACTTTTCATTCCATGTTACTAACATTATGTTTGAGAGTTGGATCATTACTCAACAGAAAAAAAAAGATATATATCGCTGGATTTTTGTTCTAAAATTATTTACTTAAAATTATTTTCAAAAACATTAGTATAAAAATGTGACCACAGAAGAGATGGGCAAAGACAATAATACTAATTAAGATAGAGTATTTAAAATCATGAGGAAAATGAAAATTTATCAGTACTAACATGTTCTCTATAGATATATGGCATACCTCGTAATGGCTTTCTTCATTCTCCTGAATGTGGAAACCCGTGGAGCTGGGACATTTCTGAGGAGTGACAGGAATATTGTCACTTTTGCTGTGTGAGTTACACTGAAAGAGATTACCAAATAATTGTGACAAACTACTCCACATTTAGAGTGTCCATTGAGAGACATGGCTGTTTGCTATGAGCCTAATAAAGGAATACCACTTGAGCTAACAAGGGTCCACACCCAGAGATACATGCATTAAGATTGAGTCTTTACCATAAAGATTTTTTA
This sequence comes from Homo sapiens, assembly GCF_000001405.40. Classification (NCBI taxonomy): domain Eukaryota; kingdom Metazoa; phylum Chordata; class Mammalia; order Primates; family Hominidae; genus Homo; species Homo sapiens. The sequence goes on from NC_000013.11 coordinate 66,903,776, forward strand.
ATTGTCCCAGGATAAACAAATTGTTAAAACACTTTTACTAAAACTAAAGAAATATAAAATTTAGTAATTTTACTTTTACCTTTTTTAGGCAATATTTATTTATTACATTTATGACTTTGGTAGCTAAAAGTTATACGGTGCTATTTGGGTGAGATATTATTTAAGAGTTTGATATATATTATACACATATTAGCCTGTGACATGGATATTATTAACTACCTCCACTTAAGGAAGAGGAGACTGAAGCATAATTCCTCCCCCAACAAAGCTGTGCTGTTGCCCAGCCTTTTGGGAACCATTCCCCATATCCTTAGCTACCACATGAACTACCTTTATAAGTGATACATTTGAAATAGATAAAACTGAAAAAAACAGAAGTGTAGTGTCTTAAAATACTAGTTGACTTATTTTTCTACTAAATAGAAAGCATTTTTAAAAAACAGGTTATCTAAAATAATTTACCTGGAAATTGACATGAATTATAGAACATAAGATATTACATTATGGCTTGGCCTTTCTCTGTGAACATATTAAAATGACAGTTTTCCATATTCCTCACACAACTTTTTCATGTGAAAATAAGACATTTTCCACTTCCTGTTTTCTTACTTCTTTTCTAAATCTTTTATTAGACTCAAGGCAAGCAATATTTGTAAGTATTGCTGTCTGGCCATTTATTAAACATAACTTTGTAGGTTTTAAGGTTTCTACTTTGATAAAAAGATATTGTTGTGCCCCCAGAAAAGGTTCATCATTGATATATACCTTTTCTTCTTAAATAAAACTATAATATATGCATCGATTTCATTACATTACAAGCAAAGAGACTATTCTTTTCAAAACTAGTATGCCATGTTTCCTATTCATCAATGAAATGCTACCTTTACTATCTCAAAGTAAAATCTGTTAGAAAATTACTGTTAGACATTTTTAAAAGCAAATGTGTTTTAGAATTTTAATATATTGTGTTCACTCTATTTTCATTTCAAGACCATCATTTTATATATTTAAATATATGTTAAAGCACTGTCATTACATTTTGAAGATATAAATTATCTCATTTATTTTTATTTGTTTAAAATAAATAGCTATGTGACAACTAAGAAGGCATGACTTTAAATCCATATATCCATCACTATAAGCCTTTTAGCATGAAAAAATATTTTATATCTGTTCTCTCTCTACAATTTAATTTTAACTCTATTCAAAACTTACCTCCTCTAGCAACTCTTTTCATGCGTCATTCAACAAATGGTGATTGCCATTTTAACCTCTGTTTCTAAGTAACTTTCATGTGTAATTTGTAAAATGTTCCCTTGTAATGTTAATTATTTGAATGTTCCTAAGTTTTTTGTCTGAACAAATTCACTGTTAGCAACAAAGGCTTCACAGCAGCTTTTTTGGCATTCAAGAAAAAAAAAAGCATAGACCTTAAAACAGTTATTTTCATCTGTGATGTCCATAGACATTTTAATTATTCAATTCCTATCCCTAGCCTCTCCACATATCTATTCATGCTGATTAATCTTTTTAAAAGGTTTCATGTATCATATAGTTTTTCTCCTAAGAAACATTTCCTAAATTTCTCTGGCCCAGCAGTGAGTCTCACCCTGACTGTATATTAGAATCACCTGGGGAGATTTTTAAAAATGTCAATGACTGAGTCCCACCTCACATCAGTTAAATTGAAGCTCAGACATAAATATTTTTAAAATATTCAGACAATTCTAATGTGTAGCCAGAGTTTAGAATCCTTGGGTTAAGGTTAAAACTTCCTTGTCTAGCCCTCAGGAAGCTAGAGTAAATTTTGGCCTCACTCCGATTTCAATCTGATATCTTGCTCCATAGAATTTTTTCTTCCTTTTTAAAATTTAACCCATCATATTGTTTTTTTCCCCCATGGATATATCATAAAAGTGTCTGAACCTGAAAAAAAAATCCTATATTTGTATAATACTTTATGCTTTAAATACAAGAACTTATGTATTATCTACAAGGAACCTCTGTAGACTGGTAGAAAACATAATCCATCCTATAACAGATTAGGAAGACACAGGTTCAGGTATATTCAGTGCCATTTGCTGAAGGATTTGCCCTGTAAAAGCAGGACAAGTGTTCACTCTATTTTGGGCAATTTCTACTGTACCATATCTCCCTTAATGGGTTCATCTATAACTCATTCATTCACTCATTTTATTCTGTTTGTTTGTTTGATAATCAGACTTTTACTGAGTGCATGTTATGTGTCAGAATTGTACTGGATCATCAAGATATGGCATTTAATATCTGTAATACTCTCACTCTAGCCCTGAAACAATACATGAAAATAAATAACCACCATGATGAGTGAACATGCCACCTGAAAATGTATGCAGACTGCTAAGGGACAGAGAAGAGCATGCATAGACTCCCAGATTTGATACATGAATAGAGAGTCTCGAGAGGTGGACTGATGAGGGAATCATGGTTAGCACACATTTGAGACAGAAGGAACTGCATATGCAAAGGTGAGAAAACATGAATTCTCATGAGCCATGAGTAATTTGATAATAGTTCAAACATGAAGAATGTGAGGATTGATTTCAGAACAGACAGAAACTATCAGTGCATTAATTCAATAGCACAACATATAGTGAGAAGTTATAGAATTGGACTTAATATAAGGGCCAACAGTGCCAAGAGTGAGCTTTAAAGGTCATTCTTTTTCTTCCAACTTTTCCAAGAAAATATGCAACATAACAAAATGAGCGCATTTGGAATATCATTGTGATGCCCAGTTAAGTCCTTCCATCCCTAAAAGATCTCACCCCCAAGCCTCTCCTGTGTTTCATTCTGGAGCAGCTCCTGTTTTTGGAACAGTGAATGGCATGAAAGGAAAATTTCTAACTTACTGTTCTTTCCTTACTTTTTAAAATTGAGTCTTTTGAGGTAAATTTCTTCTGCAAATTAATATATAACTCAGAGCAAAATAAAAGAAAAAAGTAACACTGTAAACAATATTTTGAGATTAACTATTATAAATACCCAAACTTTTAAGAAAAAAAATTCTTACAGGAAAAAATTTAATCACTATGAATCCTCCCTAACAAATTTCTACTTCCGGGAGAGTTGCAGCATTTTCTAAAAAAAGATTTATTTTAAAAGTCTCGGCTGGGCGCAGTGGCTCACGCCTGTAATCCCAGCACTTTGGGAGGCCGAGGTGGGCGGATCACCTGTGGTCAGGAGTTTGAGACCAGCCTGGTCAACATGGCAAAACCCCGTCTACTGAAAATATAAAAATTAGCTGGATGTGGTGGTGCATGCCTGTAATCCCAGCTACTTGGGAGTCTGAGGCACGAGAATAGCTTGAGCTCGAGAGCTGGAGGTTGCAGTGAGCTGAGACTGCACCACTGCACTCCAGCCTGGGCGACAGAACGAGATTCTGCCTCAAAAAGAAAAAAATAAAATAAAAAACTCTCAAGGTTCATCCCACCAAAAAATTTTACTGTTTGCCCAATTTAATATAAATAACTGCGTATTGAATTATGGGTAAGATGCATTTGCTAAATCAGATTTATATTGGGGGGTACATATGTAAATCAAACTTGAGAAGTCTAAAGCTCAATAACAACAATCATATTCAATGAAAATCACTGAAAGTACATTTGTTTTATACTTTAAGACCAGTTTGCTATTTTTCATCACCTATGATTGAAAGTCTGTATTGCAATATGTGGATAAATCATGCCACTCCAAAACATCCATTGTAGTTCCTGGGAAAATTATCATTCACTACCTATAGACATATCTGCTCAAAGTTTTCACATAATCAGGTATTTTTACTCTTTCATTTTTGAAATAAATTTTCAAAAAAGCACTTCTAGCCATATTAAGAGAAAAATAATCAACAGTAGCAAGAACAACAAAAGTTTTATGGAAGATCTTTTTATGAAAAACACAGCTGTTTTCTTTGCTAAATAGGGGGTTCTTTACATTTTCAACTCAATGGTAATGCAGTAGCAATGCTTAGTATTATTTATTATTCTATTACTACTCCTACCTTCTTACAAAATCAAGATTGTTTACTAAAAATCAATAGCACTTTCATAGAAGTTTTGCAGTCATTATAGAGGCAATAGTTTTGTACTTTTGTGCTATAGGTTTCATTAAATAACAATTCCATTTATTTAAAAACTCCCACTGAAAACGTTATTCCTACCCATTTTAAAAAACTAAGGATCCTTTTCATGAAGAATTCTAAAACAGAACATTTGTTTAATAATTCCAAAGAAATTTATGTTTGCAGAAATGAATCTACTTTAAATAATTGTCTAAACTTGGTATCTTCAACTTCTCTCTATGCATTTCTTTAGAGATCCACATGTATTAGGTTTCAAGCACGCCCATTCCACTGAAATGGCCCTGCTACCATCACCTATGGTTTTCACGTTACTAATGCAAATGGCAGTTCTCAGTTCTTATCTAATGCAACACAACTAAGTACTACCTCTTCTTGTTTCATTTATGTACTGGCCTTCAAGGATGCTATACACTCATGGCTTTCTTTCTTCTCCTGCTCTCTCTCTGGAATCATTTAACTGTTCGTGTTGTTGTCAAAACTGAAAGGACTAGAGAGGATAAAACTGAGTACTTCCTCAGAAAGTGTTTTCTTCAGTGGAGTCTGTTTAAGCAATTACACCCATATTGAACAGGTTCTGTTTCCAAAATATTTTCTCAGACACAGGAACAATCTTCTATTCATAAGATAAGAAAAGATCTCTTAGAACACCCCCAATCATTATTTCATCAAAGCACATATCTTTATACTTACATCTAGAAACTAATAAAATTTATATTTTAAGTGACCAACAGTATAGATTCTTATTATTTCTGAAAATTTGTTCTGATCATTTAGTATCCTGAAATTTATTCTGGCCCAAATAAGGAAACCTTGAGCCTATACTCACAGCCTTTTCTTTAATGTTTTCTATGTACCTTCTTTTTTTGCTTATTTTTGTTATCTTTAATCATAACTAGAAAATGGAGCTAAAATGCTCATCAAACTTTATTGAACAAATCAGTGTTCAGGTGCAGTGACACATATTTTGATTTAAAATGAAAATGTCGTATGATAAATTTTAAAACCAAATGTTATATAAATGCAATCATATCATAGAATTGTAGATGGCTATAATACACATTAATTTAAAAACAGGGATTGCTTATGTGAAATAAGAAAAATAGGCAGACCCTAAAATGATATGAAGGAAATGTTACCTGTATCTATAGTATACAGAGTCTGTTTTTTTTTAATTGCTTTTTTGAGTCTCTTCTTTAAATTTTTTTCTTTAAAACTTTGAGACATAAATCAATGCACAAAAATCAGTAGCATTTCTACACAACAATAAATATTAGTCAAGCACCAAAACAAGAAGTTAATCCCACTTACAATAACTACAAAAAAGACTTATGAATATATTTTACCAAGGAGTTGAAAGATCTTTACAAGAAAAACTACAAAACCCTGATTAAAAAAAATCATAGATTGCACAAATGGAAAAATATCCCATGTTCATAGATTGGAAGGATTAATGTTGTTAAAATGACTATACCGCCCAAAGCAATCTATGGATTCAGTGCAATCCCTATCAAAATGCCAGCATCCTTTTTCACAGAATTACAAAAAAAAAAACATATCCTTTTAAAAAAACACATGTTGAAAATCCATTTAGAGGCCAGGCACAGTGGCTCACGCCTGTAATCCCAGCACTTTGGGAGGCCCAGGCAGGCGGATCACGAGGTCAGGAGATGGAGACCATCCTGGCTAACATGGTGAAACCCCATCTCTACTGAAAATACAAAAAATTAGCCGGGCGTGGTGGCGGGCGCCTGTAGTCCCAGCTACTAGGGAGGCTGAGGCAGGAGAATGGCGTGAACCTGGGAGGCGGAGCTTGCAGTGCGCTGAGCATTTGGCTTAGTCATCATGCTTTCTTCCTCCAACTGAACTCTTGGCAGTTCATGACAAGGAGTAACTTTGTCACAGTAATATATTAACTAACTAGGTAAACTTGAATTTATCCATTGCACAAACAAATAAGCTTATGTTCAACTTCGGGACCCTGACACATGTTCCTACCCAGTGGATTTTGCAAAGTTCACCTTTTCAGTTCTTCTAGGGGCAGCAGAGCTTCTTCAACCCCACTGCAAGTTGACTGACACCCTTCAATACTCTCTTGACCCTACAGATAATGCTCATCAATTCCTCTATGTAAGTCCTCTTCTGTCCTCACAATTCCCATTCCAGATCTTTCCACCTAGAGATACCCTTTTGTCTTCCTTCTTGATGTCTCAAAGGTAGGAAAAGTCCTCTCTTCTCCCTCAAAAGCACTTCCTTTCTCCTTTGTTCCAACAAGCCATTTTATTTTTTAACCAGGTTTGCAGAGGGTCCAGCCAGATGGAGGTAGTCACTACAGCTCAATGAACAGTGAGAAACTGACTGTTGCACGTGGGATTTATGAGAAAACAAAAGCTGATTTTATATAGTCTTCTGGCACAGGCCATTAAATAGACCAGTTGGCTTCCCTTAGTTATAGTTCCATGTGATCAAGTGAAATTAATGATAAGATATATTTCTTATTGTGCACTTAGTTGTTGCAAGTGGGTCACTTGTAAAGTGTTTGTATAATATTTACCTCAATTCCCTACCTTATGGTACAATAAATGGAACCAGTACGTTCCAAAACAGTTAAGATATAAGAATGCTTTATGCGTAAAAAAATCTTACAAATTTAAGTAAAAAGAGGATTGGGGAAAAAATGCTAAGGATCTTAAAGTCCGAAGTAATTCAGTAAGTGGATTAAGCTTATGTACCAGATAAAACACTTTTTTTTTCTTTGTTTAGAAATTCTACTTTTATATGCTATTCCAAGATTTAATGGTCTCTATCATAGGCTGGCTGACATTTTTCAAACAATTCTAACAATTTAATAAAATGTTTAGGTGCCACGTACCGTAACCAAAAAATAGCTTTATCCTAGCCTTTTATTGCGTAAGTGGTATTTCAGAGAAATCTTTTGCCATAAATATCTTGGTTACTATAAAGTTTTAGCAACTCTGTGCATTGTCCATTTCCTGAGAATGCGTGTTCCATTGAGTTTCTGTCTATGTGTGACTTTCAAGGCTTTTCTTAAGAAACTTTTGACAAATGCAGAAATAAAGGAGACAGAGATAGCAATAGAGTTATATTCCCAAAATAAATAATCATTTAGCTTTGGAGAAAGCTCTGTTAGGCTGAATTTATTCTCCTTTTCTCAGCAAACTATTTAATGAAAGTGGAGAGAAAGGCAAACATAGTTTTTTGTATTCTTATAGAAATTTTGGTAATGCAATCAAGAATTAAGCAATAGAACTCTATGTCAAACTTATTCAGCAGGTTCCTTCTAAATGTGCAGTAACAGAACTGACCATTAAATGTGCCAAAGACTGTTCAAGGCAGATGTGCTAGGTTGCTGGGCATGGGGGTGTGAACACAATTCTGCTAAATGAATAAATAAAAACAGGAATAAGATCATGTATTTGCCCACATCTGGCTGTAAATTCCTTCATAAGTAATTACTATACTTCTAACCTCTCTAACTTAATAGAGATAAACTGGATGCAATTTCAAGTCATTACTAACCAAGGAGGAACAAAACAAAACCATTTTTATGAGAATCACAAATCGTAGCTGCTTCTGTGCACATTATGTCACTTTTTCTTTAAATGGTTCATGGATGTTATATGAGTTTTATGCAATTCTTTTAACCCAGTTGCTATGAGCACGCACTGAAATAAAATTTCCTTAGAAAGTATACTTCAAACACTAATGGTCTACACTTTACAATTTTTCCATTGGTTCCCTCCTTATATTATTACCTTACTGTAAAGCCATTTCACAAGAGCAATAATGCATTGAAAGGTTTTAAATTACAGGATTACATGTTATATTGCTTGAGCAAAGCTCTATTAGTCAGCTTTGCACATTGCAACTTAATTCTGTATTTTAAATAAGTGGATGCAAGCAATGCAGGACTTTGGAACTTCCCAGACCCTTGAAAAGAAATGAAAATAAATACTTCTCTTCAAACGTATTCGAAGGAATACAACAACAGACATTTTTGGGTGCCAGGGTTAGTCAGGATTATATTTAAGACAATTGTTTTGCAGTTCATTTCAATTTATTTCATTATTTACTGCGATAAAATCCCTGGGAGTTTCCCCATATGATTATCATTTAACTGTATTTGTACCTTGAAGAAAAACTAAAATGGAAATTTCTGCAACACAGATAAAAGTAGATTGACTAAACATTTATTAAATTTCAAATATAATTGGAGAGGTCCTGTTTTAAAAGTGTTCACTAGGAATTTAAGGGTGAACATTTCCAGATTAAATTGAAAGACTTCAGAGATGGAAAAATAATCAGTTGCCTTTGCTGATTTCTACTGTTGCGTTTCATTTTCTCTCCAGATAATTGGTGTTTCAGAATACACAAGTCAAGCCCTTTTCTAAACTTTCTAAGGAGTTCTGAAATACTGACAAATACATACTGAAACTGACTTGTTGGAAAACAACAGTATTAGTTTATAGCATGTTCCATTAACTGCATATATGAGCCTAAAATGGAGACGAGCCCAGGTGTATAGCGATGGGCTCTCCAGGCAGAAAATATTCTCCTTCTATACAAAGGTGGCCATTTGTGAATTACATTCATAAGTGTGGACACACACACACACACACACATACACACCATGCTTATGAATACATGTTTTATGTATGTGATTATCTTGTTCATGTAAGTGATTGCATAAATGTGTATTCATGGAATATTCATTAAACAAAATCAAGTACTATATATGCATAAAATATTTCATTTTAAAATATTTGAAAAATTATACATTATATTAATACAAATATTTATTTATAAATTTATAAAAGTGCCATAAATAAACCATATACCTTACTAAGTTAATCTATGTAATACTTAGCATAAATGCATCCTGGATTTTAGGGCAAAATCTTTCTGAAAAAATATCCTCACTAAGAATTATAATTACATTTTGAAATTTCTGTGGTAAGGAGAGGAGTTTTAAAAGCCTAAATTGAATATAATTTCTAGTATTTTGGTTATATTTCTTTGTATTATGAAAACTGTTTGCCCAACATAAACCTTCAACGTAATGTTAGCCTTGGCTATGTGCATGCCAGTCTTTAGAAACAGTCTGCAAGTCAACCTTCAGCCAATGAAATCAGGTAATAAATTCGGAGATTCAAATCTGGCATGCTTTAAAGTGGGTTTAAAATTCAAGGCTGTGTCAGTTATTTGAATATTGTCTTTTCAAGGCAAATTCTTTAAAAAGTTCAGTGGTTTACTATGCTTCTCTTACTGTGCAAAACTTTATAAAACCAACCCTGAAGCTTGAATTTATATTTGTAAGAGTATAGATCCATAGAGAATGGGGTGGGGGAGAGAGAGAGAAAGGAGTGCATAAGTTCTTTTTTTTATAGTGCACTAAAAGCAAACAAACAAACCCTACACTCTGAATACATCATTTCAAATTGTGTTTTTGCAAGTGGAGTGTTTCATGTTTTGATTTTAAATTCATTTATGCAACTTGTACAGTATCTAGGAGTAAAAATGTCTCACTTTTTAATTACCGATTTAGAGTAAAAAGGATGTTCCAGAATACCCTGGAAATGTACCACCGGCTATGTAGGGGGTGTTGGGCTTGAACCTCAGCTCTATCATCATCTGACTTAGTTTCACAGCCTTGGTGGCCTTCTCCGTACTGTGTAAGTTTAGACCAAAGGATCTCCTCTGCTTATCCAAGTCGAAAATGTAAGATATTATTATACATGTTACCTCAAAACTTGATAGATTTTTATTTGCTCATTCGCTTAATATCTCTAACTTTAGACTTCTATAAAATGATGTAAATAAATGATTAGTTGATCTAAATGCTTCGTTGTTAAAGGGACTGTAGGAAAGATGAAACTTCACCATGGCTTTAGTTATACATTTGCTTATCTCATTGATATCTCTGAAAATATGTGTTACTCTATTAAAACTAAATTATGATTTTTAACTCTCATTTCCACATGTTTTTTTAATTCACAAAGAGAAAAACACCATAATCAAAGGCCTGATGTTTGTTGACTCTACCTCCACTTTCTTTCCAGAAAAAGAATTGGTGCTTTGAATACCTTTTGGAATAGTTTAGAATAAATCAGGCCAAATTAAAGAAACTAATTACAGTGATGTTGGATAGGAACTCTTCAACAAGCCTAAAACCTAACTAACTGTGAATGTTTAAAAGGCCAGAGTGTTTTTTTAAATCTATTTTTAAAATGAAAGTTCTGTATGTTTTAAGGAACAAAATCAAAGTATGCGAGAAACATGCTTATTTTCAAGGTCTTAAAAATGTTTCTTCTTATAGGTCTGGGTAAAGAATCCCTGAAGGAATATACTTTAACAAACAAGGAAATGTCTGTAGATGTAGTCACTGTTAATAGAGTCTGTCTTTTGAATTACTTCCTTTGTCTCCAAGCTTCAAACTAATATAACTTCCGCAAAACTACTTTACTGTTTATCTTTTAATCCTCAGGCCACAGAACTGTAACACTTAGAAGACTCTGTGGAATACGAACACTTCTCTGATTTATCCTCATGAAATTGTTTTCCTGATGAAAGGAGGTATGTAAAGAAACCGAAAGAGATTACAGAAACCTATACAAAAACCTACTTTGAAAATGTATATTAATAAATATGAAGCATAACTAAGAAACACATTTCATTTTTGGAGAAGAAAATCATAAAATACTATGTGATTGTATACTCTCCTCAAAAAGCACATTGAATGCTGTAACTTTTATGAAGATTCTCTCAAATAAACGCATACATGCATTCATTCATTCAAATAGTTTTGAACTTCATTAAAAATACATATAAGAAATAATTTTGTCTTCAAAGAGTTGACAGTATATCAAAGTTCATTTTGATCAATTCTCTACATCTCACAGATATATTCAGCAACATATATATGATTTTAGAAAATTCAAAATGGTGGTGAAAGAAGAATAAAATTCAAAAACAGGAGAGTAGATAGTGTTATTTCTACAATGTGTGTGTGTTTTTTTCCTGCAGTGTTCTTCAGAAGAATACAGAATGGATATCTCTTTGTTGGAGAACAACCGTATTTTTGTTTTAAAATGATATTAAAATAAATACATTTACTTCAAGTAAGGATTATTGTTTCAGTTCATAGTAGTTTTCTATGATATGGAGGTGGGGGGCAATATTTAAACATGATTAAACAATATATAGAGAACATTTTATAAAACATTTATTTTAATATTAATGATACTGATAATAGCAATCCACTTTGAAATGAAAATAATAAATAATTCAGGAAAATAATTTTGGAAAAGCAATATATACATTCTAATAATTTTAGGAAAAACAATATATAAAGTCTGATTATTTATTGAAGCATGGCTTTTTGGGATCTTGTATTAGCATTCTGTTACAATTCTAAGCTCTTTTATAGAAGTTTTTTATTCAACCTTACATGATAAGGATCTAACAAGTCCAAGTGAACTTTTTCACTTCCTTTCAATGAAGTAAAATAAAAGATGTTGCTAGACTACTCACATAGGTATTTTTTTCTTATCATTTGATTACCAGGAGATCTAAGATAAACAGAGTATGAGACCATGAACACAACACTAATTTCTGTTGGTGTTCTTATATCATTATGGCAAGATGTTGTTTAAAGTAATCCTACAATCCAGAATATTTTGCAATCACCCAAACAGCTACAGATTATGTAAAATATATATACATAACTTTATTCAGCTTATAAAGGGTAGGAATCTGTGGGGTGTTTATGTGCATGCAGCAAAGTAGAAGAAAGCAGCAGCATAAGGTAGCTGGCTTCCTTGGAGACTCAACATGAAAAGAAACAGGAAATCAGTGTAAATATGATTCATCCTCTTGACACTGAGCTCAGTAGCTCTGAATCCCTTTTTGCCTTTCTTTTAGCCCTAGCTCTTTTTAAGTTCTATTAGGTCTTTTTCTCTCTCCCCTCCGTAGCACAGAAACTGTGAGCTTGGAAACAGGGCTTGAAAATTGTGCTTGCAAGTAAGAATTTGTAGCAATTCCTTTCCCTTTGGGTGACTTCAATATCTGGTAGACTCATGGAGTATTAGAGTTGAAAGGGGCATTACAGATTTTTTTCCTCACCTCTGTTATAGATGAGGAAATGAAAGCATAGAGACTAACTTCTCTGAGATGAAATATTCAGAGATCATTGAATGATGTATTTTATATAGATGACATAAGGTAAAAATTATCTGAATTCCCTTTAAGATAATTGAAGCAAAGACAAATTCAGATATATTCTCAATCCCGTATTTTAAATTATATGTTGACATCCTTTTGAAAGTACCTTTGAACTCTGCTCAATGTTTCTCACAATTCACCCAGATCACTACTGTGCAAAAGGCTAATAACAAATACCTAAAATAGACTAGATTTAGACCACTAGCTTATTCAATCCAGATGGCCATTAATAGGGGGAAGAAAACTTCCCCTGGAGACACTTTAAACCAAATCTGAAGGAACTATCTGCTTAACTCAATATTAAAATGTATTCATAAAACACACCTTTTATTTAAGTCAAAATATCTCTTCAGAATCTGTGAGATCAAAAGGGCCAATTGGATATTCTAAAAGATCAGCTAAAAAGGAGGATCTGGTGAGTTTAAAATCAAATACTCTAATAAAATGTATGTGAATACAATAAAAATATAGCTCTGAGTCTAAGAGCTGTATATGTAATTTATTCATATAACTTGGATCCCGTTGTGTTAATGGCTGATTGCGATCAAGATTTGACCGAACTTTACCAACCTGTACTTTGTGTTTTTAAGCTGATGCCATTGTACATATCTTTTCAAAACTACAGAATATTATTTCCATTCCTATTCCTTAGTGAGCTCTCTAAAGCATGAAGAAGAATAGAAATTTGCTTATCGTCTTATTCAAATAAAGAGCTAAACACAATAAGGGAAGCTTAACGAAGGAAGGAAAACCCATATGCACACATACACCTAATAAAGTGTGCATTCAGCAAATAGTTACAAACTTTTAAACAAGCAATAGAAAGTACATACAAAAGATAACAAAACCTTATTTTCTGCTGCTCATTAAACTGAAACTACTTGCAGATGAAGTTTTCTTTAAAAATAAAGTCTGTTCCTACTTTCCCTTATTTCAATTGCCTACCTTATAAACTGAACACCAGCTAATAAAACACACTTCACTTGTTGAAACTTTTATCCACTCATTTGATGGTTTATGTTGATGTCAACTTAGTCAAGTTAGACATAGCAACAACTTTTGCTCAATTTATTCTTCATGTGTAAACAAGCATACATTTTAAAATGGCCTGCCACGAAACTGGGCCTTTGAGAATATGTTGCTTGTAAAATTGGTACACACTTGCCTTACATATATTTTACTGATGCAAGATATTAAGGACTAAAATTGTCTTTTCCATTTTTTACCATCTTTGAGAAGCCTGAGCCAAATGACTCACCATATTCTAGAAACATTTTATATTTCAAATCCTTTTTGAAACATAACCACTAATGAGTTATTTGATTATCATAATCAGAAACACTAATCACTACAGTCTTGATGAAAATCCAGATATTATCTCAAGAGGGCTCTGGTCGAATAAATGTGTTGACATGCTATTTGTTTTTATGATAGTTATTCAGTGACTCAGTGTAAAATAAGTTTATGGAAAAGAAGTGGCAAATACTTGGTGTGAGAATCAGATACAAATAGAACATACGCAAGACAGAATCTGCCATAAGTTTTCTTTTAAATCTACTAAAAGATAAAGAGATACATGAATATTCCCTTACTAAAATGCCTCAGAGTAATAATGCTCCTTATTAATATAAACAGTTCTGCAAGTTTAAGGTGTCATGTTTTCATTTTAACATCATGTATATGATAAACTATTAAGGACAGCTCCCTCTGCTATACCCAAATCCCCTGAAGAGACATCCCTACATACAGGACATAATCACCTCTCTCTCATTCCCTCTCCCCTACAAAACAGGTACATTAGGAAAATGATATGTCTTAGGTGTCCAGAAAAGGAAAATTGGGGGTGACTGACCAGTGTCATGAACTGTGTATGGTTATGTTCGAGGATGATTGGTTCCTTCCCAGGGATTTTGTGAACATTTAAGCTAAGAGGAAATGAAGAGGGTCTCAGTTGGTGATTGAGATGGAAATTGAGGGGCTAGAGTATAACAGAATCCAACTGTAGCCATGTACAAGTTGCGAAGATACAGTCTAAAGTAAACAGATGTTTTGAGTAATGTGCAAGTACAAAATAGAGAGGAAGAGAGAGGGGAGAGGAAGAGAGGGAGAGAGAGGCACAGAGAAAAATTGCCTTATTTATCATTTTGCCTCCATTTTAGATAAAGACTTTAGTGTTCATTTGTTTCTCCTTGGTTTCCACGAGATCGCTATTTTAATTTAGCTAGTGTAAGTGAATTTTTGCTTCTTATAACCAGAAGTGTGTTCAACATTGACTTTTATAATTGTAACATTATACATTATTAAGACTCTCTTTTTAAACTGGTAGGAGACTTAGCACTTTATTATTGTTTTTGATGGTAAGAGCAAAAAAAGAGAAACAAACTTTCAAATTCAGTATTACTTAGGCAAAAATAAAATGAATGTATCTTAATTTACCATTTTAACAGCTTTTATAATCATGGTAGCAATAAATTTTACTAATTTTTTCCTCTTGTAAAAAAATAGAGAAGTAGAGTATGTACTCATAAATAAAATAGACCCACTATTTTATATTATTATGATAAGGTTACTAAGTACTCCCCACATATCAAATGCATTTAAATCTAAGTAATAATACAACTTTATTACTTCTTTTGTAAAAGATTTATGATGATATTTTTTGATCATGGCAAAATAAATTTACTTATAATTAATTGAACTCTTACTTGTGCTTTCAACCTTTGGTTTTCCACTTATTTCTGTCATCATGCACTTTGGAAGGAGTATTCTGCACCATCTATTTTCAACCTACTTAATTCTGTTATGCTTCAGCTTTGCTAACACTTGACAAAAATTACTCTTGGAAAGCCATCATTCTTTTTTTCTTCCAGAATGCTAATCTCTCCCCTCCTGTATGTCTCTGTTCATTTCACTATCCTTTACTGTTCCTTTCCTGTTGGAAACATACTTCACGTTGGTGTTTCTCAAGTCTATATTATTGGTTATTTTATCTTCTCACTATTTAGTATTTCTCTGGGGAACTTCATACAATTCTGTGCATTCAGTTGTCTGCAATATATATCTAAGTGATGACATCCAAAGTTACTGCTTCAGGACTAATTGTTCTATGCTTCATCCCAAACAAACAAAATATTTTTTGCTAAATATTTCAGCTGAGATTTCTTCAGGCATCTTAAAACAAACTTGTCCAAAATTCAAGCTTACACCTTCCTTACTCAATCCTCTTTCCCCTTGGCATCTGAAGCAAATATAACTTCTTTAACATTCATTCATCTGTATGCTAATTGTGTGCATGTTTTTGTCTATTTCTTCCTTGATGTCTTCTGTGCTATGCATAGTGTCTGACAGGTAATAGATTCTTAAAACTGTTTTGAAATAAGCTCAGTATTTTCAATTTCAAATTCTGCTGTGGAACCACACATTACATTGCCATTCATAGAGCTACAAAAATTTGCTATGGCTAATTGGAGAAACTGAATATTTGGAATTGTTTAGTTCAGAGAGTTTGCACGGAGGCACAGTCCTCAGAGTGTTGTAATGGAAAAAAGGACTGTATTCAGTGTAAAACCATGAGCAAGTGATAAAACACTTAGGCCTCAATCTCCCTATGGGGATAAAAAACCCTCTTCTGCCTGTCAAGGAAGGTGGACAAGAAACTCAAATGAGATAATTAGATGTGAAATAATTAGAAAAGTATGAGGGACTAAACAAAGTCAGTTTCAGTTAATATTAAAATTTAAAATTATATATATTATTCGTATTTCTTATTCGGTTTTTAAACTATCCTGATGTTCATTTTTCAAAATAGAAGATTAGGGTAATGTTTTTTTTAACATCCTTACATTCTTGAAATATATCCATGTAACCAATAACAAGTTTACCCCTACAATAACCTGAATAATATGCTATCTGCTCCCCTTACAGATACTGTTCCAAGAATAAGCACTGGCATACTATTGTTCAGAAAAACTGATACTTGATATCTAAACACTGTTTGTATTTACATGTAAGAGATATGACTTAATAAACCCACACATTTTAAGACATGTACTTTTAACTTTTGCTGGGGAATGATAGGATTAGACAGATTTTTCCTATGCATTTTTAAAGAAGATATGCAGAATAAGAATGAAAGAAAGTATCCCAAAATTGAATAGGTTTCCAGGTAAAAAAGGAAAAGCTTAACTGTATTCTGACTGTCACTAAACCTCAGGACCCTTATCACAACTTTCTGAAAATTCCTGAGCTGTAGCATTAATCCCCTTGAAAGGGAGACACTCAATTTACAGTGTATTTTGCATGTCCCTAAACAAGTCTTGAATGATGGATTTCACTGTCTGACTGAGGTGGTTTACCTCAGCACATAATTTCTTATATTAATAACCTTCCCCACCAGAGTGAATGACCTTCTATAAATATAATTCCTCCATTCAATCAAAAAATTAAAGCCTGTAACCACCTCACAATTCATCATCTTTTCACAGGCAATTGTTGAGGCAAAAACAAACACAAAACCCCAATCCTCAAGCCATGTAATGTAAAATTATGCAGTTTTCTGCATTTATGTAACATGGATATATTGAAAATTACATAGCATTTCATACTCCAAATCAATTATATCGTGTGAATTCCTGTTTCCAGTGAGCTATAATTTTCAGAGAAAAAGATATGTGTATACTCCTTTCCAAAATCAAAGGTATCCTAAAACAATAGCTTCCTGAATGTTTGTATATTTTCAAACCATCTTTTAAAAACTGCTTCTTCCTATGAATGTCTCTGAAATTATAGTAAAACCAGATTACAGATTTATCCTCAAAATCTGCAACACTACCATTTACATAAAACTATCTTAGAGTGAATCTCAGAATTTAGGAATGAAGGTTTCTTCTTTGACTGAAGATGATCAATGCTTATACTGAATTTCATAATGCATAAAGATCCTAAAATATATACTTAACCTCATAGAAGTTCTTTTTCCCTCTTGCAAAAATCTCTACCTACAAGACTGAATCTAAGAGCAGATAACTGAGTTGTGTCAGAGAATCCCCTGGTAAATCAGAAGATTCAAGACAAAAGACTTCAGATAATTGGTATACTGTCAAAATAAATAAATTATAAATATTGAATAGCATTTTAAAATGCAATATATTTAACTACCTTTAATTATGGGAACTATGCAAGCAGACATTGTATTTACGTGAGAGAAAGGGTATTTTTAAAAAACCGAAAAAGCAAAGTTAGATTTAGTATAGCTCTCTGTGTAAGTTAGGCAACTCAGTCATCGTGAGCATGTTCTGTTGCCTTATCCAGTTGACAAAACTAGAGTGAAGGGTTGTATTTTTTGCATATGGTCCTTTGATAAGCCATCTTTATTTTACCAGGAATATATAAAGTCAAAGCCAATTTCAGCGGAAGTCCTAACGGATCTAAAATTTGCCACATGAATACACACACACATATGTCATGAATATATGCTTTGCATAAAGCAGGAGAAAAGCACATATTCAAACTTCACTGGGAGCATAAAAAAAGACTAATACACAGGATTTATGTCTCAGAATATCAGACCTCAAGGGAGGACCACGTATACAAAAAGTAGTTTAATAAAAGGGGAATTGTTATCTGACTGCTTCCTATTTTGAGTACAGCGGGGCTGAGGTGAGAGGTTAGCAAAACTTCTGGATAAATATACAAAACGATTCTAAGAGTAATAGTTTCAACAGTCATTTAAACTGTCCTGAAATGTATTCAAGTCATTAGTAGCTGATTTCACATAGCTAATCAATTTGTAGAACAATTAAGGTCAATTTACTGTTCAATTTAAGGTCAATATCACTGCTGAAAGAACAAAAAAAGTTTATGAAAACTTTGTCAACTATTCCCTGAGATGACTTGTGACTTAGGTTAACTTATCTCATTTGTAGGTAATGTCAATATTTATTTTCATAAAGATAAACCAGATTATGTCTTCAATTTATTATATTCATGTATCAGAAAATGCTCCTAACTGAAACTAGTAGTCAATCTTGTGATTGACTGTGAATTGATTAAACAATTGTGTGGGAAACAAGTATAATACAAATGTACTTCATCAAAAATTATTAATATTTTATAAAAATGTTTGATATTATATAAAATACATATCTAGCTGTAAATGTCATGTTCTATTTGGAATTATTAAAAATTGATCAGTTATTTCTTCTTCAATACCAGGAGAAGTATTTCCCTGCTTTATTTTTATGCAAACTTTCCCTTCCTAACCTGGGAATAAGACAACTGTAGTACACTTTGCTTCCAAATGGACAGGAGAGCTAACTCAAGGAATGCTAATAGACATTTTGTATCTTTAATTTTCACGATTCTACAAATGTGTAGGAGTAAAGTAATAGGACAAACTTATTCCAACAACTCACCCAGAAGTAACTTCCTTATGTTCATAGCCTCCCTGGGCTTTTGGCTTGAATAACTTTGTTGGTGAATAAACATTGCTACTGCTTCATGCTTGGAAAGTTGTGAATGTAATTGTCTGTCAATGATATGATGATTTATAATGCTATCTGTTCCTATTGCTACTACTGCAGATAACTCTAATTTGCTGCTATTATATTAGAAATGAGGAGCTTATTCTTTTTCAGTTTTAGAGTTAAGTTTTTCTTCAGATGATAGAGCCAACCACAACTTGTATACAACTTGGAAAAATGATAATGCTATCAAGTTTAGCTACTTTTTCCAACTCATTCATTTTTTTCATCTTTAAAAGAAAACTCATTATATTATTAATTTTTTAGAAACCAATACACTTTAGAAGTGTGTTTTTTCACTTTGTATTTACATATTATTAAATATTTAGTTTTATCTTATCACAAGAGTTTGAAAGGGATGAGAATATTTATACGTAAGTCAAAAACTGAAAATAAAACACGGTTAACATAGCATGATTCAGATAACTAAAAACTATGTATAATTTGATAAAAACTAAATACTTGGTGAGTATATAATCACATAATTATAGGCTCACCATTTGAATAAGGGGAAACTGGATAATTAATAATTTAATAATTTTCACAGAATTAATTTATAAACTGCTGCACCTGGCTAGTACACATAAACAGTTTTATAATTGACACACATTTCATAGCTAATTATATGCACCAAATCTTGACTATATAGAAAAAGTAAAATGAGAAAAACACAGATCATCTTCTAGTTGTATACATAATTATATGTAAACCCTGTTTCATAACAGAGTTCTTTCTAAAAATTTTGTATTCAAACATTTTTAATCTGTAAATTGAATTATAAAGACTTTATCTTAAGCAAGACAATTAAAATATCTAATTTATATAATTCTGGCTTTTAAAATATCCAGTTTAAAATAAAAAATCTATCATCATAGGTAACATTGATAACTATGTGCCAGACATAGCTATAGGTAACTCAGATATACTCTTATTTTTGTTCTTTATAACTACCCAATACAATGTATACAACCACCAACGTCTTAATTTTAATAGATAAGGAAACTGAAGCATAGAATGATTAAGTAATTTGCTTAATGTCACAAAGCCAATTGGTTAAAAAGCCCAGATGTGAATTCCCTGGCAGGGTTAGAGGGCCCAAGTGTTGCCATTGCACTTTTCGATTACTGCTTTATTAATGAGGATGACATGGTTACTAGCATCTGCAAAAATTTATTAATGCATCTCCACAATTATTTCATTTTACTAACTATAAACTATTTTATGAAAATGTCCATTTTCTGTTTAAATACAGTACTTATCATACTAATGAGGTTTAATACTTTTATGTTTAAAAACCGTTTAAAGATACAGAATCCTGCTGCGGCATTTATTCCCTGCAGTGAACTTTCAACCTTAGGGCCAACTACAAAAGCACACACTCATGTTGGTACAGACGTAAAGCAAGAAGCATGAGGGCCAAGAAAAGAAAATGATGCTATAGAAGTAAAGAGACCACCTTTTCTCAAATCCTGTAACCTAAATAGTGCATCACTTAAAAACTATTCCTGTAATTTGTAAACCCCTCTTCTAAACCCTTATCAAATCAAATCGCTGGTGTTATATTCAACAACATATCTATTCTTATCTCAGAAAGTCTTCAAATACAGATAAAGCTCAGGATTAATTTTTAAAGCATTAACCCTTTCAGGTAATACTGTTTTGAAAATATTTTAAAATATTCCTATTTTAAAGTATTCTTCCTACCACGTTATTGTTTTCAAACACATTGCAGATTTAAGCATCTGCTTTACATAAAAATATAGTGTCTGTACTTTGTACATATTTTCAATCATCTTTTTAAATTAGGTCTGAGTGGAGGTAAGAATTTTGATGTTCTTAATAATTCTACTTAAAATTAGATTCTACCAGTACTTAAATATACTAGAGACGTTCTTCATGTAAAGAACATATATAAGAAATTTCCTAATGTACTAATCAAAAATCAAACAAACATATAATCTGCAAATGTATATAATCAGTCTTATACATATTTTGAAGAGCATATTAATACTTATATAAAAACTATATATACATGAGCATAGCTACATACATACATGAAATATATACTCATGACAAAAATGTAAAACATAATACCTGCAGGTATGCTCAATATTAAAGGAATTTCACTGCTCAGAGTTAGAATGTTTAGAATTTTGAGTTGGCTGGTGCAGCTATATTGCTATTTCCATCTGTAGGGATTTGGATTAGTAGAAGGCAATATTCCACAGGGCAAACTGGAACACTGGAAGGCAGAATATAAGCCCTTAATACTTTTCAATACCGACAAAGTACGATGAATGTATAAATGAATGACACAAATATAAACATGATTTTTTTTATAAAAAACATGGAAGATCTCAGCAAATGATCTGAAACTGTCAAATTGGAAATAGAAAGAATATAAATTACAAAACTAAAAGGCATAAATGGCTTAAAAATAAAGTTTAAATCTGTTCGCTGTCAATTTGATTCAACTACTAATATTTTATTCTTAAATACTTTTAAATGGACTGAGAAGTGTGGTGCCAGTGACAGATGATTGTTCAGAGAGTTTAAAATACAATTTCTAAATATTCTTTGTTCAAGCCATTTTATTTTTAAAAATCGAGTGGTTTTCAATAGTGAAAATAACTTACTTCCCCATGTTCAGCATCCTAAAAACCTTCATTTACATTTTTGGCTTACCGTATCTATAATATACACCTTATAAAATATTTTTTTCTCATATGAATTCACTTAATATTTTAAGAATTTTCTATGTATTCTGTTTTGTAGTTCTATGGGGAGAAGCCACAATTCACAGATCTGATTTAACTAAGTGACACTAGAATATAAAAGTGTGTTTTTCTCTGCACATTATCTTAGTTGCATTTCCTGTTCATTTCTTAGTTCAAGGCTGACATATGTAGTCTTCACTTTTTATTTCTTGATCCTCTATTTAAGCTTGTTAACTTGATTTTGTACATTCTTTCTTTATTCATATTGCATATTAAATGCCTCTTTCTAAATAGCATATTTGGCCACTTTTTAATGTATATTCCCTTTATCAAAACGTTTATACAAACAAACATATCATAATATAATAATATGTAATAAAATAAGTAGATAGTAGCATAAAATACTTTCCTAAGAATTTTCAATGATACTTTGTAAAGTGAATTTTTGCCTCTGGATATAATTTAATCATCATTCATTGCCGAGCTTCATTTATTTATTATGTACACATGATCATCTGAATAAAACAGCAATGGCAATAGTAATACCCAAATTACGATGTTATATTTCCACAGATTATTTTGTTTCCTAAAGCATATTTTCCCAGAGAATCTTTAATAACCAAAGTATGAGTTTAAATAGAAAACTAGTTTCCTCACGTATTTCACATTGCATTTGACTCCCCTTCCTTGTCTAAGCAATGGGAGGGCATGTATTTTTTAAATGATTTCTCCTGATTACAACTTCTCCTGTTCCCTTTCATAACTACTATATAGTGCCTGGAAAAAAAATGAAGATATCACTTTTTTATGTTGTACCTTTGTTCTTTAGATTCATTAAATGATGTTGGAAATACTGTAAAAATAACAGTACTTTATGGTAATTGTTTAAAGCTGCAATGCCTGCAAGGTACCTCACAGTATCTTGTAGTAATTGCTTAAAGCTGCAATGCCCTGTGTGGACAGCACCTTATTCACTACCCAACCCACTCACACACACACCCTATTGATGCTCATGCTTTATCACTAGGCTCCTAATCCAAACTTCCTGTTTTCTTCTAATTAATATCACATCACCCTAATTGGGTTTTTCACTTGTAAGCTTTGTGGATTAACGTTTCTATTGCTATGTTAATTAGCTCTTACGTACCAAGGACGATCTCTACAACCAAGAACCAAAATTACCATTCTAGAATATCACTATAATAACATGGGCATGAGCAGTCTCTCCTGGAAACCATCCAAACAAATTTAATTATTGAAGTATTTAAGAGATTATGTTGTAAAACTGTTTTACCACCAAAGCAGTCACTCACATAGCATAGGTACTCAGAACAGCATTTTGAAGAGGTTTCAGTCTAATTCCACAAGCGTTTTTCATGTACTTACATGTGCTACACACTACAATTTTTTGTGTTAAGTGCTTGCTGGTAGAGTTCCTATTTTACATGAGCTTACATTCTTTTAGGGGTGATAGATACACAAAAAAATCAGTGAAGCATGACATAAAGAGTTTTATCAGAAAGACAACTGCATACAAGAGTACAAGGTGATTTTAGAGGAGTAGGCTAGGGAAGTCTTAGAATAACATTAGTATGGCCTTCTAATGAGAGATTTCCGGTCTCACTGTTTTTCTTTGACTCTCAGATGGTCATTATTCCAAGGAAAATAGTAAAGTCTTCATTTGGGGAAATTATATTTATGTTTCCACTAAAATTAGAATGACTAGGTTTAATTTCAGCTCTGAATGACCAATTTACAGTTTCAGACAAGTGCCTAGTGCCTAGTATATTCATTTGCTAGGGCTGCCATAATGAAGTCCCATAGACCGGTGGCTTAAAAAACAAATAAAAATGAATAAGATCATGTTCTTTGCAGGGACATAGGTGGAGCTGGAGGCCCTTATCCTTAGCAAACTAACGCAGGAAGAGAAAACTAAACACTGCATGTTCTCACTTGTAAGTGGGAGCTAAAATGATGACACATAGAGGGAACGACACACACTGGGGCCTCTTCGAGGGTGGAGGATAGGAGGAGGAGGAGGGAGAGGTTCATGAAAAATATCTAATGGGTACAAGGCTTAATACCTGGGTGATGAAATAATCTGCACAGCAAACCCCTATGACACAAGTTTACCTATGTAACAAACCTGCACGTGGACCTCTGAACCTAAAATTAAAGTTAAAAACAAAAACAAAGAAAACCCTAATTTCTCACTATACTGGAGCCTAGAAATCTGAGAATGAGGTATAGACAGGGTTAGATTCTTCTGAGTCCTCTTTCTCCTTGGCTTATAGATCTGGCTGTGTTCTTTCTTTTTCTTTACATGTTCTTCCCTCCATGAGTGTCTGTGTACTAATCTCTTCTTATAAGGACACCAGTCATGTTGGATTAGGCCCCACTCCAGTGACCTCATTATAGTTTTATTACCTTGTTAAAGATCCTGCTGCCAAATACAGTCAGCTTCTGAGGTACTTGGGGTCAAAACTTCAACATATTAATTTTGGGGAAACACAATTCTGCCCATAACACCTACTGAATACACATTTGTTAGCTGGAAAATAAGTAGCCAAAGTAATCACCATTGATCAAATAATACTAATTAATTTGAGGTCCTATTTGAACTCATATCCCTCTCTCTGCACCCCTGCCACAACCAGAGTAAGGGTGGAAATTTTTAGGAAAGACACATTTAACATATTTCCTCTCTCTGAAGATAATCAGGTGGAAAGAACACTATACTGGGTGTCACGAGCCATGGGTTCCTTCTCAGTTTGCTGCACACTTGCTGCCTGGCTTGGCAGATCAGCTATTGGGGTCTCAATTTTCTTATTTTTAATGTAAAATATGAAAGAGAAATATTCTGATTTTTCTCCAAGTTAAAGGAGACTTGACTGGCTTCTATCTTATAACAGGGTGGGGTCATGATGATGAAGATGGTACTAACTTCTAGCATGTATTTAGCACAAGGTTCAGACACTCTATTCTGTCTGGCTCTTAATATGGAATTTCGTGTCTCACAACAATACACAAGGTGGATAGTATTATTCCCATTTTTCTGTTGTGAAAATGGAAGCTCAGAATACTGAGGAAATCATCTAAAACCATATTACACATTGCTATAGTCTGAAGGTTTGTGTTCCCCCAAATTCATATGTTGAAAACTAATTCCCAGTGCAGCAGTGTTTAGAGATGGGCCCATTGGGAGGTGATTAGGTCATAAGGGCAGATCCCCTATGAATGAGATTAGTGCCCTTATAATAGAGACCTGAATGGTGCATGTTTGCCCCTTCTACTATGTAAGGACACAGCAAGAAGTCACCATGTCTGATCTAGGAAGCAGGCCCTCAACCAGATATTTCTGGTGCCTTAAATTTGAACCTCCAAGCCTCCACAACTGTGAGAAATACATTTCTATTTTTTATAAGTTACCCAAACTAAGGTACTTTGTTATAGCAGTCTGAACAGACTAAGACAGACATAACGAGGGAAAAAAAAATGACTTTGTGTTTCCAGTTAATAAACTTTCCATATCAGGGTGAAGTAGGACTATACTTTCATAGTCATGACTGGTACAGTTATTTAAAAAATCTCTTGACTCCATCTGCAATGCTGAAAAATGCTTTTTGGACAGAGAATAACTTTGATAGAGAATGCATATGTTACAGGAAAAAAATTATGCTCTTTTAAATGTACTTACCTTTAAGTTAATAACTTTTTAGCAAAATATGAACATGTTTTCATTTTTCCTCTTTAAAATTATACACAAAAACATAGAAACTTATGCTATCAAAATTATAGTTATAAAATATTTTAGTCAATTAACACAGAATAAATTTTTATGCTCTTATAAAACCCTATTTACTAGATTTCTTATTTTATTATGATATTCTTTCATGTTTGGCGGCCTTATAACTTGTGACATTATTTTTTTATTTTTAATTATTAATTTTTAATTTTTTATATATTTTTTAGATGGAGTTTCACTCTTGTTGCCCAGGCTTGAGTGCAATGGCATGATCTCAGCTGACTGCAACCTCCACCTCCCGGGTTCAAGCAATTCTTCTGCCTCAGCCTCCCTTGTAACTGTGATTACAGGCATGTGCCACCACACCCAGCTAATTTTTGTATTTTTAGTACAGATGGGGTTTCACCATGTAGGTCAGGGTGGTCTTGAACTCCAGACCTCAGGTGATCCACCTGCCTCCGCCTCCCAAAGTGCTGGGATTACAGGTGTGAGTTACCACACCTAGCTGACTTATTAAATTTTTTAAATATTGTGTTCTATACCATAATAATTTGTACACAAAAACACTCGTTCCTATGATAAAAGGTAGTGGTGTATTTTTTGGAATGCATCTGTTACTGCATTGCATATTTTAAAAATCTTATCTAGCCTTCACAATAAGGAAAATGTTGGTAGATACTGAGGGACACAGTGAGACTGAATTTTCATATAAAGTGCACCATGCAAAGATCTTTGTAATTTCTGGCAGTAAAATAAATAGAAAACTGAAAGAGATATTGAGCTCTTCCAAGCTCTCCAGTGATGTATAATCTAGTCCTAGTGGCAAAATCAGGCTCATATTCTCATACTACCAGTTGGTAGTTATCCGGTTAAACAGAGAATTTTATCTCTGCCTTCTGATTATCTATATTAATAAGAAACCAGTATTCATCTCATAAAATGGAGATGTGGTCTTTTTGTCTGAAAGATATTCCTATGATAGGATCTAGCCCTGCAGAGACTTTGAGAGTACTACCTCAAACCAATGTTCTATGCACCTTTATTTTATTAAGGTAATTCTATTTAGCATTCTGTTTTCATTCCAAGATGACAGTCATTCAATACTGTAACACCAATTGTGACCTCAAAGATCGTTTTGTGTAATTTTTACAAAATGACCAAAATTTATTTCCTCTATTATTCCTGTTATAAAATATAATCTAAAAGAGCAATTTTGATCTAGTACTTTCCTATGCCCTGTCAGTGACAGCAGTGGTGAAAACTTCAACTAAAGATTATTTACAGGTGGAAAATGAAACTAGAGAGGATGCTGCTTGGTTTTCCATTTCAGAGCTTTGTTTGCATTCCATATAGCCTTTGATCTATAAATATAGGATATCTGGTATAAAAGCCATTGAAGAAGTATGAGCATGAAAATTTTATGAAACCATTTTTACAAGATTACTTCATCTGACTACACATATATTGTAGGGATTATGAACAACTGTCCTGTTGCCATTCATCTATTAATGATCATGGTCATTAATTCCTTTGGAGGGGAGGGAAGAAGGTGGAACCAAGTCTAGAGACATACAAGAATGTATTTTGCACATATTAATGGTAGCTTACATCTAGAAAAAAAACAAGCAATAGCATAATGGCATCAATGTTACCTCTTTTAATGTAATTTTGTGTAGGTGTCCACATTTTCTGACCCACCGAAAAAAATTAAAATGAGAAGGCACACTGGGAAACCAAACAAATTTCCTTTTTATGACAATGACCTCCATATAAGAAGCACACATACAAGTGGTGAAAGGAAATGTGATTAAACTGTCTACCAGAAGCCTTTTAAGGTTCTCATAAAAATTGGATGTGCAGGAAATACTTGAACAATGCATTAAGTGGCAGCACACACTGAATGTGTTCAGGGTTTTAAAATTTTCAAAAGAGAAACCTATCTTTTCTGTCCACATCAGCTAATGTTTTTCAACTGTTTTGTTGACTGCAGCTCACTGAACTACTATCCCCACCCTACTTACTTCAAAAAAGGAATCAGCTTAGAGCTTTGTAAAATCTGCATTATTTATGAATAGAATGTTATGTATTTTTATTTATGAGTTCAATTCCATTTATATATGTCACCTTTTTCTGCTTTGTTCATTTAACATTCAAAGATGAGCTAGCCATATGATAGTAAAAAATTAAAAATGTAAAAGTATTCTCAGACTACATGGGGTCTCCTTTACAAACAATATATTAGGAATAAGAATAAAATGAATTCATCCCTAATCAACTCACCCTACTCAGTGATTTATAAATATATGGTTGAGGAGTCTCCAAAAAAATAAATTACTTGGCCAATCAGAAGGCTTATGCTGTATCCTCAGGAAAATGTAAGTGAATGTGATTGATGTAGGAAAGAAATGTAACCTGTTTAATTTTATTCTGAAGTTAATGATATTTGAGAATGGTGGTGGGGGGGAAGGAAGTCAAAGATGCAAATGCTATCACTCATAGAATTTCTAATGCATTGTAGTTCTAGTGTTCTCAAGAGTAGGAAGCAGCAAGCACATGACTTTTCTGTTCCACAGGTTTATCCGTAGGTTGCCTGTGTCAAGTCCTCAACACCTGATATCATCAGCCATCGATTCTCTTAAACTAAGTGTACTCTGGTTTAATATTATTAATCATTTCAATGCTTGTGAAGATTTTCCAGAAATGACAATATGGTTACCAATCAGCACCCCCCGACACCCAAAACACTTATGTTGCAAAGTCCTATGGAGTGGCTGAGAAAATTTATATTCACAGTGACTGAAAATGAGTAAGGTACTAGAGTGCATATATGTATGTTTATGTGTGTGGGTGTATGTGTTTGCTTCCTTGTGTTTGAATAAAACAGTTATATTATTATGAATGAAGTATATGGTAGATTAGTGAGAGGAAAGTCAGTAGCCAAATGGACACAGACATTAGTACCTGTGATCGTAACAGGAAGGAAATTGTGCAGTCTCTTTCTGGATACCTTACAGAATAATTCATGATCCAGCTTACTTGAAAGAGTACCAGGGCACTTTTGATTCATAGGATGCAGAAGCCTTGAGTAAAAATCTTGGCTCTGCCACTTGCTAGGTGTTTAATATTAAAGTATATTCACTTAGCTTTCCCGTGTCTCAGTTTTTTCCTCCATAAAATAGCAGCCTTAGCCAGGAGCATCCTTTCTGTTGTCTTTCAGCCATAAATCACTTTGAAGAAACGAACTCGTGGAGTCCTCCATAATTCTTTAATTCCAAAGCAATTTCTGAAATAATTCTGCTATAACCATCAAATCAGATGAATATTCAAAATTTATATCAGCAAAATCAAATAAAACCAAATAGAAGAAATAAATTCTGAAAGCATTACTTCTCCAGAGAAATTGTTTAAAGGGTAGCATATTCTAATTAAATATCCTATTTAATTCCCACTTGTGAGAAAAGAAGCCGAATCATTCACTTTTGAAAGTTTGGGGGAAAAAAAAACTTTTTATTTTTTTCTAGGCTTAAATGTGTAAATCCTCACATATATATATATATATATATATACACACACACACACGTATGTATATATCATACATACATATGTATTTATATGTGTATATATATCATATAATGAACTTGCAAAGCTCTTTTAACTTATACATTACAAATTCAGAATACAGTATCATCATAGTGAAATAATTTAGGGTAAAAATATGTTCGCTAAAACACTTCTAGAATGTTCAGCAATGTGCCAAAAATGTACAAAGTAGCCAGTTGTTTAGAAAATATTAACATCATTTTTACATAAATATATAAATATATTATGCAATATGTTAATATATAGTTAAGATAATTAAATTTACTGAGTTTCTGAGAATTTTATTCTTTCAGCTGTTTAAGGTCCATATTTAAGTTATAGAGTAAAAATTTTAGAAGTATTGGACACTCGTTATATTTTGTTACCCAGAGAACCATAATATTAATATTACTCAGTGTTATAGGAAACCAACATAATATTTTTGCCTTTTTAGGCAAAAATCCTGAACATGTGATTTCTTAGTGTTATTTGAGTCTTTGTCAGAAAGCAAATGCCTTATTTTAATAAAGAACTTTCTTCTTAATAATCCAGGAACTAAAATGCCTTTTACCTATGACATCAGTATATTTTTAGCATTGTCAACAAAGACAATATTAAAGAATCAGTTTAGAGGAAATAAATTTCTCAATTTCTCAGCTGAACAAGGTAAGTAAATGTTTTGTAAAACTCAATAGGAAAGATTAAGATGACTTGTCAACAGTATATATTATCATGTTGTAGTTGGTATTCTTTCATGATCCAAAAAATACAGCCAAGTTTGGCACCCACTGGGAAGAACTTCAAACTTTGTATTGCTACAATAGCAAAGCAGATTTATTAGACCCCAGTATCTAAATTAGGAATAAGAATGTCCTAGTTGGTTCATAGCTTAGATTTATAAAAGTACCTTAGTCTACCTAGGGTAAGAGATATTTTTAGTTGTTCCTTTTTCTGTCAAGACAAAATGTTCAGTTCTCCTGTTTAGATCTTCAGCAATTTCAACGTCAGGCAAACAAGGCAAGGAAAAGTGTCATCAATCAAATCTTAGAACCCCGTGAAGTGTCTTGGATTCTGTAAATATTAGTTAGAAAATTTGTATTAATATGCCTCAGCTCTAATTAAACAGTTCAAAACATGACATTTGTTTTTATATGAAACACTTAGAATCCAAAAATTTTATAAAAACATAAGCTAGGCAAAAAAAAAAAAAAAGGGGGCGGGGGGGCAAAAAAGAAACATTGAGTTCCAACTAAAAGAAGACAAAGATCTACTTAACGTGTAATCATGCTGAACAAAATTAATCAATTTTTCAATGTCGGCATTTATATAAATACAAATCATGCTGACAAATACACTCATCACACCTACAGCCTGCCTGCCTACTGCCTGCCTTGCTACTAGACAAGCAAATGGCCCCCACTAAATGTTGCCCAGTGAATCAGCATTGACTCAGCAGAATGACTTGACAATATGGCATTGTGGTTATCTAAATAAGTTGATTATTATTCAAACATCTTCACCAGTCTCTACCACCTAAGAAAAATGCAAAAACTTGCCCGGGTGCGGTGACTCCCATCTGTAATCCCAGCACTTTGGGAGGCTGAAGTGGGCGGATCACCTGAGGTCAGGAGTTCACGACCAGTCTGGCCACCTTGGTGAAACCCCGAAACCCCGTCTCTAGTAAAAACACAAAAAATTAGCTGGGTGTGGTGGCGAGTGCCTGCAATCCCAGCTACTTAGGAGGCTGAGAGAGGAGAATCACTTGAACCCGGGAGCCGGAGGTTGCAGTGAGCCAAGATCACACCATTGCACTCCACCCTGGGTGACAATAGTGAAACTCAGTCCCAAAAAAAAAAAAAAAAGAAAAAGAAAAATACAAAAACTCCTTGAAGCATAGGAACAAAAAGCAGATAAAGCAAAAAGCAGAATAGTTGTATGCTGAGGAAATTTTAGTGAATATTTTATGAAGATAACATTTCCTTTTGATATTGTATTCAATTTCCATGTGTTTGCTTTTTTTTTTTTTTTTTTTTTTTTTTTTTTGAGACGGAGTCTCGCTCTGTCGCCCAGGCTGGAGTGCAGTGGCGCGATCTCGGCTCACTGCAAGCTCCGCCTCCCGGGTTCACGCCATTCTCCTGCCTCAGCCTCCCGAGTAGCTGGGACTACAGGCGCCCGCTACCACGCCCGGCTAATTTTTTGTATTTTTAGTAGAGACGGGGTTTCACCGTGTTAGCCAGGATGGTCTCGATCTCCTGACCTCGTGATCCGCCCGCCTCGGCCTCCCAAAGTGCTGGGATTACAGGCGTGAGCCACCGCGCCCGGCCGTGTTTGCATTTTTATACTTCACTAATTCATTCATTTTTAAATTAATTATTAATATTTTTTGGAGACGGGGTCTCAATCTCTCCCAGGCTAAAGTGCAGTGGCGCATCACGATTCACTGCAGCCTCGACACCCGGGGCTCAAGCATTCCTTTCTCCTCAGCCTCCTGAGTAGCTGGGACTACAGGCATGCACCATGCCTGACTATTTTTTAATTTTTGTAGTGACGAGATCCCACTGTTTGGCCTAGGCAGGTCTTGAATTCCCGGGCTCAAATGATCCTCCCACCTCAGCCTCTTAAAATGCTGGGATTACAGGCCTGAGTTTCCATTCCTGGCCTTATTCAGTCTTTAAAAAATTGAGCACTTAAGGTAAGCAAAGTAAATTTCAAGTTGGTACTGAGTTTAACGCAAGGGTCTCTGTGTTTCCCTATCTTTACTGAAATGTACTAGGTGTAACTTATAAAAATAGAAATAAAGTGATACAATGTGCAAATAAATTGAAGAAAATAAGCTCTACCTAGGTGAACAGTTACTATTAATTCTAGTGCAATAATGCATAGGAAAATTTGTGTATAATTATTACATAATAGTTGTTCAAGTGGAAGTGCATTTTTTTATTACAAAATAGACCTTAACAGAGAAATCACAAAACAATAAGAATACTTAGCTCAAACTAAAGGAAACAAAAATACATGTTAAATTATCATTAAATAGTTCTACTAGTCACAAAGTTAGTTACA
Organism: Homo sapiens; assembly: GCF_000001405.40. Taxonomy (NCBI): domain Eukaryota; kingdom Metazoa; phylum Chordata; class Mammalia; order Primates; family Hominidae; genus Homo; species Homo sapiens. Next base: position 66,935,759 of record NC_000013.11, read on the forward strand.
GAACAACCCTTTTCAATATTAATTATAAAATATATTTTGCAGCCGGGCACCATGGCTCATGCCTGTAATCTCAGCACTTTGGAAAGCTGAGGCAAGCGGATCACTAGGTCAAGAGATCAAGACCATCCTGGCCAACATGGTGAAACCCTGTCTCTACTAAAAATACAAAAAAAAAAATTAGCTGGGCATGGTGGCGAGTGCCTGTAGTCCCAGCTACTCAGGAGGCTGAGGCAGGAGGATCGTTGGAATCCAGGGGGCAGAGGTTCCAGTGAGCTGAGATCGCACCACTGCACTCCAGCTTGGCAACAGAGCGAGACTCTGTCTCAAAAAACAAAACAAACAAAATGAAATATATTTCGCAAAATTAAAATTAATAGGCATTTCTTTGGGTCAAAAATGATACCAGGTTTCTCTTAAATATCTTATGCATGTTATGCTTTGAGGTGTTAGCACACTCAATCAGTCTCATTTGGAATATTTTTTAAGTATAATGCAAGATACAGCTTAACATCAGGGATCTATACTTTTCAGTTGTAACCATTTTCTAATTTGAAAGCCTGTAGTATTCTTCTGAGATTCAGATTTTTTGTTTGTTTTCCAATTAATATTTTGGGTCCAAAAACTCGATCTAGATCTTTGCAAAGAACAATTAAGGGCTATTTTTAGAAAGTTTTAATTTTTTTAAAGGCATATTTCTTCCATTGCTGGAAGAAAAAATTTAACTCAATTATGCCATCATGTTGGGTGACAAAATTAAAATTCAAAAGAAATACAGACAACAGTATAAATGATAAGTTGAAACTAAAGTGAAATAAGATGGTGCGTGGAAACAAAATCTCTTTACATAGGCATAGGAGACCTGATTTCACACATGGCTGTTTCATGAACTGGCTACTAAACAAGTCATTGAGAAATGCACATTAATTAACTAATAATATAATAATAGAAGCAATGACATCTTTGCATCCAAAGACACATAAGTTTGAATTGCAGTGTTTCATTGATTAATAATAGTGAGCTATCAGCAAGTTCCTTAACCTTTCTGAACTTTAACAGTCCCCGTAAAATGGGGATAATATTTATTCTTCTAAAAGTAAATCTAAGATTTTTTAACAATTGTTTGACATATATCATAAATGTACCAAAGATTAAATAACCTATTGATCTAACTGTATATAAGCTACTTCATAAAACTGCGTGGCGCATAATTTGGAAAGGCAGAAGAATTTCCATTCAGGTCATGTAAATTTGTTTTTCTCAAGCAATAAAAAATAAAATATAAGTATGCATGATCATCGTTATGGTTCTCAATATAATTTTCCAGTTTTATTATCTACCTTGATTTGTCAGATTCATGTAATAACAAATACTGCCCTATCCATTTAAAATGTATACAATGTGCCATACATTTGGCTATGGATTTTACATGCATTATCCTATTTGGTAACAGTGAGAGCCCTACGGGATTGGTTTTATTAACCTATGATTTAGGTAACAACTTTCAGTCTCAGTAATGTTATTTAACTTGCAGAAACTTGCGGAGTTGTAGTATCAACTTTCACATTCAGAAATTCTAACTCTAAACCGCCTGTTCTTAGTTATCTGAAGTCGTTATATGTAGAATAGAAAATTGGGATCAGATTTCTCTATCTGCATCATATGTATCACTATTTGAAGTTATATATTTCTTCTTTATTCTTATTACTGCCTGTCTCCACAATTTGTTTCTAAGCTCCACAAGGGCAGAATCTGTATTGCGAGTTCACGGCTTTATGCCTGTTTAAACAAACTAAGTATGACCTGAGTAGTACTCCGTACTTCCATATTTGAGTCCTTGTGGATGAACTGTAACCTAGCTTAACAGTCAGACAAAGTGGAAAACCTAACTTAGTAGTATATGCACTTGTAACAATGGCTGAGTATTGACCAATCCCAGTGACCATACTTCAACCACTCATAGACTGCTGAATGTTCAAACTGCGTTCAAGTAAGGCAAACACCGAGCTGTAACCAATCTCACTGTTTCTGTACTTCACTTCCAATTCCTGTGCATCACTTTACCTTTTTTTTTTTTGTCTATAAATTTGTTCTGACCATGAGGTACCCCTGGAGTCTCTGTGAATCTGCTGTCATTCTGGGGGTTGCCCAATTCACGAATCATTCATTGCTCAATAAAACTCCTTTAAGTTTAACTCAGCTTAAGTTTTTATTTTATCATGCCTAATGCCTGGCTTGAATAAATACATCATAATCATTTATATGGGTCAGAACTGTGCGTGGATTACACCACAGTGCTCTAAAAGGAGAGTTCATTCCCTATGGTTCAGAATAGATTGTAGTAACTTCCATAAGTGGCAGATATTTTAGTCTTTCAAACTAAGAAACCCTGGCCTTAACTCCCACAGATAACTGATGGGTAGACAAGAGTTCAACCACAATGACATAATTGGTTATCATTAGGAAAAAGTAAAAGAAGAAGGCATCAACAGGGCTTCTTAAACGAAAATAATTATAGTTACATAGTTGAATTTAATAGAATAATTTCCTTAACATGATATACCAGAATAAATAAAGCATTGCTATTTGAAAAAAAGAGCCACAGAATTAGACCGAAGTTTGCAAGATGCAATACTCTATTAATTTAGCTGTAGTTTTTCAGTTGTAGACTTCTATGATGCTTGCACCACAGTTCTTTGTGAATGGGGGATGTGGACTGGATTCAGGTGAAAGAAACAAGCTGTGGCAAACCCTGTGTACAACTGCAGCACACACAAATCAAAAAGCAATCTTTATATGTGATGGTTATTTAGAGTTTGCAATGTTCTCATCAGTAATTCCTATCTTCATGCAGAAACGACTGACATTGATGTTATCATAGACAAAGAAAAAGGAAATTTATTTCCTTCTTAGTTCTCACTTTTTCCCTCCACTCTTTCATCTTAAGCCCATCACCATAACATCACTGGAAGACTGAGGGAAGGCCAGAGAATTATTTTTGTTAAATTAATATAATCACGCTTTGCTTTTGAGTAATATGTGTACATTTTTTACTTGTCCGTCTACATGCAAACTTCATATATGTAGATCATTTTAAAAGAACTTATATGTGCACACATATCACAAGTAAAATTATTGTAATAGAATTATAAAAATTGCATGGTTTATATTATGTAATTTAATTTCAGAATTGTCTATCAATGTATTTATTTGTATTGAAATATAATACTAGAATATTTATATTAAAAAGGCATATCAATTTATTCAAGTAGCATATGATGGGTTAACTACTCTAAGATAATGGATTTTGCTTGTATTTGGGCCCAATGTTTTTTTTTCTTCAGGTTGTCCTGTATTTTAATGTTGAATCATTAAAAATTTACTTTGAGCAATCTATACTGTATAAGATTCCATGTAAAATCAAAATATCACTGTCAATCATTAAAAACACTGCTTAAATATTATTGTTTTTTCTTAAATATATTGTATTAATGAAGAATCATGATTCTAGGATCAAATGAAGTTCAATTTAAAAACCATGAAAGATTAGTTTTCTGAACTGTGTATGTGTTCTGAACATGTGTTTACTTAATGTAAACAAGTAAGAATCCCAAAGGATAATTTTTACTTAATAAACTTCTAAGAAAGGTGAGGTCACTTTAAAATATATGTGTGTGTGTGTGTGTGTGTGTGTGTGTGTGTGACGGAGTCTTGCTCTGTTGCCCAGGGTGCAATGGTGTGATCTCTGCTCACTGCAATCTCCGTCCGCCTCCCAGGTTCAAGTGATTCTCCTGCCTCAGTCTCCCGAGTAGCTGGGATTACAGGTGGCTTCCACCATACACTGCCAAGTTTTGTATTTTTAGTAGAGACACGGCTGGTCTTGAACTCCTGACCTCAAGTGATCCACCCACCTCAGCCTCCCAAAGTGCTGGAATTACAGGCATGAGTCACCATGCCTGGCCTTAAAGTGTATATATCTAAATAAATTAAAACTGGAAAACTCACAAGTTAAAAATTATGAATGAAAATGACTGATAGAAGACTACAAGGCTCAACGTATAGGCGCATTTAGTATGCTGTCAGGTAATATTTATTTCTAGAGCTGTGTATCAACATCTTTGGGAACGAGAGAGGTCTATGTGTATTGTTTTATAAATACTTAGTTCTTCAATTTGATGTATAATTCCTTAACAATGTTTTATATATTCTGTAAAAAGACTGTTCATTACATGTTTTGGATTTCAAAAATTATTTTGTTTTTTTGATGCAGCATAATATAGATTTGGATCTAGGTGGAGAATAAGAATGCTTGTAAGGAAGGCAAAAACGGGCAAGAAATAATACCATTTGACTTATGCTTTAGTCTGTGTGAAACTTAAATGCTTCGTATAGAAGCTTTAATTCTAATTTTCTTTTCATTCCAGTCCCATTTCCAATTCATTGGCCTTCATATTCTAATGAAAACTGGATCAATTTGAAGGCACTTATACAACTGTTTCCTAACACCTTGTTCTAAATTACATCCTGACGAATGAGTCATTTTGTCAGCTGAGTTCTTATTCACAATCACCCTGCAGTGTAATATTTTGTTGTTGTTGTTGTCGTCATTGCTGTTCAAAAACATGTTGTGAGTCAGTAATTTTTTCAGAGAACCAGTAAGCGTTTTCTGTGTTTATAGAGAGCAATTTGAGGTGATGATTAAACAGCATATAAAAAAAAGTTTTCTCAAATTTCTGATTATCTTAGTACCTTATTAATCACTATTATTAGGGTGTTATTCAAATGAATTTGTGTAATCTATATCTCATGTTTAACTTTTGAATAATAAAGAGCATCAAAACTGTAATGAAAGAAAATGAAAATCAGTATGTTAAGCCCCGAGAAACAAAATTTTTCTGTAGACATCCAAAATAAGTTTACTTTTTTGTCAAACAGATTGGTCATAATTACCAATTAGTAAAAATTCCAAAGTACATTATATGAGAGTAAAAATAGCTTAAAGAAGTAAAAATGTCAAAAAAGAGGAAAAATAGCAAAATACAGGAAAAAATTTCAGAGTCATTCATTTTTCTTGTACTTGTTTTTCTTGTGTTATAATTTTAAGGTAAAAATATTATCTGCTGCTGTGGAGGTGTTTTCCCACATTGATTGCTTTTACTCTTTAGGATTCTTATGAATAAACTGGCCAAATTATGAAAAAGTATTGTTTTCATAATATATACTTGAAGGGAAGTTTCATGGTTTATATACTTGTAGGAAAAATATGTAAAAGGCATACTGTAATTACCAGTGGATTCACTACCCCAAAATTCAAAATAAAATACAATTTTACTTTTAGGAGCTCCTGGTTATAAAATTAGAACTTACAGTATTTATGATATAAAAGTATACTATTGTGAAATATCTGTATTATATATGAATGGATATAGTATTACTGGTAGATAGAATGTAGTAAGTTACAGACATTTACTATAAACCCTAAAGCAACCAATAAAAATTTAAAAAAAATGAAATATATGGGTAATAGTCCAACAATAAATATAAAAACATATTATAAAATAATCCAAAACAAGTCTGAAAAAGCAAAAAAATGAACAAATGGGGCAAATAGATAACAAACAGCAAGATGATAGATTTATATCTAATGTTATAAAGAATAACATTTATGTAAATGGTCTCAACAACCCTATAAAAAGGCAGAGACATCCATAATGAATAAAAAGCAATACCTAACTAATATGCTGTCTATAGAAAACGTACATTAAATATAAAGACTCAGATAGCTAAAAACAAAAAGATAGAAAAGATACATTACACTAGCACCATTCAAAAGAAAGCCAGAGTGGGCATGCTAATAATACATAAAGTAGATTTTAGAACAAGAAATATTTCCAGGAATATGAGAGACCATTTCATAATGATGTTTATTAAGAGAACCTGACAATCCTAAACATGTATGCACCAACTAACATAGTTTCAATATACATGAAGTAAAAACTAATAGACCTGCAAATAAACAGAAAATAAATAGGTATGGAAGACTTTAGCAACATAATCAACTAACTTGATGCAACTAACGTTAAGAAATACTTGGCCCAAAAATAGCAGAATGTATATTATTTTCAAGTGCACCTGGGAAGTGTACAAAGATAGACCCTACTCTGAGGCATAAAACAATTCCTAAATTAAAAAAGTAACTCACACAAAGTATATTATCTGATCACAATGGGATTAAATAAAAATCAGCGACAGAAGGACTTCTGAAAATTTTCAAATATTTGTAAACGAAGTACTACACTTCAATATAACCCATGGGCCAAAGAAATATACAAAATAGATAATTAGAAGTTACTCTGAATTTAATGAAAATAAAATTACAACATATCAAAATTTGTGGAATGCCACAAAAGCAGTACTTTTAGAAACATTTATACCAGAAAATATTCCTGTTAGTAATTTTAAAAGGTCTAAAAACAAGGGCATAGTTTCTTCCTCAATAGTTTAGAAAAAAATAGCAAAATCACTGGTAATAACCAGAAAAAAAGGAAATGATATAGATCATAAATAAACAGAAAGCAGAAAAACAACAGAAAAAAATTGGCATAACCAATATTTGGTTCTTTGATGAATAGATGAATTCACCTATTTGTTTAGATGCGTGAAAGTAAAAAAACCTCTACCCATGTTGATCAAGAAAAAAACAAAGAAATGTTCCAATAACAAATAAGTGACATTGCTACAGATTCTGTAGATAATTAAAAAAGAAGAAATATTTATGAAAAAATTAAGGCTCAAAAATTCAACAGTTTTATCAAAGTTTTAAGGAATTGTTGATGAAAGCGTCATCTCTGTAAAATACTTAGAGGTTTATTCTGAATCAAATATAAGTGTCCAAGGCCCAAGGCTCAGTCTCAAGAGATCCTGTTCAAGTTTGTCTAAAATCATCCTTATCCTTTCAACAGGAATGTTCAATCATCAGAATTGCACAATTGCTGAGGTAAAAGGAATCTAGTAAAGATCTATTATGGAAACTGAGTTTCTTAATTTAAATGATGGAATTGTTTTTCTGGTTTATTCCTTAAATGGCCTGAGCCAAGTGTTTGACTACCCATAGAAAAACTGACCACAGATTCTGTGTTAAAATGTTTGGAAAACAAACTTGAAGAACAGAGATGGTGCTTGTAATCTCACAGCTTTCCCTGTATGGCCTTCAATATATCACTCTTGTTATTAACACGAAACCTGAGGCTTTACTTAACCTTATTTGATACCCTAATTTGAGGAGCATTATGACTCATTTACTTCAATATCATTTTCTCATACTGTTACATAGTAAACATAGTTATTACAACATATCTTCATAGAGCATTTGCAAAACAGGAAAAGAAATCATAAGTCAGGTTGTTACCTTCATATGCAATATTACGTCTTATATTACATTACATTTTATATTACAATGGTTTGCAATATAAAATGTGTTTTCCCTCCTTTTCTAATAATTCACTCTATCATTTTTCTATCTACCTTTCCCTACTGTGCCTTCATGGAATGAATTGCTCGGCCTCTTTTGGTTTTAGGCACAGTTGTCTGTTTCAAGTAGGACAATGAAAGATTAGTAAATCTCATTGGAATTTTCACCCTAGTTTTCTATGTAGATAATCAAGATTTGTGGAAATCATAGAGTACTGACATTTCTCTACTCCACTATCCTCAATAATTTTTCTAGTGGTAATTCTAGTTCCTCAAAAATTTTGGTTTACTGAACTTAGAAAATTTGAAATTACATGAAAATGATCTCCATTAGACTGAAACAAAATTACTCTACATTTTGAAAACCCCTTTTTCAAATTGACTATAGACGTGTCAAGTTACAGCTTTTCTCTGGAGACTCCTGGAGATTGATACAGATCTCTATAACCAAAGGATATGTGTATTTATGCTTTGCATTAAAAAAAAGGAATGTCTCTTAGTGTAATTTTTCTGTCAATCTAGGAATATGAGAAAACTTCAAGCAATTCATCTGTATCGGCATGGAGAGGAGGAAAATGAGACTGTAGATATACGTTGCTTTGGATGGCACCAATATGGGCCAGGAAGCTTGCTTGAAACAAGATAAAAATGTGATTTGGATACCAATGAAGTGACTTTCTGAATCCTTGCCTTCCTAAATACAAACTGCATGACCCTGGCTCTACCTCTTAAAAATGTAGCAATTTATTTTTCTCAGTGGCAGATTTGAATAATAATGTTTATATGTCTATAACTTAACACTATTGTGAGAATCAAATGAAATAATGATTAGTAAATAACTTTGAGAATCATTAAGTAATTTATCAAACATATGTTTTGTGCAAGGCATATGTAGATTATAGTAATTATTATAAACAATTTAGGCATAGTTCAAAACCATAATGCTTTTTAACAACTGACCTACTTTATTTCTTGCACCAAATACATTTTCAATAAATGTTCTATATTTTTCTAATAAATCTCTGTTTCTTTAATGCAACTATCTATTTAACTTTAAACATGAAAAATTCAGACAACATATTTAGCATAAAGAGATAAAGTGTTCTCTAGTTTCTATAATATGCAATTTTTCATAAATATTTTCAGCTTCTTGTCTCATTTCTTAGTACTTCCTACAAAAAAACTGAGTGGTTTGTATTGAATTATTATTTGTGACAGGCACTATGCCAACTATATTTTCTACTTTACCTTATTCAGTTTTTAACTGGAAACTGTGGCCCAGAGAATTACCTAAGCTCTTACCTGAGCTAAGAATTATCTGAGTGTAGAGTTTGGAAGGGGATGTGGTCATGAAAAGTTTGATCCCTCCCATTCTGTCCTCTTTTCTTAAGCCAGCTGCCCCTGGAAAACACACTTTATGCTATGCTTACTTCTTCATGCTCTATATTTAGTGGATAACCAACCCTCCCTGGGGAGGTTTGAGGTTGTGCACACAGCTCTGCCTGTGGCAGAATGGGCAAATGTAATTTTATCATTCATTGTTGGGATACCTATTTCTGGTGCACATTTAAGGCCCATCTTCTAATCGTCTCTGTGTGTGTGTGTGTGTGTGTGTGTGTGTGTGTGTGTGTGATTTAACTGTATCCCTCCCACACTCCAATTTAAGATAAGCAAAACTCCAATTTAAGATAAGCAACCTAAATTCTGAGTTGATTATTCTGTTGTGGCTCAGGACACACTACCCTAAAACCTGACTGCAGGATACCAGAATACAGCACCCCAACATTAACCTCTTTGGCATATTGAATATCTCTAGCTGATTATTTTGAGAAACTGCAGACATAGAAGTAGCTCTGAAAAGCTACCTTTTATAAAAGAAATTTACATTTATAAGGGAAATTTCTATTAGTAAAGGTATCTATATCAGGAAGAGTGTTGCTCTGAGCCAGCTTTTACCATCTGAGACTTACCTGCCTAAAAAGGCAACATTTATTCACAATTCCTTACTTTCCCTCATCTTCCTATAATTTGTCTCCCTCACACTCCCCCAGCAGCCCCAAGCAACTAGTTCTTTCTGTAGTGAGGCATACTATATGAGTTTTGATCATCTGGCCCTTCTTTGAGTGCCATATTCTTATGGTACTCCTGTGCATACGTACATAGTGAAAATTGTTTTCCCCCATTAGCCTGTCTTATGTCAACTTAATTTATAGCTCAGCCAAAGAACCTAGAAGGGTAAAAGGGAAGCATTCTTTTTCCTCTCCTAAAATACTGTTACTTACTTTTTCATATAGTTTTATTTTATCTACGTGTATCCATACATTTTAATGGTTATTTTTTCTTTTAACTTTATAAAATGTAACCATGTTCTATGTAGTCCCTTGAAACATATTTTTTCTCTGAAAATTATATTGTTAAGACGCAGCCATGCTTTTGAGTATTGTTGTATTTGGACTCTTGTAAAATATTTCATTCATTAAATATACCACAGTTATTTTCATCTACTCTCTTATGAGTGGACACTTGTTCTTCCCTTCCCATGTTACAGCTTTATATTACTGTTGACAGTACAGATACCAGGATTCTTGTATGTGTTTTACAGTGTACATGTGTAAGAAATACTCATGGGTATGTGTCTTAGGATGGAATTGCTAGGCTTTGAGATATCTGAATTACAGTTTCAAAATGTAACAAATTGTTTCAAAGTAATGGTACCAATTTACATTTCTACTGATAATATATATAAAAACCTCTAAAGTTTTCCAACACTTGGTATTTTCAGGTATTGTAACATTTCCTCATTGAATGGATGAAAATAGCATCAAATTGTGGTCTTGATCTGCATTCATCTGGTCACTAATGACTTCTCTTCTTATTTTTATTGACTATATATATTTCTTTCTTTTGTGAGATGCCTGAGCATGCCATTAGCCTATTTTTATTGAGTGTTTAAAATATTTCAAAATAAACACCAATAAAAAGTTATAAAATCCTACAAAAGGGAATATGATTAGTGTGTTGAGCAGCTGAGAACAAATATATACTCATTAAATATTAGTATAATTACATAATATTGAAAACTTAAAAACACAAAAACTATCATACCTTCACATTTATGAGCACATATAGCATCCAAGCTGCACACTTAAAAATATTTTGCAAGGCTGGGCATGGTGGCTTATGCTTGTAATCCCAACACTTTGCAGGGCCAAGGCGGGAAGCTTGCTTGAGGCCAAGAGTACAAGACCAGCATGGGCAACACAGCGAGATCCCATCTCTAATTTTTTAAAAAGATTTTTATAGTATATACAAAAATGGTACATACTATGGTACTAAATATTTGGTACTAATCATAGTAAACAAGGAAAACATGACAAGGGCCATTAATATGTAATACTAAATTATAACAGCTTTTCAAAACTAGAGAACCCAAGAATGTTGGGCTTCTCAAAGCCCAAAAGGCTTTATGGATTTTATGGTAAAACTATCTTTTCACCTATTTCTGACCATATCACAAATTGTATATATTTTAGAAACAAAAAAAAATTCTAATAGAATTTTAGTCCCAAAAGGTATAATATATAGTTAATATAATTTTTTCAAGAATAGCCCAAAAAATATGACTTTCTTCTGCAAAATGAATGTACATATGCCTTATACAAAATTTATGTTGAATAAATGTACTATGTTTGTGTTATGAATCTTTCTTCCTTAACAAAAATGGGCTCCTTAACTTTAAAACACAGAGAAACTTACTTTAGAAGTCCCATTTTAGCACAAGGATAAAAAATGTTAACCAAGCAATTAAACTGGATTGACTTTAGTGCATAAGATTCAGGTGTGTTCAATTACAAGTTTGTCCTGCCAACGAGCATCTCTTTGAGGTGTAGCTGGTTGGCATGACAGCAGGACAGGTTGCAATGGCTGGAATATACAAGGTCAGACAATTCTTTGAAATTTTTCATTCTGTACATTTATATCTCTGACCCCTCAGAATGAGAGGTAAAATAAACACACTTGTGCTAAAGCAATTTCACATAGTGTTATCTAACTAAAAATAGCCATATAATAACAAATTATTACCCCTCTTTTACAGTTGAGGAAGCCAAATGTCAGATACAGTAAGATTGTAGTGTAAATTTTACTGTAAAAAATAATCTTTTCTATAAAAATAAATTGATAATCATGTTCTTTTTCCAAAAAATACCCCTTATTATGAGTGTAATGACAAATACACGGATTACTGCAATACAAGTCAGAAAACTATTGTCTGGAAAAATAAAGGTAAAGCCTGAAGAATTCAAAGAATGACATCTTGCTACAACTTATTTTACTGTTTGTTGGTGGAAGATGGGGGTGTGGGTAGAAAAGTCTTCATGGAGACAGATGTGAATGGAGATTAGAGGACTAGACCAAAGGCATTGAATCAGCATGAGCACCTGTCCTGTCCATAGTTGGAAAAGTATGAGATAATTTTCTCAGAAATAATAAATCATTTATTTCTGCTAATAACTTGGATATGTTAAGGGAAACAATCAGGACAAGATAAGAAAGGTAAGTTGGGGGTGACATTGTACATGATCATATATGGGCAGGCTAATAAGTTTATGCTTTATTTGGGAAGCAGTCAGGTCTCTTTGAGCAAGGTGAATCTGTCTTCAGTGAGTTGGATGAACTGAAGAGGAAGCACTGGATGAAGGGAGAAATATCAGGTAGTTATTGGAACTATCTAACCTAGAGGAAAATAGAATGTGGTAGAAAGAATTTTTTAAGCATGGGGGGATGATGTGAGAGATGCTATGGAAGTAAAACCGACAAGACATTGTCAACTTATGTGGATGTGTGGGGGCTAATGCAGTTTTCAAAGATACTTTCATAAATTGAAGTTGTATGCCTCAGAGTATAGTGTTGATATTGACACAAATTAGGACTCTGGAGAAATGGTCTGTTCATCATGTTCATTTGGAAATAGTAGCAGGTTATTCACAGACTTTAAACTGTATAAATGTTAATATTTATTTGGACTTCAGAAACAGATGCAGTTCATGCCAGTATAGTTTCTAGAATAGAGTAGGAATTTAATAGATAGCTTGTGATTAATGATTAACCAGTCAACCAAAATAAAGGTTAGGGACTTCTTAAAAACTTGTTTGCTAAATGAGCTATTGTAGTTTTATCTTCCTTTTTCACTTCTCAAAATTAGTCATGCTTACTCTTGGGAAGTTAGTTGGAATGCAGAATTTGTATTTAGGATCCAGATTTTCATGCTTATTTTTTTTCTTCATTCTTGAGTACGTATAGTGATACAGAAAAAAAAAATAAGTATGGCACTGAAAAGCTTATCTTTAATTGTAAACTCCATGATACAAAAGTATTCTCAGAATGTAGGGAAAAATGAATGCTGTAAAACAGGAAACAGGTAAATGCCTAGAGAATTTCATATAAAAAAACAAAATGAGTGGCAAATTTTAGCATTTTGTCAAGGAGGAATCTTGAACTCAGCAGTCTCATACTAGGATATTAATTGACTGTCTAAATGAAGACCAAGTTTTTCAGGATGTTTCTGCAACTTTCTTCATTACAAGAATATATTTGAAAGCCTCCTTAAATTGTTTTCCATTTTTAATGCATTATCATCACATTTAATTACCGAGCCTTTGGGGAAATTATTCAGCATTTTAGGTTTGAAACTACGCAGTAGGGTGTCTATTTTTGCATAGAAAATTACTACGTTAGAGCACACGATTTAATCTAGCATACATGCTAAATCAGTGCTTAAAAGGAAAAAAAAAACTTCTCTTAATCTTTTCAGTTCTTTCATTTGATAAAACAAGTAGGCGTACGAGCTTGGCTAAATATGCTTTAAAGAGAGAGTTCTGCAGGTGAAGTGACAAAAGCTTTCTGGGTGCTTTATTATGCATTCTTTTCTTTATATCTAAGAGGATTCTAGCATTTATCCAAAATGGTATTTCCCTTTTAGGTGTGCATTATAGCACGGCAAAGAAAAGATGGCATTTCCAGACAAGTCTTTCATCCTGTGACAGCTGAATTATTCTTTTCCAAATATGCTAAAACAACAGATTTTCATTTTGTTCATCATTAAAAAGCCTTTTGGAATTTGTTCCAGTCATCAAAAACGTGGAACTAGGAGAGAAAATAAACATGGAGGTACCAATATCACACCATCTCTAAGACAGGATTCAAACCTTCGAAAAAGCATGTGCAATTACAGGAATCTTCTCACTGTAAACAGCAAAGCCAAGGTCTTACAAATAAATGGAGTAGGCAGCTTATGGGATGTGACTAGAGGGGCAAGCCAGATGCTCCTAACTAAAAATATCTCTCATGCCTGTACCTTTAGAATTCGTTCCTCTGCATCTCGGAGGCTTTTTTGATCAGCAAGAGACCCCCATTAAAATGTAAATACTCCTGGGAGATGCACAACCTTAATCTTTTATCAAGGATCATCTCCATCGACTAGTTGGAATGGAACAAGAAACAGAATAGAGCTTTGGAAAAATGAGTAAAGAAACAAGTTAAAGGCGAAAGGATACTGGCAGGAGAGAGAAGACCCTGAAATAGGAACTTCTATATTTTACAATTTGCCTGATTCCAGTTCCGAGTAAATGGGTTAAATATATAAAAGAAAGAAAACAGACATAGAAAGGCATTTAAGGTCAAAATTAAACTGCTATTCAAGCAACTTGCAATAATTTTAATTTAGTGGAAAAATCTAGTGATTAGAAGACCATGTCTTCTAGGTTCGATATTCACTTTGTTTACTTTTAGATGATGACCAGAAGTTTAATTATCTCAGGAAACAAGATTATCACATTAAATGAAAAATAATACCGCTTATCAAATGATTTATATAAATATTAAATTAAGTGATATATAGTAATAACAAAGAATAACTGTATTAAAGCAAAATCAGATTAGCTACAGTTTAAGAATGGTTGTATATGCTCCAATTTAATCCAACAAATTCCTCAGAAGTTAGTGCTTCTGCTTCCTGTGCCTGTGACATCCTGCAGCAACTGAGCAAAATCAGATAGAAGAATATTTGAATCCAGATTCTGCCACTTAATAGCTGTGAGATTTACAGATGTGAAGCTTATTCAATCTTCAGAAATGCTAATTTCCTCATCTACAAAATCACTATTGTTATGCTATGCCATGCAGGAATCTTTTAAACAGTTGAGATAATTTATGTAAATATCAAGGATTGGGAAACATGGAAAGTTCTTCATAAAAGATATATGTGTATGATTTTTTTTTTTTAGTTTTAACATTCCTAGTTAAGATGTTAGCTTTTGTTCTGGGAAAATATTGTTTTCTCTTTGTGTATTAGGCCATTGCATATATTTGGTAAGTAAGAGATTGTCTTCTGAATGTTTAATAATCAAAAGTGCCAGAATTTAAAGAAAAATAAAACAGGTGACCATAGGTATCTACACACAGAAAATACTTCCCTGGAAAATATCAACTCAGCACTGCCAGGACCTTGACAAAACAAATAGGTGATCATGTGAACCTCTGAAACAATTAAAACCATGTGAAGAGCTTAAAATTGTCTACTTAACCAAAAACAGCTCTGCCTCCACAAGCCATCTATCTATCCATCTGTCATATGGCATAGGACAGGTTTTCCCATTGTGTATTTATTTTTTCTCATTACTAAGGACAGCTGGTTGAATGTGAATTTTCTATCAGATACATTTAACCCTTGGCTTATAAGCAAAAAAAAAATTGAATTTTATCATTTAATTTATTTTTCTCAATGTTTACTGGATGAAATATCTCCCATCCTACCCTCATCCTTGCTTATCTGGAAAGCTAAAGTATGTGGTGCAATGGGCACCTCACTTACTCTGCAAAGCCTCTAACACAGTGCCGCGTACAAATAGATCATTAACAATTGCTTCATAATGACGAAAGGGTTTAAGTACACATTTATTTCTCTCTTTTTTTTCACTTTTCAGTGCACAAGAAATATATACCTTTTTTTGTAATAATGTAAATAGTGATATAAATGAGGTGAAGATACATAGTGACACATCCAAGGGTTCAGTGAATGAAAGTCTACAAGAGCTGCCTGGATTGAAAGATGTCTCTGGAAAATCAGGAAAATTGAATGTAATTTTCTGATCCACAAGGGTTTATTTTGTTTGTTTGTTTGCTTGCTTGCTTGTTTTTTGTTTGTTTTTCATATCAGAAAGAGTGAATGCAGACGTAATTGAGCTCATAACTTCAAATGAGAAATAAGCAGCAGTCACAAATGAAATTGTCATCAAAGAACCTATTCTCATAGGCTGAATGATTATTTTAAATGCTGGGGGAGTGAACTGGAGAGAAGAGAGCAAAGATGGGAGTGTCTGAGCAAAATGTTCTCCCAGGGCCCATCGCTTCTAACAGAGTCACTATCCATTGTGATGCAAATGTCAAAACACCAAAGCTAGGTCTCCCCATAAAAATAGTCAGATTTGATGGTGCTATCTAGATTTTCCTTACTGAATTTTTTAGAGCATTTGTTTGAACAGAGGGTAGTTTGGAGGTTACATGTTCCTTTCTTGATAACAACCTAATTTCCTCATTCCTTTTTGTATGTAGATACAGTTTCTATCTTCTAAGTGCCTGCGGGGATCTAGCTGTTAAAAGAAAATTTCAAAGGAGAGGTGAATTTGTATGTTAATCCCCTTCCTATAAAATAAACATGGGGGGTGTTGTAATTATTTCTTTCATCTGTTACTAGAGATGATTTTAACTAAAGTAGGGGTGAGCATCTGTGCTAAGGTAAGCAAGCTGGCTTTCCCAAAGGCCTGGTAACTATACAAGTCGTTTCTCTGAATTTTGTTGTATCTTCAATATGACATTCCTCATATGAACATCTTATATGGTTTTGTACAGTCTAGTTTCCCCTTCATGATATAGCAGAATGCTGACAGCACACTGTAGGGTACATACGCTTCTCCAGCAAAAGCACAATGCATTGTGGAAGGCACCTTGGGTAGTAATTGATACAAGTCTGTTTCCCTGTATTTATTGAGTGATGTTCAACCTCCTGCATCTACAGCCACCACTGTTCTAATTATTCAAGCTGACATTCTCCACTATAGTGCTATAAGACTGCTTCACAGACATGTCTTAAAAATTGGTGTAAGTTAATGATTTATTTCAAATACATGAACGTACCTAGCATATCATCGGTGCTCTAGAAATGAGTGTTTCTTATTTTTATATTCTATTTTTTCTGATTCCTCTCATCCAAAATAAATTCCTCATCAAAACAGTGGAATAGTTTACCCTAGAGTGTAAAGAGTAGCACGAAGCCAGACAATTGCAAAGTATTAAATGCAAGGTCACTGATTTAAGAGGTATCAGTTATGTGCTATAACCTCCATTACATCTTGGCTACCCATTCCTCAATGCTATAATTGCCTCTAACTCTCTCAATGGCAGAACCCACCTGTGGCCACCAGGGCCCCAGCTCTGTGTAGGTAACCAGATGGCTCTTTTTCCCAAGCCACCATCTTCTATTGACCAGCCTAAACTCTCACACCTAGACAGCAGGGGCACGGAACTTAGGTTCTTAGTATAAACAAGGAAGGAATAAACATACCGGGACCGATACTGTACCTGTCACCCTCCCTGCCTCCTAACTCTTGTGTGGGCCCTGGAGGCTACACATCTTCCTTTGTCTCTTGGCTTCAGAAAAATTTGTGTTCTTAACCCATATTTAGTTTTTTTCCTATCATTTCTATTTCATACATTCTCATACATTTAACTTGTAAAATGGACTGTAGTATTATTACCTAATGTAATTAAAGCATATGAATTAAAATATTTCTATAGTCAAAAAAAAACAAGAAGCACCAATACAGATTACTAGATATATGATCTTTGAGAAAAAAATAAAGCCAGAACATGTATTCACAAACATACATATATAAACACATGTTAGAGGCACTAGTCCATATAACGTTCCACATGTAAAAAAAAATCATTCATATGTGACAATATAGTTTTTAACATTTCCACCTAAAAATGCTAACATTGAAGCTACATGCCAGAGTACTGTAAATATTTATCTGGAGTCAGTTATCTAGCTGGATTTGTTCATCCCCATATCCCCAGTGCCTGTAGCACCTGAAACACAGTACATGTTCAAAATATACTTGCTGAATAATTGATTAAGCACTCCACTCCTCTTAACTACAAGGTTAGTCATTGCAATATTTGTTTTATATTTTGTATGCATGTACACATAAACTTCCTACAAAAAAAGGCAAGAATTCTAGTGTACAGTCTTATTGTTACAATATATTATTCAAGTGATTGATAACTGTATCAATGTTGTCCCTTCTCTCCTGCTTTCCTGCCCTTTCCTCATCACAAGTCTGTCCTACCCCTGCACCCATTAATAATGGTGGGTGGTTTTATGTTAAGTCTTTGTGGATCCTCATTTACCACTTCATTCCCTTCACCAACAAACCCAGCATGTGGTATATGTGTGAAATAGCTTTCTTCACAGTAACTGTACCTAGTATATCTAGTGTATGTATTTTCTCCTCAGGTTCAGAATTCTACTGGGTGAGCTTACATTAAATAGGGGCCATCACAGAAGACCAAGAAGATCATACTCTCTTTCCTGCAGAGATACCGGAAGACGTAATAGTCATCTTTACTTCACCCCTCCGCTTTGCTTCTAATTGGTATATAGTAGTTTTGCAGTTCAGGAAAACAACTAAAATTTCAGGGACATGTGACAGCCAGCATGCTTCACACTAGGTAGCTAAATTTATCCAGCGCAAAATACCAAATGAAGAAGCCTCTGATTAGGCAGGGCCATCCATCTAAAACAGTGGGGCTGGGCAATAACATCTACCAAGTATCAGGAGCTGTTGCCACCTTGAAATAACACAATTATCTATTTTTCTTAATGTTCCCCAACTGCTCCTAGCCCATGTCTTATGATCCTATGATACTTATAATGCTCTCTCTTTATATATGTATTTGTGTGTACCATATGTATAAATACATAATTATATATGTACATATTGTACTTATATAATCTCACAACAATCCTGCAAGATAAAAACTATTTTCTTCACTTTATCCATAAAACTGGTAATCAGAGAGATTAAGTCCTTGGCACAAAAACACTCTCCTAGTGATTTCAGATTTAACCTGGGCCCATGGCTCTGCACTTACTGCATGGACTCCTACAATTTTTTACCCTAAACATTGGATAAGCTGAAGCTTACAGAGAGAGCTGTTTCTGGGTTATTGCAAGGAAAACACTACCTTGAATGATCAGACTTACCAAGGGTGCTGGGTCTATCAGCAAAGGATACTTGGGTTCCTTCCATAGCATCTTGGACAAAATCTCTGAGATGTACACTACTGCAGGTCTCAGTCCATGGACCCAACTATGCTCTGGGCACAAAGTGCAATACCAAAACAGCATGCCCTCCCTCTCACAGACCAAGAATAGGGGCCCTTGTCCTAAACTTGCTCTTCCTGAGATAGAACTTTTTTTGTTTTGTTTTGTTTTTTGAGACGGAGTCTCGCTCTGTCACCCAGGCTGCAGTGCAGTGGCGTGATCTCAGCTCACTGAAAACTCTGCCTCCCAGGTTCACGCCATTCTCCTGCCTCAGCCTCCTGAGTAGCTGGGACTACAGGCGCCTGCCTCCACGCCCGGCTAATTTTTTGTATTTTTAGTAGAGACAGGGTTTCACTGTGTTAGCCAGGATGGTCTCGATCTCCTGACCTCGTGATCTGCCCGCCTCAGCCTCCCAAAGTGCTGGGATTACAGGCGTGAGCCACTGAGATAGAACATTTTAAATCACAACTCTGATCACCACCTACCGTTGCTCAAGAGCATGTTATTGACTATTCACCATCTGATTACTTAAAGCCTCTTGCCAGGTTAAAATCATGTGAAAGATCAGAATTCTGACAGAATTAAAGATTCCCTAATAGAGCTTTTCAATCAATATCAATCAATCAAATGTTGGTCACCCAGCTCTATGTTAGGGTTTTCAGTGACAGTAAACTTACTCTCCTAATCAGCTTATTTATTAGAGCATTAAAATTATGAGAGCATAAAGGAAGAATTATAACTATGAAAATAAATAAAATGAGCTGAGACCTGTCCCCAAAAAATGATCCTTTGGAGCCAGGAAGAGTCATCATTCCACTTTTTAAAGGTTATCAAGCACATATAATGCTTAAATGTAAGGTGTCATTTTTTTCTGAAAACTATGCCTCAGAACAAAAGGGGTCACATTGTTGGGACTTTTAAGGATTCTTTCATGTTATGAGACCTCT
Organism: Homo sapiens; assembly: GCF_000001405.40. Lineage (NCBI taxonomy): Eukaryota > Metazoa > Chordata > Mammalia > Primates > Hominidae > Homo > Homo sapiens. The sequence goes on from NC_000013.11 coordinate 66,955,556, forward strand.
TTGAGAAAGACACATCAGCCTTTCCAAACATGAATCAGTTTTTATTTTGGATGTGTAAAGAGGTCAACTATTTAAGAAGAGATGACAAAGTACTTTAAACACACTTTAATAACTGGTCAAGAGGGATGAACTAACATTTGCAAGTATTCTATAACTTAGAAAAGATACATTTTAAAGATCACTTTAAAAATTCAAGGGAGAAATTGCGTTTGTTATGGGAATGACAAACAGATACATAAGGGATGAACTACAAATGAATTGTACTCTTGTTATGCAAATATAAGAACATAGGGCTGTTGGTCAGGTGTGGTGGCTCACTTCAGGTCAGGAGTTCGACACCGGCCTGGCCAATATGGTGAAACCCCGTTTCTACTAAAAATAAAAAATAAATAAAAATATAGCAAGATGTGGTGGCCAGTGCCTGTAATCCCAGCTATTCAGAAGGCTGAGGCAGGAGAATCGCTTGAACACAGGAGGCAGAGGTTGCAGTGAGCTGAGATTGCACCATTGCACCCCAGAAACTCCATCTCAAAAAAATAAAAACAAACAAAAACAGAGGGCTGAGCTTTGTTACTCTTCTCACTGAGTCAACCCTATTACCTGTACCTACAACAGTGCCTGACAGCTAGGAGGGGCTCAAAAGTCATCTGCTGATGACTAAAAACAGGAACGAATATATGGTTAATTGTGGCTTGAAACAAAAGTTTCTAGGAATAACATCAAGTTCAAAAAATACTGTTTCTCAAATAACCTGCAAATGGAGATGATGTGTTAAATAGCCCCCAAGGTGACCTTAGTAATGACTGAGCCCCCGACAATAATGAGGCTTAAATTAAGTATTTTTAAAAAGGTGAGGTTATGTGATAGTCAAAAAGCCATAGCTGTGACTTCAGTATTACAAGTAGGAATTTGGCCAGGTGCGGTGGTGGTTCATGCCTGTAATCCCAGCAATTTGGGAGGCTGAGGCGGGCTGATCACCTGAGGTCAGGAGTTTGAGACCAGCCTGGCAACATGGTGAAAACCCCTCTCTACCAAAAATACAAAAATTAGCCGACCGTGGTGGCACACAGCTGTAGTCCCAGCTACTCGACAGGCTGAGGTATGAGATCACTTGAACCCAGGAGGTGGAGGTTGCAGTGAGCTGAGATGGCACCACTGCACTCCAGGCTGGGCAGCAGAGTGAGAATCCATCTCAAAAACAAACAAACAAAGTAGAAATGTGACTATGTGTCATATCTCTAAGTGTTTGTATATTCGGATAGGCCATTGTTGCTGTTTCGCACTCCACCCACTTCTTCCCCTCTCCCCCCACCAAAACATACCCAGGAATTATTTTTAATTTGGGCTGGCATTTTATTCCAATATATGAGGCATTTGAAACCCTGGCTTCCAAGTTGGTTTATCTCCAGACTGAATTTTCTATATTTTCACAGGGGCTACTCTAAAGGCTTGGTTTTGATTCACCCTAATATTATCACTGAATTATAGCACCCACAATTTAACATAACAATGCTTTGTAGTTAGATACAGCATAGAGTGAGGTTTTTATCTCCCTTACTTTGGAAGCTGTGTGCTGACTAAAGTAGCTTAAAATTACATTTGCACTTTGGCAGTCACATCACACTATTGACTAATATTGAGACTTCCCGAAACTAAAATCCCAACATCTTTCTGACATGTGCTGATAAGCCACATAATCCTCCAACCATACTTGTGCAGGTAGCTGCAATGAACTTTTTTTTTTACACTTACTTTTGTCCAGCTTACAAAATAGCCTTCTAACAGAGTACTACCCCTCCAAGTTTCACATAATCTGCAAATGCGATGCCTGTTGGGAATCTGTGACCTCATTGACGTTTTTGACAGAGAAAGTAAATGAAGATGCATTGGTGGGATGTCATGAAGTGAAAAACAGGTTCTCTCCTAAAGAAAGACCAGTCAGCAATGTTAAATATTTTAGAAAAGTTGCTGGGAACTGAAATGAAAGCCCTAACCCTCCATCCCTCCATGAGGTATTTGCAGATGGGGCCTTTGGGAGATAATTAGGTTTAGATGAGGTCATGAAAATGGGGCCCTCATGATGGAATACTGTCCTTATGAGAAGAGACACCAGAGATACCTCTCTCTTTCTCTCTCTCACTCACTCTCTTTCTCTCTCTCTCTGCCATGTGGAGACACACTAAGAAGGCAAGCTAGGAAGGCAGTCCTCAGCAGAACCCAACCACACTGGCACTCTGATTTCATTCTTCCAGTTTCCAGAAATATGAGAAATAAATTATGTGGTTTTAATCACCCAGTCTGTGGTATTTTGTTTTGGTATCTTGAGGTAACTAATACAAACGTAAAATACAAAGGGAGTTATTAGTAAAATTTGAGAGGTGACATTACACTTTTTATGATGAATTAATATAATAAGATTTTAAGAATAAGATAATGAAGGTATTTGGTTTATTTCACCTAACTGGAGAATTCTGGCTTCAAAAACAAGGAGAAATATGATTGACATGTAGAAGAGGAAGAATTATACATAAAGGTATGTTCAAGATGAAGAGGCACCCCAATTTGAGGGCAGAAGAAATGAAATCAGTGAAAACACAAAAGTGAATTTGACGGAGCGTACAATATGGTTGTAGCAGAGCAACTCCTTGAAATGAAAGCTAATAATCAAGAGGATAATCCTGGAGACTGAGTATTACAATTGGAGTGTTTACAAAGTTCAAGGTATGAGACGGACTGGATGAAAAACACGGAATTCTATGACTAATTTTGTAGACTGGAAATAATAAAATCTAAAGAAGTAGAGATTGCTTCAGATGACAAAATACAGTCAGGGAGTTGCATTGATATAGAATAATTCATTGTTCAGTTTCTTTCTTGACATGCCTTAAATTTTATGAGGCTAGAAATAAACAGAATAGAGAAAGATGGGGAATCAGTAACATGGATTTAAGTGGCTTTAATTTTATAAACACATACTGTATAGCAGTTAATATTGAAGGGCTGATATTTTTTTCACACATATCACATTACCAAAAAAAATCCTTCCATTCATTTTTCTCTCTTAGAAGTACAACTAGGACAGTCTATTCATTGATGTAATTTTTTTTAAGTTTTTGTTCTTTTATTTTTTTCATGAAATGAGCTAGATCTTCTGAGAGCATTTCTATATTAGGCACAGAGCTTTGCTGCTGTTTTTAAGCTAAGTTAAACATAAATAGGAGCTCTCCCCATTTCCATTGAAGTGTCACTCAGCTAAGTACCCACGCTAGAGAGGAGGTGGTTCTCTCTGCAGAGATTCGTCATGCTATGTTTTATACTTAGACGTTTTTCTCAGAAATGAAACTATTTAAATTTCCCATCTTATTGGTCTGACTGTAGTTTTTCTTTGAAAACTTGCTGTTGTTTCTATACTAAACTCAACCTTTAGCTTTTCTTCCACTTTTAGTACTTCAGTTTTAAATAATCACTTACAAATATTTCAGTTTGTAACAAGACAGTACATACATTAATGTAAGAGCCTATGTGGGTTAATATAATTTTAAATAACAGACTTACATCCTTAAGTTTAGAAAAATTTCAGTAATTAGTCACCTTTTAAAAGAGCATGATAAAAACACCTATTTGAAGGTAATATTTTTCACATTACATGAAGCACATATAAGAGATGTCACTTAGAGCCTCCAAAAATCTTAAATGAATTTGATAGCAGGTACAATAAGGAAAGTGTGACTTTAAAATTTAAAAAATAACAAACAACATTCTACATCACTTTTTTTCTATAAAAGTATCTGTCAATTGTAAATTACCAAGAATGGCATGATCTCAATAAGAAAGAAATTCTGAAAATATTTGGCCAATTGTAAACTTAATAATTGAAATGATCAATTAAGAAATTACTTAAGAAAAGACATCCTGGGCCTGATTCAGTGGCTCAGGCTTGTAATTTCAGTGGCTTGGAAGGCTCAGGTGGGAGGATTGCTTGAGGCCCAGAGTTTGAGACCAGCCTGGGCAACATGGCAAGACCCTGTCTCTGCAAAAATAAAAAATTAGCTGGGTGTGGTGGCACACACTTGTAGTTCCAGCTACTCGGGAGGCTGAAGTAGGAGGATTACTTGAGCTCAGGAGTTTGAGGTTGTAGTAAATTATGATTGCATCACTGCACTCCACCCTGGGCAACAGAGTGAGACCCCGTCTCAAAAAAAAAAAAAAGAAAGAAAAAATAAAATAATATACTTTCATGACCTGATAACTTGAACTAAGAAGCTGGATTACCTTTTTTATTAAGTCACTGAACCTTAATCAATAAACTGGAAATCAGCATATTTTATGAAATACTTGAGACTCTATGTCAAAGTTTTTCACAGTTTCTGAACCCATTTAACTTCCTAAGAACATTGTCATTTCTTAGTGACTCAGTATTCTAAAACAGCATCTAACAAATCAGAATACTTATTAGGGAGAAATTTTGACACGAAGAAGAATAAAGGACAAAGTCTCAGAGAATTATCTGAAAGCTTTGTTTGCAAATTGACTGACATGCAAGAAAGATCCGTTTTTAAATTTTTGTAACTGGACTGAAATCAAAACACCTCTGCTGACCTCACATTCACTTACAAATATATTTAATTTCAAACAGAGCTTTTGATCATCAGCCAAAATTAGTTGTCAGTGTTCTATAAACATCTTACAAAAGCAGTTTAAAAGAAAATAATCACAAAAGAATGGCTTTAATTTTTTAAAGTGACATATAATTAAATATTTCTAAGCAATGCCATTTCATTGGACACTATGTGAATCAGAGTGCTTTGCTGACTACCATATAAGTTATAATCTACATATATTTCATCTACTGTCTTTCATTCAGTAATTTTGAAAACCCTATAAAAAATTCATGATGGAAACTCAAGCACTCTAAAGAATTTCAAAGGGCCACAGTGGTTGATGGAAGGAGTTGTTCTTCTGTTAATTAAATTCTGCCCAAGAAATAATGAAGGTCACTCTCATGTTATTATCTACTTCTTTGGATTTTACATGAAGTAGTAAAGATATAAATAACTTTTCTTTACAAACTGTAAATATTTTAGCCATTGATGTTACAATTATTACTTTTATAAAATTTATAGCTGGGCAGTTAAGAAAACATAAAATAGTAGCAATTCATTACAGTCTCAATGCACTGTATAGAATGAAGAAAATATTCTTCGAAGAGGTACAGAATCACTAACACAACTCATGTTAGTAACACTCAATCAGCTTACTAAAGTGTAAAAATCATGCTTATTTTGTTTTTCAAAATCACATATATTTAAGCATCTTGAGTTTTGTTTCTATTGAAGGTTAACCTGTTTAGAGTATCAATTGGTAAAATAATCAAAACACTACACAATTGATTTATTGGTCATCTCTGAAAAGTAGCAACTGTAAAAATCAATTTTAATGAATAAATATACACATACTTTTGTGTATTCAAACCTTTGTCTATCTTCTATTTGTGTCTTCAACTGATTTGTACTGACTTTAACTGACTATAGTACAAAAAATTTACCATGTCTATTTTTTAAAAAAAATACAGTTTAAAAATAAAACCAAAACAAACACTATAATTCTATTTAAAGTATGTGTTCCAATACTCCACTGGTGTTTCATTTTAAAAGTGGTGGTATGAAAACAATCAGAGAGTTCAGTGTTTTTTCTCTGCCTGTATGTGACATGGGGGTTATATTGATGAAATAAGGTCTGCTGGACTTTGAGCACAATAATGGCAAAAAACAAGCCACTTTTGTGTCAACATTGTGTTCCCAATACCAGACCCATCACCTGATGCTAAATAAATAATTATTGATTTAACTAACAAAATCAGTGGAATCCTTAAGTGGGACCTCAAAGGAAGGAATAGAAGCCTATATATACATTTTCAAAATTTAAGAAATATTGAAATTAAATTAAATCAATGAAAGGCTGGGTATGGTGGCTCAGGTCTATAATCTCAGCACTTTGGAAGACTGAGGTGAGGGGGTTACTTGAGCCCAGGAGTTTGAGACCAGCCTGAGCAACATAGTGAGTCCCCATCTCCAGAAAATTAATGTAACTTAAATGTTAACCCAATGTAAGGCTGCAAAGCCAAAAATATCAATTTTTTGGTTAGAATGAAATTGATTAAGAAAAATCACATTAATTTTTATGTTGATGATAAACTTTGATTATAAATCATAGATGACCAGGTGCGGTGGCTCATACCTGTAATCCCAGCACTTTGGGAGGCTGAGGCGGGTGGCTCACGAGATCAGGAGTTTGAGACCAGCCTGACCAACATGGTGAAACCCCGTCTCTACTAAAAATACAAAAATTAGCCGGGCATGGTGGCGTGTGCCGGTAATCCCAGCTACTTGGTAGGCTGAGACAGGAGAATTGCTTGAATCCGGGAGGTGGAGGTTGCAGTGAGCCGAGATTGTGCCACGGCACTCCAGCCTGGCGACAGAGCGAGACCCCATCAAGAAAAACAAAAAAACAAAACAAAAAAAAAAGAAAAGAAAAAAAAACATAGATATCTTTGGCTAATAAAAATTGTAAAACAAGCAATTTCTTAATAATTCATTTTGTCAAATTGGTTCCATTGGAGAGAGGGATAAGGAAAAGGATCTTTGATGAATAAAGTTTGGTGATGTATGACTAAGAATTTTAATCTTCTAAATGAAGACACATGTCACTCTCCTAGATCCACAGTAAGGTAGATAGGGATCTTAGGTATCTGCAGGTACTCCAGCACAGCTGCAAAACTGAATGAGTTAGAACAGCTTCTCAAGTACTTCCCAAGACACCTCCAAAGAAAAACACCACCAATGACAGTCATGTGTCACTTAATGAGGGTGATTAGAACTGAGAAATGTGTCATTGGGCAATTTTGTCATTGTGGGAACATCACAGAGTGCACAGACACAAAGCTAGATGGGATAGCCCACTATATACCTAGGTTATATGGTATAGGCTATTGCTTCTAGCCTACAAAACCTAGTGTTACTGTAGTAAATACTGGAGGCAATCATAACAAAGTGGTATGTATTGTGTATCTAAACATATCTAAATATAGAAAATATTGTATTATTATATTATGGAACCACCTTTGTATATGCAGTCCATCATTGACTGAAATGTTATTACATCACACTTGGCTGTATAAGGAGATCTTCCCTTTTATTTATAATGCATCAGTGGTCTCCAACTTTTTTGGCACCAAGAACCATTTTCGTAGAGAATTTCCCATGGATTGGGGTTGGGGGCCAGGGGTATTGGTTCAGGATGATTCAAGCACATTACATTTATTGTGCACTTTATTTCAATTATTATGTTGTAATATATAATGAAATAATTACACAGCTCACCATAATGTGGAATCATTAGGAACCCTAAGCTTGTTTTCCTGCAACTAGATGGTCCTATCTGCAGGTGATGGGAGATAGTGACAGATCATCAGGCATTAGATTCTCATAGGCACACAACCTAGAACCCTCGCATGCTCAGTTCACAACAGGGTTTGTGCTCCTATGAGAATCTAATGCTGCTGCTGATCTGATGGGAGGCAGAGCTCAGGCGGTAATGTGAGCAATGGAGAGCAGCTGTAAGTACAGATGAAGTTTTGCTTGCCAACACTCATCACCTGTTGTGCGGCCCTGGGCCCCTAATAGGCCAGAGACTGGTACCGGTTCATAGCCTTGGGGTTGGAGACTCCTATAACAGATCACTGAAAAATTATAGGAAAAGGCAAAGTGCAAAGATCAAACATTGGATTATTGTACTATGAAGAGAGGCGCAAAACATTGCATAAATTCCCAAATTACACCTTGGCTCTTAAGTACAATCTCATTTCCAGCATTTCATATTTGCTCTTTGGTTTACTTCCTTTTCATAAGTGAATATCCAGGAGTTAGGTTCCAACGGGAATCTAATTAAATTTTTAAAATCACTACTTTGATATTTTTAATGATTTCCTTACTAAGTGCACCACATTGATAGACTTTGATTTTTATCATTGGTGTTAGCACTTCTTAAAAATTTGTCCCCTTTTCCCGTTTAAATAATGCAGAGATTATGTGATATAATATTCAAATAATCTTATAAACACATGGGTTAAGCAAAAGCTACAAAGACAGGACCACCCTCTTCATGTGAACACTCCAAATATTCATTATTCTTCTTTCGGGATATAATAAAAAACAAAATTTAATAAGTCAACGTCCAATGAAATATGGGTTTATCAATCTAAAAGCAGAGAAACTTGTTTGTTTCTGACCTTGTGAATAGTAACAATTATGATAATGCAAACTTTTTATATTTTTTTGTGGAAATAGGTGTAACATGTTAGATGTTCTCTTAGGTTAAGTTCATGTGTCAAGTAACACATTAAAATTGTAATATAATAAATATTAAAACTACTAGCAATACTATGAGTAGTTTACAGACTTAATAATAAAACAAATAATAGATTAGATCTATGTGGATAATTTATGAGTTCTCTAACTGCAAAACATATATAAATAGTGCAAACTTAGTTGTTGCTTATATTCAAAAAACCAAAGATAACACGGATATCTTTATTGGTAACAGAGTAAGCATTATACAGACATGTAACAAAATATTATTCTCTATAACTTTCTGGAGAACATAATGCTGTCTAATGCATATAAAGATTAGGCTCAAATGGAGTACTTCCCTCTGTGCTTATATTTGTTACTTCCTCTAAGACAAGGGTAAGCATACCAGATAAAGACAGGCAAAACAAATCTAATGGTATTAGTAAACAAAAATCCATTAGGGAAATGAATTGTAGTGATTGTACACTTTAGCACTGAGAGAGAAAGAAATTCTACCCCTATGACCCAAAGCTATTGCATTCCTTGGCTTTGATCTACCAGGTCACTGTCAAATTCTCTACATTAGCTTTTTCACTTCAATGATTGCTTTAAGGTAACATGGACCTACTGTGTGCCTTTTATGACTCAATCTATTTATATCTCAATCTATGAGCAGAAATCATCTATGAAATGCTTTCCTGGGCAAAATGTAAAAAAAAAAAATATTCTTCAGGATTCTAACAAATTTTTAATTAAGGAATTTTTTTTTAATCTCTTGAGTCCTTTCTTGGCAAAATGTCTGTCAGAATGATAGACAAGATGCTATTTCAGAAATATTCCTTCACTTATCTAGAACAAATACCTATACATAAATACTCTTTTAAAGTGAATGTGTGTGCTCAAGATTAATTCATGTTGTAATTTTTTTTGACTGAGAGATCTGGGGCACATGAAAATTCAAGAGCATTACTGAATTACACACTTTGTATCTGCCTAACAATTGTCAACTAAAAGTCTAAAACTATTAAATATATATATATTCATTTACTAGAGATAATGCATTAAATAATTAGAGTCAGCAAGTTTTTGCACATTTTGGAGAAAAAATTTTAAACATTTCTTTTTAGAAATGAATAAAGTATTTAAAATTTTTGACATTGCAAAATATCCTTACATGAAGAAGAAAAAAACACACAGTTTAAAATAAAATAATTATGTTATATAATGAATAAAATTTAAAACTCCAGCTTACCCATTATTGGACAGTCTTAATTCTAATTTCTACTTTAATCAATATGCTGAAACTGGAAACTTACATCATGTAACCTTCCTTAACCACTTCAGCCAGTGTAGCCCTTTATTGTACTATTATAGGAGCTTATTCTTTTAAAGAGCATACTCAAATTAATCTCCTGATGTCAAAAAACACAATGGCCATTTCAACATCTGTTCTCATTTCCTTCCTCCAGGCATTTCCCTTCCCCCAGGATTTTCCCTTAATTTATCCAATTTTCATCTTTCCTCGCTAGCATTTCTGTGCCACTTTTTCTCACCACTCCATATGCTTAGGAAGTCTTCCAGATTACACTCATCAAGCTATTGCAGCCTCCTTTAAATGCCCCAAAAACAACCAGCTCAAAGATTCCAAATGTGACCTTTTAAAAGTCTCCTTTTCTTTTATTTATATTAAATTGTTTTTTTTCCCTCCGTCGGGGCCATCACATCTTAGATCAGAATTTTATTATTAATTGATTGCAGAAGTTTCCATAATTTATTTATTGTATTGCTTATGAATAAATGATTATCTTTAATCACAGCAACTCATTATGCCTTAATAACATCATGAAGGTGATAACATTATTACCATATTAATAGAATAAGTTCTGATTATTTTTAATGTCAGCTATAGTAATTGCATTGAACATAAGACAAAATATGTGAAAGTGATGTAAATTCTTATCTAAAAATATTTTATATATATTTCTTTAAAACATGCAAATCAATACCAAGTCATATATTAAGAGAAAAAGCCAGAAATTCAAGGTCAAAGAATACTTTACATTTTCAAGAATTGAATTTAGGTCACCTAAATCTTTTTGAAATTGTTCTCATTACTAATTTACGATATACATGAAGAAATAGCTGAATTGCATGCCATATTTTAAAAAAATATGTATCATATATTTACTTGGCTCTTCTTATTTCTAGACATGGAGATTAGGGGTTTTAAGCCAGGGAAGGCCTGGTTCATCTCCCACCTCAGCAACTCAGTACACACAAAATCTTGGGCAAGCCCCTTGGGTTTCTGAGCTTCTGTTTCCTCGTTTCCAAATAGGGACAATATTGACTACCCCTCCTACCAAACTTGTTGTTTAAGTTGTTTCAAGTATCAAATGAGGTAACATAAAACATGTTTATAAAAAATACCAATCTGAATAAGAAACAAGCGATGCAGTAGAAACTGTGGGTGATGAAAACAATTCCAAACTTTAAAACAGCTAAATGAAGGTGTGTACATAAATTCTTCAGCATGCTACTCTGTATGGCGTCTGTAATGATAGACCCTCAGTCGAGGCTGCCAATAAGGAGGATGTTCTCAGGAAAATAGAATCATTTACTAGGAAATACTCAGATATATTTCCTAGAAAGAGTAGAAGTGACAAGAAAAGCAGTTTTAGCAAAAAGCAGTAGAGAGGTTTAATCATTTCTTCAATTCATGTTTGCTACAAATTTCTATAATTCTATGATTTAAGATGACATTTTGTTAGCTGCCTTTATAGTGAAGTAAAAACTATTCACAGTGATTTTTGTGCCTGAGCTCTTTTGCTGAAGGGTCATGAGGGCATGACAGTGTTCATAGTTGCAGTGGCTCATCCAATAGAATATTAAAAAATGAAGTCTACAGTGAAGAGGTGGGAGAATGAGACAAGGAATATGAAATAGAGAAGAAAACTGGAAAATTATTATAGAGTTATTAGTAACTTTGAATCAGGATATGTAAGCAAATAGAATGGAATGGCATCAAGCCAAATGGGTAAACTAAAAGCAGACCGTAGTCTGACTCCCAAATATATGAATAAATAAACATATCAAATGCAAACTTCAGTGCTAAACTGGCAGATCAATGTAAAAGAAAAGGAACAAGGAAGGAGGACTATGCCAAGGTAGCTCCCAACCTGAAAATTGTGAAGTCAGATTTAAAGAACCAAGTATACTATACTCTGTCAAACATAAGACAGATTCCAAGTTATGTTAGAGAAAAAAATCACTTAAAATGGCAGAATGTATCTAAATCCTCATAATGGTGAGGAGAAGAAATAGTTCATTTAGTCTTATATATATGTATGCTCATTAATTGACAGGTGGAATTATTCGTAGTGATATCAAATTAATCCAGTTGTTTAAAGCCACACTGTCCAACATTGTTGCTATTCACCACATATAGCTATTTAAATTTAAACTAATAAAAATTAAATAAAATTTGAAAGTTAGTTCCTCAATCACACTTGTCACATTCAGAGTGCTCAGAAACTGCCTGCAGCTATTGCATTGGTTAACATACATATAGAACATTTCCATCACTGCAGAAAGTTCTTTAGGAGAGTGCTGTTTTAGTGTAATAGAAATTTTCCTAATATTGAGACATACATGCATATTTAATAAGTAACAAGTTTACCCAAATCCATAGATAAGTCCAATACAAGACTATAACACTGAATGCAAAATAACAACAAATTATACAAATACAAAAAAAAATTTTTTCTTAACAAATGCTATGCAAAAGTCTTTAAATCAGACTAAGTATTTTGACATCCAAGTTTTAATTTGATCATTGTATTTTAACCTGTTAAACTCTACTATAGAATTTACATTTACCGGATAATTAGAAGATTTGGGGTGGCTTAGATGGTCCTTCATTGAATCCTAGAAAATGATGCTATTATCCATGTTATGTCATATACTTGTCTCTGTTTATTATTTTTGAAGCCCTGGTACCTGGCATGTATTCAGTTCATGTTTGTGGAATGAGGGAGCCTCTCATCCAGTTCTAACAGGAGATCATTCAGCATCTGCTTCAACACTTACATTGGCAAGAGATTTACCACCTCATAAGGGAAAGCATTCCATTTTTAGCAGTTCTGTTAGAAAGAAGCTACTTCATTACAGAAAATCCAAATTTACCTGCTTATATAACTTCCAGTAATCTTATGTTTTGTCAGATAAAGTTTAAAAGAAGTTTATTTTTTTCCATGTAAAAGCTTTTTAAATACTTGCAGGTGACTATAACACTTTCCCAACCAACTATCCTTACATGGCTTTATTTCCAGATGCTTCTTTGTCATCTTCTAATTTTGCAATGTCTCTTAAAATGCAGTGTCCAAAACATTACATTATCTTCAAGCTACTCTGATCAGGGCAGACAACTATGGGAATTACCCCCATGGCTTTGTACGGTATACTTCTATTAAAGATGCCCAAGATTCCATTAGCTTTTCTTGGCATTCTCATCACAGCATGACTCATAGTCCACTTACAATCAACTAAGAGTTCCTACCTAAGTCTTTAAGATGAGATGTTGTCAAATCACGACTCCTTCGACCTTGCTTCTTTTATTGGTTTCTTGTATTAGAGTGGAGGACCTTATTTCATGCTGATGGCACAGGTATATTGTTTCCATTGGTTAAGATTTTCTAAACTTTGATTCTGTTAATCGGCTAATACATTAGCTATCAATTCAACTGTGCATTGCTTGTAAATATGATAAGCATAACCTATCATACATTAAAATCATTGTTAAAAAATAGTCCAAGTACAAATGCCCATATCACAACACCAGAAACCTCCTTCTAAGATGATATCCACATATTACCAAATTTGATTATTTATTATGTTTTAGGAGCCACAAATATATGATCTTTAACTGTTATAACAACCATTTAGTGTGCTATTCACATTTTTTAGAAAAAGAAATTAAAAATATGAATGACTGAATATCAGTTAAGGAGAGCTAGAATTCCAGTGGGGACCTTCTCAATCCACAGCCTGCCTGTTACCACAGAACACAAAGATTCCCTTTAAGTATCACTGGAACCCTTTAGCTGTAACATGTCGAGCATATTCATCTATTTGTTTCCCTGAAATAGAGGAAAGACTGTCAAAAGCCATACTGGCATTGCTAATTTATTTCTTAGCATTTCAGTAAGCTGTCAATCAATTTTTTCAAAATTAAAAATGAATTTTATTCGGTACTCTCGCTACTGTGAATACCGCTTAGTGATTTGATTTTTGATTTTTTTAACATTTGCAACGCACCTAATTTTCAACCCATACTTTGTTATGAATCAGTGTTAAGCCCACTGATTTTTATTTTTTAGAATCCATCATTTAAGCCTTTTTGGAATTCAGAGCCTCAAAAAGTGAATGTTATATGTGGACACTTTCCATTTCAATGTCTTATTGCCCATTGTTATATTCAGCAGCTTATTGCCCATTGTTATATTCAGCAGCTTATATACTAATAATAAATTGAAATCACTACAGTCTAGAGCCTACAATTATGTTGATAGCATAATCCTGTCAGGTGAAAGAATGTTGTACAGTACTCTTGAATTTCAATAGTATGATTGAGAAATCTCAATTTGACTTTCTTGCCCAGCACTTTCTGCATAAAACAGGATTATGCACACCAATTAAATACCTCTCTTACAAACCATTTTTTTCAATAACAAGCATTGATTGATTCACTTTATACTATTTGTTACCCAAAATCTCAGAAACGTTTGTGCTTTAACCTAAAGCATCTAAAATGGGATTTTTTATCAAAATTCCATTTTCACAGATATACACAGACTCAATTATAGAAGCTAAATGTTTTCTTAATATCAGTTATGAGATTTTCTTCATATATAAATCTGAAATGGGACATGTATACACTCTCGAAGCACAATTAGCTGCTTTTTATTTTGGAGAGGGAAAGTCTAAAGCAAAAGTGCTTTCTGGAAAAATCACAAGTCTTAAATCAATCATATTAATAACAACTATATTTTAGTTCTTGGTTATGTATCCAAAGTAAGTGCATGTATGTGCATTTTAAGATGTTATTCTAGTTACAATTGTCCCTTTTAATGCAATTATAAATACACTCTGAAAGAGGAAATGGAAAAACAAACCTGCCTCAGACATTCTTGCAAAGAAAAACTAGATCATCTCACACCTAGACAAGTTGTTCCAGGTTGATGCTTCTTTAAACTGATTAGAATTTCAGAAAATCTAGTGGCATTACAACTAGAGATAGTGTGATGATTATTACTTTCACATAATTTTCACTGCAGAAGAACCTAAAAAATAATTTGTTGAAATGTGTAGTATTATGTGGGTCTTCGTGCATACTGAGAATAACAAGTTATTTCTTTGGCAGCCCTTAAGAAAAAAATAGAGTTAAAGTCTGGGCATGGTGACTCAGGCTGGTAATCTCAGAACTCTGGGGGGCCAAGGAGGGTGGATCACTTGAGGCCAGGAGTTCAAGACCAGCATAGGTAACATAGCAAGAACCCCATCTCTACAAAAAAAATAATAAATAATAAAAATCAATCAGGTGTAGTGATGCATGTGTGTGGTCCTGACTACTGGGGAGGCTGAGACAAAAGGATTGCTTCAGCCCAGGATTCAAGCTTACAGGGGTTCATGCCACTGCACTCAAGCCTAGGAATGAGACCCTGTCTGAAAAAAAAAAAAAAAAGCAAAAAAAAAAAAAATGCTTAGCCCCCATTCTCACACATATCCAGGATTTTTCTCCTTAGTCCTCACTCTGGATCCCTTCCCAATTTTGAGACTGATCCTAACATTTTTAGAGGGCAGTAGGAGTGTTTCTGGCAGTGAAATTTGTTATTCCCCAATCCATTCCCCATCTCCATTATACATACAAGTCACTGAGGGCATCTGTTTATTTATTTATCTTTTTAACAAAGGGCTAACCTATATCGAATTCTTATGTCTAGCCTATAATGATCAGTGTCAGAATGGCTGCCTATTCAGTCTAATTATTTGACCATCTTATCTATGCAGATCACTGTGCAATTGTGTCAGTCCTAGATATTGATCAAAGAGGGCCAAGTTGTGCAGATCTGTGGCCATGCATGAGCTCAGCTTTCTAACCACAGTTCTGCATATTTGAAGTCTATTTGGACAAATTGTGAGTTTTTAGACTCTTCTGCCTTTTAAATGGCAGTATAATACTGTGCAGTTGTCCTCTAACACTCTGTACTGTGATTCACTCGTCTTCAGTGCTGAGAACAGTCAGGAAATTTTCATAGATTACAATAATGTATATCACAAAGGATACACGATTGTGTTATTCATATGTGTAATCACCCATGGACTAACTAGAAATAACAGTGGTCTTATTATGCAAACAGCAGTCCATAATATGCAAATGAATATAAACAAAACCAAACACAAACCTGCAGAATAATGTTTACTGATTTGTCCTTAAAAATCCCTTTTTTAAAAATCGCATTTTCCTGTCTTCTCAAAAACATTAAATAACATCAAGGATGAATGCATGAAAAAGTTTATATTTTCTCTTTTGCATTTTTGAAAAGGAACCACAATATAATCTTATTCTGATTATTCGATTTATATTCTCCCAAGGCCATTACTGCCTCCTGGCATCATTATATGCTTGTGTAAGGTTTATATGGTGTCTCTTTTAATTGCTTAAACTAATCTATTCAATGACTGCAAATCTAATGCACACTGGAACAGGCAGCCCATAAATTCCATCCTTCAGAGGTATCCTTGAACATGTGTTTGTCCTGATGAAGAGCAGAAACAAAACAAGAATAATAAAATGAAAGAAAGTCTTGTCAAATAATATATCTGAAAGAACTTAGAAACCCAAAACATATTTTAGTTAAAGAAATAAAAATAAATTAGTCCTTGCTGTTTCACATTTTTGTAAGGAATTATTCTAATTACACTCAGTTAAGTCTTCGAGCTATTGTTAAAGGTGTACCATATGGAAGGATAATATTCGATCTTAATATATTAGATAATATATGATCTTAATATAATTAATGTTATTATAAATGTTGGTTTAGGTATATAACCTCCATCGAATGGAAACATTCTTAACACCAAGGAAGAAAATTAAGTTGGGCCATGATAACTGTTTGCATCTGAATCTTACATATACTATTGTACACTGATTCTAGAAAGCTCCACCTGAATGTATTGCTAATACACACACATGTACACACAGAATCATACTGCAACACAAGAAATCAAATTACTTACAAGGGTAATTTTTCTAGTTATTAGACATAGAATTACTGAAAGATATTCATAGCTACATCATCTTCTGTGTTAAACAGAATAATTAATTGTGTTTTTCTACCAAATATACAAGAATAATTACAGACACAAATAGTAGTAGAAGAGGAGGATGAGACAATTATCATAAAACCTAGAAAAAAATTAATAACTTTCTCTTAAAAGTATATTTTCTGCATACCGCCCTATTTTTTGATGGACCTTTTCTTAACTTGCATTATAACCTAGTATTATATCCTGAAGAAGAACACGGCTTAAGTCATGCAAATTATGTGTTTTCAGTCATTCCTCTCCTTAATAAATGACTTTTGCTATTCTCCTCACCAAGCATATCTGTGATTTTTTAAATTCATATTT
Source organism: Homo sapiens (assembly GCF_000001405.40). Classification (NCBI taxonomy): domain Eukaryota; kingdom Metazoa; phylum Chordata; class Mammalia; order Primates; family Hominidae; genus Homo; species Homo sapiens. The sequence continues at coordinate 66,972,592 of NC_000013.11, forward strand.
CTCAAACCACTAGAGCATAGTTTACAATAAGTCCTGAAATAACTAATTTGTGGCCTAGCTATTGAGATCTATGGCAGTTTCCACAAGTGTCAGTCTGAAATCCTGGTTTGCTATCACATTTATTTTTTCACAAGAATGTTCTGACATAGCTCTCGTCTCCATTACATTGATACAGAAACTCTGAAACTGGTTTTGGAAACTTCAGTCACTGCTAATTCTTATTGAAATTTTAACTCTATGACTCACACTTGTACTTGTCCTGCCTTTAAAATAATGAAATAAGATAAAGAAATAAACTAAGTTAGATGACTAGTCACTTTCTTTTCTTTGCCCATGCATTATATGGGCAAATATAAATTCATCCGGTATCAGATAAACAGCAAAGTCGCTTTAGAGACTTTCTTTCTTTCCCTGTTTTCCATGTAGTATATCCATCTTCTTTCCAATCAGCACCCTGTAAAACATAACTGGATGTAACCATACTCTGAAACTGCTACCTGGCTTCCTTTGAATTCAGGTCCTACTTCACTGAATTGTAGTATCACTGGGAGAATTAGCTCTTTGAGGAGCTCTACATTTTGTTCTTGTGGCTTCCCTAGAACATTGTCCTTGGTCCAAATTTTCAGCAATCACCTTTTCTCCTAATTCCCACCAGCCATATACTGAACACTATGATGCCTTTTGAAATAATGCTTTAGTCCTTCAGAAATCTAAAGGTTCACTTTTATTTTTTTAATCCTTTCTAGTAACATAAGTTGATACAAGCAAGAACAAAAGCAAACTGTTAAAATCAAGATGCCCAAACATGGCTATTTAATTAAAAGAATGCTCATGAGACTAGACAGAACTCCACAGACAGCTAGAAAAGGAGGAGGAAACGACCAATATTGGAGGTCCTCAAAGAAAAAGGAAGAGGTGACAGAATGGGTGTCTAGGCCAGTGTTTCAAAATACTTTGATCATGTACATGAATCAGTTTAAAAAATAAAACGTGAAGATAAACCTGCTAATCATCTATTCATTTTTAATCATATCCATGTACTTTCATTGTTAGCTAACCTATCAAGGCATGATACAAACCTTGGGTGAAAGTCATCATTCATAACAGATGGACAGTTTAAATAACTGATTTCAAATAACCTTTACATTTTCAATTTTTTGTATTACTTCTTATTGGATCAGATCATGTTAGTTTTTAAAAGGTATAATGTGTCTGACCTAAAACTTATTCTAACAGTAGAGGAGCCATTTCCCCAAGGTTTGTTAGCATTTGCTTGTATTTTGTTTACTTTTGCACACTGTCCATTTGAAAACAAACACATCTACACTTGCTGAGAATTTGTTTAGTTACAATAGAATAATAGGATTGCTATTTTGCTTAACAGGAGTATGGAAACTGGAAGCTGGAACATGATACATTACAGTGAAAGCAAATGTGTGATAAAGGATCCACTATGTTCCATGTTAGAACTCACCTACGCTTCCCTCAGCATACCTTACAAAGCTGCGCATGACCACAATGACCTTCGTGATGGGGGTGAGTCTGTCTGTATTTTAAATACCAAAAGGTTAAATTTATTTCTTATCTCCAAGAACAAAATGATATGAGAGTCTAATATATTCCATACACTACAATGCATCCTCTCAACTACCTCTCAGGGAGTGTGCCCCCAACTTTGGAAGCTCCTGAGGTAATGGAGTAGCTGCAAAGGATTGTAGAAAAGAAAATCTCAGCTCTGCTTTCCCTGACCTAACCCCTTTCTCTCCTTCCCTCTCAAGTTACAACCCCTTTTCAGAGTCACTCTAATGCCTACGTGGTTCAAGTTTCAGCTTTCAACTATAGTCTTGGAATGAGGAAGGCTTGCCTCCATCTGTACAGAAATTGGATTGGAAAAGAAGTAGGGAAGTGGGTAGATTATAGCCCAGAGTTGAGGGGGAGACAGTCCTGGCATCTCATTTTTAACTTCTGAAGGCATTTTCCCATACTACAGTTATGTATTAGTAATATTCTATAGAACTGTTTCTTGCGGTAATTTATTGGCAAATTGTTTGTGACCTACTCTATGCGCCTAACTCCTTAAAGCACATTAAAGCATCTTTCTAGTTTCAAACAATTGAGCTTAATTACACATTTTAGAAACAAATCCCATTCATAAATGACAAGTTGCACATATACAGAATTTCAGTTCTTAGGCCAGTTGAGAGTTGAAAACAGCTTTACAGTGAAATTTTATATTGTGGAGTTTAATTGTGAGCGACTGAACATGCAGTACGATATGAACTATTCACCTTTTCTGCAACAGTGTTATGACATAACCTGGTTTAAATAAGACAGTTTTAACCACATAGTAGTTAAATGACTTTTGATATGACACTAATAAAAGCCTGTCTATGTTAGAGATGCTTAGGTTTTTACTCCTTTGTTTATTTTGAGAATATTAATCATTGTACTAAACTAATAAAAGAAAATTGTGGGTTTAAAGCTTCCATTAAAAAGTCCTTATCTTCACCATGAACTAGCATGATAAATGCCTAGAAAGCATCTCTGTCTATCCTAGTGGAATTTATAGTGAACAGAAGAGACACAGATAGGCCATGTCATAGAAAGCAGAAATCTAAATGACCTCAAATTAGTGAATTATAACAATCAGAATTACTTTTAACGCTATTTGGAGAGATCTCAATAAAATATGAACTATTTGGGAAGGAAGATACAATCCATTCTAACGACAAATTATCTCAATGGATTTTTTGTTAGGATAAGGACTAATAATGGTTTCAACATTTGCTCTGTGTTAGACATTGTCATAAATGGCTTATGCTTATGAAGTTATTTAAACTAAAAACCATCCCGCTAGGTAGATAGTTATTATTGTTTCCATTTGATAGTTAGGAAAACAAAAGCACAGATACATTAAGTAATTTTCCCAAGTGCACCCAGCTAGTGAAATGAAATCATTTCTGAGAAATTCAAAACATGGAGTCAATGCTAAACATTTTTTAGAGCAAAGAGAAAGAGAGGGAGGTGGAACAGGGGACAAGGAGACGGAAGAATCTTTCAACAGTCATTACTGTATCATTAATGCTCTCATTCAGCAAACCTTTATTAAGCGCCCACTATGTGCCAGGAACCAGATAACTAGGTGCCAGAAATACAAAAATAATGTACTTGACCTTGGGAAGATCTCCGTATAGTAGAGGAAATAGAAATAATTGCCATAAAATATGGTAAGAGGCAATATATTTATACACCAAGTGCTATAATATCATCCCCCTCCAAGAGGAACTTTACAATGAGTGGAAAGTAATACATTTCTAAATAAACCTGTGGAAGAGCAATTCAGTAATCAGTGAGATACAGTTAATCACAGAAAACAGTCTATAAGAGGTGAATTTTGCTACGTTTTTAAAGAAAGGATAAGAAGGTGAAATTGGTAGAGAAAAATAGGGCCTTCAAGAAAATATTTCTGTTGAAAGATAGGGCATGTACAAAGTAAGACAGGAGACGGTCCCTCTGTCCTTTGAGGAAAAAAATACACAAAGTGTCTGCTGCCTACTGTCTCATCCAATCCATCTAACTGATATTCTTCAATTCTAAAATCCCCTCATTGGCAAACTACTTTTCAGTTGCATGCAGTTATTTATTTATTTTAGTTTTAAATATTGGAGGAAAAATATTGATTATTCATTTTAAGTAATTAATAGAAATGTATAGAAGATATGGTAGTAGTCTATGTAAAGTAGTCAATCTAAAGAACACATAAACTGGAGATGTATTTAAAGTTATACTGGGCAACTTTCATATGGGTATGGTTTGAGGATTATCTGAGCCCTTTGGGTGAAACTCATTTTCTCTATGGAATCTTTCAGTACCTGAATTTTTTCCAGTAAAATAACTCTTTGAGTTTCAAATGACTTTTCATAAATAAACTGTAGATCACCCTCCATAAGACACATGTCTTATTACCATACATACAATATTTTACTGGGAGTAGCAATTCCATAAACCCAACAAGGCTCAAGACCAATATGAACAACAGAAGTCAATACTTAGGCAAGGCAGGTAGAGCTAGGATCAGAACAAGCGCCTTTAGGTGGAAGTCAGGGTAGATGGGAAAAACAGATACAAACTGTAATTTGTCATTTGTATGACCTGTATCTAGTCCAGGATATTACACTTTATCTGTAATCAAGTAAGAAAAATAAGGATAAATCTGATGTTTGGGAAAGTGCAGAGAGTTTATTTTACCTTTGTTTTTATCCATAGGACCACCTTTATTATCATTTTTTCATTGTATAATTCCTGAGGGTAAAGATAAAATCATAAAATCAGGCTTCTGAAATTTGAAACTAATTTTAGATTTTTGTTTTCCATTTAAACACTAATGTTGAAAAGCAGACCACTGCTCTGCACCCCAGTGATCCAAAGACTTAGTCTGTCATCTTTAAATGCTTTTCCTTACTTACCAGAGACCTTTAATAGGTTTGGGTTGGGTCATTTTATTTCTCATTCTGTTAATAGATTATCTTTATACTTCTCCCTCTGTGATAATTAATAAATAATATTTTGCTCTTTTTGAATGGTACACCTTTATATGTTTAGAATATATACCATCTATATGCTTGACATTTGGGGGATCTCGTCTAATTTTCAAAGGAAGAAGAAAAATCTGGCTTGCAGGGTGTTTAGAGTACGGTGATGACAGCCTTTATGCCAATTTCACAAGCATTGCAGCCTGAATCATAGGCTGTACTATAAACGGCAGCATATGGCTGGAGAGTCATAGCAGCAGGATAACGTGGTAGTGCCCAGATCACAGCTGTAGGCACATAAAGAAAGTTTTGATGCTGGTATCCATATCCCTCCTTCTCATCAACAACAAAAAGGATGACTACTTAAGATTCTGTTGTCTTAAAGGCTTTATTAAGTTATTGCCCAAGGTAGGAAAGGGATATTATTGTCTACATATGTTTGCCAGAATCATGCAGCTTCTCTATTCTGGCTTTCCGAGCAGGTGTCTCTTTAAGTACTTATTCTAAATGGAACACAACTGGGCGACATCAGAAAGGGCACTGTTGACAACTGTCATAGCAGGTTCCAGCTTGAATGGTAACTGAGCAGAAGGTATCTCTCCAGAGTACTTCAGATCATCCTAAAAGCAGCATCATTTCCACCAGGAACCCAGCTTCTACCAGAAAAGAGTGCTGGGAAATGGTGCTTCTGGTAAAATCTGATCTCCTCAGTGGAAATGCTCTATCCCACCAGATTTCGCATAGAAAATAGCTACAAGGCAATTAAAGGAATGCCGATTTTAAAGGCAAAAATATAATGTTTAGAGGAAGCACATAATGCAGACAGATGTTAATAATGTTAAGTGAAAATTTGCTAAATATTTTTTCATACCTGTTGTATCCCTTAAAACACTTTAAAGCCCTTTCGTAAGTGAAAAGAAACACTAAAATGTTCAATTGTTTAATTAGACATATAAAAGATTAATTTACCAGATAAGAGAAATGATGTTTTCAAGGTATAGTTTCAGGTTATTGATAGTTTGTTATTGTCTTGCATTTTAATTCTTGTTAGTTTGGAGTTTTGTTGTTGTTGCTGTTATTGTTGCTGTCACTGACCATAAGAAAATGGGAGAATTATGTTCAGATGCTGAAATTCAGGAGCCAATTTAAATGATAATTTTCAGATAGATCTTGTAAGGTATTTAGGGTAAAGTAACTCTGCAAACCAAATACAAAAAAAAAACAAACACTGATTTTTCTCCTTGCTTAGGATTATCCATCTGCAAAATAAAAGCAATTGCAATTTCTGCATGACTGCAAGAAAAATAGATACTATTCCTTAGTATGCTATTTTACAAGTTTCTTAAAGGTACCTATTGTGCAGATATATGTGATTAAAAAGTAAAATTTATTATGAGACATTCACATATGCTCCTATTTTAGTTTTTCTACATAGACTACAAAATATAATTATTCAGACTTCTTTTGTAGAAGTATGTGAATTATAGATCAGAGATTTATGTAAGGATTTATATATGGATTGCTTCTTTTCTTAGTTTATGCTACTATCTTCTATAAGAATATATATATTATATATAATTGTATAATATGTTGTTTCATAAGAATACATAAATATACATATGTAACTGTATATAAATGTATATGATTTTTGGCCTTAACTTCATATATATGTACATAAATGTATGTATATATGTGTGTATATATATGAATATGAATGTATGTATATATGTATATTTATATATGCATATGTATGAAGTTATTAAGGCCAAAATCATGTATATATTTACATACAGTTACATAGATATATATGTACTGTTATATAAAGTTATGAAGGCCAAAAATCTTATACATTTGTATTTATAAAGAACATACATTTTATTTATAAGGAACAACACAAAATTATCTTTTATTCTAATGTTGAATATCCATATTTGGGTAGCAAAGAAAGACATGACGTTTTGTTTTGTTTCGACAAGTTATAAGTGTTGAGTTCAGAAAAAATATCAGTATCAGAGCAAAGAGGTGAAATCCAAGACAAAAATGAAACAAAAACCTTGGAGTTTTCACTTCTTTGAGGGTTATCAACCTGGAATGCATGCAAAGATGGAGCCTAGGCAAACCTTCTCATAATTATGTTTTTCCATTACTTTAGTAACTGAATGCCCTTGTATAAATTCCAATGAAACCTTGCATCACATTTCATTGAGAAAATAAAAGACATTTGAAACTCCTTCATATTTTATCCAAAGTCTGTAAATCTACATGGTTCTGAATCTATTGTTTCTATTACCTTATTCATTATAAACAGTGAAGATATCTGTCTTCCTATTAAAAATTCATATGACTATCTGTGATCTAGAGCCCATTCCCTTTGTTCCACCTTATGTTTTCTCAAAGGCTTCTTTCTCCTGAATCTTCAGCATTCTTCTCTAATAGAATATTACAACAACATACAAATATTCTATAGTGACTCTCATTTTAAGATAAAACAGCCAAATCCACATCTCCTTCAAGATCTCTACTTTCTCTTCTCTCATTCATGTCCAAAATTCTTGAAACAGCCACCTATTCTGATCATATCCCCCCCTTACAACTCCAAACACTACATTTCTAAGACCACCAATAACCTCTGTGTCTGTCAAATCACAAACACTTTTCTGTGCTCATTTTATAAGATTTGACTATGTTGTACTTGAATCTCTCTCCTTCTTTTTTGTCTCTTGCCTATCCCTCTTTTTTCTCTTTAGCTTTGCCCACTCCACCATCTGCTATTTACCTTCTCCTATCCCTCCACCTTTTTCTTTCTTTCCTATCTAATTCTTTATTTAACTACTGACTGATGAAATTTCTCATAGCTCAGTGCTCAATACTTTTCTGTTCTCAAGGTGATATATTTTATTCCCATTGTTTCAAATACTATTTATGTAGCAATGACACTAACTTAAATTATCCATCTCTATCTATCTATCTATCTATCTATCTATCTATCTATCTATCTATCTATCTATCATCACTTCTGATCCTTCCATCAACTTGTTCCTTATTTCACTTCTTGATCTCAATGAAGGCAAAACTCGTTTTCATTTACTCATGTTCCCAAACTGGGGGACATTCTTAATGCCTCTATCTCCCACACCACCCCCATTCAATCCATCCAGAGATGATCTTCATCACACACACACGTACACACAAATGACTCCATCCAAGTCTAAGTCCATTTCCCACAAGACAAACAAGGTAATCTTGTAAAAGTATAATGGGATTATGCACTCCTCTACCTAAAATGGTTTTTCATCTAAAATCAGATAAAGATTTATTATCTTGGCCAATTTCTACAATTTCTAACCAATTTAATCTCTGCCCTGTGTTCTAGAAATTTTTATCTATCCTTCAGATCACAATTTGAATATTACTTCCTATAAGATACTTCTTGATTTGATATAAAATTGGTCCCTTTACCCTTTCTCATATGTTTTTATTTTTCCATTACAATCCTTATCACAATTTATAATCATATCTTCCTTTGCATGCTCACTTATTTAAAATTCTATCAATTGCTAATTTTTAGGATTCATAAAAATTTTGTTTTTTCCTGTTTTTTTCTTTGTTTTTTTTTTTGTTTTTTTTTTTACTATTTTATATCCTACTCCTTGCTTAGTACTTGGCACCCAGTAGGAGCTTATAAATATTTGTCAAATAAACAAATATCCTAACTAAACCTTTTAAGTAGTAAAGACCATTAGTGTGAACGTTTGTATAAATCTACAATGAAGTAAACAAAAAATAGATAAAAACATGCATGCTGATTCCAAGCTGTTTTATAAGCTATATTCATTTTATCATAGTCAGCCTTTGTGCAATGCTTATTAAAGTAAGCGCCATGTGTTTTTCCATAAAATCTATTTTAAACGTGTACTATATTCTACATGTTATAGCTATTAACAGAATACACAAATAAACAGAATATATACTGTCCATAAAGACATTTACAGAATATAATAAAATAAGACTAAGCATGAAATAGTAAAAGGTAGGCCGGTCGCGGTGGCTCACGCCTGTAATCCCAGCACTTCGGGAGGCCCAGGCGGGCGGATCACGAGGTGCGGAGATCAAGACCATCGTGGCTAACACGGTGAAACTCCGTCTCTACTAAAAATACAAAAAGTTAGCCGGGCGTGGTGGCAGGAGCCTGTAGTCCCAGCTACTCAGGAGGCTGAGGCAGGAGAATGGCGTGAACCCGGGAGGCGGAGGTTGCAATGAGCCGAGATCGTGCCACTGCACTCCAGCCTGGGTGACAGAGCGAGACTCCCTCTCAAAAAAAAAAAAAAAGAAAAAAAAAGTAAAAGATAATTCATTTATACTAAAAAAAGTACTTGAGCAGGATTTAGTTTTCCTTCATTATTTACTATAATTACTTATCTGAAATTTGATTCAATTTAAACTTATTGAATTATTACATCTTATTAGATCCTATTAATTATACAATTTCCAGCAAAAAGAAAAAAAGTATTTGATTAACTAATTATTTAAATTCTTGCTATTCCATAAAGTAAAACTCTTTACTTATTGGATGCAACCTATGTTTATACACTTTCCTGATTTCTCACAATGTCATTTGCAAACATTGTTAAATACTTAAAATAATGCTTATTAAAAATGTTATTAAATACATAAAATATTATTAAATACTGAAGAGCAAAGTTGAAAATTAACGTATCCCTAAAATTTATCACACAGGTAAAATTTATAACAGAAAATTACTCTAAGAGTAACTTATTTACCAGTAACACAAATATAAAATTAAATAATTGATATTGTTTGGATATTGGTCCCCCGCCCAAATCTCATGTTGAATTGTAATCACCAATGCTGGAGGTAGGGTCTAGTGAGAGGTGTTTGGATCATGGGGGCGGATCCCTCATGGCTTGATGCTGTCTTCATGATAGTGAGTTCTCCTGAGATCTGCTCCTTTAAAGGCATGTGGCACCCCTGCCCCACTCACTCTCTCTCTTGCTCCTGCTTTCACAATGTGAAGTGCCTGCTCCGGCTTCGCCTTCCACCGTGAGTAAAAGTTATCTGAGGTCTCCCTAGAAACCGAGCGATGTCAGCCCCATGCTTGTACAGCCTGCAGTGAGTGCTTGAGCCAGTTAAACCTCTTTTCTTTATAAATTACCCAGTCTCAGGTATTTCTTTATAGCAATGCATAAATGGCCTGATACAATAACCAATCCCTTATATCCGCTACTATAAAATATATGTTTGCCTATAGAACGCACTTCCAAGAAACACTAAAAAGTCATAATTACACCAAGTATGTAAAAGTAGGCATAGGCAAGTATTTGAATATAAGAGCTACATTATAATCCAATATTTGGTTATAAAGGTAGGACTAAAAATAGTTAAATTTGTTAAATATGTGAAAACTGTCTTCAAGCCCTACCTACCCCGGGTTCTCCTGGAATGAGGATCACTCCACCTACTCATCTCATCTACCAAGTCTTCCTCTCAGAAATGTCTTAGATAATTTCTGCCACCTCTGTCGAAACTAACTTGTTCAGGGTAGGACTCCCCTGAAACCCTACCTTGTAAACAAACAGTGACTCCACATTCTTTAATCAGAAATTCTGGAAAAAGAGAAAACAACACCTGGATTCTTCAATCTCGCTGGCAACATTTGTTTCTTAATTTCAAACAGAATAATTTTATAAATGTATTTTTCAAAATAATAATGTTGATTCTTGGTCTTGACTTACATTCAAATTTACTCTATGTTCTATGACTTCAAGAGTGAAATTTTCATTAGGCCTTTAAATTTGAAGATGTTATTAGAGAAAAAATGTAGCTTAATGGAAAAAGACAAAGCTTCTTTATGTTTGTCAAGTAAAATGTTTATAAAAGTTCTGAGAAATGGGGCAGTTCACCTATAGGGGAGTCCCACTCAGTGTAGAAGCTCATAGTTAGGAATCAAATAGAAGAATAGCTAATGGATGCTAAGCTTAATACTTAAGTGATAAGTTGATCTGTGCAGCAAATCACCACGGCAGACGTTTACCTATGTAAAAAAACCTGCACGTCCTGCACGTGTACCCCAGAACTTAACACAAACTAGAAGTTAAAGAAGAAAAATGAATAAAAATAATAAATGAGATTAGGCATTTGGCACATAAAAAAATTTAAAAATTAAAAAAATAAAAAGTCACTTTGTAGAATGAAATTTGCCGATTACTTACAATGAAAGAATGCTTTGTTCCCCTTTACTATCCATTAGAGTTGGGTCACTAAGAAAAAAAAGTTTTCATTTCCAATTCATGAAAAAGTGAGTGTGAAAAAAAATAAAAGGAGAAAACAGAAATGTAATTAGCCAAATATAAATAGTCTTTGGATTATTCACTGCTTTACTTTATCCTTTTGAGAAGGTAATTGGGAACTGATTATGTTCTCAGAATTACTGGAGATGCTGCAGATGGCTTTAAAAATATTCTCAAATTAAAACACAAGTATGTGTGTGCTCTGGCGACAGAAATCATAAAACTTTACTTCATAAACTCACTCTTTTTTAAAAAAAACTTTTATTTTAGGTTCAGGGCTACATGTGTAGGTTTCTTTTACAGGTAAACTCATTGCACAGGGGTTTGTTATGCAGATTATTTTGTGACCGAGGAGGTGCTAAGCCTAGTACCCAATCGTTTTTTTTGTTTTTTTTTGTTTTTGTTTTTGTTTTTTGCTCCTCTCCCTTCTCCCACCCTCCACCCTCAGGCAGGCCCCAGTGTCACAAACTCACCCTTATTTTCCCTGAGATAATCCAATGAAAAATATTTTATTCTATTGAAAAGCTACTCTTTGTAAAAGTTCTCATCCTGAGCATTATATTCTAATAAATAACAACTAAACATACAAGAAAGAGATGCTCATAATCATAGACATTCTGCTATAATTTATATATCTTTTATTCATATTATATAAATATTCACACCTAATTATAACATTCACAATTTTATGAAAACAGATGTAAATGAAATTGTAACTTTATCAAATATTAGACTAGGATGGAGGAAACCTCTTTACTACGTCAGATTCCAGTTACTGTAACACAAAACAGGGAAATTGCTCACCATATATTTCTTTAAAAATGGCTGGAATAACATTTGCCATCTACAAGGGTTTCCTTAACAATTACTTAAATCAGATATTTATGTACTGATGTAAATTGTCAGATGATTTTAAGATAGCTATAGTCTACATTTCCAAACCAACTTCATTTTTCCACCTCTTGAGTGTTTCCATAACAGATTTGCATGTGTTGCAATAGAAAAACACATACTGCCTGAGTGCTCTGATGATGTTACTTCTAGAGCCTTCCCTGGTACAGCTTGTTTTGACCTAGGACAAATCACTGAAACCATCTGGTCTTTGGCTTCTTCATTTTTAAAAGGGTAGAGGGAAATATTTGGATCTGATGAATGCAAAAAATTTTTTTAAGATTCTAATGCTAAAATGGAATCTTACACATTGGTTAGTCCCAAGAAAGTAAATAACAGAAAGAAAATCTATCTACATATGATGAATTGCAAAGGGAATAATTTAACTATAATTTCAATTTACTATCAACATGATTCCATTAAATGACTTTGACCATCATTTTCTCTTTTAGCAAAATAATTTACAAAAACATTTATAAAGGAGATATGTGTATATTTTCTTTCTGTTTTTAGGGGTCACTGGGCTTTTAATAATTTCCTATATGGTTTTCTAAGGACAATTTTAAAACTTTGTTTATATGTGTGGACCCCCCATCTCAATCTCCCTGTTCCCATTGCATTGGCTGTCTCCCAGTTCTTCTAAAATCCATAGGAATCCTTGCCTTAGGTTACTTGCACTTGCTGTTATTTCTGCCTAATAAACTCCTTCTACTAATTATTGCTTGCCTGGATCATTTGGAACACAATTCAGCTCTCATCCTCCATTAAATTGTACCTCACTGGCCTAGCCATCACTGTCTGTTATAGTCTCTACTATTATTCCTCAATATTTACCTTTTCCATGGTTCCTATTGCAAGATAAAATTCTTTTATGCTCAACCTTGACAAGAATATATATTCTTTCTGTCTTCTTTACTACAGTGCCAAGATCAATCCCTGGCAATAAATCCTGTCTTTGTTGAATGAATAGGAAAGTACCTTTGGGCATGTGTAGCCTGTAAGCTACATTATTATTAAAATATTAATTTAAAATTTATTCAAACTTAAGCAGTTATGATTATGTTACATATTTAAATTGTTTCCATAATTTGACCCATGAATAAGTAACTATTCCTAGTATAGTACATTGTATATACAGTTAAATGCTTACACATGTTCTTTTTTTCTCTTAAAGGTTATTTGAAATTTCAGATGGTAACAAGCTTGGAATTGTCTTTTTCTTCAGCTATGGACTGTATCAAAGTTTATGGGCTATAATTGTATTTTGGTTTCTGCCAGGCATCAGGATAGCTCATTTGCATGACTGGTACAAAATTTACTTATTCAGTGAATCATGCTCAGCTGCTGTACTGTTCAATCTGTAATAATAACTGCAGGGTGACTGACTAACGATAACTAATCTTCTCTCAACTACAAAAGCATGTAAATTAGTAAAATAAATGTTTAGTTGTGTATGTGTGTGTGTTTGCATGTTGGAGTTGGGGTGGATTATGCTCTTCAATTTCAATGCAACGCTGCACACCCTTAATCAATCTGGAGAAAAAAATGTGCAGAAAAATGACAGTCAATCCTAGCCACAAATCAGTAGTCATTATATCCATTCTCTTAGCCATGAATATGACATAAAACTTTATAAATGAATACATTGTCTATTTTTTAGTGGTGAGGTGTATTAGTCTGTTCTCATGCTACTATAAAGAGCTGCCAGAGACTGGGTAATTAATTTTAAAAAAGGTTAAATGACTCATAGTTCTGCATGGCTGGGGAGGCCTCAGGAAACTTATAATCATGGTGGAAGGGGAAGCAAACATGTCTTCTTCACATGGCAGCAGGAAGGAAAAGTGCTGATCCAAGGGGGAAAAGACCCTTATAAAACCATCAGATCTCATGAGATTTCACTCACTATCACAAGAACAGCATGGGAGTAACTGGCTTCATGATTCAATTACCTCCCACCATGTCCCTCCCATGACAGTGGGGATAATGAGAACTACAATTCAAGATGAGATTTGGGTGGGGACACAGGCAAACCATATCATAAAGTCTCTTCATCACATCACCCAAAGTAGAAACTGAAGCATTTCCTGCATCTTCTTGGCACCCTTATGAATTAATGATCATGACAAAACAAATGCAACTGAATAATCTGTTTTTCACTGGGATATGGAATTCAGTATAACTTGAAGTTACCTTTAAACTGTGGTATTAGAAATAAGCAAAGTCCAAATACTAGATAGTTCATTTACACAATTGAAGAGGAGAAGAATGACATAGATATAGCTACTTGTTTTATTTAGGAATATAATTAGCTAAACATCTTATTAATACTTCTATAGCAGACTTTCAATAATGATTTTCCAACAGATTTTAGGGTACTAAAACCATGATGATTTGAGATGTTTAAAAATAGATAGGAAGATATTTTCAATTCCACTGTATATTAACCTACATACTGCTACACAAGATGATTGTTTCATTTTCAATAATTTTTAAAGTGTTTAAAATAAAATGAAAACAAACATACAACTGAATAAAATGGAAAAATGAACCACAGAGAATAGATATAGTGTGGTTCCATTACTATAGTATCTATGTATATATAATAAATAGGCATATATCATACACATTCCAGATGATGTTTATGATATATTACCTATATCACAGATAGAAAAATTGAGGAAATAATTCAAACTAAACTGTTAATTGAGACTACTTGCAAAAATGGCATTTGAGAGGGCAGAGATTTGATTTTTAATTTTCAAATGTTAGTTTTACTTAAATTTATTACAATGAATATGTATGTTCTTATAATTTAAAAGTAAATAAAATTGGCTCTGATTTAGATTTTGGATGTTTCCATTTTATTTATTCAATATATGCTTTGTAATATGTATATTTTGAGCTTCTTGGAAGCATTCAAAATAGAGTTATTTTAACAATTTCAAGGCTAAATAAACACTGCTATTTTTCTTCAGCATCCATGTGAAATGTCTGTAGAGCCCAGCTTCCTTGCCTGTTTATAAACACTCAGAGGACCCTGGTGTGATCAGTGGCATCATTACATTACTGCTTAATAGCACATGCTGTTGATACATTAATTGTGTTATTGACTATTTTAAAAGTTTATGACCTCATCTGCATTCCAGTTTGACCTTGTTTTGCACTTTTTGAGTGAATTGCCACATTCAACAACCTACGTAATGTAATATGTATTATATTAATAAATTTATAAAATGAAATGAAGAGCTAGCTGATACGCACCTCATTTTTTTAATCAACTAAGTCATTGTTAGGTAGACTCTATATTATGAAGAATTGCATAATTGCAAAACTGTGATGGTACAGCTTCATGATTAGAAAAGATATTCCAATTTTTTTGTAATTTTATTTTAAATAATAATTATCAGATGAACAGGCTGGGAGATATTCTTATGGTTTTAAGCAAGGGAAATGGCTCTTAACTTCATATAAATGTCTTATTTGAAAATGTCAAATGGATTCAGAATGTTCTCCTTGACACCATAAATAACTATTCAAAATAATATTTTAAGTGGAAATTTTAATAATTTAGTTTATTTTTTGTTTTTATTTTTTGAGACAGGGTCTTTGTCTGTTTCCCAGGCTGGAGTGCAGTGCTAGAATTATAGCTTATTGGGCTCAATAAGTTCTTGGGCTCAAGTGATCCTCCTGCCTCAGCTTCCCTGGTAGATGGAACTAAAGTGTGTGGCACTATGGTCAGCTAATATTTATTTACTTATTGTAGAGACAGGGCCTGACTATATTGTCCAGGCTGTTCCCAAACTCCTGGGCTCAAGAGATCCTTGCACCTTGGGAACTTTTATTTCTAAAACCCAAGTAAAGTCTTTACTTCCTAAGAAATGAAAGTTGACTGGGAAATATTTCTTAGTTAATTGAGGCCATAGAAATTTGTTCAGGATTGCAATATGAAAAATTAAACCTTGTATTTTACAGGTAATCTTTTAACACGTAGTCTGATGTTTACATAACAAAATATCACTTTTGGCATGTTTGCCAGTTTCCCTTCCTTTTCTACTCTCAGAACTCTAAGGAAAATGGAAACAACAGCTCCTTATGCTATTTATCCTCACTAAGCACAAAATAGCATGTTTGTGAATTTTACATTCTAAGAGAAGTTGGACAAGGTGTTACATTCCATAGCAGAAAGGATGACACAGACTTTGGGATATTTATTGAATTTTCATTATTGGAGAGTATTGCTATATAAGGTTGTGATTGCTTAGATAGTTTAGAAAGTGGAACACACAAAGTATTTCCCAGACGGAATGTAAATAAAGGAATCTGGAAATAATACAAATGAAAGAATGAGGAAATAATTAGTGGAAATTAGAATTTCAGAGTTTGATTCAATAGGGACAGTCATCTATTCTTATTTATTTTTAATGATGAAGAAATGAACGTCTAGAACTATTAGATGACTTGTTCACAGCTTCTGAATTCATAGGTAGTGCAATGGTGATGTTAAACTAAGAGGTCTTGCTACTCTTTATCCAGAGCGTTATTACTGATTGCGATTACAGAAGACTATGGAAAGCCAATGAAGACAACCAGATGATGTGCAAAGTTGCTAACACATGAAGGAGATGTAATTTCTTTCATATGTTAGAAATTTCATATTAGAGATATTCATGTTATAGATACTCACATGCAGCAAACTTGTTTGGAGCACAACATATACACTAAGTGACAACTGGGACTACTAACAGAATAGGTGAGTCTAAGAGAAGGGATTTTGGGGGCAGGAATTAAAGATTTACACTCCATTCCCAACCATGGTGAATAAGTATTGGAATAAATATTATATATGTTACAAATCATGAATTCATTGTGATTTCAATTAATATAATGTGGAGTAGCTGGGATGTGGAATATTTTAAAAGTCATTTTATAGATAAGTTTATGGTTATCACTCATTAAATTAGCTAGAAATATTTTCCACATCTGGCCCACCAAAATCCCAAATGACCTTATGAAGTTAGAAAGTCACATCACTATTAGGAATAGAAAAGTTCCTTCACACAGAGATTGTAGCCATTAAATGTACTAAAATTTAATTTCATCTTTCCAACGATTTGCTTCCTATGCTCATACAAATACAATTATTTGAGAAACAGAATAAAATGTATTCCTCAACTAATTTTATCAAGTAATGAATGTCACTTCCTGATTGTAGAAATAGCACTTTATGAAATTACTCCATGATCCCAAGTCTTTTTTTCACTCAACCTCTTTACCAGGAAGACTTTCATCTCAGCTTCAGCTCTAAATCACTTTATTCATGAATAATGAACTAACGATCCTGTGTACTTGTGAATTATTTTAGATATCTAAATTATTGTTAAAATTTACATTCTCACTTTATGTGACAGAATGTCTAATTGAATATGCACTTGGTATAGCAGCCACTTCCTCAGACTCTCAGAGAATATTAAAGAACAGGGTGAGGTATTAGCAAAACGGGAACATAAAAAATTGAACAAAAAGGTATATTTCCTCACACTAACAGCATTTTTACCTGCACTGTAGAACAATTAAGAATTACTATTCTGCTAAGTGCCTAGGCCATTTTCTTAGAAGAAACAAATAAGCACTCTGTAACAGCACATTTCAAAGACTGATAACAAAATTTTCAGTGCATAGCAGTATAATAAATGTATCATTAACTCTTTGTAACTAACAAAGATATTTAAGATGGAAGAAAAAATGTTTTGGGTTTCTTCGTTTTGTTTTTCTGTAATTATCTGCAAAATTTTTAAAGCCTTAGCAAATTTTAATAATAGTCCAGTGAATGACCCCATTAATCTAAAGGCTAAACTGGATGAAGCCTAAATAATCATCTTGTATGTCTTTATATCTTGAGTGCTAAACAGAATAAAGTTCTACAACTTGGAATATTTTAAACAATTATAAGCAACAAACTCCAAGCATTAGCTATGCCTGGATTGGTGAAAACTTGAGTGACAGTACTTGTTAATACAGTTCATCATCTCCCTCTCTTTCCTTTGCTCAAAAGAATATAACATTTTTCATACTCTAAAAGAATATATTAAGCAAATGTAAGAAGATACATATACATATACATATAGGTTAGGTTCTTACATTTGCTTAATATATCATATTCTTTTTTATATGTAAAAGAATATATCATTAGTATATCATATTCTTGTATATACTCATATATACAGAATATGTATATTCTTTTATATATAAAAACATATATACACATATATAAAACAAATATATACATATAAACACATATATATAAAAACATGTATACATAAATATACATATATATATAATTCAGTGACAAGCACAATTGATAGCAATTTCTCACTTCAAAAATTCACATCTCTGAAGAGGGTAAAGTAGATGTTTCCACACTGAATTTCTAGTAATAATAATATTTATGTTTACTTAATTTGATGTAATCATCATCCAGCAGATAATCAATATATTTCCATCTTCCAACTCCTACTTATCCAAACTTTGACAAAAATGCTCCATGTTGTTTATAACAGATAACTTTTTCTAGTCAACAATACGCTTATTACATAAAATATCCATGAAAATGGGACCTGGGCATTATCTCTCAAGTTTGGTTTCCTTATTATTGTTTAATGTTAATTTTCTTTTCCAGAAGGCTCATCTGAATATATTTTTAATATTAGCGGGTTTTTAGAAAAAAATACGTCCTTGACTCCAACTTGCCAGTTACACATCTCATCTGGACCAGAGTCGGTAATATATTTTCTTGTTATTTTTCTGTGATACAGTGTCCTGAATCTGTCAACAGTGCATAACTTATCTCTATATATGACAGGATTAAGAGGGAGCTCCAAGACATCAGCAGGTGTAAACCCAATTTTGTAAGATCAATCCATTACTATCTAAAAACTATAAATAGAGAAGAGTAGATGAGACACATTTTTTTTTTCCATTGCAGTGGACAAGAGCAAGGCTAGTGGACGTTATAAAGTATTTGATCATGTATGTCAAGATGAAGAATGTATGAATTATGTAGTCTTACCAAAATTAACTGTCTCCTATATATGTTACCAAAAGGTTGCATACTAATAAGAAAAAATATATATTAAAGAATCATGAGAGATCTCAAAATAAAATTACTTTCTCCAGTTACATAATATTTTTGAAAGCATAATTTTGATTTCTTTATAAACTTAGAATCCTTTATTAATTCAGTTTTCTTCAAATTTGACTTATATATTGAAATTTCATTTGACTAACTACTTTTTAATTCCATTAACATTTTCACCTGAACTCAAGTCTGAAAAATAATTTTGAATGAACATTTAGAATGAAGTTGATGTGAAAACAAACAAACAGAATCCGAAACAAAATGAATTCTGTATTTCAGAAGTAAAGCACCCTTTTCATAAAGGAAATAAAATATTTTCCTCCATGGAAAATAATAGTGTTTCAATGAAGGATACTAATAAATTTCACTAGCATAAATGGAAACAAGAAAAAGATGTAACATAAAAATCATAGTGCATATTCATGATATTAAGAGAAGTCTCATGCATTAATGTTTAGGAAGGTAGATAAAGATAGATTATTGTGTTTAAGTATATGGGTTTTTTTTAAATTTAAGATCATATTCTTCCAATTTGGTGGCAGTTTTAAGTCTGTATTTGATAGAATAAATGTTTTTGTCTAATGTTACAATGAAAGGCAGTTTCATATACTCCAGATTTTTTGATAAATATATTAGGATAATGACCAGTAACCTCTACATAATGTTTTATGACTGGTGACCTAGCAGTGAGCACATTATAACCAGAGGATTCTGGAAGAAGAAAGGCAAAGATATTCCCTAGAAAAACAAATGTTTCGATCATCTCTACTGATAACTGCACTCTTCAAGTAGTTTCTGAGTACTTACTGTGTTTTACATCTATGCTAGTGGTGAGAGTGCAGTGGAGGAAAGGTACTGCCACTCTGTCAAGAACAAGCTATGGATCTAACATGATATTGGGGAAATCACCCCCTCCAGCGGAATGATGCAAGCTGAAATTCATACCAAGCCTTCAGAAATCCTGTTTGCTTTCCTTGGCAGTGCACCAGCCTGACTCCATCTAAACAATGGTCTTCTTTTTAACTCCTGTTCCTCTTTGGTGACTTTAATTCATTTATTCTTTAATATATGTCAGCACACTTCTGTTGGAAGACGAGCTCTTTTAATTTTGCAACTCTTTAATTTGTTTCCACTTCACAACTCCCTGACATTCTTAGATAATTGTAATGGTTGGTTATATATTTATATATATAGGCTAATTGATTACTTATTTCAGGCATAAAGCCCTGAACAAGTTTGAACTAGTCACAGCAACAAACTGAACTGATAAAAATGCCTGCCTTAGAAGACAAAAAATAGCACAGAAGAGAAAACAGGCCACAGAATTTCCTCATTAAGGATCTTCTAGGGCCAAAGTATATCATATTGTCTATCAGTTGTCTTTATTAGCATGTAAATCAGAGATAAAGAGTGAAAGTGTTGCGTCACTTCAAGCTCTGACTCCTAAAAAAAAAAAAAAAGATCCTGAATGGACTACATCTAAAATGTAAAATAGCAGCAAAGAAGAAAACATGTCTGGCCATACCATATGTGAAGGAAATGTTTAACATTAAAGTTAAGACAATAAAATTTAAATTTCCCATGAAATGAACTCTAGAGGGGACAAAAAATAATTTGCAATCTTCATAAAGTGACTCGTCTCATGAAACAGAAGTATTGCTAACACTAGTTATCATTTCAGTGATTCCACAAAGAATTTCCCACTAAAAATACTTAGTTTTTATGTCATGGAATACATAGTCACCATTTATGAAATATATATTTAAAAGAATAAATGAACATATATTAAATTTAAAAACAATTAACCAAGAAAATGGTTGTATTTATTTTCCTGAATTTACCTGATATTTACTTGGGATACTGAATATGAAAACGTGACATCAATAATTCTAACTTCCTAAAAAATATATTTGCTGCTTGTAAGAGTAATCATTTCAGAAAGCAAAATTATTAGTATGATGATAAAATAAATGAAAAGAACTTGGGTAGCTTCTCTGCTTTTTACCTGAAGCTTCTGATTTACTTTGAAGGGACAGGGAATGGGGAGGCTGAATTAGTGGACCTCCCTACCAACTTGCACAAAGATGATGAATAGGGAAAAAGATTCAAAGTTTTGGCCACTATCATACCATTTACTATTTACTTTATCCTCCTCATACCTTGGTTTAAAATGCAGGACAGGCATACAAAAGCTAACAAGGGTGGGAGGAAAGCAATCAATGAGTGAATAAGCTGTGAAATAATCTGGTAAGAATCCTGATTTAGAAAATCATTTTTTAAAATTACGTATCTTATAATCACACGAAAAATATTTTCAATGGCTTGAGATAAATGGGATCAGAATTCTATAATCATTCAATTATATTAAGTCCCTTTAGTGGCTAGAGGGAAATTGGATTTGCTGATTGATTGATCGATTGATTGTCTACGGCATTTGCATCAGCCGAGATCTAGTTGGAATACAGAGAGCCCGTTAGTTGTTTAAACAGAGAGAATTTAACATGGGGAATTGTTAATTGTTGGAGGACTAAAGGTACAAATAAAAAGTGAGAAAAAGAAAGAAAGAAAAAGGACACTGATGTAGCCTAGTAATGAAAAATTGCGAGAAAAACTAGAATACCTGTAGAGCTTAGGAAACAGAAGGAAGGATTTCGGAGTTATCAGAGACTAAAAGTCTGGCACAGAGCCCTATGGAATTGGGACTCAGCCTTCCACGGAGAGGAAACTGACTGGCGACTCTTGGTAACTCCAAGAGAGAGTGATGAAACTGATTCCAGGAATGCAAAAAAGAAACCAAGAAACTGGCACTGCAACCAGCAAATGGCTGCTGCCAGGATGAAGTGCCATTGCTGCGGCAACCCTGAAAGGAACGGCCTGCAAAGCCGGACGCAGTAGCTCCCCTCACCCCGCCATTCGGTCTCCCTCTAGCGTGCCCTACTGGCCAAACTTATTAAGAAGCCAGATGGCAAAGCGGATATGCAGAGCGCTGAGACTAGCCCGGGGAATCACAAAGCTGGTGGGTTTGGAGCTGAAAGATAACAGCTTAAAAACTGGCACTGACGTTGAATTAAGGAAATTAAGATGTGATAACTGATAAGAATTCTTTCATTCTAAATCATAATATTATTCTGTGGTAAAAACAAGCTGAGGTACTGACTCCAGAAATAGAGCTGAGCCTGTCCAGAGGCTAGATGGCTGGGGACTTCTGAGAGCAACAGAAAAGATGAAAATGTTCAAAGCACAATTTTGTCATCTGATCTCCTTTTTTGAGTCTCCTTTGAAAGAATCACTTCCTCGGTGCTTCAGTGACATTCTCTATAAAACTGTACTGACTTTTTACCCTACTCTACGCTATATATAAATATAAGCCAAAACCACATAGGACCTGGCTATATTTGGTATGCCTCATCTATCATGGATAGTTAATTTGTGCATTCATCTTTTAAAACTAATAATGAATTTCTAAAACCTTTTAAACGGGCTTAAGTTTTGTAATCCATTTACGGAACATGCCTGCAATGAAAAATTAATTATTAAACAAGAGCCTTGGGAGGACATCAGCGGCCTTGTCACCCACGCACTTGATTGATAACATGTCAGTTTCCAGACCACGGAGGGTGCTGACAGCTCTCAAATTTAAACCCGGAAGGGTAATGCTAAGCATGTCATGGCATAAGTCACATTTTTAAATTATTTTTTATTAAATGTTAGATAGAATAAATTCATCCATGCCTCTCAAACTCAGCCTGATTAAATGAGCTGGCACTCTTTCAAATGTAAAGCATGGTTATGGCTTCTCAAGGGCATCGGAAAGGCTGAAGCATAAGACACGGTAAATACAAAAGGCAAAAGAGGTGGACAGTGATATATTCACAAGCACCACGGGCGAAGTGAGGTTTTTAAAAATGCTGAGGCTAACAAAACAAGGGCAGCACGGTCCCCAAATGGTAAATGCACCTGCAGTGAGAGACTCTGCTTGAGTGCTGGTGCATAAAAGTGTCCACCACTAAGGGAAAAAAACAACAGTAACAACAACAAAACCCTAAGAAACAGAAAGGAACAGCTGTAACCAATTTTCAAACCCTAAGTTTTGAGGTTGGGTTAGGAAGTTAGAATTGTTCCATGTTTGTGTCAGTTCTACCCTTTAATTTCACAAAGTTAAGATGGTTTTCTGTGACTATAAAAAAAGAAAAGAACATCTGTTATAGTGTGTCTTCCTGTAGCAAAGACTACTGCTTCTTGAGCTTTTCTTCTTTCAGGCAAACCTCAATCTCATTCTATAAAAAGATTGAAAAATTATGTATATCAAATATACTCGAGCAGTTCAGAGAGAACATATCATCTGCATTACTGCTGTCTAAAAATCCTCTGATATACTGAATTCAAACTAAAAGAACCTAAATGAAGAAAACAATAATTTACTTAGACCCAACTGGGTCACAATATTTGAAAAATGATACAGATTATTTTCTCTGTATACTATGAATTATTGTATTAACTTCATTTATTTTTTTTCAATAATTATTTGCAATTAATTCGGCTGATGGGCTAAACTCTCCAGAAGATACAAATATGTGAACAACACTGTCTAGTCTTGCAGAGCTTTGTATTTAATGGGAAGATACAGTAAAGGAAAATGTTCTGTCTTATCTGAGAGGCACAAGGAAAGTGCTATGTAAACTGAAGCTTGGGTTCTCAGAAGAGGTTTCATTAAGAGAATATCTTACCAGCGGGACATTTTATTGAATGTTACTATTTTTCCAGGTAGTTGGAGTACATTGGTGAATAGTCACCACTCTCTGCCCTTGTGAAGCTTGTATTCTAGTGAGTACAGACAAGTAATATTCAATACACAGTAATAAATATGTTATATGACATGTTAGAACATTAGTGTTTAAAAAAAAAAGAAAAAGCACAGGATAGTTGGGATTCTGAGTTCTTCATGCTGGGAATGAGTGATTATAGTTTTAATTAGGGTGGGTGAGGTAGGCCTCACAGAGAAAGAGATATTTGAAAAAAGATTCTACTACATTCTTTCAACTTTTAAACTAAATAAATTTAATTGTTAAAGAATAAGTAATTTGATATGTGAAGAATTTTAATAAGCATTGCTAGTGTGAGAGTGTTTCAAGAAAGGAAATAGCATCAACATTATAAATTAAGTTTATGTGTATGCTCAGTGCCTAGTACCAAACTGACATACAGTAAGCACACAAAAATGTTTACTGAATAAATGTACAAGTAAACTGATAGTATTATGAAATCCCTGAATGAATGTGTCTAAATGTGAATAGTACTGTTTGGCTAGTAAGTGTCTGGTTTCTTGCAGAATCGTAAAAGAAAAAGCTAACAAGTTAGGTGGAGACCTTACTCCAAATGCAAAATTAAAGGATTTTTATAGAAAATTCAGTATAGAATTGAAAACTAAGTTTTTAGCATCAAGGAAGAAAAGAACAGAGAAAAAGAGTTGTTGACAGGAATAGCATTGTGCTTTGAAGTGGTGGTTAAGTTTGATTAGATATGAAAGACACTGGAAATGTGGGAGGTGATTATTAGACTCCTAAATACCCCTTTCAAGAGATAACACAGACTTAAGGTAATATTATCATATTGGAACTTGAAAACTGGGCTATATCCAAAAGAAACTTATCCATTCATTCATGGAATCTTTTATTTAGGAAGTGTGTTCGTTCATTTGCATTGCTATAAACGAATACCTGAGGCTGGGTAATTCATAAAGAAAAGAGGCTTATCTGGCTCATGGTTCTACAGGCTGGACAGGAAGCATGGTCTGGCATCTACTTCTGGTGAGGGCCTCAGGAAATTTACAATTATAACAGAAGGTGAAGGGAAGCCAGCATATCACATGGCAAGGGCAGGAGCAAGAAAGGGAGGGAGAAGGTGCCAGGCTCTTTTAAGCAACCAAATCCTATGTGAACTCATAGAGGGAGAACTCATTACCAGGAGGACAGCACCAAGCCATTCATGAGAGATGCACTCCCATGACCCAGACACCACCCATTAGGCTCGTCACCAACACTGGAGGTCTGTTTTGTTTTGTTTTGTTTTGTTTTGTTTTGTTTTGTTTTGTTTCTGAGACGGAGTCTCACTCTGTTGCCCAGGCTGGAGTGAAGTGGCACAATCTTGGCTCACTGCAAACTCCGCCTCCCGGCTTCAAGCCATTCTCCTGCCTCAGCCTCCCGAGTAGCTGGGACTACGGGCGCACATCACCATGCCTAGCTAATTTTTGTATTTTTAGTAGAGACGGGGTTTCACCATGTTGGCCAGGCTGGTCTCGATCCCCTGACCTCGTGATCCGCCTGCCTTGGCCTCCCAAAGAGCTGGGATTACAGGCATGAGCCACCGCGCCTGGACTGGAGGTCATATTTCAACATGAGATTTAGAGGGAACAAAACAACCAAACCATATCAGGATGAAAAGAAAGAAAAAATAAAAATTCTGGGCCAGGTTACATGAAACACTAGAATAGAGGATGAAACCTGTCAGTTTGTGTTTGTTTGTTTGTTTAATTCTCTTAGCACTCACAATGCAATCATAAAGATATGTAGATGCAGATTGTGATTTTTGATATTATACAATGAGAGTGCAAAGTGATATGAGAAAATTTTATATGAAGAATTATCTAAATTGGACACCCACTGGGGCCTTCAGGGTAAATAATGATTAATCCAGTTTAGAGAGTGGCAACAGTGTCCACAAGTGAGAAGAGAATGTGCCAGGGCCCGAGGAACAAATCAAGGAGATTAGAAGAGGGCAGGAATAGCAAGGAGATGATAATCTGGAGATTGTTGGTTTAAGGAGTTCTTGGAATTGAAGAAAATTAATAGCAATGTGTCAACCAATAGAGTTGTTCCTTGGGAAACTCCATAAATGGGTCTTCAACTACCACACATGCCAATTAGCTAGTAGTTTTAAAATATCTGTCTATAGCTCTGCTCACTCTTCTGAGTTCTGTACTCTCACAATCCTACTTCCTATTGTGATTCCAACCTGAGTGTGTGTGTGTCTGTGTCACTCAGATCAATATATTCCCAAATTAAACCTATACATCTCCCTTACTTCTTCAAACTTCCTCTTCCCCTTTTTACTTAGTTGGTGAAAGAAACAAAGTTTTCATCTCAGCAGTTGCCAAAATTAAGGAAAACATAATTCAGGCATCGTTGACTTCTCCCTCTTCCTCATAGTTAGCCAGGTCCACTTCTACTCACACATTCCTGCCAGTTGTCTCTGCAATGTCTCCTATAACCAGCCCTTACACTCAATTATCAGTTCAGTTTCTCATCAATCTTCCACTCAGACTGTTGTAATTAAATTCTAATTGTTCTTCTTTCCTTTATTCCTTGTTGTTCTTCAATTCATTCTTTCTAATGCTGCCCATGAAGTCTCTACACAATGAAAGCGCCACAAAATGTCATATTATTAAGGCTCAATTAAAAAAATTAAATAAAGAGCAACAAAATACTTCAGTCAATTGTTATCAACTGCAAATATAACCCAAGATAAACCATAAATTCCTTTGAAATGCTCAGAGTCCTTTGCCATCAAAATCAACCTTCTGTCCATCCTGTAATAACAGCCATTTCCCTAGCCAATCATCCTTTAGAACGTCTTGCTTCCCAAGCAAATTGGGTTCTTGCCTATCTCTCTGCCTTTGCTCAGATTGTGCATGTTATTCATTTGTCCTCAGTCTCACAAACACACACTTACACTTCAAGGCCCAGTTAAAATGTCATTTAATATCTAAATTCAATTAATACAGCCTGAAATGTCAGGCAAAGTTGAGATACAGGTTTCAGTCAGCAGCAAATAGTAGAAATATTGATAATAGATGACAGTAGAAAAGGAAGATCCCTTAAAAAAAGAAGTGAAGGAAGAGGAGCAAACCCAATTATAGTTCTAAGGACTATACTTCAAGGTTCTATGTTCTTTGAATTTTTAAACTAAATATAATTAGTTTTTATACCATTAAACTAAATATATTTAACTGTTTAAGAAAAAAGTTTTTAGTTTAATTAAACTAAAGAGCTTCTGCACAGCAAAAGAAACTACCATCAGAGTGAACAGGCAACCTACAAAATGGGAGAAAATTTTCACAACCTACTCATCTGACAAAGGGCTAATATCCAGAATCTACAATGAACTCAAACAAATTTACAAGAAAAAAACAAACAACCCCATCAAAAAGTGGGTGAAGGACATGAACAGACACTTCTCAAAAGAAGACATTTATGCAGCCAAAAGACACATGAAAAAATGCTCACCATCACTGGCCATCAGAGAAATGCAAATCAAAACCACAATGAGATACCATCTCACACCAGTTAGAATGGCAATCATTAAAAAGTCAGGAAACAACAGGTGCTGGAGAGAGGATGTGGAGAAATAGGAACACTACACTGTTGGTGGGACTGTAAACTAGTTCAACCATTGTGGAAGTCAGTGTGGCGATTCCTCAGGGATCTAGAACTAGAAATACCATTTGACCCAGCCATCCCATTACTGGGTATATACCCAAAGGGCTATAAATCATGCCGCTATAAAGACACATGCACACGTATGTTTATTGCGGCACTATTCACAATAGCAAAGATTTGGAACCAACCCAAATGTCCAACAATGATAGGCTGGATTAAGAAAATGTGGCACATATACACCATGGAATACTATGCAGCCATAAAAAATGATGAGTTCATGTCCTTTGTAGGGACATGGATGAAATTGGAAATCATCATTTTCAGTAAACTATCGCAGGGACAAAAAACCAAACACTGCATATTCTCACTCATAGGTGGGAATTGAACAATGAGAACACGTGGACACAGGAAGGGGAACATCACACTCTGGGGACTGTTGTGGGGTGGGGGAGGGGGGAGGGATAGCACTAGGAGATACACCTAATGCTAAATGACGAGTTAATGGGTGCAGCACACCAGCATGGCACATGTATACATATGTAACTAACCTGCACATTGTGCACATGTACCCTAAAACTTAAAGTATAATAATAATAAAATAAAATAAAAAAAAGACTTTATAGAAAAACTGTTAAAACTACTAAACAAATCCAATAAAGTTGGAGGATACAAAATAAATTTACAAAAATTCGAAAAAAAGAAAAAAGTTTTTATACAGTTAAACTAAATATATTTAACTATTAAAGGAATAGGTAACTTGACATCATTCCTATTCTTCAATCACGTTTCTGGGAAAATAAAGTTCACAAATAATAGAATCAATATTTCTTTGTGCAGTAAGAAACTAATACCATTCTTAATTTCTATCCATGCTAAAAAGGGGATTTCCAGATTAATTCATGACGAAGTGATTATATTCACAGTGCTTTTAAATAGTGTAAAGCTAAGAGACAAATAGCAAAATATTTTCTTCTGTTTTAAAATATTACTTTCCTGATCCTTTTAAAGTGCTAAAGTCATTTATAGAAAATCTTTATTGGTAGTTTTTGACTTGCATTTATCAAATACGTACTATGGGCCTGTCAGTTTTCTAAGTATTTATTTACAAAATGGTAGATGAGGAATAGCAATTACAACTACCCACATTTCACAAAAGATTAAACCAAGACTTTAGAAAGGCAAACTATCTTGCCAAAGTCACATAGCTAATAAGTTCGATACAGAAGTAAGTGTGTCTGATTCAAATGTTTATTTTCCAACTAGAGAGCCGATAAGCTTGTTTTTATAACAACATACATAAATAAAAGTGGAGATTTGATGTTTGGATTACGATTCAAATATAGTTATTGTGCTTCTATTGACCACATTAATTAGTATTTAATGTAAAACAGCAAACTGATTTTAAAACTGAACTCAACACTTAAAAATTGTGTCTTGAGAGTTTTAAGAATTATGTCCTTGAAAATGATGTCACCGGTTGTAAAGGGGCAAGAATAGGGAGCTATGCCATGCTGCAGGGAATCCCAAGTTTTAGTTTGTTAATTTCTCACTACTTAGAAAACAAGGGTAGAGAGAAATCCCAATAAGGGAAAAGCAGTGGCTTGTTCCCTGGCTGGCATGGTCTGAGAATGCTCTTGGTACAGCATTCTAAGTACCTAGGAGAGAATGTCAATCCCCTTGGTTTAATTAGGACCAGTGTTGTTTGGCTGTGACTGAAAGAGAGAGAGAGGGCAACATGGGATCTAAGAAACAGCAGGAACAGACGGGGCTGTGTACGCTTAGTGGGGCAGAGGGGACGGCAGAGTCCCCCAAGGTAACAGTGAATCCCAGGTACCCCGCTTAAGAGCAGAACCTTGAGGAGACCATCTTTGTCACTCCCAAACTTGGATATATTAGCTATATTAGGCTTCTTTAGCTTTTACTTCTTTCTTGCCTTGTTTTAATTTCTCCCAGTACAGGTAACTACACGGCAGAAAACTTGTAAGAATTTAGTCATGATCAGGAAGATTTTCAGCTTATTGATGTTTCCTCACAGTTCTTGTCCAAAAATGCGGGTTTCCACTGTATTGAATCACTTCTTAAATAAATATTGATTATGTGAAATAGTACCAAGAAATGTGCTCCTTGTTTTCAGAAAGAGTTACAGCCACACTAGTTATATAAGAAGTAAGCTAGTTAGATTCTCTTGTAGAATGTCTTTATCTTCAGATTTCCTTGGGGTGAAAATTTTAAAAGATTCAAAATATTTGGTTTTATGTAAAGCCACACCATTAATTGTTAAAATATAGAAAGCAGAGTAATTATGAAGAAAAATATTTATTATTAAAAATTTAATTTGCTATGTCAATAACCTCACTATTAAACAGATATTTACTAAGGATTTTAAAGCTGCTTATATAAATTCATAAGCTAGTCAATAACTTCCTAATTAAACTCAAATTTAAAAATGGATACAATGAAGTTCTCAAAATTTATATTAAAATGCTTATGCTTATAATCTAGGCATATACGTGATATTGTATTTTATACTGTTAGAATGGTAATCAAATATGTTTGTCTGAATTTTTAAATTTATTAAGTCTGTCCTAAAAGTCACTATTCTGTTTTAAAATTAATTTTACAATTAATCAAGAGTCTAAGAATTAAATATTTACATTTCTCATTTCTCTTTTTTAAGAAGATAAAAAAAAACCCTCACCAATTTTTAGAGATCAATAATGATCTCTGTTTTGTTTCCAAACAGTACTGATGTGCTAAATCTAATTTCTCAGAACTTAACTTTCACCGAAATAAAGTTATTCTTCCTGAGAATTTAATCTTCTATGAACTTCTTTTTTTCCTGTAAATTTGCCATCCAACTCTACTTTTAATTAACAGTTTTATTTTGGTATTTTTGTCTCTAATTTAAAAATATAATAAATTGTGTTCAAAATGGGACATATTGACCAGTCCATTAATTATCAGGCTATCTGATCTAGTTCTTTTATTTTATGGTTCTTTAACAGCAATTACTAGTATTTTTTTTTCATTTTCAGCCATCTATGTCTTGGGCCTTTCTGTACTCCCTGTGTGTACATGGAGGCTTTTTTTTAATTTGTTTGTTTTTAATGTTAAATGTAGAAGTCAAATTTAGAGATGATGTTAATGGAGCCACTAATCGGTTTATGAAACCACCTTGACCTTTACCAGACCCATTTTCCTCAGTCTCCCAATCAAACTGGTTGACCTGGTTTATTTAAGGAGCTTTCTCACAATTGTAATTGTATACACATATACATACACATACATGGTAAGTGTATATGATTTAGAAATTCATTGTACAGAGCAAACATACTGATGAAAGTATTATGTTATATGTCAAAAGCGACTTTACAAATAACTTCCTTGCAACA
Organism: Homo sapiens; assembly: GCF_000001405.40. Classification (NCBI taxonomy): domain Eukaryota; kingdom Metazoa; phylum Chordata; class Mammalia; order Primates; family Hominidae; genus Homo; species Homo sapiens. The sequence goes on from NC_000013.11 coordinate 67,003,285, forward strand.
AAGGTCTTATTTGATTACTAAAAAGCCATTTTATATATATAAAAATACATTCTGGCCCTTTGAATTGGGCTTTGACAACTTTAAGTAATGGTAAAAAAGAAAAAAAAGATTCCTCTCCTTATTCCATAGTATGTTTATTATTAACATGTATTGTTATCACATTGTTTTAAGGAATTATAATGGTACAAGTTTACTTTCGCATTTCACTCTTTTATTCTATGTGAGGATATCTACACAAGATATGTTTCTTAATATTAATCAACCCTTGATGGATACACATATTATTAGATAGATTTAGCATTTCGGGACTTTGAATGTACCTGGAAACATCACATCCAACAACTTAAATGAAGATGAAAAGAGAACCAATATAGTATGAAGCAGGAATTTTATTACTTTGTGCACTGCCAAAGAGCCTGTCCCCACTGCGAAATTACTCATGATACACTCAAGATGTTTTACTCTCTAGTCTATTCATTATAACTACAAAATTAAATAACGCTTTACAGGAACGCTTTTAATGATTGCTCCTCGTTATTAGAGATAGCACAGGAAGAAAAAGCCTTTATTTTAAAAAATAGTCTCCTTAAAAGGTATATCTGTCACGAGTTCTGTATCCTGCTAGTCTCTAGGGAAGGCAGATGGATGTGCCCGTTCCCATGTGCAGGGGAAATGTAACAGACCTGACCGAGCCTCTGATAAATCTTCTCTATAGTCCCATTAGTTTTGATGAAGTTCTTTGAGAAACTGAGAAGAGAAAAATGCCTGTGAAAAACATCCCTATTATGTAGTGTGGTGTTATCAGGACTCTGATTTATTTACTAGAAGGGATTCGGTCACAGAGGTAAAAATTAACTTTTTTTTTTTGTTATATACATTTGCTTAGTGCAAACATATGGTTAAAAGCCTGACTTTTCACAATATGATACATTAATTATCAGATTCCTTTAAAATATTCCCACAAAATATTGGCTTCTTAAAGTTTTTTAAAAAAGAAATTTATAGGACAGTTGTGTTGGCTCGCACCTGTAATCCCAGCATTTTGGGAGGCCGAGCCAGGTGGATCACCTGAGGTCAGGAGTTCGAGACCAGCCTGGCCAACAAGGTGAAACCCTGTCTCCACTAAAAATCCAAAAATTAGCCAGGCATGGTTGTGGGCACCTGTAGTCCCAGCTACTCAGAGAATCGCTTGAACCCGGGAGGCAGAAGTTGCAGCGAGCCGAGATTGTGCCATTGCACTCCAGCCTGGGTGACAGAGACTCCGTCTCAAAAAAAAAAAAAAAGAAAGAAAGAAAGAAAGAAAGAAATGTATAGCATTCATTTTTGTTATAACATATTTCAAAATCAATATGTTTTAAAAATTTGGCAGTAAGCAATACAGTATGGGCTTCCATGGAGTCCAGGTTGGAATCCAGCTTTTTTCACTTGGGAAAATGTGTGAGTTTGGAAATGTTTCTTGAATTGTGTTTCAGTTTTCTTGGCAGAAAGTAGATAAAGAAATAGTATCAAATTTATGGGATTTGGGGAATGATTAAATGAGATATTTTATTTAAGCCTCTTGTTACTCCTGACAAATAATAATAAATAAATGCTTTAGCTATTATTATCAGCATTGTCCAAGCAATCTTTAAATTTTTCTCTAAGGAAGAAAGGGGACTATTTTGAAGTGGTCCACCTAGCAATAAATATTCCTTTCCAAATTATTTTTGGGATCTTTTTCCTCCTCTCTGTAATTTAGCTGATATAAAACTTAAGTCTCCTTTGTAAAGAGCAGGATAGGAGAAAGAGAACAGATACTGTGTTCCAAGTGTTTTCTATTAAAAACTATCAGTAGAGGAGAGGAATATTCAAAAATTAAGGCAAGCAGAATCACGGACATTTCTGCATATGGGAACATCCATTTGCTTTCCCCATTGATTGAATAGAAGAGTCCCATTCCCAAAACTCTGATCTCTTTAAAAAAAAAAAGTTGTAGGAAGAGGAGTAGGGAAGAGAAGTTGTTTGGTGAAGTCAGGGGATTTTCTTTTACTATTTGAGTTCGCTTTAAATAATTGGCCACTCATTTTGAAGATTTAGGTAAGTTTGCTGGGCTAGCAACTTACTATATAAAAATAGAACTAAGTAGGATTTTCTATGCAACAATTTCAGATAATACTTATTACTTTGTCATTAGAACTCATTCCCCTCACACAGAAACACAAAAATGCACACACACTCATACTTTAAAACGTTAGGAATACCTTTCACTTTCCCCAAATATTCCGTGTATGCTCACTATGTTTGACATCCCCTATCCTTGCCAGTAAACTCATCTTAAGGTCCTTGTGAATCCTACAGCAGCAATTATACTAAATTAAACCATAATAATGGCAATGCATACATTTTAAATATCTTCCACAAATAATATGCTTATTTCTAATTTCCAAAGTAAAGAAATGCATTTAGCTAGGTAACAGATGATGATTGCATTTTCTCCGTGAGAGCAAAGTATGAGTAGGGTGTTTTGATATTCTTTTAATAACATAATTCTGCTTATTTCATAGGTATTTAGTCCTGCCCTATAGCCAGAATGGCCTTAGACAGAATGGCCTTTTTAGATGACTAATCTAAAAAGCTGTGGTAGGCATCATTACATAACAGTATAAAAATTGGATCTTATAGGCCAGGCGCGGCGGCTCACGCCTGTAATCCCAGCACTTTGGGAGGCCAAGGCGGGCAGATCACGAGGTCAGGAGACTGAGACCATCCTGGCTAACACGGTGAAACCCCGTCTCCATTAAATATACAAAAAAATTAGTCGGGCCTGGCGGCAGGCACCTGTAGTCCCAGCTACTCGGGAGGCTGAGGCAGGAGAATGGCGTGAACCCGGGAGGCGCAGCTTGCAGTGAGCGGAGATCGTGCCACTGCACTCCAGCCTGGGCGACAGAGAGAGACTCCGTCTCAAAACAAACAAACAAACAAAAAAATTGGATCTTATAAGGAGAAATATTGTTATAACACCCTAAGTCCAAGACCTAAAAGAATTTGAAACATGGAGGATAGATTGTGCAGGAATGTATAAAATACAAAACCGGAATAGAAATGGAAGAGGCTTCTGTGATAATCTAGGTCATTGGTTCTGAATCTTGGCTGAAATTATCAGAATTACCCGAATAATGTATCAAAAATACTGATTGCCAAGTCTCAATCCCTAAAGATTTGGTTGGTTAGATCTGGAAATAAGTATTTGTAGTCATATCCCTGGCGATTTTCTGCAGTCCCTTTCACACAGGTCCTTGGACCATAACTTAGAACTCAATGACCTAGAAGAAGAAAGCAGATTGGCGAAGGGATATATTAAAAACACAGAGATGTTTTAGCTGTTTAAGTTGAATTAAGGTCATTTATTCTAAAAGTGTCTCTTTGGGAGTACTTATTTGGATGTAATTTTCATTTGTTTAGCTCCTGTTATGTAGTGAACATTACTATATTTAATATCATATTTGATTATTAGATCTAATATATAGCTATATAGTATTTATTTCAATAAGATATAAGTGACTTATTTATAATAATGACTTCATTACAATTTCATAACTTATTTATACATTTAAAGGAAAATACAACTTCAAATATTTTTGCAAACATAGAATTCCATTTTAAAGGGAAATGATGTAATTTCAAAAGGAAAATACTTTTTTAAAGAACGGAAATTGATCTAAGCCTAATTTGTCCTCCAATGTCAACATCCAAAGTATTTGCATATACTAATGCTTCAACATTACTACCAGCGTGTGAACATATTACCTTGAAAAACTCCAAAGAGTATCAAAACTTATTCTGAATTTTTTTTTTCTGGAAAATTTTCCTAAGTATGCAACAGTAGAAAGAGCTATTCTCCAAAACTTCCAAAACACCAGTGTTTAAGGGTTGAAATAGCTAAAAATATTTCAGAACATTGGTTCAATGTCATGGTATTGAATATTGTACAGCCACCAAAAAAATTGTAAAAATGTAAAAAAATTTATAAGTATTAAAAGATAAAATTTTGAGTAAAAAAACACAAATAGGTTCCATATAGGAAGATAGTAAATCTGTTAATACATTTATGTATGAGTATAAGACTGAAAGAAGAGTTAAAACATATTAAGACAGTGGGTTTCTGAGGGGTTTTTAATATTTAATTTTAAAATATAAATTTAATAACAAAATGTAAAAGTTATTAGTAAAATGGTATTCAGTTGGCTTTAAAATTCTTCTGCATCAGTTATTTGTGGCATAATTGAAAACATTATGGGAGCATGGGATATAGAGGAGTAAGAAATAACTTAAATTCACTCATTCAGCAAAAAGTTGTGAACCATATTGTATATTCAGGCCGTGTATATATTGGAATTTGAATAAGAATCCTCATGTGCGTGCAGGTAATGTCCACTTTTGTTTCCGTGTTCCTCATTTTGACAAGTGCTGATCAACAATTTGTGTGAACAAATCCCAGGACTGATGCATCTCTGAGTCCTTGTGCATATGGTTAACACTTTTCTCCAGGTGTCTTTCCTGAATTTGAGAGTGGTTGGGGTATTCGTGAATATATCAACTTTACCTCATGAAAAACATAAAGTGAAAATATCTCACTACTTTTAGAACAACTGGTACATGGAAAATGCTTCTGGTCCTCTGTGATTGTATTCAATGGGAAGGCTTCAAATTGAAGCTTACTTTATCATTCATATTAGCATCCTTCATGAAACACAAATATATTTATTATATATATACTGCAAAAGCTCACATACATTTTATTAAACTTAGAATAATTTCTCATCAGTGTCAGATACAGTTGCATAGATTTGGAATAAGAGAATAAGAAAAAACATAATAATATGGAACAAAATAATGAAAAGTTCTCAACAAATCCTTTGTTATTGTTTACATTCTTTTTAGCAGTTAAAATTGCTAGAGCCTATTCAAAGTTACTGGAGAGTAAAAAGCACTATAACTAACAGTGGAATTTCTTCTAAGTACTAGCTACCCACTGGGAAAAGAACTGTATCACATTTCTTTTCTATGTAAACAATTTAGGCAAGGAGAAATCAGCTAGTACACAATCTATAAAACTGTTGGTTTATATTTTGTGAGGTGAAGACTGTATGTAATTATATATTGTTTTGTTTTATTGTTATTCGGGAAATATGCTGACTCTATATTTTCAGTCCTGGCAACAAATTCCAGTCCTCTTTACCCCACTGGCTACTATAGACTTTTTACATAGATATCCCTCAGTGATAAATAAGAGTCAGCATATTCAAAACAGAATTTTCTATACTTTCTCCATCCACCAATATTATCTTTACCCTGCATCAAATCACCTCTTCTTACTTTCTCTTCTACTGTCCAAAAAGAAGTCTGGAAGCCTAGACTCATCTTAAATAAACCCTCTCCTTCTACTCAACATGTAGCAATTATATCTGGTCAATTCCTTTTTACTTACATATTTTCTTATATTCATTGTATACCTATCAATGTAAGAGAATCATCACTTGCCTATCCGCTTCTAATCTAGCCAATTCTGAATACCCACGGTGCACCTAAACTCCTTTCATTGATGGAGTATATCCTGAACTTACAGTCTAAATTCTCATAGAACAAGAACATTAAAATATTGAATCACAAGTTTATCACTTATTAAACACATTCTATCAACTGTATGTAATAAAGATGCACTAAAATAATTCCTACTTTTCTAAAACAAAACTATTTTATTTTTATTTTTATATTTTTTTATTTATTACCAAACATCTTCATTATAGCAGCTCAGAGCCTAACCTTCTACACAGTGATTACCAAACATTAGCGTTCATCTCAACCAACTTAGGGCCTCGTTAAAACGCAGGCTACTGGTCTCAGAGTTTCTGAATCAGAAAATTTAGTGTTGGGCTCTAGAATTTGCCTTCCCAACAAGCTTGTATATGAGTCTGATGATGGGACTGTACATTGAGAAGCGCAATTCTAACACACAGTTGCAAACTCCTCTTCCAGATTTCAGAGCTGTTCATAATTTCACCCTACTTATCTCACTGTACTTAGTGCAAATTTCTTTTGCTAGATAGAGGTGGGTTTATTGGGAAATTGACACAAAAGTTGCAAGTCCCCTCATTTGTACAGGCCTCTTCAAAGTCCTTATAATTTGTATTCTTTTCTTTAAAGAGAGCTCTACAAATATATAAGCCTCAAGTCACAAAAAGCCTAAATCCTCCCCTGAATCAAGCATCTAGGATTTTTAATTGATCTCCAAGTATGTTAAATTCTTTTTCATTTCTGTGCCTTCTCTGGTCTGTACTCCTTATTTAGTCAGGAGATTTAGCCCTCACTCTGCATTTGTTTCTCTCCCACAGCAGATTCCACCCATCGTTGACTCTCAAGACCATTTATTTATTTACTAAACGGATCTAACTCTTTTTTTATTGATGGTTAACTGCCTTGCATTGCTACTAGTTCTCTTTTTAAAAATACTTCGCATTTAGTTAAGTTTTTTTTTGCTTTTAGTGTTGAATGTATTAAATACAATATAGTTATTATCAATAAAACAAAGACATGCAACAGATCACATAGTAAACACTATACATTGGAATTTTTATATTTAATAAAGAAATGTCCTACCAGCCTTAAAATGTAAGGAGCATGTGACTGTCTCTAAAGAGTCCAAATATAAAATCCTTTTGGATGTCACTTTACCAAACTACATATCTGCTAATTAACTGATGTTCAGGAAATGTGAAGAGCAAGTTAATCAAGTTAATTAAAATAACTATAAAAATAAAAGCTTATATTTATTGAAGACTGACTAATGGGCAGGTACTGTGCTAAGAGGTTTACACATATTAATATGATCTAACCTCAATTTTTCCCTAAAATTAACTACTATTATTGTTGGAGTGGTTGTTGTTTTAAGATAAAACTGAACCTAGAAATGTTGATAAGTTCCTTAAAGTCCCCAGCTAGTATAGAACACGGATTCAAACCCCCAACTACAGGACTCCAAAGCCTTAACTTTAATTTACCTAATCAGGTAAATTAGCAGCTGTAATCCATTATGTTGAGGCACGGTGGGTGCCTCACAGTGGGGAAATCCTTTCAATCATTTTTCTTCTCTCTATTGCCTATAAAAGCCTGTTAGGCAGGAAGCTAACTTCACTTAGCTACAGCACAACAGCACAAACAGGTATACTTGGAAGTCAAGAGATCTCCAATGTCATTTTTATAGCTTTCAGACTGATACATGCCAGCTAACAGATTTTGATGATGGCTATTATTTGATGAATGTCCTATTAGTCCTAGGATCTTCTATTACTAGTTTATTCTGTTCTATTTGCCATACTCTTTTCCTTAGTTATGTATGCATTGCCCAATTCATGACAATTCTGGACTCCTGCAGTGATTTCTTGTCCTTGATGACAAAAATACACCTCAGGACATATTTACATTACAACTGGACCTTTACTATTAATAATTTAAAGAAAAGTAATTCAAATTCAGATTAGCCACCATCGATGGGAGGTAGAAACTAGTGGGTAAAGTAAAATGTTGGATTATTTGACTTCCATTTTTCTGAAGTAGAAAGATTAGATATTTAGTTCTATTTTTCTGCCAGTTACCCTTCTATGGATTCAAAAGAATTTCACAGACATTGTGATATTTATCACTATATTCATATGACTTAAAAGTGAGTAATACAATTTCCTACATCAATGTAAAACTACAGAAAAAGGAAATGAAGACATATGTATGACATGGTGGCAATAACTTACAAATTCTGACTCTATTAAATATAGTGCCACATTTTTTCTTCATATATCATTTGTATTGCCCCTTTTAATCATGATGTTATTTACATCAACTCTATGATAAAGTAATGTCAAATATTTACTTACGGAACTGTCACCCCCCCAGTACTTATTAGGCACACACTACATTCAACGTAAACATCAGGAAACAGAAAAATATGTGTCTATATCCTGCATTTATAGTCTAAATTCTAACAGAACAAAAACATTATTCAAATAGTGAATTACAAATTTATCATTTATTAAATGCATTTTACCAACTGCATATCATGAAGATGAACTAAAATAATTACCACTTTTCTAAAATAAAACTATTTTATTTTAATCTTGGGAGATGGGAAATTTGCCAGAATGCTTTTCATTAGATATCTGTTAAATTAATACCTTAGCAGTCACTCTACTACTGAGGAGTATTATTCGTATGCCAAAAATGAAATATCTTCTGTACAGCACCTACCCATCACAGTAATGCAAGAGACTGTGTCCCATATGAAACATCACTAGAACGTTGTAATAGGACCTGAGGCATTTCATTTTTAATTAGAGAAGTGTCAAAAAGACTAATCAAATTAAACATAACAGTACTAACAGATTAAATAACCTATTTGGAGTGAGTCATGCATGATGGTTGGAGAGCTGAATATTGTAGGCTGCTTTTCTTAAAATTATCCTGCAAAAATGTTTTGGTCTTGAAGGGGATGTTCACATTTAGATCACTTGTTCCTTGAAAATATGACTAGGTCGCTACTAATATCAGTAAACCTGTCCTCCCAAATAATGAAGCACCTATTTTGAAATTCATCTTTCTTTTACTCAGCAAAAACAGCACTCTTCTTTATAGCTTTATAAAGAGAACACATTTCATTTCAATTATCAGTTAAATCATGAAACTAAAGTTAAATACATGACCTCGCCTTGAATAGAGTATCCTATGTAGAGCAGTAACTTCTTTCCTTTTCTTCACTTGCTTCCTGCCTTCCTTCCTTTCTTCCTTTTTCTTTCCTTCTTTGGCAAATCTGAAATCATTCTACGGTTTCTTTAATGTTTTATTCAAAGAACCAACTTTGAAAGAATCGATTTTAAAAGATTTTTAAACAGTGATTCTATTGTTACTTGTTGAATAGAATATTAAACTATTAGAAATTCAATAAATGTAACCTTATAAATTATAAAAATTATAAAATATATTTTGTATTTTAATAATGTGCACGTGTGTGTATGTGTGAGAGAAAGAGAGAGAAAAAGTAAGAGTAAACCTGGCCATCATGTTTTCTCTGGTGATTTACATTCTTTTTCAAGGCACAACAAGTAAGTTATTACCAACAATATTGAATTACTTTGTCTAACTTTTCATTGATGCAAGAAAGAAAGAAAAAACAACAAAAACAAAATAAATGGTGGGACCTCAAGATTTTTCCTGATGAATGAACACTGATAAGAAAATTCTGAATCATTGTTCCACCCAGTTAATACTATTAATGGACTAATGAACAGCAAGACTACAAATACGTTGAATGGTTAGTGAGTCGCATTTTTTTCCATTTCATGAACAGAAGAGACAGCCTCTGACTCATCCAGCTTCTGCCCCCATAATTGGGATGGTTCCTGCCCTCCTCTCCTCCAACTAAATCAAATAGTTAACGCTAAAACACTCAAAATAGACAAATATTTCCTTTTTTATGTAAAACGATTAAAGAGTCACACTGTAGCGAAAATTCCGAAGTGTTACTATATTATAAAAGGCCCAGAAGATCAATTGTAGCGGACCTAAGTGTAAATTGGCTGGCATTAGACATCTTGGAGAAAAGAGCACTCTTCTCAGACCTCATGGAGATAATTAGGCCCAATTACTAGGTGAAGTCACTGTACTCATTTAAGACTCAGACAATGTGTCAATGTGTGCATGTGTGTGTGTGTTCCATAAAAATTGTGGCATAACAAAATTATAGCTGTGATCATATAGTAGTCTTTTTTATTAATAACATTTCTATGATTAGAAAAGTGATAACATGGTCACTGTAAAAATTTTAGAGTATCTAGGTGAATGTATTGGAAAAACATAAATCACCCATGAAATCACCACTCAGAAATAACCAGTGCTAAAATCCTGTTACAGTTTTTCGAGGCCATATCCTAAACATATACTTGTTTTTTAATGTAACACACACACACACACACACACACACACACACAATCCTACACATATTTCCCCTTCCTGAAATATGGATCATACTTTTATATCCTATTTTTTGTTAACTTTATGACATAAACATTTTATCCTATATCATTGAATGTTAAATTTTTAAAAATCATGATTTCATCTTCTGGATGTAGATTTATTTAACCACCTATCTGTGGTAAACAGCTGCATGCATAATTTTTTATCCATATCTCTGATTATTTTCAATGATATAAGCACCTGGATGTCAATTAAATTTTTGATTTTTATACACTATAATTATAACACAATGCTTTATTTAAATATATCATTGAAACTCATGCTTCATGACCACATAACCTATTATTTGTACATAGACTGAGCCTGCTCACTTATCATTCCTCAGATGATAGCCTCATTCATCCTTAATTGGTTGTCCTTGGATATTGTTGATGGATAACAAAAAAAAATCAAAGATTAAATAGGAAAAATACAATGTCCCGTATAAAAACAATTCTATATTTGAGAAAAACAGGTTTAACATAAGACTATTGACCTTAACTATGAAAAAAACAGACAAGAGGGGAAAGACCATGAGAGCAGATGACAGACAGTACCAGAACAATTGTTATCATCACGAGATAAGCATCATCTGTGTCCCATGCTCTTGTTCTAATTCTCAGTGTAACCCAACACTCTGTCCCTCAGCCTATTTCAAACTCTGTTTATTTGTTCTTCAGAAACTTTTCTGCTTCCTTCATATTCAAGGTGTTTAAAAACAGAGATCAAAACATATATTTTCCCATTCAAATATGAAACTAGTCAGAACTCTTTTGCTTTCAATAAATCTAGGCAATTTATTTGTCCCCACTAAAAGAAGAATTACTTTCTGTAAAGTGATAGTAATACTAGCTTACGATACACACTTTTTACTAAAATACTGTCCCCAAACAGCTCTTCTGAGCCTGGCCAGTAAGTAAGATTGTCTTATATTGATGCCCTTTGTAGAAACAAAGAACTAGCAATATGTAGAGGTAGAAACTGCAACAGGTAGCCCAGGCACAGTCTTATACTGGATGCTCTCATATTGCTTTCCTCGCATAATATCCTTTTAAGTTGATGGTGTCTTCTAGAACTTTTATTCACTTGTAAGAAAAAATTGGAATCTTCAGTCTTTCCCCAGAGTGTTCCCTCTATTATGCTACTTACCTGAGGTATGATTTTCTGTTGATAACATCATTGCTTTTATGTTAGTTCTACCAAGCACACTTAATCATATCTACTTGGCTTCCTTTCTTATTTTCTTTAACAAGATTCTGAGCCACACCCACTCTACTCAAAATTCTGCCCTGTCCCACACACACATAGCCAATCCTTCAGCAGGTGACCTATTTCTGTACCACTATTAACTGACTTCTTTACAGTTTCTTGGGAAGAAGTGGCCCAATTAGTTTTGAATTGTGTTTTTGATCTCCTACCCCTCCTATGATCTTATTCTCCCCTCCGAACTTCCATTGCCTCCATCCACCATTTCTGTGCTTGTAAATAACTTAAAATATCCTCCATGTTCAAAGACCTCTTTTGAGCCTTGCTCCTCTGCAAGAAGCTGCCCCACCACTCCTTTTCTTAGTTACCAAATTTCTTGAATTAATTGTCTACCCTTTTTTTCTTTTTACTCTAAAATAACCACTGCCTCCCATTTCACAGTGAATTCATAACTGTCAATTCCAAAGATCAATTCCAAAATTAGTTTTGGTCCTAGTCAAGTTTCCTTGACTTCACAAACGCATTTAACAAGAGGATACTCCATATTTGTAACGATTTTCTTCTAAAACATACATGGAGATTATTGACTCCTGGCTCCTCATTTACCACCTTTTCCCACTGTCTGCATTGGTAACTCTTTTGAAGACACCCCTTTAATTGCTATTTGAACCTGGGCCTCACTCTCTTGTGTTATCAGTCTGCACACACTCCCTGGACAGGCTCACTGGCTTCTGTGACTCTGTAAGCAGGTAAGTATCAAATCTGAAGATATGTGGGCGAATGTGAAAAATATGGCCTGAATTTTAAGTGAGATTTGGAATGTGGGATACAGAAGATAATGAAGCTTAATTTACAAAAATCAAACTTTGTTAGTTATCCCTTCTCTCCATTGAGCTTTGCTTATCCTCTCTACTTCTGGTATTTCAATGGTGTCACCACCTAGCCAGTCGCTCAACTTTGAAATCATCAAAGTTGATTTGATAAATCATCTTTATCATTTGTAAATCATCAGACTTACCCTTCTTTGTTGCTATTTCTCTCAATGACTGATTTCTAATCTATTTTGCTTACCACCATCACAATTACCTTTCAAATACCTAGAATAGAACATACATTGAACAGATTCAAAAGGCTTAAAAACTTTGATGATTCTCTCAACAGCATTCAACATCCACCTACTATTCAACTGCTTTACATGTTAGTCCCAACTTCAGTTTCTAATCTCTGTCCTTGCATAATTGTTCTCTTCATTCTACCCAAGGAAAAGTAATCTCTCATTCATCTATGTTCCTATGGCTCATTGTTCCTGTCAGTAGTTATAGCTCTCAGCTACTTCTGTTTTATGAAATTATTTGCATGGCTGTCCCTCCAGTGAAATTATAAGTTCCTGATTGGTAGTGGCCATAATATTCACCTCAATTCCCACACCAGCACAATTCCTAGTAAATATTTGGAGCTCAACATATATTTTAAGAGTGAATTTCAGCAATTAAAATCATTCTGATATATCACAAGTATAACCTGATTTTTGATGAGGTTAATTCAATACCAAAACATGCTTTAGTGTACCTTTAGGTTTATTAAAAGTTAGAGCCTGCCTTAGCTTTGGAAGAATTTCAAGAATTTTCATAAGTATCATCATGACTCCTTACACTACTCTCCATGATACTAAAAGTATGAATATTTCTTCATAGCATAAAGAAAATAAGACTAATAGAAATTAACTTACTTATCATTGTCACAAAGCCAGTGGGTGATACAGTGGGGATTAAAAACACTTACTCTGAATTTCCGTTCATTAACATATTCACTCCATGAAGCATTCATTCAATAGAAACTTCCCATCTTTTTATGAGGACAAATGAGATAATGTCCGTAAAACAGTTTGAGCTACTCAAGAAAAGCAGGCTATATAATTTAAGAGATGAATTTGATAAATTGGATTCACAAATAAGTGGATTGGCTCAAAGCCATTATAGAGAGGAAGTTATTGTGTCATTTTCCCAATCATCTTGCCAATTTACCTCAAGCCTTACAATCCTACAAATCTCCTATAAAACTCAGCAAATGAACTTCTTGAAAATGAGTTTTGGTCTCAATCCAGTAAATTTTATTTGTACTTTCCCCATATTCTCTCCAATAGTTCACTGACCCATCACATCACCAAAGCTACTACTTATCAAACTCAGAATACAAGCACATTTGACTTGTTTCATAGCTAATATTTTAGCAATAGTCTTATATAATGATTTGATATGAAAAGCATTTGCTCTTTTGTATTATTATACTTATGTGTAGGTTCTACTTAAGAATTCACCATGTAAGCCTTCAAGAGTGTGCTTATCACACTGCAGTCTTTTTCAATAATAGCACCTACTACATAGGACCCAAGGGCACCCATTAAGTGCTCAATGATATTTTCTACTAGGGTTTTTTTTTCCCTCTGAGAGCATTTCTAGCACTCTCAGAAGGGCAATACAATCAATGTGCAACCTCCAATAGTTCTGAACTTAGCAATGTGGATGCTATTGAAATAGCCATAGTGTGTGGAAAAGAAGTTGCTGATACATCGAGCAAATGTGTATCATACATAGGCCAGACAAAGCTGGCCATGTCCTGTCTTACACTGTTTAGAAAAATAGAATGATTTCATTTAGGGCAGAAGTTGAACAGAAATAGAGTCAATTCAATTTGATTTTATAAGTAAACTCTGCTCCAAGAAATGTGGCTATGTATAAACCAAAAATGCAATTTAAACAACACAATACATTTCAGATTTCTGAACGTTCATTCGGTTTTACTATAAATGAAGTTTCACTTTAAGTGAATTATACCATCACTTTTGGGAATCTAAATAAATCTCACTCTCTAAGCAATTTACAGGCATTGATATTCCCTAACAGTTTAAAATACCCCTGTTTACAAGAATAAGGCAGATGGGTACCAGCAGATGGGCACCATGAGGGGAAAAGGAGTGGTACCCACCTGTTACTGTGTGTGTGCCCATGATCCCAGGTTTACTGGGTAGATGGTTCTATTTTTAAATTTTTGTCTCAAACATGAAAGAGAAATAGGATAAATGATATTTTAAACATTTTTACTATTTTAGTATTTTTAGAACTTAATTATATCCCAAATGTAATATGCAAATGTTACTGTTAGTAACAACTTCCTCCAAAACAAGAGGAACAAAATCTCTCCAGGAATTTAAAAAAATCATTGCAATGAACAGTCTATGGGTAATTAAAATAGTGCACATAAATTTATCAATGTGGTAAATCAGGACAAAAATTTTAAACATTTTTACTGTACACAGAGAAAAATTACACATCCAATAATCTCAGAGAAGTACTCCATAAAGTACATATTAATTTAGAACCAACAGTATAGGTGAAGAAAATAACATTATTAAAGACCCAGAGATATACAACTCAGCTGGACTTAAGAACAAATATTTGGACACAGGCACATGTCTTTCTTGTTCTGTTAATTTTTTTGATTTTACAAATTTTTCTTTGATTAGAAGCAATTCACCTATCAGTAACATGCAATATATTTTTCCCATGTTACCATTCTTGGACACTATCTTGTAATAGCTAAAATGAGTCTCAAATTCATTCAGCAAATACTAATTGCTAATTATGTGTGAATTATACTGGAGATATGAAAAGCTATCTGAAGTAAATAACATCAGAGTTGTAAATGAACTTGCAATTTAGTTAGAAAAGAGTCATAAATGGGTAAATTAATTGATTAATATTGCATTTTTCAAAAGAAACATAAATAAATAAAATATATGACTTAAGATACAGCCAGGCATGGTGGCTCATGCCTGTAATCCCAGCACTTTGGGCGGCCGAAGGGGATGGATCACAAGGTCAAGAGATCGAGACCATCCTGGTCAACATAGTGAAACCCCGTCTCTACTAAAAATACAAAAATTAGCTGGGCGTGGTGGCGTCTGCCTGTAGTCCCAGCTACTCAGGAGGCTGAGAGAGGAGAATTGCTTAAACCCAGGAGGCAGAAGTTGCAGTGAACCTAGATTGTGCCACTGCACTTCAGCCTGGCAACAGAGCGAGACTCGTCTCAAAAAAAAAAAAAAAAGGAAAAAAAAAGATACAAGGGATAGCCAATAATGAGTTACTAAATTAAACAAATTCTCTGACGAGGCTCCCAGAAAGAAACAAACAAAAAACTATGGGTCATCTCAATATCAATTTCACTGGAATGCCCCTGTTCTAGTCTCTCTGCCTCTATTCTCAATAATGCATCCTCGCATACTGACGATTACATTTTCTTTCTGAAATTTAAATATAATCTTGTCACATTCACAACTCAAAACCATGATACAATTCTAGCTTAACTTATTTGACAAATAAGACCGTTTCTGATCTCATGATTTCACAAATACCCAATCTTGTAACCACTATCACCACCTGCCCTAGTTGCTTCTCACTGTTCTCTCAAGCAGAACTAAGATAATTGCAGGTCCTTGAACAGCACTTTGATTCATGTTATTATTTTCTCAGAAGTTTTCTTCTTCCACTGCTTGAAATGTCCTCCCTCACAAAGTTCTCATGAGAATCTTCCCTTCCTTCTTAAAATGCCAGTTTAAATAGTTGCCCAGGAGACCCTCCTTAACACCTTCAGGCAGTTGCTCTTTTTTTTTTTTTTTTTTTTTCTGAGATGGAGTCTTGCTCTGTCGCCCAGGCTGGAGTGCAGTGGTAGGATCTCGGCTCACTGCAAGCTCCGCCTCCCGGGTTCATGCCATTCTCCTGCCTCAGCCTCCCGAGTAGCTGGGACTACAGGTGCCCGCCACCATGCCCGGCTGATTTTTTTTGTGTATTTAGTAGAGACGGGGTTTCACCGTGTTAGCCAGGATGGTCTCGATCTCCTGACCTCATGATCCTCCCGCCTCAGCCTCCCAAAGTGCTGGGATTACAGGTGTGAGCCACCACGCTGGCCCACGCAGTTGCTCTTAAACAAACAAACAAACAAAAATCTACATATCCTACATATTACAATCTAATATTTGCTTTTTATGCACCTCCCACAAGACTGTAGGGCTAATGAGGGAAGGCACTGTAGTCTTTCCTTGATGTGTGCTTAGGTCCTGACCATTGCCTTGTCCTTAGTAAGTGCTCAGCAAATGCTTAAGGAGATAAGGGGTAACCTCAAGCTATGGTAGACTAAGGAAACTTCAGAGCTGACAGGGACGGGGATTACCAGGATGGCAGAAAAGAAGCTGCAAGAGACTCCTAGAAAGGCTAGAACAAAACTTCAAGGGCAGCAGAGGTGAGTACCAAGCACACTTCAGGGACAATGAGCAAACTCTTTTGGCTGTATTGCAGTTAACTGGGAGAGAGGACTGTCTGGATGAATCTGGATAAAGCAATTTCTACCTAATAATTTGCTGCATTGAATACACTCATTCATTCACAAAACTAAGAATTCTTTAGCTATAAAATTATTTTATGTTTGATGGACTTAATAAATTTTGTACATTTCCTGCAAGTAAACCTTTGAATTTCCATAATATTTTACATTTCAGAATGAGCATGTATCAAGTTACATTATATTTTTCTTTTGAGTCTGTGTCTGTAGTATATGTTTCTTTTTTTTACCTACAAAAACTGCTTACAAACAGAATCTATCTATGGGGAAAAAAAGCAAAATAAACAACACAACAACAAAAGCTTTTATTAATTTGTGTGATACTTATCTGAATTTGACTATGCTATATTATGTATGACTTATGCCAACACATCCAACCATCTGTCCCCTCCTACCAACCATTAACAAGCTGCCATTAAATAAAATCTGCAGTACGTGAAGAGTCAAAATTATTGAATTCACTGTTCAAGTAAAGCTTTATCAGATCCATAGTAATCCAAGCAATATTTATATGTCTGAATTGCTAAACAAGCAAAATATGGGCCAGGTAGGACTGAACCCCTGAAGAAGAATTCCCACGTTAGAAGACAAAATGCAGATATTACTTTATTCTCAAACTGATTGCAAAGGAAAAAAAAATCAAGAAATGACTATCCATCAATAAAGCAGCTGGAAAAGTCAAAACAGTAAAACATATAGCTGGCATTGTTACTAGCCAAATCCCTGCGGGGAAAAAATGCCATGTAGATTTCAGTCAATAAACAAATATCTGAAAAGAGGTTAAATAAGTCAATCTAGCCAGTTATAACATATCATATGTGGAGTCATGGGAAGAGAATCATCATCATAACACCAGTAATAATGTGTCTAGTTTTAACTAGATTATATATCTGTCATCTGTTAATTGTGAATCCTATGGGATTATGGTATATTTTTATTCAGTATTTTGAGCCCACAAATCTGAATATATGAGATTTCTGTTGGTAGTTACTAGAACACCAGTGAAAATTTGTATGAGAAAACTGAGGTTAAACAAGACCATTCAAACAAAGTATATGATTAAATGCAAATGTTTTCATTATATAAACACACACATATTATAATTTGGCATTTCTATTGTCTTTTTTCCTTTCTTTGTGAGAAATAAAAGAAGCATATTTCTTTTTAAGAGTTTCAGTCTTCCTTTACATTTCTTGCCATTCAGTGTACAACTCATCCATAAGTTACCCAATACAGACCTCCAACTCACAAAGCAAAGTGACAACTGCTTATGTTATATTGCTGTACTATACAAGTACTAGCAAAGAAAGAATACTTTGCAATACCTGTAATCCCCGTTGAAGAGATTAAGTGGAATTCTGCAAGAACCACTCATAGTTGCATCCAGAACATTGCCTGAGCACCAAGTACTCAGTAAATACTTAATAAATGAACGTCACAGGGAAAAAGGAATCCTTAAATATTTGAATGAATACTTACATGACAAGTATTATAGCTTTATTTTATTCAAGTACTCATAAAAGTTTTTGATACTAGAAAAGTATCATTGAAAGAAATTACATAGTTTTTCTTTTATACTTCTGGGTTTAAAAGTTTATATGCCACTATGAATGTGCTCAGGCTCATGAAGGATGATGGTGTAATTTTTTTTTCTTTTGAGACGGTCTCACTCTATTGCCCAGGCTGGAGTGCAGTGGTGCGATCTCTGCTTACTGCAACCTCCACCTCCCGGATTCAAGCAAATCTCCTGCCTCAGCCTCCCGAGTAGCTGGAATTACAGGTGCACACAACCACACCTGGCTAATTTTTGTATTTTTAGTAGAGACAGGGTTTCACCATGTTGGCCAGGCTGGTTTCCAACTCCAGGCCTTAGGTGATTCACCTAAATCAGCCTCCCAAAGTGCTAGAAATATAGGCATGAGCCACCATGCCTGGCGATAGTGTAATTTTTAAATGTAAATTATTTTTGTTTTTTCTCTATGTGTATATATATGTATGTAGGTGTATATATAAGTATGTATATAACATACCACTTGGATTTTTAAAATATTCACCAAGTGGAAAATTAGAAAAAATATGTATGATGTGATTAATTTGTATGCATTAGGGCCTAAAAATAGGAGCTTTCTTTATTTCATAAGAATGTTCCAGCTCCTAAGTCAAAGGGTGGACAAGGTGATGTTCTTTTTTTTTTTTTTTTTTTTTTTTTTTTTTTTTTTTTTTTTGAGACAGAGTTTTGCTCTTGTTGCCCAGGCTGGAGTGCAATGGTGTGATCTGGGCTCACTGCAACCTCCGCCTCAAGTGGTTCTCCTCACTCAGCCTCCCGAGTAGCTGCGGTTACAGGTATGCACCACCACGCCTGGCTAATTTTGTATTTTTGTAGAGATGGGGTTTCTCCGTGTTGGTCAGGCTGGTCTCGAACTCCCGACCTCAGGTGATCTGCCCACCTTGGCCTCCCAAAGTGCTGGGATTACAGGCATGAGCCACTGCACCCAGCCAGGTGATGGTCTTTAATTAGAGACTTGAATATTGAATCAAAACCACAGAAGATTATGTTATTACAGCACAACCCTCACCTTGAAACGTGAAAAATGTGTTAAATTATTTTGCTACTTTTCCTTTTAGCCAGGAACTATTCAATACTTTCACAAGTACCTGTTTAACTCAGCCCACTACACTGGCCATCATAAATAACCAAAACGTGATTTCTTTACTTTCTTTAAGGAAACAGTATCTCGCACTTCCAGTGTTCAGTCACATTTAATAAAGATGAATCTTTCTAGCCGTTCAACACCCTCACCTATTTTAAAAACAAGGAGGCAGAATTTTGTGTGATATTCTCTAAGTTTATAAATTGTGGTGTCCTCTCCGTTAGAGAAAAAAAAAGAGTATTGCTTAACGTTCAGACATCAAAGGCTCCTCTCCTATGCTGAGGCTTCAGGAATGGGGTGCAATTATTGTCAAAAGGTTAAACCTATTGTTGAAGACTAACTGCTTCAGCGCCCTGGATACTGAGTGTGACAGGTTCTGCAGGTGTACAGGTCTTTGCCTATTGATACAAATTGAATCTGAAAATAGCAATTTATTCACCAAATCAAACCAATCACTGCAATGCAGTTTTCTCTTTCAGCTCTTACTTCCAACCAACCACTTTTAACTACTTTGAAACTTCTGTTCTACAATAACATTTCTTTTTCAGCAAGGGGTTTAGGAAAGCTATCATGAAAATCCTTTTTTTTTTTTTAGCCTTCATAGCTTTGAGCCGTTCTTTTAGAAGAATATTTGTTTACAGTTACACTACTTATTCTAGGCAAAAATGATCAACACCTGTTCCAAATTAGTACTCCAGTCCCCACACTCCTTTTTCTTTTCACCACCAACTGTCATTTGCCTTCCTTTACCCATAAAAAAGCAATCACATTAGCATCCTTTGTAACACAATCGCAGGACTTCAAAGACATACCAGAAATTCTGTAGTAAAATTCTGTCTTATATATGGCAACATAATCAACTTCCAGGAAATAGGAAAGCACATAAAATAAAGACATTTTGAAGTGGATCTTTTAATTTTAACAGATAATTGAAATGACACCCAATAGCCAAGTCAAGAATTTGAAACAAGTAAATGAAAGAGAGTTTGCCTGAGGGGAGGCAAACAGAGCAAAGAACTCTCAATTTGTATCAAAGACTGGACAAATAAATGAATGCTCTTGAAGTTTGGAATCAACACGTATTCCTGGCACTTGATCAGCCTTTCCGAAGCTCCTGAATGGAGAGACTTGCAATGGCTAACCACAGACCACAGGTTGTTGCCATGACTACAAGCAACCAACAGGAAGAAAAAAGAAAGAAAGAAAAAGCAGTTGGGAAACACTTAAAAACAAAGTAAGTTGAACTGAAAAGAATAAAACTTAAATACAATTTTTAAGTGAAAAGTCTATCAGAAAGAATATAAACAAAACTCATTAAATTATATCAATAACAGACCAAACTGTACATTAAAGATGTTCCATATTATAAGGTGTTCATTCAGAGGAGAAAAAAGATGGAAGAAAAAAAAAAGAAACAAGGGGAAGATGAAGAGGAGAAATAGTAACAACAGTAGCTCTGGTTGCTGTAGTTTTTTGTGCCTCAGCACTTCAGACAAGTGAAACCTGCAGGCAACTATTAGCTCATGTATTAATCTAAACTCTATTAGGAAGCCACCAGAAGCTGATCTGGGTATTTTACCTACAATTACTGGATAATTTAAAGAGACAATGGGAAAACACTTGGTTATTTAGATCAAGAGGTGTAGAAATTTAAATTCTGTTGAAAACTGAAGTTGATATTAACAAAGGTTGACCAAAAATTGGTGATTACTAAAAAGCAAACATTTGTATCAGAGTTGGGTAACTACAGTAATGCTCAATGGCCATGGGTCATCGTGTCTATGTTGAGGTGTGCAGTACTCTATAGACAATGATGTACTGGAGTTGTTAATACCTTTTATGTTTTAAGAAATTTTGTGAGCCAGTTATTATATTTAGCTATTATTAAAAATAATGTATATAAACTTATCACATAATAAATTATATTTAAAATTTCTTCTTTTACTATAATTTATGCTGTTGAGGTTTTTTTCTACTTATTGTATCTGTATGGTGGAAATAGCATATATTGGTTAGGCTATTTCCATCCCTTCTGAACACATTCAGTGATATGACACTGGTAGCTTGAAATTGGCCATGGTGAAGTCCTTACACCATAAAACCTGGCAAATACTACTTAGCAGGGCTTTATTTATGGTGTTATTGATTACCTAGACTTGAGACACTGAAGAAAATAGTAATAATGCAGAATAAACTTAAAATGTGTCATGTCTGTTGCTATTATATTGCAAATAGTAGAAAAAATTATGAAATACTCTTTTCCATATTTAAAAATAACATTTTCTGATTTAACAAAGGAGTACTCACATAATTGATGAAGGAGTGACGTTCTGAACTAAGTCTTCATTGTTTTAGTTGTTTCATCTACTTACATAAATGAAAATATTAACCAATATGTATGTCACAAGTATATTCGTTTGTCATTTGAAGCTAATTAACAAAAGTATTTTCTAAGAACCAATTAGTCACATGGAATTTACCATGAAGTATATGTTATTATTTATAAATTGGGAGCTACACATTCTTTGTCTCAGTAAAATGTATAATAAATATGTGTGTGCATGTACAAACACTAGGGAAGAAGAAGAAATTATTTACTTGTGGTGCTATATGCTAATTTTTTATTTTTTCTAAATACATAGGTGAAATGGTTTGGTATATTTTCTTTTGACCCTTCTGTGAAAAGCCAGGCCATGTGGTACACTTCCTTATTAGAATACTGGACAAATATAATAAAACATCAACCAACAAGTCATTTCAAATGCAATTTGTGAATGTTCAAGAAAAATGAATATGAATGTGTTTCCTTTTTCTTCATGAGGTGTTTACAAATCCCTAACGCAATTGAGAAAGTCTTCTTTTTTTAATGTTTCTTTTCTTTCCACACTGCAGGAGCAAATTCAAAAATATATAATTATGACCAGATCATTGGTATCAGAAATTAACTAAATCATCATCTCTTAAAAGAATGGCTTTGGAGTATGAATGTAATAATGATTTACACAACTTGCATTTGTTGAATATCCACTGTGTGCTAAGTTAAAAGTCATTCCATTTCAAAAATAGTATATTAAAAATTACTGGGAGGAAGAGGAGGAAGATTTGAAAAAGACTTGAGTAAATTTTTGCCAGTGTTGGGTATGTCTACTACCTTGAAAGTAGTGATGATATCACAGGTATATCCACATGTCAAACGTATCAAATTGCACTTTATATGCACTTTATTCAATGTCAGTTTTACCTTAATAAATCTGTTTGAAAAGTTTCTAAAATGAAGAAGGGCAAGTTAAAGCATATTTATATATCATTTATGCATATAAATGTATATGAATAATTATATTAGGGTTATCACTATGTAGCTGATTTGGGGCCTACTCTTAAGCTCTTTGGTGGTTATGCTCTTTTAAAAAATAACAAACACATTATCTTTTATGATATATAGGTATTCTACATTTTCAAGAAGACAAACTAAAACTACATCTAATGAATTCATTTTTAAAGTGTACACATCTGCATCTATTGAGATAATCATGTGGTTTTTGTCTTTGGTTCTGTTTATATGCTGGATTACATTTATTGATTTGCGTATATTGAACCAGCCTTGCATCCCAGGGATGAAGCCCACTTGATCATGGTGGATAAGCTTTTTGATGTGCTGCTGGATTTGGTTCCCCAGTATTTTATTCAGGATTTTTGCATCAATGTTCATCAAGGATATTGGTCTAAAATTCTCTTTTTTGGTTGTGTCTCTGCCCGGCTTTGGTACCAGGATGATGACAAAATTCAACAACCCTTCATGCTAAGAACTCTTAATAAATTAGGTATTGATGGGACGTATCTCAAAATAATAAGAGCTATCTATGACATACCCACAGCCCATATCATACTGAATGGGCAAAAACTGGAAGCATTCCCTTTGAAAACTGGCATCAGACAGGGATGCCCTCCCTCACCACTCCTATTCAACATAGTGTTGGAAGTTCTGGCCAGGGCAATTAGGCAGGAGAAGGAAATAAAGGGTATTCAATTAGGAAAAGAGGAAGTCAAATTGTCCTTGTTTGCAGATGACATGATTGTATATCTAGAAAAACCCATTGTCTCAGCCCAAAATCTCCTTAAGCTGATCAGCAACTTCAGCAAAGTCTCAGGATACAAAATCAATGTACAAAAATCACAAGCATTCTTATACACCAACAACAGACAAACAGAGAGCCAAATCATGAGTGAACTCCCATTCACAATTGCTTCAAAGAGAATAAAATACCTAGGAATCCAACTTACAAGGGACGTGAAGGACCTCTTCAAGGAGAACTACCAACCACTGATCAATGAAATAAAAGAGGAAACAAAGAAATGGAAGAACATTCCACGCTCATGGGTAGGAAGAATCAATATCGTGAAAATGGCCATACTGCCCAAGGTAATTTATAGAGTCAATGCCATCCCCATCAAGCTACCAATGAGTTTCTTCACAGAATTGGAAAAAACTACTTTAAAGTTCATATGGAACCAAAAAAGAGCCCGCATTGCCAAGTCAATCCTAAGCCAAAAGAACAAAGCTGGAGGCATCACACTACCTGACTTCAAACTATACTACAAGGCTACAGTAACCAAAACAGCATGGTACTGGTACCAAAACAGAGATATAGATCAACGGAACAGAACAGAGCCCTCAGAAATAACGCCGCATATCCACAACTATCTGATCTTTGACAAACCTGAGAAAAACAAGAAATGGGGAAAGGATTCCCTATTTAATAAATGGTGCCCATGGGAAAACTGGCTAGCCATATGTAGAAAGCTGAAACTGGATCCCTTCCTTACACCTTATACAAAAATTAATTCAAGATGGATTAAAGACTTGAACGTTAGACCTAAAACCATAGAAACCCTAGAAGAAAACCTAGGCATTACCATTCAGGACACAGGCATGGGCAAGGACTTCATGTCTAAAACACCAAAAGCAATGGCAACAAAAGCCAAAATTGACAAATGGGATCTAATTAAACTAAAGAGCTTCTGCACAGCAAAAGAAACTACCATCAGAGTGAACAGGCAACCTACAAAATGGGAGAAAATTTTCACAACCTACTCATCTGACAAAGGGCTAATATCCAGAATCTACAATGAACTCAAACAAATTTACAAGAAAAAAACAAACAACCCCATCAAAAAGTGGGTGAAGGACATGAACAGACACTTCTCAAAAGAAGACATTTATGCAGCCAAAAGACACATGAAAAAATGCTCACCATCACTGGCCATCAGAGAAATGCAAATCAAAACCACAATGAGATACCATCTCATACCAGTTAGAATGGCAATCATTAAAAAGTCAGGAAACAACAGTTGCTGGAGAGGATGTGGAGAAATAGGAACACTTTTACACTGTTGGTGGGACTGTAAACTAGTTCAACCATTGTGGAAGTCAGTGTGGCGATTCCTCAGGGATCTAGAACTAGAAATACCATTTGACCCAGCCATCCCATTACTGAGTATATACCCAAATGACTATAAATCATGCTGCTATAAAGACACATGCACACATATGTTTCTTGCGGCACTATTCACAATAGCAAAGACTTGGAAACAACCCAAATGTCCAACAGTGATAGACTGGATTAAGAAAATGTGGCACATATACACCATGGAATACTATGCAGCCATAAAAATGATGAGTTCATGTCCTTTGTAGGGACATGGATGAAATTGGAAATCATCATTCTCAGTAAACTATCGCAAGAACAAAAAACCAAACACCGCATATTCTCACTCATAGGTGGGAATTGAACAATGAGAACACATGGACACAGGAAGGGGAACATCACACTCTGGGAACTGCTGTGGGGTGGGGGGAGGGGGGAGGGATAGCTTTAGGAGATATACTTAGTGCTAGATGACGAGTTAATGGGTGCAGCACACCAGCATGGCACATGTACACATATGTAACTAACCTGTACATTGTGCACATGTACCCTAAAACTTTAAGTATAATAATAATAAAATAAAAATAAAAAAATAAAGTGTACACATCAAGAAAACAAAAAATAAGGATGTTTATTAAAAGTTAGTTAACCCAAGGCTGTATGACTTAATTTGTAAACTTTTTTTTGTCCTTTCATCCTAAACATATTTTTCTTCCAAATAAATTACTAATATGTATTTCTTCTCACCTCGAAAATGTTTAAATATCTATTTATAATACACACACTGACACTTTAGAATAAATGAAACCTCAATTTTAATGAATAATCTATAAATTTAAACAGGAGAACGAGACATTTTGGCATCCTCAAAGAGCTTTGTTCTTTCTTAACCTAATGTAGACTGCCAGAGTTGAATTGCACCAAAAAAGAGTTCTGGCAAAATCACGTTTTCTGTCATGAAGTTAGCGTCTAAAAATAGCCTATGCAAACTCTGCAATTTTGAATAAATTCTTAATGTATTTCCCTAACTTTATTTAATCAGTAACTTAAACACTGGTTATGCAAAAAAATAAAAATAAATGAGGAAAAATATGATCTGTTTTCAAGGAACTCATAAGCAGGCCAAGAAAGACTAAAAAGCAATTTTGATAAAATACTTAAAGAACTTTGGAAATTTTTTTTCTCATCACAAAGAAAGAGCAGAAAGGGGGATGGTGGTATCCTACTGTCATTTGTCCTTACATGAGATTTATATGTGAAAACTAAGAAGTATGAGAAAAATATAATGTGCAAACTAAGAAGTATGAGAAAAATATAATGGCTACTTAAAAGGAATCTTAACGCAGTCTTTGCAAGTTCTCACTCTTTCTAATTTTCTAGCTCTGTAAAATATTCTATATACACTCTTATGCAGGCTCTGTCCTCAATCCTAAGGAATTATCTATCTTTTCTGGTATCTCCTATGTTTTTATTTTTCTTTCCATCTCTTCTAAAAAGAGCTCTTCAGTGGTTAATCTCTTCATTCAAAAGCTCATATATCCCTA
Organism: Homo sapiens; assembly: GCF_000001405.40. Taxonomy (NCBI): domain Eukaryota; kingdom Metazoa; phylum Chordata; class Mammalia; order Primates; family Hominidae; genus Homo; species Homo sapiens. The sequence goes on from NC_000013.11 coordinate 67,029,544, forward strand.
TGTTCCCTAGAAAGCAGCTTCCTTTACTGGCATAATTCCCTGAATGTGTTTTAAGAGCCTTGACTAAGATGTTTTGCCTTTTAGTTTGCACTGTGCTTTTGAATGATCAATATGCATTATGGAACTAAGCTTATTCATCATTTTTTCCAATTAGGAAAACATATCAAAATTCTGACGAGAACATTTAAACATAAATAATAATACTCACCTAATGCAACTTCTCATTACTCTCCATTTTTCTACTCCCCAACTCAATATTTTTAGTTTTTCTATATTATGTTTTCATCTTTTCCAGGTAAATTTTTCAATTTAATAAGTATTTTTTGAAACAAGCCAGAACACTTTATCTTTCTGTCAAAGTTATTGTATTAATAAAAATTAGCAGAAGCCTTGAAACACCCACATTATTGCAATATTTGAGCCAGTGGCTTCTTTTGCTGGTTATGTGACTTCATTATCAGAAAGAGACTACATTTCATCTTGCAGGAGTAGATGAAGATATGTCTCATGCATATCCTGCTCTGGAGCTATAGCTTTATTTATTTATTTATTTAGGAGATGGAGTCTCGCTCTGTCACCCAGGCTGGAGTGCAGTGGCACTACATCAGTTCACTGCAACCACCACCTCCCGGGTTCAAGCTCTGGAGCTATAGCTTTAAACCAATAATGAATTATTTTCAATACACACAAATGGGCATAGTTGGAGACAATAATTGTTCTAGCAATTCAGAATTCTTAAAAGGATTTTTAAGACACAGCAGTCCATTCTAGAGTAGCTTGCTTCAACTGAGGCTAAGAGGATACTTCTACCAGAGGTCCCCTCTGTCCTGCTCTTCATCAAAAAAAGTTTATAGTCACCCTACTGTGCTATCAAACACTCAAACTTATTCCTTCTACCTAACTGTATGTTTGTACCCATTAACCAACCTCTCATCCCCCCACCACCGACCCCCACCAACACACACACCTTTCCCAGCCCCTGTTAGCCATCATTCCACTCTCTACCTTTGTAAGATCAAATGTTCTAGGTAATGGATATCCTAAATACCCCAATTTGATCATTACACCTTACATGCATGCATCAAAATATCACATGTACCCCATAAATGTGTACAAATATTATATATTAATAAAAGAGATTTGCTTTCTATATCTCCTTAGCACCTTTATCATGAAGGTTGAGGGGCTCATTCCATGTATTTAAAGTTTACCTTCTTCCATTTGTTGAATAAAGGTGTCACCCTATAATTTAAAAAGTTAAATTTTTCATTTTTGACTATAAAGTAAAAAGTAGTAGGTATGAGAAGATCTAAAGCACCCAAACTCCTAAAGTCAGTTTGTTTATTTAGTATTTTTAACTATTCATTCAGAGTAATCTATTCATACTCTTAGTGACACTGATATAGGAAACTTAGACTAACTAGCCCTATAACTATATGCTATAGTTTCAAAAATGATGTGTTGAGAGTAAAATAAAGAAAAGGAGTTACTGCTTCCTACTAACTTTGTATTCAAAGCATAAGTGAGTGAAAAAATTGAACCATTTGCAGAAGCTTTGAGTTATCTGTAACTAATTTGAGTTAGCTGCCTAATTTTTTTTCCAGCCATAAACGACATTGAAAGCGGGTGTTAAGTAAAGAACCAATAATGAAACTACAGTATAATCTCAAGTTGAAAACATTCATAATTTTTGTAATCAGCAGTTATTTCTAAAATTAAATTATATATAGTGAAGTAAAAAATTATCTACATTTTCTACAATTTACCATAATAATTTCTCTCAGAATCCTTAATTCTTTTCCTACCTGTAAAATACAATTCAAATAACACCTGTCTTTCCAAAATGTTTATTAGTCAATGTTTATAATATAATTATACAGGCCAGGCGAGGTGGTTCATGTCTGTAATCCCAGCACTTTGGTAGACAGAAGCAGGCGGGTCACTTGAGGTCTGGAGTGGTGAAACCCTGTCTCTACCAAAAATACAAAAATTAGCCAGAGGTGGTGGCACACACCTGTATTCCCAGCTACTAGGGAGGCTGAGGCAGGAGAACTGCTTGAACCTGGGAGATGGAGGTTGCAGTGAGCTGAGATCGTGCCACTGCACTCCAGGCCTGGGTGACAGAGTGAGACTCCATCTCAAATAATAAAAATAATAATCACATAATTATACAAAATATTAGATTTTTTATTGTTGGGGTATTTTGATTTATATTTCCATTATTCATATCTGAAACATTTGCCTTTCTAGCACACTTTTATTGGAGCATTAGAAATGTTTATATTGTAGCAGATTCATTGTTCCATTGTCAAGAGAAGCTGCTTTTGAAACTATGCCTGTCAAAGATACACAGCCCTTCTGGTCTTTTATTTAGACCTCATTGATGTAGCAACTTACCAATGGTAAATTAAGAAAAAAATAATAATTTTGAAAAAATGTTCAAATAAGTCTCAATAAGAGGAGGCATTCTATGGAGAGCATAGGTGCACTTGCACCAACAGAAATTTTGCAATTAGCTACTGAGCTTCCAGTGGAAAAGCCGGCAGTCATAGATTATAGATGTAAACACAAATTCTAAATGGCTTTTAAAGTTTAAATACCACTTTTTTGGGGGGGTGAGGGAAGGGCCTTACTCGGTCACCCAGGCTGGAGTGCAGTGGCACAATCATGGCTCACTGTAGCCTACACTTCCCGGGCTCAAGCCATCTTCCCACCTCAACCTCGCAAGTAGCTGGGACTACAGGTGCATGACCCCACACATACAACTATATATTTTTCTGCCTTTTTTTTTTGCATTTTTTGTAGAAATGGGGTTTCATCATGCTACCCAGGATGGTCTCAAACATATCAACTCAAGCCATTTGCCATCCTAGGCCTCCCAAAGTGCTGGGATTACAGGCATGAGCCACAGTGCCCGGTCAACATCACTCTTCGTAAGAACAATTTATTAAACAAATAATTCCAGCTTAAGAGCAGTGTAGAATTGTTTGCATTTATGTAAAAATTCTTATGGATATTAACAAGAAAGTTACCTCCCTTGTTCTAAGGTGCACATGCAAAACCAGGGTGTTTTTATATGTTATTAGCACAGTATTGACTGAGACTCATTATGAGACTATTTGGACAAATGTCCATGCTATTTATTTTGAATTATAACCATGAAGCATTTGTATCATTAGTTTTACTATATTCATAGCACAGAATTGAAGAAGATAGTTCCTAATATATCACAAAATTGATGCTGTTGCAGACAAGTTACTGAGTGACAATTTGAAGAGCTTTCCTCCTAAGCACAGCAACTGCTGTGTTTTGAAGCATTCAGTCAGTTATTATTTGCAGTTCTACCAGTATGGTTTTCACAGTTTGCAAAATCTGAGATACTGATTTCTAATAGTAGCCTATGTTTTTAGTCTGCTTGTTAAATTTTCTTCTAATTTGTCCTTTTTTTTTTCTTACTTATGTGATGCATAATTTAAAAAATTAGGTTTGGGGGAAATACAAGCTGCAGTTACTTCCCTGCCTTTCTATCTACTTTCTCTTGCTATTCTTTCTACATCGAGGCACAGACAAGGAGGCCATAAACAGTCACCCTCAAACAATGAAAATTAAGATATTTCTCTCTCTTTTCTGTGATTACATGCTACCAATCAGTACTTCTTTTTTTATTGAATATTAAAACAGGATAATGAAATGTTTTTCATAATTAGTGCTCTGGGTCACTGCAGAGAAAGTCAATGTTGAAATAAATGATAGCTCCAGGCAAGCAAGGAAAGGTAAAAATGAAAGAGAAAAAGAAAATTTACCTATTGGTCAGGAAGTGTTCTTGTAAAGTGAAAGAGAAGCTGAGTTCATGTGTCATAGATAAGGTACAAAAAGACAAAAGGGAAGTTTTCTTTCTTTCCCCTTTTTTCTTTCTGTACCTAAAGGAATGTTCTGTTATTCAATCTGTGAGCAAATAGATGTTGGGGTTGTATAACTTTTGCTAATCAGGGTATGTTGCTTTACGTGTCTTTCTGCCTGGAATGACAGAGTCAGGTCATGATGATGGGTGCTGTGGCAGGCATCTCGTAAACTTGAGGGGAGACCAAGAGAATTTTCAAAAGGCTACTCCTCACAAATGCTATACTCGTACCACTGAGCCACTGACTCCAGAACTGCCAATCACTCTGCTTTCTGCAATATGAGCTTATTAAGTGTCTTTAACGCTTAAGAAGAGTTGGTTGAGTATTTTGTATACCAGAAATCATCCCGAGACTATCTCAAGAAGCAAGATAGTCAACATTCTTTGAAGGGTTGGTGCTCACTTCAAGTTAGCAATGGTAAACAAACAAACATTTATTCACGGAAGACAGTGAGGATGAGGAAGAGATTCAGACTCTGAAATTCTTTTATAAGAAAATCACCGATGAAACTTACAAACTTTAAAAGGATTGTGTTTTTTTGTTTGTTTTTGTTTTTTGAGACAGAGTCTTGCTCTGTCGCTCAGGCTGGAGTGCAGTGGCGTGATCTTGGCTCACTGCAACCTCCACCTTCCAGGTTCAAGCGATTCTCCTGCCTCAGCCTCCTGAGTAGCTGGGATTACAGGTGCATGCCACCACACCTGGCTAATTTTTGTATTTTTAGTAGAGACGGGGTTTCACCATATTGGTCAGGCTGATCTCGAACTTCTGACCTTGTTATCCACCCACCTCAGCCTCCCAAAGTGCTGGGATTACAGGCATGAGCCACCGTGCCCAGCCAGGATTGCGTTTTAATATTTATAAATAAAAGGGACAGTGATATCATCTTAAGTATGTATTATACATTATTTAATGTTTAAACAATAGCATATATATGTAATGATCTAAGACCAATTCTTTAAATATTTACCATACTGATCATGCCTACGCCATTCATACTAAAGACCTCTTAGAGTCGAAATATATAGCTGACAACCTTCCAGCATATGCAGCTAATGATGAATAAATAAAAACACAAACCAATGTACATTGTATAATACGGATCTATATTTTACTCACTGCGCTCTGGGCCACACATGATAGAACCAACTCTGAAGGAAAATTGTGCCCATATACCATGGCCATGTTTTGGTCTATGCTTTTATGCTAGAAAGTCCTTCCATTTCTTTCTTTTTTTTTTTTTTAACTTTTAGTTCCAGGGGTATATGTACAGGTTTGTTCTTTAAATAAATTGTGTGTGTCACGAGAGTTTGGTGTACACATTATTTCATCACCTATTTCTTAAAATTTAGTCTGTTCAAAAATTGTTTTAACTATTTGAATTATTACTAAATGCCTATAAGTTCAGTGACATATCACTGCTGAAAGTTTAGACAATTTGCATAACTCTTTAAGACAAGCCAAGAATGATACATCATGCCTATGAAAAAAAAAAGCATGTGATTGCTTTATGAATATCATGGTCCCAAAATATGGCAGTTGTTCAGAAATATGGTAGCATGTACATGTATATACATGTGCATATATGCACATCTGTGTTATATAATGCTTAAAGAAAAGGAAAAGAGGATTCAATTGTTATCAAATGACTATCAACTTCATGGTGTATATGAAGTTCCAAGCTGAAGAATTTGCTCAATCATATTATAAATAGATCTTTTGACCAAGGGTACACCACAGAATACAGTGAAAGGCAAGTAAATACTGTCCAAAGTTTGCAAATCAGGTAGAGGGCATGTGTCTCTTGTCAAAAGTTCATATCAAGGTTTATTCTTATTTGGATGTGGTGCATATAGCTTTTATATGCATATAAATCACACATACATATACATACATATAATTGTAACTTCAATTTTTATCTATGGCATTTTACTCAGAATTCCCATGTGGTTGAATTATGTTTATAAAGTTGACATACAGCTTTCAGTTTCTTAAGTGAACACTTACAGCTGTTCATCATAACCTAATGTTTCTCTTACTTTGTGAGTCTTTTAAAATTAAACTCAGAAATTAGACTTCTATGAAAACAAATACTGCTTAAAGAAATAAATATATAATTATATTAAATTTAAATGATATAGTATAATTTTATAATTAAAATTATATTATATACTAAATTTTGACTTGTTAAAAAAAATGAATAGTAATAATAAGGCACCCAAGGTAAATGTGAACATAAACGAACTTTTCTTGAGATCAAGGTCTCTCCCCAGCAAACTCCACAACTATTCAAAAAGCTGAAAAGATAAATATAAGGAAATCTTTCACTATCTTTAAAAGATGCTCAGCTTGCTTACCAATGATGAGAATTCATCTTTACAAAGAATAATACAAATATTTAAAACTTAGCCCCAAATCCAATATTTGTCCTTGGTTGATCTTCACATTCCCTAAAAAGTTTTCATCTGGCCACACCCCAATTTTAACCTTGAAAACTTACAAAAGCAGATCATTCAAGCTGTTCCAAACAATAAAATGTTTCAGGGTGACAAGGAGGAACAAATATATATTTCCAAAACTCTAATAAACTTTTGTTCAAAATGATTACTCATGTCAGTGACCAAAATTGGAACAGCACATCAGCGTTCTAGTAGAGTCACAGCCTGTTCTAAATCTTAAAAGACAAACAAACAAAAAACATAAAGTGCCACATCTCACAATAAACAAAATGTATTCAGATACAATTGTAGGAAGAGATTTTTTTGTTGGAGGAAAGCATGGGCATTTGAAGAAAATGTTTTAGGTACAGTGAGGTTGGTTTTTGTCCCCACTGTTTCATATTTTATCTACTTGCATAAGCTAAAGTACATTCCTCAATTCAGGTTCCAGCCATTCAAATCTCTATTCCTACATAAAGCTCTAAACCCACTAATCTCTCAGGTCTTTGATAAGTCAACACTGCAATCAATAGCTTGCTGTCTTCAGCTTCAGGTCTCAGTGGCATTCTTTGATTAATATCAGCTTTCCAGGAGAAACATAAAAATCATATCATGCAACTGGATCAAACTGCCATGCAACTTCAGAAAACTGAGACATTCAAGGAAAGTATGAAATGAACAGTAGTAGATAAATGTCAACTTCAGGTTTTTTGACATGTTGTTATATTTAAATTAAAGGCAATGTTATTTGGGTTCCTTCCTGCTCTAAACATGTTGGTTTTCCCTTTCAGGAGATTCCGATAAAATATATGATCATCCCTTGCCAACATTTTGAATTCCTCTTCTGTGCAGACAGCAGGGTTTATATGATAAAATTTTAATGACCATGGACCTGCATAACAATGCGAGGCACCAGCACACTTTCAATAAGGCTATGCATTTGTTAAGACTGGCATTGGGTGGTATTCTCTAAGCGGAAGCCTTCGTGGTCTGAGAAGCAGGCTTAGTAGAGATAGAAGCTGCTCCGGAGAAAGCGCCATTATCATGCAGCAGTTGTCCGGATGAAATGGACATTTATGAATCACTGCCAAGGAAACTATATTATGGGTTGTAAATTAAAACCAGGGTTTAACATACACCCAGCACTAGGCTGGAGGATCTAGTTTTCAGATTACCCCACAGACTTAGTTAAAAGCAGCTTTAGAGTGCCCCTCAATCCCTGATTACATCCCCTTCAACTTTCCACGAAATCCTACACTATTTTCTGGTTGCAGTTTCATAGGGGCTGAGGGTGTATAAATCTATTCAGGAGAAGTTTTGGATTTTTGTTTAACTCCTTTTCAATTCTGGGCTAAGTAGTGTTGGAACTGTTCTTTATCAGTGTTAAATCATGCAGTTATGTTACTCGCTCGACTTGCAACGAAATGGTTTATGAACTTGGCTTCTTGACTTACATATATACCCTCAGAGCTGAGCCTGGGGATATTTATACTTTCTGCAGCTTTACTGTATGCATTCTATAAACAAATTTAAAAATCCAACATAACTTTTCTACTCCAAAAGTGTTATTTTAAAGGATTTTTTGTTTGTTTGTTTTTTGTTTGTGACTCTGGCTATCCTTGTGAATTATCATGACCCAAATTGACAGAATATAAATAGAAAATTATTAAGGTTTTATTCTTGATCTACAAGTACTATCTTTCAGGAATTTTCAGGTTTATGTTGAGTACACACTGCTATTCTTGTTACATTGTGAAAATCTGACTGATACTAGGATAGCTCTTTCAGTGAGAACTGTAGTGTGGCTTTCATGTGGCAGATATATTTTGAAAGTTCTTTTCTGGCACCAAGAGTACTGACCAAGAGCAGAGGAATGAAAGATGGAAACTCGGGTGATGGTTCAGGATTGTTCCATTTCATAAATGAAAATATATGACTGCCATACTTCAGTATCTCAGCAGTGTGAAATCAACTGGACCGTATGGTAAAGAAGAAAGTTGAAAATGTGGAGGAGTCATTTATTTACTCTATAAGAACCTGGATTAATGACCAGTGAAGAAATGTTTTTCTGAGCAATAAAAATATCAGAATACTGACGTATAAAACATTTTTTGGTAATAAAAATAGTGAAAAGATCATTGAAATGAAAATAGAAAGATGAGGGGCGTGAAGGGAGGAAGACTATAACTATTAGAATATGGTTGTTAGATTGTCCAGTAAAGAAAATAATTGCTAGAAGTTTGACATTATGATGTAAATAACAGTTCATAAGTAAAAGATGAAAACAGCTGTTCGACTAGAGACAGAAATCACAAATGCTTTAAAACAAGTTGCACAAAACTCCACTTGGAATCAAGGAAATAGCCTTTAACTTTGGATCCCAGTATAAGAAATCATTTTGGAACTTTAGAATATAAAATGAATTAAATTTGATCACATTCAGAAAAGCCACACATTTCCAACTTTTTAAAAAGATATTTTAAGATCACTATAGGCTTGAGAGAATAAGAATAAAGTGATGACAAACATAAATACCATATAAATACAGTCAAATATAAATATGTATATGTATTTAGGATTTTAAGAAAGTGTAACCTGGTATGATGTTTACAGTATTAATTTTTAATGTAATTGCTCATAATGTGATACTATAGCAAGCTGCCTAAAGAAAGATGCACATACCCTAAATCTAATTTAATTAGGTTTGAACCAAAATTAGATCCAATTTCCCAATGAAATTACAAATCTAATACTCAAAAACACCTAGCCAGATAATCCACTCTTCTTCATACTATTGTGATATTATGCTAGAATAAGTAATGTAAGTTTGATCTTTGCCCCTAGTTTCTGGCACAGAGTTCCTAAAAGCCTTGTAATATCTGGAGTGATCACGTTGGTAGGAGGATCTTTTGTTATAGTATTGGGTCTTTGCCCTGGTTCCCGACACAGGGCTCCTACATTTCTTGGAATTTTGTGAGTAATAGAAGAGTTTTTTGTTCTGAGGCAAGTCTTAGCAGTCCTGTACTGTGGCTTCACCAGTCTTGGTCGCCAAAAAGACTAAACCTTGATTAGAAGCTTGGAACTTTTGACCCCACCTCAAAACACCAGGGAGGAGAGGGGGTCAGGAGATTGAATTAATTATATATTATGCCTATGTGACAAAACTTTCATAAAAGCCTCCAGATGATGGGGTTCACGGAACTTCTGCATTGGCAAATGCATCCATGTGTCTCCAGATCCAAGGGGACTCTTATATTGGAGATCCTTCTGGAATTGGAACTGCATCAGACCAGTCTGGTTCAACTTTTGTGTAACAAGGTTGTGAGTTGTTTTTCAGTTTCCGTGGACCCCCAGATTGAAGGTCCCATAACCTGAGCATGCCCAGGTGAACCCAAAATGCAACCACAGGCAGAACCTAAGTACCGGACCAAGGAGCAAGGACTGTATTAAGAGGCAGATACAGAATGGCAAGATGTAGAATCCAATCAGATCAAGTCCTGTTGTTACCATACGGCATGATCCAGTCAGATCCTGGCTTCCAGCATCATTTCACTGCAAGATCCAATCAGACCACACCTCATGCCCCATCCCTATAAAACCTGGCCCAGCCCCCAGCTTGGGGAGACAGATCTGAGTGTTTCCTCTTGTCTTCTTACCAGTTGACTCACAATACACCTTTCTCACTACAAAAACCCAGTGCTTTGGTGTTCAGCTTTCCATTGTGTGTGGGCAAATGGATCAGTTTTCTTTAGTGACAGAAGTTGCTCTATATACCTCTTCAACCTGGCTGTTTATTTGTATTTTTATAATATTTTTATAATGAATCAGTAATAAGTAAAATACTGCCCTGAGTTTTATGAGTTGTTCTAGCAAATTTTCAAACCTGACAAGGGAGCTTTGGTAACCTCCGACTTTGTAGCGAAGTTGAACAAAAGTGTGGGTACCCTAGGCCTTGAATAACTGTGATTGGCATCTGAAGTGGGTGCAGTCTTGTGAGACTAAGAACTTCATTTGTGGTGTCTGTGCTAACTCCGTGTACTATAAAAATCAAATTGAAGTGTAGCTCACCTAGTTGGTATTTGTTTACAAAGTTGAGAATTGGTTGGTGTGGAAAAAAGAAAAAAAAAACAAGCATTTGTTGTCAGAAATGTTATGCAAACAGTCCATAATACTAAAGCACTTACACAATAGCAATCACATTAATGTGACTTGTTTACAAATATAAACATACAGATCATATTAAAAACTCAGAATTGGGCTATTTCATAATCAGTGGCCCCTTTAATCAGTATTATGGATGGAATGTTTATGTCCCCCCAGACGTTATATGTTGAAACTTAGCCCCCAGTGTGACGTTATTCAGAGGTGGGGTCTTTGGGAGATGATTTATTCTTGAGGGTGAATCCCTCATGCATGGGATTACTGCCTTTATAAAAGTGACCCTGAAACTGCTCGTGGTGGTAAACACCTGCTAGTCCCAGCTACTCAGGAGGCTGAGGCGGAAAGACTGTGTGAGCCCAGGAGTTCAACATCAGCCTGGGTAACATAGCAAGACCCAGTCTCTAGAGAAAAATAAGACCTCAGAGAGCTCTCTTGCTCTCTTTCTGCCATGTGAGCATATGTACAAAGAGAAGTTAGTAATCTAAAACCTGCAAGAGGGCCCTCATCAGAACCCAACCAGGCTGACACCATCCTCCCAGACTTGTGGCCTCCAGCACTCTGAGAAATAAATTTCTGTCGCTTATAAGCCACCAAGTTTATAGTACTTTGTTACAGTAGCCCAAACTGAATATGACATTTAGGTTAAAAAAAATATATATTGAAATACAGAATGTGGTGGGGAAGTGGAGGTCAGGGATATTAGAAACAAAGAAATATTTAATAACTTTTGCTGGTAAAATTTTTTGTAATTTTGGAAAAATATAAAGTATAGTTTATAACAATACATCAAATTGCAGTTTGATTAAGTATTAAAAGTCATAAAAATATTTATTTTCATTTTGAATGGAACAAACACAATCAGGGTTTTATTTAGAATGAGAAGTGAAGTCACAGATGCCAGGAAGAAAACCAAAAATATTGGCATGGCTGAAGAAAGAAATTGAGATAATTTTTGAAACTTCTTCATCCTGAATCTTTGCTCAATGAGGAGAAAAAGCAAGAACAGAAGAGTCAAGAACATTAAAAAAAAAAGATTAGATATACCCTTTTTACTAGTAATAGAATGTTGTTAAAAGGTTCTTTTTCTTACTATTTTTCCAAAGCAAAGGGTATTTTATTTCAGAACTGGATCTGCTGGACATAGGGATGATTTGCATCCCAGGAGAGATGGCGTGGGATAGTAAGAGATTTCATGTGCTATTTAAATGGTGCACAATTTAAAACTATGAATTGTTTATTTCTGGAATTTTCCATAAACATTTTCAGACCATAGTTCACTGCAGGTAGTTGAAATCACAGAAAGTGAAACCATGGATAAGGAGAAACCATAAGTAATGAAATTCTAAAACTTAAGTTTCAAATGAAAAGCAGTATTACTTACTGGAAAGAAGTACATAACAGATCTTTACTTTCTCTCCCTGAAGCTGTAAAAATTTTACTAACTTTTCCAAGACTAGATTGCTATAGTTCATCTATGAAACAGGTACCCTAAGACTGTACCTGTCTATGGCCAGGTGCAGTGGCTCACGCCTGTAATCCCAGCACTTTGGGAGGCCAAGGGAGGTGGATCACGAGGTCAGGAGATTGAGACCATCCTGGCTAACACGGTGAAACCCCGTCTCTACTAAAAATACAAAAAATTAGACAGGCATGGTTGTGGGCACCTGTAGTCCCAGCTACTCGGGAGGCTGAGGCAGGAGAATGGTGTGAACCCAGGAGTCAGAGCTTGCAGTGAGCCGAGATCGGGCCACTGCACTCCAGCCTGGGCCACAGAGTGAGACTCTGTCTCAAAAAAAAAAAAAAAAAGAAAAAAGAAATACTGGCTATCCCATGTATTCCCTCATGTTTTCAGCCCCTTTGCCAGTTAAGCAAGACCATGTAACTAGTTCTGGTCACTGAATTGTGGTCAAAATGAAGTATGTCATTTCTGGTTGAGGCTATAAAAAACATTTGTACAATTCTCCATTCTCTCTTTCCTTGTTGTTGCCCTTACCAAAGCCCATGTTTCTAGTGATGCATCTCCAGGATGGGGGTGTTTCGTAAGTCTGGATCCCTGACTGGCCGACTGTGTGGGATGGAGTTATTCCACAAGCATGGGGCTTGTAGCGTGAAAGAGAAGTACAGTTGTATAGTATTAGTCTTCTGAGATTTGGGGGATTGTGTGTATGTGTGTGTGTTAGTCCACTTTCATACTGCTATAAAGAACTGCCCGAGACTGGGTAATTTATAAAGGAAAGATGTTTAATTGACTACTCACAGTGCAACATGGCTGGGGAGGCATTAGGAAACTTACAATCATGGAGGAAGACAAAGGAGAAACAAAGCACCTTCTTCACAAGGCAGCAGGAAGGAGAAGTGCCGAGCAAAGGGCGAAGAGCCCCTTATAAAACCATCAGATCATGCCAAAGGAGAAAAAGAATATAAAACTAGAAATCAAGATCTCAAGTATCTAATTAAAAAAAACAAAAACAAAACAAACACAAAACTGGCCATGGGTTATCACAAAGACAATTGCAAACAAAAGCAGTTAATTCTCTGAAATTTTCTTTTTTAACAAGTTGAGTTGATGTCATATACAGATAGCTTCTACTCTTTACATTAGCAATTGTCTTTCTTACTATTCATTCAAAAACAAATATTGCTTGTCTATTATGCACCAGGCACAATGGGAATAACAGCAATACAATGACAAATGGTGCTTAGCTCCAAGTGTCACGGTTTGGCAGAAAAACAGGCAAGAAAATACTAGAATTTGTCTCATTAGATGTTCTAAGCGAAACATGGAATGACACTATGAGAACCCTGTAGAGAAAGGACCAATGCTTTCTAAGAAATGTTAGGTTAGAAATTACATAAAAGGTAATCCCTGACAGTCTTGGAGGATTAAAAAAAAAAGTTTGCCATACAAAACAATAAATTAGAGGGATTGCATAGAAGGAGGTGAATTTGTAAAGTTCACAAGTTGTGAGAAAATGTCATATTTAAAGAATTTTTACAAGTTTAGTATAATTGGGACATGAGATTCATACAGCAATAACCTAGGCAATGTATACAAAGCAAAAGAAAAAATGTCTTAGATGTCATGCAAAAGACTTGGAACTTTATCCTCAAGGGATAAGAAATTGCTTACAAATTTTAATCAGGAACATCACATGCCAATATTTTATTTTAGAAAGTTCCTGTTGGAATCAGCTTGGAGATTGTATTGCTGGGGAAGAGATGAAAGGCTGAGAGAGTGATTGGCATCTATTGTAACAATCCATGTAAAGAGTGATTGTGGCATGAAGCAAGCCAGTTGAAGTCGATATACGAGGATTGTATAAATTTAAGTGATATGTAGAAGTTTGAATAAGGAAGATGTAGTGATCGGTGGGATGTGAAAAGGAAAGGGGAAGAGGAAGGAGAAAATCGAAAGTTTCTTTCTCTGTGACAAAGTGGATGGTGATGCCAAATACAGGGATAAAATATATAGGAAGTAGAACATTGGAAATAATGTGATAAAATTATAGGGTCTATGGGCCAATGAGATAAAAATAAGCAATAGCTGAAATTATAGATTAAAATAATAGACAGACATCTAGGCTGATTTATAAAGAGGAGATAAATGGCTTAAAGTGTATGGAAAAATATTGGCTCATTTAACAAGAATCCATAGTTAGAGCAAATTAGGGTTGGATTATCTGGTGGTTTAAAATGGCCAGCCGAGCTCTGTAGTGGCTTCATCAGAAATTTACTAACTTTTGTGGCCATAGGATGGCTTCCAGTACAATAATCATGATTAAATATACATAGCCTTGTTTATGCCCTGTAGGAGAGTAGTGCTGATTTTCCATACTCTGTTTTATTTATTTATTTTATTCTCCCTAAACCTCCAGGGTATATGCTGTTTTAAATGCATGGAAACTTCAAACCTGGTCATTGCAGACCACTCTTTGAACTAGCTCAAATTGGTTTAGGCCAGCCAATTCCTAATTCAAGGAAAGAGGAATAGGATTAATAAGATTAACTCATTTTAACAACATTCCATCCCTGGAATGGGGGTTGTCTTGGAAGACACCCAAGCATAATAAGGGTTCTTACTGAGAATAAGGAGTGGAGTCACAGATACTAGGCAGACAACCAAAAATGTTGTCAGGGCTAAAGAAATAAATTGGGTTAATTTTTCAAACTTCTTTATCCTGAACCTTTGTTCAATCGAGAGAAAAATGGAAAAAAGCAAGAATATTTTTTAAAAAATACTCTTTGCTTCAGAAAATAGTAAGAAATATAACCTTACAACATCTTATTACTAGTGAGGCTAGAAAAAGAAGAGACAAAAATTCACATCACATTTTGTATGGTTATCAAAATGATACCCCAAATGCCAATTCCACATGGCATCCTTAGCGCTTCTCAAAAGTATTCATTGCATTTCCTACACATATGAAAGTGTGTTTGTCCACAATGTATGCACACACACGTACAAAGTGCAATATCTCACTTATTTCTTTAGCCCCAAGAGAATTATGCCCTAAGCTTGCTCCAGGCCATCCCTTTAAAAACAAGTCTAATTCTTTCAATGGAGTACCATAAATGAAATGGCAGATGTTAAAGAATATCCTGGGATCTTCCAAAGGCTGCTGACTTTACACTACAGTTTCACAGATAGGAAAAGGCTGTGATTAAATCTTACTGAACATTAATTATTCAAGAATATGAGCAAATTCATGAAGGTGGTGAGGGAGTCCCTTAAGGGCAAAAATGTCAGTTTGCATCAGGATTTCAGCAGGGGAGAGAAAATGAATGAAATGGGAAGGAGTAGAGAAGAGGAAACACAGAGCATGGCCTGTTAAATCTGCAGTTACTAAAAATACAAAAGATATGTTGTGGATTATCTGGTGCAAAAATTAGGAAGATGAATCTGATATACTTCCAGATATCAGGTGAAGCAGAGATTGCACAAACATAGAAGACAGAAATGGAGCAAAGAAATGGAAATGCCAGGCTTTGGAAATTCACAAATTGTTGGGGAAAGATTGAGACATTCACAGAATATAGAGAATTAGGGGGACAGGACAGGTTTATTCAGCTCTCCAAGAGGCAGGCTCAGCAGAGATCTGGGTGAAATTACATTAGGAACACAACCCTTTACCCAGCATCCTTATGTCATGGCCTATCACCAACTGTAAGGCCTGATGTGATCAATGTTCTCAGTTGAGTATTTGAGCCATTCTGCAGCATGACTCAAATTTCCTTTCCTATTTTATTCTTTACCATCCCTTACATAAATTCTATGTCCCAGCTAACCTAGATAGTTTAGCGTATTGTACAATTTCCTTTCAGTCCTTTCTCTTTTCCATCACAGTCTATGTTACTTTGAATACCTCTTTCCATCTCCACGTGTCTAGCCAATTATACCTGGTCCTTGAAGTCACTCAACAACTTTGTCTCTCTCTCCACCTCTCATTTCCACTTTAGATCACTTGGTTTCTAGCTTGATAATGCAGTGGTATTACCCAGAAACAACAACAAGAAAAACAAACAAAAAAAAAACAGAAAAGGCTATTCTGTGGCTAAAAGTAAGGTTTCAAATTACCTCAAAGGCCACTAAACTCTGGATTTTGAAATATGCTATTTAGTCATGAAATTGGAGACTCTGTCACAGTTTATCATCAATAGGTACAAGTTTTCAATGCTCTTATCATGTCTAGTAATAACATGTAATTGAATATGATGTGAGGCTTCGAGTTACTTTCAAAAGCAGTTAACCTTAGCCTCATTTTGGCAGTCCAGAACAACTTTCCATCAAACTTTGGTAATTTTTGTTCCTTGATTATTTTTTACACTTGTTTGTGTTTACTTTTATGTTCTTTTTAATCCTTATTCTTATTTTTCTCTTTATCCCTTTCCCTTCCTCCTGAATGATACTTGAGCATTTTAATAATGAGAAATAAAAGGAAGAGTGTTTAACTATAACTCCTCTCATTCACCCCAAATATAAACTGAAAACTTAGTTTATACTAATAGATAATCTTCATCTCAACAGATTGTAATTCCACAATTGGCCAGTGGCCCATGCTATTATTCAAACTATTATAATATGTTAAGAATGCAATGCCTTGAGAATATAATTATTATAAATTAAGGTACCCTGCTAGCTATGTGGGCTTCTCCAGCAGTTATAAAAATGTTGCCAAGATTACACTCTAGCAATTAGCCCCTAGCATGGGCTGCTAATGGATTTTACACTCAGTTTTAAGTGATATAGCCTAAGACTCTTTTAGCAAATAACTCTTAAAAGATGTTTTTAGATTGGATTGGGACAGACTAGCAGATCTTGGTCAATCACACAAACTTTCTCCTGTTTGATAAAATTGATAAAGCTGAGTAACATCTTAATAGTTGAGTCACAAATGCAAATATAAAAATATAAAAAGGCATAGCTTTTTAAAGAAACCTAAAGTCAAGTTCACAATGATCAATGTAAAAATTACTATTTTGGCAAACACAGTGTCTTTGCTATATGTTTTAGCGTTGCATGGAAGTGAGGATCTAGGATTTTTTTTCATTTATTTTATCACTATGAACAATCTATTGAGGGAATATATTTAGTTCACTGTGTCTGAGTGAGTCATTTAAGCTATAAATATAAAATTGGTATATCAATGGTCTGTGATAGAGGAAATGTAAACCAAAAATGACTATGCCATAATATATTTTAACAACAATAGAAAAAACACACTAAGAAAATCCTCCTCATCCTGAGGAGGAGAAAATATAAACTTATTTTTATCTGACAGAATAAAAACACAAACAACTGAGAAGGGTACAGAAGGTCAGCTCAGCTTAAGAAATTTTTCTAAGCACCTAATATGTCAATAAGACAATCTCTGTCACATATGAGAGTTAGGCTCATGAACAGATGATTTCAGTATAATCTAGAAAATATTCCGATAGAACATTTCAAATAGAGCAATGCATATAAATGACTTGCCATTATGCCTGCATAGTAAGAACAAGATATGTGTAAGATATGATACATATATTACGTATTAAAGTGCTAATGGGGAAAGAGGGAGAAGCACTTAGCCCAGGATAATGATGTACTCTTGGTTACACAACTAGTGCCAAAAGCAGCTAAAATTCAGATTTCTGAACACCCACTCTAATGCCTTTTTCCAAAAGGGCATGGTGCTTACAAGCTCCACTGTGATGAAATCTTGGAGTTAAATAGTAAGCAGCACCTGCTAAAATGCATTTGCCATTCTTTTCCCTCCTTGAACCCCACCCAAATAAAAAGAAAACAGTTTTAAATACTAAAGTTATGTTTTTCTAATAATAGCTTTAACTAGGATGACATCTGCAATAGACAACAGTGGCATTTATATTTCTCATATATAAATAAGTCACACAACACTTTAAAGGTTAAGTGATGCAAACTATATAGTTACATACAAAGGACTCTTCCTCCTTCTGTTCATTGGCAATTGACATCCAGAAGATCCTCTCTGTGAATGTTTTATTTCTTTCCCCCACTCTGCTGCCTATGAATTTGGGTTTGCGGTTTCACCATGAGACATTCTTGATACAGTTTCATAGATAAATTCAGGGAGGAGTTAATGTAACGCCTTTTAGTAAAATTAAACCTATTAGTTAAAATGTACTCTATCATTCCAAGTGAAACAAGGTCTAACAGCATGCCTCCAAGTTCTTGTATTCTAATATATGCTTACTTACATCAAAAGCCAACTCTCTTGATTTTAAAAATATCTTGCATGGTGAAATGGGAATGCTAATGCCAAATTGGAAGGTTGATTTAAGGACCCACATGAATATTTTAAGATCATTCAACCAAAAGCACTCTACGCTACCAGTTTATCTACCAACAAAAGTACAGTGCAATTTATGAACCGGATTTCCTTGAAAAATCAATTTAGGGGGATTAATTACTTAAGAAAAGGCTGTTTCTGATATTGTGTTTCTTTTCAGAAACAGAAAAATAATGTTCCTGCTATGTCTGCCATTACATGTGTTGCCCACTGGCTGATCCCTGACCATCGACCTCAAAAACCTAGGACTCTAAACTGTGAATAGTGAAATTGCTTTATCCCTAAAGGAGATTTTGAAGGTAATTTATTTCAAAAAGGATCCAAAGACTTGCTCTTCTTAGAGCCTAACATGAGAGCCCCTCATTCATATCCTAGTGGCTGAAAATGGCATGGAAACCAGTGTTTAATAGCTTGACTGGGTATATGTTTCCCCATCCATAAATCCATCCCTCTCCCAAGTGGTTTGCAAACACTGCATTTTTCCAGGAAGGTACAGTAAATTTTATATATGTGCCATAAGTGGCTCTGAAGACAAGCCCTGGCCCATATGCTCAGGGCCTAAAGTGACGCTGTCAAGAGTGAAGGGGAATAAGGCCATGCCGCTGAAAGCAGAGCAGGCTGCCTGTCCCTTCTGTTTGTTTTTCATGTGGTTGTACAGTAACTCCGGGCATTTCCTCCCACACAGATGTATATTCTCAGCCTCAGAGGAAGGAGGCCAAAAGAAAGAAATCAGACTGCATGGGAAAACAAAAGATAACAGTAAATGTGTGGGTGGGGAATAGAACAAATGTGAGCTGAATGGAGTTTTGCTGGGCCTGCTACCTCTGAAGCTATTTGGCTTTAATTAAAAGCTCAGTAAAGCCTGTACCTTTCCCACTAGATTGTGGGCAGCTTACAGACAGGGCCTCTGCCTTACTCACAGGTGTTTCCTGCTCAGTGACTCACACGGTTTTGCACACAGTAGGTGTTCATATCATGTCTCTAGAATTAAATCTACTGCTGGGGTTCTTCTGTTATACCGGCAGGCAAACATGAAGGCCCAGGACAGCTTGAGTTAAAAGCAAAACTGCTGGAAGACATTACAACACTGAAATACTACAGGGTTTATGGTGTTGCCATGTGCTGAAAGCCTTGGGAGACCAAAAATCTGAGTCACCCTTGAAAGGCAAATTACTTTGTAGATAGGAGTGCATTGTAATCAGATATTTCTAATAAGAATAAAATTAAAAAATGTTTGTTCTCTTTAACATTTAGCCTTCCGTAATCAGTACTTCTTGTTCTAATGAAAAGTGCCTTTTGTTAATACTATGCTTTCTGTACTTTTTAAAACTTGTGCATACATTTAGAAAAAAAAATTGAACAACATAGGGCTAATGAGTTCATGGGCCCAGTACATTGCTTTAAAAATAATCTTGAGCACATCATTTATACAGTTCTGATTAATGTTTTATGAGGATGTATTAAGGACAATGTTTCTAACAGTAGCAATATGTAAACTGTGAAAAATTAACAAATCATCTGCTATATAATATTTCACACTTGGACATCTATAACAATAGGGATAAAACCTATTCCAATCATTGTGGAAAGCTCATCAGATTCTTCTTCCCAGCAATGAACAGTTTTCTCAAGGGGCAGATTATTATAGTTCTCGCCTCATTGTTGGTGGAGCATAAGCCCAAGAGGCATATATGTATATATCAAGAACTTATTAACACCTTTTGTAAGAATCTGTGTCTGAGGATGGCGATAAAGGAGCCAGGTGCTTTCAAACAAGGCACCGAGCACTTACTGGTAGCTTTCTGAATATCCCCATATCTTCTTCAGAGTTAAATTTTCAAACAAAGGAGATATTTACCTTGCCAGTCTAAGCAATAACTGCCAATTTGGGAAACTCTTGTACCTCAGCAGTTTAAGAAATCTAAAGAGTCTGTAGGAAAATAATATGTTCAGGAAAAAACACAAAATTTATAAACATAAATACTTTTTTCTACTATGTTCTGCAGAACTGCATGCAGCCAAATATTTCTGCAGATAGACAACAAGACAAGATATCCAACAGTTAGTGTTTGTTCTGTTTCTTGCCTTCTGAGAACAATGACTTCAGAATGAACAATAGTAAATTCGGAGGGAATCATAGAGAATGAAAATGTTATCTAGTTGACCTTAAATGTTTCTCACAAGATTTCCTGCAGGTTCTCCTGAATCCCAGGCTGATACTGTGTGGGGTGCACAGAATGACACAACATAATGAAATACTTTGGTTTTAAAAATAAAAACATATTATTTTCTTCACTGGAGATTTGCTATTTGCAGGCAGATCTTCCATCCTAAATTTGGTTGCAAGAGATACCAATGATCTGATAGCATTTATTATGAAGGGTTCCTTAAATATGTTTAAGCACTTCATTGCTTTTTTCCTCTAATCTGTCTGAACTCTCCAAACACTCCTGAGCAGGTAGGGGAAAAAAAATGCAATTTTATCATAATGAAAACTGGTGATCCCACCTACTCAGTTCCTACCATATTGGTATTTTAGTTTACATTTGCAAATTTTTGTCTATTCTAAGAATGACTCTCATTTAATGTGATCTCCACCAGGTACTTATAAGAAGCACTAATAATTATGTTCTTGGCATGCTCATGTTAATTAAACCTAAGCAAGAATGAAAAAGAGTAGAACCCAGTGTCTAGCAAAGTTATCACAAGCTTACTCATCTATAAGCAGTAGGCAGCTACATATTGTTATTGTACAAAGCACTTCTAAAATATGTTGTCATTTGGCTCAAACTTAATGGAAGCTTAGGATGGGTACTTTAATGATTGGAACAGTGACTCTGTCTAGCGTAAGATACAAAACTAATGAAACTGGCAAGTTGTCTTCTTTAAGCCAGCAAATTCTCTGCTCTAAAAATCATGTCTGTCTGACAAGCAGGAGTGTATGTCTCACAGCAGATCCTAGAGCATTTACATTCTCTCAGATTTCCATATTTCATATTGCTTCTTCTTCCCTAGGTACAAAACAACATGTATTGATTCAATATCACCCTACTGTCTATTTTAATTGAAATCTTCAGCATATACAAACATGTCAAGAGTTAGTAATAAAAAATACAACTAAAAGCTCAACAAGCAATAGATATAGATCTTTGGGGGATTCAAAATCTTATTCTTTCACTTGGTTTTTGAATTATATTAATGGCCACAAATGATGACGCAGTAGCACAAGGGATCAGACTCTGCTCAGCTAATGTTTAGAAATTCCATAAACATAACCTGCTCCATAATATCTACCCACCAGACTGACCTCAGCAGTGAAAACACCTATTACAGTAGCATTTGGGTTAAGCCATATTTTACTCCAAAAGATGCTTGTGAAATACAAACACACTAATGAAAGGGAAGAAATCATGAAGCTAGTTTGAAATTAGCGTTGATTCACTCTCTTTGTGATGTCATCTTTTTGGGAGGTGGGTCTGCATGATCTGAAGTAAGAATTCAAAAAAGCGAAATACCAGGAAAACAATACAAGATTTTTTTTTTTTTTTTTTTTTTTTTTTTGAGACAGAGTCTCATTCTGTCACCCAGGCTGGAGTGCAGTGGTGTGATCTCGGCTCACTGCAACCTCCGCCTCCCGGGTTCAAGTGATTCTCCTGCCTCAGCCTCCCGAATAGCTGGGATTACAGGTGCGTGCCACCACGCCCAGCTAATTTTTTGTATTTTTAGTAGAGATGGGGTTTCACCATTTTGTCAGGCTGGTCTCAAACTCCTGACCTCATGATCCGCCTACCCCAGCCTCCCAAAGTGCTGGAATTACAGGCTTGAGAAGAAATTTTTAGCAAACAGTGAAGGTAAGAAAAGACTTAAAGGAAGCTGGTCATTCTTCAAAATTTTGGCAAGCAGAAACCATCCTGACTTTCAGTTTCTCTCTTTTCTTCCTTATATATATTAAGCTATCACATGATTTGCTAAGTTACATCTTTGGAAGATGTAATGAATAGATTATACAACTAATTGGAAAGTTGAAAAACTTTTATGTTGAGAAATATTCGGATAATAGCCACAATTTATGCTATGTTTTAAGTGTTCCCGGCAGTGTTAGCTATTATATGATATTATTAAAACTTACCGCAGCCATGCAAGACTGACATTATTGTCCAATTTTATAGGTGGAAGAAATAAAACTCAGAGAAATTAAGTGGCATCTTCAAAGTCACTCTGCTATAAGTGATATAGTTGGAATTAGGTGCTTGTGTTTCTGCCTCCAAATCCTATTTCTAAAATAATTATTTGGTGCTGCTAAACTCTGGGAGATATCAATAAGCAACATGAATGATAAGGGCAAGCAAGCAGGGAGTACAGTATATATAGCCAGGGGCTCAGTAAGAGGGGGTCAATGGGGACGTCCTGAGAAAGTGGCACTAAGGTGAGAGTATAAGTTAGCCCTTTAATAAGGGGTTAGGGAAAGGAAAGGGGAGATGATTTCAGGCAGTGGAAAAGTGTGCCCTCAGGCCAAGAAAGAAATAAGAGGTTAATGGGCTCCAGGAACTTGAAAAAGGTGAGGTCTGCAGGGGTCAGCTCTCAGATCACCTTGTAAGCTTAGTTAAGGACTTGGGAGGTTATCTGAAGGCTAAGTGAAAAATCCACGGGAAGTTTTACTTGGAAGGATCCTATTTGCATTATAGAAGATCAATCTAGCAGCAGCTGAAAAAAAAAATCACAACTGTAGGTTGCATTAGAGCATATAAAAAGCCAGGTGCACACAAGAAGAAGGTAGGAGGGAGGTGCAGCCATTCAGATGAAATGCCCTGGTAGAGGTAGGGAGTGAATGTGGGTTGACTTAGGGAAGTGAGATTTTTATATAGATTATATATAAGTATATAAATTCATGAGATATGTATTAGGCAGAAAGAACCGATTTATTCGACGGTGGAGGCGGAAGGTGGGGGATCAAAGGATGATTCAAGGTTTCTAGTTGGAGGAGGTGGTTAATGCTATCTACTAAGATAAGCTACACAGGCAGAGCAGTAGAGTGTCCCATTTTAGAAAGAATGAATTTGATGTGCTGCAGATATCCATATGGTGCTGCCCATATGGACATGACAAGTAAGCCGTTCCATCAGAGCTTGGAAGTGAGTTAATGGTCTAGAGATGCAGCACACAGCCTGAGACAGGGTGGAGAGGTTTTGAGCTACGGAATGCCTTGTTTCAGAGAAGCCAGTAGGAGCAGGAGAGAGCTCAAGGTGGATGAAATAAAGATCAAAAGAGTGGAACTTACATTGAGCACAATCTACAAGCAGAAAAAAATGGGAATTTTAATTTCCATCTAGGTTATCCAACTCATTTTTTTAAATGGAAAAAAAGAGGAATTTGTAGCAGAGCTTTGTCCAAAAATAAATGCCAAATAAGTGCCACACATATGTTTAGAACTTTACTTTTGCTCTATCCTCCAGGAACTGCAGAATGGAAGAGAGAAGCATAAGGATATGAAAGCCACAAATAGCACAGACGAAACAGGACATAGGACAAGAAACAGCAAAGTGTCATAGAATAAAGAAAATAAAGTATGGCACGGTTGATGGGGAAATTCCAGTAAACAGTATAAAAAACACAAAGGATACTGGTAGGGGAGCATTGACTAAAATAAACATAGAAGACATTAGGGTACACAAAATATACAAAGAAGACATTAGGAGAGAGACAGCCTCTTTATTCTCCAGACCACAAGCTATCTCAAAAGGAGTGACTTTATGCTGAATTAATCTCCTTCTATATTTGTGCACTCAAACAAACTAAGCAATACGAAATACCTTTGTGATTCACTGGTAGAATAAGGTGTATGATTTGCCTTTTAAGACAAGTTGGCATTTACATTAGGCATATGAACAATACAGATGACACAATTTAAGTTTATAATTTCAGTATTTATCCAGGCCCATGTTTGAAGCAAAAATCTCATGATTACTTGAATAACACCTAGCATTTAATGAGCATTTACTATATACCAGATATTGTTCCAAACAATTTATAACAATTAACTCATAAAATGCTCATTAAAAATCAATATAAGCTAGATATTATTATCCCACTCTTTTCAGTGAAAGTGAGTTCTCTATTATGAAATGCTCTACAATTATGGAAGCTCTTAGTCACCAGTGTAAGGACACACATTGCCAATTTGCGCCCTCCTCCCTCACCACATCCCTACGTTGGGAAAACCAACAACCCAATGTAACAGACTGGTGAAATAACTGGCAAAGAAAGGAAGGGACAAACCATTACATTACAAAAAATTTTCTGACCATGCATTTAGAATAATTTTCAAAATCTCTTCAAAATGTTAATAGTTCACACTGAGGACACTAACTTAGTTAACAGAAGAGTTAATTTAAACACCCGCTCTTTTGAAATTGTATTATTTTTATTTTCATGTTTTTAATTTGCAAATAAAGATCTAAATATATTTTATTATTTACCTATCTACACACACCCACAGACAAGCAGACAAAGACCTTTGGTTATTTTATCTTGGAATGTGTGAGCTTTTGTACACAGTGGCTCAAAAGATGTTGGTTTCATTATAGTTGATCTCCTACATACTTTACTTTTGTTTGAAAATAATTTATTCAAGAGTCTTAAAAGCCCTAATTAGCAGCCTCAGAAATTAGATAAATTAGTATTGGTAGAGCTTCAGAATTTTTCTTTCTTTCTTTTTCTAATGCACATATAATGGATATATGCAAGTTTTTGACAATTATGTTAACATTCAACATCGCAGAAAAGAAATATATTGCAATGTTTAAAATTATTGAGAAATGTGTTGAAAATGTTATAATCTCTGTTGAGATTGATTATAATCTGTTATAATCAATGTTGAGAAATTTGTTATAATCAAAGCAGCTTAAAGAGTTAAACAGAAATAACAGGCCCAAAATCAACCTGAGAGAAATCACAGTCCTTAATCAGAAACATTTATGTCCCTGCATCTGTCATATTATCCAGCACTCTGACTTGTAGGCAATGAATGGTCCAAAAAATACATATATTTGAAAGGGGAAATGAGAGAATATGTTGGGCTGGGCAAATATAGAATAAGCACAGCTCTATTTGCTTAGAACGTCAGAAAACCGTATGATTTTAAATTTATCTTGAGGGTCTAAATTCTTCCTAAAATTCCTGTTAAAGTTCTCACTATTGTGTTGGTCCTTTTATGAAACTCAATTTCCATTTTATGGATTATATTTTATTATTTGCACTTAAAAGTCACTGAACTTTTTTCATTCTATCTGGGCTTTTCCCCTTTGGGGAAAATATTACACATACTAAAAAATTATTCTTATTTGCTATGTGAGTTTTGATATTATTATAGTACATTTGTCAAAACATTAAATATAAGAGTAATAGATCCTATAGGACACATTGGTCAAAGTGAACTCTGACAGGCTCCAGCTTATAAATGTGAAGTTATTTTTCTAAAATTCTGGTACAGTTGTTAAGATTTTAAGATAGTTACATGTATATTTGAACAGGTATTATAAGCAGAATCAGTAGTCATACAATTCACATTCACTGAGTGTCTTTAAGTGGACAATACTCCCCTTAAGATTTTTGGCTTGATTCAAATAGAATTATGTATCCTAGACCTTCCTGGGCAGGTGGATTTATATCCTAAGACAAACGGGCTGTGTGCAGTGGCTCACGCCTGTAATCCCTGCACTTTGCGAGGCTGAAGCAGAAGGATCAGTTGAGGCCAGGTGTTCAAGCCTAGGCAACATAGCAAGACTGCATCTCAAAAAAAAAAATTAGCTGGGCATGATGGTGTGCACCTGTAGTCCCAGCTACTCAGGAGCTGAAGTGGCGGGATGCCATGAGCCCAGGAATAACAGGTTACAGTGAGCTATAATCACATCACTGTATAGTCTGGATGATAGAGTGAGACCTTGTATCCAAAAAAAACCCTTAAAAACACTAACAAAAATATTGTCTAAATACAAACAGTGCAATAATTACAGAACACAGAGGGCCAGGGACGGTGGCTTAAGCCTATGATACCAGCACTTTGGGAGTCTGAGGAGGAAGGATCACTTAAGGCCAGGAGCTGAAGACCAGCCTGGGCAACATAGTGAAACCCCATCTCGATGAAATTTTTTAAAAAAGAACAAATAAATAGAATATTTTAGAAGACAACATGCAAAAATGTATAGATTTGCTAAAATGAAATCTTCAAAACTGATTGCTGTTATTTTAAAAGGTGAAGTTGCATATATTAAGCTATTTTAAGAGGTCTTATTAATTCTCATAAGGTGGTTAATGTACTAAATGAGGCCAGGGTTACAATTTACTTATTTAACAGTCAAGTGCTTATTTGTGTAGAAGAATGTTTGGCACTTAAAAAACAGCACTGAAGGCCTAATTAACAAAAATGTGATTATTTCTGGATCTGATCACTCCATCTATTCTATTTAGCTAGCTGACCTGATAACATCTATCTATGTATCTCTATGTCTCTTTTTGTATCTCTGTGTTTATTTAATTTCCTGCTGCCAATAAGATGCATAGTCAATTATTACTTATATTCCCCCAAAGAGAGGACAGAGGTTCAATATTACAGATGATAAAGAAGCTTTCTTGATAGAAGTCTGTCTCAGGGGAATAATTTAGGGATAACCCTAGCCTCCTTAGAGTTACTTGCATTTCATGAGAGACAACAAAATGTAAACTGAAGGGCCCATGTTCTGAAGTTATAACCCCTTTGTTCAAATCATGGCTCTATAATAATATAAAAACCTTGACTGATTAACCTCTCAATTCATGTATTTCCTCCTCTGCAAAGTGAGGATAAAAATGGTAACTTGGTTATGACGTATTATGACAATAATATGGGATAATATATGTAAAGCACTTAGCATAGTGCCTGGTACTTAGTGAGTGTCAGTGGATGCTTTATCATCATCATGATCATCATCCTGATCATCATCATCATCTACCACACCATCATGAAGACAGGAAGGATAGATTCAACTCAAACTTTTAAGATAGCACTGATAATGTATGTACAAATTTATATACACTATGCAAAAAATTTTGGATACAAAGATGAACAATTATTTATACTGTGTCTATATTACTACCATATCTGTCAGATAGTCTCAGATTCATGACCATACAGAGACTTAATTTTAAATATATAGATTATAACTATGATTTGAGTATTCTTGTCTTTTTACCATTTCTGGTTAAAGATTGGCTCATTTGAAAACCAACTGTGCTCAACTCAGGACACACTATTTTGAAGTGTCTCCTAGGGGTTAGGAATACGCATAGATTAACAAAGTTACCCTATGAATTCTGATTTGTGTTTTCAATCTCCAGATTGAAATGCATGATACAAAACATACTTTCCTTAGAGTAGTGGCTGCTTGGTTGATGAATGGAACTAACTGGGTCTTAATCTGATTAACATGAGCTTGGGAAAGAGGTGCTAATGCTGACTTCACACCAAAGAGAAGCATGACCTTTAGTCTCGGTGACTGTCCATCTCACTGGCATGGTTACTTAGTGAGTGGAAGGATAACGCGCCTCGGATTTCCTAGAATTCAATATCATTGATTTACTATATGGCAACTTTTTTCCTGGGGAGGCATGGCAAACAGATTATAGGCTTTAAACACAAAACAATAGCTATAGTATTATCTACCACTCACAGAAAATCACCTATATGTCACAAACTAGTTGGCGAGTGGGAATGAAAATTGGATAAGACCAGATATAATAAAGATTGACTTTGAATTCAGAAAGATCTAGGTCTGAATCCTGGTTCTACAAATGACAATTAATTGGCTGTGACCCAATTATTGAATGACTCAGAAATTCTGTTTTTTTTTCTCTAAAAATAGACATGATACTTAGCTTTTAAATTTGCTCTGATAATAAATACTATGACCATCAGAAAAACTCAGGTCAATCAATACACTTGACCATCATAAGCTAACCAGTAAAATGTGGTGTTCTTCCTTTCCTTTTTCTTCCTTGCAATTTTATATTGTTGTTGATATTTTTTTCTGACTCATAGTGTTCTCTGAAACTCTGTAATTATAAATGTGTAATTAAAAATCCAAAAATTAAATTTTTCTTACACATTCCCAATTTATATCCAATTTGAATAGCAGTGTGCCTAAACAATAGCTTTATAAATTTACAAGAAGGCATTATGTCAGAGTTCTTATACGTTATATTATCTGATATTTTCTGTTTTTATTAAAACATTGTAAAAGAATGTTTGCTATGTTATTGGAAAAGGAATTTTCATGACTTCAGAAATTTTATCTCTCAGTATGTAAATAAAGCTTATTTGTTCAATGTACACATATATCTTTGTGTCTATGTGTATACGTCCACACACACGTGCGAACATACACATCATCCAAGAAAAAGTTCTAGGCTTTTAAACAAGAGCCACAAAACCAGTGTCTTAGCTTCTCTGCAGGATATGATTGAACACTCCTTATCTTATTATAGTGACCCTGTGTTCTCCTGTGCCAAGTGTGCACGTCCCAGCTGTGAATTTAAACCCAATCTCATTTTAAGTTTCCATTGTACTCAGTATGATCCTCATTTTTCACTGCATTGCCCTCGTCAGGGCCATGGTCTAGTCTAGGACACTACCACTGATAAACCAAAAGCTGTAATTGAACTTATAACTACACATACTTTTCCTCCCGCCACAAAAGTATTCCTATAAATGAGAGCGAATAGACTTTCATGCTTTGAAGATGGTGGGTAATCTTAAATAGCAATAACAGTATGCCCATGATCAATGTCAAATAGAAACACTGTGTAACTGCCTCACATCTGACTCTCAAACAGGTACAAGTAATTGTACTCATACGTTAGCACATCTTTGAAAAGCACTTTTAGATGGTGGAGATGGAGACCACCTGGCAAGGGAAGCCCATATCCTGAAATTAATCAAATACAGCTAGACTGCAAATATATGCTTTCTAATAATTGTAAACACATGTACTCTCCTTGTTTTTAGGTGTATTTTTTAAAAAGAAAGGTCTTTCAATATTTATTGAATAAAGACTGCTTAAGGGGCATTTTAGTAGATAACCACAGCATAAGTTAGGGCCTTCCAACTGCACCTGACTTCATGCTGCCCTCTTCTTCCTCTTCTTACATAGCTGTTCCCTGGGAGAGTCTGAGCTCTCACAGGGCCTCTCAAGAATCCTGAACCAAAATTTCAGGCTTAACTTGGTCCTCTCCTTCCTGTTCTTTCTCCCTTTATCTAAAACAGCAAGCACATTTGCACAGTTGTTCACATATAACTTCTTGCTACCCAGAAACTTTCATTCTTTTATGCAATAGACATCAGCTCCCTACGGTGTGCTAGCATTATTCTAGATGCTGAGGACAAAGCACAAAGTTCATGATCTCGTGAATCTGACATTTCAATGGCGAGACAGGAGTAAAAAAAAAAACAAATTTCAAATATATATATATATTATATATATATAGTGTGTATATATATATATAGTATATAGTATATATAGTGTATATATATGGTATATATAGTATATACTATATATAATATAAGTGTTATAAAGAAAAATACAGCAAGGTATGGAATGCAACATGTTGTGGAGGGTGATTGCAAATGAAGTGGTCAAAGAGGGCCTCTCACAATAGAGCAGTGACCGGGATTATACAAGAAGAAGTATAGTCATGTGGCCGTCTTGGGAAGAGAGTCCAGGCACATACGGCTCAAGTGTCCTTTCAAGACACTAATGAAGCTACTAAACACGTGCCTAATCATATGGGGTAACACAGGAAGCTTAACAGAGTAAACCGTCTTGAATGAAGAGATGCATTTATTTCTGTTGTGACACTAATTTTCTAATTAACTTTTCAAAAAATTTTACAGAAATTAACTTTGAAGCTATCAGTTTCTCAGAGGTGTTTACTGCCTTAACGGCATCCATAACAACAACATTTTGTATCTGTGTATTTCTGTTGTTTGTTTTTTGTTTTTTGTTGTTTTTTTTTTTTCTGCATGACAGCCCACCACTTCACTAGATGCTCAAAAAGTTTAACAAACATGTTTGCAAAATGGAGAAATGCTGTTTATTATGAGCTGTGTATGGGGGTATGAGTATGAGGGGGTGTGGCTCTAAATTCAGAGAGACCTGGATAAGAATTCTAGTTGTGCTATCGCTGTCTGTGTGACTCTGGGCAG
Source organism: Homo sapiens (assembly GCF_000001405.40). Lineage (NCBI taxonomy): Eukaryota > Metazoa > Chordata > Mammalia > Primates > Hominidae > Homo > Homo sapiens. The sequence goes on from NC_000013.11 coordinate 67,060,085, forward strand.
GTTACTAACATCACTTGATCTTCACTATGACGATTCACAAAGGAAGGCAAATAACACATTGCTGGAAGAATTTCATGAGGTCAGGTAGATAAAGTGTCTGAGCCCGGCTTGGCACTCAATAGGAGCAAAAGAGATCGTCCATGGTGAGTATTTCCCATGCTTTATTCTGTATCATTTTTACAGCCACCCTGTGCTCTATGCATTATTACTCCCATTTTATCCAGGAGGAAATGGAAGTTCTGAAAAGTGAGGTAATTTTCCCCACACGCTCACATCTTGGAAGTGGAGGGCTAAGCTTCAACTCTAGGATTTCTTCAACCACGAACACCTGGCTTTGTTTGTTTCCTGTTTTTGTTTTTTAATCTGCTATGTCACTTCACAAATAAATGATAACTATTCTTTGTTCTCACCTGTCATACCTAATCACTCTCTAAGACCTGAGTATTGTTTTCACTTTGTTTTTTTAAATGACTCTTTTATTAATCCCCTCATTTCCATTCTCACTGCCAGCACCATAATTCTGACAATTATCACCATATAATAGAAATACGGTGGCATTTTAAATCAGCTTTTTAGCTTTCATTTCCTCCACCTTCCCCAAATTAGTTTCCTTAAATCACTCTCAGAGCAATAATCACTGATTTAGACCCAAGTAGGGCATCAAATTAACAAAGACCTAGTTCATCTACTCCATCCTTTCCTAGGTGATGTGAACTGGATATTTCCCTCCACAATTCCTCATTACTAGGAATATATGAAGCTTCTATGCTGTATTCTCTTTAAAGGCTTCCTTTAAGATCATTAAAACTAGAACTCGTATGCATCACATCTTTGTGAAGGAAGTAAGAGTACTTTATTTGACAAATAAATTCTGGTTTGTCCTATTTTTAAAAATCATGATTAAAGAACCAAATAAAGCTACATTTTCAATAGCTGACAAGTTAAGTGACATTTAAAATTTTAATTACTGCTTTTGTACTCATATGAAGTTAGATGATGTCAGATGAAATATGGAGAAAAGATAATATGTGTTGTTTAGCAGCAGTAAAAACAAAAACAAAAACTTAAACCTTTTCTTTCAAATAAGTAACATTTCCTCCCCACCCCAAATCTCCTACTGTTTCCATTACCCTAATTTAAGCAGTTGAGAGATACTTCTGGAGATCATACCTTGGGTTTCTTTCAATCACAGAAGTTATCAACAGGCTTTTTTTTCTGTTTATTTGACTACCTCAACTGAACTGCAAGGTATTTGAAAGTAAGAACAATGTTTCAACCATATCTTTCTGTCTGTCTGTTTGTCTGTCTCTCTCCCTCTCTCTCTCTATATATATATGTATATATGTATATCCAACACAGTTACAAAATAATTGCTATATTCAAGTGCATAGAAGCTATGGTTTGAAAACTGGCAAGAAGCACATTTGAAATGACATCATGACTTATGAAAAAAGGATTGGTTTAAAAATACATGTCCTTTCCAAAAATTTTACTTTTTAGTGGAGTCATTCCTGGACCTTTTGTCTTTAGAATATTTATAATAAAGCTATTTGAAACCCAAATCAATTAACTTTCTCATTCCCCTTCATGTCTCTTACCCCTCAACAAACTCTCAAAAAGAAAGGTGCGTTTTAAAAAATGAATTATACACATGTTCTTAGTGGGTTTACAGATAAAGAAAAACAACCTTCCTACTGTTTTACATTCTCAAACATTTTCAGGTAATTATCTGAAACAGACCTTGTAAGAGCAGAATTCCTTTCTTGAATCGTCTTTTGGGCAGAATCCAAAGGCAAAAGGACTGAAATAAGGAAATCAATTCCTGCCAAGGAGTGCCTGAAAAGCTCCAGCTAAATGAACTGATGTAATCTCAGTACAGGGCTAGTAGGCGGTAACGGCAGGGAATTCTCATTACTCCTGAATTTTGAGGAGGAAGGAAAAAGAGTAAAGTACTCTAGCAGTTTCAGCTGGTGGAAGTCAAAGATTACTGATAAGGCATGGGCCGAAGAAGTGCTCCCTTGATTCAGCTTGGGCGATGTGTCTTACACTGTTTCACCTGGCCCCAAGTGACAGCAAATCAAGGTACCACTATCAATTTTATTTGCCCAAACAGATAGTGAAACATAGACAAGAAATTGGAGAGATTAGATAGATAGATTAAAAAATGAAAAAAATACAGCACATTTAAGCTTGTGACCTGTGTCCCAAATCCCTCAACATATTACAGGAAAAATTCCAGTGTTTATCTGAATGGGCACAAGCATGCTTTGGAGTCATGTGACAAAAGAAAAGCCTTCTCTGTAGTTCCCAAGAATGGTAAGGGAGAAATCTGCAGAGGATGCAAGATTTCTTTCACAATGTTAACCATCTCAGATAATATAAAAGGCAAGCACATCTCCTGGTATTTCACTGTATGACTGCATATTGCATATTGTATATTGTTAACTCACATTTGCAGAGACTGATGTATATTGAAAAGGAAGAAAAAGAGAATCATCAGGAACTATGAACAATTGTGTGTTCTGTACAACATCTGGAATACTGGTCTTAAAGAACTATTCCTTTGCTCTTGAACTTGCAAAATTGTATACAGATATATTTCATACAGCAATCTACGGAATTATAAAAGTATTCTGAAGTCAGAAGATTTGGGAATGAATTTGTGTCCTAAGACAATTGTGGAGAAATTAGCAAAACATGCTTTAGTTTAATTAAATTGATGATGTAGATTTGGTCCTTTCTAATATGTTTCAGAAAAATAGGATATATTCATTTTCTTTCTTTTAAGAGGGAAGAGAAGCAATCCAGAAAACATGCATTAAAGCTTCCTAATCAAGATCAGCTTTTATTGTTAAAAAGTGCTAAGCAGAGCCTAAGAGGTGAAATTATGATGGTATTAGTACTCTATATTTACTTAAAGGTTATGCAAATCAGGATAGTCTAGATTATGCTGCAGAAAATAGCCCCAGATTCTTAATGGTTTAAAGCAAACAAGGTGTATTTCTTACTCATACTACAAGTCCATCTCAGGTCAGCGGGTGGCTCTATTGTTAATTGTACTCACTTTGTGGTCTTAGCTGATGGAGCAAGTACTACCCGTAACATTGCTGGTTGCTATGGCATAGTGAGGTAGAGAGTTCTGGACAATCTCCCGTAAGCAATTACATGCTCCAGCCCAGCAGGGATAAACCTCATACCAGCCCACAATTCATTGTGTACCATTCACAAGGGACCATCTACCACAAAAAAAGCCAGGAAGTATAAATACCAGAAGCAGCAGCTGCCATTTATTAAGGTCCAACTACATGCTAAGCTTGGGGAGGTGCTTTAACTACTTTGCATAATTTTAATACTTACAATAACTCTTGCAGGTAGATATTATTAAAATTCCATTTAGCTTACTAAATGAATCTGAGGCTCATAGAATTTAAAAAGCTTTCCAAGGCAAAAAAAAAAAATGCTACCACATTCTGATTCTGATAATGGTCACCCTCCTTTCCTCTATACTATACTGCCGATTTGCCAATGAGGTCTCACATGCTTTTTAATTCGTTGCTTTAAAAACAATAGCAAAATGCCTGTTTCATGCATAGAGCCATTTGGGTTTGATTTTATACTTTATATAACAAAACGTCTGTGAGCAAATTAATGACATAGAGCTAAGACATGGTTTTAATAGCTTATTTATAGAAAAGGAATGAGCAGCCATAACACAAATGTGCTCAAAGTAGATATTGTTTCTATTTCTTACAACACAAAAGTGTACAACAAATAGGTTGCAGAGTGATAGGTACTATGAGGAATTGATATGATATTTATATAGTGTCAAGAGTCCAGCCTATAGGAAAATTGTAGAGAGAGCAAGAACATTTTGCATAAATTATTTAATAGAAAAAAGAAATAGGATACTCCACTCTATGAATCCCCTCTTTGCTTCTTTTCTTTGCTTGGATAGTTCTCCTGGCCTCATTGTTAACCTCAGAAAATTGTCCCATCTGGTCCCAACTGTTAAAGTGCTGGAGACCTCTGTTGAGCAGCATCTTCAAAATTGCCAAGTGTTCTAACTCCCTGATATTAGAAAACAGTAGACTGGAAAATTACAGGAGATTGGTTTCCATAGACCCTTGTTTACAACTGTAGCTTGTAACTAGACAGCTCCAACTCATTCTATGGCAAGTGGTTTCTCAGAAAATTCTCTAGATCAGAAAAAAACAACCTGTGCAGCGAATTTTAAATCCTATTTATTCCTTCCAAAATTGCTGCATTTTATAGAGACAATCAGCCTGCGTACCAGTGCAAGAGCCTAAAATATTTTCTAGATTTAATATAAACATTACAAACAGAGGAAATTATTTAAATGGTATAAAATAATAAGGAATAACTATTTTTAAAAACCTAACAATCAGTTAGTGCTTTTATCATATCAAATGCATTAAACTTCTCTGAACTGAAGTCTTTTCATCATAATGTACTAAATTAAATATCTGTTCCTTGTAGAATATGATTCTGCTAAACTAGATTAAAATCAAATCATGGACAAAATCAATTTTACTTACAATAATCCTAGCCTACTGAGACTCCAGTCTAGTAATCACAATAAATGTCTCTCCTCTTTATATTTCTTCTGCAGTTCTGGACATTCCCAAAAGATGGAATTTGTTGACATTGCACACATTTTTAATGTATTTTATTAGAGTACTATGAAAAGAAGCAAATGACACATTTCAACAATCCCTTAGGGCATTCAAAGGGGTAAAGTATATGTATTTTTGTATCTGTGTATGTGTGTGTATCTGCCTGTGTGGAAATAGATAGATAGATAGATAGATAGATAGATAGATAGATAGATAGATAGCAGAGAGGTAGACAGATAGACAGATATTTATACATATATCTCCAAAAATGGAACCTGAATGAACCTAAGGGATTATTTGATTTAAGAGAGAATGCCAAATATTTAAACTGTCTTGGGGGAATTATGGTGACATTGGATCTTAGGATTACTTCTCACATAAAACTCAGAGGATTTGGTATCTTGTCAGAAAACTAGAGTGAAGCATGCTTACATGATGTTAATCATGCATTCCATCATTCTTTTATTGCAAGCCCACTAAATGGTGACAAATCAAACTGAAAAGAAAAACGAGCGTGTTCTCTGCCATGGCTGAGCATTTTTTTAAAGAGCACACTCTAAGAGCTCAGCTTTGGTCATTTGCCAAAGAAAAGTGTTATTTTATTAGTCTAATTTTAATAGAATACATGAAAACAAATACTTGCTTATCTTCTACTTAAAGGTGCAATTATTCTTTCCCAACTTTTTTTCAATTCTCTAAAATTACATTCTAGTTTTAGATATCAATTAAACTTCAACTGCAGTAAAACCCAGTGAGATAGAATTGAACTTGGAAGCTGATGAATCATATTATAATGATACATGTTAGAAACCTGTAATGGCTAAAAATTCTATTAAATACACCATAATAGTATAGTTTAGAGGATACTTGTACAACTTGGGTTAATTTTAATTTTGAGCTTCAAAAATTCTGCTGGAAAATATTGTCTACCACCACCACTGGTTTTGAAATGAAGAAGCTGTGAATCAAATAATTGGCAGGAAAATTATAAAGCCTTACGGTTAGTAGGGGCAGAGCAGGTTTTACTGCAGGGCCAGTAGTCTTTCACTTGAAATGAAAAATAAGAATTTTGCTATTGTCACTCCTTTGGTGGCACTTTGATTTTATATCTAAGAAAGTTAAGACTATGCTTAAAAGTCACATGCTAATTAGAATATTTAGCAATCACGGTGGGAAAGAAAAATCAGTACATGTTTTGAAAGACTAAGATTAAAAGATATCATGATTCGAAAAGAGTCAGTCTCCTACAGTGCTAGTAAAAGTAAAAGCTGACTCAAATTTTCTGGATAATATGGCTTTAAAAATCACATGCTACAATATGTGTTTCCTTCACTAAACACCCCTACCTTAAGAAATTTAGTTTTCAAAAATGATATAATGTGTGTGCTTGATGATGTGAGAGTTCAGGGTTGTTTCTCATAGTATTTTTTAAATGGAAACGATATATTTGTGCATGTTTAGCCTATCAACTCAGTGGAATGCTTAACAGTCATTAAACAGCAGGCCATAATTTGGGTCAGCTTTTTTTTTTTTAGACAGAGTTTCACTCTTGTTGCCCAGGCTGGAGTGCAATGGCACCATCTCGGCTCACTGCAACCTCTGTCTCCCGGGTTCAAGCAATTCTCCTGCCTCAGCCTCCCAAGTAGCTGGGATTACAGGCGCCTGCCACCACACCCAGCTAATTTTTGTATTTTTGGTAGAGACGGGGTTTCACCACGTTAGCCAAGTTGGTCTCAAACTCCTGACCTCAGGTGATTTGCCCGCCTCAGCCTCCCAAAGTGCTGGGATTATAGGAGTGAGCCACCGCACCCGGCCTGGGTTAGTCAGTTTTAATACCCAAAGAGAGTAGAGAATGCATGGTTCAATTTAAGCCAGATATGGAGAAACCTTCTATTTTTTTAAATATATGACTAAAATAAATGCTTAAGAATTTTTAATGAGGCCTTTCATACAGAATTTTTTTTATTATATTAGTTTAAAATTCTAGGGATTTTATCAGTGTTTTTCTTACTGCAGGAATAGCAGATATAGTTAACATGAAATTTAATAAGTCACTTCTTACTTTTCCACATTAGCAAACATCTAATAATTTTTCCTGTATAACCAATTCCAGTATGTCCAATTTGGTTGCAATTTGTTCAAGGACATATATTTCCCTAATCAGATTATATGCATATGCACTTATAATTTTCCCTTAATATTATATTCAGAACAGACACAACACATCCATATGAAATGCACGGATCTATATCCTCAATAGCATTGTTGCCTATTAACAGTGTAGAACTCTGCTTCTAAGAGTGATAAATGACTAGGGCCTGGAAACAACCTAGGGCTGTCAGGCTTGCTGCGGTTATTTGATGCTTTTCCTCTTCTCTTTTAAACCAAGAATTTTAGCTGAAATTTTTCATTCCTATTTCTAGCCATCCTACTACATGCTATATTTTCCTTCAATTTAATTGTGGGAGAAGGTGTCTGTGTTAATGAGCAAAGAACACAATTGGCAAGTTCGACACTAGAATCACTCAGTAAGAAGTATGTATGCCACATATATAATTTTTAATACTAACTAGACATAATTTACTAGTGACAAGAAATAGGCAAAATAAATTCTAATAATATATTTTACCCCATGTATCAAAAATTGTATCATTTTGATATGTAATCTATATAACATATTATGAATGAGATATTTCCATTTTTGTGTACTGGCTTCTGAATTACTTAGAGACCATCTCAATTTGGACTCGTCAAATTTCAATGCTTAGTTGCCACCTGTGGATCACAGCTACCCTATCGGATAGCACATACTTCATTAGTGTGAAAAAATCATCTGTCTTCCCAAAGTAGACACTCTGTAACCATGTGATTTTATTTTTTAAATACTTTTTTTAAAAAGTTTTTAAAAAATCACCAAAGCTAATAAAACAAAACAACAATAAAATAAAAATCTGAATATATTAACAGAATGCCTGACAGCGGCGAAGTGGTCTTCGTAAGTCACTGATATAAGTAAAGAATTTGGGGGGTTCAAATGTTGATCATCGTGGGGAATAGCGATGGGGGGGGCAGTTTCATCCAAGATATACTAAAACATTAAAGATTGAAAACTAGTTTGGTAGATAGGATCAGGTATATGTAAGTGTTCTTGGTCAGAAAAGCCTTCAACTAGATCCGGTAAAGGTCTGGCAAACTTAGGTCACTCAAAGTTCATAATTCTTTATTACTTGCATTTGGTTAGAACCAGTTGTGATGACAGCATGTAGTTTTGATAGCTTCTAATCAAATTCCTCTAAACATAGCACATTTTTATTTTACAATAAAATAACTTCAGAAAGCAGTGTAAAACAAGTATAATAAATATAAGTCGATGCTAAATGCTTTCTAACTATACAGGGTAAAATCATAAGCAATAGTGTTAATAAGATCAGCATATATCAAAATAGTATCACATTTAAATGTTCTTTTAAAATATCTCAGTGTTAGGTAAATGGAGTCTATAAAATATGGTTTCTATTTATTAAAAGTTTATTTATTTAATAAATTATTAATTTATTAAAAGTTTATTTTATTATGAAAAGTTTTTTTATTAAAAGTTCATTTTTTCAAAAAGCAGTGATCAACAAAAGTTAGCTTTGCATGACACATGGAATATGCATTATTATAATCTGGATATGTAAAGGTGCCTGAAATGTGGTCTCTATCCTCAAGGAAGAGAAATAGGAGGAAAGAGAACCAATGTTTAGTCTGTTTAGAAAATTAGGAGCTACATAGTTATTATATTTAATCATAATACCTTTAAGAGTGAATATTGGTATCTACATTTTTCATATGAGGAAACTGAAAGTCAGAAATATTAAATAGCCTGTTTCTGTTTCAACAGGTAAATGGCAAAGTCAATAACAGAGCACATGCGTTTGATCCCAAACCTCAAACTCATTTCTGAACAGCCTGTTGCTTGCAGTTTAGAACCCTATAGCACAAAACTTAAAGCAGAAAAAATAAAGCCAACATAACCCTTTTTCAAACATTTGCCAAAGTGACACATTTAACACATCAACTATTTATGTAAAAACAATGAATACAACAACTTTGAATCCTAAAATTATCCTGTTATGTGAAAATATGATAGTAAGGACCAAGGACTAATCCTAACAGAATGTGCTCACATGTTACTTTCTTGTCATCCAAGTTATTAAATACAAAATGTAAGTCTCTGAATTAAAAATTGTCATCCTATCTCATTAGAAAGGTCTCTAAACAAAAATCAGTTGCACATAAAACTTGAGTCTTCCTGACATTTTTAAAAACTTCCCTGACATTTTAAGATTGGGAATGCTTTTATAGTAACATTTATATTGAAAGGAACACTAAATAAAACTACTTGCCTCACATTTAATTCTCACTGTTTAAGGCATATAATAAAATGCATTTAACTTAAATTTTCATAAAACTTTATCATATTAATACTCATTTTCTAATAATTTTCTAGAATGACTACAAATATGCTTTTTCAAAAAGAGAATTGTCATTAAGGAAAAGAACATCATGAATAACAGTATTGTTTTGCAACCTCTGAATTCCTCTGAAACCCCAAATAAACAGAGTTGAGTTGAATGTAGGGTCAGCCCTTATTTTCTGTGTTGGTGTTAGGTGTTGGAGAAAATAATACTCAAAAGAAAATAAGTTTGAAATTCTATTCACCTGTACAATTCTTTTAAAAAATTAACTCTAATGTTTTTAATGTAATAATCTACTAACAAACAAAATAAAAGAAAACCTTTACATCGAAACCATAGGGTAATAGGATTACGTCAGCCTCAAAAGCATCAGACCAGTTACAAGCCTGCTTAATTCCCTCCTGCTTCCCAGTCCATGCTGAGAATGAGCAGCTTGATCTCACGCTAGTGCTTTTCACACTCTATAATTGACCATCTCCTTTCTTTCTGAATTTGCTTTTTGCAGACCACAATATTTCTTTATGGTAAAGAAATCATTATATTTATTTACTGTGAGGAAATTTGCTCTAATTAAATTGTTGAATAAACAGTACTAATGGGAACAGATTTAAGCAGATTAATTGATAAAGAATTTTTGGTACTAATTGCTCTGCTTCTCATAAAAATCTTGGGATTGTCAAATGTTGGGTATATTCATAGGATTATGTTGGACATGAGAATATCATTCATCCTTTGTGTCACATCAAGGAAAAGACTAAGAACTTTTTTTTACAAAATTCATTAATCTTCCCTCTATCTTTTCATATACAGTATTTCAAAATTAATTGAAATGTTCTTGATTTTTATCAACCCTGCTACTAGGTCATGCAGGTTAAAGTATTACATTATTAATATAAAAATATATTTTAAATAAAATAGAGTTATTTAAAAATATATTTTAAATAAAATAGGGTTATTTTACATTTAGAGTTTTTTTAATGCCTACATATCGTTACCTTGTTTTATTGTGGACTAAATTAAGATTTACCTCCTCAATTGTGTGTTCCTACCAAAAAAAGGTAAAGACACCCATCATAAAATTTAACCTCCACCTGATGTTAATTGTTGTGGAGCATAACTACTGTAAAGAAAAAGAGAGTCTCATTTCACCCTCACAGGTTCAAAAAAGAAAGTTCATTTAAATCTGTCAACAGCTATTAAGAGGTTTCTGAAATCAGTAACAGTAAATGTAAAGAGAAGTAGACAGCCTTTCACTGTTAAGTGTGAGAGGTATTAACACCTTACAGTTAGCATGAAAGTAGCCTTTATTACTTTTAAACTTTTCCTCTTCAGACTCACAATTGTTTCAGTAATCTACCTGCTGTGTTTGTTTATAATGATTACAGAGAACAAGCAAAACAACTATTTTATGTTGAGCCTTTCCTGTTTCATCTAAGCATTGCAATTCCCACTGATTAAATTATACAGAGGACATCTAGAATCATTAGATTCAGTCTTAATGTATATTTCTCTGTAAATTATGCATCTTAATAGCTCTCCTTTTTACAAAAAATCACTGTGATCTGTAGTAGGTATTTCTAATTATTGGTTCAATTGAGTTCTGGAATGTAAAATCTAATAATTATGTAAGTTGATTCTTTTTTTTCTGAAAACATTGGTACTCACAGTTTATATTTAGGCAATATGAAGATGCAGATTCTTGCCCCACCTTCTAGAATTCTAACTCAGTAAGTCTGGAGCAGTTGTCTGTATTTTTATCAAGCTCCTAAACTCTAAGTAGTCTGGCATATATTTTGACAAAATGCCATTCTAGCAAATTGAGGCAATAATCTGAACACTCAGATTTACATATTCATTCTCGCTAACTTCCCAAACAAGAGGCACTATCTCTTCAGAGATTTTCTTCTAAGGAAAATCAACTCTCCCTGCCCTGCACACTCCCTCAACCCCCAGTCGTAACAGAAAAAACAAGGAGAGCCAAATTATTTCATGACGATAGAATAATCAAATGTAATAGTTTAGTGACTCCTTTTTTCTCTTTCATGCTTAGCCACTGGGAGTAATATTTTCTTAAACCAAATAAATGTTCAACACTATTTAAATCACAAAAGAAGAAACATAAAAGGCTAAACTCACTAAATATAAAAAGCCAATTGATATCACTATGTAATATAATTTTGGACTCTGAAATTGGCAAAATTTAAAAATTTGTAAACTGATAATTTCTACCTTTGCCAAAACCTTGGTAGGGATATAAATTTATGCAATAGTGAAAGTAATTTGGTACTATCTATCAAAACTAAAGTTACCATAATATTTGTCTAGCAAACTTACTTTTAACAATTTTTTTCTATGTAAATAGAACACAAATTTATTGAAAGTTTATCAATAAAAAATTCGGAGAAATTATTCAATACTAAGAGAATGCTTTAGGCTGGGCAGTGACTCATACCTGTAATCCCAGCACTTTGAGAGGCTGAGGCGGTAGATCACCTGAGGTCAGGAGTTCGAAATCACCATGGCCAACCTGGGGAAACCCAATCTCTACTAAAAATAAAAAATTAGCTGGGAGTGGTGGTGGACACCTGTAATCCCAGCTACTCTGGAGGCTGAGGCAGGAGAATCACTTGAACCTGGGAGGCAGAGCTTGCAGTGAGCTGAGATTGCGCCATTGCACTCCAGCCTGGGCAACAGAGGGAGACTTTGTCTCAAAAAAAAAAAAAAAAAAAAGAGAGAATCCTTTAAATAAAATGGTTCAATAATCTGTTACCTTATAAATCTCAGAAAAAAATACCAAAGTTACAATGTGGTTTATGCAATTGAACGTTTGATAACTGAAAGCTGTAGAGTTTTGCATAAGGCTTATTTTTAATCATTAAGAGATGTAATTCTGAGCAGACTAGGAGTGACTACTGATCTCTCTGTAGGTATTAGTGAAGCTCAGAACACAATGCCCCAAAACATGGCACCTAGGCACTGAGTATTTTAAACTGAAGGAAATTGAGAAAACCACAGAAGCAAAAAGGTCACTCTCTGACCATCTATCACCATTTCCCCCTGAGGCCACAAAAAGAATTATCTGTTCTACTTCCCCTGAAAGTAGGTCATAAAACCCTCATTCTAGAAGGGTCTTACCCTATACCCAGAGGAAAGGGATAAGACACTCAAACTCAGAAAATTTAGAACAGCCTTTGCTGAGGTCCCTGCATTTTTCCCATTAGATCGTACCCTCTTGACTGCCAATCACACTTCCGCATGACTATCCTTAAAAACACAGTTTTCCTTGGGCCTTTGGGTCTTTATTTCTGAAGACTCCCATGTCATTAAATACTTTGGTTAGATATATTTGCTATGCTTTTCTCTTGTTAATCTTCCTTTTTTATAGGGATGCCAGCCATGAACCTTGTGATGGGTGAGAAAGAGATATTGCATTTTCTTTCCTACACTTAATCTATATGAAGATATTCATCCCAAATTATTGACAGTGGAGGGTGAAGTTCTGAATGCTGAAACCCAAGAAGCAGAGAAGGAATTTTTTATGTAATATACTTAAAAAAAAATAGTGGAGGCATTACGGTAAATATTTCAAAATTTCTACAAGCACCATGTGTTCTGTTATATAATAATGCATGAGTAAACACTAAAATTAAAAATAAATCTCAGATATATGTATTACATTAGAAATATCTGTTACTGCTGGAAAGTTTCAAAAACTGTATACAAGATGATTCTCAAAGGCTAACAAATTTATTTTTGTTCTTCCAACAAAAGAAAAATTTTGAAATAATGGTTGACCACATGCAGGAATGAATTGTATATTTTTGAGAAGAAAACAGTTTGGTGCTATACAACCACATTTAAACATGTTCAATTGATTCGCTGAATTTCATTTCTTCTTAGGCTTTATACACCCAATAATCACACAAGGAGCTAGTTAAAATTGCAGGTTACGTGGTATATATGTCCAAATAGTCTCAGGTGGAGCCTAAAGATCTGAATTTGTATAAAGTGTCCATTGTCATTCTTATGCAAATGGTCTGGGAATCACAGCTTGAGAAATGGTATCCCAGAGCAAAGCTAAGGTGAATGGATCTGGAAAATTGTCCCAAGAAGTGTTATTGACCCTTCTACTACAAATATAATAAATTTTCAATAATATTATGATGAAACTTTATATATCAAGAATCAAAACATTCCAAAATTCATCAGAAAGGGAGGGTTTAAAACATACCTGAAAGTAATCAAAATAATTTGTTTTTACATGAGGCTGCTTAAAGTTGACTAATTGAATTGTGGAAAATAAAAAATAGAACTTTTTGGCAAAAAAAAAATGTGTGAATCATTTGCTCACATCCTAAACCTTTAAAATTTATTTGCTTTAACCAATCTCTTATATAACTATGTGCAATAAAACGTATTTTCTAAATGTACATAGTTTTGAGATTCAAAATCTCAAAATTTTGAAGATCTAAAACTTTTGAGGATTTTTTGAAGCTCTCCTGGTATGTATACTTTCCAGTTTTAATTGATAGCATTACTTATGTTATGCAGCTTCACATTAAAGAAGTTTCCATGTTTGGTAACTTTCATTTTGTATGATACTTTTCTTGAATGCTAACTAGATGTCTATTACTTCTAATAAACACCCAGGTTTTCAACATAAAAAATACTTTTATTTCTAATAAAATGAGGTACTTCTACTAAACGTCTACCTCTTAAATTGCTTTAAGAGGTTTTAATTTCTAGTGGTAACACTTGGGGCCTTAACCTGGATTTCACTGCAGTTTTGCACTATAGACTTTCTGAAAGAAGACTAGGTCCATATCCTTTTTGAATCTCATTGAGATGAAATTCTATCTATCTATCTATCTATCTATCTATCTATCTATCTATCTGTTTATTATCTATCTGTCTGTCTATTATCTATCTATCTATCTATCTATCTGTCTATCTATCTATCTTACTGCTATAGACTGAATGTGTTCTCTCAAAATTCATATGTTGAAATTCTTCCTCAAGGTAATGGTATTAGGAGGTGGGGGTTTTTGTAGGTGATTGGGTCACAAGCTACCCTCGTCAATGGAATTAGTGCCTTTGTAAATGTAAAGAGGGAGCACTCCCTCGCCCCTTCCCCAGATGAGGACACAACAGATATCTATGACCCAGAAAACGGAGTCTTCACCAGACACTGAATCTGTCAGCATGTTGATCTTGGAGTTCTCAGCCTCAAGAACTGTGATAAATAAGTTTTTGTTGTTAAGCTACCTGCTCTACGGTATTTTTGTTATAGCATCTGGGATGGACTAAGACACTGTTTATCTACCTATCTACCTCCCCATAATAGCAAAGGCTATGGAGTAAAATTCAATACAAAATAGTTTTGTCTTGAAACCAATCCAAGAGGATATTTACTTCCTGAAGTACCACTCAAGAAGTTGTTTCATTTATAATGTTATCTACGGAAAGAAAACTGAGACAAGAACTGGTTTCACACAAGTGTAAAAATATAAAAGTCAAGTAAAAATAAGAAAAAACTTTGGAGGACATATTGTTGCCTAATGTGTTTTAATGTATGATTTATAATCTCTAACCAAACAAGAATTATACAAGCATGTAGAATTATTAGTATTAATAAGCAAAAAAGTTATAAACTCACACAAAAAAGAAATTTTTTAATAGATTTATTGTCCTCAATATATATTAGTTTATTCTTACACTTGAGAATATAATTGCCTGGTACCCTATCAAGCACTCTGTAAACCTGATCTGAAAATAGGATTTGCTCTTCCTAAGTTTAGACATTTTTTTTTAGGTGCCATCTGTTGTCCCAATGGAATATGGATCAATTGTCATGGGTACTTCTGTTTGCAACCCCTTAGTACGTTAGTGTGATAGTGACAAAAAAAAAAATGCAACTTCTTCTTTAAAATAAAATGCTTAGAAGCAGATAGCCAAATGATAAAACCATTTCAGGACACCGAGGAATATAATCCATCTACATCTATCATTTTCAATGTTTCTTTCTTTTGAAATTGTTTTGCTCCAAACGTAGCCCACATAAATCCAATACATATATTTTGAGGAACAGGATTATTATTCTTATTGAAGATGCATAAAGGGGAAAGTTATATTGGTCAGTTATAAAAGGAAAAAATAAAAAAAAGGAAACGAACTGAGAATATTCTGATTTGACATAAAAACAAAGTGAAAGAAACTGACAAATGCAGTTTCTTATTAATGCTCACTAGGTGGGGTACAAGAATGGAGAACCTAGGATTTCAAACTTGCTTTGCCATTCTCTGCTACAGCCTCTCCCTGGCAATAATTCATTCTTCCTGGAGGGACTGAGGAATCATGATGGGTTTTTTTTCTTAATTATGATGGGCACATTTTAGAAAGTTTCTTAAAATTTTACTATCTCTTTTCACATCAAGTTAAAATTCCATGACATCTTATTTCTATGTCCTTCGTTCTACACTTTTATACATAACCGAATACATTCTCCACTTCAGATGAAAACTGCCACAAGATCTAGTGTTTTTCTTATTAACAAGGGTAAAACACTCCATTTGATTAGTCTAGTTATAATTGTTCAAATGTGGTTTATTCAATAATTAAGAAAATAACAAATAAATGACAATAATAATAATAATACTGGTATACCATAATCTGTCAAAACTGTAAGACTATTACTACCTTGTGGAATATTTGATAGCCCCATTATGCAACTGCATAAATTTAGAAATTGGAAGAATTTGGGAAAAACGTGGCAAAAATATTGGAATGCAGTGATATGAGTACATTATTAGATTTAGTTTTCATACCAAAGGTTTAATCAAAATTAAAATAAACAAATGTTTATAGTTTAAAGCAAGCACTCCACTTATAACATCGAACCTTTCAACCATTTCAAAAAAGAAATGATTAGTATGATCACCAAATAATAGTATGGGAGTGGAGGCGAAAGGCATGTTGAGCACTTTCTATGTGCCAGACACTGCCCTAAATATTTTACTGTTATTATTTCAGTTACAGATCTCTTAAAGACAGTAATAAATGTAAATCTCCACTTGGGAGTGAGTTCCTATATGGAGATTTAGCATAGTAGAGCATTTGAATTTGTGAGAATGGATGAGGTTTAATAAATTTATGAGAAGCTATCTATGTCTTTTCAATATGTGAATAACTATAAACATGCGTAATTAATTGGTAAATCAAATAGCTGTATAATAAAGCCGAAGAAGAAGTTTCATTCAGTAGAAAGGGCTACTCAGCTAAAGAGAAGAGAGAAGTTTAAATCACAAGATTTGCAAAAAATAAGTGTCACAGCAGGTAACATAAGGAGGGCCGTGGGAGGACTAAGTGGTGATATGGAAATCTGTGATGTGGGCTCTCTGTCAGGAAAGACTTCTCCACTGAAGCATTACTTAAATCAAGAGCTAAACTATGAGGAAGGGAAATCACATTTTCCACAAATGAATCAGCATCTGCAAAGTCTTCTGTAATTTCTATGAAAACTATTAATAGAAGTAATAATAAAATTTTGTGAAACGAGCTATTTTTCTGAAGACTACTGGAAGAAGAATGATATATTTTATTTATTCCAAACAGATCACCGGCCCCACTCAATGGAATGCACAATATAGTTTAATTTTCCTATTTGAAGTAACATAACACATATGTTTATTACCATTGCTACAAACTTTGAGAAGTAAATATGGCTAATAATGGCAGGGAAGCAGTTTTTAACGTCTGATTATGTGTGATTAATATATACAAAATCTGAACTCTTCCCACCACGCTCATTGCTAACATCTTCTGCCTAGTATTGAAAGAATTTTGCATAAGGTTGCCTTGTTTCTGAACTTGCTCATCTATGGTCTCTTCTCAAGAGTAAGCAGAGTGAAGACTGAGGACAGATCACAGCCTTCTTCTGTTCAAAAAATGACCTTTAATTTTGTGCACTGTCTTAAAAAATACCACTCCCTAATCAAAGCTCCCACTCCCTGATCAACATTGCCCATTAATCTCTGGAATTGTTTTCTGCTATCCTCCCTGTCACTCTCTTTTCTCCAAATCTCTGGCCCCTTACTGTCTGCTGAGCATATCAGGCATGCTTTTACAGGGCCTTTGCCCTTATTGATTCCTTTGTTATTTTGCCTCAGATAGTCACTGGTCTGCCTGTCCAACTATTTGTTTGTTTTTCAACCATCATTTTGCTGAGGTGTCCCTTATCACCCTATTTAAAAAAACAATCACTCTTCTCACCTCCCTGGCATTCCTTGTTCCTCTACACCCTCCACTTTCTTTTCTTACAAATATCACCACTTGATATTGATAATCTCACTACACTAAAAGGTAAATTCCATTTTTGTCTCTTTGTATCACTGATGTTTAGAATAGTATCTGGCACATAATAGAATACGTATTTGTTGATTATATGAATAAACGGATGACATCAACATTGTTCAAGAAATCTAGACTTAAACTTGGGAATCATTTCTCTTCCCATTCTTTCAATTTCCTTATTATCTCACCCCAATATTTGATTCTATTGTCAATCTGTTTCCCTCACATTGCATTTCAACAACTACCACTAACATTGAGGTCATCATTTTTCAGGTGAATTACTAGAGTAGATATTAAGTGGGTTTGTGCAGCCAACATGCCCACATTAAAAAAAAATTCACATGTATATCGATTTAGATATAGTCCTAAATGATAATTCTTTCTAAATGATATTTCTACATACAAGTCTAAAACTTTTCCATCTTTCCATTTGATGAAGTACACATTCCTAATCATGCCATTTCAGGCCTCTCATGTTGTGGTTCCAGCTTCTTCCCTGCATTATATTCTACACGTTCCAGCCAAAGGAAACTACTTGGCATTCCTGCAGATGGCTGAGGTGTCCATGGATATCCGCCACTCAAATTTCCTTCAAACCTGTTGCAGGAGCCATAGTGGCCATTGTCTTCAGTGGCCACCCATCAATACTGAAGCCATGCTTCACCTGGGCTTCTTCCCACCAAAGGCTGAGTGTCCAAGGAATTCGTGCTGGTACCGTGGCTCCCAGCTGCGCCATCAGCTGGTCAAATTTTTCTTAGACCTGCACTTAGTCCCGAGCCTCTTTCTATCCAATCCTTCCTTGCCCACCTCTTCTTTTGTAAGTGTGAAACCCACATTAATCTCAAGGCTCACCCTGTTTCCTTCAGCTCTTTCCCCTTTATTCTTCAATGAATGCCTTGTAGGTCTTTTACCATCTTAGTGTCTGCTTCTGTTGGAGGATTCAAACTGACACACAGTTCCTCAAAAAAGTTTCATGTTTCTCAACTCTGTCTTTGCTCTTCCTACAATACCCTCCTTCTCTTTCTATCTTTCTAAACCTTATGTGGCCATAAAATGGTAAGCTCAAATCCCAAATGTGCCTCATAATATATCCCTTCTGTAATCTTTCCAACTTGTGAACTTTTATAAAAAGTTCTTTACTTATAGCTCTTCCGAAACAATATTCCATGACCCCACTGGACTTTAAGTGCCTTGATGGTATGAACCATGCCTTACTATCTTTGTAAGGAAGAAACACAGCAGCTTGGAACTTCTAGAAGTTCAGCAGCTATTTAATGTATTAAATTCTTTAAATAAAGTAATATTTGTGATCTACAGCCCCTCTTTACATTTATATCTAAATCTTTCACTGCATTGAAATAAATCAGAAAGCAATTCTCGGTTACAGTCCTGCAGTGGCCAGTCTGGACCTAGTCTACAAATCAGAAACTAAGAAAATGGCAGTTTATAGTCATGAACACAATCTGAGAGTCATGGGTGGTTAAAGAAGTTCACATGTAAGGCCAGACGCAGTGGCTCACGCCTGTAATCATAGCACTTTGGGAGGCCGAGGTGAGCGGATCACAAGGTCAAGAGTTTGAGACCAGCCTGAACAACATGGTAGCAGTGTGTAATATAATTACTATGACCTGAAATATACTAAATACACTAAAGAATAACGAGACATGGAATGGAGGATTTTTGTAGAGTACAAAAAGCATGGCATTCAGGATACATTTCAGCACATAAAAAAGAAAAGGTACATTAAAATATTATAACAGTCAGAAATCTATAATTATCTACCACTTACAAACATAATAAGCTGTGTGAAATAATATAAAACTACATAAAATAATAGTTTTTAAATGTGAGGACTATGACCTTCTTTTTCTCTTGCCCAAATTCCTATCTAAGGGACCTGGTTAGTGGTCATGACCACCATAAAATCTCATCAGACAGGTTTTATGAACCCTATATAATGTAGCTTACTTTCCAACCTGACTCTGGTATACAGCATAACATGGCATATAGCAGATGCTGAAGGAAGTAAAAAGATTTTATACCAAAATATATTTCTTTAACATATTTTGAAATGGCTGCCATGGGATCATCGGACTAAAATTACCCTGCAAAGCTGTCTTTTGTGGGAAAATTTTGCATCAGATTAATCTTCCATTAATGTAGCCAGACCTCTCCCTTTCTAGACTTTTTCAGATCTGGAGAGATGAACTGAGAGCCTGACACCTTTGAAGTCTGGAAAGAGACATTTTCCATGTATTCTCTCTGAAGGCTGTCACCTATGAGGCTACATTTACATACTAAGAACCTTGGTCTCTACAACCCCCTTATCTTAACTCAAACATTCCTTTCTACTGATTTCAAGTTTTAGACATTAGCTTAACTCTCCCAACCAATTCCCAACTAAAGAATGCCTAAAACCCACCTATGATCTCCCCAGCCCTCTGCTTTGAGATGTCTGATCTTTTTAAGGCCAAATCAATGTACACCTTCCTCATAATGATTTAGATTTTCCTGCAATTCCTGTCTCCCTGAAATGCATAAAATCAAGCTGTAATCTGGCTGCCTCGGGCACACTTTATCGGAACTTCTTGAGATTGTGTGACCTAGGCCGTGGTCACTCATATTGACTCAGAACGCACCTCTTTAAACATATTTTGGCAGAATTTGGATTTTTCTATTATCAAATGTATTTTCATATGTGGAAGATAAACAGTATTTTAGTAAATTAATAACATTTATGGTAATTTAAAACATAATTTTTATCATTCCTTAATTATTGTTAAAACTCTAAAGCTTTATTAACAAATTACCCAATAAACTGTGATAATGCTTTGATTCCTATCCACGTATTTCACCTAGATTTCAGAACACCAACTTTGGAGATTCAATGAGAAATGTGTAAAATGGTTAGTTGGATCAAAATTTTCAAAAATACTATTGTGATGGATACATTCTACAATAGCAACATTTTGGCCTGACAACCAATGTCCAAAGGACACTCTTTAGGTGTCACTCAGATTAGTTATTTATTAAACTATATTTCTGTGAGCTGTTAAGGTTCAATGTGATGCTGTTTACTGGTAACTATGACTGATTTGTGCATTAAAGTGTATTAGCAAATCAAAATCAATAAAACAATTTGCGATTTCAGAATAGATAAAATTAAAGCACATTGTTTGTATTCAGGCAAACTGCCTTAAAATTAATTGTCCTATATTAGCAACCTATTAAGATGGCAGCAAACAAATACAACCAATGCTCAGAGTGGATAACAGAAGTGTCAACAGAACAAACAACCTGTGAGTTAACCACTTTATGAAGTATACATGTATTACCTATGATAACATGTATTGTTACATAATAAAAAAACACACTCATGAAATTATTTGAGTGAACTTGTTGTCAAACCCAATGGAATAACTTTTATTATTTTGCAAAAAGTGTAGCAACTTTTGGATTAGCAAACCATTAAACTTTTGCTTATCAAACTTAATGGAAGGTGCTTTTAAATTAAGGCATTAGTGATGGTATAAGAACTTTCCAATATAATTTTGAAAAAAAGATATCCATATGTATTGTTTTATGGATTCAATGTTGTTCAATTTATTACATTAGTAGTAGGAAAAGGAACTGACTCAGAGATAAGACAAGGATATAGAGAATAATGGCAATCACATATAATAAATGGTTATTTCTAGTGGTTATGTTTTGAGCATTGCAGTTATTTTGGCTTGTTTTGTTTTGTGAAACAGTTAATAAGGCTGGGCGCAGTGGCTCACACCTGTAATCCCAGCACTTTGTGAGGCCCAGGCAGATGGATCACCTGAGGTCAAGAGCTCGAGACCAGCCTGACCAACATGGTGAAACTCCATCCCTACTTAAAATACAAAATTATTCAGGTGTGATGGCATGCACCTGTAATCCCAGCTACTCGGGAGGCTGAGGCAGGAGAATTGTTTGAACCCAGGAGGCAGAGGTTGCAGTGAGCTGAGATAGTGCCACTGCACTCCAGCTGGGGCAACTAGAGAAAAACTCCATCTCAAGAAAACAAAACAAAACAAAAAACAGATAACAAAACATAATCTGAGCTTAATGACCATCTCATAGAACAGGATGTTACTTTATATGGTTAATTTTGAGGTATGTTGAAACCATAAAAGTATTATCTATATTCACTACTATGTACTGCAAATCTTCTGTTCTAAAATGTTAAAATCCTGTCCTACCTTTAGTATTACCATTATTATTAATATCTGAAATGTAACATTCCTTTCCTACTTTCAATTATTTCCTAGAGACTGACTGGCAAAAATCAGGAGTTTAACTATTTTTCTTTATTCAATGTTTCTTCTTTCTTAAAATTTTTAATTTAATTTAGTTAATTTTTAAACCACTTTATTGGGGCCTGATTGGCATAAGAAAGCTGTATATTCAATGCATACAACTTAATGAGCTTGGAGATAAATGTACACTTGTAAAACCATCATCACAATCTATGCCATAAGCACTGCCGTGCCTTCCAAAACTTTCCACCCATTCTTTTATTTATTATTATTACCATTATTATTTGCATGTGATAAGAACATTTAAGATCTACCATCTTAGCAAATTTTTAAGTAAACAATACAGTATTGTTAGCTATAGGCAATACAGTAAATGTCTACGGTTTAGTCATATTGCATAACTGAAAATTTGTATCCTTTGACCAACACCTCCCTACTTCCTCCTGCTCCCAGCGCCTTGCAACCAACATTTGACCCTCTGCTTTTATGAATTCGACTCTTGGATTCCACATATGAATGAAAGCAAGCAGTATCTGTCTGTCTTTGGTTTGGCTTATTTCATTTAGCATAATGTCTTCCAGATTAAAGGCTGTAACAAACAGCAGGATTTCCTTTCTTTTCAAGGCTGAATAATATGCCATTGTATGTAAGTGGCACATTTCTTTATTCATCCATTTATGAACATTCTGATTGCTTCCATGTCCTGTCTATTCTGAATAATTAAATTTATTTTACAAGTGATCTTGTTTGACCTCTGATAAGACATAATTTAAGTCCTATACACTCACCCCTTTTGCTTAATATGTCTCTGAATTGTGGTTTAATTTTTAAATCAAAATTGCACCAATTGTTTTATCTCTTTATATTATGTTATCCCTCGTTCTACATATCCAATTTATTTCTTAAAAAACATTTGAGAAAAAATTTAATTACCAATCCTTATATGCCAATTGTACATCTTACCATTTCCATGTCTGTACCTTGCTCCAAAAATATTTGTGCTCAGAACTGTAACCATATACGAATTTGTAAAGGATAGACCAAATAATTTTTCTGTTACTATGTTTAAATAAAAATAATAGCAAACTTTGAAACTTTATCTTTTCTGACATTGATTCTATTTGTTCTTTTTAAATGAAAACCCAAGTATAAAGAATACTGGAATACCTCTGGAAATTTTCAATAGACCACATAAGTATTCAAATTAGATTATGAAGCTAAAATAAAATTAATGGAAAGGATATAAAGTCCTAGTTCACCCTGAAAAATGTTTTCTTCTTCTAACTGGATAAGATTAAATAAAATAACCGTATAAAAAGTATAGTTAATCTCTGTGAATTGATGATATATTCTGCATCTCATTCAACAAAAATATATATAAATAACATATGTATTATTAAAATGCATTTATTTTCTCTGTTGAATTCAATTTTATAGAGTTTTGCATAATTAATGTGGTATTTTAATCATGTTACAATAACAAAAGTCAGCTTGAAAACATAACTGGGTTAGGTACATTTGGTGATGTCTACTGGGAATCATTCTTATATCAGCCTTACATAAGCAATTAGAGAGAGTAACAAAAATTATGTCACTGGCATTAAGAAGAGAGTGTCTATATATCAATTTAAAAAGTCAACTTTCAACCAGGAAAAAGAAATATGACTCTTTAATGTATAAACAGAGAATTACAGGAAAATAATCAGCTCTGGGACTTTACTAAATATCCTTACAAGATCTCATGAGCCAAGTATTTCCTTTTATTTTTAATTTTTCTATGAAAGGTGCTTTTTAGCTAGTAGTAAAAAAATTGACGTGAAAATGGTCAACAGAAAAACGAGCTCAGAGCCTTAAGGCCTCCCTAAATGGAAGATGTCAGAGTATACATTATGTTAGTACAAGGTATCCTGAGAGCTGCATCTATGAAACACCAGAGAGGGCTGTTCTAGAAACTGCCTTTATGAGATTCCAAACATAAACATGACATAATGAATTTATTAGCATGTCCTGGGAACACTCATTTTGAAATGGGTTAACAATTCAGTTTAAAGGATTTTCAGTGTGTTTTAATTTTCCAGCCCATGAAAATTCCTGTAAATGTAGGACACGGATTAAAAGTTTATGGATACACCATTTACCCCACTAGTTTCTAGTATATGCCAAACAGAGCAGAGATCACCACTCTTAGGGGATTTTGGGACCCCCAAACATGGAAATGTAGGAAAACCTTGAGTTTCTTCAAGGGAAATTTCAGGCACTAGCTTGCCCTGAGAAGTGAATATGCACCATAAGAAGCAAGAAGGTAATAGCAGCTTGAAACAGTAGCCAAATAAGCTAGAACCACAGGATAGTTCCTTTATAGAAACTAAAAGCAACATCTTAACATGTGTCTCTGAGTTGTTTTTCAGAAACTCCCAAATGGATTCACTGGCACACAGACCTCAGATAAGGGAGAACTGGGGACTGAACTCTGACCCCATTCTTCTTTCTGTTCTAAATTCTTCCTAGGGAGCCTAGAGAAAGTCCCACTCATGAGCCAGAGCTGACATTCTCTTCTGCTGATCCCAAATTGTTAAATAAAGCTTTTCTTCCTTAACCAACTGCAAATCAGAAACTCTTTGAATCTACCTATGAACTGTAAGTCCCCGCTTCAAGATACCTTGCTCTTTTAGGCCAAAACCATACTCCTTCCTTTAAAAACCCTTACCTGCAAGCCACTGGGGAGGTCAGGACTTAACCATTAAGTTGCCTGGACTTCCTTGCTTGGTGACCTGCAAATAAAGTCCTTCCTTTTTCCAGCTGCAAACCTCAGTGTGGCTATCCAATATTACTGCACCTGGTAAGAGGACCCCAAACTGGTTCAATAACATATGTTGCCGGCCCAGCATGGTGGCTCACGCCTGTAATCCTAGCACTTTGGTGGCTGAGGGGGGGGATCACGAGGTCAAGAGATCGAGACCATCCTGGCCAACATGGTGAAACCCCGTCTCTATTAAAAATATAAAAATTAGCTGGGCGTGGTGGCGGGCGCCTGTAGTCCCAGCTACTCAGGAGGCTGAGGCAGGAGAATCGCTTAAACCCGGAAGGTGGAGGTTGCAGTGAGCCGAGATCACACCACTGCACTCCAGCCTGGGTGACAGAGCAAGATGCTGTCTCAAAAAAAAAAAAAAAAAAAAAAAAAAAAAAAATATATATATATATATATATATATATGTATATGTTGCCATTTCATCTTATAATGGAAGTATATTTGCTGATTAGAAGCTACAAGTCTTGGTAACATATACCCTAACTGTTAGGGGTCAAATATTTGAAAATTTCATTCTCTATGTTTTCCTTTAAGTGAAAAATTTATTCTATGAATGAATCTTCACATCAATAATTTAAAGAGGTTTTCTGGTAGAAATTCCATTGCAAAAACAATCAAGATGGAGATCTGTGAATATAGCCCTGGGGAATCCTAAGGATTTTTATAATCTCTACAGGAAGCAATATTATATGTCCTTAAAGAAAGATTATCAAAACATAACAAAAAAAACTAATAGGAAGAAAAGGAAAGATAAAGAAACATTTAATATTCACCTACTATGTGCCATTTTCTAATGTATGTAGGCATATTACCGTATGAACTGTGAAGTGCAAGTATTTACAAGGGAAGTGTTATAAAATGAATTCATTTTCATCACTTATAAGTAATGTTGACAAATAAGCATTGGAAATTTAATTTTGTCAATACGCATTTCACACCAACTAGAAGGTAAGGTACTTTGATTGGAATAACTGGCACCCCTGATCTAAAGGGCAAGATTTCTCAAACAGAGAGAGACAAGTTATTGAATGTGCTTATTTGGTCAAACAGAAAATAGCTTGAGACCTACTTTGTTCTGTTTCTGTGGCTAACAAGCAATATTCCAACAAACAATTTCATCCCTTGACTGAACAAGCTTGACTTTGGACAAGGAAGGAGTTTGTTCAAATGGCCAGTGGATGGTAAATAGATCTTTCAATATAAAATTAGCATTTTCTTATTAGCCTAGTTAACATGAATGAATTCCCTATAGCCTCATTATTTATACATGCGAATAGGTAATGTTCGGTTTCAGAATCCGTCAAGTGAAAAACAAAAATTATTGATCCAAAAGGACGCCTCAGACAATCCTGTGAAACTAAGCTTTATATAGCCTATAGTTTTCTCCCTAATCATGTTTATAACTAAGGAAAATATTAATGCTCTATTGAGGCAAATTCTATACAAGCATAACTATGGGTGAAAACAAAGCATGTATCCCCTACAGATCCCCAGTGGTTTGCTTTTAGATAAAGAATCTAAAAAGATTTTATTCTTTATGTATAAAGCATCTTAAATTATATAACTCAATAACAAATTATCTATATATCAGGCCTCATTTGCATGTTTCCAATATATATCAATTTTAGTCACCATGGTTTTGTTATATAACATCAGTCTTCCAACAATTTGGTTCAAATTTCAGTTACCATACTGTATTAACAGTGGGTGATATATGGTTTGTACAGTTACACAGCACAAACTTTGCTGTTAGCCATGCAATTCAGAAATTGCTATGTAAATATCAGTGACCAAACTTGGCACTTCTTTTAAAGTGCACAGACAGCCAAGCACATAGTTCGGCTGCCTCTGTCTCCCAGTGATAAACTCACATGATGTTTTACAAAAATAGGTAATTGAAAGAGGTAAGTGGCCAATAAAGATGAAAGTGCAACCAGGAAACGAAGTGATAACATCAGAAGTAAAATTTGGATGGAATGTAACAGAGTTAAGAAAGAAATAGCTGAGCTGATGCTACTGTTGTTCAAGAGACTAGATCTGTAGCCAGGTGAACTTAGTGAAGGCAAAGTCATCAATATAAAAGAGCAAAGTGGCTGTAAAGAAAAAGATAAAGATGTCCCAGAGGAAGTGACACTGGCAAAATCTTTACAATAAAGAAACTCTTAGAGATACTTCAAAACATTAAAACTGCAAATGATAAAATGTTGCAAGTTGATACAAACTTAGAAAGGAATATGACAATTTACCAAAGCATATAAAAGATGCATGTTCTATGTTAAGTTATTCAATGGGAAGAATAAGGCAAGCACTGTTTAAACTACTCTTGACAAGATTTTTTTGCAGAGAATAAAACTTTAATCCTCAGTGTTTCTGAGGTTGTAAACTACAGCACTAAAAAAGTTAGTTTTACTGTTTGTTCATTTCCCTGTACATTCGTAACCATCAAGAAGAGAGTTTTGATGTTTTGTAAAAAAAAAAAAAAAAAAAAAAATTAAAGGATACAGAACAGTTGTAATTTTCCCCATTGATTATTAAGATCTCTTTGCATGGTTTCAGCTTGCACAGTCATTTTTAAGGTCCTTTACTACTGTATAACACCTGGACAGCCTGTATTTCAAAGAAGGGGCTTAACTGTTCCCTCAAGAAGACATGTGTGCTAAAAACTCTCACTAGTCTTCTGAGTTTTAGGCCTTAGAAAAGCATTTGATATGCTCCATGACAGCAAAGATTAAAGGATACAAGAATAAATCTTCTTAGTACCAGTTTTACAAATATGTCGCAAACCCCATTTTACTCTAATCTACAGAAAGGTTTATACTTTCTAATCTTCCTTAAGAAATAAATTTTAATATAGTAAGTAATTCAACCATTACTCACAGATAAATAGTAAAAGCAAGTTCTGAGAGTTAAAAATATTTTAAATGCTCATCTCTTAGCCTCCATGAACGGCAGCACATTTTGGAGCTGTAAAATATCCTCCCTCCAAGCTTTGTTCCTCTCCATTGGCAAACATTAGCTGTGCATGCCCCATCCTCCTGTTACACACACTTTACTTATACAACACAGGCCAATGTGTTTTTTTCTTCTGATTTCTTTTGGATCATCATAAGCATTATAGACATTTTCATCAGTGATGCCAAGAGAACTGGGAATATGTGAGTTTACTTTTGCTTCCTCTGTTGCCTAGTTGGCTGCTTCTGTAGCAACAGAACAAAAAGAGGATCATGCATGAAATACAGCTATTATTTATGAGAGAATGACTGCTTTTAAAACAAGATAGATGTTTAGTATTCTGTGGATACTCCCGCACCAAATTGTAACAGTTCTGAAGGAGGTTAAATTGCAAGCCAAGACTGTCAAAATTCTCTCTTGATATAGCACCAAAATAGCCTGATCAGCCCAAAAGCTGCTGAGCCTCACTATTAGGAATTGCGGCTACTCTGCAATGTGAAAGATAGGGAATTTGGTCTATTTCATAGATTTTTTTTTTTTTTTATTCCCTGAGATTTACTGCCTAAAGAATAAGAATTTCTGCTTGGATGGCTTGATGTGACATTTACCTCTAGTTTTGCCAATGAGGTCGTGGTGTGGTTTAATACATTACATTAACCCATGCCTCTTGGATCTCAAATCATTTTAGATTGTGATTTAGTTTTACCCAGCATCTATCAGTTAGCATGAAAACAAGTTCAGGTAATATTCTAAGTCAAGACTAGACCGCAGGCCATACATTCACTCACCAAATTTTATCAAGCATCTACTATGTGCCACTGATACATCTCGCATAGAGAATTCATTAGGGACAAAACAGGCTTTTTCCTTACAGACCATCACCCAGGATTCTTCCTAGAAGGTTAATATAAAATAACTTAGATTTTTACCAAAAGTCGTAAGAAAATCCTAATCATGAGTGAAGTATCTCATCTAATAAATTTAAACATCTGACAGATTGGCCAACTTGTTTTCCCCTAAAGAGGGAGAGTTATTACTATTCTTTAGAAAGTCTAAGGAAGAATTAGGCAAATAGTATAATAATTATATTGACCAGGGAAAACGTGTGTTTAATGGATTGAAGCATAATATAACATCAGGCTCCAGAGTATCTGAGTTAAGAACTAGGTGTCCTAAGTTCTGTAACATCTTTTGCTTTATCAAACACGTCTTAAAATACTACTGAGCAGTTTAACTATGCAATTCTACTTTTATTTCAAAGAACACTACAAGGAAGACAATGATTGCAGTTCAAGTCTCTGACACTTGAATTAATACAACTATATCTAATTTGTGGCATGAAAGAAGAGTAAGAGCAGTAGCTGTAAGATTAGAAAACACAACTAGAAAGATGACAGAATTTGAAAGCATATAAACAAGCATACTCTATTTTCTTGCATATTTCCCTTGTATATGCATTGCCTTCATCAAAATTTTTTCACCCAGTGAAGTTTTAAGGTTATTTCTGACTACACATATCAAAATTAGGAAAGGTAAAGGTCATTAATAATGCCTGCATCACTTTCTAAATCCAATTCCACACTGAGAGGCAGAATATCATTAACAATAAAAAGAAATAGTGTGTAGGGGATGTTTAATTAGAGATTCAAATATCACATTTTCACTTTTATTATATACAAGTGCAGAAATAGAATTGTCCATTTATATGGGATTGTATTTTATTTGGCTTTTTAATAAGTTATCTGCTTATTAATAAAACCCAAGAAATATAATGTCTTTGGTCCTTCTCTCATTGATGAGATAGCATAGCAGTGATTCACCTGAAGTAGCGTAAGACTCCAGCGAATGGATCCAAAGGCTACAGACAAGTTTCATTCAATTCATTCTTATTGGACATGTACTTATTTTTCCACATATACCATACCCATATATTGCATTAGGCCATGAATACAAGAAAGATAAACATATTTGGACTCTGCCGTCAAGCAACATAGAGTTTTGTGAATATTTTGCAATTTTTTAAATAAAAATTCATCATACTTGGACAAAAAATGAGCTCCAGAAATGTAAGTATTTAGCTATATGTTATACTTAAAATTATTTTAAATACACAAGGGAAACAATGTTTTAAAAGACCTCTTTGGTCAATAGTCAATCCTCTAGAACATGAAATTTTTCACTTACGTTCACCTGCATTTCAGCATTTATTTTTTGTTCCTTTTCAGATGTTGATAGAGAGATCCTTAGATGAAAAATAGAGATTCTATATGTGGTGTCATTTCTTTACCCTTCTTGTTTCTGGAGTCAGCGTTTCCTGTACATGTAACTACAATGATTCACACTTGCTATGTAGCATTAATAGCACCCCAAATGCACAAGATTGGCCGTTTTTATTTTTCTTAATTGGTTTTGCAAGTTTTCCACAAGCCCACACTAAAGAGCTCATGTCTGTTGAGACTTGTCATTCAAAATCAACCTTAGCCCCTTTGCGTTGACCATAATCTCAAACTATTAGAATGGAAGAATTTCAGGAAAACAAAATAAGTATTTAATAAATATCTGTTGAATGAATGGACTAAATGATTACTAATGAAGACTACAGTTGAACAAAAATGTTTTAGGGCAGTCTTTCTCAAATATTAATATGTATATGAATCATCTGTGAGGGAACTTGTGAAAATGCATATTCTCATTCATTATATCCAGGGTAGGACTTCATACTCAGCATTTCTAAAAAGCTTCCAAGTGATACTAATGTTGCTGGTCCTTAGACAACACTTTGAATAGCATGGCTTTTGGATACTAGTGTAAAATTTTATTACCGAATACATGTTTTCAGGCCATAAACATTTTTGGGTTAAAAATATATTAGGAGGCATAATCCTGTATTGTACCTAAAAATAAAGATGGTGTTTTTTTCTTCATTTAGGGCTTACTTTTAGCTTACTGTATGGCAAACACTGTTATAACTTAGAAATTGGAGTGAATAAAGAATATTGTTAAACATCAAAAGGAAAAAAATAGTAGTGACTGAACTAACAATTACCAGCTACAAGCAAAAGGGTTATGTAAAATGACAATGAAGTTCTGAAATGTTAAAGAATAAAAATGAAAAAAATCATTAAGCATATCAGAAAATACGAAAAAAAGAAGATATGAGATTCTGAGGGTATATTACAACACGAAAAGGCTTGAATCAACCACATTTTAGATGCTCACATTTTTAAACTTATGTAAATAATCTAATATAGATATAGATGCTATTTTGTAGATGAAGAAACGGTGTCGCAGGTTACAGTTTAAATGACTTCATCTAGGTTCTCACAATGAGGAACTAGTAGAACCAGTATTCATTTTACATCTTATTCCAGAGCCTTAACTGAAATTATTTTTGTTTAACATTAGAGAGACTGTAGATCTCAAAGTGTGTTATTATTTTTAGAACTTCACTGTACTTTTCTTCCAAACTTCGTGTTAGATCTGGCAGTGGTTATGAAATGACTCAGTTTCAACTTCTTTCTCCCTTCAGTGCTTCCTAAAATGTTTCACTTTGTTTCTCCTCCAATGACTTTGTAAATTTATAACATGTTTGAACTCAAGTATTAATTTAAATGAGTTCTACATCCCTTTGGTGCAATGGAATTTAAAATCACATATGTTCTTTATTTAAATGACTTTAAAATATTATAAATGTACATAAAAGAGAAATTCAAAATAAAATCTATGTTTTATCTACACAAAACACTTCATGAAAAATGCAAGAGGTGAAGCTAATACAGTGAAGATTTTTCAAATTTAAATCTATTTTGTCATAAATTACAAAAGCTAAGGTTTCTAAACCTCCAACTACAAATATTTTCATGTTTCATTGAATATGTTGATTGCCGTCATTTGAAGGACTTGCTGCCAATGTTGTTCTCTTACTGTTACATGTAGATTTTAGCTTATATGCCCAACAATCTGAGATGGCAGCCACAGCCTTTGAATTGGCTCAGCATTTCCTTCAAGGACACATGTATTATTGCTGTGAGATCATTGGCTTTGAAGTCTCACATAGCTGATCCTGCTTTACCCCTTATTAGTGGTTTCATTTGCATAATGAAAATATTAATACCAATGTAATCATTAGACTTATAAAATGTATGTAAAAATTAGCAGATTAAAATTCAATTGTGGTTCCAGTCATGAGAGTAATTTACTGTTAATAGTTCCTCGGTCATGTCATAGACACTTACAATTTCCTGATGTTATTTATAGTGTCAATCCACAAGTGACTCCTAAGAAATAATCATGTACTTTTATCCCCAGTGAATAAAATGTCTTTGTTTTAAGGATTATTTATTATTTACTAAGGTTCATGCTTTTTCAAATTGTTTTATAATTATCAGGTGTGTAGGTTTTAAGATAATCTTCTAAAGGGAATGTGTTATACTTATTCCTAAAATACAGAAACAATATTTAAGACCTTGGAGATACTCTAATCTAGTTTCTGTAATGATTTGACTTGATATTCTATGCTAATATTTGAGTTTTAAATTAACTTATTTTCATTTTGATCTTACCTTTAAGGTGAAATAATTGATTTTGTCCATTTACTTGGGTTGTTCTTAGATTTTTAAAATGGAATTTTAAATTTCTTTATATCTATATCGAGGATCTATTGTATTTCTGGCTTATGATACTTACAATACATGCATGTAAAGCAATTTCAATCTCTATCCCTGGCAGATTTTTAAAAAATTATTTTCAGTATTTTGTTTTTGATTCTATAAATTAATAGCACTCAATATGTAGCAAAGCAAAACTTCAATAACATGTTTTTTTTATTAATTTCCTTGTGAAACATATGTTGGATTGCAAAGAAAAGTACTCAATAACCACGTACCTGGATATATGCATAGCTATTAGAATTCAGGCAAAAACCTAAGAGAGCAAAGCAAAAATCTCATTTTCAAGGGCCCATTGAGATTTGAACTACTGCCACTCTCATAACTCTTCCCCTGTACTTTATTCCCCCGGACTGAGGAGACAGTTTCAATGCCTAATGCTGCTCCAGCCTTCCTTGATAGTAGCATACCTTGTTTGCTAAAGTTGTCATCTCAAAGGTACTAAACCGCATGATTTCTCCCCTATGTTATTTCATTTTATTTCCCATAAAACGCACAATGAGAAATATCCTAGGAACCAGAGATTTTACTTTCCAACTCTAATGTTGAGTTTTATAACATCGTTAGGTTTCTTACAGAAAAATAATAAGGTGCAAGGTATAAATCAGTTTCTCACGTTGGCTTAAGCATTTCCGAGGCCCAGCCAGCCATCAGATTCACTTATGAACTGGAATTGCAGCTTTTAATGGCGTAGACCACTAGGCCACAATGTAAAGAAGGGGGAAAAAAAAACTATAGTAACTTCTAAACTAAGTAGCTATGCAATATCAGTTATCACCCTGATAGGTTGTGAGCTAAGAATATTTTGACCTCCAAAAGAGAAATATCACTTGTTGCCGTCTGAAACTTAAAGGACATAGCTATAAAGGAAGTTTAATTATATTAGTTAATAAAAAATAAAATTTGATTAGTTTGTCTTTAAAAGAGCAAAATAGATCAGGTGCCGTGGCTCATGCCTGTAATTCCAGCCCTTTGGGAAGCCAAGGTCAGCGAATCACCTGAGGTCAGGAGTTCGAGACCAGCCTGGCCAACATGGTGAAACCCCATCTCTACTAAAAATACAAAAATTAGCTGGACATGGTAGTGGGCTTCTGTATCCCAGCTACCTGGTAGGCTGAGGCAGGAGAATCTCTTGAACCCGGGAGGCAGAGGTTGCAGTGAGCTAAGATTGCGCCACTGCACTCTAGCCTGAGTGAAAAGAGTGAGACTCCATCTCAAATAATAATAATAATAAGTAAATAAATAAACGAGCAAAATTAAGATTGTCAACTATACTCTCAGAGCTCTAAACCAAGCAAAAACACCTTGGAGTAACAGATTTTAGATAAAAACAGTGTGATTATTTCCTTGAAAATTAGTATATTATACACATGTTTCTCATTAGCAGACCAATACACCTATTTAAATACAGTAGATTTGAAGGGATTCTGGCTACTAAAGTCAATACCTGCCTGCAAAGTGGCTACATAGTTACAGACAGTGGGGCCCATGACTGGGGCTGTCAGCCATTTGGACCATTTGGGAGAGACCTTGAGAATGTAGTGTTACAGGAATGGTGGTGCAACCTGGGGTCTATGAACTAATCCAAGTCAATATTACTAACAAGTTCCAATATTATTTATCAATTTTTCTTGGTAAATTTACTTTCTAGTTTTAGGGAATTAAGAAGATGAGATAGTAGAAAAGGTACCAGATATAAAGTGAATAGGTTTGGTATAAAATAGAAAGTAGAACAAGAATTTTCTACTCTTCTTTTCCATGTACTCCCATTGTCTCTGAAGAATACATATGCTGATTTAATAAAAAAAATCTTTATACCCCTCTAATCTGTGGCTAGCGTATTAAGTCATAGGAAATTGGAGATGTATTATATAAATACCCCCAAACAAGGAGTCAGAGCTTCTGGATATTTAGGGGCAAAATAGAACATTCTTAAGTTGTGTCTGTAGCAATTATGGGCATGAATTCAAATCATGAATTAGTGAGAATACTTGGTGGACAATTACTCTAATCATGCTGCTATCCATTTCTCATGTTTCAATTTCACATTCCCGTAACTTAAAAGAATTTCCAGCAAAACCCTTCTTGCTGGTGTTATCATTTTCACCCTCCAGGCCAGATGTAGCTTAACACTATGTAGGTAGCTCTGCAAAGAAAGCTAATAGTCATAGGTTAAAAAGGGGAGGAAATAATGTAGCTGACTTTCATGGGATATATTCTCTGCTGTCAATATTTTGTAGTATTTAATACTGACTCCTACCCTTAGAAACACGTATTTGCATCTTTACTTCTCAAATGTTGGTAATAAGGTTAAGTAACATGCCCAAGGTGACAGAAGTGGCATAAGAATATCATGATATAAATCCATGCCCAGCACTGTTGGACCACCTACCAAGAAGGACTTCTGACATTCCCAGATTCTTCTTCTTTTTTTTTTTTTCGGTCTTCATAAGCATATTTAATAAAATAGACTTTTTTCAAAAGAAGTATAATGTCAAGCCAGTTCTTTGAATCATGAACCTTCTGTCCAATTTCTAAATCTTGTGAATTTTCTGAATTCCATTCTTGGGAAATCTAACCATGTTATTGTCACTGCCTTTAGAATGAAAAGGGGTTTGTTCCTTACAGTGGACTTAGCAGTTTTTCTTCCTAGCCCCAGAATCTGGCCAAACTCTCCAACAGAAATCAAGAAACAATAATATTTTAAGAGCTGAAAAGCAACCTATAGTTGAAAATCAAGTTGTCTCCCTCACCTGATAGGAAAACTGTGAAACATTTGGCTCTCCTTATGACATATATATTTTGATTTAAAAGCATGAGAGTTTTTTTTTCAAAAAGACAAATATTCTTTCAAATCGTTTTGTTCATTTTTACTACCTTCACTGAAGCATGAATAGCACAGAAGTAGGCATTAGTCTTTGGATTGTGTGTTATTCAACCGACTGTTACTTGCATTCCAATTACTCAGCCAGCATGGGATACAGCTGTGTCCAAGGAGTATTTCAGCGTTTCCTAACAACTCTATATATCACAATTGAATTTATTTAGATTGTATGTTAACTATTACAGTTTGGATCTGAACTCTAGGTTATTACATTTAAAGTCATAGAATATCTAAAAAATTAGCAAACAAAAATATTTGTTATTATTTTTAAAAAGTAATATATTTAAGATTATCAGGGTCAGTTCATACGTTTATGTGGGTAAAATTAAACAATAGTCAAACAATGTCAGATAAAACTGCCCATGATGACATCTTCTCCTTTAATATGGAAGAGAGGACACATGTTTGACAGGTATGAAAATATCTAATTAATAATTGAGGAATTACAACTTACTAAATTCTACCTCTGCAGTTACATCAGTGTGACTTTGGATGTATTATTAGCTTTCTGCTCTTCAGTTTCTTCTAATGGAATTCCTGTTGCAAGGATTAAATGAGATAATGTCTATAAAATGCCTACCATAATACTTGTCACCTTCTGAGTCTGTCACCAAGGAAATGACTAGTTTGTTTTCCCAACTACATAAATATAAAGCAAGGTCTCAGACAATACCTTATTTATCATGTACTGTTGGCTGTGTTACGTAACAACACAAGGTCAAAATAACTACAGTTAGGATTTTGATTCTCTCAAAAGAAACAATTAAATAGAAACTAAATGCCTTTGCTAAAAGGCCAATCTGATTTCCCCATGCCAAGGCTGAAGCTGTAGTTACTCAAGACTAGAACAGAATGGTAACTTGTAAAATTATACACATTATAGTAATAAAGACAAGCACATATATAAGAGTCAACATTTTCTTTTTGCCAAGATATAGTTAATATCTTATAGAAAATAGATTTTTCTTCAGATACCCGAATAGAGAACTTACCATATTTTGGGGAAAACACTTACTTAATATCCACATAGGTTAGCCCAGCCATGAATAAAGAAGTAACACAAGATAAATCGTGTGTATGTGTTGGGGGTAGTGTTTCACAGAATGCACTTTCCTTATCAGTTTATGGTATTGCTGTCATTATTTTAACTAAATTTTCATATAGCAACACACCAAAGCCACGAACCGTAAAATACTACTAAGTCATTTGAAATGTATTCTATTTCTTAGACTCAGAAGACTTGAATTCAGAATTTACTAAAACTATTATTTTTATTTCAATCCCATGTCTCTAGGATATATTCTTAAGAGTAGAAAGAGAGGAAAATACTGACTTTAACTTCCTCTAGATAATCTCCCCGTAGATTGATAAGGTTCTCAGCAACACAACAAAAATCTTCAGCATCTCAAGGAAGAGGATCCTGATTAATTACATCAGGTTGGTGAAAGGACAGCTTTTAGATGTTGTTCACATCTCTTCAACTGCTCTTATCAAAGTTCATCACTTACACTGCTGACTAAGGATAACTACTGTGTACTGTAAAAGAGATGGCAGGGCTGCAGATTTTGTGTTACTGTATTATTTCTCTGGTTTCTTTCTCTTTTCATAGTAAATGTAAAAGTCTGTAAAACTCTGGTGGAGGATGGTGATGGGGGGAAACTGCATGTGTGAGGGCGAGATACATGGGAATTCTTTGTACTTTCAATTTTCCTTTAAAATTGCTCTAAAAAATAAAGTTTATTAAAAAAACCCTATGTAAAACTGAAAACATCATTTTCCCGTGCTTTGTTTTCATTTTCAAATGATTGACTGGCACAGTTTTTAAAATATTTTAAGAATTTTAAGGCCGGGCACAGTGGCTCACACCTGTAATCCAGCGCTTTGGGAGGCCAAGGTGGGTGGATCACTTGAGCCCAGGAGTTTGAGACCAGCCTGCACAATGGTGAAACCCTATCTCTACAGAAAATACAAAAAAAAAAAAAATTAGCTGGGCATGGTGGCACATACTTATAGTCCCAGCTACTTGGGAGGCTGAAGTGGGAGGATCACCTGAGCCCAGGGAGGTTGAGACTATAGTGAGCCATGATTGTGCCACTGCATTCCAGCCTGGGCAATAGAGTGAGACCGTGTTTCAAAAAAAAAGCAAAAAATTCAAAATCGAAATAATTTAAAAATATAAATGTAAGTTTAACTAAAAGCTATCCTGTTAATTTATTTTCTCATTTAGTGTTATGAAAGTTATGGGCAATTTAAGAATTTTATCTGCATTACAAAGCAAATGACATATATTTGTAGGGAGCAACCAATTTGAAAAAAATCAAATAAAAGACAAAGTATAGCAATATGGCATTCTTTTCACTAGGAAAAAAAATACTTTAATTGTTAAGCTGTTTACCATTAGAAACAAGGGACAAATTATGTCTATAACAGTAACTAAGCTTTTTATGATAGTAGTTGCACAAAATGTCTTTACAAGTACCACTCAGTAAATTTTCTGCTCTCACAATCATTTGACCTGTAATTACTGATTTCAGTAAAAACAAAAAGAAAATTTAATTTTAATTTTAACATTCTGGCATCTACACTAAAGAAAATTTATGGTGGGAAAAAGCATTTATAAGTTTTTGATATAAAAAAACTACATACCTCGAACTGATGAAAACAAGAAAAACCAATGAAGAGCCAAGATGCCTACTGTTGTGGGGTATATTACAAGATAAAGACTTCAGAGTGCCATATAAATACGCTAAGTGTTTTTTAATCAGCTAATGCCAAACAACATCCTCATGAAGTTAATAAGAGCTATCCACACTCATAAATAAAAAGTTATAAAATTAATATTGCAGAACTAAAGCAGTTCTTCAAAGACCATTCTTACAGATTTGGTTAAACACACATATACATGCAATCACATGGATGCAAAAACGCTTACACAAACAATTTCTGACCCTGAAGTATATCACTGGGACACTAAAAATAGTTTCATTACCAAGATTCAAAAGAAACAAACAAGCAGCGGGAACAACAACAAAAGACACAGGAGGAACAAATGACTCTAAGAAAAATCAAATAGTGTGACAAAATAGTATGCAATAAATATTAATTTGCAAAATGTCAAAATACTTATGAAATCTCTGAATCATGACATTCTCTAAGCATTGGCATCTGTTAAGTAATGGAACTAAGAGATCTTGGAAGGATTGCCCAGCTCTGTTGTTATACATCTAGAATTAAATAATTCTTAAAAATGAATATATGCTTTAGGGAAGTGCCTTTTAACATTAAGCGTAATAAAAAATCAATAAATGATTTATGAAAGATGCTCTTTTTTCAAAGTCTCTGAAATTGTGTCACTTTCCTATCTTCTGAGTACAATAATGTAGTTTATTGTCACAATTATTTTTAAGTTCTTTAGCTAAATCCTGTTTCTGATTATATTTATGTAACCAAAAATTTTTCAAAACCAAACAAGAGTAAGAATGAAATGGAGAAAATTTTTATTCCCACAATCTGTTCTTCCTTGATGAAGTAGATTAATTAATGTTTAGTAATAGGAAAGTGTGGTTAAAAATATCATTGCTTGGAAATACAAATAAAGAATAATGCAAAATAATGCATAAAAGACAATAACTAATGCAGAATAATATAGAAAAGAAATAATAATGCAGAAAAGAAATAATGAAGAAAAGAAAATAAACCAGTGAAAATGATATAGTAAAATAGCAAAAAACACAGCAGTGAAACAAAAAAATAATTGATTCCTGATTAAAATGCAGATGGTGGTGGATTGTTCAGTTTTCTAGAAGTGATATAGATAATAAATTACAAAGTATTTGCAATAAAGAAATGTCATCTCAGGCAATCTTTTGTAAAGAATGACCTCATGTTGAACCCTCTGAATCAGAATTTTGCATTAAAATCTGTGGATTCATATTGTCATGATTCTGTCACTGCAATCATTCTAGTCAACTAAACAACACCAAAGTCACCAAAGAGTACAGTCAATTTACATGAATGTAGAAACGCTGTGAATACTGCATTGCTGTTAGTCAGACTTTCTGAATGTTATCTTGATGTTCCAGTTCTTCTCTTTTACCATAGAAAAAATTATTAGAGAACTTGTAACTACGTCTGGTTTGACAGATCTAAATAACCATTCTCCACATCCTTTTACATATGCTATTTGTCAAATAATTAACGTGGCTTGCATAATACCAAGAATTCAAGTCAAAATCAATGGATTTTTCAATCTGCCATTCAATTTGTAAATATGCAAATTAATGAGGTAAATGTCAATGACTTCCAATATTAACTTTTTATTATCGGGCCCTATATATCTAACTTAAGGGAGTGTACCACAGTCAATAAATTTGGCATCTCATCTAGCATATACTAAATGAAATCATGTAAAGAAATAACTTTTCCTAAATATTCAGAAATGGAGAATATTGTGTTTTTAAGCACATTTCATCTGACTAGACCGCACAGTGGGGAAAGCTAACTCATCTACAATGCATTAGATAAAGCAGAGGCTCTCAGGTGAAGGGCCCCATGGAGAACACAACAGGACCGAGCAGAACTTGATATGAGAGGCTGACACTCCGGCCCAGATAACATTCACGCTCGCTCACTGCAAAGAAACAGCGAGTGAGGAGTCTCTAAGGATAATAACTTCGAAATAACTTTCAACCCTTCATCTAGCTTCTTCCTCTAGCAAAGGTTAAATGTAAGTTTGACACATTGTTCTATTGCCTGCACTTACCCTCAGGTAATAAAAGAGACAATGAAATATAATAATGGGTCCCCATGCTCCATGGCACCGTATAACATCTATTATGCATCTCTGGGAGTTCAAACACACTCTTCCTCGTGATGTTAAATCACTGAACTATGTTTAAAAGAAAATAAAAGAAAACATTAGAGTAGACATGTCACTAAGTCTATGGGTTTTTGTCCTTGCTTCTGAAGTGGTTGACGTCTTCATTAAACACTCCTCCCCAGTCGCTAAGGAACTTGACATTACTTCAGCTATTAATGCATTTTAGGCCAGCTGACCCATAACATATTAATTAATTAGATTATATGCCTATTGCTTTTTAAAATTCTCATTATATTATTGGTTAAGAAATAATAGTAAACATAATGACAATAAAAATAATAAAGAGGTAATTTACTGAGTGCTCAGTATGTACTGGGGACTG
Source organism: Homo sapiens (assembly GCF_000001405.40). Lineage (NCBI taxonomy): Eukaryota > Metazoa > Chordata > Mammalia > Primates > Hominidae > Homo > Homo sapiens. The sequence goes on from NC_000013.11 coordinate 67,100,324, forward strand.
TGCAATGGTCTTATAGGGATTATCTAGATTGCTTTTTTCTTAAAAAGAAAAACTACTTGGAGAACACGAAATACCAAACCCTTAAACATATGTGTAAAGTGCAGCCTACTGACACATAGAAATTATTTATATCTTGAATCATACTAACTTTTAAAATGTAAAGCCTACTAAAATGCAGAAATGTTTCTATCATAAATTGCATGTATATACTTAAGGAATGCTGTTAACGCAAGAATTAATACTAAGAAACTGAAGAAATAAGCACAAAAAAGTAATCACTGCAGTTTCTATCATACCTCAGCTTTACCAAAAATTATTCCAAAAAGATCGTGCATTGCTCTTCTCTTCCTCAGATATGTTTGCAGTCTTTTCTTTTCTCCCTCTTTGGCTTATCATCTTCTAATATCAGGAAACACTTTGAGAATTTCATTCCTTGGTTGCTTGCAAATTGCTCTAAGCTATTCATTCCTTTTCAACCAGTTTAGTGGAGGTCGAACATCTGTATTTCAGGCTGCTGACGAAATATCTATGGAAAGGGGCCTCTAAAGAAGTAGTGCAGAGAATAAAAACTGCTGGGAAAGATATGCAATCACTCAAAAAAAATGGGTGTGTTCCTCTGGAATGCAAAGTGACTCACAAATGGAATGCCTGATTTACCCTCTGAAAGGGGTCCGCACCTGCCTAACCATGACCACTAGTCTGGAGAAGCACTGGCTTCAGCAGCAGAAGGCAGAATCATTGATAGCAAGAATCTTTTGAGCTCCTCAGAGCCATGCAGCTCCTCACCCTTACCCTCTGCCACTGCCATCAGCAATGGGGATTTCTCAGGTAAAACAATATAGTAAACATTGATTCTCCTATAGCTATTGATGCTTTCAGAGAGAAAAGACTTTAGATGCAATCTGATTATAAGTCCATATTATTTTAAAACTGTATTTGTGATATGTACTGCCACTGAAACATCATTCACTGAATGAGCTTCTGTGCAGCTGGAAAAAAAAGTTAAGGGAGTATATTTCATGTATGAATAGCAAACTCATTGGTATTTTATATTTCAGCTTTTCTCCTGAGATCCAATGTAATAGGGTGATTAATAGGAATTTTAAAAATTCCAAAGTAGGTTGCTTAGTTGCCAGTGAAGTAGGATATAAATTTCCCTCACCCATTTAGAACCTTCTAAATACATGTGGGTTTGTTATATGTGTGTGTGTATCTTTGTATACATACGTGTATATGTGTATCAACAGAACTCAAAATGTAAACCAGTGTAAAGTAGTGTAACTCTAAAATATGGAAAGAGTTTTTGTTCAATTTGTATGTTGGTGTTACACACTCCAAATAATATTTCTGTAACTATCACTCAATGAGTATTTTAACCTCAGAGTGAATAATCTACTGATTTTTAACTCTAGGTTTGTTTTAATATCTTCAATTAAACCAATTCTCTTCAGTAATAAACATCAAGTGACATTGAGAAGAGGCAAAAAAGAGTAAGAAAGAAATTAAAACAAACAATGGATAACTAATAGTGTTAAATGGAATACTAAGGCTGTTATGGAATGGAATGGAATGGCATTATGCCTCTGTGGAATACCAACGCTGTTGAGTAATTGAAAATTTCTAAATCTCCCCAGTATACCAGTCCCACTACCGAGTCCTTGTTAAAATGCTTCCTTTTACTGTAGTCCTAGTATTTATAGGAGTTTTAATAAGCCTCCTCTATCATAAGCTGGCAAAAAGATCCCTTTTCAAAAGTCCTATATTAAAATGTTCTTCTACATTAAAATATCAGAAAATTGCAAGTCCTTTAGAGCTTCAGTTAAAGTGGATCAAAGGTGAAGGACAGAAGGAATTTTGCACAGTACAATAGTGAAACTGCTAGAATTAGACCTCAGATCCCTTGATTCTTAACAGTTTCTGGACAAAAATAATCATAGGCTTGTACTCAAGCAGAACAAGGGCCCCTTCATTCCTGTGTTTATGGTCTTGCAATCTCTAGATCTTTCTCAGCCTCCACGGACTCTTCTGGAAAACAGGCAAACTACACCTACAATCCGAGAATATTCTAAACACAGAAAGACACTCAAATGTAAAACACTGACATCCAGACATATTAATGTTGCTGACACAGAACTCTAATATCTGTTTTTAATACTAAATAACAAAAGTCAAAAGGTGCTCTAAATGATGAATGAAAACACTTTCAAATAGAAAAAAAAACAGGTTAAATGCTCAGTTACCGTCTTTATTTATTCTACATACTTCTTAAAGTAAAACACACATTCAGTTGTTTATTTTCCCTCTAAGTGTGAAGAGGATACATGACAGAGATAATCTAATCTAAAAGTTTAAATAATCAGGAATGATTGAAACATTCTGTAAAAGAGAGAGAAGGATTAGACCTGAACTGCTGGATATAAAACATCTTATAAATCTACTGTACTTCTGAAAGAATATGTTACAGATACTACTGATAAAATGAAAATAACAGAGAGAGTAGTATATACCTGAATTTAGTTCATGTGATTAAAATGACAACAAAAATCACTAATTTACTAATGAAAAATCTGCTTGAGAGACAACATGGTTATACTCCTACCTCTCCTCACACATAAAAATACACTTTCTATACAGTAGGTCAATAACACATTAAAATATACAGAAAAAATAGGTAAATAATTACCTAAAATATTTTCCTAAGTATTATGGCAAAAGAAACAACAATAAAGGAAATAAAATAGCTCTGCTACACACATGTTTTTAAATGTTTTTTAAAAAGTAACAAAATGTAGGTACAAAACTTCAGAAAATATCACTATATATGACTAGGTACTATATATATTGAGATAGTTACAACTCAGTAAAAATATAAAAATGCTACAAGGAAAATAACACAAATCATGAATAAAATATTATTAAAGTTAAAATATCAAATACTAACATATGTGAAAATAATTGGGGAAATGGACACCTCTTTATTTCTGTTTGGAAGTTAATCAATGTGATGATCTACAGGTGAATGTGTTGATATAAACTGAAAGGCTTTAAAATCTTCCTGCTTTGTAAGTCAGTAATTCCACTTTCAAATATTTGTTTACACGTAACAATCAGAGATGCCAATAGAATGTATATATTGCCTAATATCTTAAAATGGTGACAAATATGCAGCATTGGAAGACTATAAACCTCTAAATCCAATATAATTTCAAACCTGCTAACAATGTTAGCAATTAATATTGATGTTCTTCAAATGGCAGTAAAGCAAAGACTTTTTTCTTTTTTTTTCTTTTCCATATTTTACTAATCTACTATAAACCTATACTACTTTTACAGTAAGGGAAATTGTTGTAACTTACATTAAACACAAGTGATGGATGACAGACAAGAAACAGTAACTTAGCTTGTACTCACAGAATACACAGTAGAGTGGTGGATTGCATGGGGACTTGAATGCTTGACTAGGGAATTCCTACATCATTGACTAGGCAGTGGGGAACCATCGAAAATCTTTGAGCATGGAATTCACAGAGTCATTTTGGCAGTTGTGTACATGGCTAAGTGAACGACTTTGAATCTAGTTGCAAAGAGGCCAATTGTGAGAGTTCAGGGACCTTCAGAAAGTAACATCAGGAATTTCAAGATGGTCAGATACCCTTAAATAATAAGTAGCTCTCATATTACATATACAAAGTAAGGCCTTGATGTCAACTGCCATAAGATGCAGCAATATTTTAAGCTTTGTATTCCTCTCTCAGTGATCTCCTGAAAAGAATAGGCATGGAGTTCATGAGACTCATATGAAGAACCAACTGACAGCACCACATCTACAATCTGGGTCCTGGAGTTTTAAGTATATCATGTTGCTTTTAGGCTAGATTTAACTGTGAGGATAATAAGAAACATGGGTATCTCTGTTACTTCTAACTAGCAGGTCTGTGCATTGAACCATTGGAAACTCAAATATTTCAGAAATATATGGTAAAATAATAAATTCACATGGATTTTTAAAGGGCTCTTAGACACGTGGAGCATTGCCAGGTTAGCTATATCAATGACAGGGGCTGTAATGACATTCCCCGCCCACCCAAGCCTTTGGAGTCATTTTCCTTCCCAATTACAACATAGGTTTCAACGTGTGGCTATAAACTGATTTCAAACTTGCCTGATGCAACCCTTTACAAATGCTCTCCTTAGATAACTAAACTTATAAATCATATCTTGTTATACAATTTTTTTTTTTTTTGAGACGGAGTCTCGCTCTGTCGCCCAGGCTGGAGTGCAGTGGTGCAATCTCGGCTCACTGCAAGCTCTGCCTCCTGGGTTCACGCCATTCTCTTGCCTCAGCCTCTCGAGTAGCTGGGACTACAAGCGCCCACCACCACGCTAGGCTAATTTTTTTGTATTTTTAGTAGAGACGGGGTTTCACCATGTTAACCAGGATGGTCTCAGTCTCCTGACCTTGTGATCCACCCACCTCAGCCTCCCAAAGTGCTGGGATTACAGGCGCGAGCCACCGCGCTGGGCCAATAAAATGGTTTTAACCTGTAGGATCCCCCTCTTTCTATAAGAGAATCCTTAATCTCACTTTTAAATCAGTTCCACTTCACTGAAATAAAAACCACTTCCTCTTCCCTAAAATAGTTTTTGCAATATTTCCTTTACAGGATCATTGTACTCTTGAACTCAAATCTTCTCCCTTCGCTAACACTGCTACATCTAGTCTGCAGTCACATATCTTGCCACTAACACTCTTTCAAGATGGACACTTCTTGGCCTTGGAGTTTCTGTTTCATTTATTCAGTATTCTATGTCTCCTTTTTATAGTTGGATCACAAACTGATTGGGAAAAAAGATGATGTAAAATTGCCTACACTTTTTGGCAAAAGAACAAAAATATAGAAGATCGTAATATTTTTGTTCTAAGAATAAAATCAGATAAAATGAAAAGCTTTTCTTACTCTGTAATTTAGTAAAATAAAATAATACTATGAAGCAAAGAAATTCTAAACTTTGGAAATAAAAACATAAGGAGCAGGACATTTTATATTAGCCCATAAAACACCATATTATTTGGCTACTGGTTTTGAGAATCACACTCTAGATTACTGGAAAAGAAGGGGTTATTCATAGGAAAGTCCTGAAATAAATTCTCTGGGTACCCAGAGATGAAGTGAGCCTATGTATTAACTATTATAAAACATGCCTGTGAAATAAATGTGTGCTTTTTTTCTTTACTCAATTTAGAAAAAAGACATGATTTTTATGAGTGATAGGAGAAATGATGCAGCATCTTTTTAAAACTGTGTTATGAAACACTTTTGTGTGTTTTTTGTTTCTTTTTTTAAAAGTAAGCTGCTTTTCACTTTCTCTTTGGCAATTAAATTTATACATATCTGAACAATAATATTTACTAAATTCCAAAGCTTAAATTTTGACAATTGCTTAAATGTGTAATACAATAATAGGCCAAGATCAATGTATTTAAGTATATCAGATAGATAATATTTAATGATCTACATAAGTAAAGTTAGTAATCTCAAGAATACATATATGTTTTTATACATTAAAGGATAGAGAAATATATCTAAGAAATATACATATATATTTATAACTATATATCTATATATTAGTTTATAGTGTAGGAAAGAAATTTTGAAGGGACTCTAAGTCAGCTAGAAATCTGGTCAATACTCACATGGCCACTAAGTTGATGATACCATTGAATAGGTCATCCAACTTTTCAAATCTATTCATTAGTAAAATAAAAATATTGATGTTAGAATTAAGGGACATTAAGTATATAAAGTGTCTCCCATGTAAAAGGGAGTCAAAAAAAGTATCCTTGCTTATTTCAGAATGATTGTGAAGATTAAATTGGATAACTTTAAAACTCTTGGGGCTCTGCTCTATATATGCTTCCTATTTACCAAGTTATTCATTTATCCATCCTAGGCATTTTAAGTACTTACTATGTGGTAGATACATGTAACCATTCCATGTTAAAAGAGTTAAGTGTTCCACATAAAATTCAAGATAAATGTAAGATATTCAAGGTTATCTTAAGCTTAACTGTATTTCTGGACTTGTTCTGTATTTAATGTAGCAAAGGATTAAATCATCTTTAAGTGAAAAGCAGGAGGTTAATCATCAGTTGTGATTTCATATTTCATGGTGAAACTTAATTTGGCCCCACCACAATTCTAATTTTAATATGGTATCAATGACAGCAGCAGCCCATCTGGAGCAGCCACTGCAAACATGCTGGCTGCAGCGGAGGAGGTGAGGCCAGGGCTTTGCACTCCGTGGAGCTAATGGGGACTGGGAACAGGCAGGAGACCCGCCCTCCTGGGCACAGCTGCAGCCACCCAGCCATGGCTGCGGATTGGGCATCCCTGTGCTCCTGGGCCTGGGAAACCCTTCTGCCCCTGCAGGCTCAGAAGTGCCCACTCCCACTGCTTGGCCTTCCCCTGGCCTCTCCCTGCCCCTGGCCACCTCTCCAATTTTGGAACAAAGTTGAGGCTGAGCCCAGGAGCTGTTGCAACACAGCCCTGTGTGTGGGCACTCAGGATGGTGCTAACATGCCAGCACACTGCAGCCTTGGCCCCCTGTGTAATTTGGGTGCCGAGGAGCAAGGCCAAGGTGGGGCTGAGGATGTCTACATGAGGTCTGCAGGTGCTCCTTGGCATGAACAGCCGGGGCACCATGGACATGATTGATGGTGGCAGACAGGCTCCTTGATGGAAAGGGGCGGATCCCCAGTGAAGCCCCTCCTTCAAGCCCATGTCAGCCTGAAGCATGGGGGCCGGGCTGTCACTTCCAGGTGGACCAGGCAGCCCCAAATGAGATCTTATGGTGCTTTTCATGGATCTGCCCATGGCCACCCATGGGCCAATCAACACGCATATCTAAAGCCCATAAAAAAGCCCCTCCTTCAAGCCCGTGTCAGCCGAAGCATGGGGGCCGGGCTGTCACTTCCAGGTGGAGCAGGCAGCCCCAAATGAGATCTTATGGTGCTTTTCATGGGCCTGCCCATGGCCACCCATAGGCCAATCAACACGCATATTCTAAAGTCCATAAAAACCCTGCACTCAGCCAGACTCACAGAGACATTGGGACAACCTCCCAGCAGATAGAAACTACCACTCTGGGCCTCCTCTCCACTGAGGGCTATGGACGTCAGAACGATCTGCCTGCAGAAAGGCACTACCCACTGCAGGTCTCCTCTCTCCTGCCAACTGGACATTGTTGGGAGGACCTGCCTACAAAAAGGAGCTACCCACTTTGGGTCTCCTGAGAGCTGTTCTGTTGCTCAATGAAGCTCCTCTCCACCTTGCTCATCCTCTAGTTTTCCATGTCCCTCATTCTTCCTGGACATGAGACAGAACTCAAGACCTGAACTGAGACCTGCCAAATGGCAGGACTGAAACAGCTGTAATACAAACAGGGCTGAAATGCCCCCTTGCTCACCATATTGCAGGCAACAAGGAGAGAAGAGCTACAGCCCTTCGAGGAGCCTAGACCTAGAGGCCCCCCAAGCCAGGGCTGTAACACCCTCTTTAGGGTTCTGCGGTTCCTGGTGTCTCCAAGCTTCTGGGTGCCACTGCATTCCCTTTGTCTAGATGTGGGTGCCCACATCTAGACTTCATGCAGTACATCTGGTCCAGCCACAGCCTTGCACAGAGCCAGCACCTGTGCCAGCACCTGGAGCTGCCCGTCCTGCCACAGCAGCCAGAATGCCTGGCTATGCACAGTGGCCAGACCCTGTGCTCAGTTGCCCACACTCCTCTCACTGCTCCACACCTGGCTCACCCTTGGCAGCTGTGGAATCTGGGCTGGTAACGCAAGCTGAGCACAGCCTGCCAAGCTGAGTGAGTGGAGTAAGCCCAGCAGGCATGAGCAATACTCAGGCAGAAGGTGTGGTCTGCCATGGAGGTTTCTGGCTGGCAAATTGATATGCCAAGGATCCCATGACAGTATAGTATAGGTAATGCAGTCCTGATTCAGGATATTTATCTTTTAAAAATAATTAAAATAGCTAAAAGTAACTGATAACATAGTGATACAGAACTAAAGAGTATTCATACTAATGTAAAATGTGTTAAATTGTGACAGTTAATGGGAATGAGGCAGATACATTAAAAAACTCATGACAAAGCAATAAACAACTTGTTTTATCCATTTCAAGGTAGAAAATAGCATCTAAGGCCAATAATAATATCAATTTTTAGAGAAAAAACTAATTTCCATTTGTATCATTAGTATTGCATGGCATATAGCCTGATCCAAACACTTATTACAGGAATAAAGATTAATCCACAAGAATATAGCAGACTAATTAAATTCACACACATGAATGTAAAAATCACCATTTTTTAATCAAATAAATCTACAATTTTAATTACAGTGGGTACTATATTTAATGACTAGGGTGAGGGCAAGTTGAACATTTTAATAAATTTGAATAAGCATACATTAATTATACTGCAATGAATGCATATTTGAGGGAATATGCAGTTTTCCATTTTAATAATGTTAGAATAACATTGTAATATGGGCCCATAGAGCAAAAACTATTAATTAGGCCACCAAAATATTTTAGCATGATTTTAACAGTTTGGCTCAATACCATGATTACCATGTCAGATTCAGTCAATTTTAGTCAAAATCATGTGGACTACTTGAAGTGATATAAGTATTCTCAACACAGTATCTGGAGAACAGCTGTGTAAACTAAAATATAAATGTACATATTTTATAAATTTTCTTTCAGTGACACCTAACCCACTTTAGACTCTCACAAATTTGAAATTTTTAAAGAGGTAATGGAGAGTACTCATGTATCATAAGGAAAAAATAAAAGGTGATCCTTAGCTTGTTGAAACTGGGTTCTCCACCTTTGCCACTTTTTCACCTTCCTCTACCCTTCCTCAAACTCTCCCCACTTTATGTTCAGACCCTAACATTATTTTTACCAGTTAGGATCTTGGTTTATTTTGAAGTTCTATTGTGCCAATGAGATTTAGGTAATTGCGTGTTATGAAAATGATTAAATTCATTTCCCTAAGTAAGTCAATAATGTAGCCTAATCACGTAGTTTGGCATATTTCATTCTTTAAATGCATCTGTCTTCAATTGGTTTGCTTATAGAATCAGTCCAAATCCAAACATCTTCCCTATTCATAAGCACAAATAAACCTTCACTTCTGATTTTTAAAAAGGTTTCTCTAAAATTGTGTCTAATGCTTCCTAACCTGTAATCAATATTTATGCTAACTATTTGAATAAAAGTCTCTATAAAAGTTTAGTATTTAGCATTATGACATGAGAATTATTTCAAAAACGTATCTCCAGTAAGACTAAATCGATTTTCAAGCTATTTTAGAAATAGTAAAATATTTTATTTTCAATCAAAATATTTCTTTGGGTTAATTTTTAAAAGCTGGGTTGTTATATTTCTTCTCTTTTTAATTTTAGGACAAGCTATTTTTCATCTTGAAGCTTTGATTTTTCTTTAATTTATGAGATGAAAAATCACAACATATGTGATGAATCTCTGGGCAAAGGAAAATATACCTCTTGAAGTGCATTATACAATATTGTTATTTTTAACCATAACGAGTGACCACTTATTATGTATATAACACTTATTTTGTGTACTAAATTTCTGTAATATTTTAGAGAAATACATCGGTCCTTGATTTCAAGGGCTTGATAATTTGGTCGCGGAGGCTTTGCACATGCAAATGGAAGAATTTAATAATCAATAGACTGACAAAGGAACATCTAAGTAAGCTGACATTTTTAAAAAGTCCTCATAATCTAGGTTTAAGCTCATCATATGGAAAACTGCTATGCAAAAGTGTTAATATACAGAAAATTTAAAAAAAAAACAAAAAACAAAAAAAGAGAGAGAGATACGGCCGGGTGCAGTGGCTGACACCTGTAATCCCAGCACTTTGGGAGGCCAAGGAAGGTGGATTATGAAGTTCAAGACCAGCCTGGCCAACACGGTGAAACCCCGTCTCCACTAAAATACAAAAAATTAGCCGGGGTGGCAGCATGCGCCTGTAGTCCCAGCTACTCAGCAGGCTGAGGCAGGAGAGTTGCCTGAACCCAGGAGGCTGAGGTTACAGTGAGCTGAGATCGTGCCACTGCACTTCAGCCTGGGCGACAGAGACTCCACTCCATCTCAAAAAAAAAAAAAAAAAAAAAGGGACATTACAGAAAAGACACAACTACATAAGGGATCTGTGTGACTTTTATTGTGATTCTTAATGGTGGATGATTATCAAAGACTTCCTATGCTCCAAGCATTATACACATAATATTTATAATCTCACAACAGTTTTACAAGGTTGGTGTGATCCTTCTTTCTCAGGTAAGGAAATAGAAGTTCCTTGAATCTAGATAACATAATTCACTCAGGAAATGGCTGAGCCTTGATTTACATATGTCTGTTTATCTCTCTGAGTCTAGGCTGATGATTTGTTTTTGTATTATCCACCTATAAAGCTTTCTCACCCAATGCAACCTATTTTATCCTGTTACCCTGTTTCGTGTTACAATGGTCACTATCTGAAATTATACAAATTAATTGTTCACAGGATTATAGGCTTATCCATTAGAATGCAAATTCCATAAGGCCAATGCCTTCTATATTCCTAGCATTTAGAACATAGTGACTACTCAATGCATATGGCTGATTGAATTAAAAAACAGCTTGATCTAATAGAATCTCATGCCTCTTTCCTTACATGGCATGTAGTTGTTTCAGATGGCTTCTTGAATAATACTGCTTTAACCAAAACGAGTTAAGATTCTAATTATATGTGCATATATATGTTTATTTATAATATTTTCTAATCACTTTTTGTAAAATAAGCATAAAGATCAAATTAAGTACTTAAACCTGGTACACAAAATGAGACAAGTAATGAGTCTAGCAAAATGTACGATTAATATATAGTCGTTATCATTCTGAGATATTAACCCATGCACATTTTCTATCTTATTCTTTTAGCCAAGTGATCCTTCAAGCTATGTACAATTTTACACAAACACACAAACAAACATACTTGCTTTCAGGATAGGTGAGCATGAGGCCAAAGGGGCCACTCTTAGGCTGTACTATATACTAGTCTATGCTAGGTCTAAAAAATAAACACCAGCCAAGTAATGATTCATCACGAAAATAGTTACTAAGTTCCTAACGCTACTACCAAGGTTACAAAGGGAATATTAGAGAAATTTCAAATTCACTGTTACATTACTTATTTTTAATTAACCATTGTAAAATTGACTACTTTTTTTGCCACTCATACTTCTAAAGATATATTTTCTTAGTTATTTAAGTGGGAGTGGAATAGTTACTGGAAATTAGCATGTCAAGTCTTATTTTTGAGTGGCTTTGATAAGAACAGTGGAACCGAAGACAAAATGTAAATGTAATTAATAGCTACAAAAAAGTGAGATTATTATGTAACCTTCACTTCTTTAGGCTAATTAAGCCTCCTATGCCACCACTGTCATTTATTTTTAATAAAGTTATTAATTTCATATAATTAATAGTGTTATTACCCTGGCCTGGAACTAATTTCAGAAAATTCACACAAAAGTTTAGATGTATTTTATGTATCCAATCATTAGTTATGTCATGTCACAGTCCTCACCTTATCAGTAAGCGCATTAGATTTATACACATTTTTAACAGTGCAATTTGCTATCAGAATAATGCCAGTTAGATTATACCTGTGTCATTTTCTGCACTTGAGTTCCGACTGACTTTCATTAGAGCCAGGCTCCAACTTTCACATGTGCTTCTGCTCAATACTCCTTACAATGACATGTTTACACTACTGTTGTTAATACCATTTCCATCATCATTATTTCCTTTATCTCTATTATTAAACTGACTCTGAACATTTACTCTCTGCTAGGCAGGGCATTTGACACATTATATGTATTTACCTTCAAAGTAGATTTATGACACAATTATTAGATTGCCATTTAATATGTGAAGAAACATGCTTGTCCAAGGAAACATAGGTACTGTGTGGTGCCTATGATCAGCAGCAGAACTCTTATCCTGAACAGATACATTCCACTATAACTCTCCATGTACATTGTTTTATTTCACTCTCTGCATCATAATCTTGCATGGAAGAGATTATCATTTGCACTGGGTCTTCTGTGCCTAATAGAGCATATTAACTAATTAAGGTGCTATCAAAGAATTAAAAGAATATGTGAAGCTACACAATTTCCAAACTGAAAAAAAATGGATATCATTTTCTTTCTTCCTTTCTTCCTTTCTCTCTTTCTCTCTCCCTCCCTCCCTTCCTCCCTCCCTTCCTCCCTCGCTCCCTTCTTCCTTTCCTCCCTTTCCGCCTTCCTTCTTTCCTTCTTTCCTTTCTTGACAGGGTCTCACTCTGTCGCCCAGCCTGGAGTACAGTTGAACAATCACGGTTAACTGCAGCCTCGACCTCCCAAGGCTCCAGTGATCCTCACACCTCAGCTTCCCGAGTAGCTGGGACTACAGGTGTGTGTCACCACACCTGGCTAATTTTTTGTAATTTTTTGTTATTTTTTGTAGAGATGGAGTTTCTCCATGTTACCCAGGCTAGTATCATTTTCTTATCACTTGATTAAAATGCAAAAATGTCTAAGGCTTTTGCAAGATAATGTCATGTATCTATTTGGGCCTCCTTTTCCCTGTAACTTTAGCCCAATCTCAGTATAATATTTGACTTTTCAGTTAAAATCATATCACTGACCTTGGTGGAATCTTATTTCCTACTTTTAGACTATAATTCCTTATTAATATTCTGCCTTTAGGTTGAAATGTTATTGGATTTAACTTCAAATTCACAGTATAATACAGTACTGAGTTAAAAAGTATAGTGGGAGAGTAGATTAAATAAACCTGTAATCTTAATTAGATACATATAACTTTACTCAAAACAAAACCCACAAAAAATATTTCTAACTATGTATCTTCTGCATTTGTCCCTAGAAAAGGGCAAAGAAAAATGTTTAACACATTCACAATGGAGGTGATTTCCAGTGGTCCGTGTCTTATAACATCAACCACAACATTGTCAGCTGTAAGAAATATTCTCCCACAAATTGCAAGTAATATAAGACTGTTCCTCTCGTCATTAATAATTACTTTTTTTCCCATATGGTAACAGAAAAAAACAACTTACATTAGTTTATTCATTGCCAAATCATGTTTTTTTTTTTGAGACGGACTCTCGCTCTGTCGCCCAGGCTGGAGTGCGGTGGCGCCATCTCGGCTCACTGCAAGCTCCGCCTCCCGGGTTCCCGCCACTCTCCTGCCTCAGCCTCCCGAGTAGCTGGGACTACAGGCGCCCGCCATCACGCCCGGCTAATTTTTTGTATTTTTAGTAGAGAGGGGGTTTCACTGCTTTAGGCAGGATGGTCTTGAACTTCTGACCTCATGATCTGCCCGCCTCGGCCTCCCAAAGTGCTCGGATTACAGGAACCGCCAAAACTTTGCCCATTAAACATTTGGATCACACTGAGAAATGCAATCACTGAGGTGGGAAATAAAATGTACTTCTTTTACCGGCTGGAGCTAACTAGAAGTCAAGGTGTTCACTTTGGTGCATCACAGATAATAATGCTGCCTACAATATATGCCAAGTCTTATTTACGTACTTTTTTGACTCAAATTAGAGGGCATAACATAGCTTCATTATAACTCGGCAGAAAAATCTGAGTTCAGTCTGTTTAAATCATAACAACTGGTTAATTCAATATTTTAAAAAGGCAGACAAAATCATCAATTGATTATATTGTAATTTATGATTCCCTGGACTGGAGTTCTGTTTTCCAACCTTTTTAAAATTTCTCTCCTAAGTAGCCTTTTAAGACATTTTTTCTTAATTGTGAAATCCATGAAACATTAATACCACAGATAAAGTGTATATCTGTTTATATAATATATGTAAATCTGTGCTTTATACATGAAAAGAATAAGAATCTTTTAATCTCCCCCAGGAACCAATTTTAGCCTCTTTGGGGTTTATATATCTCCACTGAGACTATATGAAGTAGACAAAGCTCAAAGTTTCAAATTGTAGAAAAAAATATTTTCACTTACTTTCAATGAGGCATCTGCCAGTTTATATAGTTTCATGTACTCTTACAGTTTTTTTTACAGAAATAATTTTAAATAAATGGAATGAGACAAATGAAGCAGAGCAGATAAACATTTTTTTTCCAAACACCTTTACACCAATATATTGCATACTCTATAAGGCAAAGTACTGATGTGTGTAAAATTTCAACGATGTTTACAAATACGGAGTTTTACATCCACTCCAGAACTGTGCAACAGTCCTCTATGTAACAGTCCCTTCCATGCATTCTAACTTTGTAAACTAAAATCTGTAAAAGATGAGGGGAGATAAATGTAGAAAGTCAATAACAAATGTGTCCCTATATCAGAAAATTTGGTGCTAGATAAAAACAAAAGGAGAATATTGCCTGGATATTTTTTCCTTTGTATCTGATTAGACTGGCATTATGTAGAAATTGCCTTAGTTTTGAGTATATTTTATGTGATAAAATTGTGAACGGTTTTGACAGTTAGTTGGTGTCCTTACACTTACCCGTTTGTGTTAGCTCCTATTCATTGTTATCTCTTTGTCTTTGTCAAGATTTTTTTTATTGTTTGTTTTGTTTTGTACAAATAGAATTTAAACTGGAGAAAAATAATAGTACATAGCAGGGGTTAATTTCAACTAATTTGGATTGACCACACGCTAATCTCCCAATGCTATAGAATCCATTAACTATAGGTAAATGATATTCTGTAATCATAAGTCCATATGTTGTTTTGGAATAGGATGTATCAGATTGTCAGCATTGTTTAGTAATAATAATTGGATTTATAATTTGCATCTGGTTTTGGTGAAGCCTGGGTGGGGTTTCAAAGCTAATGCTGGTCACATATCTTTGTGAACAGCAGGCCTCGCACCTTGAGCCAGCTTTGGGCTTCCTGATACAGGGATGCTTTGCATGTGTGCTGCTGGTGGTTGAAGACAATGCATGTTCTGTGCAACCCACCCAGGAGCAGAAGGATGAAGGAGCTCTCTGCCTGCTATCTCTGGACCCTTTTCAATGCAATCCTTCTTTTGCTGCCGCTTTTCTATTTCTTTTCCCAAAATAAAGGTGTCCCACGAGAACAAAGTGATCCTTGTAAACTTTCCAGTAGTGGAACACTAATGGTGATTAATATGTGATTAATATAGTTAGTAATGCAAATAATTTCTATTCATAAAAATGCAAATGTCTCCAGTGAAATGCAATTGATTGATTATCCGCCTCTGGATATTGACCAGTTTTACCAGTTGTTTATCCATTTGTAAATTTGTTTTGGCATTCCTTATCTGACTTTAATATGTGGTATTTTGAATTTTCCTTTGGACCAAATAGAATATCTTACTGGTTTCTTCATTAATTAATGGATTAAATAAAATATTTGACAGGTTTTCATTATATATCAGGATGATAATAATAATATATCCTATATCCGCTTTCAAATTTTATCATTTATCAACTTAAAGAATGGTAGCACAGCTTAGTTTATTAGGACTAAAGGCACTAGTCAGATTGCCCAGTTTTGAATCCAGATGCTGCCAGCTATGTGCCCTTGACTAAGTTACTTAAATCCTCCAAGTACCCATTTCATAAGCTGAAAAAAGGATTATATAACATAACTTCCTTATATTTTAAAATCAATATGTCTTTGATTTCTGTCAACAAAATGGGAATATTAACAGCTCCTATCTCATGTGACTTTGAGATGAGTAAACGAGAAAATACAAGCAAACAACTAGCTGGATATGTTAACATTGATCACAACATCAACCAGAGAATGCTGGAAACACGGCCACACAGAATCAGGGAAAATTCAGTGAAAGCATTATATTATCTTCATTCCTATAAATTACTTCAAATTACATCTCTCTATTTAAGAAATCCTATTTTAGAAATAAAATTTAGAAAGGAGATCCTGACAAAATTTGATATAACTTCTGAAAATCATCTGATGATTTTCCCCACAACTTCAAAATGTTTATCCAGTCAGGAAGGAGGAGGAGGAAAAAGTTTAGGACAGTAAGTTGAAATATCTGCTAAATTAAGTACTAATTGTTTCCACTCTTAGAACCTGAGTAAGATAAATTATTACTGAATTCAACTTGAATAAAAAAAAATTTCTTGGGTTGAAGCTTATTCAAGCTACCTACAAAACACATGGGTGAGTAGCAACTAATATTTTCCCATTCTAAGCTCAACTAAGTGAAATAAGGCTAGCAGTATTGATAAAATCAAACCTATTGCTCCTTTGTTCCATCCACCATCAATATACACAAGATACTATAAAAATCATTATGTTCCAGGTGAAGAAGATAAGTTGTTAATTCAAAATTCCATGCTCTTTTGAGCCCAATATACATACTTTCCCCAAAGCAACAACAAACGCACCTTACAAATGCAATCAAGGTGTCAAACCCATTCTGGCAAACGTATATTGTCCCCTCATTATTAATGTTGTCTCTCAGGGAATTTCTATTTCCACAGGATCTGGGCCAAATTTTATTCACGACTTTATATAATCAAACTTTTACATTATCCATTAATAAAAAGAAAGAAACTTATGGAGTGGAGAAAGATGAGCTTTAAGGATATATTCTTAGAATAGATCCAATCAAAGAAAAAAACAGGAAAAAAATGTCTTGGAAAATTTGTAAAGAATTTATGATACTGACACTAATTGGTGGCAAATTTGACAGGTTATAGATAAGTGAGTTGTTTCTGTTGAGGAGCTATTCTGTAGATCCACTTTTCTGTATTCCTTTCCATGCCAATCACTGAAGATGCTGGTAAATTCAGCCCAGCTGAATTGAGCTATTGAAGGCGAGAGTAGGGAATTAATTGTGTTCTCTTGCATCTTTTCCTACTGCCAAAGAAAAGCACTATTGTCCTTCTTGAAGAATTCCCTTTCAGCCTTAAGGATCTCTGCCAACTTCATTGAGAAAGTCAAACTGCATATCCAAGTGGAAGTAAGGGAGGTTCACATCCAGCTTTGTTCTTGGGGGAGGCGGTTGTGATGAGTTCTAAATATAAACATCACTGAGCATCACATTTTATGTTGAAAGTGGCTTAATGAAAAATGAGAAACACGGAAGTAAGAGTGAGAAAGGAAAAAGAGTAAAGTATAAATTTGTAGCCTGAATAAGTTATACCAAAGGCTATTTATAATGTTGTCTATGTACCCATGCTATGAAATTATACTTAAATCCACTGGAGCTCTGAATCACAGAAAGCAATCTTATCTGAGGTAATAATATAAATGTCCAATTTCACAGATAAAGGAGGGATGGGATTTTTTAAAGATCACTTTCCTTAATGCGGCCTAATTAAGGGTATAAATTAAAAAGGTTTTTGAGTTATAAAAATGTCATATCTCAAATATAACTGATTTGAGGATTTGAAGATATCCCACAAAATACAAGAACTACTCAGTGACTGTCCCCCAAAAGGACGTGTTAGAATAATTTCCAGGAGAAATGTGGGCAAGTTGACTAAATATTAAGGTAACAATTTTATAAAATTTTCAAAACAGTGTAACATCGCTCCATAAATAAAAAATGACTTTAAAGTTTCAATACTGAGTTTGTCTGAACTCAGTAAAATTTAGCAATCTAACTTGCAGTTATGAGTTCATGTGGGCAATGTTAAGTCATTTCAAGGTAAGAAAATATCCACTATCTTTTCAGGAACAAAAGTTGCATGCTGTAGAAAATTCTGCTGCGGATACTTGACACAAGGATACACCCATCCAAACCAAACAGAGAGAATGTTACCTTCATTAGAGTAAATGTCCTAGCTTCTTGGTACTACTAGCAGGAGTGGGATTCAACTAGTTGGTACTTTTATTCAGTGTTCTAGTTTGATTTCATTTTCTTACACTTCCTGCAGTAAGAATAAATTGCATTTTGTTTGTTTGTGTTTTGGGGTATTTTTTGGTAGCAGTCTGGGCAAGTAAACCTACAGAAAACCTGTAAAACAGTGGATATGTATAGTAAAAACTGTGAAATGCATAAGCCAACAGTTTTATTTGGTAATAAATTCAATCGTATGGCATAATTGCCATATGGCATAATAGATTTTGTTTGTTTATCTGTGCTTCATTAAAGTGAGCTCCCAGCATTTGTTCTTTGTCTGTGGAAGATCTCTTATAAACATGACTTCTTGCAAGCCAAGCAAGGTAAAACATACACATACACCTTTAAATTAACTTTCCAAGTGGTCACAGTTTTTTGCAAAGCAAGAAGCCAGAGAGTATGATAGTATTCAATGAAAGATTGGCCTGAACTCAAGATAAAAATTTAATCAAGATTCTAAATATCTATATCTATGACACCACAGCACCTTCACACTACAACCTATTTATCCTAAATACCTTTTCCTAACAAATAATTTTCTGGATGTCACCACAATTTACCAGGGTCAGCATCCAAATGTAGAACAAGTAACTCATTTAAATTAGTTTATTTGCTCAGAAAAAAGCTATATGACCTGGCATGCATCATATGAGCATTAATTTAGTTGTGCTTGGGATTTAAAACAACTTCTTTGCAGTAGCAGGTGGTTTATAACGGTGAATTAAAGCACAAACTGTGTAAGATCATGTTTAGAATATATCAAATAAGAATCAGAAAGTCCTTTCAGCCAGGCCGTAATGGATGGAAAAATAAAAGATTTCCATCCTAAAATCTATTATGGGCCTAAAGCCTTACAATGTTTAGAAGTTTTTTTCTTTTGGGGTTTGTTTCTTGATTTTATTGTTGTTGAAGATATTGTTGTTATTGTCAACATTATTTAATCAGGTGTGTTTAGATCTTAGCCGGGATTTAAATATATGATACATTCCTTTTCTATAAGCAGTCATCTATGAGAGATTATAGCTGTTTGGATCAACACAGCCCCCTCCTCTTCATCATGAAAACTACCACTGCATTAGTAAGTAAGCTGAGATTATTTATTTTCATTTCAATTTTACTTTCTTTTTAAAATTAAATATAGCTATTAAAAATAACTTTCAAACATATTCTTAGACATTGTCTAATATAAGGTAAATAAATGTAAAACTTCCTATTCAGTAATGAACTAGCACAGAAAAGAGTCATGAAAAAAATTAGAGCCAAGTGGAGATGGAAAAGCTGTGCAATCAGGATGTATGTGTGACTTACACAGGAAAATGACATAAATTTGTTTTATGCTTTATTTTCAGGATTCAGGAGTAGCCCTTAGACATAGGTATTGATTGGCCAGATGATGTAATCTACCCTGAGAAATGGAACTCACATATTTTAGAATTGCCTAAGCAATTATTTGTTGTGGTTATTAAACAACTAGGACATGCTGTGGTGGGGTGAGTCAGACAGACATCCTTAGGGCTTTAGAGAATCGTGCAAGAATGGATAGAAAAATTCTGAGCCAGGTGGTCATGAGTAGGCTGGGCTGGTAACACTGGGTTTTAAGCACTCAGTGGCTTTTGTTTAACATTACCAAATCTTCCACAATCGGGTGTTACAGAAAATACATAAAAATATAAAGAAAACAAAGATAATATATTCATCTTACGCTAATTTTATAACTTAAAACATCACTTCTTTAATCATCTCTTACTGTCCCTAACAACAGAAAATATATTGAAATTTCTGAAGAGTTGAAGACTTTCTACTGTTTCCCAAGCCTATGTATGTTTATAGTGTGTGAATTAAAAGCAAGCCTTTTAAATTCAGCTGCATGTAATGCTCATGCATTAAATAATAATAATAATAATAATAATAATAAAGGGTCTGAATTGATATCCTGAAAAAGGCTGATACATCCAGAAAAGTCACTTAGATCTGCATTATTGTTCTTCTCTGGGTCTACATATAATTTATAACCAAATTTTCTATGTGTGCCGGCCACCTCTGTGGATGCAGGTACTGACCATTGGGATGAATGTGAATCTTCACTAGTCCTCATGGCCAGCCCCTGGAATTAGGGGTTAGAAATCAATGTTTAATTCCTTTTTCTGCCACCAACAACTTTGCTTTACCTACCCAGCCCTTGCTCCTTTGCTTCTTTTTTTCTCCTTTTTGTGCCACCTAATTTTACAGATCCAGTTTAAAGTACTACATTTTCTATAAGTACCCCTAGCTGTTCCCCTTCACAACAAATCAATTGCTGTTTTATTATTGCTTACATATACTTTACTCATACTTCAGTCACATTCTATCAGTTGTTTAGTCACAGAAAAACTTCATCCAATATGACAAAAATTAGGTTTTATTAATATTTGAATCTGCAATGTCAAATATTAAGTCCTCTTTAAATACTTGCTGAAATAAATTGATAATTTATTTGATACACTTTCTCATTTATGGACTGCTTTTAAATTACTTTCTCATATATAATGATGGAAAACATGTTGATTTTGCAATAAAGAGCCAGTATATGTTTTTAAACATCGGAAAAATATCTTGCTTTGAGGAAGTCACTTGGGCCACGACAGACAGAAAAAAAAAAAACTAAAAACATTATTCTATTGAGAAGAAGCATTCCATTGTTAACACAATCTATCTACTTATTAATCTATTTAACAACTACTAACGTCCTACTGTATGCTAGGTAAAATTCTGAAGACACAAATTAATGACAAAGTCACGCAAATGACTCAGCATAGAGAAGCGGGACAGACATATAAACAAAGAGCTAGTAAGATAATCTTTTCATCTTTTTCTGGATGTTTCTTGATATTAATATTTACTTTAAAAAATTTTTGGAATTGTAAGAGTTGATGTGCATTATAAATTTTGCAAATATGATTTATTTTGGCCATCAGTGTAGTCTGGGACACTCAAGCTCCTATCCTTGCTCGTAGAAGATCCAACTATTTGCCCCACAAGCAAACAGTGAGTATGAGCTATCATTTTAAAATGTGTTGAACCTGCAGGCCTTGTGAGTTACTGTATTGGGATTGGGGAAATCTGCTCTGTGTTCTGCCAGAGAATTACAACATATTGCTGCCTGGAGCAATGTTAACTTTTAATGTCTTTTTTGTGGAATCTTTGGCTATTTTTCCTCCCATCATACAGAATAATTACAGTGTTTGTCCTTGCCCTTTCCACATTACTTTGTATCACACTTACTAATCTTTTTTACATATTATCAGGAATCTCGAGAGAATGCTGCTTAAAGGTATGCCCTTTCAGAATTTCTGGCTAGAAATAGTACTTGTATAAAAGTAATGAATAGAATTTTCTTGATGCAAAATCATATGACAATGGCTATGTCTGTAAGAAAAATCTTTTTGTTTTAAAGTTTAGAAAGTGGTCTGCATTTGGTAGTGCAAAAGATTGGGCACTCTCTGAGTTTTGTTATTAATTAAGTGTATATAATCATATAGAAGTCATGTAATTATCCTGTGCCTCCATTTCTTCAGCTAGCTCTAGATTTTTGTTTGTTTTGTTGTTTTTTTAAAATGGCATCCTTGATTATGATGACTACACTCTAAACACATTGTTTTAAAGCTGTACACATATCTATTTTAAAGTGGCCAAGTTAAATATATTGACTAGTCCTTTCCCCAACTCTTGTTAGTTGATCCAGATTGAGATGTTTTCTTTGTTCTTTTTTCCTTATTTATGAATAACTGAATTACAGATGTGACAATTCCAGCTGGAATAAAGGAAATTAGTGTCTACACAAATAAAATATGGCACTTAATTGTAAGCTGTAAGCATTCTCCTCACATGGTAGAGACGCCTGAGAAAGGAAACAATATCTTTTGAATGCCTATGCCTAGCCATGATTAAATATAAATCGTTCATTGTAATTTACACAATTACAATGTGTAATTACACATTGTAATTTCACAAAGTTATTTTGAATCATAACTTTTAGTTTTTAAATACCAAATAATAAGGAATTCATCGTTTAAAAAGAGTATAACATGCTCTTTTTTGGCATGTTATACATATTTTCTAGTTCAAAAACCTCATGAAGCATGCATTATCTCCATTTTACAGATGAGAAAGTTGAGGCTCAGTGTGAACTAACATATAAAAAGGAAATAATCCAGACGGGCTCAGTGGCTCACACCTGCAATCCCAGCACTTTGGGAGGTCGAGGTGGGCGGATGACGAGGTCAGGAGATGGAGACCATCTTGGCCAACATGGTGAAACCCTGTCTGTACTAAAATACAAAAAAATTAGCTGGGTGTAGTGATGCGTGCCTGTAATCCCAGCTACTTGGGAAGCTGAGGCAGGGTAATCGCTTGAACTCGGGAGGCAGAGGTTGCAGGGAGCTGAGATCGCGCCACTGCACTCCAGCCTGGCGACAGAGCAAGACTCTGTCTCAATAATAATAATAATAATAATAATAATAATAATAATAATCCTTTTTAGCTCAAGGCAACTTTATCATACCAAACAGTTTTCCAGGGAAATCAGACAAATAATATTGCTTTAAATTAGTAGATTAGTTTACCCATGATATTTATTTTATTTTTTTGGAGAAACAACTCTGTCATTATTTTTGTTAGTGACACAGACATTGAAAATAGTCACACTATAGAGCTAATCAAAATTAGTGTGCAGATTTCCTGTTTGTTTTGGGCATTAATTCCTTCATTCCTTAATCGATATGTTAACATAATCATATTTTAAATTTGCTCAGTTCTTCCCTTCAAACATGGAAAAACAAAAATCTACTAACCCTTCTAGGCATGTTATAGCAAATACCCTTTTTCTACCCATCTTTATGTTATTAACTGATTCACAAAAGGTAAGTTTCCAGGGGAGAAATCAAATAAATAAAGATTGTCAACGTTTGCTGCTTTCAAATTTACTTATATGGCAGCATATTTCCTATAAGAAATGCTGAGAGATGTAAACACCTAGAGCTCCTTCCTTTCCTGCACTAGCCTATCCCCAGTTAGTGAGAATCAAGACTTGGCTGTGCTCCAACACGGCAACTCTATTCACACGTTTAAGGCAAAGAAAGATACTTCCTTCCTTTATAAACATACACCTGATTGGAAAGAAAAGCTTCTGTTGCTTATGTTTTTATCTCCTTCATTTTAAACACTAGCTAAAGACTTCATTTGATTTTCTTTTACTCAGATATATGTCTTACTATAGTAATGTTACGATAATCATCATTGGTTAGTTTAATTATTAAACAATGAAAGTAGGATTAGAAGAGACTTTGTGCCTTAAACTAAAATGAATTTGCTGTTTCATTTGTACCTACAACTAAACATTCATAATTTTGCCATTTCATTCTTATTTAATCTAAACAAGATATAAAATATTAAAGAACAAATTGGTTCCAAATATTAAAAAGAAATTAAAAGTTTCCAAGAAGTGATTAAAAAAGTTAGTTTATTTTTGTATTTTCCCTTTGTAAAACACCTTGTCACAGTAGATTATGGAAAGTCTGTTATTTGCATGTATATTATATATAAATATATAAATTATTTCAGATTAATTAGTGAGATGAGAGACTCACTACTAAAGAATCTTCCCAAACAGTATCTTAATTCACAAAATATCTGAAGAGTTAAAGAAAGAATAACAAAAATGCTTGCTATTATGCCTAGCCATGACTGAATATGAATCATTCGTTGTAATTTGTACAATTATTTTGAATCATAAGTTTTTGTTTGTTTTAAAATACTAAATAATAAGGAATCCATGGTTTCAAAAAAGTAAAATGCATGCACTCTTTAACTACTAAACATTGTCGAAGGAGTGTCATAGGTAGTATGCTATACTGCTATCAACTGGGGATAAGAAAGACCAAACTGAGTTTTAAGCATGCTCACTCAGGTGTTTGCTATTCATGAAAAATAAATAAAAAGATGAAAACCCTATGCTCAGCTGGAAAAATTATTAGTGAGAGTATATTGAATGTAGTAGGCATATATATTTATTTGAAGAATTTAATACACACTTAGTGAATACCCAATATGTATGCAGGAATATGATATGTGTAATAAAAAATAAAAGAATATAAATAACCTGTTCTCTTTCCTCAAGCATCTTACAATCTTGTGGATTAGAAAGGCATGCTAAAAATTAATTTTGTAACAAGGTAGAAGGTCCTATGGGGCTTCTTAATCAGTTCCTTGCTATAAAACAATAAACATATTGTTGGCTGCCCAGTATTAATTTATGATAGACTCAAAGCACTTTTCAAGCAACATTATTCTTTATTAAATTTCATAACCTAACACCTATTAGCATATCATCCTACCTTCTTGTGGCATTATTGTTGATGTAGATCATTGACCTCACAAGACAATAATTCAGTTCTCACTTGTCTTGACTGAAGTTTTGGAGGAAGAGGAGACAGGAAAACAAAGGGTTTCTTGTTTTGAAATATACAATGAATCAGGAGTGAGAACAGAAGGAGATTTTGGATTCTCTTTGATTTTACATCTCCCCCTAACACTTACCCATGGTTACTGCTGTCTAGAGTAGATTCTCAAAAACCTTTCTAAATTAACTCATTAGGAGAGTGACTTTTTAAGTTAACATAGCCTGTGACAAGCCTGGGACTAGAACCCAGGTTGTGCATAAGGAGTAGGAAGATGTTGGGCTTGGAGTCAGTGCAGAGAGAAAAAGTCTGGTTGTTCAACTCATGAAACTTCTGACTGGGCAAGTCTTTGAGCCTGAGTTTCCTTGAATATAAAATTGGGAATGTTCAGAGATGTATGAGAATTTCATGCAATAATAGATGTAAAGTGTTTCTGTCTGACACAGAGAAGACACTCATAAAATGTTCACCCATTTTTCCTTCCTAGGACGTCAGAGGGATGTGAATTTTGATCTGTGGTGTCATATGTTGTATCTCTGTTGTGACATGGCAGCCTGATCGCAAATCATGTGTATTACTGTTGCCAGCGAAAACATAATAAAGGTTATTAAGGAACAAATCCCCCAGATCCACTCTGTGTATGGGGGTGTAGGACATAGCTTAAATCAAGAACTCTGTGACTTTACTTGGCCTAGGATAAGAGGAAATAAAAAGACAGCAGGAGAGAAGAATCTCTTCTCTTCCCTTTGTTACAGAAATATTAAGCTACAGAAAAATCACAGCATAATTATGAACATGGTGTACATGCAAAAGGAGAGGTGCCTAAGAAGTAGGGATTTTTGAATTTATGTCACTAATCTCTGTTATCAATAAATATCACCAGCATCCAGTCTAAGCTGCAACTGAAATTTATTTCTTAGTTTTGAACTCAAGAAAAAGTAGAATAGGTTCTCCATCATCACCTCTCACATATTCCAATGTACTTGTCTTTCCCATATTCTTACTCATTTTGCATTAATTTGCCTTTATTTAACATTGTCACAGGGTCTTGCATTTTCCTACCTTTAGTTTGGTATAATTAATTTAAAAATGTGTGTATATATATATGTGTGTGTGTGTGTGTGTGTATGTATGTATGCATGTGTATATATATGTGTGTGTGTATCAAATGCAGCTCACATTATCATGTACCCTTCACTGTTTTAATTGTATACTTTAAATGTGCTAACTCATTTAACTTAATTGTATACTTTAAATGTGCTAACTCATTTAATATTCCTAGCAGTCTATCAGTAACCCCATTTTCCTGATGAGAAATTGAAGGTGTGAAAAAGGTTAAAAATAAACAAGTAACATCATATATTTGGTAAGTAGTGGTCATGATTCAAATTGACACCATTTGGTTCCAGAGCCTGGGCTTTCAGACTTTACACTGTGGTAGGCTGATTACTATGCTGAAGCTATTTCATTTTAATTTAACTATCTTAATCAACCCATAGCACCATTCTTTCATAAATTTCAGTATTCTCATAAATAGAGTGAAACTTTATCTCTTTAAAATAAGCCCTCACCAGATCAGAGTAGCCAAAATATCAATTTAAAAACATATGGTTTTTTTAAAGATTGAATTTGTAGATCAGTTGTTTAAATATGAAAGCAAAGCATTACATTGTGGTTAGATACCAAGAATACTTCACGAAGGTCTGTTTAACACATTATATATTGACTAATTATTAATTAAGGCATTTATGATCCTGTATCCTGGCAGCAAGGAGGCAAGTTTGGCCAAGAAGAGAATAGACAAGTTTCCTCCTTATTTTAAAAATAAATAGGGGCCTGGCACGGTGGTTCACACCTGTAATCCCAGCACTTTGGGAGGCCAAGGTGGGTGGATCACGAAGTCAGGAG
This sequence comes from Homo sapiens, assembly GCF_000001405.40. NCBI lineage: Eukaryota > Metazoa > Chordata > Mammalia > Primates > Hominidae > Homo > Homo sapiens. Next base: position 67,126,644 of record NC_000013.11, read on the forward strand.
ATTGAGACCAGCCTAGCCAACATGGTGAAACCCCATCTCTACTAAAAATACAAAAGATTAGCTAAGTGTGGTGGCACATGCCTGTAAGCCTGGCTACTTGGGAGGCTGAGGTGGGAGAATCACTTGGACCAGTGACTCGGAGGTTTCAGTGAGCAGAGACTGCGCCACTGCACTCCAATCTGGCAACACAGTGAGACTCCATCTCAAAATAAAATAAAATAAAATAGGGATGTCTATAGGCAAAATTTTAAAATAGTTAAAATCTGACGCTGGCACTTTCCAAATATCCTTAGTGTCTTCCAGCTATTTTAGCCTATAATATTTCATTTTCATGGCAATCAAAATTTCTGTTCCCTTAAGTCAATTGATCTTTACTATGTCTTAGGTGGGAAACAATGGAAGTAAGCAAATCATAATATATAAATTATGGTTGCCCCATGATGGTTCCAGAGGTATTTTTGCATTATACAAAGATTTTCCTTACAGAGATTAATAGTAAATTAATTGAATTGGTCCAGAAATGAAGAGAGACAAATTCAAACAGCCCTGGAGGCAGCTTTTCTTCTGTAAGAGGCTGACTCAGCTGACCCGATGAACTCAATGGAAAAACAGGTGGACTGGGTGTTCTTTGAAGCCATCCTCATCCAAGGCCACTTTGTGAACCTGAAATTTTGTCTGTACATAGCGGTCCAGACGCCTATGTCCTTTAATCTCTAATTACATTGCAGGGATGGGGATCTGCTCGTGGAGTGGTTTTCCTGTTGTGACTGGTCTTGCTGTATCCAGTCTAAGTATACATCTCTATGAGATGAAGCAGCTTGATGGAGCTTGGTAGTGATTCTTTCCCTGCTAACTGAGCACTCTGCAGGGTGCTAGTGTGTGTGTGCATGTATGTGTATCCTTTTTTGCACTACAACAGAACAAAGGCTTGTGTTGTGGGGAAGGGCATTTTAGGGCATGCCAAGTTACTCTGGCCTTCTCTGAAGTCAGCTCTCCTATTCATTTCAAGACTTTTTTATCATATATATATATATGTGTGTGTGTGTGTGTGTGTGTGTATGTGTGTGTGTGTACATATGTATATATATATTTTTTTCTTTCCTCATGTCAAACCATGCCTTTTCTAATTGCACTAGTGTGGATACCAGCAACTCATGTCATCTGTTGCAAGGGAGTCAGTACTGGAGATGGGAGCACTTTTTTGTCCATAAAGTTAATTTGCAAATCAGGTGTTTATATGTCTGTCATTTTGTTAATGAATGGAATGCTTCTATTATTTTTCTTTCCAGATGTACTAGATGTTTTGAGATCTCTTTGGCACTACTTGTTTTTGCCATTTTGGAGGATATTACAGCGGTATTCTCATCAAAGTAATTAGCTTGTTAGATAAGCTCTGCAGGTGGCAGGTAATGTGATACATTAGTTAAATTGTAGCCCCAAAGACTTGTGGGAATCAGAATTGCAAACACAGCCTGAGTTCCCAAGTCCCATGAACCTACCCTTTTAGGATGTACCTCGCCTACAGTGAGAGTGAACACTGCAATAACAGATCATCATCATAAGGGCATGAGCCAATTCTCCTGGAGAAAATGTTCATGTAAAGACAGTGTTTAGAGAAGCACATTTGGATATGCTGAAATTTTTCCACAACCCCCAGACATGTCAATCAAAGATAACACAATGCAAGTATCTCTGAGTGACACTTCAGGCTGCATTCATAAGCAACCTGCCTCATTCAAAGTCAATGAAGAGACAGGACTTACAAGCCCATGCTGAAAAGTTATTGAAATGTGACTGACATCTCAAATAAATGGTGTCAAAGGGTTTACATGACCTCGTGCTGAAACACAGCAGGGTTAATCAACGTTATGGCAGTTGGGTACCACAAAGACCTTCCTTAGGCTTTATTTATTTAATTTAATTAATATCACTCAGTGGGGTTATTATCACCCTTCTGCTCTCTCCCTCTGTCATTTCGCCCACCATTTGTACTATTTGTTGTAAACTTTTGCTTTGGTTAAAGTGTGGAAGGTAGGAAGTAGAGCCTCTGTTACCACTGAGGCTTTTGTGGATAAACGATAGTGTTACATCTATTTCCACTGTTTGAATTCCTCTAGAAGATGTTGAGCTTCCACCGTTGTGTTCCAAGATGGGGTGCCTCCTGGGAGAGGATGGAGCAGCAAGCCTACAATCCTATTCAAAGAATTTTCAGTGGTACATGAATTTAATGATTTACTAAAACCCATCTACTCTCAAAAATGGTCAGAAAGGGGATAGCAGTGGTAAGTTTGAGCTGGGTCTATTTAATCATTTTGTCAGTCCCCCAAGGCAGACATATTCTCCTGCCTGGTGATAACCACTTGCCTACTGGAAACTGTTTTTTTAATTTTTTTTTACTTAACACCACCTTGGGACAGAAGTCAATCCTCTGAGAACAATTTGTTGTAACATTACTACTTATCGGCATTCTTGTTATATTTCTGTTTTATGCTGAATATGTCTATGAGTTTTCTTCCACATCGTTGTAAAGTACAGAAGGTATATCATAGCTAATGACCTTGCCTAATAAAAGAAGGAGAGAGAAAGAAGGGAAAAACAAAACAAAACAAAACAAAGCCAACTCTTTGTGATGAACAGAATCTGGCAATTGCTATAATTATATTCATGGTAATTATGCCTATGGTTTAAAAAGTGTAAGCAATTATGAGTTACATGTTAGTAATAATGCATGATAGACATGTGCATAAAAAATACGTGTGTGTGTGTTTGTATGTGTATATTTGTGTGTGTGTTTCAAACTAATAATCTGGCTTTATTTCAACTCCATATTTTGAGTCCAGGATTTTTGGGCCTTTTTGTACCATGTGAATTTATTAGTCTATAAGAATGAGTCACTGGTTAAAATAATATAATCATGAACCCTAGCAAGGTTCTCTGCTAAGGGCACAATCATATACTCTTCTCTAGAATCATATAAATATACATATATATATATGTATTTTAGCTAGAGGTAATCGTATATTCCATATATAGAGATATTATATATGTATATTCTCTCTATAGTTAAAGGAGCTAGCAAAGAAGTTTGTTTTTCTATCTTTCCAGACACTACAAGACACTACTACAAAATAAGTGAATAAGTACCAGGTCTGATAAAATCAAATAAATTATCTATTCTGGATTCAATTCACAATTCCTATTAAAGCCTTTTGCAATAAAAGCAGAGAAAAAATTAAAGTGAAAAATGAGAGTAAAAAGACCATATTCCTTATTATTAATTATTTTAAAATTTTTAAAAAGCATGAGAGTTAGACTTGGGAAAGATCACCTTGGAAAGAGAGTATATCAAACACGATAGCAATAGACTTTTCTTTTAGGAAGAATAATGGTTTAATGTTTAATTAATCTTATCCATTTCTGCATTTATGGGAAGGCAGAGAAGAGTCTGCTTTATAATGTAGAAAATTAAATATTAAAACCTTGGTGCCTACCAGACTTAGATTTTCATATTATGAATGAGCATTTTCACTTTCTGCACACACAAAGAAACAGGAGATAGATGCAGTCACTTAGCTCTTCAGTAAAGGGATTATTTCAATGTATTTCTGATACCATCTTGCTACTAGAAACAAAACACATCGAATATGAATATTTAAAATCAAAACAAAAATGCAAAACTTTAAGATGACTATCATATATAACATACATCCTTAATTGTAAAGGGCATAGGTGAAAGAGTTCTTCAGTGTTTTTTTTTAACAGATGAATTATCCAAACTTAATAGATCTAAAATCTAAAAAAGGTATTGTTAGTACAAACTGCACCATTTTGTAAGCTCCTCACTGTTTTGCAGATCTCGGTCAAAGTGAAACATTTCACAGGGGTTCGGGCCATGAGAAACACCCTGCCTAACCACCTGACCACAGGGTGGACAAAGGCCCAAATAAAGAACCATCCCTATTATATCTTGCTGGACAGAGGTCCAAGAAACACCATGATGACATCTCACGGGAACAAGGGCCAGAACTGCCTCATCATAGGAACATCTTATCAAACAAGGGCCAGAACTGCCTCATCATAGGAACATCTTATCAATATCCTGCCAGGCAGCAAGCCATATTGCCCAGACCCCTCCCACCGATACCTATAAGTACCCCTAGCCTGTATGCACCGGTGGGCCCTGGCATTAGGCTGGTCCCCTACTTCTGCAGGTTTTATGCTGGACATAAAGCCTGCATTTGCCGTTGAGCCCCCCTCTTTCTGTGTGTGTGTCTTTCTTTAACCTTCGCCTTCCCTTCAAATCCTAACAGGTGTACTGCTTAAAGACTATTACAATAGTTTTTACATACTCTAATGCCCTTTTCAGTGAGAAAACTGAAGATATTAATTAGAAGAGAAATGTGCTGGTAGATTAAAATACAGAAATGACAAATGAGAACAGAGAAAAGAAAGATCAGATATTTACACGTTTAACTCAAATTGGTGCATGTTTACTTTACTTATAGTTTGGGCCAAATTATATATTTTCTAAGTAAATAGAAAATTTAGACTCCTATTTTAAACTATAATTGGACTTTTAGTCCCCAATGAGTTATTATTTATTATAATGTGAGGATTGTAGAAGAGATGAAAGAAATGGCTGTATTAGACAGTCCCATCTCCTAAATGGATGTGAAACAATGTCATCTTCACTGATCCAGGAAGATAGTTTACCTCTCTGTGACTGGTTTCTTGCTCCAGAAAAAGAACAGAATTGATTTGAAAGGAAAATAAGGCACTGTTAACCAACATCTTTCCTAAACTTAAAAGATTAACATGTTATTTAATATAGAAAATCTCCTAATTTTTAATACATGCATTTCTGAACTTTTGACATCTTGATTTCTAACCTTACAATTTGTTGCTTCTAAAATTAAACCAGGTTTAAAAATAGCATAATCAGCATGATGACATGCTATTTTTCAATATGCATTAATACAATTATGGGGGAGTGTAGCAAAAAAAAGAAAAAGAAAAATTCAGAGAATGTTTAGTAAAGAAATAGCATATCAAAGAAACTAAGTACATGTCTTTATCTTTTCATCTTATTTTCACACAATTTTTAGTTTCCACTTTAACACTTTCCTTCAATTACAATCGGCAGCACATCGTGGACTTTAGGGTGCTACCTGAAACAAGTGTCGTTGAGACAGAGATGATGGATTTATGTATACAATTTCAGTTCTAACAGATGTTGTAATGCCCTGCATATCCCATCCTTGTTCTGATCATAGAAGACCATTTTTCAATAAGAACTCAATGCCTGCCTATCCATCCATCAGCACATTTGACTGTGCGAACCTTCACCAAGCCAGTCAAATGACTCCATAGAATTTCTGCTGTTGTTATCAGGAAGCAAATGGTTTCCATTCAGGAGAACTAAAAACTCAAGTGTCTAGTCTGGCTTAATTATCTAGCAAGTTGACTTTGATATGACTAAAGTTTCTAGTGGTAAGTTTTAGGAAACTATGTGGAGTCAGAGAGTTAGTTGATTTTCCTGTCTATAAAAACAAGAAAAGAATGACTATTACTTCAGTTTCAATTTTCATTTCTTCCCGATTAGCAGTTAGTCTTCCCATTTAACTACATTACCGTACTTTCCCGCCTCCAAGAATGTACATGTTCTTAGATCACCAGAAATATACTCATCATCCCACCTGCATCTTCCCCCATGCCTGTTCATCTTCCAGTCCACAATTAAAAGGCTGTATCTTGCAAGAAGTTGTTCATGGTTTCTCCAGCTAGAAATTTCTTAGGTGAGTTCACTATAAAGTTTACTCTCTAGTGTATTTACCAACCGAAAGTGCAATTCAAAGATCTTCCATTTTCACCATGTTTAAATCAATAAATTAAGAAGTAGAAGGCATGTGTGTCAAATAGGTGGTAACATATAGTTCATAGCAACAATGGCAGATGACACAAAAAATTCAAAATAATTCTAAGAGACTGTAAGAATGGGTCAAAATCAACAAGATGGAAATTAATAGTAATCATGACAAGTACAGAACATAGCATTAAAAAAAATAACTTTTTATGACTACAGATATGGTTGACAAAGTATATGTCAAAAATATTGGGGTTCTTAATGTATAGGAGGTCAATAAAATTCAAGAATTCAATACAAATTGTTATATCATATAGAATAAAAATGTTTCCCTTCCTTACTTCTAGCTAAAACTCTTACGTTCCTCCAAGCCCTGCTGAGATCCCATTATATCCAGAAAGCCTATCCTGACTACTCTGTGTGTTTTCTGAATTCCTGAAATACTCATTTTATGTACCAGAGCTTAAAATGGCATCTTTTTATACAGTATTTCACTGATACTCCTCAAAAGATAAACTCAAAAAGATTGGGTACCCAAATCATGAGAAGCAAGACTTCAAACAGCACTTTGCCACTCCTAGACTGTCTACGGGCCTTCCTGTGCTCATACAATCTATGTATCAGCTTTTTGAAGAAGAAAGGCAAAATTTCAAAACATAAAATATAAAATAAATTTGACATGTGACTTCTGGAGATATCTATGACAAAAGAAGGGCACAGTAAGCCACTTCATAATTTTGATGGGCCTTAAACTGGAGAGAAGTTGTTCTATCCACTTTTGTTTCACAGGATAGAAATAGGGACAACCGATAAAAATAACAAAGAAGATTTTAGCTTTATTTATAACTGAGGCCCCATAATAAAATATGCTTCCTTTAAAAATTGTGAATTTCATATGTCTGGATGCATTTGCATAGAGGCTGAATGAGACAGAAAGGAATTCTGAATTGGAATTCCTACTTTGCTTAAAAAGTTGGATTACATAATATAGGATGCTTTACTGTCTGTAATTCTATAATTTCAAATCTAAATTCTATGTCACAACATTTGAGAAAAAGACAACCTCTTTTCATTAGTTTAGTGCACTATAGAACCTAGAACCCTGGTCTATATCAAAGGGAGATAAAAGATTTGCCTAAGAGGAGAATTGGAACAAACCCAGGATCCCTGGCAGGCAGTTTGTGTTTTATCTAAATGACTGCATTGCCTTTTCTTGTGTTGCTCATCTAGAAATGAAAGGTTATTAAAAAAATGACTCAGAAAAATCTTAATAGTTAAGGTTTGACTCTTCATGCAATAAATTAATCAAAATCAATGTTAGAATGAGCGGCTGTTTCATGCACTAATTTAGATTAGATTCACATAAGAAATCCACGGTGAGGCTGAAATGGGGAAAACTTCTACCTAAAGATACCTACAGATGTTCATAGTCAAATTTCATTAAAAACATAGAACTGAAAGTTTATTAAAACAGGTATTGATGACTCTCACTCTTAATTCCACTCAAAATCAATAGCATTTTGATGATTTTAAAATTCTGTATATCCAATAATTGATATTGAACAATTTAACTTCTCATAATGTGACTTTTTAAAATAAAATCCTCTAAGATTGCCTCCAGGTGTTTTTGATATCACTATGCAAGTCAGCGTTGACAAAATATCCAATTAAATAAAAAAACTAAAGCCCTAATGGTTGTATCCTGTTCTTTTCTCATGTTCAATATAGTAAAGATCAGGACTCAGGACAATTTAAAATTCAAAACACTCCCTGAGGTTTTTAGATATAGGTCATTTCATTTAGATAAAAACACAAACTTGTAATAAGTGATATAAATCACCCTTTATCACAGAATTAGCTGTTTTAATAATCCAGAATAAGCAGTTCTTTTTGGCACTCTAATTCACCATGGTTCCTATACATGATCACCCCAAAGGGACCTAGAATGACTAGCCCTGCTGTTCACGCAGCATTGAGATGACCCTAGAGAATCAGAGTCACTGACATTTTGGAACTACAGCCAGTTCTCTCTTGCTGCCTTTTCCTCTACCCATACGCATTCTTCTTCATTTAAAAGCTTGTTTTTCTTCCTTTCTTTCTTTCTTTTTAAATACAAAAGCACTTTCGTTTTCAGGAATATAAGGCTGAGTTGTGGGGTGGCTTCTTGCTACGGTACATTTGAAAATACTGCCAAACAGCAGCAAACACACACTCAGAAACATGCTTGAGAGCAAACAAGCCATCTATAAATACACTCCAGAAGCTTTTAAAACAATGTAAAAGTGGCATCTGGCATGAGTAAAACGGCAGTTTAAACTCCTTGACTCGCCATCAAAATTTATGTTGAAAACTGTCTCAAACAACTGATTATTTAAAAAGATAAAGTCACGCTGTGTTGGTTGATTTTTGTACCATAGAAACTGTAAAGGAGCTGTATGTAGTTAAAGGGTACCAATGAAAAGTGAAAAGTGAAAACTTTCCAGTCCCTTGTATAATATGCTTAGGATTATCCAAATTATTTCTGTATAAGAAAGATTAACATTATCTACTATTCCTAATAATAATGCATTTTGTTGATTTTATGATACCATTATTTATACAACTTACTATGATTTCCTACCATTAAAAAGTTTTGTCAATTAAGTTTTAAGATGCAGTTGATGGCAAGATGCAGCACACTTTCAGAAACACCAAAATGTATGTTGTGAATTGTTAAAATATATTATTAACAATATTTTCTAGTTTTAATTTTTTTACTGTTTAATAATTCTGCCATTTAGGGGATGGTGAAGGTCCTGGGGAGATGTCATAGTCAGTTCAAACTGGACATTTTGCCTCAAAGCCTAGCTTGGAAAAGGAATTCTAAACTCTAGCTATGTGTTTCCAATTTATATTTTCTACATCTCTCTTCATTTTTACCCCATAGATCTCATTTTATAATAAGCATTTCTTTTCTTTTTTCTCCTTTTTAATATTCCTCACTTTGATTCACATAAAAAAGGTTTTCTAAAATTACGAAGTAGAACATCTAGCCAAATGCCAGTACTTTACTAGAAACGGTAATTTCACGGTAAGAACATTGGTGGGCAGTGTTTATGAGATCCCAACAATTAGTGGTTTATAAATAGCAGAGTTCTGAGGAGAAGATGTCAACAAGAATGGACAAGGAGAATTTGAAAATACGTGCAGTCAATTTACAAGGAGTCAATTAAAAACAAAAAAGCACTTGCAGAAAAATAGAATTAGGAGAAATTGTAGTACATTTGCAAAGTGAAGAGAGGTGCTGGCATGTTTTTCTTTCAGATTTTTTCTCTCATATAATGCCTTCTTAAACAGTGGGAGAATTAGAGACCTGGTGGTGTTGACTGGGGGGATTCTTTGCTACCTTCATTTACAATAACATATCCTGTTCCTAGAAAGCAAGAAAGGGTCTCTCTGGTATCTCTGCTATGCTGCCTCCTCAACTACTACTACTTCCTCCCCATCCATACTGAATATTCTTAAAATTTTCAGTACAGCCATATGCTACATAGCAATGTTCCAGTCAAGGATAAACTGCATATCTGACAGTGGTTGCTATCTGACAATGGTCTCATAAGATTAGAATACTGTATTTTTATTGTACCCTTTCTATGTTTAGATGGGTTTAGATACACAAGTACCTACCATTGCGTTATAATCGCCCATAGAATTCAGTACAGTAACATGCTGTAGAAGTTTGCAGCCTAGGAGCAACAGGCTGTACCACGTAGCCTAGGTGTGTAGTAGGCTGTGCCATCTAGGGTTGTGTAAGTGCACTCTATGATGTTAACACAGCGACAAAATTGCCTAACAACACATTTCTCAGAACTTATCCTATTGTCAAGTGACGCATGACTGTGTAAGTGATAAGGTGGGGAAGAATCAACCCTTCACTGCAGTGCCTGTTTCTCTTCATGTGTGCCTGTGTTCCACATGACATTATAGTCTAGACCTGCAGGTGGTCCTTTGAGTTTGTTGCATCATATAATGCTAAAGTAAGAAAATTTGGGAGAGTTTATACTTTGAGAATTCAATATGCTGTATTAAATTGTACTCACTGGAAATATAGGCTAGCTAAACTCTATATAAATGGTGTAGTTCAGGCAGATATTATGGTCTAATCTCTTTGAAATGGAGACTGAAATTGCTGTCTGAATCAATCACTTGGATTTTAATTTTATATTTTACAAATGTAAATAATTTTATATTTTCCAAATTTTACAAATGTTAGTTAATAATAATAGTTATGTTATATATGAAATGGAGACTCAAATTCCAGTCTGAATCAATCACTTGGACATTAATTTGATAGTTTACAAAGGTTAGTTTATAAGAATAGTAATAGTAATAGACATCAAAATATCTGTGGCTCTAGTTTCTCTGTGTCTGCATTTTACACAACGTGTTTATGAATAAAAGTTTCTATAAAATGATTTATGAAAATTATCTACATTAGGTTTATCTCTTGTAGATAATTTTCATAAATCATTATGTAAATGATGAGTTAATGGGTGCAGCACACAAACATGGCACATGTATACATATGTAGCAAACCTGCACATTGTGCACATGTACCCTAGAACTTAAAGTATAATAATAAAAAAAAAGAAAATTATCTATATTTATTTATCCTGCAGTGTTGCTGTGTAGCAATGTGAGAAGCTGGGACTTCTAATCTAATCATTTTGTTCGGTAAATATTTTGTCATTCCTGTGAAGAGCCAGGGCTTGATACGGGTGAGCCAAGTCATATTCAGGTAGTAATATAAGGAAGATAACTGGGTGGTAAACTATTTAAATCATATCGTTTGTATGAAACCTCAAACTGTAAGCTCAACGGAATGTACCAGAGTATCTGTCACTATTTCCTCAGCCTGCTTTGTCAAGTGCAATTTCGTAGGTAAAAACTTTGGGGTGATCCTCGTGCCTCCATCATAAAGATGAAAATATAGCATGAATTATCTTTGGTGATAAAGAACACTTACCAAAATAGAGATGACTCAACTTCTACACACAGCAGAGCTGTGTTGTAATGGAAATTGGCTTTCAGCTTCTGAGACATGTAATTTTATAATACATTTTAGAACATTTAACCTCTCCACATTTTTTTCAGCTCTGTCTGCAATAGTGAGAGGTAGTGCTATTGTTACAGAGTCTGCTAAAGCTACTAATGTCCTATTTATATACAGAAATAAAAGGAAATTCTTCCTTCTCTGGTGGTCTCTTTCAGCTACTAAAAAAGTTGCTTGGCCTAAAAATGTCATCAGCCACAGGGATTATTTGATTTGCTTTGTCCATAATTGATTACTTGGCTTTTACCAAAAAAAGCACATCTCAAAAATGTCCAAAAAAGGAGAGGAAATATGTTCAATTCTATGTAAAAAATTTCTAAAAATTTTTGAAGCTGAAAGGAATGCCCATAAACAATCTGATTCCAGTCTTATTTTCAGTAGTCATGCATAAATCATGTTCTATGACACAGAGAGAAAGAGATTTTTTACCTAAAGTGGTATTTATAAGAATTTTTAGCAGACTGGGAAGAAGTCCACTTTAGCTAAATTAAAAAAAAATTCACCGACTTCTATATATTATGAAGTGGTTTTGAATTCTATCTTTACTATTTATTTGAAATTTTCTGAGCAAAGTACTCTGTCTCATTGATCCTCAATGTCCTCCTATACAAAATGGCAAAAAGAACACATCCCCATTTCATTGAAGTGTTGTGAGAACCAAACAGGCTGAAATATCTGGCCTGTTTAGAATATTATCTAGCACACCATAAGCACACAATACAGGGTGCCCATTATTCATGTGACTTATGTAAATTGCAGGAAATATTAAAAATATTATTATAACGGGTTTTGTTTGTTCATGCTTTATTTACAGTTTGTGCCACCTGTTGATCTGAACTGAAGCAGGAAGGAAAATAGGGTCTGGAGGCAGGGAACATAAGGCCCATTCACACTTCAGCTATGACAGGAAATATCTGCTCCAGAGGGCATAGGCCAAGTGAACGACTTTGTGACTTTACTTCATCCTCTCCATTTACATAGGGCGTACCCCGAGTCACCAATGGAATCCTCTAGGGGGTATTTAAACTCCCAAAAATTCTGTAATGGGGCCTTTTGAGCTCCTATGCTCAGGCCTGCGCCCGCATTGTGGAGGGTATTTTCATTTTTAGTAAATCCCTTTGTCCTTGCTTTGTTTGTGCATTTTGTCCAATTCTTTGTTCAAGACACCAAGAACCTGGATACCCTCCACTGTTAACAGAACTACTGAACTTATTGCTAATATGTTAATATATTATTGAAAATAGCCTATACATATGAGAGTAAGTAAATACTTTGATCAAGCCACACAAAATTATCCGAGGAAACAAAGTGGAACAGTTATGGTTTAAGGTAAAATAATGTAAAACAATATCAACAGTATGTATGTCTATGTGATTGAGAAAATGAATCTTGTATAGTAAGGATCCAGAGCAGTAAGATAATACCTGTATCAGGAAGGAAATGCCACTCCGTTCAATTCTCAAGGGCAAAACTCTAGTCAATCCTATCACATGTGCACCTTCTTCTGCCCTGACATCTGCCATGTCTTATTTTGCATAAGCCATGGTGAATTCTGTCAAATCACCCAAGTAATAACATAACCATCTGAAACATTAACTGAAGACTTTCTTCTGACATCGGCTGTCACACTATGTGTGAATCAAATTTGCTTCATTAAAATAATTTGGGTTTTGTTCTGACTGCTCAACATTGCCATTTGAATCTGTGAGCAGCCTTATTGACTCTTAACCGCTATTACCAAGTCTTAATCGCTCAGAGATTCAGCACAGTTGGATATTGCAATCAGAGCAAATTCCCCATTTGATTCCAGCACAGAAGTTACCAATGAAACTAACAGAGTGATAATACAAAATTATCCGACTTCATCTCTTTTTCTCTCAATTCTCTGTGACTAAAATGAAACCATTTAGGAACTTACTTGTAATCTGCTATTTCTTGAGTTTGCAGTGGCTACTGAAATGCACTATTGTAAGATTTCGAACATATCTCAAATATACTACTATTATACTAAATATACTACTTTAAAATTAGAAGTGTCCTGATAATCAGCAGTTTTGCTTTTCAAAGTGCACGACTTGTACATCTGGTTACCCAATCCAGTTGAGAGGCAATCATAATAGGTTCAGGTTTCACCATAGCACGACATCTGCTCTGCAGTACCCAATCTGACTCTGCATATGAACCCTTGAAATAAAGTCATTATGTTTTCATTAAGTCCAAAGCAGTTCACATCAGCTGACATTTGGTCACAAATGATAAACAGTTAATAATTAAGCCAACTGAAATATTTTCAAGTACGCTTTTTTTGGTGCTTGCAATTATTTTTGTGACAGGATAGAATAGTTTTCTTTCTCTGAAATACAACTTCATAGGATAATTCCATCAGCTGCATTCCCTTCTGCTACTGAAAATGTGATTTTTTGATCACCCCCCCCCCCCCGCCCATTGTGTTATTTTTTAAAACAACACTATTCTTGGAGTTTAAGGAAGGGTTAAATCAGAAAAGAGCATGCTTGCTAGCATCAGCGGCTACTTATTTATGACAAGAACACTTTTAGTCAATTATTGTCTGAAATACTAAATGTACCTCCTGGGGTCCAGCATTTAGTCATACAAAGTGTCTGGCTCACATTGCCAGAACTGACCATTAATTATGATGGCTACAGGTAACAATCCATGCATAGCTTAGCTTTTTCTGGAAATTTTACAGCACAGAACCTGTTAGAGCTAAGGTAAGATAAGTTTGCCAGTGGAAAAATTAAGAGAAAAATATTGCAATATTTGAAAGACCCTTTAAAGTAACTAATTCAAGTGCTTTGATTTAGAAATCAGAAAACCCAAGAGAATGATAATGACAAGTACATACAAATGGTATTTAGCTGCTTCAAGTCTAGAAACCAGTCCTCTTTTTAGAGGTATGGAGCAGGTCAGGTGTTTTCAAACCTCAGGGCCCTTAATAATTACCTTCAGTGCTTTATAGAAAGTAATAATTCTAGGTGTCCACCCACAAAGATCCTGATTTAATTGATCTGGGATGGAACCTATACCTGGTATTTCTTTAAAAACCCCAGCTAATTCCAATGTGCCTCCTCCACTCTACTGATCTCTTTATTTGTACCTTCAGGAGAAATGCTTCTCTTTTTTTAGGATAAGAAACAGTTTGTTCTTATTTTGATAAAGGCATGCCCTGGCCACTATGAGCCATGTGCAGCACATTTCTCTCATCATCTTGGCTGTTAGAAAGTTTAAAGTCAATTATAAAGTGAACACTGTGTGTCTGCACAGTACTTCAGTGAATATATTCTTTCCTCGGTCAGTTTTATGATCCTAATTTTTCTTTCTTTTGCTTTTTCCCCCTCATTTTTTTCTGTAATATTTACTCTCTTGCTATTGTATGTATTATTGGAAGCTATCTTTTCAGCACAACTTGGGCCATCAAAAGAGATAAGGAACTAGACGCCTAAAAATGTAGAAAAGAAAATAAAAATATGTGATTAATGACAATTAGCATCCTAAAGAGTTTAGAATGGCTTTATCATTTTGTTTGGAATTCCAAAAAGCCTTACGATAGACAAAAATAAAACGAGAGAAGAGCACATATGCAATACAGTGGGCTAAGTGTTATGAGTAAGTGGAAAAAGTGAAATGAGTTGAAATGCAGACGGCATGAAAGATTAGTAGTGGGAAGAAGAAAGAAAGGGAAATGGGGCCGAGTGTGGTGGCTCATGCCTATAATCCCAGCATTTTGGGAGGCTGAAGCAGGAGGATCACTTGACCCCAGGAGTTCAAGACCAGCCTGGGCAATATAGTAAGATCTTCTCTCTCTCTCTCTCTCTTTATTTTATTATTATTATTATTTTTAGATGGAGTCTAGCTCTGTAGCCCAGGCTGGAGTGCAGTGGCGCAATGTCAGCTCAGTGCAACCTCCACCTCCCAGGTTCAAGTGATTCTCCTGCCTCAGCCTCCTGAGTAGCTGGGATTACAGGTGCCTGCCACCACGCCCAGCTAATTTTTGTATTTCCATTAGAGATAGAGTTTCACTGTGTTGGCCAGGCTGGTCTCAAACTCCTGACCTTGTGATCCACCCGCCTCGGCCTCCCAAAGTGCTGGGATTACAAGTGTGAGTTCCTGCGCCCAGCCAAGACCTTCTCTCTTAAAAAAAAAAAAAAGAAGTTGGGAAACAGAGTGATGTATCAGTATTGTATTATACAGGGTAACCATAATCCTGAGTCTCAAGAGATTGCACCTCCTTTATCATTCCTGATTTTCAGGCAACATGATATGGCATCCATTCTGCATCAATAACTCTTTACAAAGTGTCTGTATTTTCATCGTCGGTAAGAGTCGCTTCTACACCATTTATAAATATGGAATTTGAAATTTTATATAAAATTATATATGACTACCTAAATACATATTGGGTTAGAAAATACTGTGGTGGTGTTGGTGACTGCTATTTTATGTTACCATCAAAAGAAAAAAATAATTTTCCTGATATGAGAACCTGAGGAAACATGGAAATATCAGAATATGCTCATTTAGATTAAGAATGTGGAAAAACCCTTTTCATCCCATTGTTCTGCTACCGTAAGTTTTTAAAAAATCAAACAGAATTAAAATTTTGTACAGTTTAGTAAATTTATAAATTTTAATAGACTTTTATCTGGCTTCATGTATCACCATTAATTGCCTTAGTGAAGATCTTACATTGATTCAGTATGGAAATAAAATTGTTCTACATAAAATACCTATGACAAAGGGCTCAAACTGACTCTATATAAAAAACAGGTATTTTACCAATTAGGACTTATAATTTATTTTGATTTTGTGGTTTTAAAATCAGCAATAGTTTTAATGGTTCATACCTGATGTTTGAATTTTAAATGAAAATAAAGGTGACAGCTTAGTTCACTACTCTCCTCCTGGTAATTAAAAGTGTTTGGCATGTAGTATGTGCTCAATAGAATGTGAGAGAATGAGCAAAGACAACCTTTGAGAGTGTATAGTGGTATTAAAAAAGAGTAAAATTAAAATACTGAAAGAATAAATGAATTCAAATAAATGCCAGGAAAATTATGGTTGGATTTCTGAAATAGAAACCTTTGCAAAACTTAAAAATATGCCAGGCCCGGTGGCTCATGCCTGTAATCCCAGCACTTTGGGAGGCCGAGGCGGGCGGACCATGAGGTCAGGAGTTTGAGACCAGCCTGGCCAACACAGTGAAACCCTGTGTCTACTAAAAATACAAAAAAAAAAAAAAAATAGCTGGGCGTTGTAGCAGGCACCTGTAATCCCAGCTACTTGGGAAACTGAGGCAGGAGAATCGCTTGAACCCCGGAGGCGGAGGTTGCAGTGAGCCGAGATTGCACCACTGCACTCCAGCCTGGGCAACAGAGCTAGACTACGTATCAAAAAAAAGAAAGAAAAAATAAGAAAGAAAGAAAGAAAAAACAAAAACTTAAAAATAAGCTCATAAATGTTATGAGAGCAAAATGAAATGAGAAAACAGGCATTAAAAAATTACACTTCTTTCTCCTAATGTATATTAACTATATCTAAATAAGATTGTTTCATCAAATACATTATTAGCATCTTGGACAACAATAGAACCTGGTGATTATTGTTTTAATAACTCATTTTTACAAAATTGTACTCTTCACACTTCCTTATAAATGCCCCAAACTGAGCTTCACAACAATCCTATGAGTTGGAGGATTTAATATTAAGGAACTAATAATTCATAAACCTTGTAGTTAAGTTTGGTGTGCTCCAGGTTTGGGGCTTTTGTATACTATTCCCTCTGCTAGTTATTGGAAAAATGGTTCTGGTCACAATGACTTCAAAATGCAGATGAGCATAAGATCACATGGATCAAGTACCAGGTCATTCATTTCTCCCCTTGTTCACTTTTACTCAGAAGCTGAATAGTAATATTCACCCATTTCAGACAATTTCCTTCAAAGCGGTCTAGCCAAAATAATAATAATAATAATAAAATACAACTCCATAGTATTTATATTGAAAAAAGTAGGAGAGCTTTCTAAGATGTTTCTTCTCTGTTGGGCTTACAGCTATAGGAAAGTCACAAAAATCTAGAAAGAAAGGAAGGGAACACTGCTGGCCAAACAATAGACCAGACCCTGAGGAAGAAAAGCAGAAGGGAGAGAAAGTCTGCATACATATAGCCTCCTCATGACAGAGGATTCCATTTGAAACTCTATGTTAAATTCAGTCTCATTTAAAGTGTTCGCAGTAGTTACATTCTTTAGGAAGACGATGAAAGGGAAACTGAAGAGTGCATCCCTACAGATAATAAGGTGAGTCATAAGCATTATGCATCTGTACGTTTTGGGAGAATAAACATTGCCAGGAAGCACACTTTCCATCTCCTCCCTTGACAAATCAGGTCCAATATCTCCCTAAAGGGCAAAACTATCTCAAAGAAATTCCCTTTAGTCCAAGGAAGGCAAAAAGGTATATTTGGAGAGCTTTCTAATATCAAAATGTGTGAAGAGGAAATGCAAATAGGACTATCTTTAGAACTCTAGAACAGCAATTCCCTTTCCTGGTGTTGCCACATAATCTCCAAAAGAGGATTTTAATTTGCTTTAATGATGGCGGGCTTATTTGCCAGGGAATAATTTAAGGAAGGAAAGGTTTTAAAATGAAAGAGGAAGAAGGTGCTACAACTTTGTAAAATTTGTAATAACTGTCTCCTAGGAACAATACTCTTCCATCTTTGCTTTTCATCCTGATTAATAGTGATCATGTAAGAAGAGGCTTGCTGTACAAAATATCCTGTCGTTGGAACTGTTACTAAACAACATAAAGTCCAGTGTCTATTAATTCTGAACCATCTCAATTAGTGAAAATCTCATATATTTTATAAAATATTCACACTGAGAAATAGCTATCGTTCTGGGAACAAGTACATGAATTAAATGTGTAAAACATTAGATACTTGCTAACTACCAAACTGATATTGAAAGAGTAAAAATGTCAAGGATCCTAAATCCCTGTATGAAGGATATTTTTTCATTCACTACTAAAGAATGCTAATAGAGTGTGCAAAGAATACCTTTGTATATCAGATCCAATGTTCTTAATAATTTATTCCACTTAACGTTTTAAAGCTATGGATGAAAGGTGAGTATGGTATACATTAAGGAGAAAAGCAGGCAAAGAGGACATACAAATGTTCTGTAACTCACTAAGTACTTTCTTCATACAAAAAGCAAGATGAATTGGGAAATGCTGTCTCTGCAGTCACATTCTTTTGAATTAAAAACCTCTCATGTTTGTCAGTGATTTAAATCCCACCTGTCACTTTAACCCCCTTAATTCCTACAATAATTTCCTGTATACATTAAACCACTCAAATTGTTCTATTTTACAAGTACCTCTGTGGACTGCGTGGGAAGGTGAGGATGTTCACAGATTTTCAGATTCCCTGTCATCATTAGTATTTGACATAGAATAACAGGGGAATGAAAGTCCTTTCTTTTTCTTCCTAACTGGTTTTAAAGGGAAAAAATCTATTACACACCATAATACAATGCGATGATGACAGTTTAAAACATCGATCTCAACACATTTTTCATGATAAGAGTCCGAAGCTGTCTTTGTATGACTGTCTAAATATTAGTATCAAAGAGGAAGTTTTCAAGAACTAATGATTTAGTCTGAACAAGATGCTTGTAAATGAAGTGTCTCTCTATTAAGATGCTTAGGTTTCTTTCAAGTGTTCTGAATTAATTATTTTACCTTGTCAAATTTTTTTTGTTCTTTCTTTCTCATACATGATGGGAATGTTGAGGGATTTTGTGCACCTCATTTAGTACCACAGAAGCTCAAGAGTCTTAATTAAGACAAAGTATGATTTCTTAATAACAAGAAGAGACTATTCATGCTTAATAGGAAAAAAATCTTACCTTATTAAATTATTATAATCCACATTATAGTTTATTCCATAGGTCTTATAGTATAAAATGGTAGACTATACAAAAAAACCCATCTTTTGAAGTTTCAGCCATATATTCATATGTATGGCTTCAAATCCAGAAATAAGTAACAGAAATCTCTTATGGATAAAGACTAAGAGAGGCATTAATGCAAACCATCCATCTCAAAAGGCAAATTACTCCTAGATGGTTACTGTACTATTTTTTATAGGATATAAAATATACTAGTATAATGAATGAAAAGTCTTCCTAAAGTGTTTAGAAAGTCACTTCAATGACTTTCTTCAAACTTCAAAAGAGATGATATATCTGTCAATAAAATGACACCAAAATCATATTTTATAAAGATTTTATATTAACACTTGCTTTTGAAAGATGACATTATAGGGTCTTAATATCTATAATCAGAAAGTCCTTTTCTCAACTTGCAAGGCAATAAGTTTAAGAATTAATTCTGTCTGCTATAAAGCTGGCTTGCCTTTAATCTTCAGATTTAATAGGACTCTTTTTGCTGAATGTTTTAGGCAGGTAATTGAGGAAATAGTCCACGTTTCATTTCAGTCAACATAAAATGACATTGAAATGTCTTCAAATGTTTCCAGGAAATTCATGCTAAACAGTCTGTCTGTTATACTTGACATTGAATAAGAACAGAAATCCCTGTATTTAATAAAGCCCTTACTAAGAATTTAGATAATGAAGCTGCATGCTCAGGATAACTTATTACAAATTAAGATACTTATAATATCTTAACATACTTAATAAATAAGCATACATAAAACACATATAAAAATGTGAAAATGTGATGATTTGTACAATGAAGAATATCACATATATATCATTTCCTCCAAGTGAAATGTATTGGTATAATTTTGAAGCCAAACTCCTGAAATATAAACCAAACCAAACAAACACAACAGGATGATTGTCCTTGGTTTGCTCTGATGGACATTTTGATTCAGGCTTTCTGCCATTATTTGTGTCAATGAAAATCTTGAAAAATTATCTGCTCAGTAAATTTTGTAAAGTGCACAAAAATATGCATGGAACATCGGAAACCAGCAAATGACCCTATCCAAAATAGATCCTTCCAGGAATCTTTGAGACTGTTCACATTTAGAAGCGGCAGTGGTTACATTAAGGAGTTATGAAGGAGTCCCAATTCTGAAGTGCTTTCAATGCTTGTGGATAACTGGCAACTTCTTTCTCTTTTATTAAAAGTACTCTGCCAGAAAAGCCTACTTCAGTCAAAACACACTTCCACTTAAGAGTTGTTTTATTTTTTTCTGAACATTTTCGTAAAGTAAATATTGAAGTTTTCTTCCTCCTTTTCTCTCTTTTCTGATAGGAAGTGAGATTCTAGTTTGTCAGGAAACAACTGTGATTCCGGCTTCCTTTTTTTAAGTTTAGTTATTCATTCATGGTTCTGAATTTTGTTATATAGGTGCCCAGAGGCAAGTGGAAGCATTTTTATACAAACAAAGTAGATAAACAATGTAGGAAAGATGCTCTAATGGACTGTTTCTCTGCTCCCCTCATGTAGCCTACAGCATTTTTTTATTCTGCAAGTATTACAGTTCATCTGAAAAGACTTCCGAAATCATCATTTTCAGGCTTAACTTTCTTTTTTATTCAGTTTCTTATCAGCAGCTGAAAATAGGATGCTAGGATGCTTAAACTTTCTATCAGACCTTCATTTTTCAAATGAGAGATAATTTTCAGAAAAATAAAATGGTTTTATCTTTGCAATTATTCATATCTACTTAGGGTATTTTTAATAGCAGAGGTGAAAGTGGGGCAGGAGGAAATGTGAGAGGAAGTACACATCGCAGATATAAAGCTGGGAATGTGTATCTACCAGAATAGCAACAACATGCTGTTTGGTTACAATCTAAACAGTCAGGGCCCAGTCTTCAGCTCTCCTGTTCAGGCAGCCTGCAGTGTCCCTGGAGAGAGTCTACGCTTGCCTTACATTAAAGTGACCTCTTTGACTCATGTTCACAGCCGTGTTAATAAGCTTGAAAAAGGTGCCCTATCCAGTTATATTTTTTGAAAAACCAGAAGAAATAATAACTGAGACTGAGTACATTTGGAATAAGGCCAGGGAATTTGGGGACTGTCTTATAATTACTACCTTTTCCATAGCCAAAATTGTTTCTTTGTATTTCATGGACACATTTACAATGTCCACTGTTTATACATTCCCTCAATGAGTATCAGGAGAATGCCTTTGCAGATAAATTGCTAAGAAATAGCTTGGGTATGGGCCAGTTCTCTTTTTGTTTTTGGTATGTGACCTCACTGTCAAAGCATTCCATCCTTCCTCTCTTCCCACCCCCTATCCCAGTAAATGAGTATGCATTACATGCAGGATAAAACTATCATATCCTTAAACAAATGTCCTTTTCAAAAGTGTAATATAAAGCAGACCCAGAAAGTCGGCTGCTATAACGATTTCATGTTTTGCTGATCCCGGTCTTTTCTTCTGAAAGGCTTCTTAGTGGTCCCCAGTGAAAAGTTGAGATCAGCATTTAAATGCAGGTCTATCTTTTTAACATACTTTAAGTCCTCAGAATTCACTAAGTCTCAGTGGCTTTGAGAATTTATAAGCGTATCTAAGATGTTAAGGCTACCTCCATGTCTTTTTTTTTTTTCATCCTGCAAAATTACATTAATTGGAATTTGTATTTTTCTTCCCCTCTGTGATTTGAAGGAAATATACTACTGAATAAGATTTCTTCAAGACCATTTCTTTGTGTGAAGCAGCTTTCCCCAGACAGTTAGGGACCAATTATAGGAATACTTATAGTCTTTGAATTTTTACAGCTGATGTACACTGGTTCCTCTCCTAGGTAACAGTAACATGCACATGTGCAATGAGTCACAGGAAAGAAAAAAAAAAGAAAAAAGTAATTATGTTGTTTCTTGTTATATGCAATAACCAGCATTTGGTTAGAACACCCGTGCAAGTTTTAATTTTAAATGAGAAGATGAAGGCAAAAGAAGCCAACTTCTTTTTTTTAATTACCACTTTTCTGCATCAATCAACATATTCATTTAAATTTAAAACTTAGCATTTTATATTTCAGTCATGTTTTTCTTCGATGTCCTTTGAAGTCCTTATCTATGTTCTTTACACATGTCATAAAGACATTTTTATTAACCATTAAAAGCCTGAGAAAAAGCTGATTGAGGTTTGAATGTTTCATATTCTTAAAGGTTTCAGTCTACATGTTAAATGGCAAAAATATAGCCACTGAAAACTGTCCCAGGATGAATTTAACAAATAGACATTAATTTGATCTTTAAAAGATGTATTATATTAAGTTTTTGATTCCTATGATGGAAAACTATTATATGATTTTGCCAGTTCTAGGTAGGAATGGAATCATCCAATGAACAAACTTTTACTGCAAGGCTGCAACTACAGTAAGGCACCTATAGAGCAAAACTTACAAAGGTTTTTACCTTACCTTTAGGTTCATGCTCAAATTTGAGCTCTCAAGTTCCTGCTCTAACCTACTACATGGCACCATAGCCCTTATAGACCGACTACATGCCAATGATATTGTAGGTCTCTTGAAGAAATATTAAGATGAATAATTACATTTAAAAAATGATAAGATAGAAACTTGGCCTGCTAGAATTTGTGAGTCTTGAAAACTTTCCTATCAGTATGAAAACAGGTAGCATAATATAACAAAGACATGGGCTCCTGTTGCTGACGGCCTGAGCTGGAATTCTGCTTTACTTCCTATGCGTGTCATGTTGGATATGACAATTTCAATATTTCTAAGTCTCATTTTCTTTATGAATTCTTTATAGTCATAGTACCTACTTTAAAGGTGTGATGAGAATTCAATAAGATATTTTAAGCAGTGCCCAGCACATTGTTAGGCTCTGATAAATATTTATTATTGTGATTATCATTATCATTGTATTTACAGGAAAGGAAGGAAACAAATCTGAACAAAACATCAACTTTCATACAAAAGAAAGGAACATTAAAGGGAAAATAAAACTGTAAATACTGCTAATGGTCACGAATTTTTATTTGATTTTTTATGATTACTAGTTATCCTAAGATCACAAAGGAATTACGATTTCAACTTCCATGAAGAAAAATTACGTTAAAGATTTTTGCTTTGTATAAAAAAAAACCCTAAGATTATTAACTTTAAAGCTAAATAATGGCAGTAGTAATAAAAATACATTTGTATGGCATTTGAGTTCTAAAAACTATGCTTTTAGCCGAACACTTTCATGCAAATTAGCATGTTTAATCGTTATGAACACCCCATATGGTATTTTTAATCCCCATTTTGCAAATAAAAAACTAAGACCCAAGGTTACAGCACTTCTTAGTGGTATTGATACTCACTTTTGAAGCCAAAATTTCAAAAATAAAAGTCTTTTCAGGTCATATGTAGGCAAGAATATTTGCAGTTTATATTTTAATAATAAAACATAATTTGAGTTTTATTTATTTTATTTTTATTTTTTTGATATGGAGTCTCACTCTGTCACTCAGGCTGACGTGCAGTGCTCCGTGCAACATCTGCCTCCCAGGTTCAAGTGATTATCCTGCCTCAACTTCCCAAGTAGCTGGGATAACAGGCATATGCCACCACGTTCAGCTAATTTTTAAAATATTTTTAGTAGAGATGGGGCTTCACCATGTTGGCCAGGCTGGCCTCGAACTCCCGACCTCAAGTGATCTACCTGCCTCAGCTTCCCGAAGTGATGGGATTACAGGCATGAGCCACTGTGCCTGGCCCATAATTTGAGTTTTAATCAATACAAAAAGCCCAAAGTGTTGGTTTCCATACAAGTCAGAAAAAATCAGTATTAATAGAGAGTATTAATTTTATTAAGCCACATTTTGACTGCATTAGTAGGTAAAAAGGATGGAAAACTAGGACATCTTAAACAAATGTTAATCAGAAATATAATCATTAGTTTTCATATTCATTTCAATGGCCCCAGGGTGTTCCCTCATTCAATCCGTTGGTTTTGCCCTAATAATAAGTATTTTAAGTCATGTGATTCTTAAACACAATACATCCAAAACATGTGCCAATAATTATATCCAGAAGTGAGAACAATAATTTCTAAATAACTAGAAAACCATTTGCAACTAACATAAACTTGTTTTAAATTTACCAATAAAACCACTGGCAAATAAAGTAACTTGTACTCGCCCTTTGTAAACACAGGTGTTAGTGGTGTTCCCTAATCTAATAGAACTCCAGGAAGACTGTATCTTTCCACTGCACTACTATTGGCAAGCACAGTTAGTCTTTAATCCCTTTTAATCCAACCTACATATACAACAAGATTAGCTTTCTTGTTTAACCAACTTTGTAAGTCTCACTGCCCAAGGCCTTCCAATTGCTTCCCACCATCCACTGCCTAAGTAAACCTTAGTTTAGTCTTAATCATAAGACTAGATTCAACATGCACCATATATGAATTATACTTAAAATACTGTTCCCTCTGCCCTCACTTATTTTAATCCAGAAAAATTCTCCATCTTTTTCAAAGTCCAGTGGAAGGCTCATCCTCTTCTTGAGGGTCTCTTTGGCCATTTTATTCAAAACTCATCATTTGATGAGTACCAATAGCTCCTTTTTTAAAAAAAAATCACATTCATGTGTTTTATCTCTGTACTATCTTGAAATAGGGCCATTTATTGTGATTTCTCTGCTACTAAAGTCAAACTGATAAGTAGGGATGGAATTGTTTCTTAACGTTTGTATCCCCCAATTTGTTCCTCTTTAGGGATATTAACGTTTAATGCAATGAAAGAACATGACCTTATTTCCTACAGCCTTTGCACATCTCTTCATGGGTTTCTGGTTGTGGGTGTCTGTGTCTGAGATGCAAAAAGCAGAATTGGGTTCTACTGGTAAACTCAGAGCTCCTACTTCTTTTATTGTTTGCCTGAAAAAAAATAGGCATAGTTTTGACTTAGGTAGGGGATCTAAGAGTACTGCATCATTCCCAAATCCAACACTGTTAGAGTTAGAAGATCCTGTATGATTCAAGCACCTGGTTTCACACAGTGACTAAGGATGGGGAATATATCCCTTCTACAAGCTGGCAAAGCTTTTGCTCTATACTTAGAGGAAGAAAAAAATTCATCTTTTCAATCTATCAAAACTGAGGCACATAATAATTGAGAGGAGAAACTTATCATTATGCTCAGGGACTTTATGCTTTTGAGGCCTCATAAAGGACTCAGGAAGTATCAGCCCTTGTATAGCTGCAGGCAACATCTCCACCCAATTCTAGGCCACACTCATTTTTAAGGCACCAAAGCTCAAATGCACTCAGGGTCCTTGCATCATCATTTTGCCTAAAGAGAGATAATTTTTTTTTTGTTACAAGACTATATGAATGAACTAAAAGACTCTTAAGGATACTTTCTCATCTCATAAAACTCTCATCCCAAGTTACATGAGATAAACTGAAATAGTATTTTACAAATTCCTCCAAATTGTATCTTCTTATAGCTGAAGAACTTACAAGACTTTTTGTGTCCTATTTGTTCCAAGAATTGTAAATTTTACATGAAATAAAAGCATAATCTGCCTTTTGGAAGTGAGAACATTCCATACACCCAGAAGAAACCTGTATGTTTTACTGTTGATAGGAAACGGAACTCTGCCAGGCAGTGAACTAATGAATTACAATTTGGCAGCGCTCCATGCCTGATACAATTTAGTTCAAATTTATGAAATCCACTGGTTCCAGAAATCCACTTGTGCCTAAGGCCTCTCTGTACAGCTCAGAGTAAAAAGCATGACATTGCTAGACTTCTGATTTTACCTTATTGATAAAGAAAAATTTACAAACAACAGATTTTTCAACCTAAATCTCTGAACATTTCTTCAATTTTTCAACAACAGTAAATCAGTTAAAATCAGCATATCTTTGGTAGATAGCAGAATATTTCTCAATCTCTCATTAAATCGAATCCCCTTAGACATAGCTGACCTACACATCTCAAGAAAATGTCTGCAGCCTCATAATGACTGATGCCCTTGTGGAAAGGAAGGAATATAAAGCTTGTTCAAAGGCGTGATGTCTCATCCTTATATTCTTTAAACAAAATAGCCCCCACTTTTTTTTCCAAGTGAGGGAAAAAGAGTAAAGCCTCTTGATTCATATGAAGAAAGAATCATCATTACTGCTACTTAAAACTCACGTTCTTTGGGCAAACCTCTTTAAAAATCACACTGAAGGAGTAAGAATGAGGAAGATGAGAAGGTTTTATGTTTTTAATACCTAGGAAGAATAAATCTAGGATGGTAATTAGAGGAATGAGGCTTAGGCCTCAAGGAAACAATGTTTTCTTTCTAAAACGCATAGAGGGTAATGACACTTCCTATGTATCCCCCGCCCCAGTGAAGAATTCCAGACACTTCTCCAACTAGCCCTCATCACTCCCACCTGGAAGTGCACTCATTCTCACTTCTGGGTTTATGGACATGCTCGCCTCTCCCTCTTTCCTGCTTGCCCTTGGATACCTGGATGGCCTTATGACCCAGTCTAGGCAGCCTCTTTGTAACTCCTCTCTGACTAAATTAGTTTTCCCTTTCACAGTTTTTTTTTTTTAAGATAGGGTCTCTCTCCGTCCTGCAGTCTAGAGTGCAATGGTGCGATCATGGCTCACTATAGCCTCAAACTCCTGGGTCCAAGCAATCCTTCTGCCTCAGCCTCCTCAGTAGCTGGAACTGGAACTATAGGCATGTGCCACTGCACTTGGCTGATTTGTTATTTTTTTTTGCAGATATGGTGGTCTCCCTATGTTGTCCCAGCTGGTCTTGAACTCAGGGCTCAAGTGATCCTCCCACCTTGGCTTCCCAAGCGTGGGGATTATAGGAGTTGGCCACCACTCCCAGCCCACAACATTTTAAAAACAAGTATCTTATAGCACTTTTCACAATACACTTAACTTGTTTAAACATATTTTCTGTTTTTCAGATTATGAGCCTCTCACCTAGAAACGTCTGTTTCATAACATCTATGGATGTCGTTTTCACCTTTGTATTGTGTGAAATGCCTTACACATTAAGGGCATTCCATATGGTTGATGGAAGTTATATACTTAAGCAAGTTTCTAAAAAATAGATACATTTTAAAACCCTTTAGTATCTACCCTCTTTGCTAACTTAGAGGTTTCTACTGTGATTCTTTTATTCACAGTTACAGGAGGTTTACCATTTGCTGAAATAATACATTTACAGTCTAATAGGCACTGATGAAAAATGTAGTTTACTCTGAAACAACTGAATTGCCAAAGGAAATCATGTTGCATAAATGACAAAAGCAATACCAGTCTCATCTGGGCTTGCGACCTTAGAATTAAAAAGACACAAAATGAATATACGTGTATACTTTGGCACCTTGCTCGAGGCATATATTGTTTTGTGCAACTAACTTAAGGAGAATTGGTGAATTGAACTGAAGACAAGTGTAAAGGAAAAAGAATAAAAATAAACAGAAATTTAAAATGGCAAAAACTCTTCCTCCTATAAGACAAAAAACAGTACATGTATATAAGATAATTAAGCACTAGTTTAGAACAGGTAAGAAAAGATTCTATAGTCAGGTGTGGTGGCTCATGCCTGTAATCCCAGCACTTTGAGGGGCTGAAGCAGGTAGATCCCTTGAGCCCAGGAGTTTGACAAAAGATATGTAATAAGAGAATGTGATGAAATTAGATAAAAAGAAGTGATTATAGGCCAGATGTGGTGGCTCATGCCAGTAATTCCAGCACTCTGGAAGGTGGGTGGATCACCTTAGGTTAGGTGGATCGCCTGGGCAACATGGCAAAACCTCGTCTCTATGAAAATACAAAAATTAGCTGGGCACGGCGGTAAGTGCCTATAGTCCCAGCTATTGGGGAGGCTGAGGCAGGAGGATGATTTGAGCCTGGGAGATGAGGCTACAGTGAGCCACGATTTTGCCACTACACTCCAGACAGGGAAACAGACGGAGACCCTGTCTCAAAAAAAAAAAAAAAAAAAAATATATATATACACACACACACACACACACACACACACACACACACACACATACAAGATACTCTCTTTTTTGATAACTTATGTTGTGTTAAGTAATTTTGATCTGTAATCTTTTTTTTTTTTTTTTTGAGACAGAGTCTCTGTCTGTCACCTAGGCTAGAGTACAGTGGCAAGATCTTGGCTCACTGCAACCTCCGCCTCTGGATCCAAATGATTCTCCTGCCTCAGCCTCCCTAGTAGCTGGTACTACAGGTGCGTGTCACCACACCCAGCAAATTTTTTGTATTTTTAGTAATGCAAAAGAGACAGGGTTTTGCCATGTTGGTCAGTCTGGTCTCGAACTCCTGATCTCAGGTGATCCACCCACCTGAGTGGTGGGTGGGTGGCATGAGCCTGGCCTATAATTATTTCTTTTTACCTAATTTCATCACATTCTCTTACTGTGTTTCTTTTGTCAAAGGTGTTTTACTTTCTGTACAGACGGTTTTCAATTTTGTATTTTGTCATTCCATCCCAGCTTACCAAATATTTCACAATTTCTCACCAATTTGCCCTTTTAAACTTATATCAGTTATTTTTCAGAAGCAAACTAAAACTGTCTGGAACTGAATGCAAACGGCCAGCAGGCTCAAGTTATTCCAGTATCATTTCCAAATCTTTCAGGTTTTTCAGAGATATTTCAGTGCTTCAGGCTTTTCTAATATTTTGAAATTTGTTATAAGGTTTTGAAATTTGTTATAAGGTTTTGAAATTTGTTTTAAGATTTGGTGGTCAGTTGATATTACTGTATCAGAGGTTAGAATGTTCCATAAGCATGGGAAGATTTCCAAATGGAAAAGAGGTGTAGAAAACAAAACTGATTTATTTTGAAATTGGATCATAACCTTAAATTGTAATTATCAAACTTATGAAAAACAACTATTGTTGCATTTTTAAAATAACAAGGGAGCATATGTTAGATGCTTGATGTGTTCCATGACGTGATTTTTTAAAAGTTATCCTCTCTTCAAGTCTCAGGGGCATCCTCCTTTTCCCTCTGTGTTTTCTAAGGAATTAGCAATGTTGTCAGAAGCTAGATACCCTAAAGGAAATATAGAGAACACTAAGAATTGTACAAAGAGGGGTAAAACATTTGAGTCACTCTGAAATGACCAACAAAAGGAAGCTGTTTTGTGGGAATAATAATAATAATTATTATTATTATAGTAAAAGCAGTGGCAATCTCATCTGGCTTTTACTTAGGTGTCTAAATTCTATTCATACCTTAGAAACCCAACTCAAATATTAACACAATCTCAAAATCTATGCCTGCTACAGCGTTTTTGGCTTGCTCTTCTTCCTGCCTGGAACGTTCACCTCCCTGATTCTCACATTGCTGGCCAATTTCATCCTTCAGGTCTCAGCTCAAATACAGTATCTTTAAGGATGCCGGAGATACAGGAGTGCTGGGAAGGCAAGACCATGGTCCCTTTAAATGATACGGGAGTGCTGGGTAGAGGAAGGGTGTGGTCCCTGGCTAGGGCTCCACCCCCACCGACCTAGATGAGGACCTGGCACTCCTGCCTGCACGCCCAAATGTTGTATTTCCCAAGACCATCCTGGCCCACCACGGCCCCATCCTGTGACTATAAAAACCTGAGACTCTAGCAAGGCAAAGACCGAAACGACTGGACGTGTAGAGGAGCGGATCAGCAGAAGAAGATAGAGGCAGGGGGATGTCAAATGCAGCATATCAGCGTAGGAACACACAGGCCGTTGAAGCGAGAGAGGAGCACATCAATGAAAGAAGGCACAAGCATCTGGATGGCGAGAGGATGTTGAGGGGAGCATGGCAGCTGAAGAGCACACCGACAGGACACACGCCGGCACTGTCCCGGTGGGAGTGGGATGAGGCGGAGTTTGGTGGGGGCAGTGGGAGGAGAGCCCTGGCCGTGGAGTGCCCCAACTCCAGGGGAAAACCATCTCCCTTCTGGCTCCCCCATCTGCTGAGAGCTACTTCCACTCAATAAAAGCTTGCACTCATTCTCCAAGCCCACATGTGATCCTATTCTTTCGGTACACAAAGGCGAGAAACCCCGGGATACAGAAAGCCCTCTGTCCTTGAGATGAGGTAGAGGGTCTAATTGAGCTGGTTAACACAAGCCTATAGATGGCACACTAAGAGAGCATCCTGTAACACACGCCCACTGGGGCTTCAGCTGTAAACATTCACCCCTAGACACTGTTGTAGGGTGGGAGCCCCACAGCCTGCCGTCTGTATGCTCCTCTAGAGGTCTGAGCAGTGGGGCACTGGAGAGCCACACCCACATCGCATGCCCTGCCGGGGGACTACTGAACCTTTCCCGTTTCACTAGCATATACAATATAACCCTCTGGCCTATCGCTTTAACACATTTCCTCAGAGCGTTCAACATCATCTGTTAAATACTTGTATTATAATATTTTATCTCTTTATTTCTTTTGCTTTATAAAATAAATTGCTTATCTTTTCGGTAATCCCCTGTATCCCTGATGCTTCGATCAATGCCTAACATATATTGAATTAATATTAATTGATGAAATAAATGGATAAACACACTCCTTCCTGAGTATGAATATATCTTAACTGTATCACATAACTTTTTTCACATTCTTCCTTGCCTCAACGGTTTGCATATATTTCACGTAGGTCACTTATCACTATCGGGATTTATGTAATTTAAAAATCTCCTCCATTAAATTGCAAATTTCTTGGCAACTGGATTTTCTTATATTCATTTGTTAAAATTTGCATGCCTTTAAGACATACATATACTAACTGCTCAAATAATATTATTTAAATGAATGGATGTAAATTATACTAAGGGCAAGTTTAAGAATTATTATTTCCTTTTTACCCAGAAGCTTAAAAACATTTCATTTTCTAAAATTCTATGAGAAGGCATATATATGATTATAGCACTGGCCTGTGCAGTGGGTGAACTGTACTG
This sequence comes from Homo sapiens, assembly GCF_000001405.40. Lineage (NCBI taxonomy): Eukaryota > Metazoa > Chordata > Mammalia > Primates > Hominidae > Homo > Homo sapiens. The sequence goes on from NC_000013.11 coordinate 67,157,564, forward strand.
ACTCTCACACCCATGCAACATCATGCAAAACTAAATGTCTGTAACTGAGTGATTTCTTTAATTGGATAGGAAATGGACAGAAAGTAAAACTTGCCATGAGAATTAATGAAAAAAATACATGTGAGTAAGCAAAATATAATTATGAATTATGGTCAATTTTTAGCCAAAATACTTATTAAATATATTTTTCCTGTGATCAGAAGGGCCTTTAGAAGAAGGCAGCCTTAAGTCTAGCACGCAGATAGATTTTTGGGGGAAGTTTGAAAGTTGAGTTTGAAACCTTAATGGGCATCATCATTTCTTCATTGCCAGCATAATTCTCTCAGTCTGGGCTCTGGCAGAGAAATAAGACAACTCTCACTGCAACCTGGGGGTTGACATTAATTAAAAACAAAAAATCATAAAGCATCTGTGGTGAGTTTAGATGCCAAATGAGATGGAGCGAGTTTAAAAGTAAACTTCTTACAAAGGTAACTGAATGTCAGAATCTCACATTTTTAAAACGAAGATAATTAAAATACTTCTCTTTAGTACATCACATGCAAGCTTTCGTGATACATAATTAGTATCACTAGACTGTCTAATATTCCTGAGAGATATTATAAAGGCATAGAGATATTAGTGCTTATTTTAGGCCCAAAGAAAGTAAACATATGCATCCTCATTTTGCTTCATACAATGTAAGCTAATAGAACAAACACCTATTTGATTTCATATATCCATTGCTTGAATATCTATGTGGCTTGCAAACTGAGATCAGAAATTAAAAGTGCGAACTTATACTTTCAGAGTTTTTAATGCCAATGAATGAAAGGCCCTAAAGCATGAATACTGCTATGGACTGAATGTGTTTTCCCAGAATTTGTTTGTTGAAGCCTAAATCCTCAATATGATAGTATTTGACAGTGGAACCTTTGAGAAGTAATTCCGTCATGAGGGCAGGGCCCTCATGAGTAGGTTAGTGCCCCTATATGAAAAAGTAGAAGGAGAATCTCTCCCTCTGTCTGCTATTCAATTAAAAAGTGGCTGTCTCCAAACCAGGAAAAGTGCTTTCACCAGACACCAGATCTGCCAGCATCTTCATCTTGGACAGTCCAGACTCCAGAACTGTGAGAAATAAATTTGCTGTTGAAGCCACCCACTCTATGATGTTCTGTTATGGCAGCCCAAACTGACTAAGATGGATATCAAATAAATTGGTTTTGTTACAGCTTCACTCTTTATGAGATATAGTCGGTGGGACTTGCTGTCAATGATATTTTCTACCACAACTATCTAATTTTATGAACACTGAATGACTCAAGCAAAGGATACATAAGCTACCATGCTAAAATTATACTAGTTTATTTCTCATTGGAAAGACGAAATAACAGTCTCCCTGTAGACTAAAGCACTATCAAACTCCAAATGAGGTAGGGTATCACCCTATCCACAGACAATTAGCCAGACACTGACCCAGTGTCACTATCTTTAATCTTCAAAAGAACCATAAAAGGAGATGCTATTATGGCTCTCATTTTGAGTAAAGAAACTGCAGATCAGCAAAATTAGACGATTTCTTTGAGATCCTGCAACTGGATATTGTTGGCAAGAAGGGAGAGATTTGAGTGGGAGGAACTCTAGGCAAGAGGGTTGCCCTATAAGGTGACAGCCTGGATTTGACCGGGATTGGTGGGTTCCTGAGACTCACGGGTTCGAGAAAACAAAGATGGTCATAGGCAACACAGGAGAGTGGGCCACCCTGTGTAGAAACATAGAAACCACAGTGAGGAGGTTAGAATTGATTCTAAGGGAAAAGGTTTACTGCTGAATATGTTGAGCAAAGAATGACATGACTTGAAGCCATCATATTGTGTCACATCTGGCATACTACTGGCACACTTGGCCCTTCACAACCCATCTTGAAATGGAATGGAATTTACAAAAAGAAAAGCGTAGAGTGAGTTCTTGGACATCGAGTAGGAAATAATGGAGGTCAGAGAAACCAGACTGGACCCCAGAAGGGAGAGTAAAACATTTCGAAAAATAAAATGTTACTTGAGATTTGCAGTTTATTTAAACATTCTCATTAAAACCTTTAAGATAACTGGAGAAATTACTAAACAGGCAGGTGGTGAATGCTTTTTTGGCCTGAAAAATGGTAACACACTTTTTTAGAGAATAGATTTATTCAGTAATTGACTAAAAAACAAATTCATTCAGGGAAAAGAACAAAACGAACCTGACATTGAAAACAATGTAGCAATTAGTGCAAAGAAAACAGATACTGTAATAAAGAAGCAACTAAACTATGTAGCCAAATACGTAGTTTTATAAGAAAGGGGCCTTTGCTGGTTTCTTTTTTCTTTCTATTATTTTTTTGCATAGTCGCTGAGATTTTAAGGGCTTCTTTGCAACTATGCAAATGAAGAAACTCCTGATATGAACTTGTTTCCTACTTCTTCCATTGTCAAAGAACTCCAGCTCAGCGACATTCTGAAGAGCCTCCTCAGATGAGCATCTCTGCCATCTGGGAAATTCTGACTCCTCTGAATTTTTGTGATTCATTTCTCTTCAGCCTTGTAGATTTCAAACTAACAAATCATCATCTACAACAACAGCAAAATGCAACAACAGCAAATACTCCAAAAGTTTTATAAGTTTTCTTTCCTGCAATAGAAAATTATTTTCATATTTCAGTTTTGATTAAAAACACAACCTGGCCGGGTGCGGTGGCTCACGCCTGTAATCCCAACACTTTGGGAGGCCGAGAAGGGCAGATCACAAGGTCAGGAGATAGAGACCATCCTGGCGAACACGGTGAAACCCTGTATCTACTAAAAATACAAAAAAAATTAGCCGGGCGTGGTGGCGGGCGCCTGTAGTCCCAGCTATTCGGGAGACTGAGGCAGGAGAGTTGCTTGAACCCAGGAGGCGGAGGTTGCAGTGAGCTGAGATCGCGCCACTGCACTCCAGCCTGGGTGACAGAGCGAGACTCCGTCTCAAAAAAAAAAAGTGATATACTCAAAGGCTATTTTTTTTTTTTATTTTAGGGTTTATGATTTAAATACCATGATTCAAGACAACATGCAGGTTGAAATACTCTTCACACCATTGTGTTTTTATCAGATATAAACTAGCATTTTATTTGAATCAGCTACTACAGTATCTTGAGCCACAAGCATCATTTCTCATCCCTCTTAAGAAAAGTTACTTACACTCACAGGAGCCTAAGAGAACCATTTGTCTTATGGAGGCAGATTCTGTATTCCCTTCTGAACATTTGTGTAGCACTGAGTACAATTGAATTCTCACACCTTTTGAATTAATGTGGTTAGGAGCCAGTTTGTGGAATAGTCAAACAACTTTCCTGGTCGCTTAGATATTTTAAGCATTTCTGAAATGCAAGTAGCATGGGGACATTTATTTGAAATTTCAGCTAATCTTTCTGGAACAACAGTGATAAATGCAGTAGGTAGAGCGATTCTCAGGAAGAGTATCTTTCTAGGGTGCTTTTCATCACACTTCCACATAACAGTACAATTAATAGAATAAAATGATTTAACAATCCAGGTGTCTGGAGGAAACCATTTCCAATACCCTTCCTGATTGCAGAATGAGTCAAAATAGTTAGACAATTCTCTTTAATTTTACTTCAGATATAAATTTCTGTTCAAATATAAGGAAAGTCTCAGGGAAACAAAGCATATGCAAACAGACAAACCTCCCAGTTAATGAAATACCTCCGTGAGGACTGCAATCAATAACAGTATAATCTATGTTCATAAATAAGAGTACAGCCTCAGAAGAGTGTCGGGCAGTGATGAATCATTCAGGAGGCCTGCTTTGCTGCTGTTCAGCTACATCCATGCTTAAAGCTTTTCAGTGACGGAAACACCTGGCTTAGCACCCTCTGATTTCAGCCTCCTCTGAATAGCTAAATCTCTTTTTTCCCTCTTGTTCTAAACACAGTTTAACCATGGAGCCCTTACCTGATGGTAAGCTCCAAAGAGAGCCACTGAACTCCAAGAGGAGTAAGTTAGTTTCTGCAGGTCATACATAGACTCACATGCAGATCTATTTTTTGTGGCAGGGAACTGTTGACCGTAGAATGTACCACTCACAGTGTACAGAAGATAGGGCCTAATAAACACTTTAATTTCCAGGGACTGTCAGGCAGGGTTAATGTGAGCAGGGAGAGGGAAATTAGTAGTTAGTCAGGGAGAATAATAGAAAAGGAGACTATTTCCTCTTACAAATATCTGTAATCTGTGCCTCTTACCATTAGTCTCCCAACTACAGATATTATAATAGTAGCAACGACACAACTCCTCCAAGGAATATAGAGTTTCAGCCTTCTTCCAACTTACTAAAGTGATAACTGTGATATTCTGTGGGCAATAAATAGTGCTTGGGAATTGGAGAAGGCCAAAACTTATTAGCTAGCCTAATCCACAGTCTAAGTGTTTTGTTCAAGTCCGCCTTCCTAAACGACCTTGGAAGTAGAGTTTTTTGCTCTATCTTCTGGGAAGCAATTAAAAAGCCAATGATTTTTAGTGTTGTTAATTTTTCATATTCAGGCTAAATTTTCCTTGGCTTTATTTCTTCCATTTATTAATACTTACTGGCCTAAATAGCCATCCTAAATAATGTGCAGGTACACACAACTAATATTTGTAGATTATAACATTTGACAAGATCAAAAGATATGTCAATATCCTTCTTGAATTGTAGTTCTAGTTCTCCTGATATGTAAGTATTTCAAAATACATGTCAACTTTCAAAAAAATCTGACTCTCTGAAAGTGTATCTCTAGAATTTTAGCTTCAAAATTTCAGTTGATTAAGGTGGACTGGATATTTTCTCTTGGGAATTTTGATATAAAATAGCTTTATTAAAGTTCATCTTTTTTGTTACACACCAAACACCACAAGCAGTGTGGACTTTCACTTGCAGGAGTCCTAACTCACAGAACAACCATCAAAAGCCTTTCCTATCTGATCACCAGAAGAAATTCTTCACTGAAGGTCAGCAGTTTTTGACCTAGCTCCTGGCCTGCAGGTGTCTGTATCAGAAAAGAAAATTGGCCATACTTCAATGCCCTCTTCTAAAACTCCCGAGTGAGTAGAGAAGGAAGATAAGGTGCTTCAGAGTCTTTAACATCTTTTTCCACATCAGAGAAAAAGGAAAACAGATCGAGTACCCCCTAGACATTACTATTTAAGTAATAATGTATTCAGAAAAAAAGATAACTGTTGAATATACAAGTGCCTGCACTGTACTGAACTGAAAAAAAAAATAGCACTTTGGTTTGAAGTATTAAACAGAAAATATATCTTAAGTATGTCATTATATTTAGTGGTGAAATTTAGAAAAGTTAACAAGAAAATATGGTGAAAATCATGTATGTACTTTTGCAGCTCTTTATTTGCGATCCAGTTCTTCCACATTTAGATCATGATGTGAAGTAGCAAAAACAATTAATTAATCACCATATATAGATAGTAACACTTTTAAGTTTGGCTTATAAAATCAGAGAAGTGGTCAACTCCAGGCTTTCACATATTTGGTTACTGTAGAAACTCCGTGTGCATGAATGAGAATCAAAAGGAATCAAATATAAAGAAGCCCACACAGATCTCACCCAGCCCCGAAAAATAAAAATGTGTAAGTAAAGACTCTTGTTCCCAATTAAAATTGCATACATAACTTTCTCACTTAGTGGAGATGAACCAAGCTACTCTCAGGCATAATATGTATTAAAGAAAGTATCTATAAACCTATATGTGAAATAATATAAGGGATCTTGAACAGTTCTTTGAGAAGATAGATCAGGTATTTTAACCTCATTTGTCAAACAAAGTTATTAAAATTGTCAAAAATATATGCTCTAACTTTACTATCTTAAGTTTGGTTCTCTGTCATTACATTCTATTTAAAATTTCAGAGCGCATTTGGTATAATAAGGTCACATAAAAACATTAAACTCTGTAATGTCAAATCATTTTAACATCTCATTTTATCTTGTAGGAAGGCATTCAGACAGTAATTACAATTTCTGGTTTTAGTTAATTCATATGCCAGAGCAGACCATGAGAAAAGTTTGTTTTTAATCCCAGAATTTGCTGCGTCAAGTAACTGAATTTAAACACTGTATAATGTTTGCAGAGATATGCGATCACTTGTAACTTATATTGAGGCTTCCAAAATGTACAGTTCTTTAAAGAATAATCAGTAACTCAAATGGTTAATTCTTTTCTTATACATGATCAGGAAAACTAACTGTCAATAAATGTAATCCAGATTCTTTATTAGTGATCTGAAACCAAGCCATTACAATAGAAAGAAGCATAATGACATCCTATAGGAATTTTAAAGTAAAAGATAATGGGGGTCTCTTAAGTTTATGAAGGGAATACATGGCATGAGTTTCCCTTTATTTTATTGTAAAAATTAATTAGTTAAAAGTTTAAAGGACTTAGTTCTTAAAAAGTTACCAATCCACTCTAACAAAATCATGTGTTTTGACATCTTCTAGTTATTACTAAATGTGTGTGCACCTTCACATAATGCAATCATAATGCATCTTCAAGTTTTCTGTTGTTCTAATTTCATCCATAAACATTTTTATTTTCAGCTTTTCTTCCTTCTTAAAATAACACAAATATATATTTCAGGTAAATATTTGAAAATACATATTATATCTACTATAGGAAAATTCAGAAATTAGCAGAAGTATTAAGAAGAATATACGCCGGGCGCGGTGGCCCATGTCTGTAATACCAGCACTTTGGGAGGCCGAGATGGGTGGATCACGAGTTCAGGAGTTCAAGACCAGCCTGGCCAAGATAATGAAACCCTGTCTCTAATAAAACTACAAAAATTAGCCTGGTGTGGTGGCAGGCACCTATAATCCCAGCTACTTGGGAGGCTGAAGCAGAGAATTGCTTGAACCAGGGAGGCAGAGGTCGCAGTGAGCTGATAGCATGCCACTGCACTCCAGCTTGTGTGACAGAGCCAGACTCCATCTCCAAAAAAAAAAAAAAAAGAAAAAAAAGAAAAAGACTATAACATTTGACTCCAGCCTTGTGATGTGCTGTTGCAAACTCTCCCTACCCTTCCAGGTGCCTGCACTCTGATCAGGTCACCTTTCCATTGTTAGATGGATAGAGCCTGTTTTCATCTCAGGCCTTTGAGCAAATTGCTCTTCACAGCTTTGTTTCAGTGACATCATCCTGATTATGGTTTATTTATTAGCTCCTCAGATCTTCCCTGACCATCTTCACATACAGGAACTTCTGCATCCCTCCTCTTGCCCCTACCCAATCACTTGCTATGTCATTATTCTGTTTGTGTTTCTATAGCACTAGTCCTATGGAAATGATCTTCCACGTTAATTCATTTACCTGTTGACTATATACCTCCATGAAAGCCCCAGCAGGGGAGAGAACTTAGCCATCTTATTGACCATAGCATCCCCAGCATCTGAAACAGGGCCACAAAAAAGTGTAGGTACTTGATAAAGTGTGTTGAAAAACAATATATAAAAGAATAAATTAATTAAAAATTTAAAATCACATCTATTTCTACCATTCAGAAATTAAAACTTAATTTCTTTGATATTATTCACTTCACTTTACTTTTTTATTAGTGAATTGTACTGATGAATAAAAAAAGTTTGAGCTAAATCCTAAATTACAATGTGTTTATACATTAAAAATACATGATTACTTGTACAAAATGAGATCATACTATAATTGTTGTTTATCTGATTTTAAACATTTATCCACATATTAATAAAAAATTCAGCATTCCATTTAATTTTAAACTGAATTTGATGGCTGCAGAATATATCATTATACACTTTACAATAATAATAGTGAATATTTTATGGGTGCATAATGTACTATTCTGCGATTAAAATATTCCAATACTTACCTCATTTATATTCCCACTAACTCTGATATTGCTCCATTTTATAAGTGGTCAAGACTGTCCTGGGCTTACATGGCAGAACTGAGATTGAATCCATAACAAAGAGAACATTTTAATTCTATCTTTTATGTATCTATCTATCTACCCCCTCCAGGAAAAAAAAAAGTTATTCTAATTTATATTGCTAACAGTTCTTTATGAGAATATCTGTTTTTGGAACCTAAGTCAATTTTAAACACATTATCTTTTAAAAAAATGTTTAACAGTTGTATAGGAGTTAATTATCTTATTTTAAAAATACAAGTTTATTTCCTTGTGAATTTGAAAAGGATTTTAAGACGCATGGACATTTGCATTTTTTCATTAGTGTAACAAATCATATTTGAATGACTAGTTTGTTGATGTATGATTACTTCTTAACAGCCTCTCATGCTCTGTAAATTAGAAACTACGTAACTACCCATTTTACAGACTTAGATGTATCTATTACAAGTAATGAGTTAACCACATTCAAAACAACATGATTAATTAGGCTTTCTAAATCTTTTTTTCTCTTGAGTTAAAAAAGTCGTGGTGTGGAGTCAATTTGCCTGAATGGTTAGGATCATGCTTTGCAATGGATTCCTTTGGATTTTCCTATCAGCATGGCCTCTGCTGAACACTCCATATAAAATAAATTTCAGATCCACTATAACTCCCTGGCTTCTTACCCTGTTTTATTCTCCTTTGATACAATTATGAACACTTAGATACAATATATTGTTACTTGTCTTTCTTTTCAATTAGATATGGATAAGTGACATGAAGGAAGTCTTTGCTGTTTTCTCAACCTCTGATATGATGTGTAACCTAGAGCAGGCATCTAATAGATAACTATGAACAAACTGAATTCATAAAATCCTTTTGATCGGAAGCCTGATTTCACTACATGATACAACCTTGAACAAGTCACTTAACCTCTTTGAATATTCAGTTTCAGATTATACAAAATGAGGATATTTGAGAATGGACCTTAACTATGACATTTTAATGAGCTTTTATAAATTACTTGGTTAGTTTCAATTTGGTAACTGTTTCAATTTGGTAACACAACATAATTGATATTTTCTGTCAAATGAAAGTGTCCGGTTATTTTACTATACTCATACATAAGGCTTGATCAGTAAAAATTTTTGAGTTTTTTATTGTTTTGTTGCACCTTTTTTTATTCTGTGTTATATTATTACGGTGGTAGTAAGAGAAATAAAGTTCTTTCCATAGCAAAACGTATAATGTTGGAATAAAATGGCTACCATGAGTGTGTGGCTACCGTGGCTACGGGCATTGTACCTGCGTTTGTCTGGCTAAAAGACCATCACTTGTTTATCCTTTTTTTGACTATCTGGAAATATTTTTTTCATTGGTAAACTAACCGTGGAAAGGGAATTTGCCTGACATTAATAGTCACCTAAGTTTAGAATGAACACTAAAAAGCAAGGGTTCTTTACACAGTGCCATTAATAATTACATAATTTAGATCTGACTTCTTGTTCTACAACGATAACCTTCCTTGTTATATCTTACAATCATATATTTTATAAGAATTCATTATGATTTTTTAAGTCACTGGTTCAACTTAAGTATAAAATATTCATGCTACATTATTTGATTTTTTAAAAGGCTATGTTTGTCTTTAGTGAAATGGTTAAGAGCATGATGAAATGGTTAAGCACATGATGAAGTGGTTAAGAGCAGACAGAATATGGGGTCAGGCTACATAGGCTTTAATCTGCATCTGCTACTTAATAATTGCGTGCCTCTCAGCAAATTACTTAAGTTCTTTGGGGTTCTGTTTCCCCTAATTTAAAATGAGGAGGATAATAATGATATCTATTTCATAGTATGATTGTGCGGACTCAAGACACTAATATAAAAATCCATAAGGATACTATCTGACTTTGATAAGGACTATATCATATAACTCTCTAGTACATAAATTCAAATTACTCTTTTATTGGGAGAAAAGTTTGATGAAGCCACTTTTCATCAAACTTTTCCTTAACCATAGAAAAGCTTTTGATATGGCCTTCTAACTCATTTGCTTTAAGTCAATATCTTTTTCTTTACAGTGTTGACATTCCCTTGTGGCAGGAAAATCAACATTTTGAGTCACTTGCTTTAAATAATGGACTGAGGCCCAGTGTCAGCATCTATCCAGATTGAATTTACTTTCAATAGCCTTTTAAACATGCTGAAGTTCTAAACTCCATTTTATCTAAATATTCTGTTTTTCCTTTTTATTTATGATTCCACCGTGGAACTAATTATTGTCCTGTGATCAAACTTAAAACAGATCAGGTGTCTGGAGTTATACTCATAACCCAATATGTTAGCAATAGCATTAAGACTAATGCATACAGGGATTTAGAGTTACCTGCAATAATCAGAAACCATGTTTCCCTCTATACCCCAGGAACAAGGGAAAAGGAAACAGAACTGTTGCCAGGAGCTTGAGGACACATGCCCACTATTTCATAAAGAAACAAACGATTTGTTTCACAGTGATAGATAACAAAAGCTCAAATTAAAAATGACAAACACAATCCTGGGAGAGAAGAAAACATACTGATAAAGGTAACCACATTGTAGACAACTTCTCCAGAAAATCACTTGTTATCCAAAAGCAAGTGAAAATCCATATTCACATTTATGACAAGTTGTGACAAAACCTTTATTCTTGCACCCTTCTTCTAATGTAAGATATCTGATTTTAAAATGATTTCAATATATAATCCCTCTGCTAAGCCTCAGCACCATATCACCATCTTATATTGCTGCAGTTCAGGAACATTGATTCTGAGGGCTGATACAGAACGTTCATAACCATGGGGAAATAAACAAGGAAGAAGAAATATGGAGAGTGAAATAGTTCTATACTAGGAATACTAACAAGAATATCAGTGACCTTAAAAAGTGGTAAGAAAGGTCAAGCCACGCACAGTGGCTCACACTTGTCATCCCAACATTCTGGAAGGTCAAGGTGCAGAATTGCTTGAGCCCAGGAGTTCAACGCCAGCCTGGGCAACATAGTGAGACCCCATTTCTACAAAATGTTAAAAAAAAAAATTAGCCAGGCATGGTGGGTGCACCTGTGTTCCAAGCTACTCAAGAGGCTGAGATGGGGGGATTACTTGAGTGCAAATAGTTGATGCTGTGGTGAGCTGTGTTCAGGCCACTGCAGTCCAGCCAGCCTGGGCAACAGAGCAAGATCCTGGCTCCAAGTAAAATGTAGTAACAAGAATACATGAGAAAAATACTCAGAAAACACTCCCAATTATCAATTACAATCATTTAATGGTCATTTAAAATGTTATCTCAATCTTTAAACATTTTAAATCCCTAATTTGAAAAAGTTCAACTTTTTCTGAATCTTACAGCCATCTTTTGAATGACGGTATGTCACATTATGAGTAAGTCTGGACTCATATGATTATGAACAACCATTCCAGTAGATGTTTAATAAATGTTTGTCAAACAAGTAGTTATTAGTGTATGCTTTATGTACTCTTCTCACTTACATATTCATGGGACATCACAAATAAAATTGGAAAGTTTGGAAATATTATCCTCACATTGTGACACTGGAAGTCCTCAGCACCACTGGGGAAAATCAGTGTTTGTTTTCCCTGTGAATGGAAACCACAGTTATATTTGTAACACAAATGACTGATGGCACTTGATATGAAAACCAAGAGTGCAAATATGAAGCCAGAACTATATAATTGTTGAAAATCCACCTTTTAGGTAAATCCAAGTTATAACATCCTAAAATCATCTGTTCAAATTTATTTTTATATATTGTACAATGCTCATTATGGTGTTCATATTTATTTTTAATGTTTCATTTAAAAATTAAGAATTTAAACACTGCTCTGTTGCCATCTTCTGCCATACAAAATTCGTTCCAATTTTATTGTAAAAGAAAGCTCTGGCATAGATTTAACCCATAAAATCATTTCTGATTACATGTCTTTTGGCCTCTGTTAGCTAGAATCTTACAGCAGATTCTGAAGTGCTCATTGTTTAATTATTGTTATTGAAATGTTCCACAATAAACTAAAGGGATTTTTTTGTAAGCTAAACAATGTTTTAACTTATTCTGTAGCTATCGAAACTGCTGAGTCAATGTCAACTCATATAGAATCTGAACAACCCTAGGCTATTAAAAAATTCAACAAAGTGTATCTGTATTTTCCTGAAAAATAATTAAGAGCAACATTTTTATTATTTAATTAATAAAGCTTCTACTAACCAAGATCTTAAGAAAGTAAATTAATCTTTTAGCCCTGATTTTACTCTTCTGTATTTTTTGTCTAAATAGTTAATTGCTAAAAGACTCACATGAGTCTCTATTTATTTTTCTGCAGTATCTCACTGACTATTTCAAATTATAATTCTGGCAATACATCCAGCTCCTCAAATCTCTGGAACCAGTTAGGTACGTCTCTATATGGTTGTAGAGCATCCGATTATAATCCTGCTTCTCCTCCTCCTTTTTTTATATTATTTCTTAAATCACAGATACCTGCTTATTTGCAGGTGGTTCTGTCTCATTCTAAGTGATCCATTCTTTGAGAAGAAAAACAGCTTTATATTATTCACAGGTATCAGTGCTATAGCATTATGAAACCATCAGATTACTTTTATTTATGGTCTTTAGCAAAGCTCTATTTGGTATTTGTATTTGAATGTAATGCTTCATTAAGAAAATTTAAAACTTATATGGTCATGTATGCCAATGTCCAAACTTAAAGAAATGGCAGCTCATATAACATAGCTGTAGATAACACCTGTTTGCTTGTGAATGGAGATAATAATTATTTTTCTAACACTGAGAAATACATTTCGCATAAAGTTTCAAAATGTGTTTGTTACAAGTTACTTAAAAATTGAGTAAACTCTATGGTAAAAGGATTATTTCTATATCAGATAAGGAGAATGGCTGCCTCAAAAACATGACCAGAAGTATAAAGTAATACCATTCGATTTGCAATAGCAAAGGAGATTCTATGAAAGACCATCCTATAAGAATTAAACTTTTGCCATATATCATTAGAATGCTATAATATAATAACAATGGGAATTGCATATTTTACTATATTTATCAAAAGTAAGAAGTGAGAACTGGCCAGGCACTATGGCTCAGGCCTGTAATCCCAGCACTTTGGGAGGTCGAGGCCGGCGGAATGCTTGAAGCCAAGACTTCAAGACCAGCCTAGGCAACATGGTGAAACCCTGCCGCTACTAAAAATACAAAAATTAGCTGGGCCTGGTGGTGCACTCCTGTAATCCCATCTACTCGGGAGGCTGAGGCACAAGAATCACTTGAACCCAGGAGGTGGAGGTTGCCGTGAGCCAAGATTGCGCCACTGCACTCCAGCCTCAGTGACAGAGAAAGACTCTGTCTCAAAAACAAAAACAAAAAAGTGAGAACCATGGAGAGAATTAAAAAGTTGCATGAAATCATAACTCAGAGAAAAATATGGTCATCCTATCCCTGGAGCTGTCAAAGGGTGATGTCATAAAGTTTGGCAACTCCTGGCCGAAATGACTTCTATCTCCTAGATGAAACATAGCATACCGAAATCCATTTACCATGAACTGGTGCCATATTCTCATTAAGAGATTTCTGTCATTTTAATTTTATTTTTCCAAGTAAATTTTCCCACAGGGAATAATTTTTCTTATTAATTATATGTACGGTAACCCAAACTATTTAAAAGAAAAAGTTGAAAATAGGGTATCTACAGTAAGTAAAAGCAATCATAAATATATATGAGTCGGGGTAGAATTTCAGGGTAACAGTTGACTTTTCCAGTTCAGGGTGGCATTGGAGGTCTAACCTCATTAACAGCAGATGCTTTTGGAGGACTAGACTGTCACCAATCATTAACCCTCACTCTCTGGGAAGATCACATTCTGTCAATATTGCTGCTAGTTGGTATACTTCTTCCATATGTGTCAGAATTAAAGTTGGAAGCCTTGAAACAAACCATTGAGCTATCTATGATTTCATTAAAACTCTTGAGAACTAGACTCAGGCAAAATTGTGACTGTAGTCATTTATCTCTGGTTATGTTATACCTTTATCTTTATTATGCATTTCTATCAACACCTTTAATGGTGCAGTGCGTATAAACTACAAATTTAAGAAATTATCCCCCAGGATTTGAATTCTGCCTCAGTGACTTATTGGTTCTGTGACCTTGGAGACCTGTTTGAGGCGATTGAACCTGAGTTTCCTCTCCTATAAAGTAGTGATTATAATACTTTCCTACAAAGTGGGAAAATGTAGCAGTAAATGAAATGACCTATGCAAAGTTCCTAACAGCAGAGCACACTGTAAGCCCTCAAAATGAGAGCGGTGTCATTTATTTCCCTAAAGGGCCTTACTGCTAGAGGTATCTGCCTTACATCGCCTGCTCTCAAAGATGTGAAAGTATTCAAAACACTAAGAGAGCACAATATAATAGAGCTGTACAGTCACAATTTAAGACCACCACTTACTAGTTTTATCACATCGGATGAAACTTTTGAAACTTATGCAGCCTAAATCCATGAATGTATGTTAATCTCTGACCAAAAGAGATATGCTCAGTAAACATCAGCTTCTCTTCCAATTGTGGTCATGGTACTATTTCAGGCACCCTTACTGTCCTTCAAATCTCAAGTAAATGTTAACTATATCTAGCATGATTGTTCTCACGGCATCCCCTGGGAGAAAGTAGAACGTTGGAAGGCACACTTTTCTGCTTAGCCAAGGCAGAGCCCTGGCATCATTCTAAACATACCTCTCCAGGTAGCACATACTAGTAAGAGTTTCAGAAAACTTGTAATGTCTATGCCCTTTCTATAGAAAGATAAGCAAACTTAAATGACTTCAGTGTACAGGCAGTTAAAGTATATAATTATAACTAAATGGGGAGTAAGATGAAGAATGGTAACAGAGAGTTGGCTTCAAATAATGAGATGACAGCTGCTGTTGGGACTATTCAAATTTGAGGGAACCTGAGAATTGAAGTGATAACAGGGGCTCAACTTCAAAGGGCTTTTGTGGCCATTCAAGAATGGATGGTTTTGGCCGGGCAAGGTGGCTCATGCCTGTAATCCTAGCACTATGGGAGACCGAGGTGGGAGGATCACCTGAGGTCCGGAGTTCGACACCAGCCTGACCAAAAAGGGGAAACCCCATCTCTACTAAAAATACAAAAATTAGCTGGGTGTGGTGGCACAAGCCTGTAATCCCAGCTACTCGAGGGGCTGAGGCAGGAGAATTGCTTGAGCCCGGGAGGTGTAGGGTGCGGTGAGGCGAGATCACGCCACTGCAGTCCAGCCTGGGAGACAGAGCGAGACTCCATCTCAAAAAAAAAAAAAAAAAAAGGATGGTATTGGCAGTTTATCCAAACATTCAAGAGAAGTTAACATTTTTTAAAGTCTTAAATATTGCAGGACTAACTAAAATAATGCAGAAAACATAACTTTGCAACCCCAAACAGCTAAAGTCTAAAAATCAGGGAGTCACTCAACTCTCTGGAACTCTGTTTCTTACAGCTCCAGAAACTCAAAATACCAATTAAAAAAATTTTTCTTTAAGCATAAATCAAAGGAAGGGAAATTTAGACAATCTTCATTACCTTATAGAAGTAAACAACAACAAAAATAAAGCAAGAGGAGGGAGGATTGAAGGTTATCCACATTAAGATAATTTTCCCTGTAGTAATCTTGAATAAATAGAATTTGACATTTGTTACATAAAATAACTGGAAGTTGAAGAAGAGAGTGGGGAAATCTACCACCTAAGAGGTACAGGTATTGAATCCACCTTCCTGTGAGAAGTATTAAATCAGAAAATGTAGGGGTGAATAACTTAGTCCCTTGAAAGATATATCCTTTAAGATCAACAAATTATATATATATTTTCCAACTACAACCCTGATTCACAATATAGAGACTTTGGCTCATCTGTCAGTACTTAGCTCCATTTTCCTCTCTGTGGCCTCACTGCAGGAGTTTCACAAGATGGAAAATTCACTTAGGCTACCTGCTCTAGATAAAAGTCTGGAATGGTGAACTCAAATCCCAAGAGCCTCTGGTATACACTTCAGTTCGACAGAGAAAAATTTTAACTACACTTGAAAGAAAATGACCCTGGAAAATAGGTTAGCAAGGCAGCAGAAAGTGTGTGCCTTGATATGTTTTGAATTTCGAATTCTAAGTATTCTTTACTGGCAGAAAATGCTGTTTTATGCCTCCAGCTAAAAGACAAAAATAAAACAGAATCCCACCACCCTCTTATCAAACCATAAACCTCCCTCAAGAGACTTGATCTATAGAGTTGCATGCATGAATTATTTGTGTTTTAAAAAGAGCATTTTGCACAAAATCAAAAGCTAACTCTTTTCAACAACTTAGGGACAGGTTTTGCTTCTCAAATGAAAGTATCCATGAAGAGGGGTCAAAAAACATACCAATTCATATGATATTAAAGTTTATAATTAATCTATTCATAGTATTATTTTATTTTCTAGATGTAATAAAAATTTTAAAGCATCTTTATTTTTTCATAGACAGTATGGTTGGCATAAAACATTGATTGAATTAACAAGATTATTTGTGGGGAAATTAAAAATCCCTCTTAAGTACCCCTACATTCCACATATACATAAAATATGTCCTTAGTATTTTGGTTTAAAATATTAATTTTGAAATATATTACTTATAGCAGATAGGCAGACTATAGATAGATAGATAGATGATAGATAGCTAGATAGACAGATGATAGATAGATAGATAGATAGATACATACATACATACATACATACATACATACAGACGAAGGGAGGGAAGAAAAATTTATCGCTTATTAAAATGCTCCTGTTTACAGAAAGCTCAGTTAAGAAGTCTGTGCTGCTCTTATTATAGATTATAAACAGTGTTGATTATAAACACTGTTTATAGCAAATTTATCTGTTCATTGAACTGAGAGCTAAAGCTGCATTCGTCAGGTGAGCACGAGTGACGTGAGATAAGATTATGTGTGGGAGCTCCTATAGCAATACAAGGCTGATGCATGCATCCAGGTTTCTTATTTTCTTCTTAAACTAGCTTTCAATTTACTTACTTTGTTTTAATGTCAAATTGATGTTTAATGAGTCATTGTAAATTTATAAAGAACCAAAGCCTCTTTTGTGTCAGGAAAAAGACTTATTCACTGACTTTGATCTAAACAATGCTAAATGTTCTTTCATAAAGTGTCATTTCTTTATCAGATTGAAAGGTTGCAGATAAATTTTGCATTATATATCTAGATATGGATAGAAGCAAACTTTCTTTGTTAAATTAAATTCAATAGGTCTTTAAATCTCACCATTTTGGGAGGCTGAGGCTGGAGGACTGCTTGAGCCCAGAGTTTGAGATGGGGCCATATTTTGAGACCTCATCTCTACCAAAAAAAAAAAAAAAAAAAAAAATTAGCCCAGAGTGACGGTACAAGCCTATAGTCCCAGCTACTTGGGAGGCTGAGATGGGAGGATTGCTTGAGCCCAGAAGGTGGAGCATGCAGTGAATCCTAATCATGCCACCACACTCCAGCCTGGGTGACAGAAAGAGATCCTGTCTCTAAAAAATGAAATAAAAAATGTTTTTAAGGATCCTCTCCAAGCTCTGGACAATATGTGTTTATTCCTGAGAGACTTATGATAATCTTCAGAGAAAGAAGCTTTCCAGTGACTAAAAGTAGTTACTGTCGTAGGAAAGTAATTTTTGTAATCCCAGAAATAAAGGAAACTTACTTCGTTTCTACCCATCACAATCTAAAAATAATAACAAATAAAGCATCTTATGTGAAAGTAATTATAAACTTCTTCCTCAACCAATATTCTCACACATAAACCACCTTAACTACCTACAGAAACACTACAAGCAGGGCCTGGAACAAACAGGGGCTATACAATGGAAAAAGTTCAAATAGACAGCAGGTCTATACCCATGAATACATATGGGGATGTTTGTGTTGGGTGAGATTTGGCTTCTTATTTCCTCACCTATTTCCACCTCACACTTGCTTACTGTACTACCCATACATTAGTCCTTCCCATTCAGGATTTGGGGAGTATCTTAGATGAATGAAAAAGGCTTCATAAATACATTTTCCCTTAGGATGAGAAAGAGAAATGAAAACTATATCATTGTTCAAATTGGTTACAGATAGAATATAGTTATTTCTGTAACTGTCTAAACTCACCTAAAACTCATACCTCCAATTCTATCTCCCTTAACTAGTTCTAAAGAGAATTATGATCTACTTACCTCTATAAAATGCAGCATTCTTTAGATTTTAGAGATGCACCAAAATTCAGACATAGAGAATGTGTCTAATATTCAAATAACAGATCCAGACTGTTCTAACAACACAATCCAAGTAAACCATTAAAAAAAAAAAACTGGTCTGTTCATTCACAGCAAGAAGATGTTTCCAGCTGATGTGTTTGATTGAGCTAGCTGATAAGTTTTATTACTCTCATGTAGACAATGAAACAAATGCCTAATGGGGAAAATTGCATTGAGTCTAACTTGGAAGCAAAGTTGGCCTCTGGCTAGCGAATGTGTCCAACTGGGAAAACTAGTTTCAATCCTTTATAAGGCCTAAAATGTAAAGCAAGAAAGAAAGACAGAAGATGGATATTTCATTAAGATAGATGAACTCAAAAAGAGCGGTGATGCAGAGAAAGTTAATAAGGGAAGTAGAGAATAAGTGGTGTTCCAATTATTACCAGCATAAAGCAAATTGCTCAGGGGCCCATAAATCTTTTCAGGTTCAATCCCCCATGCTTAACCAGATGATCTGCCTGGGTCTGTGCACAAGCATTTTACCCCACTCTCTTCATTTATCTCCTCTTGAACTGAAAGATACTTTCCATTCAGTGTTAAGGTTTCTGGCTAAAATCATTCTACTATAAAAACACTTATTAAAGCACCCTTTGAATGGTTTTCAAAAATAAAAATAAACAAAAAAAAAACAAAGAATCTCTATTAGGACAAAGAAACATATTTAGAAATGCTTCAGCTAAAGTCCTACAGAGCTTCACTTTTCCTGTAGTACTAATATTTTTAGACAAAGTGAAAATGAATATATATTATCTATAATAGAACATCAAGTAAGAATACATTATTTCCCCCCTCTTTATGTAATTGTACCCATCCCAATACCCATCTGGCTCTTTCATGGGACATTTTTTGTCACAGACATAGGCATTCTCTTTTTTTAAGTCATGTGAGGATACTTTTATCAACCCTCCCTCTAAAAATCTATCCTACTTTCATTTATCTAATATAATAAAGGTAGTATGCCTGTGATCTTATTACAAAATAATTAAGAATATATGCTATAGGGATTTGCTGTTGGGTAAGAAAGACAGTACAACAGTTGAGTTGCCTTCGTTACTAAATGTGTGATCTCTCTTAGTCATAATTTCTTCTTTTCAAACAATGGAAGCAATAAGCATTGCTACCTTGTCTGTTATGAAAATTAAAGTATCTATTGTGAATAAGGAACACTGGGTCCAGCCCATGGCAAGTATTCAATAAAGTACCTTAATTATTTCTATGACTACTTAGAAATAATACAAGATTTCTAATATTGATCTACCACTTTCAGGATTTGGATTCACTTTATTAAAAATTAAATTGAAAACACCTATCATTTCTTGTTATTAAATAATTCACATTTTTTCTCTTTAAATGAAACCCCCCTGCCACCTGTCATTTCTCCAAGCTTCCATATCTTCTCCTCCCTTTCAGAATCAATTTTCTTGAAAAAACTCTTTGTTCCTTCTCCATTTCTTTCACTCCAATTTTCTGTTCAATTGGCTGTATGCCAGGTGGATTTTGCCACTTTGTTGAAATTTATCTCCCAAGAGGCTCTTTACCAAATCGAGTTAATTTATCAGCCTTTACTTTACTTTTATCTTGACAGCTTTTGACACTTTGACCCTCTTTCCTTTGTTGATCTCTTTGATAACACTGTCTTTCCATTTCACTCCTCACCCCATTCCTCTGCCCATCTCTGAAGATACAACCTTACAATCTTACTTCTGTGCATAATGCTTGAATATTGGTGTTGATTCCCCTATGTTGTTGTCTCTCTCCATTGTCCTCTCATAACCTCTTGCAGGCAAGCGTTCAAATACTATTTGTTACCAGTTACCACTGATGGTCCTGAAATCTCTGTTTTCAGACAGTAAAACATACTACTTTGCTAACACTGGACCTTTCAACTTGGATATATGCCAGTTGCTTCAATCTCAGCATGTCCAAAATTGAGCCCAGTGCATATAATAATTGCTCAATAAACATTTGAAGGCTGATGACTACACAATTTTTTTCAAAATGTCCAAATTGAACCCATGATTTCTAACCTCCACTCCTAAGATCAATCTTCTGTGTATGTTGCCCTGCTCAATAAGGGAAAGCAATACCTGCCCAACTGCCCAAGCCTGGCATGGAAAACATCTTTGAAACATCCATCTCACTGTACAATATACAAACAGGCACTAAATGCTATTGACTTTAAGTATCTCCCAAGGTTGTCCTTTTCTTCTCTACCTCACTTACTGCAGATGATATTATGTCTTGAATTCTTACTGCTCCCATCTCCTACCTTACCTATCTGTATACCAAGAGAGATCTTGCTGAGATCACTAAGATGGGGAAAAAGATACTATGAAAGTTAAAGGTCAAACTAAAATATGTTAGAATTCCATTTTCACCCTGCAGTTGTACAATGTTTGGCAAATCATTTACTTCTTTATGTCTCAAGTCTTTCAACTGTAAAATAAGGGTCAATAATATATTGGAAAGAATAAATGAGATATTTAGCACACAATAACTATTTATCTAACATCCAAAAACTATTTCTTACTATTGTGATTTCTGCATTTGATTATGTCAACTGTTTACAATAATAATGTTGGTGTGTTCCCACTGCAACTTAGAAAAATGTCTACATTTTCTTAGTTTATAATTTGCCTCTTCATAACTTGAGCCTTGAATACTGTGTTCATTTTTGTCTGTGTATGTAGTAGCAGCCACATCCAATGTTTTAAACTCCTCTTAAGTGCCACTCTTATTCACCCCAGGTCTCTGCGTATGCTGTTGCATTTTCCTGAATCACCTTTCCCCTTTTCTTTGTCATTTAAGTTCTACTGGATTTAGAACTTTTAGATCTCATCTTAAACATGTTAATGCTAGGAAACATTTGCTGTATGAGGATTTTGTGCCAAACATTGAGTAAAGATTTACACAAATAATTTCATTTTTAAATTCCTCAAAACCACCTCATCCAGGAGAAAGACTTTCCTGAGCTCAAACAGAATGACAAATCAGTATCCTGGCTATAAAAACTCTTGATACCCTATACTTACCAAAAATAAAACAATGCAAAGGCTTACTTAATTTTCCTTCCAGTTCTACTGTAAAGTCCATGAGGACAAAAATGTTAAATATAAACTTGTGCATTTATGCTTATATCCCCCAATTAAACACAGTTGTGGAACATAATAATTGCTCAATAAACATTTGAAGAGTGTGGCTACATAGTTGATTATTACTATGTCCTAGGCACTGTGTTGGGTTGGCATTTTTTTTAGCCACTCGGAATTAGTAAAATTTCTGTTTTACAGAGGTGGAAACTGAGGTTTAGAGAGGTCACCTAGTTATTGTTCAATGCCCATAGTAGTTGTCAGAGCCAGTGTTCACTTTCAGAATTGTCAGACCCAAAGTTCCATGTAGAAATTTTATTCTTTTTAATTTAAACATCTGCACAACTAATCTTTGTGATGGGATCATTCAGACTTAAATAGTTAAAGGTGCTTGTCATAGAGTCAGTGGCTGTGATTGATCCATAGCAATGTATTCACAGACCATCAGCCAATACATATTCCGTACACAACTGCTCAATGACTATGAAGTGCATTGCTAGAGTAACTAGCTTATAGGTCAAATCAAGACTACAGGGACTATATCCTAACAAACCAGGTTAAGCACAAACAGATTTCTAGTGTTAACCACTTTTTATTTAATTTATAATAATTACTGGCATTAAATCTAGTTTTTATGCCTGTCATACTCTATTAGAATTGAAGCTAGCAATAAGAGAAGTTTTCATAAGGTCATCATTTATGAAGTAAATATTGTACAGATTATCTGTAAATAAGGGTTGTTATTTTGGAGAGAAATTATTTAAAAAATCACCTAGGCTACACCATTTTTCTGTTCAATTTCTTGGGTGTGTTATCATTACTTCTCTTGGGAATTTCATATTTAAAACTATTTCAAAGTCAAGGTTAAGGGTAAGGGAAAAGAGAAGTAGAACAGAAAGGCAAATATTGATTGCAATATAGACTCAAAACTATAGTTGGCTAAGAAATGTATGATCTGTATTTCAGGTACCCAAGGTAACTCCAACCTAAAGTTTATACACTTTTGCATATATAGTCAATTCTTCATCTAGATTAGAACTTTTAAATCACCAAATGACCAGTAGAAAATATCTCTTAGAATTTTTTCTACAAAATTTGATTGCCTTGGAAGGTAGATGAAAGAGCTAATGACTATTTTATTTAAGTGTGATATACTGAGATGCTTTTCAACTATCTGTAATATATCCTAGAAGATCAGTTTTATCTCCTTAATTATGTATATTTTCTGCTTTATTGTATGTAATGGAAAATGAAAGAATAGACTGGCTGCAGAGCTTGAAGCCTGCAAGTTTTAACTCACAAATGCAATCTGTAGGCTATGTCGCTAGCGCCAATTTTGAGGATTTTTTTTTTTACAGTTACACCATTTTATAAGTATTATGAGTCAAAGCTTTTATTATCTCCAAATCTGCCAGTGAAGCTCACTGTTGGGCTCCTGTATGGCTCACTGAAAGACATGGTTCTGCTGTTATTATAGGATGCCTCCCACTCCAGGAGTCACTTGTATTAAATCAAACCATCACATTATTTATATCTTCAAGTTCCCTAATTCACTTTTTGTTATTGATTTTTGGATTTTGCTTTTGACCTGTAAGACTCTGCATGGCCTATGTCCATTTAAAATAACTATTCAAAATTCCCTGGTTGGTCTTCACGAGCGGAGCCAACTTTGTGAGCTGCTCCTAAGTCTTGTGTCATTGTGATTACCCTCTAGGCTTTTCTATCTATTGCTCCTTCTACCTTCAGAATTAATAGATTGGGAAGATTAGGTCAATTGGCATTTCTGAGGCAAGTCTGAATTAATTTTCTTTGGCTTGTCTTGTTGAATTTCACACTCCCTGAACATTTCTCACTGATAAGCAGATTATGATGCTGGCTCATGTTCAGGGATAGCAATCCAAATGTATTTACAGAGTTGTATTGTTACCTTTTAGCACCATCAACTGCAATAAGCATTATCGTTTATAAAGTTAAAGCTCTTCATTTTAAATCTGTGTCAAGAGGCTAATATAACTGTGATTTTAATTACTAAAAATCAATTTCAAATTAATGTGAAATTTAACAGTGGGAGATGTGTCGGAACCCAGAGACAATCAGCTTGGCCTTTACCTTAGGTGCGGTCCTCTATAAAAGGCATTAACATAATGCTGGTTTTCTAGATCAGTGGTTTTCAAACTAGTGTCTATGAAAAGCTTAAGTCAAAAGAGGAGTTCCTGGGGATTTATTATTGAAATTTAAGTCATGGTAAATCAAACTTGCATATAGTGCAAATAATTTTTTTTCAACTTTCTACTTAAAGCAGCTGCATAGGGAGAATAATCATAAGAAGCTATCGGTCTTAGTTTTTAGGAAATCATTGGTGTCATTAAGCAGAGCGATTTCATAAGCCGTAGAGGAAATTCATATCACAGGAGGTTCAGGAGAGAGAGGAGAGAGGAATGGGTAGAAAAATCACACAGACCGTTTTCAAAATATGTTTGTGAAATGAATATCAAGACAACTAGAAAGCAGGGAAGGTTAAATTATTTTCTAACTTGCTAATATGGTATGACATAATAATGCTTTGTAGGTACAGTGTAATGGAGGTGATACAAAGTTCTGTGCACATATCCTAAACAGGGAAAGAATTTCAGTGGATGCCAGCTCTATAAGTGGATATGAAATCAAAGCAAAGTAAGTGAATCTTGGAAAGAAGGAGGGACAGTGTAATAGAGCTGTTTATTTAAAAATTACCAAATGGACACAAAAGTGACTAAAAATTAGGCCATAAAAAAAAACACCACTACAAAATAAGTTGTTTCTACAACCATTCTTCTCAAGATACAAGCAATACCTATCTTCCAATGGTTTATTCTCTGTCTTCTAACACCCTCGTGCCTCCTCAGCAACATTTAAACAGCAAATCACCTTCTTTTCAGGAACATTTTCTTCACTTAATTTCTAGGACACTACAGTCCCCAGTCTGGCCTTCACCTGATTGACCAGTCCTTTGTGTCCTGTGGTGGTTCCTCTCCTCCTGCCTCTGAATGTGGGCATGGCTCAAGGCTCTGCCCCTGGATCTCTTCTTTCACTTGTTACCAACATCAGTTTCAAGTTTCAGGGCATTTAAACAACACAGTGATGGGTCTCAAATATGTATATCCTGCTATATCCTCCTTCTCAGGACTCATAAGTTAAACTACCTCCATAATATTTCTATTTAGATGCCTAGTAGACATTTTAATCATCCTGCCTAAAACAGGACTCTCAGTTTTTCACCTGAATATGTTCCAGACCTAAATTTCCCAATTTCCCCTGTCATTAAAGTGAAAAAACATGGAGTTGAGAGGTTAGACACAAATCTTCTCTTTCCTTCACACCCCAACATCTAATCTGTCTACAGGCCATATGGGCTGTAACACATATGCAGTACATATCCAAAATCTCACCATTCTTTACCACCTTTTTTCGCTATATCTTAGTCCAAACTATCATTATATGTATTATTATTTCACTCTTTCCTCACTAAAGTCAGTTCTACACATAGTAATCGAAATGTTCTCTAAAAATAAAAAAAAATGAAAATCATAGGTCAGATTAAGGTATCCCTCTGCTGAAAACTGTAAGTCACTTTTCTTCCCACTTAGGATGCAATATAAATCTTTACTGATTAAATCAACTGATCTCTGTTGAAAAATTTACACTGACAGTAAATTGTTACCACCCAGACTTAAGAAGCCATTGGGTGAAAGAAGTAGAATAGCGTTTACTAATTCTTCCTGGAAAAATTAGGAGATGGATAAAATTTATTCTGGGGTACCCTCTTCCTTTACATGCCACTCTGCCTGTCCCCAGGTGTTCTCATTATGCCATAAATTCTTCACTACTATTCCTAATTTCCATGGAATGTTGGAAGGATCAATGTAGGAAGGATCTAAATTCTAAAATTACTATCTTTTCAATCTCCTGAAAAAGGAAAATGAACAAGAATGGCCCTATTACCTTAGTGCAATTTTCTTAGCTAGGTGTTGGAAGGAATAATTGTAATTAATTAATCTATAGATTGTAAGGATTTCTATGACTGTTACTACTACTATAGACATTATCAATGATAATAAAATAATCATAATAATTACTACTATTTTATGCCTGGCACTTTAAGTACTTCTGAACTTCACTACCAAACACTGCAAAAACTAAGGATCAGAGAGCCTAAAGTTTTGCCCCCAAACTAGAAAGTAAGCAACTGTCAGGAATCAAATCTATTTCTACCACGTCCAACCATGGACTCCTAACTATTAAGAAAAAAAACACAAAACTAAGCATGTGAAGTGGAATTTGGGGTAGTGTAGGTAAATATATTTTTGAAAAAGTCTGCTATGAATTGGCTCCCTTTCAAGTTCCTGCATTCACAAGTCTGCTTCCTGTCTTTTCTTTTGAATCTATAACTTCAAACTATGACTCCAAATTTATCTGTAACTCCAAATATCTCAGCTGCTATTTTTATTATGTTTCTCTTGGGTCTTTGAGATATGGTTAAAGCAGAGTACTCAGAAAAGTGTGAATAAAGACAATCAGTTTAATTACAACACTTTTGTATATTATACATTTTATTTTTTAAAAAATCAAAACCAAAAAACCAAATAAGATATGATGAATGTTGTTTAAGGTAAAGGACCAATGGTGTTTAAGCAATGTTGATATTTTTTACTTTTATAATGAAAGATCACTGTTATATTTTAAAATAATAATTTAAGAAAATTTGGAAAAACACTTTCAATGATTAGAAAATAAGATTTAACCTGTTTACGACTGAGGTTGCAATGTTTTGAATTTTTGCATGAAATTTACATGTGTTACCTAGAAAAATTCAAGGAACAAGAATTTAAAAAGAAAAAAAATATTATGTCCCTTTGGTGAGTTACGTGGCATTCCAATAATGGAACACTAGGCATATTAAGATGCAGATTTGCAGTAAATTTTCAGACATATTTGCAAATCGTCCTATGATCATTCATTGATTCTTCTGTTAAAAGTATGTTTATGAGAAAACTAGTATCCTGAATGTTGCATTTGCGTCTTTTAAAACATCTAGTGTTTGCGGTATAAATTTTCTATGTTTCATGCGCAAAAAATAAAGAGAATAGTGTCTCTTTCCTTAGTCTTTACTTCACAACCACCTGATTAGTAAAAATGTAGGTTATAACTTCCTTCAGATGCTTGGTGTCTAAACCATTCTATCAAATGACACAGGGAACAACACTGGAAATTAAGGCATACAGCTTGTTTAACAACAAAACTTGTGAAGGTGAAGGTTATAATGAAAGAAAAGGAGGTAAGTTCCTTTTCATGCCAAAAATTCTGTGCTAATTCTGAATCATGTTTGCCTTTTGACTGTGTGATAATCTTACTAGATCCGCATTCAGATCTCTGTGAATTTATGGAGGTACAGGTTTCAAAAACTAAGGGTAGGGCCCAGGCATGGTGACTCATGCTTGTAATCACAGAACTCTGGGAGGCTAAGGCGGGCAGTCTCCTTGAGCTCAGAAATTCAAGACCAGCCAGAGCAATACGGTGAAACCCCGTCTCTATAAAAAAATAACAAAAATTAGCGGAGCTTAGAGGCACACAACTGTTGTCCCGGCTACTTGGGGGGCTGAGGCAGGAGGATCGCTTGAACCCAGGAGGCTGAGGCTGCAGTGAGCTGAGATCGCACCACTGCATTCCAGCCTGGGTGAAAAAGTGAGACCCTGTCTAAAAACCAACCAACAAACAAATAAAACCCTAAGGGCAGGGTGAGGGGTATTGATGTATTGGATCTTAGTAAATAAAACCAAAAATTCTATAAATAGTGCAGTTTTTCACTATTTTCTATTCACGAGGAGTGACCTTTTCTGACCTGTCAAAAGATTATTCATCCTTCAAACCTCATCTTAATACATCCCTTTTTGGTCCTTTCTGTTGACTGCGATAACTTCTTTCACAGAATCTCCGTACTACATAGGCAAGACTTGTCACATACTACCTTTGATGAGAATTGCTTGTCTACCATTCATGTAACTCCTATACCTAGCAATGCCCTGGAGAGCAGTGAGTGAATGTTGCACTAATATTTGATCTACTAGAGAGCCTGGCAATTAAAATAAATATATTGTTTGTAGTCCATTAGAAAAGAAGGAAAGAAAATAACATCACCATCAAGGATATTATGTTTTGTTATATTCTCATGTTATACTTTGTTTAACAATGTTTCTGCAATGTAGATTTTTACTCTCATTGCTTAATTTTAGGTATTCTTTCATTTTGTTTAGTGAATAGTAGTTAAAAATCATCATCAACTGTGTATGAGGAAATAGCAACTTCAAAATTACGTTATTTTTCTTTGCACAGAATTTAATAAAATGCATTAATATTGTACTATGCTGTAACAAGTAGCTACATGTAAGAAATTTTAAAATGTAGGGCTGTAAGTTACTTTGTGTAATATACATAATAGATTTCTTAAGAAGAATTTGATGACATTTTGAAAATCTCTATTTAATCCTATACTTTACTTTCAAAATTCAGTGCTTCTCTACTGTAGGGTTAAAAATGTATGATCCAGAAATAAGTTAATTGGTTAAGTTAAAAAGAAATGTTTGTTCAATATATTAGTTTTTATCATTAATGATACATCTTTTGACACACAAGTTTAAATGGAATTCCTTTCCAAATTATTTTCTGGAATTAAAAATAGTTAAACGTATGGAAGATTTCTGTGTTTTTGTTTTTGTTTTGAGATGGAGTTTCACTCTTGTTGCCCAGGCTGGAGTGCAATGGCACAATCTCAGCTCACTGCAATCTCCGCCTCCCGGATTCAAGCAGTTCTCCTGCTTCGGCCTCCCAAGTAGCTGGGATTACAGGCATGAGCCACCACACCCGGCTAATTTTGTATTTTTAGTAGAGACAGGGTTTCTCCAAGTTGGTCAGGCTGGTCTCAAACTCCCGACCTCAGGTGATCTGCCTGCCTTGTCCTCCCAAAGTCCTGGCATTACAGGCATGAGCCACTGTGCCTGACCCTGCAAGCATCTTTAATAAGCATTTAAGATTGTTCAAAAGTGAAAACTTGTTCTGGTGTAAAATATTTATATATATAAATATAAAGAGGTTACCAATCAATATGAAACAATCGGCTGTTGGGAAGAATTACATATCCCATTCTCTTTTGAATCATAAGAGTGTATACTTTTATTAAAAATATAATCTTAAAGGATAAGGATAATCTGAAAATAATTTATATTGATTCACCTTTGAATATGTTGAGTGATTCTAAAGTTGAAAACTCATGAATTGATTGTTTTATGTACTAGAAAAGCACAATTTCATTTCAGGAACCAAAAACGTATGTAGGGGACGAGGAAATGTCTACAGCAAAATAATTCATACTATAATAAAGAACTGCTTCTTAAACTTTAATGTACATCGTAATCACCTGGAAATCTTGTTAAAATGCAGATTCTGATCCAGTAGGTGTGGGGATTTTGCATTTCTAACAAGCACCCAGCTAATGCAAATGCTTCTGGTTCATGGGTAGACTGCATTTTGAGTAGCAAGTCCTTAAATAGAATTAGTTAATGTTTAATGATCTACCACAAGAAGAAAAGACTAGGATGATTAAAGTAAGGAGGAAAGGGAAAATTATTTTCCACTGGTAAAAAATCATCTGGATAATAATATTACATATCCCATTATTACATATCCCATTCTCTTTTGAATCTAACAAATTAATGTGTAATTCATTAGATATACTAATGTTTATTTTTTAACATATTGTTCTGCTATACCCTTAAAATAAATATACACATTAACTGACCATTAAGCTTCAGACATGGAAAATTCATGGGCTTTATAAGGCTCAGCTGTTAACATCTACAAAAAAGACAGTATTATAAAGCAAAAACAGAAATATTAAGACCATTTTCAATGAGTCTTTAAAGAGAGGGAGACATCATTAACTTTAACAGCAACTTACAAGTATTTCATTGGTTTGTTTCTTTCAATTTATGTGGACGCAAACAATTTCACATTTTTCCTCTAAACTTTTCAATACAAATGCATTAAGCCTTTCTCTGTATTGTGTCTTATATCTAACCTATCCCCCACAGGCATCAAAGCTGAACATGATGGTCATGCTGTTCCATGACGCTGTGAAAGACAAACAAAGAACAAACACACCCAACGACTTAAAACTTGGAGTCAAGGGAGCTCTCCAGGTTGCAGGATGCCTCTCTGATCCTCCTAGTAAATATAAAAGCCTCTTTCTTCAGTAACTGAAAACAATCACAGCTGTCTTTCCCCGTGTCTTGTTGAACCTCTAGGGATAGAGGAAAGGCAGAGTATAGAAATGTGCACCAAAGTGTCCGCGAATGGATTTGATTTATATAGTATGGCTTGCTATAACCTGAGAGGATTAGCTAGTGGGTTTCCTTAGAGACAGTTTCTATTTCCAGTAGAAGACCTTCTAACATCTTTAAATGGTACAGCTACAAAATGCTATTTTTCTAAAATACAACTGATCAACTAATGCTCTTATTAAGCTGCATCCTACATTTTATACAACTCTATACCTAAATATGCATAATCACAAATATTATCACAGTTCTATGATTATTGATTGTAATAAAATTTAGAAATCATATTTATTTATATTTTTAATATAGATGAGAAAATGCAACTATATTCACAATATAGAGATTTAGAGATTTTAAAGCCCATGTTCTCCAAAGGACAAAGTGAATTTTTTTAATGTTTAATTTTTAATTATTATGGATACATAACAGTTGTACACATTTATGAGGTACATGTGATATTTTGATACAAGTGTACAATGTATAACGATCCAATGGGGTAATTGAGATATCCATCCCCTCTAGCATTTACAATTTTTTGTGATAGGAATATTCCAATTTTAATCTTTTAGTTATTTTGAAATAAACAATAAATTATTGTTAACTATAGTCACCCTGTACTGTAATCATTGTGACTATAGTTGGTACCGAACACTAGATCTCACTCCTCCTAATGAATTTCAAGAGTATAATAGAATTGTAAAAATTTCATGAGAAATATACAGTAATAAAACCAATAAGACAATTTATATGTTACAGTTGACTAATAGAGCATTCAGGAGAAATTGGAAAAAACCTGTGTCATATGCTTATCATGCGAATTTCTGTGTATGTATGTGAGATTTCTGAGTTTACTGAAATGGCAAGTCGCTTACCTTGCTATGTCAGCAGTGCTATACAAGTATTATTATAAAAGATATTTTATGTCAAATGCAACCCTGTCAATTTCTATCATCTAAACGTCCTAATCTTTATTGAATCTAAAAATGTGATGCAAAGTAAAGATTTTTTTCAAAACATATTTTGGTACTTTTATCTTGACAATGCTTTTATTTATGAAATCATAGAAAATAATCTTAAAGGTATTTTTAATTGGCATGGGAGGTATAATTCCTCATGTAATCTTGTGTATTAACACTAATTCTATTTTACTAATAGAAATTTTCTGTTAATTTCAATAAGTTATTTATCTATAAAACATGTACATGTCCTTTTAATGAAATATTTGGAATCACATTTGAAAAGAGAAAAAAATTATCCTAGTGATCTGCCCTGGAAAGCTTTTACTTTACTGGTGAATAAAATCCTGAGAAATAGGCTTTATGCTTTCACTCTTATAATATCTATAACTTCATGGGAATAATTCTATTTTTTAAAAACTAAACTGAAAGTTCCTTTTTATAAGAGCAGCTGTAATAGATCTTTAATTTTTTTTAATTTCTGTAAGTTTTAGGGGAACAGGTGGTATTTGGTTACATGAGTAAGTTCTTTAGTGGTGATTTGAGAGATTTCTATGCACCCATCACCCAAGAAGTATACACCAAACCTGATTTGTAGTCTTTTATCCCTCACCCACTTCCCACCACCCTTTTCCCCTGAGTCTCCAAAGTCCATTGTGTCATTCTTATGCCTTTGCATCCTCATAGCTTAGCTCCAACTTATGACTGAGAACATACGACGTTTGGTTTTCCATTCCTGAGTTACTTCACTTAGAATAATAGTCTCCAATCCCATCCAGGTTGCTGAGAATGCCGTTAATTCCTTCATATATATATATGAAGGAATACACACACACACACACGTATATATATACACATATACACACATATATACATATACATATATACGTGTGTGTGTGTGTGTGTGTATCTCTCTCACAATTTCTTTGTCCACTCATTGATTGGTGGACATTTGGAGAAATATCTTAATTTAAAAAGCATACTGTAACTTTCAAGATTTTTTATTCTTTTTACTGATTCATTAAGTTTTATTTATTGTGCACCAATTATATGATAGTCACTGTAGTACTGTCCATTAAACACAGACGCATGTAACTAGCAAGCACTGAAATGTGGCTACTGTGACTGAAGAAATATTTTTCTTATACCATTTACTTTTAATTCTAAATTTAAATTGTCACATGTGGTTAGTGACTACTTCTTTGGATAGCATAGTAAATATAGGCAACAAGGATACGGCTTAACTGCGAGTAAAGAAACCTGCCTGATAAAATTTC
The DNA here is from genome assembly GCF_000001405.40 of Homo sapiens. Classification (NCBI taxonomy): domain Eukaryota; kingdom Metazoa; phylum Chordata; class Mammalia; order Primates; family Hominidae; genus Homo; species Homo sapiens. Next base: position 67,189,597 of record NC_000013.11, read on the forward strand.
TTTCTAATTAGTTACAAAAATATATACAATTAAAAAATAAATGTACAATATAAAGTTAGACAGTGATAAGTGCCATGATGAGAAAAGAGATAAAAATGTAAATGAAAAAGGATAGAAAGCAATAACGAGGCAGTACTGAAAGGAGCCCTAAGTGGATGAAGGAGAAAGCCATTTGACAATCTGCAAAAGATCATTCCAGATAGAGAGAAAACTTAGCAAGAGAATAAGAAGTTACTTAGGCTAATGCTTCAAGGAAAAAGTGCTTTGTCTTCAAGAAAAAAAAAATGTAATGTTTTAATTTACTTATATAAATACAAGTAGTGAATGCAGTTTTTAAACAAAATAAAACAAATTCTTGATAGAGTTATTAAAAATAATACAAAATTAGTCTACCAAAGGCACATCAAATATTTATGCCCTTCTTGACATTAAAATTGATCAGTTGAAATCTTACTTGCCAGTCTCATTTTGTAAGGCTTATAATATTAAAAAGTTTTGTGAAGGTCCTCATAGAATTTTAAATATGCAAAGAATCTTAGAAATTGTACTCTAAATTCCTTATTATACAAAGACACTGAGGCTTAAAGATATTACCTGATTCCTGCCACTAGCCCTTTGATACCCAGTTCATCTTATTATACTATGGGTGCTATGCTTCATATCTCTAATGGCATCAAAACATTAGAGACGCAGAAAACAGGACAGGTAAAAACACTAATTGTGAACAGAATATCAATGTTTGTTAAGTAAATAAATGTATGAATCATTGTAGGGCTAATTTTTACTTTTCCAAAATCAGAGTCTGCTAGACTTCTTTATGGTAATTTCACCTAGACTTTGATATCTTAAATTAAGAGGAAATATTTTGTTTTGTTTATAATTAATTCAAAATAGAGAGGAAACTGAGCAATTAATGAACCATTTTTGAGGAAGATAAACTAGCAAATTGAAGAATGTACTTTCTAAGGTAGAACTTTGGATTTCTGCTTTGAAAATGCTGGGTGGTCAGAATCCAGTAAAAAGCTGTTAATGTAAATTAGTAATTAAATTGTAGAATAGAGAAGTGCCCAAATACACTAATAATATAGATTTGTCAACAAGGATTTCAAAAGTATGAATAATTTTACTATAACTCAAGCTTTTCTGTAATTTTTGAATAATATATTTTTAAAACATAGCAAAACCCTTCTTATCTCCCAGAAAGAATACGCATTGCCTGTTTATGTTCTATGTGCTTTAAGTTCTTGATCGTTTCCAATAATATCTAAAAATGTCAGATGAAAGCACACTTTTCATTTGACCTTCTTATTGATAAGTACACAATGGGAAAATAGTCAAATTGTTAATTTCTATTTTTCTTCTTACTGAAAAACACTAACAAATGATTGCACAAGAAGTTCTCAAGGTCTTGACCTCCATTCTATTCATATGTGATCTACTAAGACTGTAATTCTCAATGCAATGAAATATGTTTTTAGTGCTTGAATATCCACTCATATCATGATGAATGTCTTGAAGATATCCCTCTTCTTTTAAAAAAGAAAACAATTCACTCTCTGAGCTTATAAGTTTTACTATAGGCTAAATTCTCATTCCACAAGTAATACAAATATATTCTTATCACATAATTTTATAACTACTTTATCTGTTTAGTACATTTCTGTGTCTCAACATAAATTCTTTGGAGAATGTACATTCCTCGAAAATATAAATTCCTGGAAAACAGGGAGGTTATCTTGATCATTTTGTTGATCCCAGGTACTAACATATTATTGGCTCTCAATAAATACTTGATAAAAATTTGAATAAATTTGAAGAATTTATCTCTATAAATCACTACTTTGTTCACATCCCTCTATCTTGAATTGCTTCCTAATGGGTATAATTATTTCAACCCTTTTAAAGGAAACTATTATATAATCTCGTATAAAGTTAGGAACACATTCTCACATTTCAGTTTGAAAACACTGGAAACAACTAAAACATCAAGAAAGCTATTGTGCTCACCATAAGTTAACACTAGCCTGCCACTTCAGGTGTTTCTCTAACCACTTTCCTGCACAAATCTCTGCCCTGGTCAAGCCATTATCACCCCCACCTGGACTTGCCTTATATTCTTAACGCCATTCTCTCTTCTCTACCTGCCCTGTCTCCGGCCCCTCCCAAGAGCATTCTCTGTCTGTCTCCTTTCTGTTAAAACTCTGCTAATCCTCTTTCAAGAAACTGTATGAAAGAAAGAAATTGAACTAACTCAAAGATGAAGAGTCCTTGCTGGAACTGAACCACTTGCTTTCAATATGATCCTAAACAAGCCACTTTAGTACTCTGATTTCTTATTTGTAAAAATTGGAGTAAATCAACACATTAAAATTAGCTTGAGTAGAAATTCCACAATGATACCTATTTCAGAAAAAAAAAAACATGTTGTACAAGTGTAATTTGTCGATTAGTAAATTTTAAAAATTGGGGTAAATCAGTCTATAATTAAAAGAATTGCTGGAAGATGTAGAAAGAGATGAACACAGTTCCTAGTACATATTAAAAATATAATACATATTGGGGATGGGGAAAAACAAAAAGAATATAATACGTATTCTTCCACTATGCAATTCTTTGACATTAATTTTGTCAGTGTTAAGATGTGAAAAAAATCTGATTTTCCAAACCTACTATATTTTTGTGAATAATTAAGTGAAAAGTGTTAAAATAATATGAAATAACTAAAAATCAAACAAATATTAGTTATTGACTTAAACTTATTTGAGACACTTCTTCAAAGGTTTAATCTCTCTTCTAAAGGTTTCTCTGACGATCCCAGTCAGAAATAATAGCTTCCATTTCTATAGCACTTTTTGGCTGCATATATATTGCCTTACATTATACATATAAAACCCATAGGTTTATGAGTGCTTTTATAAAATCCTTTTAAGATAGTTGGATTTCAAATAACAAGAACATATTCATTCTGACTGAACGAAAGTGAATTCAAAATTAGGGGGGTGGTATTAGAAATGTATTAGAAAGGATCTGGGTTATCTCATAAAATAGAAGGAAGGCTGAATAACTAAGCACTGGTGGCTAAACTCAGAAAGGTGGAAATCATAGTGAATGGAGTAGATTCCTGAAGAGATGTGGATAAAATAACACAGATAACCTGTAAGAGGGATAGTCCTTTCTTTACATTTACGTCCAAAGCTACACCTTTGAAACCACTCGATTTAAATACTTGGTCCCTTGTATCTTTGCCAGAAGCACATGTAAACTCTGTTTTTATAAGGACAGTTCACGTAAGATACTATTATCTTTCAACGAGTAGCAGAAAGGGAAAACTGTTTAACAGGAACTGTCCCTCTGACCAATTCTGTTGGCAAGCACCTTAGTCCTGTTGCTTCTTTTCTGTCCATCAACACCTAATTGCTTTTGTAAACTCTAAAAAGATAAGCTGGAAATATGTATCTGAAATCCCTATTACAGCAAAAAGTTAAAATTAATACTATGTTCAAATGTACCAGACTAAAATCACATTGGTTTGGAACCCAATAAATATCCAGTGACATGCTAGGTCTTGACTGTACCCAGGACAAATTTCCTCAGCCTAGTGAAATAAAGATGTCTGAAAAATTAAGTAAATCCCATACCAAAAATGATAGTGTCATAAGATCTTCCCTTTCCTTGAAGGTTTAGTTCTTGGTCAACTGCATATGAAGATTTGTGCTTTGTGCTACTGGAGATTAAAACACACACACACACACACACACACACACACACACAACATAGGAGAAAAAATCAATCTCTGGCACTCTTCCCTTGTAACACAATAGTTTTTGCAGTCTTTTATCTATTTTTTTTCTCTAATCAGGTTTCATTATATTTAACACAATAAAAATAAATTCAGGAAAGTAAGCACAATATCTCAAATCTTGCCTGAAATTAAAGAAAGAACATGAATTTCAACTAGAGTACCTATCTGTTAAACTCTAAAACATGAGTTTTTCTGAAATAAATGTCATATAAATAAATAATGCCTTGTGCAGAGCCTATGTTACTATAGATTACCTTGGATGTATATTCTTAATTACTTCCTTCTAAGGGAAGAGGGGATCTTTACTTACAAGTAATATTTAAAGAGAATCTTATAGTTATGAGTCTATGGATGCTTCAAATAAAGGTTCCTTTAATTTTTCTATTTGAAAGTCTCCTGAAATCCCCATGGAAACGACCTTTTACTAATTCTGTCCATATTTCTATGGAAGTGAAACCAGTTTTAAATATTCCTGTTAAGTCAGATTTTATTATACAAACGAGGCCAACATTTAACTTCAGTGTCACTAATATTTAAGTTACACATACATACACAGAAACAAGAAACAATGTAACTTTCGAATTGCATACCTATAGGTTATTTACATTTTTTCTATTACATAAATCAAGAGGAATTTTAAAAAAGCTGATTGGACAGAAGACTATCAAAGCAAAAGCAGTTTTCAAAGTTAAATTGAGAAGAAAACTTTGTTTGGGGAATCTTATCAGTCTTACTTATCAAATACTTAATGATGCCAATTTTGTGCCAGATACTTTTCTAAGTGCTTTCAAATATTGACTTGTTGATTACTGCACTCATATAAGCACTACAGAAATTATAAAACATTCAATGTTTCTCTGTTTTACTAATGTTGATTCACTCATAAAATCATTGTCTCCAAATAAAACCATAGGGGACAAAAATTCAATCATGACTGTGGAAAACTGAAATAAGTTTTTTAACTTTTATCTTTTTTTTTTTGTATTTGATTTTCCAGAGGTATAATGACTCTTCAAAAAAAACTACATTGTTATCGACCATTTCTGACCATCTCCTCAAATTAGCTGTTTAATATTTGTTCAGAGAATAAAACTAGCTTAATATTTGCTCAAAATTTATAATTGAAGAATTTAATTTGCTACTAAAAACTGAGGAATGGCAGCTTAAGTTTAAAAGCAAATAAAAGTCGGATCATGTGGTATATTTTGCAATGTAAAACCTTTGCTTCCTATTTACAATAATATTCATATTTATTATTGTATTAGGTTTACCACCATTTAAAATTTGCAGTTTGAAGTTTCTGATGCCTTCTATAGAATTGCCAGGAAATGGAGAGCATTTATTTCTGCTCATTTAATTTACTCTAGGAGAACTGAAAAGTTTTGCGACTTTTTGACATGAGGGGCACAGTTGGAACTACTCAGCAGTTAGAGTAGATGTCGAAATATAGGAACAAAACAAAATAAAACAAAAATGTTTCAAACAAATAACAAAGAGACATCATCATTAATATAAATATGAGACCGTTTATCAAAAAAAGTCATTTGTAATTACAATGGATGTGTTTTGTGTCAGGGAAGAATTACCGGCTTGATTGAAAATAGGAACCTGGATCACTTGTGAAAACTGAGAAATTTCCGTAAGAGGATGTTATCCCTCCAAACCACTGACAAAACAATGCCTATGAAAATACCAGTCAATACAGTCTCCTGGGACAATTAATAATGTCTTGACTATTATTTTCATACTTTCTTTTTTTTTTTTTGAGACAGAGTCTCGCTCTTTCGCCCAGGCTGGAGTTCAGTGGCGCGATCTCAGCTCACTGCAAGCTCCGCCTCCCAGGTTCATGCCATTCTCCTGCCTCAGCCTCCGAGCAGCTGGGACTACAGGCGCCCTCCACCACGCCCCGCTAATTATTTGTATTTTAGTAGAAACGGCGTTTCATCGTGTTAGACAGGATGGTCTCGATCTCCTGACCCTGTGATCCACCCGCCTCGGCCTCCCAAAGTGCTGGGATTACAGGCGTGAGCCACCGCGTACATTTTGAGATCTTTAAAAGTAACTGCTTAATCTCTCTTCCTTAATAGGTACCAAAGGATGGAAATACCAGTTTGAAAGCAATAAAAATAATTCGTTACTCTTAAGACAAGTTATTAGACTTTACCAGAACTTTTTGAGCAAAATAAAGATTTGTGCCAACTAGAATGCTTTGGGGAGAAATTATTCATATTTCTGGGGATATAAGAATGAATTATTATATTTTGACAATATTGATAATTATAATGATATTTAAAGGTATATTTCCTTAAAAGTAATAATAAAAATGATTACTAAAAAGCAAGATACAAGATATTACATACAGCATGACTCCATATATATGAAATAACCAAGAAGGTCAATTTTATAGAGATAGCTGACTCCATGTATATGGGAACAGATATTAACAATAAATGAGTACAAGAGATCTCACTGGAGTGATAAAAATGTTTTAAAACTGGTTTATAGGAATGGTTGCTCGACTTGATATGTTTACTAAACATTATGGAATTTTAAACTTTAAATGAGTGACTTATATGATATGTAAAATGTACCTTAAGTTGTAAAAAATAAAGGGATCACTAACTTTTAAAGGAGAGGTGACACTGAAGTGGTCACTTAATCGGTGATAGTTTGTTGTGAAGAGTAAACAAACTCTATGGATACATCACTTAATATTTCTGAAACTCAAGTTTCTTCATCAAGGAATTGAGGATAAAAGTAACATTTACCTAATAGAGCTGTTTTGAAGGTTAAAAATAATCCACAAAGAAAGAATATGTGGAATGTATGTGGTGCAAAACAAGTACCAGGTATAGTAGCGCTAATAGGGATATGAATTAGCCGAAAACTAAAGAGGAATTGTAATTGAGAGGAATAAAGAAATACATCCTAAAGAAATGGACTGAGAGAGAATGGTACTTGGAATATGAACATAAATGTGTATTGATTATAAATTTCATCCAGGATGTTTTACTCCTGAGTCATAAGAAAAACTTCTTCCATCTCAAATTCTGACAGAAAATACATGGAAAAACAAAACAACAAAAACATACTAATTCATCAAGTTTGAAATGTCTTTGATCATGAGTTAGAGAAAACTACTTATAGTGTAAATGTATGGAGAAAAGCATCTCTGCGTATATGACAAATACTATTAAATATTATAGATAAATAACAAAGTTTTGTACGTGTTCCAAAAATGAATACTGGGCAAGTGCATTTTAATGTATGATTGTGTAAATGTTTCATTCGTTGTCCTTTAAATGCATATTTTTGTCTCTTTTTCAAATCAATCCTGATTCTTGGAATGAGTGTTAGATTACCAAAAAACCCAAAATCCTACCTAAGCCAAATAGGAGCTCTTGTGACCTTGAAAAATGCTTAAATACCAAGCTTTAATTTTCACAGAAATGGGGATAGAAATAAAATGTGCACATTTTCAAACATTATTTCATGTGAAATTATAAACATGGCTATAGGCAAAAAAGAAATGTACTCTTTTTACTAGTTTATTTGTAAGAAGAAAGAGAATGTTAGGCAAAGTCTAGGTTGGAAACGGGAAGTTGAACAGGAAAAAATACCTTTGTCCTGTCCCTCCATAGGGATTATCTGTGCAATTTATAGTAATGAAAGGACAATGGACAAAATATAGAAAAAAAAATCAAATTTAACACATAATGTAGACTGCATACATCAAAAGGAGTCTAAATTTAAAATTGCCACATTCTGTTTGGCTAGCTCTATCTGGCTGCATATTTGCACGTCTGGTAATAGCCTCAATTATATATTCAATAAAAAGCATTTCATCAATGTGATCAATGCATTCATTCCTATGGCAAAATGTGTCTTTATCTCATTTTTATATTGTACAAGATAAGGAAGCTAAACTGTTTCAAGGTTTTAGCCATTATTAGACAAGGAACTGGTTCTGAAGAAAGTTCATTTAAAAAAAATAGCTAGTGCTGGGAAAAGAATATTAAATTCTTTTTATTTGAAATACTCCAAGCTATTTTCAAAGCATATTTATTAAGAGTTGCATTGAGAGCCCAATAACTTTTTATTTGGTTGTTACTCAGGGCCACAGGCTCCGGGAAGATTTTATAGATGGGCTCCATGAAGTCTGTGGGAACTTTGATCTGCAATTTCAAAAAATATATATCTGCAGGTATATGAATTTTTCTGGAGCAGGCCTATAGCCTTTAAATTATACTCAAAGGAGTCCAAAACATAAAGCTTTTTAGAAATGACAATTTTTAAATGAAATATTTAAAGCAGCAAATATATTTCTGTTATATCGATAACCATTTATATGCTTAAGGCTGTTGTATATCTCCAAAATGATTAAAATAAGTAATTGCCAAAAGGCACAATATTACATGTATGTATTTAGCACATATATTTTAAAAATCCTCTTAAATGTATCAATTAATATTGATGATTTATAAATGACTTAATATTAAAACTCTTACAATTCTATATAAGACATGAACTAATAATGCAAAGAAAGTAACACATGGTTATCAACAAAACAGCATAGATTTTCCAGTATTTATTGTTTTTGATATTTTAAAAATAAAACATAATTTTATTAAATATATATTTACACTAAAAATAGCAAATAGAATATAGTTGTTCAATGATTTTTATGAACTATAGGGATAATACATTTATTTTAAATATCATGTACAGATTTTTTTAAACAAAAGCACAAATATTAGGTGTTATTTTTTCCATTATAGGGAACATACTTTGTTCTATCTTGCAAATATGTCAAGGGGAAAAATAAATGAAATAAAATGTTAAAATTTACCTTAGTATGCATCTTAACCTATAACAAGGATTTTCTACAATTTTATTTGTAAATAAAAGTGTAAATTATTATTACTAATACATATTTTAAGAAGAAATAAATCCTAAGGAGTCTCCTTTCATTTATTCAAAAAGTATTTATTGAGCGCCTACTGTGTACCAGAAATTCTGCCAGTTTTCTTTTGAATTCACAGCAATTTATGAAATCCCATTTGGCATACACAACTTCTAATTTTATCGTTTCTTCCACCACAACAAACAAACAGTCACCTTAAAAATCTATTAGGATGGTTGCTAAGTGTGGCATGTGAAACATACCAAATCATGAATATGCTAATCATCCACTTAACAAAACACACATACCATAACCTAGGTAATCTATAAAAACTCATTAAATAAATGAAGTGTGGAATTACCCTTTTTGGGGGACAGTCATAGTATTTTAATGTGATACAAAAAAGCTAAAATAATGATTCATTTAAACTAACTTGATAATTCTGAATTTATTTATGTGTTCATATGAATAAATAGTTACTCTCATATTTTCAAAAACTAAATGTTGGTAGTTGTGCTTTAAGAAATATTTAAATAGCAAAAGTGGCTATAGGAGAAATAATGACCTCTGCTTATGATACTTAGGTTATTACCTAAAACTTAAAGTATAATTTTTTAAAAAAAGAATACTTATTAATGTTAATTTCAAAAGCTATTTCTATTCAAAAATTTAAAACAGAAATGTGATACATTATTCAAATAACATCACAAGTAATTATCACATTAACATGTCTTAAAATCTGATTGTATAAAAGATAACTAAACTGATCATATTTAATAAACATAAATTGTAGGTTTTTTCAGTACAGAAGAATTGATGCTTGGATCATTTTCAATCTATCTGAACTTATGTATAAATATATTCTATATCTAAGTGAATATGTATTATAATTTATTTATATCTGGGTGTATAAATGTGTGAACATATACCATATACAACTACATCTCTAAGATTAAGCACTATATTTCTGGTGATTAGATAATTAAATTGAAGATAAACTAAATTAGTTTTTTTTTATAAAAATATGCTGTTTAAAGGTTAGTCATAATTTTTTTCCTTCCCCTGCACTCTATTCTTCTCACTTAAAAATCACTTGCTTCTAAAATGACCAATAATACATATTTAATTAGTATGTATCAGAATATTAATATCCAATTTAATAGCAAAATACATCTTTGAAGTGAAATTAAGTGACGAACATTATTTGGATAATGTATCAATGTGTTTTGACAAAATATGTACTACTTGTAAATAAACATGTGGGCAAAATCTTTGTAAGGAATTACAGCTCATGAAAAAATATTAAAGGATAAAGGAATGGATAGAACTGCTGGAAACCATTAAAATAGGAAACAATTTCAGGGAACTAATCAAAGGAGAAAATATTATTTGAAATCACTTCTTTTGTTATAGGAAACATTTGTTATCTTGGACTTTTAAACATTTAACTAAGATACCAACAAGCCGCTTGCTCAGTTCTTGTTTATCTTCACATTTCACTACTTCATTATGCAAAATATTTCTATTTATGGGTGGAACGTGAAAACATGCTCTGTTTTGTGTGCAGCATGAGAACCTCAAAGCAAGCTGATGGTATTTTCATTCAGCTAGATTTTCCAAATGGACCTGAGTAAATTCCTTTCTTTATGAAAAACCACTGGCAAAAACAAAACCAAACTAGCAAATAGGGCAGAATGGGCTAAATGCCTCTGGTTAAAATAAATATAACTTTAAGACTAAAAGCAATTTTGGAACATGCATTCTACATTTATGATTAGCCATTTTTCATCTCTGCTCTTTCAATGAATATCCTTAAAAAATGGGACACTTTTTAAATGAAACATGCTGGGACTTTTAAATGGCATCAATAATTTTTTACTTGTTTGTTTTTAATTAGTATCTAAATAAAATAATCCACAAACTGGGAGAGTTATTTTCTATGTGAATTTAATTGAATTTCCCACTTCTGTTGTAGGGAATCAAAATATAAAACACATAGCTAAAGCAAATGCATCCCTACACAGCAGTGTAGAGGTACATGTGTTTCTCTATGGTAATAGCCAGGTGGTTGTGTCCCAGCAGGTTTAATAAGGTGGTATTAAATACTGTGGTGACTCATGATGGTATAGGGTTTGTGCTCAACCCAGGAATCTAAATTTTCTTAGCAAAATAAGTGAATCAATCCTCTAGTGAGCAAACCTAAACCAAGTCTCTATATTTATATTGACTATATTTAAGAGTCTAGCTTTACCATTTTTCAATAGCATGCCAAAAGTAATGTACTGCAAACTTTTACTATTAAATGTCTTAAATACATTTGTAAATTGAGCACAAAAGGGTTTAACAGACCTGCATATATTTTCTCCACGTCACCTCCTTGTAACTGCTTCTCTGCAGTCTAGAATACTCAGTTAAAGTGCAAATTGCTTGACATTTCGATGCTGAAGAGTGGACATAATGAGTACCTGGGGTTGGGAGAGTGAGGGGGGAAGCCCAGCCTGTGTCCTTTAGCCTAAGGTTCCACATGTGTGAGCAATTCATCACTTAGGAGAACGACCTCCTATTTATACAAGGGCTATAGCTGTTAACCAAACCACATGTTTTCACTCATCATTTTTTCAATAAGATTAAGGTCAGGAAATCCTTATTAGAAGACCAGAGCAAAATTTCAAAAAGTTTTCACGAACAAATTCAACACAAAGTCTCAACACTGTACAAAACAATTTCTGAAACTTTATTGTGAATTTTAAGGTACATTTAGTAAAGAATGTTATCCTTAATATAATTAATTAAAAATAAATTGGAAAGAAATGCACATACTACTTTTTTAAAGCAAGAATAAGTACAGACTTTTGAAGCCACAATATATACAATTTTATGAGTGCAATAAGCTTTCAAATACATTAGGTATATATCCGTTTAAATAAATAGTAGAATACTTGATTTGACATATGTGATAGTCATACTGATTACACCAAAAATGTTTTACAAAATATAGCCAAAAATGGAACGTTATACATTTTGATATACAACTCTTTAAATACTTTATATATTCATTACTTACTTCAAATTATAGTGTACAAAAGTCCATTTTAATGAGGACAAGTTTTAATTGTGTGTTTACCACTGTTGAGCAAATATAGGTATTAAGATGCATCCCTGTATGTTACTTAAATTCCCATTCAACTTAAATCATTTATCACAGGGAGGAAAGAATTCTACCAATTTTTAACAGTAATAATTTTTATTGATAAATTATCCATATAACATATTTCAACATTATTTTGGCTATTTAAAATTTTCTAAAATGTATCACCTAGTTCTTGAGCCAATTTTTTGTGTAATTAAAACTTAATTTGAAATCAAAATAGAAATATATTGCTACATTGAACTTCTTACCTGCTCTGCAACATACATAATTTAAATACCTTTAATTATCAATTTTCAATTGGGAAAATTTCCCCTATAATTCTTTAATAATAATGCTTTGTGTAGTGCCTAAGTATCTCAAGAATTCATTTCACAAAGTACCAATTTAATATACTGTACTGTAAGTGTTACCTATAGAATAGTATTATAAGAAAATGTGATTTCAAGGGTTTTACATTTATTATTATTCATACATTATAGTACAACAAGTGAGATCGTTTTCAGCCACATTCAATTATTTTTTGCACATAGTTACACATGGCGATTTATTTGGGGTATGTAAAAATGTGGCTATTTTTCAGAAATAAAATGGAATATAAATTATCAAGTTTTTTTTTTAAATGGAAACAATACTGTTATTTTCTATAGGATCCTTTAAAAAGTGAAAGCAAGGAAACACAAACACACATACCAACCTATCTTGGTGTGGTGAGGTGAGGAGAAGGACCATTCAACCATCATCTCCTAAAAATTTCTTAGGCAATAATGATTGAAAAAATGTACTTTGCACTTAAATAATGAGCAATAGGGTTATCTGGCTCTGTCTACAAAAATTACCTGGTAACATTAGAAGATGATTATAGAATTACATATTATTATTGTTATGTTTCACATCTGGACCACAAAAGCAATATGAGAAAACCTATTATAATGTGAACTGAAGTTGCATTTTTATATTTTTTAATAGAATATTAGAATATTACCACATCTAAGAGCACATCTAATAACAATAAAGACAACTTAAATTCTCCTAAACCTCCCCAGTACCAACTGCCCACTGTTTTAATGGAGCAGCACCACATGTCAAGCACCCAGTCAATCTCTATAACTCACCAAGTTGCCTCTTATTGGTCAGAATGAAAAGCATATACACCTTCTGCAAGAAGTCAGGCGGCATGAGGGAGGCTGAGTAGAGGACACATACAAATGCAGATTTATCTATTTTTAGTGAGGGGCATAAAACTGTAAAACAGGGGTTTTGCATGGAGTAAGCATGGCACCTTATTTTTCAGTCAGAGAGAAATGCCATCAGAGCTATTCACATTCAATTTATGAGAGGAAGAAATGGACTGATGTATAAGTGAGGGTGTTCATTTTGTCCATATTTGCATCAGGGTTGTATGTGTGTGTGCTGTGTGTATGTGAATATGTGAGTGTCTTGGTATATTTCCAAGGTAATAAAGAGATTAAATATAATTCAGGTAACACGTGATTGCCAAAGAGGATCTTATTTCTTGCCCTGCGAAATGAACAGGAGTTAATGAAGCAAATCTCTAGGTTGTTTTGATACAGGGTTTTAAGACCTTGATGGTAGCAAAGCAGTAATTCCTTTAACTGTAAAGTATGTACACATTTACACTAAATAAGACATAGCAGTCTTTTGACCATTCTCTCACAATGTTAGAAACTACATAATAAGAACTTCAAATATCCTTTAATTCTTTCTTAATTTTTGAAATTAGATAAATATAAACAAGCTTTCATAAGCTGCAATTATTCTTAAATTGGCTAACAAATTTATTGAAAGCTTAAAGACAATCATTTAATTTTATCTGCATCTTGAACTCCTTCATTATGGTTAATAGACTTTGTAATTCTGTTTTAATGCTGTCCTGTATATAAAAAAACTCTTTTACAATCACCTTAAATACAGCATACTTAAGTTGCTGATATCTCTCTTTTCCAAATAATCATCTTAAATTTGGCATACTCTTGACCCTTTTGGCTTTAAAATCACTATTTCAAGAGGTAACAAAAAAAACTATGCTTTAAAAAATATTGTAATTTACTAGAATACCATTGCCTAAGTGAGCTGGGTCTGTAAAGGTGATACCAAATAAGTCATTTTAATATTGCTGTAGTTTACTTTTGCTAATTCTTGCATAGCTTTTAAACACATTTTGTGGTTAAAGGATAAAATGCATGCAATTAAAGAAAAGAAGTCTACCTCTTCCAATGAATAGATATGAGAAAATCACATTGTAAAAATCTAAAGATTAAAACTCCTATCACAAATTATGTATAAATATGTGTAAGAGCTTACCAAATTAAAGTCTAAGAACAGAAATTTTATTAAAGCACCTTTATGGAAATAATCAATTTGCAATAATGACAGTCAAGTTTTCAGATAACTTGGAAAAAAACCGCCACAGTCTTAGTAGTAGAAAATGTTGCCATAAATATGATATGATAGGTAAACTTTGTAGAAGAGAAAAAAATAAATAGTAGGCATTAGGGCAGCTCAATATATTGGGGTTAAAAAATCTTATTAAAACTTCAAAAAGACATGGAAAAAATATTTTCCCCTCAGAGATATTTCATAAAGCAAAATGAGTATGATTACATATAAGGCTGGTTATGTATATTTATTTTTGCATCTAATCTGTTTTTCTTATTGTGGATACACACTAAGCACAATTTTTCTCTAAACAGTTTTAAGAGATAAAAGTGGCCACAATTTTTGGATAAAATCATACACTGCACACAGTACTGGCTTACTCAGTTGAATAACTCCTCCTTATTTGTGAAAAATGATGTATATATTTGATGAGAAAAATTATTATGCCAGCTTTAGTTAGATAGTTGTTTTCCATTTCTCTTTTCAATCATTTTCTTGAAATTCTAAAGGTGCAAAGTCTAGGAGCTGATGCCCATTTGCCTTGTCTACTACATCACCTCAGAAAAATCATTACAGAATTTTCACTTCACTTGTGTAATGTTGTCCAGTTCCATTAATCCTCTCATGTCATTCCTCAACTGCCTAGAATTGATGTATATTAATCCATAATTGTGGAGGTAGAAAACAAGTGCATGCTGAAAAGCTTCTGCTTTCCTTAAGGCAGAAATTTCCAATGCTCAGACTATTTAATTTGGCTCTTGTAATGTCCATTTGGATCCAGTCTGCCTGCCTGTCACAATCACAACCAATAGGCATAATGTCACTACAAATTATCACCAACATCCAGAATGTCAATGCAAAATTAATTTTCTTTTTCACAAAACCTTGAATGTTAGTCCCTGGATAAAGGAAAACCCCAGCTATACTTTAAGTCATCTAGAAAGCTAATTCAACACATCACGTTAGGCCACTGTATTCATGTCTGTATGACACAGTTTGGTTTTCAAATCCCAACTGGGAATTCTATCAGAAGACTGTAAACCTATAGTGAAACCAAAACAATTTGGCACTCTTCCATGAAAATCTGCTAAAAAGAGATTACTTAAAGTGTTGGCTTTTATGTTTGGTCTAATTAAATATGAGTTCCATTGAAAAGAGTATCTATTAAAAAATGCTTCTCTAAACATGACTCTTTAAACAAATGTACAGATAAAAACTTCCTCATATCCTCACCACAAATTGATGCCTATCTTTGCATATGCCATGAGCTAAAAGTAAACCTGCCTGCATGTCTTTGAGTTCATGTCTAAGAATTATGCGTTTCCAATATATTATCTTATATTTTAACAAAGGAAACCCTGCTGTTCTAGTTTATTGACAAATTAACAGGTGAATTTAACTTTCTCACATCAATGATCTATCTAAAATAGTCCCTTCCCAATTTCTCATTGTCTGGTGAACAACATAAACTCCACCTTCAGTCAACATGTTGAATACTGCTTTTTAATTAGAGTAATTGAAATATTTCTGCTTACTATACTTATCAGTAAGGGACTTCAAGAAAAAGCTGCTGCCTGAAAATAGCTCTCAAACCAAGCTTTGGAAAATAACTGAGTTCTCGCAATAAAAATGCAAGGTTCAGAATTCTAAGTGTTTGTAATTGAAAGTCAGTCTGCTTGTCTCATATCAAGAAACTCCTTTTGAACACATAAATCTTTTTTATTTTCTAGGGATATTACGGAATGTGTGTTCTAAATAAGAACTGTACTCATGAAAGTGATTCCATCATCCATATGCACTACACATAGTGGACAAAAAGGGTAGCATATCATTCCGAGAATCAATTTCCTTTGCCAAACACAATATGGAAAGCTGTGCATCCATAACTCTCTATTTCATTTTAACCTTTAAATGGACCTCCAATTACAACTGTAAAATTCTCACCTAGACATTTTATCAATATACGTCCATTATAATAATCCATGATAAACAAATTTAATTTTACTATATAACTGAAATGGCTCTCTCCAGTTCTCAGGTTTAAGGGGAATCTTGAGAATTCAACACGCGGTTGATGAATTTTATTTTTATTTATGTACTTATTTATGTTTTAGACAGGGTCTTGCTCTAGTGCCAAGGCGTCACCACGCCTGGATATTTTTTGTATTTTTTGTAGAGATGGGGTCTCGCTATGTTGTCTAGGCAGCTCTCAAACTCCTGAACTCAAGTGATCCATCCGCCTCGGCCTCACAAAGTGCTGGGATTAAAGGTGTAAGCCACCACACTGGCATTTACAAAATACTGTTAAAGTTTTTTTTTTTGTTTGCTTGTTTTGAGACAGAGTCTCACTCTGTTGCCCAGGCTGGAGTGCAGTGGCATGATCTCGGCTCACTGCAAGCTCTGCCTCCTGGATTCAAGCGATTCTTCTGCCTCAGTCTCCCGAGTAGCTGGGACTACAGGCGCGCACCACCACGCCCAACTAATTTTTGTATTTTTAGTAGAGACAGGGTTTCACCATATTGGCCAGGCTGGTCTCGAACTCCTGAGCTCATGATCTGCCCGCCTCCCAAAGAGCTGGGATTACAAGCGTGAGCCACCACGCCCGGCTGATACTGTTAAAGTCTTAAACAAGGAAGATATTAAGCAGCCCGTAATATGGTATATTTGTAAAACTGTAGAAAATAACTGAATAATTTTGTAGCTGTGGGTGATGAAAGTGGAAAACCTACTCTAGGAAAATGCTAAAATTGTATAAATAGTATTAAAATAACTTATATGCATGTTTCTAAATAGATATGAAGATATATTCTCCCAGTGCATTGCAGATAAGTTGGAGGAGGGCCTATACTGATCTTAGCTGGCAAATTTGTGCAGAGATGCCTGGTGGTTGCTTCTGAACCATTCAGGCACAGGGGCTGGAATAAAGATTTAAAAAGAAAGGAAAGCATCATTCCAGTCAAGTAGTCTAGGACTGAGATACACTTGTTATCATTAGAGTTTGACTTTCCCCTCTTCTAGATCTTTTCTTATCTGATATGAGGCATTGTATAAAATAAGAATAATCACAAAACTCTGCTTTGAGATGAGCAAATTTATTTAAATTAACAACTAAAATTCACGTTTGTGAAAAATATCTCGAATCGTACTGCCTAAAAGATACAAATGCTAATTTCTACTTTTCACATATACTGTCTGTGAATGTTCATTGTAAACTGTAAAGTATCTCCCCATGTCTCAGGAATAGTTCTGTCATAATGCTATGTGCTCAGTGGCAAAATTTGTATAATAATGAAGCAAAAAAAAAAAAAAGGTTAAATTAGACTTCGGTGATTTTTTTTTTAACCTTTAAAAAAAGGTTAAAATGGCCAAATTTCTTTTTGGCAAAATTTACTTTTGCTGACTAACTACAAGTTTATGTTTTGTATAAAAGTTCCATGATAGAGACAGTATTAATTAGCAGCTAAGAGAGCGCAGTGTCTAAGACTGCTAGGGTTGGAACCGTAAACTATTCTCCCCTGACTAGAACTGTGACCTGAAGCAAATCATTCAACTTCTCCTCAGCTGTAAAATACGGACAATAATAACAGTATCCTCCTCAGAAAGTAGTTGGTTCTATTTGAATTAATACATGTAAAGTGCTGAGAGGAACTTCACGCACATGGAGTACTTAATAAATATCAGTTATTATCATTAGCTGGTGTTTGACATCTACTTTCAAGGCATTGCAAACTGTGTTTCTAGAAATCAAAAGATAATGGTACCAAGGTGAATGCTGTGATCTTCTCTTTACAAAGCCTCAAATATCTTCCACTTTTCCTGTGAAATTGTTAGCTATTTAGCTGAAATTAACTGTGGATTATTTTGGCCAGTTAGTTTTACATATGTTTAAAATCATGTTCACATTTCTAGTAATAAAGCTATGACTAATCATGTCAATGCGATCAATAATTAGTTTCAATGCCAATAGCAAACCATTGAGATTAATGAATTGATTACTTTTTATTATTAGCTTTTTCCCTATATAGACTACTCTAATACTACAAAGGTTATGTAACATTGCTTTTGTTCCAATTCCTAATGAATTTATTCTTTTTTGAGGCAAAATATTGGGAAGCACAGTCTATACCAGTTTATTAATCTACAAGCATCCAATTCCAAATCAGATTCCAGTAACACCATCTCTTTGTACTTTTACAATACAGAACTGATTCGATTAATCAAATAGCTGTAATTCACACTGTATTGTCCCTGGAATGCTCACTCTGACAATGCTCTATGAACTCACAGAATTTTCTTTATCTGTCCATCTTCTAACCTTGCCAGATACTGCTAATATTTCATCAATCAATTAATGCCCTAAATAGCTAATGTGTGTCTTATGCAAAAATCCTTGCGTGTTCATTTGACACAAACTATTTTTTTGTTTTACTTTCATATTCCTTAAAATTTCCTGTCAGAGGCATTATCAACATTAAAAAATTGGTGGGCTTTATTTTTAGTAGCCTCCAAATGACCATATATTTGTTGGATGAATACTTAGAAAGCATATCATGTTCAGAGAGCCATATGGTTATTCCCCAATGACATATTAATGTCACTTAGTATTAATAATATTTATGTCACTTTTTTCCTATATGTGCAAAATCTCCATAATAAACAATTTTGACCAAAAATTAGATTCTCACAATTTTTGATTAGGAAACAATTAGGCTGATATAGGCAGTGATTAAAACATTTGGCACTACAGAAAAGTATTTCTCATATTTTCTTTACTGCTATAAGTAAATTTACTACTGTCACTAGAAATAAGAAAGAATTGGCTGAAAAAAAATGTAAGTACATTTGCTGTTGGTCATGTTTGAATATGACAGAAAAGCAGCAGGAGCTGCCAATACAGAAGGCTTTACCAGAACATACATCTTTGATACGAGTAGTTGGAGGAATATCCATAGAAAAAAGCAAAGGGCTTGGGATACACAATCTGTATTTAGAACAGCACCATGTTTGCTGCCACTGTTTGTGATGTTGACATTGCCACCTTTCTGATTTTATGGTGAAGTTGGTCATTACAGACAACAGAACACTGATGATTACTAAACAAACTTTATTTAAACGTTACTTTAGGTGAAATTTTAGATTGTGTAAGTATTATATATCTTTCCTACCTCTCAGTATTGGCTACAACATCTGCTCTTCTATTAGGGAAACACTCATACCTTCCCCTGAAAAACACTGGAGTATTGTTCTGAAAGCCAACACAATGTATTACAAGAGCAGAATTGACTGAATTCCCAGTACTTGAGTCCTGCAACTAAGCCATTACACAGAATGCCTCACCTTAGCACCACATACTTCCGATGTCATTGGCGCACTTGGAAGACCATAACATAAGAAGAACAATTCCTTAAGAATGTATATTCTTTCTGTGATTTGTTTACCACATTTATATTTTAACCCCTCTTCAAATTGGAAGTGTTTAGAACATTTTAAGGAAGGCATTCAGGGTGTGAGCATTAAAGAGACTGCTTAATATGATTAAAAAGTGTCTTGCATCCAAAATGTGGCATTTCTGGAACTATTTAATACATCTCCTCCATCGATGTCAATTTTCCAAACTTACAAAGTGACTCCTAGACCGATCCATCTACAGTGTAAAATAGTCTCTTTACCATATCTCTATCAAAAACACCAAAAGAATTTGGTCTTCCTAAACTTGTTAGAAGATGAAAGGGTACAATGCAGTAAGTAGTAGTAAATGCAAGCAAATTGAGTTATTAGACGAGTAAGTATTCCTAAGCTGCTGTTCAAGATTCAGAACCATCCTGTGGGTTCTTATTTCTGCAGTGTTGTGAAGAAAATGTGTTAGACTCATTGATGGCAAAACCGTTTTATTTTATTTCCATGTAACCAAATAACACCGGTTTTTTTTAACATTAATGTGGTATTTCATCTAATTAATGTGGTATTTCATCTAATTTGCAGTTTGGTTTTTCTAATCCTAAAGCTGATTTTCCTCCAGCATGAGACTGACAAGTTCTTCAATTTAACATCACTTTTACTTTGAATGAAGAAACTGCCTATAAAATCAGTGGGCACCATTTGATTAAATTTGCTTTTCTAACACTTGTCCTGATAACTAACATTATCAGTCAAAATTACCACTGTTTGATATTTTTATTACATTTACACATTATTGCAAAACTATGTGTAATTCTCCAACATTAACAAAAGTTGAAATATGCTAAAGTCACCTTAATGTGTTACTATAGACAATAAAATCAAACATTATAAGAGTAATATTACTGATAAAAATATGGCAGCTACATAATGATTTTAAGTTCATGGTTTTCCAATCAAATAATAAATGCCAACAATCTGCTCAAGGTTTTGTAGTTCTGTTTTTTGATTTCTAATTCAAGAGAAAAAAGTTAATTTTCTAGTTCAGAAGGGGAAAATTAATCACAGAGCAACCTCAAAAAAGATAGAGGCAATACTGTGTTATCAACACTAATGCAAGAGAGTGATAACATAGATCATACAAACAATGGGAATATTGCAAATCATTCATTGTCAGGAGAGACTGAACCATGTGATTTATTTTGTAATTGTTTTTCTTGAGCCAATGTTAACACTGATGTGCACTATTTGAACATATATCAACTGATAATAGAAAGAAGTAGGCCAGATGGATGTTGGGTGGCAAGAGAAAACCTGCCAAGGAGTAATGTTTCCCTAAGTAATTAACAAAAGCTGTAGTTCAATTTTTAATAATAGAAATAAAAAAATGGTTGAGTCCAATTATCTAATTTTCAGAGGAGAAAACTGAATTCTCAAGATGCTAAGTGTAATTCTAGCAAAGTATAAATGGTTTTGAATAGACATTATTGTAGCCAAAAAGAGAGAAAATAATGTATTCTACACTTTTTAAAATGGGAAAATTTAAGTACTGATTTTAATAACCACTACTGTTTTATTTTATGTGGTAATACATTGCATAGTCACTTATAAAAATCAGAATAAGCAAGGAATTGAAACTACGTAAAAACACCAAGTTAATTGTCACTGTGAAAAGTGGTGAGAATGCCACATTTTTGATTTTATTTAGAAATTGGTTACTACAGACAGAGCAACTATCATGTGACTTCTATACCAACCTTTATTTAAATGTCTGTATCTTCCTAAGCTTAATATATCCTGTTGCTTGGTTCTAAATTAGTTTACCAAACTGTTCATATTTTCATAGTATTAAGAAGTGATTTACATATAGTTTTTTGGTTGGTCATATCAACCCAATAATAATTTCTAAATTAATTTTAACCAATAATATTTAATTAACAAGTGTTAATACACATTTGATTCCTGAGGTCTACATATTTTAGCAGGTTTCAATTTCGTAGTTCATTTAAATTATAGTAATTACTTGGTGATAGTTGCCTAAGCCTAAGCATCCACAGAACAGTTGGAAAGATCCTTTTAGATTTAGGCACCAGCTTGATGGTTATCACAGAAGTCTAATTGCAATTAAAATAGTATGTTTTCTGGCAATAAAGATTTATCTCCTAAAATATGTTTGTACAAGAATGTGCAGGTGAGGCATTATATGCATTATTTTTTAAAATACAAATTTTTGGCTTAAATAAAAATTTGAAATTTGGGGATGACCTTCCTATATAAACATTTATCCATATGTAAGTTAGTGTTTTAGAAATAATTGAGTTAAAAAAACATAGTCTGTCTTGGCTGTAATAGCCGAATTATGACATTTTCTTCGATGATGAAAGAAAACTAAATTTTCAGGATATGTATGTTTCTCAATTTAGGAAAACATATATATATAAAATAAAGGTCTCTTGTTTTCAACGTTTATATCATTGCATTGGTTCCTTGAAGTACTGTGATAAATATTCATAAGAAAATGGACTTGATAAAATCAGAACCATCTGGAGGCAGAAGCCAATTAAACCAAACATTTATTCCAGCCAGAATTTAATATCTATGTTCCATATCTGTGGTAAACATGTCCTTTCAACGTACGAAGGCTAAAACATTTTTTCAAAATATCATGACTTGAAACAGCCCTTTTCAAAATGGATGTCTCTACAAGTGAAATTCCATTTTTAGAGAACCACTGTCTACTTTAGCTTGGGTTATCATTCAACATTATTCATGTGTGCCATGTTTTTAAAGTAATTTTTAATATAGCAAATATGCTAATCTCATCTAGTAAAAAAATGAAGTTTTACTTGCTACTATATTTTATTAACACCTTTGCCTGTAGAAGGAGTGTGATTTTAAGAATGAAAAAGTACATTTCCCTCCAAATTAACCAAAGGATAAATTTAAACCTGGCATTCTTATAATTAGAGTAATAGATCTTAGAATCTTATTACCCCATTGAAAGATCAAGTCTCCAGCAGTAGTTAAAAAAAATGTGAGAGAGAGAGACTTTAAAAAATATATTTCAGGGAAATGATGACATCTATTTAAAATTGAGAGTGAACTCATATTTTTTTTAATAAGGAAATTCCAAGGGAAAAAAGTACTGTGCTTAAAATTTAATGGAATATTTTAAACCAAAGACAATTTTTTTTATCTTAAAAAAAATTTCCTATTGTCTAATGCTGTTCCTGGATCACAGCAGTTATTTATTAGATGTGTGTTGAATAACAGAATTAATACAAAATTTAAAAAGCCTAGCTGTGTATCTGTCCGTGGATCATATGACAAGGTCTTTGGCAGCAGAAAATTTCACAGCTAAATGTCAGATACTTTTGAAAGCATGAAAATTTAAAACTATAGAATATAATTCTGGAATAAGCATTGGTATCCATTAGGGAAAATAGAATATCGTTCAGTAGTCTAGTGATAAGTTTGGATATCATCTCATTGTTAGACTTACCTCCAAATAAGTGCTCAGCAGGCAGAAAAAGTTCTTCAGGGAACCCATTCACATAGGGAAAGATGTGAAAGGTACAGTCCAGGAAATATAAATGTCTTCATAGAATAAGTAATTGTTCATTATCTGAACTGGAATTTACATGGACTTTCTAGGACAGTTACCTCTCCATTATAAAAGCTAATAGAAGGCGCGGTGGCTCACCCCTGTAATCTCAGCACTTTGGGAGGCCGAGGCGGGCAGATCACGAGGTCAGGAGATCGAGACCATCCTGGCTAACACGATGAAACCCCATCTCTACTAAAAATATAAAAAATTAGCCGGGTGTGGTGGCGGGCGCCTGTAGTCCCAGCTACTTGGGAGGCTGAGGCAGGAGAATGGCTTGAACCCGGGAGGCGGAGCTTGCAGTGAGCCAAGATCACACCACTGCACTCCAGCCTGGACGACAGAGACTCCGTCACAAAAAAAAAAAAAAAAAAAAAAAAAAAAAAAAGAAAAAAAAAAGCTAATAGAGGAAACGACTGATATGAAAAACATAAAATGGTAGCCTTTTGAATATACATTTAGCAGTATATAATAAATATATCGCTTCATACAGTATACATGTATACATACTTGATGCCATGAGAATGCTAAATATTTCAAATAAAACAATGAATCCAAATCCTTAAAGCCTGATTTTAACCATTTAAAATGTGTTTAACATTTTGCCTGATTAGGTCCATGTCTGCCTATGTGGTGGGATTAAATAGAATTTACCAAACATGTACTATATGCCATGCTACAATCCTTGTAATAACCCTAAGAGGTCTGATATTCAAGATAATATCCACACTATGTCCCTGCCCTGTTTGGTATCCCAATGCTATAAAATGGATATCACATCTTAGCATAAAACAAGCAGAAGCCTAAAGAAAATCACACCAGTTTTCCAGGTTTTATGTGTTAGATTAAGCTTTCTAAGCACAAAGAATGAGTATTTTAATTTTAAGTTTGTTTTGTTTTAAATTCTTGTCTTATGAAACTGTCTTCTTATATAAAACTAGAACTAAACTAAAAGACCAATCCAAAACAATTGTATTGCACTGAGAGGGTGGTTAAGTTCAACAAGAAGTTACATATTTAATTTATTCAATCAAAATCACAACAAAGCCAATTGAAATTTGACTATATCTACTTCTTATTTAGTTGATAAAGTTAATTGAACTAGTAACAAATCTCCACTACATTCTGCTCTAAATACAAATCAGTAACTTTATCGTGATGGTTTCAGCTGTTCCAACAAAAGGAAATGATTTTGGCCCCAGGATATTATCAAAAGGTATTTTTGGGGTACTACCGTAGTGTGTAATATTTTTATTTGTTGTGTCTCATTTATGTTATTATGTCACTCACATACTCAAACATTACAAACTTGTATATTGAGACATGAAAAACTTACTTATAAAATGAATATAAGTTAAATTAAGAAAAATAGTAAAAGCTGTTGGTGATTATGCTTCTACCATGAATTCAATCAATCTCAGAAATATGATCCATATACTTTGAGGCATTTTAGCTGGTTTGATTACACCATGGATGCCATTACTTCAACAGGGATGCTTTCCAGTCTATGGAATAATTGGAAGCAAGAACCAGCAGGTTTCAAATGATTCCAGCTGTGTTAAGTACTGACTGTGAAACAGATTCTCTCTTATATGTGATTTTGTAATAGGAGTGATGGATACGGTGAAAATTCCCAGATGGGTGGAGCTTCTGGGTAATCTATGGGGACGTAAATTCATTACAAACACTAAAAGGAACAGAATAATTTTAAAACATGACATGCAAATGAAATAGGTAAAATACTCAAAATGAAAGACGAAGCAATTATACAAATGTGAAACAACAGGGATTAAGATAAAAAACAACATCAAATATGCTATATTGAGATACTGTTATGAAGATCAATTTTCCAAAAGTCCTAAATAATCTGAAACCAGATAGTGTTTTAACACAAAAGCAGATGAACACAGGTGAGTCGTGAAAAAGATACAATAGAAATCAGATTCAAGAAAACAACCAAAAACAAAATCAAGAAAGCATTCACTAAATGAATGTGCAAACATCTGTCAATGGCAAGCTGGTATTCTTGGACAGGAGGTAGAAAAACAGGTAACATTTTCTGAGTGTCTGGCTATTGCGAGCCAGATATATATATATATATATATATATATATATATATATATTCACTTAATCTTAGGACAACTTTATATGGATTTGGCATGATTACACCCATTTTGCAGACAAGGAAAGCAAGGACTAGTGCATTTAAATGATGTGCCCAGTATCACAGTCTTTATGTAGTAGTTCATCAAGTCAGTTTTTGTTACTCCAAATATCAAATTAGTTCTCTAGTCTCCATTTCTTCAGTCAGAAAAAGAATTAAATAGGCCAAATAATCCCAAAGGTGCATTGGAAACTTGAGAATGTGTAACTATTCTATAAGTTCTATTAGACACCAAGTTTATCTTTCTAAAATTAATATAGTTGCTAGACACTGCATTAATCACTATTCAGTTATTATTTTGCTTCTTTTTATAGAATTTATACTTGATTCTGGCATACTGTCTGGATGGCTCAAAAGTCTATTAAGAAAACTTTAATGTGATACGGTATTTTTCTTACAAACACGTATCTCTATCAAGCACCTATGAAAGTACATATATTGATCATTATGTTTAGAAGTAATAAATCAATGATCTAAGTACTGAAAGGTTTAAATAAAAGGTTGGGGTGAAGAGGCTTGGAAGTGAAGGAATTTGATCCTGTTTGTTTAGCTCACCTCTTGCCTTCTCATTATTTCCTAATATGAAAAACCATGATATGATGGGCAGACATAATGATATGTCCAAAATTACTGAGAAAATGGGACCCACAGACATCTCTAAGTGATGGAAGAATATATTTTGAACATAAATGATGTCTTTCTTGAATGATTGTTGTAAAGATTAAATCAGTGGAAAATCTTATATATATAAAATAAAATTTCAAGATCACTGATCTTCAGGTTGCATCAAAATTTACTGAATGCCTACTAAGTTCACTCTTTTCAGCACTGTTGTGGGTTCAGTGTTAGAAATACAAAGGTAAGTAAGACACAGTCTCTTACTTTGAGGAACTTTCTTATATTCTCTAAGATTTTCATACTTTAAGTAGTGGCATACCAGTATTTGGATTTACTGAGTTGCCATTTGAGACCAAAAGATCATCAGGAACCAGGGCCATGTGAGGAACAATCCTGAAATACGCCTGGGTTCACACAGTATCAGCTGGAGAGGATGCACAGTCCCTGCAAATAACAGATGGTCCTGCAAGAATAGTTTAAACCCTGAGGAGTGTTGCTCCCAGTATCATACAGAAGTCAATAACCCTTAGCTAAAGCAGAATTTAATTGTCTAAAACAGAGACTTTAGGTGTCAAGAAGCTTTTACTTAATTATTATCATGCTTAAAAATCAATCAATGAATTCAACATATTTTGCTACCACTGCATGGCAGAAAATCTTGCCATTTAAGACCAAGAATGAAAATGAGTTTATGTCATACTAAAATATCCTAAAAATTGTGTCAATTTTTACTATGGTGTAATACAATTTTGATACCTATTTAAGTTTTAAGGCAAAAAATGATGATTTTGTATAAATTCTACCATCTCTTTTATGTTGGAAATTTGAATGGGTTGAGAATGCATTGAAATATTATTACTCTATATACCTAAATCTAACATTATTCCTTAACTTGGAAAAAGGCATCAGTAAGAAAAACTCAATACAAAAAATAGCAAAGGAAAATATATTATCTGAGACCATAAGTCAGAATAAATATGAATTTACTATTTCTAGCAAGAAAGGACACATCATAGATTTTATTTCACACTTTGTGGTTGTCTTAAGCAACATATATATATATATATATATATATGGATATATATACGGAAAAGATTATGCAGAAATAATATTACATCACTTTAAAATCCATCAAGAAACTAAGAAATCAGATGTATTAACAACATACATGAATATAGTCCACCTAGTGAATGACAAGAAATGGAGCAAAGAAAAGTAGCCAGTCCAGGTGTGTTCCCAGCTGACACACAGAAGGAAGGCTATTGTGATTCTAGACATCCAATGTGAAAATCGGTTCAATGACATGAATATATGACACAGGAGGGCATCAACTCACAACTCAGAACTCACTCCATTTTGTCTCCATTTGTCATTTGCACCTTCTACAAAAAGTTTCCTGCCGAATCCTATGTAGCTGTGTATTTGAAAGTCCTCAGCATGCAGCTGCTATCACACAGAGGCACAGATTGGTTGCATCCACCGAATCCAAAAAACCACCAGTATTTTTCTTTCCAGAAAATGTCTACTATAGAACTACTACTGTCAGCAGAAGACATTCTCCTTCTATAAAAGATACAGCTTCATTTCATAACTGCTTCTGTGTTTCCGTTCTTTTCTTTATTGAGGTTTGTTTAATGAGGAAAAAAAAAAACCTAATTCACTGAATTGCAGTTGCTATTGTCTTGCACAAAAACTGTTTTCTTTTCTAAATCAATCATCTATTATGACTCTCACAGGCCCCTGTGCCTACTGTGGGCTGCATATGGATTACACACTTTTTCTAATAGGTGAAAATATAGGATTTATAAAATCATTTTAAAATATGCATGGCTATTTGCTCCAATTTATATCTAACAGGGCTAGTCAAAGACATTAAGTATTAAAGAACTGCAAGGGATTTTACTGAACATTGTCATGAAGCTAAATATATTGAAATCCATGTATGTCTAGAACAAAATGCTGTGCTACAAATACACACCATATTTACAAATGCAGCAAAGATGAATTCTAAAAATACAGTTTGAGAAATGATTCAATAGTAATTCCTATGAGGATGGAAGCATTCACTTGGTACCCAGGCCTCTTCATTATGGTAATGCTATATAGTCTTATAGACACCTGGGGTGTTAATCTGATTTAGGTTCAGAAGAGAGTCTGCATACACAATTGAGAGTTTCTTCTTAGGAGAAATGAAGGCCAGATCATGGGCATCAGAGATACCACAAGGAAGTACAAACAAGCCTGCATCATCTATCTTGAATAATTAGAATCATCCAACAGCAAATCAGTCCATTGTAAGGCATGTATTTGAGATTTTTATTCTTTCAGTCACATCCAGTGTTTCTGCATTTGGAAAAAATAGGCAAGACTAATTCCCTAGGCTATAAATCACTCTAATGTGGAGGGAAATGTGTTAGCTAGTTGTATTACAAAGCCTTTACTTCATATTTAATAGGCACCTGCAATACCAGCATTATACAAAGCTCTCTACTTTGCAAATCTTTAAAACCCCACTTAATTTTCAGCACTGATTTCCTGCAATCTAAGAGCTTATGAAGGGTTCACTGTGTTCATACAGATCTATGCAAAATGTGCCAGAGCTTCCCTGTCTGTGATGGCATTCATCTGGAGGTGAATCCCAAATTTCTATCACTGGCATGCTTATTTCCGACTAAAATAAATATTCTCAGAATGAAAGCTGAAGATTAAGAGGACAAAAAAGGAGGCAAAGTAACTAGCACTGGGAGAGATATATGCAAATATCAGCTCAATGACAATTCTTCATACCGTTTACAATAGAAGCTTAAAGATCCAAATAGTCTGCAATCCATTAGCTCCTCAATATCCTGAAAGGGATTAGAGTGTTTCTTAATCAACTGCTAACAGGCTGAAAAAGGCCCAGAGAGTGGTTATTAACAAAGCAGTGTAATACTCAAATGCAGAGATGGTTGGATAGAGAGACAAACTATAGAAGAATGTTAAAATACAAGATATTACACAAACATGATAAAATTGACCACATTTCCATTCTTTCCTACAGCCCACACAATTAAATATCCACATAAATTACTAAGTGGTGAAGCTGTACGTAGCAGGCTCCTTTCAAGAACAGGTAAGTTCATTTCATATATTTTCTCAAGGATCCAGAATAATTAGTATAAAATGATAGAATCAATCAAATATTCCTCAAAGACCTTGACTGTGCTTCTATCTTTGCCATTCTTAGCTGTACAGGTGGTCTCAAGCCCATCATTTAAAACGTGATATGTGCTTATGGCACTCTAATCAATCAAACTGTAAAAGATCAAGGGAAAATATTTTCATATGCCATTTAAATAATGAATAAATATGTAAAAACAGATCCCTAATGAATGACTTTGAGTTCTGCATTTCTTATATTTATATGCTATGCCTCAGAAAATTCTACTGATTCTGCCACTATTCTTGTCTATCAGAGACAAACTGTCTATAGGACAAAAATATGAATGAGAAAGATTAAATATGGGTTGTTTTTCCAGTTTATTTCTGTATCACTCTTTACTGTTAAAAAAGGACAGTTGTTTAACTTATTTAGGAATTTGAAAATTTAATGAGTCTTGGCTTACAGAAGAAAAGAATATAAATCAAAAGCAAAATGTCAATCATGGTAATAAATCTTTTTTGTTCTATGTTTCTGGTGACTGACAGCCCAATAGGTTTGTATCAAACAAAGGCAAAAAGCATGTGTTCCTTTCTAAATGAAATGTTTGACAGATTTGACAGTTTTCTTAAATAACAACCAATGAAATCTTAAAAACAGAGTACATCTCCTTATGTACATGAGAGATCCTATTTTTACATTTGTCTTTACTTCTGTAGTATAATGTAGATTTGGGGGTCGCTGACTATGTCAAAGTCTATAAGACATTAGCATTATTACTTACGAAAGAGTCTGACTTTTATGCCTCCATGAAACTTTAGAATAAGCCTCTTCCTGACTTGCATTTCCAAATTTTCACTAATACCTGGCCTGTGATTAGAGTCATATTTTAATAAATCTGATATAATGGTTAGGGTCCTTATATGTAATAAATTGTGGAAAAAATATTAAATGTGAAGTTGAGTGTCAGAAAGGCCAAACCTTTAAAAATCTGCATTAACTAATTTGTACTTTCCAACTCAGTGAAATATATAAGATATTAAATGATTTACTAATATTAAGAGAGTAATTTCTAGTTATAATAAAGAATTATCTTCAAGAAAACACCAAACTAAATTCAAAGAAAGATTGCACCAAGGATTTTAAGTCAAAGTAGTAAACAATCCACTGGATTTCCAGTTTTGTTATGTTTTTAACTATATACAAGCTAAGAGTTCACCTTTAACAAAGTCAAACTGAGAAGTATTGTAAAAGAGCAATACAGACATCTGACTTGGCCCTGAAACCCTGTAAACACCCAGACTGGTATAGTGGGACCAAGGCTACAACTGTAACGTTCAGCATTTGGTGGATTTCTGAATTCCCCCAACCGAAAAAAAAAAATTAGAAATAAAAACAATCTAAATAAGACAACAAAAATTGTTGTGGAAATAAGATTACAGAAAACAAAATGATTTAAAGGTGTCATTTTCATACTTCAGTACTGTAGTGTAAAATTAGTAATATGAAAAAGGATGCGTTACAATGCCATATCTAATAATATAAGTATAATTTATAGATATTTTACACACATCAATATGAAAATGAAACCTTAAGGTTCAATATAAATCATAGTTAATTATGAGAAAATTTGATTTTAGATTTGAGGCTTTTCCTTAAATCTAAATTCCCTCTACTTTACTATTTCACATATTTTAATTTAATGTATGAAATCATAAGAAGATAAATGATAGCTTGCAATTATTTAAATAATAAGAATATGTTTACACCATAAGAATGTAACATGTTATTACAAGTACAATATTTTCAAAGTAATTTCAATGACACCAAAGCCTGCCCTGTCTCACCATAGGATGACTGGTCTGAAACTAAGGAGAACATTAATGTTCCTTGTTTCTATATCTTGAATTAATGGCAACAAAAACAAATAATAAGAGAATAGAATATTGTCACCACATATACTATTTTCTCTACGTTAACAAATATTCAAGAATCAACAGACATGTCTATGTTTAATACAATAGTAACTTTTCATTTTTATTCTGCTTAATGTTATTAGCAATGGAAGGCCAAAATGCGTCTTGAATTTTATAGCTTAGGAATATCAAGATGGAAAGAAAAATAGTCAAATATTTATCTTACAAACCCAAATGGAAAGATAGCCAGTTTGAATGGGTGGCCTATCCTCATTTCAAAAATCTGTGTTAATATCCAAGGGCTCTGGGTATCTTCTACCTCATAAGTATGAAAACTGACTTCATGACCATAGGGCACTTAGCCAAAGAGCCATAGAAATAAAAATCACAACCGATAACATTTTAAAAACAATTTGCATTTGGGGGATCAGTTGTCACCTGTGTTCAACTGTCACTATATATATCTATTCCAGAATTTAATAATTGAAAATATCTTAAAGATTTTGGTTAGCCTCACATTAGTTAACATTTGCCCCCTTCACTTTCAATTGCATTTTTTCCCTAGCTGTTCTAAATATCAATTCTGTGACTGCCTTCCGCATTTTACATAACATAATAACATTTCAGTAGTGGTTGTAGTAGATTATTCAAAAATGAAAAGTAATCATAAATGTAATATAGTATCTCTAAATGGTTTGGAATAGAAGAAATTCCCTTTACACTGTAAAAATACATGTATACACTTAAGTACAGCACGCATACACATTTTCAGTGTATACATTCCTCAATATATAGAAAAATATATGTGAGTAAATACTCTAGATTGTGAAAAGTCAGGATGTTTAAAGCTCTAAAATGAGTATTTCCTTTAGAAAATTAAATGACAGTTTACCCAGAACCAATGTCTAGTGCAACTCTTACAGACTGTTTTACTACTTGAAGAAGTTGTCAAATGTAAATGGGTGACTATTTCTTTTACTTTAACATTTTCATTTATCTTCCCTCTTCCCACCCCCAAAAAACCACACAGGGGCCAAGAAATTAATTCCCTAAATGCTGTCAACTGGGTTGGGAAACAGCAATAAACAGCTTACTGTAAAGCCTCCAGCTACAATAAAACAGCTGTCAATAAGTGGGCTGAGAGTTGGGCTGTGCAAAAACAGGTTCTCTGGATATGATAATACGAGAGGGAAAGAGGCTGACACTTCCTGTTTCAATATGCTAAGGTAGTGGTTCTCAAAGTGTGGGCCCTGGACTAGCAGCATCAGTACCACCTAGGAACTTGTTAGCAATGTATATTTTCAGTCCTGACCTCAGTGGTACGAAATCAGAGCCTCTGGGGTAGAACCCAACAATCCATGTTTTAAGTAGTGCTCCAAATGATTCCCAGACATTCCACAGGGAGAATCAGTATCATATTTTAAAACAATATCTGTCAACAAGACCATTTTTCTTTTAGGCAAATATACCAATGAATTTTATCATTTAAAGCCTTGTTGGAATGGATAATGTTGTCGTTTTCATCCTCTTCACCTTTTGGCTGTAAACTTTGTTGTTTTTTTTTTTTTTACAAATAATTACCGAGACATGACCTTTTGCCAAAAAAAAAAAAGTAAATTCTTAACCTATAAAGGCTAATCGCACTTCCAAAAATTTGTAAGAAATAATCTGTGAAAAATTTAGTGACACATGAAAGCTTTATAAAATAGAGTGAATGAGGAATATGATTTACAGTGTTTCCTATGTTCTTTGCAGGTTAACACAAGGGAAAACAGCAAGGGGAAAAATATCAGACAATATAGGAATTGATGTACCACAAACAAATTCATGATGAAAACATCAGACGTTATGTTTTCGTTATACATACAGTATAAATGAGTGAAATTTAAGTTTGGTAAGCTTTTAACCAAGAATCTTGCATTTTACCCACATATCAATTAATAGCATAAAATGAAAAGATGGTGTGAGCAATAGTCGTCACACAACTAAAATCTTCACAGATTGTATTTTTTTAAATAAATTCCTTTGAAAGTTTTTGTAGCAAGAAATGTTACTCTTTCAAAATTGTGTAGCTTCAGGAGCACATTTTATATAAAAGCCACTAGTTAAAAAAGTTTTTACTTTTTAGCTTAACTAGAACATCTGCAGATAGCAATCATACAGTTCAGTGAAAACAAATTTTTAAAGAGTAGTATATATTTGATGTCGTTCATTCATAGGAAATATGCTTCTTTTATCCAAAAAAATGTACATATTACTTTGTATATCACTACCACTTCTCCACCGACTTCTATCTCTTTTCTCCAACATCACACTATTTCTTTTTCAGCATGAAAACTTTTAAAAGGTGTAAGCAAAGCCATTTTAATAGCTCTTTATCATAAGAGTGAATTACCTAGTTCCATATGAACATTGGAATACCCATAGGAGAACTGCAAAGTGACACATGGTCACAAGAAATTTCTAAAACGCACTTTAGTTCCAGTTAGAGAATTACTCAGTATCCTATTTGAAAGATTACATCATACAAAGACTTTTATGACTGACTAAGCCTCAAGAAAAGATCTCTTGCATACTTTGCTGAAATGCACTTAACATTTATGTCACTACACTATATATAGGTTCAACTTTTGGGGAGGTCAGAAAAAGTGGATCTATACATCAATGCTAATATCACCACGTATAGACAGAAAAAAAGATGATGCTGGAAGTATATCAGTACATTTCTTTGGAAAGAAAATGTCAGATTTTACATGAAAAAGTTTAAGTCATATTAGTTTCTCAACATAATTATGCATATCATAAAATACCATGTGTATTGTGAGTAACCATAACAGAAGTAAATAATTTAAAAAATTTTCTTTCTGTTCATTAAGAGCAACTTTTTAATCAAACTCATTTAGTTTCATAAATTACTTTTCTTATCATAGTTAACTATTTAACTTTTAAAAACCTTTACTAAGACTGAACATTTTTTA
Source organism: Homo sapiens (assembly GCF_000001405.40). NCBI lineage: Eukaryota > Metazoa > Chordata > Mammalia > Primates > Hominidae > Homo > Homo sapiens. Next base: position 67,223,666 of record NC_000013.11, read on the forward strand.
AATTTTAAAACATCAACCTCTTTTCAAATACTAACAAAGTTAACACAAAAATTAAGTCGTTCTAACTTTGACTTATATGTAATAATCTCATAGTCTCCTTTAAAATTCTATACTGATTAAAGTCCTTTCTTCCTGTGTATTTAAGCTGTAAATATTTGTACTTTTAAAACGCTCTACTGTTTAATATTTTACTTTAAGAATGGAGATTTTAGTTGTATGGTAATATGTATTATACTTGATGTTCTGGGAGTATCTGTATGACTCATTGTCAAAATTACTCTTATAAATATTTTATTACCATGAAGCCTTAAGTCCTTCCAGAGCAATAAATGATAGTTGGTAAGGGGGAAACTGTTTCAATAAAACATCCTACTTCACCCCACCCTCAGAAAATAAAAACTCTTGATTCTCCAAAGACTAATCAATGATAACTGTTGATACTGTTCTGCAAACTAATTTTGCTTTACTTGATTTTCTAAAATCTATGTGTTCCTTATTTATAAACAAGTACAGATGGGCCATCACCATAGGTGAACTCCATATCGACAAAGACAGAACTAGCATTACGAAATCCTAGAAAGTTGGTGTGCTGAGAGCTAATCACAAAAGAGCAAGCGAATGAACTTAAATGCTAGTTGCTCCAGAGCAACTATCATTAAATAAAAGGTATCTTTGGCTGTACTACCAGCTTGATCCTTCCCTCCCCCTTCTCCTTGCTACTGCGGGATTGGCACCTGGCCAGCACAAGCGACATGATACCCTAGTGCCATCTACAGGCTATTATCGATATTCAAATTTTGTGGCAACAGACAAGCACCAGTGAAATAAATTAGACAGCGCTGCATTTAAATCTTTATTAACAAGGAATTATTAGACCTAAGAAAAACTAATTCTGGATTTGGTTGAAATATGAGTTTCTCAGCCTCTTAATCCCTCTTCATATGGCATATTTCACAGTTTAAAATGAGTTATGACAGATCACTTATGCATTACTAAGATGAGAGAATATTTACAATGGATTCATTCTTTTCTTTTTAAATCAGTTATATTAGGCAGCAAGCATTCTTTTTTTTTTTTTTTTTGAAAGAGTATTTGGCCACTGCGGACACTAAAAATCTTTCTATTAAGTACCGAATTTAATATATTACAATAAAATAATTTGAAATCAAAGAGAAGACTTCCTATATGGCTTAGTTGCAATCTATCAACGATCATGTGCTTCACAGCTGATGTACATTTAATATTCTACTATCCTGTTTAGAGACTAAAAAAAAAATTAACCCCTTTAGCAACCATAGCTGCAACATAATTGCAGTCACACCTTCAAAAGTCATTGAAAACTTGAGATTTGAAGGTGACTTTTTAGATCAAAAGGTAAGGTGAAAGTCTTGAAGCAGTCAATTTGGAAACCCCCAGGAGCAGAATTTGGCATATCAGGACAGGTTTTTTCTTCTTCAGCAAACATTATCTTGGGACATTTTGGAATAATTTTCTCTTTTCATCTTTTGCCATTTGAAGGAAACTGAAAGGAGAAAATATTCTCAGAACTCAGAAATTTCAAAGCTGTTCTAAAAATTCTTGACTGAGCCCCAGAGGAATAGAAAAGGGGTCAAGTTTTTTTTTACCTCTTTCTAACTAAGCTAAAGTTAGACCAAAACAATAGACATACTGGCACGTTAATACTGGTTGACTGGGCACTTGTATGCAGTACTTATAGACCAGTAAAAGTGCTCGTTTACCTGTCTGGTGTGTAAGGGGCCCTTTGTCTTGAAGCCTCCTTGGGAACTGCACTCTGAGGCACTGAAGTGATCTGAACTAGTGGAAGAGCGTTTAGAAAGGGTGTCACAACCCCCAACAAAGGTGTTGTCCAAAGGGAGTTCCTGAATCACGTGGTGCTTTTTCACGGAAACTGGAGTGTCTGGTTTGAGATGAAAAGCAGGCTGTGGAGAAGCAGATTTGTAGTGCTTGGCCAGGTCAGGACTGTTAGGCTTGAATGTTGTTGGAGGTGCCGGGCCCCAGTCAAATCTTCCTATACTTTGCTCCTCCAGTTCAGCCGGCAGGCTTATTGTCCCATTGATAGGTTCATGAACTGCATCATCGGGTTTGGACTCTTCGATAGTAACAAAGTTCAAAAGAGAGCTTTTGGGAGACTTCCTTTTCTTTCTTTTCTTTTTCTTGTTTTGCTTGTTCTCCTGGTTTGGGGACATCCATTCGGCACCTTGCTTGCTCCTCTGAGCTGCTTTGAACCTTGATGCATGGCGACAGCGCACCAGAACGGTGACGAAGATCACAACAATGACCACCATGGCACCGGCGATGATGGCAATCATGATGGTTAGATAGTCCTCATTTTGATAGGGTTGGCTACTATCCCCTATGTTCCTGTCCAACGGGGTCTCCATAGTCCTGCGGATCAAGTCATAGATATAGGAGGCATTTCCAGCAGTGTCGTTAACATAAAGGAATACAAGCACAAGCGTGTGCAAAGACTTAGGGTACCCCAGGTCACTTATGTTGACCACCAAACGATGCAATCCCACATCAGTAGGTGCTGGTTTTTCTTCCAGAGTAATGTTACCTGTTACTGGATCAATCCGGAATAAGCCTTTATTGTTTCCACTCACTATAGTATACTTTAGTTCAGCGTTCATTCCAGTGTCAACATCCACTGCAAAAACTTCTGCTACCACGGAGCCAGGAATGGCTGAGAGGGGCACCAACTTAAAGGAAGTATTAGACGGTGGAGAAATGACAACTGGGCTGTTGTCATTGACATCCATGACGTTGATAGTTACTTTTGCAGTAGAGGAACGAGGTGGTTGTCCTCCATCAGTGGCTTTGACATCAAAAGTGTAGGAACTCTGCTGCTCTCTATCAAATGAGACATTTGACTTTATGACTCCAGAATAGGGATCCAACACAAAATTATCATTGTCATTTAGAATGGAAAGAGTCACAGCTTTATTCTCTCCAGCATCTGCATCTGTCACTGTGATTACCCCCACAGTACTATACTTTGGCAGATTCTCAGACACAAAAAATTGAAAATGATTATGAGTAAACTTGGGGCTATTGTCATTCTCATCCAGAACAGTAACAATCACAGCCGCTTGGCTTTGGAGGGGAGGGGTCCCATTGTCCCTGGCAGTTACTGTAAAAATGAATCGTTCTTGTTCTTCTCTGTCAAATACTCTGGAGGCTGTCAAAACTCCTGTTTTTCGGTCCAGATCAAAGAAGGAGGCATTCGGTCCAAGCTGATAAACAATGTCTGCATTTTTCCCACTGTCTTCATCTGTGGCACTAATAGTTGTTAAGTATAACCCACGTCGGTTGTTTTCAGAAACTGACAGCTCAATTACAGGCTGGTTGAAAATTGGTGGGTTGTCATTTTCATCCTCAAGCTTAACCCTTACCAGGGCAGTCTGATTTAAACTGGGCTTCCCAGAATCAGAGGCAACAATTTTAAAGCTGAATTCTTTGGTGCCCTCATAGTCCAACAAAGAAGAGGTCTCTAACAAATATTGGTTGTCATATACCGCCTTCAAATGAAATGGGACCTCTCTTTCAATAAAACAGATCACTTTGCCATTCACATCTGTGTCCTTATCTGAAACTGTAATTAGGGCAATCTTTGTATTGACAGGATCTTTCTCAGATAAATACACGGTGCCATTGATGGGACTTATAATGTACCTGAGGTCTATATTAGGAGGGTTATCATTTACATCGGTGACATTGATGGTAACCGTTGCTCGAGCAGGAGTGGAGCTGCCGTCACTAGCCAGCACTGTCACTTTGTGAATGGCTGTCTCCTCTCTATCTAAGGACCTCTGAACTGTAATCAGCCCAGTAGTATTATTTAAAGCAAAGAGTCTTTTGGTTGCAGGGGCGACCTGGGCACCAAAAATGTACCGGATTTCAGCATTACTGCCTATATCTGCATCAGTGGCATGGAGCTGAATTACAGAGGTACCTACGGGAGCATTCTCTGGAATATGCACCTCCACTTGACCCTCTTTAAACACTGGCCTGTTGTCATTTACATCACTTACTGTGACCTGCAGTATGGCCGTACTGGATTTCTGTGGAGTGCCTCCATCCTCTACTTTGATTTTCATCACATAGGTATCTTTCTGTTCTCTATCCAAGTTTTGCTGAACAATCAGTTGTGGCCACTTCTCTCCCTCTGGAGTTTCCACGATATCCAGTCCAAAAACACTCTGCCCATTTAACAATTCATAATGCTGTACACCATTGAAGCCTGTGTCAGGATCTGTTGCTGATGGAATTGGAAAGCGGCTGTTGATCAAAGTGTTTTCTGGAATGGAAATATTGATGACAGGAGATGGAAACATGGGGGCATTATCATTGGTATCCTTGACAATTATTTTTATTTTGATCAGCCTGAAGAAATCATTGGGGAGGATCACCACCTCAAGTTCAAAGAAACACTCATTCTCCTCAGCATATGAGGCGCCAGCACAGAGTTTTTCTCTGTCTATTCTGTTGGAGGTTGTGAAAATTTCCCCAGTGCTGCTGGAAACTTTCACCAAAGGGGCATCCCCAGCTTTAGAAACCAGTCTGTAGACAAGGCTGGCGCTGGTCCCTGTGGCAGCATTGATGTGAGAAATGTTCAGATCCTTTGGTATGTTTCCTATGGGCACATTTTCAGGCAATTCCTCTCTAATAGTGTAAATAAGTTCTTGAGCTATTGCGGAATCCAGCCTTAAACAGGCAATCAGAGCAGCCAACAGGTAAAAATCCCTCAGGTCCATGATAATGTATTTATTTTCTTTTCCTGGATTTTAGGGTTTAAAGGTTTCCACTGAGGAATGATGCACAAATTGCAAGAGGAAGCGTGCATGGACTGGAGGATGCATTATATCTCATCACTTATTTGGAGACAGCCGCTGTCAACACAATTGTATAGACAATATTATTCTTCAGTAAATAAAAACACACCGTCACAAAATATCACCACACATTTTCCCCTGAACATTAGTAAACATGGCAGTTTGCTCTGCCACTGTTTGCAAGTTTACTCTGTGGAGAAAAACACTAAATATCTCCTGCTGGTTGCATTTGCCGGGAGAAAATAAAATTTTCTACTTTTGAATTAAGGACAGCTGCTATTTTTACCTATATTCACGCACGTTGTTTTTCAGAATACTGTTTAATTCAAAACATGCATTCTTGTTCTCCTCTTCCCCTCCCCCTGTCTCACCCTCCTCCTAGCCTCTAACCTACCTCCCTCAGTCTTTTCAGGTGCAAGTGAAAAACACTAAGTATTTAGCTACGGTTCCTGCTAATTGCTTTGTCACATGTCAAATGTGTTTTCTTCTCTGCCCCACTGAGTCACCTATCTTTTCTAAAAAGGCTATCTTTTTCTTTCCTCCCAGTTCTTCAACTGCCTTCTAATACAATCTTACTGGGAAACGAGCATCCGGACATGCCGCTGCAGCGGCATCAGAAGCAATAGTCACCGGCCTCTACACATCCTCATTGCCTAAAAGCACAACAACAAGACTTCAGATTTCTTGCCCACAGCTTGCTCTCCTTTCTCCATATTGACAAATTATCCTCATTAGGATTCATAAACACATTAAAACTTTTAAAAATGTATAATAATATAGGATTCATTTTCCTAGAGGTGGAAGAGAGTGCCGAGATATAAGTGAAACGCAGCTAACATTCCCATGTAACATCACAATATTTTCTACTGAACATAAAAGAGAAAAAAAATGCAATTTCTTAATCCTGATCTCTGGTTAGAATATTAGTAACATTTGCCACACATAAATACTGCAACCCAATCATGCAGGTAAAAAGGCTTCTGCTTAGATAACTGCAGTTTAAATGGGTGCAAGGCTCCAGGCAGCTACCTACTTGAGTAGGACTGGTCAGTTCTCAGGCTCTAATCTTATCTGCATTAGGCTGCACAGTAGCTGATGCCCGCGATTAGTTCCGGCAGAGTGATGCAGGTAGGGATGCAGATACAGCCGAGTAGGTGAGCTCTGCCCCAACCGTCTACCCAATTACAAGCATCTTTCGCCTACACTGAGGACACATCTAAACACAGAATTTACAATTGTGCATGCGAAACTTTACACTTACGTTAGTTGCCTCAACCTTTCCCCTTTCCCAGTATGCTGCAGTTAGGAATGATTTGTTCCAACACATAGAAAGCCATGCATCTGGTAGCACCAGTTTGGGGAGAAATCAGAAGCAGCAAAATGTTTCCTCCTTGTAAAATGTGTTGCTTCGGGCTGGCAAATTAGCAACTCCAGAGAACAAATTCACGGATTTGTCGTTAGTCATTCTCTCCACATTTCGTCTCTCTTACCCACTGGGTCTGGGTTCTTCTGGGCATTTAGCACACACAACACATAGTTGCACTTCTTCAGCTCAGGGATATTTTCCACAGCAGCATGCATACCATTTCCATCCGATGCCAATACTGCTTAAGTCTCTAACTTCTTGTAGGAAACGTCAGAGTTGCGGTGATGATGATTCTCTGACAGCTATCCGGGTGACAGTTGCCCGAAAAATTCCTAATCGGTTATCTCTTGCGTGCTTCAGAGACTCTGAGGCGCTCCTTTCCGTCTCGCGTGCTCTCCCTCTCTCCCTTCCCCTCTGCCCCTCTCTCCTTCTCCCTCTCCTCTCTCTGAACTGAATTTCTTGATATAACTCTCAATAAGCCCAGAGGGAGGGCGTGACTGCCCAGGCCCCGCCCCCGGGCTCTGATTGGCCTGCATCTTGCGGCGCGGGCGGCCGCAGCCCGGCGCGAGGGAGGGAGCGCGGAACAAGGCGCTGACTGTCTCCCAGCCTCCCCTCCTCCGCGCCCCCTCGGCAGCAGCGAAAACCCGGAAATCTGATCCTGGCCCCAGGAGAGCCGGGTTCCATGAGGTGCACTGAGCATGCTCTGCAGGGTCCGGCGTGGGAGGGACGCGCTGGCGCTCCCCAGGCCCGGGCGGAAGCGGCGCTCGCAGGCGCTGAAAGCGAGCGACCCTCTGAGCCCGGGTGGTCCGGCGGGCAAGGGCGGCGCGGGAGACCCGCAGGGCGCGGGCGCGGATCCGGGGAACCAGGGCCACCGCTGCGGGCGGATGGGGGTCACCGAGGCGGCTCGTCTCCAGGCGCACACTTCGCACATCTCTTTGCTAAGTGAAGGGGCCAAAATGCACAGATGGGGGAGTCTACCCAGGAACAGAGGCGCGAGACGTATAGCCACCCCTGGGTTGGGAGCACGAGCCAGCAGATCCCCGGAGCGCGTTAAACGGACAACATGCCCGGTGCTGCAAATAGAGGCTTTTGCTGGCAGGGACATTGGAAAGAAGGGCGGAGAGGGAGTACAGCGAAAGGTGGGGACCGCAGAATTTGGAATCTCTGCGGAGACCGGAAAGAAAATTAATCGGAGCACTTCCTACATGCAGAGCCACGGAAACTGCCTTGGAAAGAGAAAGTGGCAGCGTCTGGGTCCCCTCGGTCAGCCCGGGCCAGTCGGCTGCGCGTGCGAAGTCTCCTCTAGCGGAGCGGGACCGGCCGCGGCGGTGGATCGTGGCGGTCCCTGCACTTCTGCTCCAGCCGCGCCTGGAAACCTGAGCCCGGACTCGCGGCTGCTGCAAAACCCGCTTCCAGCCCACCTCACTGCGAACTTTGCTTCCGAGGGGCTGGAAGGAGTCCCAGGCAGCTGTTTCCCAAGCTGTGGAACACTTCCTTTCCCCTAGGCACTTTCTGCTGATTCCAACTTTCTTTCCTGTGATTTTCGTCTTTTCCCGTGCATTTCATTTCTCCGACTCCAGCTCTGTACTAAATCCTCACAAGTTTCTCGTTTTCATACGGGAACTGGATGGAATGACTCCCCAAAAAATACAGCTTTATTTCTCAAATACTGACCCCCAAAGCACTATCTAGTAATATATTTGATTGATCTTTCAAAGTCAGTAAACCACAAAGGTTTGTGTAATGGCTTGTACTTAACGCCTGATACCTGAGTAAAGTTTGAAGCATTAACATAGGAACAGTTCACTTGGAACAAAAATTTATTTTCTGAATGACCTATAAAGGTTGTCAGAGAAGGTCTTAGTACATGATTGAATAACTTGGTCTAACTTACAGGAAGAATAAAGGGCATTTATTTTAAACCTGTGTGTTCCCCATTCTATAATGGGCTGCCTAGGCATTAAAGGCTCTTGACATACTTAAGCTCTTGACTGAGGGCGTGTTGGAGATTACCCCTTGTTTTTGAGTACAATAGTTTTGTTTGCTTTTTTTCTTTTTTAAGTAACATTTGTTTTTAGACGTTTAAATGAAAAGTAAAAAAAAAAAAAAACACCAATCAAGCTTACTAAGCCATATATTGAATAAATAATGACATGATTTAACCAACTAATTTGACATCACAATTTTCCAACATGAAATTGTAAGCTCTTTTTAATTCAAACTTTTCTGAGTTAATATTCACAGTTCAACTGCAGTGTCTAAAAGCCCACTGTAAAATCCATTAATCCCTTATATGTAAAATATAAAATACTTTCCTTGCAGATAATAGACTGATATTTTTTAAATAGCAAAGCAACTTTTATTATAGTAATATTTTGTATGATTAGAATATATAAAATTCAAGAATAGAAAGGACTTACAAGTATCCCAAAGTGAAAAGAAAAATATTGCCTCACAGAATAATGTCAGTGAATGAAAGGATGATTCTTTTATCTTACCACAGTAAACGATCATTTTGCCATTCACAAAATCTACAATTAAAGCTAGTACATTGTTCCAATTGTCACCTATTTTATGCACTGCACTGTTTTTAAATAAATGAACCATCATTGTGATACATTTACAATAAACATAGCAGCACAGCCACTTTCCAGTTCATTTCATAAGCACCACAGTTATATCATATTCTTATTCTAATCATACCGTAGTCATTTCAAAGTCATGTTGTAGTCGCAACACATAGCTTAGCAATAATTATTTAACATCATTATTAAACGGAGTTGTTTCTCTTTGCTAAGGATAGCTTCACGTGTTGGCAGAACCCATTATTACCTCCTGCTCATAAATGAAATCTTAGTTTGAACACAAGATGAAGGTTAGAGAAGAGAAAAAAAAAATCATCACATGATTCAATTAATGACTATGAGACTTCAATTAAAGAAAACCACAGGTCAAAGCCCCAGAATGAAATATGTCTAGATTCTTTTCAAAGGAGATGGAGTTTCAGAGACAAATAGAGCTATGGACTCAGGGCATTATATCCTTTAGGTGTTTATTTGGCATTATCTGAACGACTGAGATTCCTTAATGTTCTCAGTTTTACCTCTTAAATCTAGAATAGTTGAGGCTGGTTTGCCCTATAATAATCCGACTTCTAAACTCTAAAATGAGAACTATTATTAGAGATCTTATTAATATTCCTAGAGGAAAATTAAATATAAAGGGTCATATTCCTAACCCTGTGTTATCACAACTTAAGGTTTCTTCCCAAAACACTATATAAATCATTTTCATAATGAGAGCTGTTCATAATCTACCTCTCCAATATTAATTTTTTAAGTTAGGTCTGTGTAATTATGAATCAGGAAAATATTCTTAATTTCAGTTTTTGTAAGGGAACACCTATTTGTTTTTATGCTGTGTTTTATCATTGTTTTTCCTTAGTGAATTTAATAAAATGTTAGATTTCTAATATCGATCTTCCAGTATATATATTAGACTTTTAATTAGATCTCTTTAGTTAACCCTTATTCATCTTTGTCAAAGCGTATTTTCTACTGCAAGGAATTATGATGTTTTCACCTGTGTTGTACCTGATTAGTAGCATCAGGATACTAATGGGAATTACGCCATTTGAGCTATAGTAAAATTGCTTTAGTGTTTTCTGCTGGTTATATAGGTCATGGGATACTTGTGAAGCTAAGTCACCTTCAGCCAGCTAACTGAAGACTAAAATGCTTTTGCAGATTTAAACACAAACAGATGTGGAGTTAATAAAATTATTTTGTGTTCCACAAGTTTAATATTGTTCTATTTATATATTTAAACAATGATTTCCATGTAATGGCATTTAATAACCTAAATTATTAAGCAGTTCAGTTTGTTAATTGGATTTTCATCTAGGATTTTCTAGTTACCATTCAGCATTTTAAAACTACATTTCACACGGAGATTGTAAAGGCTGTTTCTGTAAGTTACATTTAGAGAAAAGACAGACTGTAATATTCAGAATGATGAAATGACCTCCACAAGGACTTCAAGACTAATATTTTTAACTCTAATATACTAGTTCTATATTCCAATCATAGTTAAAAATAATATAAAAAATACTTTTGTGGCCTGTACTTCTAAGGCTCCTTTAATCCAGGTGTCTTATTATGTCTAACGGACATTAATCAATCAATCACAGGGGCTCTCATGTCACAGCAGGCATTATTGTCCCCATTTCACAAAAAAGACTAGACTATTCTACAGTACTTCTGGGGAAAATTGTGCTAAAAATGCTCAGGGTTATTTATATTATCACTGTTTAGAAAATGACAATGCAGAATTTTAACACCACAAAAAGAAAATTAACACCTTTTAAGGCTATGCAAACTGGCAAAGTATAGTAAGCTCCTTGAATAATTCTGTTGCTTCACTATTTATTATTAGCTCTTTCATTTTGAACCCCTTTTTAAAAATCTTTTTACCTTTTCTTTTCTAGAAAAACCTAGACCATGATAATCAAATCACAAAGGAAAGCAGGTGACAACCTTCATTCTTTTTGAATGACTGAACTAAATTTATCCCAATTTGCTATATTTTTATGACTGACAAGGATTATAAATGTCAGGTTTGTAGCTCTAACAGTTATCACAATATAAACTGACATTTTCCAGTGCCACTATTTTATCATGATTACTATTTAAATAAAGAAAATATTGAATTCTTAAGTTTTATTATTCTTTAAAATTTCAGATTATTTATAGGCATAGCTTTCATAACAGATTTTTTCTGCATCACATGTAGGGCTTAAGCAATCATGTAGGAAAACATAGAAAAAAGTTTTAAGATAGTAAACAATAAACGTACATCATGTTTAATCTTAAATAAGTTGATTACTTTAAAGTCATGTAATTTCCAGTGAAATATAATGTGAAAATCTTTTTATTTCTTGGGTCTTTATGACATTTATTTCTGTAATCTGTAAGGTAAGAACTGTTAGATTGAAATATGGACTATTAGCTATTCAGATTACATTTATAAAATGATAAATGCCTGAAGACGTAAGAAAACCTTGCATATTTTTTGGAAGCACCTCTGTTTAAACTTAAAAATAGAGACAAGAAAATGTTGAGGCAAGAACGCATTTCAAGCACAATAGCATTTGCCCAAAAATAATTCAGGAAACAGTTTTTTAAAAAGGTATGAGAAGTTTTAAGAATTAATAAACATATTACAGTGTTTTAAAAATTCTCTTTCATTACTTTCTTATTCAAAATAGTATGTTCCCTAAAACAGAACTTTGTGTTACCTGAAATAACATTATTTTGGGAACTTTCATTCCCTATTTCTTCAGTCCTCCCTTCTTCATTCTTATAATGTTTTTTGTCTTTTTTTTTTTAATAAACTCACATGATATTCTTCTAGAAGTCCAATTTGTTACATAATGTGCACATAAATAGACTTACTAATATAGGGCAGGATGGATAAGCCTCATTTTTCTCTTATAGTCTCCTCTTAGGAACCAAATTCCCCCCACAGTCCCCCTCTAATTGAATTAGGATGAGTCAGGGAGACAATGTACATTGTTGACTTCTGCAGCCCTGGCTTAACTCCGTATCACTGATAACACCAAAGTAATGGAAATGGGGATTGCTAAGCCTTTAAAAGATACTGTTATGCTTTTTATGAGAATTAAGTTAATATTACTCTGCTTACAAAAATTACATATCTTTGTGTGTTTATACACGTGTTCTTTAGAATAATTTTTTTCTTAAATGAAAATCCTATTCTGTAGTGCCCTGTAATACAAGCCTTTAAATAGTCCTACAATGTACCATGTCTTTTCATTCCCATGCTTATGAATTTACTGTTCTCCAGCCACAGATTGGTAAAACATTCAGAAAGAATTAAGAGAACGTCAAAGAAACTTCTTGGCTGCAGGGAATGGGGTTGGTAAGTAAGCCAGAATGTATCATAAAAAAGATTCATTTTTTTAAAAACAGTATGTCATAAGAAACATTATATGTGGAGCTTATTCGAAACTCTAATTTAAAATATTATCCTTGCAAAAATATCACCTGTAAAATATAAGACAAACAATAAGTACCTGTAATAATAACATTGAAAAGATTATAAATGTTTCCTGATGTCACAAAAAAATTCACATAATGTTTTGATTTTAAAGAACAAATGAGTACCATGTTTTACATCTATGGACTAGTTGCAGATTACTTGTGTAATTTCTATACGTTACAACTATACCAATATAGGTGTCCTTAATGGCTATGCTAACAGAGAGTAATTACATTATTTTTGAATAATATTTGTCCCTCACCAGGGGATGAGGCCAACTTTTCAGTATAACAGATAAGTAGATTCTAAAGACCAGGTGAAACTTCAGGTAAATACCACAATTCGTTGAAAAAGGTAGAAGTGAGAATTACATAAAATAATTGCAAAGCATGTAAGGGAGAAATTCATTGTTAAAAAATATATTAATCAGCTCATTCAAACCTATTTTAAACAACCTACTATATTAAAAAAATAAAAATTAAAGATATGTGCTATATTAAAAAAAATCTTACTACCTTGGAAATATTTTCTACTTTGTGAATACCCATCACAATATCTCTTTTATGTTTTAGATTTTAAATATTTTGCTTGTTACATTAATCTTAATAGTTTGAATGCTCACTAGCAAGTAAGTTCTTGATTACATAAATGTACTACCAATCTAGTTATTTTTAATCTTTATATTGGTTCAGATTGTTTATTGGGTTTATTATTATAAGAATGACATTATGCTAAAGTTGACTTCTTGATTTAAATAACATTCTAGGGTATTTACTGAACCTGATTCCATGTTTCTCAAACTTTAATGTGAGTAAAATAGCCCAGAGATCTTGTTAAATTAAAATGTAAGTTCTGTTATATTAGCTCTTCAATGGGAGCTAAGGTCCTATATTTCTAAAAAGTTCCCAGGGGATACTAATGGTATTGATCTGTGGACCACAGATAAAGTAGCAAGGACCTAAAAGGCATGTTAAATACAAAGTATCATGGCTAAAGGGTGAGAGTGGGAAGCAAAAGCAGAAGGTTAGAGAAAGAATCACCCCTACCATTTTATCATACAAAGGTTAGTTTTGTTACCAAGCATTCTTTTGATGCTAGTACTGCTCAGAGGGTCAAGGAATGTATTTATCATCCGCATATTAATTTAATTTAGGTTGTCTCTTTCTCTCAGAGATTAGACATCTAGAGCTAAATTTTAGTTTTACTTTGAACTAGGAATGACGAAGAGGTCTCTTTGGAGCCTGGTACTCTTCAGAGGAAGGCAAATTACATAGAACAGACCAATAAGCCTTAGGGCACTTGCTGAGCAATGTGGGGTACCAGGTCAGACGGGGTTGGAAAGTGTCAACAGGAGGTAATAGAATACATGGTGGACACATTTGGGTCATCTCCAAAGCTCATGAGAGTTTTTCCTTCTTTGGAATCTATATATATCTATATATATATACACACACACACACACACACACACACACACACCCTATATATATATACACACACCATATATATGTACACTATATATAGATATGCCATATATATATACTACATATATACCATATATAGATATACCATATATATACACAAATATATATATTACTTATTTAAGCAAATTTATATCAAGTCCCTAAATTGCCAAATCAAAAATTAAAATATCCCTGGAGTTTATTTCTACAGACCTAGAGCAATATGTCTGTACAAAATATGTTACAATTTATTTTTCCAATGTCCAACTTAAAAATTGAAGAAATAAATCTCTTTTCCAGCCCTTAGTGACAAATGTTTTATCTTTATGGAAGGCACAGGGAAACTGCAAATCAACAATTTGTCCTGAACTTGATCATTTCTGTCCAGTCTTATTTTCAGAAAAGATAAGATTCATCAATGTGTATATTAGCACTTTTATGTTTTATGATAACATGCAGTATATTCAGTATAAAACTCAAATGTATATTATACCTTTATCATTTCTACAATTTAGTAGTTAAAAATAACTTCACCCACCCACAAATTTTCTGACAAAATATGATTGCTCTATATTCTGTTATACACCTGTGGCTCATTTGGAATATTCATCAGCTGAGAAGATTAAAACTACGATTACTTCAAATAGAAGGTGAAAATCTCGCTTGGTTCTAATAAAGCACCTATAATGTCCTTCAAATCTGTAGTTATAAACAAGCTTGAAAAAAATGTAATTTATGTGGTTAGTTGCTAAGATGTCTTTTATTCTGGTTACCACAGTCTCAGTAACTTACTTTAATTCCTCCAAAGAATACAGAGCACATGTATATTATATTTTAAAGATTTTGGGTAAACTTAATTGCTCCTGAAAACTAGCAAATTAAATTGCAATAACAACCTAAAAATGAGCAAAAACTTGTTGAATTAGGTTAAATATGCATTCAGAGAAAAACAAGAATCCTAAAGAAATATTGAATACAAGAAAAATTAGTTTTTAACTATATAGTATTTAGCTCTATTGAGTGTCATTTTAAGAGTTAGTGCCAAAATAATTCTAAGTATGGTAAACACTGCCATCTAGAGGACTTTTATTGTAATGCAGAGCAAAACAAAAATACCTAAAAGTGGGAAATGTACAGGCCTGTACTGTAGTTTTGTTTTTTTAATAGATTTCTCAAATCTGACAAAATTATATATTTCAAGAAATTAGCTTAACTGCAACAGTAATTCATTAAGGAATTATTTACTATGATTTAGAGTATCAATACTAATACATTGTCAAAAAATTATTTGAAATTTTTTTATTAATCATGATGTTGTTATACTTGTCAGTAATCTAATTTTGATATTATAAACAAACTATCAAATAAGATATATAGTCATATTCTTGTGAGATATAAATAAGAGTCAATAGCTAGAAAAACCAGAAATACAATCATGTTTATATATATATAATAATAAATATTTCTTTCATGAAAGCAACTAAATTACCTGTACTATTCTTATTATTTCTTCCTATCTTTCCTCTTTCAATGTGAATATTTTTCAGTCCTGTTACATTAACTTACATAATGTGCTGATTTCCAAGGTGGTGGCTGGGCCTCTGTGGGGTTACTCAGGACCTACAAAGGTGTTAAAAGAGAGGTACCTTGCTGTGTTTGTTTCCTGTTTAAATAGAAATACTAGCACATATACAGTTTCCATTGTCAAAAATCAGTGAACAGGAAAAAACATATTTTTTTCTATGACAAATTTTCCAGGGACCAGTAGTATCTATTTTTAAGTGAATATTAGACACATTTATAGTAAAAAATTATAAAATGTTGCCTAATCAAATTTATTTTTACATGCTCCCTAAATTTCAGATAACTAGTGGAATTTGTGAAACAGTCTACTTCTTATGAATTGTAACAAATGTTATGTGTATTTGAGTTTTTTTAGATGACTAGGATTTTATTTTAGTTTTAGTATCTTTTTATGGTAGCCCTGCACTTAAAGAGCTAGAGATTACAAATTTAATTCTGTGCTTAGAAAGAAAAAGTATAGTGTAAATTTCAAATCAATTCAAATAAGACGGATATGTAGCATTAAAATGTAATTCTGTCAATTTCCTATAAAGCTGTGGAGATGCCTATTTAAGGGTGAAATCTCTGACAAGTTAAAGTAATTTTTCTTCTCATAATTTGATGTTTTAATTACAATGAATATCCATAAGAATCTGACACAATTTTATTTGATTATAATTTCACATTTATGTAAGAATTACAGAGTTGATGATAGTGATGGAATTTTGACTAGTATAGTCATCATCGTATTGAATCTGGTGTTTCAATTGTACATGATTACTGAGGAGAAAGGAATGAATTAAATCATTATCAATGAACATGCCTATAATAACTTCTGCTTTATTAGAGACATAGTTTTGTATTATTTTTATCATACATATATATAATATACATGTATGATCACTGTGGAAAATATATATGGAAGAAAATAGGATATAAGAGGAGTAGAAAATGTAAAATTTTTAAACATCTCTGAAAACTTCTTAAATTTGATCCTTGCTTGCTTTTTTACTAAGAAAACTTTCATGTGTAGAGAAATAGTAAAATCTTCTCTATAGATTCAACAATTTTAAATATTTTGTCCAATTTCTTTGGTTCCTCTTTCACATATTTGCTCCAACATTTGAAAGTAAAGTATAGGCCAGGCGCCGTGGTTCAGGCCTATAATCCCAGCACTTTGGGAGGCCGAGGCAGGCGGATCACGAGGTCAGGAGATCGAGAGTATCCTGGCTAACACGGTGAAACCCCGTCTCTACTAAAAATACAAAAAAATTGGCGGGCGCGCCTGTAGTCCCAGCTACTCGAGAGGCTGAGGCAGGAGAATGGCATGAACCCGGGAGGCGGAGCTTGCAGTGAGCCGAGATGGCGCCACTGCACTCCACCCTGGGCGACAGAGCGAGACTCCGTCTCAAAAAAAAAAAAAGTAGAGTATGGATCACATTACCACAAAATCATTCAAAATAAATCTCCGAAGAGTAAGGATCATTGCCTACATAACCATGATATTATTAGCACATTTAAGGAAGTAATAATAATTCCATAAACATAATTTTATATCTACAGTATTTTAAATGTTTAGAAATTTATTTCCAAGAAGTTGAGGGATATTTGTGGGTTTTTTTTTCTTCTAAATCCAATCTAGTCTGATCACATTGCCTTTGTTTTTCTCCTTAGTTTCTTAGTTTAAAACAGTTCCCTCCATTTTTCCCCCATGACTTTGAATTTCTGATGAGTTTAGAAAAGTTGTAGGGTAGACTCTTTCACAATCTGGATTTGCTTAATTGCTTCTTCTTAGGATATTAACTTGATTCTCTGTGACCTGTATTTTTGTCAACTAGAAATTAGATCTTAAGCGGTGCTAGCCCATAAAAATATCATTTGTGACTGAGTGCCGTGGCTCACGCCTGTAATCCCAGCCCTTTGGGAGGATGAGGCAGGAGGATCACCTGAGGTCAGGAGTTTGAGCCTGGCCAACGTGGTAAAACCCTGTCTCTACTAAAAATACAAAAATTAGCCGGGCGTGGTGGCTGGGGCCCGTAATCCCAGCTACTCGGGAGACTGAGGCAGGAGAATCGCTGGGAGGCAGGGGTTGCAGTGAGCCGAGATCATCCCATTGCACTCCAGCCTGGGTGACAAGAGCGAAAATGAGTCTCAAAAAAGAAAAAAAACTTATTTGCATCACTTACATAATTTTAAATATTTTAATAGCCACTTTAAAAAAACAAGGTGAAAAACTATTTTAATAATGTATTTAATTCAATCCAATGTATCCAAAATACATCATTTAATATTATGTAACTAATATAAAATACCTTCTTTTCTAAACGTCATATCATGAACAGTGAAACAATCTGGCATTATGAGTCCCCTAGTGTAATTGAATATGAAGAATACAACCTCACCTATGAATTATTATCACCCAGAATATTCAGTTGTAATCTAATTAAGACCTAGTCTTGTGATAGGCAACATGGTAGTCATATGATTTGTGACTAGTCCAAATTACAATGTACTATGAGGGTAAAATACTCATCACATTTTGTCTGTATATATGCTTCGTTTTTTGATCCTCTAAATTAATTGAAGCTTCAGATCTACTTATTGACTTTTGTACTCTTCATTCTTGTGACTTTTGCTTTACTGTAATTGTAAGAGGGTTTTTTTTGAAAGAGTTAAAACAAACATGAAATCATTCTTCTACCTGAGAAAATAAGTTTTATATGTGCACAGAAACATGCACATCCACATATATAATCTGAATAAATATATCCCAGAAATGGGCCAGGTGTGGTGGCTCACAACTGTAATCCCAGTACTTTGCGGGGCTGAGGCGGGTAGATCACCTGCAGTCAGGAGTTCGAGACCAGCCTGGCCAACATGGTGAAACTCTGTCTCAACTAAAAATACAAAAAAATTAGCCAGGCGTGGTGGTGTGTGCCTGTAATCTCAGCTACTTGGGAGGCTGAGGCAGGAGAATAGCTTGAACCTGGGAGTTGGAGGTTGCAGTGAGCCAAGACTGCCCCATTGCACTCCAGCCTGGGCAACAAGACTGAAACTCAGTTTCAAAAAAAAAAATAAATAAAATAAATAAAATAAATAAATTCCAGAAATGAGTTCCTTCAATTACATTAAAATGAATACAGTATCACCTGTGCTGGTTGCCCTTGGAACAGCCTCCAGTCATCTGATTATTTCTCCCTTAAGATGATAAATTCAGCATACAATTTTCTTTGTTGTTTTTGCATGTAGAATGCATGGACCAGAGAAAACACTTTAAAATCTCACTTCTCATTGCTCTGTCATAGCTCCTTGTTCTCTCCCCGGAGCTGTTGTGCATCCCATTTCCCTTGGATGAAAAGTAATATTCAGCCTGTTGTTTGGCAGGAAAAGTACTCCTCAGTCATAGTATAGGAGATTAGAGACTTTTTTCCTTGCTTTGCTGTTCTGCAGAAATTAATTCTTAAAAGAAAGACCACCACCTTGTAATTGAGCTAGTGAATTCACTTCAAGGTAAGTTTCTATGTTTGCAAAGCCATTTAAGGAAGAGCCTCAAGAAAAGGAATCTCTGTGGCTCCATTTCAGTTGCTAGGGCTTTTACTTTGTGCTGAAAAGCCTATAATCATTGCTCATATACGCAAAGACAAACTTGAAGAAAAGAGAGCAACGGAAACAAATTAAACAAACAGATGCTCCCCACCCCAGGGTCAGAAGTGTCAGGGAGGGTGTTAGGTTTCCCCTGAAGGGATGGTGTTCCTTCTAAGTTCAGCCCTGCCATGTTAGAGGCAGCTCACCCAGTCCTAAATCAATATTTCCTTTAGTAAATTGGGAGTACAGCCCACTGGGAGATGAGCCTGTAACCAATCTGAGAGTCATCTTCAATGACAGGGTGAGGTCTCAGCATGAACTCTCATGGAGCCCCAGCCTCCTTTGATGTTTCTGCCTCTGCTTACCTAGTCCAATGTGTGTGCTGGTTTTTCTTTCAGTCCCCTACTTGTTCTGAAGCCTGTGAGGAATTCCAGCCAGCTTGGCAGACACCCTGAACCACCTTCTCCTGATGTTAGGGTCTCTTCTTGTTCCTACCCCACCATTTTGGAGTCAGTCTTAATACATACAGAAACAGAGAAGTCAAATACTGTCACTGGCCTGATTTTGAGAAACATTGCCATCCAGGAAATAAACAGTTATTTTACTTGACTGATCACGTTTCCTGTATATTTTGATTTGGACTTGAATTCATCAATTTGCCTTGGATATTAACATGTGTACTGCTTACCCTCTTCATACCCATTTATACTTCTGTACTTCCTGGGAAATTATTTCTCCTTTTTTTTTTTTTTGAGATAGTGTCTCACTCTGTGACCCACGCTGGAGTGCGGTGGCACTATCTCGGCTCACCACAACCTCTGCCTCCTGGGTTCAAGCGATTCTTCTGCCTCAACTTCCCCAGTAGCTGGGACTACAGGCACGCGCCACCTCACCTGGCTACTTTTTGTATTTTCAGTAGAGACAGAGTTTTGCCATGTTGGCCAGGCTGGTCTCGAACTCCTGACCTCAGGTGATCCACCCACCTTGGCCTCCCAAGGTGCTGGGATTACAGGCATGAGCTACCATGCCCGGCCAGAATCATTACTACAACCAGACTGAACTTCAGATATGTGTGCTGTCTGCTGTCCGAGATGCCTGCCAGACATACCTTCAACTTCCTTCCATCTTTTTCCTTCTTTTCTCTTTCCTCTCTTCTTCATGAATATTAAAAAAAAAAAATTGATTGGGGTTTCCAATGCACTGTATGTCTATGCACCCCACTGCTCCAAATTCATATAATAAAATCCTAACCGCAAGATGGTGGTGTTAGGAGGTAGGGCTTTGGAGAGGTGATTGGATCATGAGGGCAGTGCCTTCGTGAATGGAATTACTTATTATAAAAGAGACACCAGAGAGCTCCCTTGTCTTTTCTGCCATGTGATGTTACAGCAAAAAGACTGCCACCCATGGAGAAACAGGCCCCCCGATCCATCAGATCTGCCAGTGCCTTGATTTTGGACTTCTCAGCCCGCAAAACTGTGAGAAGTAAGTGGCCGTTGTTGATTAGCCACTCAACCTGTGGGAGTTTGTTATAGCAGCCCAAACGAACTAAGACAGAGTTGTCGTGGTTTTCCAGTTCATTTAAGGGCATTATCATTTTTATCAAATTTACTGCACAGATATTTCTCAGATTCCTTGCCTTTTAGTTCAAGGGGTTCTTTCCCTTTAATTTTATCACTTAAGAAAGATAAATTTTTGTACTTTAAACAAACAAGCAAAGCTAAAAGTCCATAGTGCATTGTAGACAAGCTTACTTGCAATTTGAAGAGTTGTCACCAGCCTGCTCTGATGCCTAGTGCTGATGTTTTTCTTAGGTTTCAGGATTGGGTCCCAATTCAGGACACATGTGACATCATTGCCATACAGTAGCCAGCAGGTGTATAAGCCACACTCTTGCAACACAAAATTAGAAACTTAATACAACTCTGTTGGGTAAAATAGTAAAATAAATGCATACATTGATCAGGTTTCTAGCATTCTATTAACCTTTTATGAGATCTAAATCACCCAGCATAAACATGGTTTATTTTTCTCTAAAAGTCCTTTTAAAGTTATGGAAAAAGAACCCAGGAAATCACGTATACTTGAAAAAAAAAGTAATTTAAAATATGCTTATTACTAAGACTTTGTAGTTTAAGACATGTACAGAGGAATTGCCAAGTATCAATTCATCCTTAAAAATATTCACATTCGATAATTACATTGATTTTTCTGTTTTCCAGTTTTCACCGATTTTGTTTTTAAGGTATGTTTATTTTTTGTATTGTAAAATGTCAGTATGAGTTATATTTGCTGTTTGCAACTCTAATAATTTGTATGACTCCAACAAATTCATTTGCCACTTTGTTTTTAATTTATATTATATGCCTGTTTAAATTCAAACCCCTAATAACTTGCTTTCAATGGCTGAAAATTAGTGAATATTTTCTCCAAATAAGCAAGTGTGTTGTGAACATTTTAATAAATCCAGGTTACTAACATGATTACTCAATTTAGCATGATATGAAAAGAATTGTTGCCTTTTCACGTTAGTGATTAAATCTCACTTTTAATTTAATCTTGTTTTTAATATTCTTTTTCTCCTCCAAAATGAGGTATTCATATATGAAAATGGTTTTCACAGTTGAAATATCTTCTTAAATTATAAAAGCTATATGAACTCCTTAGGGAAAAAGAAAATCTTAACAGTATAATGCAGAGAGTGGAGTGACTCCTCTCACGCTCTCTTTTCTATATAATCCACCTCACCTGCCAGCATATTGGTGTATAATAACGCTGGACTCTCCTAGGCTCTCCCCTTCTCCACCCCACACTTGAACACACATAAATGTGCATATAGATATTCATAGGTATTTTAAATGGACAACTTTGTATGGAAATGCTTAGAATCCAACTTTACAAATATTGGTGGGGGCATTGTATAAAATTTTATTTGTAAATTGTATCTCAGTAATGTTGGAAAAATTTTTTAGAAGAAATTCATTCTCATGTACTTTAATTTTTTCTAAAAATCCATGTTGTGTTGACCATCATCATGCATACATCTTTGTTCACTTTGTCTCTTAGGGGATAAACATCTAGCACAGAAATTGTTAGGCCAAAGGGAATGCATATGATATATTGATAAACTTCCAAATTGCCTTCCAGATAGATACCAATTTAGAGATGTACTAATAGTGTACACTCAAATCTTTTCTAACATTGAGTATGATCAACCTTTCTTAATTTTTATGTCTGATGGGCAAATTTTTTTTAACTTTTTGTTTATTTGATCGTTAGAGATTTATAAATGATGCATATTATTATTTGTATTTCTTTTGATAGTTGCCATTTTTCTATATGTTTATATATGTTTAACTGAAATGTAGAAAATAACTCATTTTAAATAGTAATACTGTCTGATAATGCAACTATTTTTGTCTCTTATTTCCTTTTCATCTTTGATATATCTTTGTAATAGCTTAAATTGATATGACCAAATCAAAATTGTGTTTTCTTCTAATCCTGAGTTTCAGCTCATAGCTACAAGAGCCTTATGCATCCCAAGATCATTTTTGTTTTAATTTACTAGTTAAACAGGTTACAGGCTTTTAAACATATTTGTATTCATTTTCTTTCATCTTTATTGAACACGGCAATAATAAAATCCAAATTTTAAACTTGTATGTCCTAGTAAGGAATGTTCTTCATACATTTTTACCAGAAATAGACTTTCCAAATTATCAGAGATTTTGAAAAAAGCTGATATTGCATCCAAGTCAAATTTATATAACATGCCAGATATTGAGAATCCAGAACAAATAACGTAATGTTTCCATCCTCTGAAGGATAAAGGTAGATAATGGGAGAGAGAAGAAAAGCCTTCTGTAAAATGGTAATTTCTATGTCTTCTAGTAGTATTTTCCATAAAGTATTCTTCAGCACTCATCAGAGGATAAACATCAAGAGAAATGGGTTCTATTGTCAAATACATTTGGAATTTTATATATATATATATATGAGTTTTATAATTGAGTTTTATATAATATATGAGCTTTATGTAATATTTCATATGGTAATATGTTTTATTAAGTACCAAAACCACAAAAAACAAAGTATGTTTCCCAAATTTATTTATTGATGGAGCATTTTTACAAAGAGGTGGCTATAAAAATAGTGTTTCAAAAAATAATACCTATATTATATTTATAATATATAATTAACATATTCCATGTATGTGTATATATGCATGCATATGTGTACATTATATATGTGTGTTTGTATGTTCATGTATGTCTTTATATTAAACTGATTATCCTGTAATCTGGGAAATCATTACTTTCTACACTACTAGGCTCCAGTAATGGAAAAGTTCAACACATGCTTTAATATTCATCTCAAAGGCATTAATTTGAGAGAAACAAAAAATGAGTTCCAAAAGCTTGGATTTCAGAGCTAAGCTATAGAAGTCTGCAGGGTCTTCTGTGTGAGAACAAGCGGAATCATCACTCAAAAGTCTATGCCAAGCCAGGCACAGTGGCTCACACCTGTAATCTAGACACTTTGGAGGCTGAGTGGGGTGGATCACTTGAGTCCAGGAGTTTGAGGCCAGCCGGAACAACGTAGTGAGACCTCACCTCTACAAAAAATGAAAAATTAATTAGCTGAGCATGGTGGTGTGGACCTGTAGTTCCAGCTACTCAGGAAGCTGAGGCAGGAAGATCATTTGAACCCAGGAGGTTGAGGTTGCTGTAAGCTATGATTGCACCAAACTCTATGTTAAAAAAAAAAAAAAAGTCTACACCAGCTTCAAGTGATTAATCACCCCTTCTCCCCAGCACCAGGCAACTGGGTGGAAGCTGAGCAGGTAATCAGTCTTTCACTATGTGAGTGAATACCACGTGTGATCCCACAGCCAAGGAACTACTTTATCTGCTCCTTTGTCAAGAAATATAACTTGTCTTTTATAGTAGCCTATCTTCCCCTAAAAGTTCAGTGGGTTTGATGACCTTTGAGTCTGAATCTTTGCTCAGCCTATCTGAACTACCCCACCTGACCAGCCTTCTCTATTCAACTATGCAGAGCACTCATAAACCGCTCTGTGGACCTAGAGGGACAGAAGTGCTGGGAAAGGCACAGGAGCCCAGCACTTGCACTGTATATGCGTATTTCTGTGCCCATGAAATGGCGGTCCAGATTACTCAGTACTTTCAGTTGAGCAAGAATTATGGATTCTTCCTTTCCATGTCTGATCCAAAGTTAGTCTTCTAATCCCCACTGTATTGTATCACATTGTGATATATGGTGATAAGATTAGAAGGCAGATAGGGATAAAATTTGTCAATTAAAAGTACCTCAGTCTTTTACTATTTAAGAATGGACATTTTACCATTTACTTAATCACTTCAAACTTCAACTCTGTAGTAGCTGTTTCTCTCCCACCCTAAGCTTGCATTTTTTTCCTGCAATGCTAGTTTCCCTTTCCTCATTTCTTTAACTTTTCCATGGCAAGGAACCCTCAACTAAGGCATCCCTTCATCCAGAAAGCCTTCAATCTTCCCCAAGAACCATTCTCTTTTTCCCCACCAGTTTCTTTGGTCACACATATCCTCTCATCATTCTGTCTTCTTCTATCTCACTGAATGGCCTCTATACATATTTATCAATATGTACTCTCTCTATGCATTTTCTTTGACCCAGTAAAAGAAGTTCTCAATGATATGGAGAGGGTCCTGTGTTTTCTTCTTTTCTTTTTGGATTCTCTGTGGTTCCCATCATAGTCCTGGTTACCTAACAAGCACTAAGTAATTATGTGGTGGACAAATGATTTTGTGAATAATGTAAACACTCCGAAATATTCGCACAGCAAACTTGAAGACTTACATAGAAAATGGAACCAATGATTAGGACCTGCTCAGTCATTCATATTACTTTTCTGATTTCAGACTTTCTTAACAGTTTCACCTACTTCTAGCCGCAACTCAAAAACCACAATGATAACCACTGTCCTTATTCCGATTGTTTCTTCCCATGCCTGTGAAGAAAAGGGTAAAGTAACGAGGTCTCAGAATGACATGAAAGCTTGAAGGTCTGTAATTCTTCAAAGTGGCAGGGCCACCATCACTTAGTTTCCCTATTTTTAACCTAGAAATTGGCTTCATTTTCCTATTTTCACCCTGAGTAACTCTTTCTCACTGGAAATATTAAGGGACACTTTCAGGAAAGCTGTTAAGCCATAGGTGAAATTGTCCTGATTCCTAGCAAAATTTATCAAGTCAGTAATTGTTAATTTAATGTAATGTGTGATGCAAAGGTGCTAGGACTTAGATATGTTGAATGTAGTTAATACAATGTCATACTTTGTATTTTGAAAAAGCTGCTCTTGGTCATCGTATTTCAATCTCCAATTAGGTTTTAAAATAAACCTAATTGTAGGTTTTTATTTTCTTTTTGCTGTACCCTTTTTAAAAATATAAAGGCTCATAAGGTCAGGGACTCACACAAGTTAAGAACAAATTGTTGGGCACATATAAAAGTGATTCTTAGCCAGCCTCAGTGGCTCATACCTGCTATTTGGGAGGCTGGTACAGGAAGATCACTTGAGGCTAGGTGTTCAGGTTCAGCCTGGGAATCATTACAAGATCCTGTCTCTAAAACAAAAACAAAACCATACACACATACAAACAAAAATAAGACAAGCCTGCGGTCAAGTTCCAACAGTATCTTCTCAAAGAAACCTTTCTTTACATGCCTTCTCACTCTCTCCACCCTTGGGAAAAACAATTCACCATTGAACACAATAGGGACCACTTAACTGAATGCCTGGTACATGCTAGGCACTCTACTAAATACTTTACAAATGTCATCTCTCAGGTAATCCTCTTCCCAGCTCTAGGAACTTACATCTTCATTTTGCAGATGAGCAATCATATTTAGAGAGGTTAAATGATATGACAGATTCATACAGCTTGTTTGTGACAGAGCAAGAATTTAAAATAATGTTCTCTTCAAAGCTCAGTCTATTTCTCTAAAACAGACTGCCTTGCCAATCTGTAGCAATCAACTCAATATATTATACTTAGTTTACTTGTTAAATGCTAAGTTTTTAGTTTTAATTTTTTAGTGTAATTATTCCATTTAGAAAATGTTTAAAACTATGTGGACTGTGCTTAAGATATATATATTTATTACTTTATAAGACTTGTCAACAGCTGTATAAACCAAAATACTACGTAAAAAGAACTTCACAGTTCTGAATACTTATAGCTAAATAGTTTTTTGTTTCCTAGTTTTAATTTTTACATGTACTTTAATGACTTCTTTGTTCTTTCTCTCTATATATTCATTGTCTCTTATTCAAACATGGTATCCTGTGATGATATAGCATTAGTAGATTAAAAATGTGTTGAAGTCTTTACTATAGTTTGTTTAATGAAATAATTCATCAAATATTTAATCTTTGGATAGTGATATTCTTGCCTCACTTCTGTGGCTCTCATTCCTATAAATTATTTTAATTTCATGGGTATTATCTTTTGTGCTGGTCAACTTAATTTTATGAGTCCTTTTTTAACTTTAAATGTAAATGTAATATTCCTAGAAGTTGAGAAAAAACCTCTGTGTAAGAATCTTTTACAAACATTTACATTCTTAACTAAACATATATATCAGTTGATAATATAAGTTAGGATATTTAACTTGGCAATTTCAAATATCTAAGCTTTCTTGCCTTTAGGCTTACTTCAGGTGTAAGACATTGCAACTCAAAAGTATGTATTTTTGGAAACGACTCATCATCATCCCAGAAAAAACTGCGGAGACTTTGTATATTTAAAGGAGAAAATTCTAAACTATTTTTGCCTTGAATATTCTTTGTAGAAAAATGATTTTTAGTGCCTTTGGCAAATTGTCACAGGCAAACAACCCTACTTCTCAACTTAAAAAAAAAATTTGAAATTTACCAAACTTAAAAGCCTTTTTCTAGGACTGCGTCCATCACTGTAATGGGGCAACACATCAACACATGTACCTGTTCTAGAAGACTACAAAAGCACAAATCACATCCACTTTCCATTATAGAGCTTTATCTCTAATTTCTAGAAAGGATGGTGAATTTCAGGATCATTATGAAACGACAATATTAGAAGAAGGCGAAGAACCACTACAAATTACATTTGCAATAGGTATTAACTGCTCCTGGACACTACTTCCTTTTTACAAAGCAAATCAAATCTAGTTCTGGAACCTCAAGTTCTAACTCAATGAGAAGCTCAAAGACATACATGCATGGATGCACATTGGATTAACCCCAACTGGGACTACTGTGTTCTATGAAAAGTGGAGAAAAGTGTGCAGGTTGGAAAAATGCCTCTGGGTCATCATCCATTGTGGTGGATATTTTTTCAGTCAATGTAAAATATATATCTCTTTGATAACTGTGATATAAAAAAATCTGAAAAGACAGTATTTTAAGGTAACATTAGAGATTACTAAATAGGCAGTTACCAAGAATTTGGAGAAAACATGCAAGGATAAAATTATTAAAATATAATACCATACAATTAACAAATAATTCCTTGAAGAATACTAATTAAACTTATCCTGAGAGGAGCAAATGAGTTAAATCTCATTTGCATACAGATTTCTGTTTGTTAGGATGCAATAAAAGGTAGGATTAGGGGACATTTATCGAACTGTATATATTATGGAAAAGAAAGCAAAACTTTTGTAAGTGGAAATCACTTTGGTTAATTATTAGAATTTTGGTTTGGTTGTTGTTCATTTACTCTTTTTTTGGAACAGGGATACAGTTAGACTTACAGCATTGCAATATCTTTGAAAAAAACAGTGTTGAAAAACCAAAGGATTATGGGAAATAAGGAAACAATTGGTTATGAATACAAAATTAAACTAAAGTCAATGAACACAGATGAGAATTAAATAGATGGATTGAAAGCTGTGAACAAAAGAGTTTCTAAAAATTGCTTATGAGACCATTATCATTTACTTAATAATAAGATTATTATTTCTTATCTTATTATTAGAAATAATAAGATTTCTAAAGTGATTAGTAAGCCTGCTCAATTTTTAGGTGTCATTAAATCTTCAGAAGAATGAAATGACAGAATGAGTAGCAAAATCTAAAGATTATCATGAGAGATTATATGGAGGGAAGAGACGTGTATGAACTTCACAGTAGATAACATAAATACCTGTACTAGATATAAGAAAATGACTTCAGTTTTAATTTGATTCTTTATAAGTCACTATTATTCCAGGATAAAAGTGTCATTATGTGCTTTGTTTTAAATATATCACAATAAAATAACACAATATGCTGGCATATTTGAGAATCCTAGATGGAGAGACTTGAACGCAAAACTACAATATTATTCTACACTTGTATAAAATACCCTCAGACTTGAGATATGCATTTCTGGAAACTGCACTTCAGGCAAAAAATTACTACATTGAGAAAATCCATAACAATGCAATAAAATTATTAAAGCAGCAGCCCCCAACTGGTCAATAGATGATGCTCTAAGCATCTCTAAATCACTCCCCACAAGGCCATAACTTCTGGACTTTGATTATGGAGCAAACTTCCCTGTGGCCCTTTTTGAAAATTCAGATAGTATCCCCCACTAGAAACCTAATGTATTAGAGTATCCTGCAGTGTGGACTTAGCTTAGATGTCTGTATTTTATAAAGTCCCCCACAGAAGATAATCACAGGATATAAATGACTAATCTATTGCTTACTAGTAGTTCTTGTTAAAGTTTGAACAAATGGAGTGATAACATCATAATCAGCACCTTAGTCCTGCTCTCCCTTCTCTTCATAAGCGTATGAAAATTACTAGAGCAGTGAGGACCAGGGCCCTGCCTAGCATGTGTGTGTGTGTGTGTGTGTGTGTGTGTGCATGAGCGTTTGTGCGTGTGTTTTCAACTCCTAAATAGTTAGCATTACCACAAACCAGCTTTCAAAATGTATTTCTTAAATGAATAAATAGATTACTAAATACTTCTATGAGCTAAACACTATATTAGGCCCTTGTGCATTATACTTTGCACTTTTTAAAGCAATTCTAAAAAGCATGTGATGTAATTCCTAGGTTAGGGTAAAGATGATCAGAATCCACCTTTCAGTTGTGTGAAGTCACACAGCTCGTCAGTGTGTGCCCCGCCAGCATCAGATCACTGATTGTCCCTCCACACAAGGGATCCCAAGGCTTCAAAAAAGCAAAGAGTCCTCTCATCGCAAAAGCTTGAAGTCTCATGAATTATGGAGGTGAAAGCATTTCTATATAAGTAATGATTTTAAAAAATAAATTAGGATTCTTCAACCTGGAGAAATAAAAATGAAGAAGAAATGTTATAAAATCCATAAACTCAAAAATATTATGAGAGGACGGACATGAAAATTTTCAGTAATCCAAGAATGTTTGAAGAGGCTGTCCCCAGAAACTCACAAAAGATACTTTTTAGAACTAATAAAAGATACTTCTACTTTATAGAGTTAGTTGTAAAACTTTGGGACTTAAAACCCTGAAAATGCTTCGTTTTGAAGATCTAAATGAATCTGAAGAGGATAGAGAAAATTCCATAGGTGGAAAACCCCTAACAAATTGAAGGGAAGCTAGGACTTGAAGGCAGGTGTGGGTCTAAAATATAATTTGTATTAATGAAGTATCTCAATATTTTAAGTAGAGTCCAATTTCTTTGAAGTTCCAGAACTCCCAATTCTCTGCCTCCTATCCACTTAAAAAAAAACAAAACTGAAGTTTATCACAGTTGCTCTTCAAGTAGAAAAGCTAAACCAATGCTGTAGTTCCATGTGAGTAAAAATGTATATTATACTAATGTTGGAATGAATGCTTAATGATCAGCTCAAGTTATTAATACAATTATATTAATAAATTAATGCAGTCTACATCTTACTGAACTTTTTAAAAGACAAGGTTATGAATATATATATTTTTGTAATGAGTTTTATGATAATAGGATAGGATTTTAACCAAATAATTACCCTTAACCTGGAGAAATTTTTGCCTCAAGGGACATTTGATGCGTTCCAAAGACATTTTTGATTGTGACAACTTATCTAGTGGGTAGAGGGCAAGAGACGCTGCTAAATATCCTACAATGCATGAAATGGCACCTATGGCGAAGAATTATCTGGTTCCATAGTAGGCAGGATTCTAAGGTGCCTCTGAAGATTTACATCCCCCTCCCAGAGTTCATAGGCTGCATAATCCCTGAACTGTGAATATAATGAGATTTCATGCCTATGATTGTTGTGGCACAGTTGAGTTTAAGGTAGGGAGATAAACAGGTATGAGCCCTTTAAAAGAGGATAGTTTTCTCCTGATTGTCACCAAAGTGGAAATGAGAGAGAATCAGAGCATGGGAGGGATTCAACACAAGGAAGGTTGTTGTAGAGATTTAAGGAGCCATTGATCAGGGATCTGAGAGGAGCCTCTAGGAGCCAAGAGAAGTCATTGGCTGACATCCAGCAAGGAAACAGAGACTTCAATTTCACAACAACAAAAAACTGAATTCTGCCCATAACAGGAATAGGCTCAGAGAGCACCTTGAACCACTAGAGGAGAATGCAGTCCAAGCCAGAGCAAAGATCCTGGCCACACCATCTTGAGCTATGAGCTAAGAAACAGGTGTTGTTTAAAGTCACAAAATTTGATTCGTTATGCTGCAGTATAAAACACACACAGGCCCAATGTGTCCATAGTGCCAAGTCTGAGAAACACTAGCTAAAGCATTCTGGTCTAGCACTTCTCAAATTACTATTAAAGGGATGTTACTAGGTAGTTTTCAAAGAAACAATGAAGAAAATCTTCCCCTGAGGATAAACATTTATTTAACTCAGATCAAGTTAAAGATGTTTTGTTACTGTGGGACATTTTAGAAACTTTAATATCCTGGTTATGTTATGAAGCTACAGGAGAGGAGTTGATTATAAAGCAATTCCAAAGCGCATTTGAATAAAGATCTGCTATTCTGGGAAAATGGATTAATGTATTTTGATTCCAAAATCAATTAATATCTTTTGATTTGATTAGGATCAAATTTAGTCAAATGTACAAATGAAACAAACAAACAAAAAAAGAAATCAATTTCATGGCTCATCTTCCTAATTTCAAACTAAATCAGATGTACCAAAAAAATATGGATACCCTTTGTAATTTAGACTATTACAACAATAACAACAATGTTTTTGTTTGTTTGTTCGTTTGTTTGTTGAGACAGGGTCTCTCTCTGTCACCCAGGCTGGAGTAAAATGGTGCAATCATAGCTTACTGTGACCTTGAACTCCTGAGCTCAAGTGATCCTCCTGCCTTAGCTTCCCAAGTAGCTGAGATGACAGGTGTGCACCACAAAGCCCATCTAATATATTATATATATTTTGTAGAGATGAGGTCTCGCTGTGTTGCCCAGGCTGGTCTTGAACTTCTGGACTCAAGTGATCCACCTTAGCCTCCCAAACTATCAGGATTATAGTTGTGAATCACCACGCCTGGCAACAATAATGCTTCTTGATCATGTATTATTACAGAGGTCTTCAAATAGTGTACAGCATATCGGGAAGTTCAAATCTGCAAAGATACAGTATGTATATTTCAATTATTTGTGCAGGAGAGATGCTAGGGCTGAGGGAAATGCATGTTAGACATTACATCGCATTCTACTTTCACTAGCTCTGCTACTGTCTTCTTTCCACGGTCGTCTTCTGGTCACTTTTAAAGCATCTCCATAGACCTGGAAGAAACTTTATTTTCTCTTTTTCTTGCAACACCCACAGATTATCATTCTGTTAATAATGCTAGCACATGGAGACGGGGAGGGGAGGTGTGGTAAAGGGATCTTCTACCTTTCTTCAGACTTCCTGAGTGCGCACTATCATTCTGTGAGTTTCAAAATGCCCTCATCCATATTTTCTACTGTGGTTTGGACACTCGCTTTGGCTGCACTGATATTTGTGATTGCTACAAACTACTGGACACCATTTCTGTCTGTTTTTACTTCCAGGCTCCACATTGCTTGCAGTAGTATCAGTTTCTCCCAGCCCAGTATCCACCCCTATATGTGGCTCTACGTTCAGCGATAGCCAACCTTTAATATATATTACACTACAGATAGTAACCAGTCACTGCTGATGAGATTCAAACTATGAGAAGGCATTTTTTGAACAATGACAATAACCCTAGCGATACTTTAAGGGAAAACAATTAAATCTCCACCAAAAAAAGGTTTCAAGTATCTGTTAGTTAAATAGCTGCTATGTCTGACTTAGTAGAAAAATTATATTAACAATGTCAATGCCCTCTATTGGTTTTCCACTAAATATAGCTAACATATTTAACTGTTATTATTCCAAAATGCTTGTTTTTAGCTTATCTCAAAACCATTTTAGAGAAGGATTGTTTATATCTATTTTATACAGAGAACAACTTTAACATGTAGTATAATCGATTCTTTAGATTAGAAATCATTTTTATTCTATGCTTTACTCGCTGGGGATTAATCTTCATGTGATCAGAATGAGCCTGCTATTTAAATACTGAATTACACCTACTAAATTGAGAATAATTGCTTTCTACCTGGCATTAAAGGACTTCCGTAACAGTCCCAACCAGCCCTTTACAATCTAATCTCCCATTACCACCCTACACAGGTGGTATACTCTAGCGAAAATAAATTTGTCACCATTTTACATTCTTGTTATACTCACTAAAACATTTACGTTTATTGCTCTTTTACTCAGAAAGACTTTGATTGAGGATATCCTAGCTTGTGTTACAGCAACAGATAGCTCCAAAATTGAAGTGACGTAACCCACCAAGTGTCTATTTCTTGCAAATACTTTACGATTAATGCAGGTCATGGAGGGGTAGAGGGGTTGTGGGATTACTGTGATTCACAAGATCTCTGAGACAGGCTGACAGAGACTGCAAATTTAATTTCTTCACATTTATTTAGCAATAAAATGGAAAAAAGAATGTCTACTTTTGCAAGTCTGTCATGAAGATTAAATATGGAAAACACTGTTTGGATATCCCAAAGATAACATTCCTTCTCTCTTTTCCACTGAGCACCTGTAAGAAACAAATTTCACCTCCCATTTGGACTATAGTTATGTTTTTGCCTGCTAAATGTTAAGTGCTTGAGGACAAAGCATATGTCTTTTTTATTCTTGTATCTGCTTAATTGTCCAGATGTTGCCAGTAGACTTTTGGTAATACTTGTCGAATGTAGAGAACTCATAATTCTCCAATACTGGAATGGCTTTCTAAGTGTTCTCTGCAATCCTTGCTCTGTATTTAATCTGAATAGAAATAGAAATAAAAATAAAATATTGAGTGTTTTAGTTTTAAAGAGTCATATAAGATAAATGCATAACTAATTTTAGCTTTAAGTTTTTCCTCCTACAAACCTTTATGAAAGTTTATAAACTGAGAAACTTTTTTCCAAGAAGTATGGATCCCAGCATATAGTAGTTGCTTAATGCATATTTATGAATGAAGTCTGATGCACTTGCAGAGAAACTATACAAGTCTAGAGATATTAATTATACATCTATAAAATATAAATTAATACAGGCTTTTGTCAAGAGATTTTTCTCTGAGTATCCTAAAAGAAATATTTCATAATCTTGAAGTCAACATTCTTAAGCCACATATGTTTTGAAGTAATTTAGTAATGTTAGGATTTTTATTCTTTTTCTTGATATTTAATAGGCACTTTTATAAGGGGGAGAAGAATTGTTAGAAAGTCATACTTCTACAAACGTTATTTTCAGTCTTTGCATGACTTATTGAGGTGTCTGGCTTATGGAATGCATTTGGGCTCCATTCCTTACTCCATCAATGACTGCATAATTGAAAAATAAAAATATGAAAATGCTCACTTGTTCTGATACAGGGTCTCTTTTGTAACATGTAAGAAAAAATTTGTATAAAATATGTAAGTTCTCTGAAATGCAAAGTACAAGCTGTTATTGCTATGCTATTATTTTTACAAATTAGTTTCCTTCATCAATAGTCATGTATAGAACTGGATTAATACTAGTAGACACACTCTTAAATAGAAGGAATATATTATCAATAAGGTTATTTCATCTAAAAACACAATGAAAGATTCTCAACTATGTGGGAATTTACACACATACTATTATTCAAGTGTGTTGGGAGAAAAATCTTACTCTACTAAATACATTCAGGAACATTTTAGGATGAGATACATGTTTTGAGAATACATTCATATCTGAAATATGCATTTTTCTTATAAATTCCTTTCTTCTTGATATTCTAGGTGTCAACCAATTTTTCACTGGATTTTCAACCCATAAAAAGAAGCTGTAAATTTCAGAAAAACGAGAGTGTAATTTCAAGACAAATACATCACAAAAGTATGAATAAGAAAGAAATGTGTTGTTTCAGCTAGGCAGGTATTCCTGTTAATTTATGGAGCCGTTTGTCCTGCTTGTAAAATTCCATTTTTTATGGAATAGAGAATTATTGCTGCTGTAAGATGTAACAAAATGGCTAAATGCCTGAGGGAAATACAATAAGGACATTTGGGTTAGGAATATAATAATATTCAAAATATTTCACTGGGAAGTTAGAAAAAGTTATCCCAGTTTTCTTTTAATAAATTGAAGCAGAATGCTAATTTAAAGCTAAATAAATATAACAATCTGAATGCTGCCATGCACACCAATATAATTTATTTAAAAGATTTGCCAAATGTATATAACAATGATTAAAACCATTAATGTATGTATGTATGTATGTAACAATAATTAAAACCATTAATGAAATTCCATGATTTTTTTTTGTCTTGAATATTATATCCATTTGTCTAATTTGGACTAAATATTAAATATTCCAGTCATTTTAGCTTGCTACATAAAATTAAACAAATAGAGATGGGAATGTCGAGGAAAGAAGATATATACTGTACAGTGCTGGCTGTCCCTAACTACTCATTCTGCCTTTCATTTTTACTAACTGAAACCCAGTTCTGTGTGGTTTAGTGTTGTTCCCAGCTAACCACTTGATTTCCCCAGCTGCTGCCCATCTAGGTGTGGCCTAATGACACATTTCTGGCCAATAAGATGTAAGTAGAACAATGTTGGGCAAGGCACCCAGGAGAGCTGTGTATTCTTGGATTAAAAGAGACAGATTTAGCTGCCATTCCCTTTACTTCCCCTTTCCACTTTTATCTTGTGGAATGTCTTTGTGATGCATAGGAGTGCAGATGCCATGTTGCAATTGAGGATAAAAGTCACATTTCAAAGATTGCAGGCCCCATAGGTAGATGGTGCCTGAAGCATCAAAGACATCTTAAGGCCACTGCCATAGTACTGGGTTTCTTATTATATGGCGAAAATAAATCACTTTTGCAATCTTGTTGTATTTTTTCCCCTTCTACAAGTGTTGAACACAAGAAAAAAAGAAAGGGAAGAGGAAGAGGAGAGATGACAGTAAATCTATGTTGTTTAGAAAGATGAAATGGGAGATTTTAAAGTAGGCAAATAATTATAAATCCTATCTTCAGTCTCCAAAAATGACTTCAAGAGTTCTAGTTATAACATAATCACTTTCTGGAGTCTAGGTGTTACCAGGAAGGGGTCTCGATCCAGGCCACAAGAGAGCGTTCTTGGATCTCGTGCAAGAAAGGATTCAGGGTGAGTCCACAGAGGAAAGGGAAAGCAAGTTTATTAGGAAAGTAAAGGAATAGAAGAATGGCTACTCCATAGACAGAGCAGCCCCAAGGGCCGCTGGTTGCCCATTACTATGTTGTTGTTGTTGTTTTCTTAATATGCTAAACAGGGGGTGGATTATTCATGCCCTCCCCCCCACCTTTTTAGGGCATACAGGGTAACTTCCTGACATTGCCATGACATTAGTAACCTGTCATGGTGCTGGTGGGAGTGTAGCAGTGAGGACGACCAGAGGTCACTCTCGTTGCCCTCTTGGTTTTGGTGGGATTTGTCTGGCTTCTTTACTGCAAACTGTTTTATCAACAAGCTCTTTATGAACTGTATTTTGTGCTGACCTCCTATCTCATCCTTTGACTTAGAATACCTTAACCATGTAGGAATCCAACCCAGTAGGTTTCAGGCTCATTTTACCCAGCTCCTATTCGAGATGCAGTTGCTCTGCCGTAACTGCCTCTGACATAGGCAGGAAGTAAAACAAGAGAAAAAGTGAAAAGGGCATGTGAAATTGAGTCAGCCCTCTGTTAAGAAGTCCTCTCAGAATCCTAAACCACCAATGTGGATTTGGACAAAACAGTCCCATGTCTACCACTGTCTGTAGGGAGATTGAAGAATATGTTTCCTTACCTAGGTACATTGCTTTTGCTTTATCATTGTAATATTAATCTTATAAAATGAGATGGGTATCTTTTTTTTCTTACTAGTATTCTCTGGAAAATTTGGGGGCCACTTCTTACTTTCATTCATGTAGCTGTTTTTCAGTATGTATTTCACAGTTTCAGACTATGATGTAAGGTTTACTAGCGTCAAACTGCAAACTCAAGTTAGGGCTGGATCAGCGATCCTGAATTCTTGAACAGAAAGTTGGCCTGTTTTTGTCGAAGAGTCCTGGCCAAGACAGATTCATGTATGTTCTCTCCCTCTCTCAGTTGAGCTTTCTTAGTTTACGCTTTCACTGAGCGTGAAGCTCTTTCAGTTTCCCAGTCATTTTAGGTAATTCTTTTTGGGGTAGTCTTAATTATAAGTCTCCATCTTAACTTCTCTCCATTCATGTCTTTTAGAAACACCAGACTTTGGCTACTCTGATGTCTTTAAAACATGTCTATAAATTCTCTGATGTTCCTCCTCGGTAGCAGATTCATGAGCAAAACAAATGTTGTGTTAAGTCCCTGAGTTGTAGTATAGTTTGTTTTGCAGCTATGGTAACAGGAATACTTAGGGAGATTGCCACTACCTTGTCTCTATGATTCCTCATCCTAACTTTCTGTTTCTTCATTTGTGAAGAAGGAAGACTTTTGTTTTCACAGGAGCATTTTTTTTTTTTTCTTGAGACAGAGTCTCGCTCTGTCACCCAGGCTAGAGTGCAATAGTGCGATCTTGGCTCACTGCAACCTCCGCCTCTCTGGTTCAAGCAATTCTCCTGCCTCAGCTTCCTGAGTAGCTGGGATTACAGGCACCCACCACCATGCCCGGCTAATTTTTGTATTTTTAGTAGAGACAGGGTTTTGCCATGTTGGCCAGGCTGGTCTCAAACTCCTGACCTCAGGTGATCTGCCAGCCTTGGTCTCCCAAAATGCAGGGATTACAGGGGTGAGCTACCATGCCTGGCCCACAGGAGCATTTTTGTTGAAAAATAAAAACAATTTAAGGAATAATATGTAATCTTAAAATTTTATTTCAAAAAATATCTTATTTAAAAGCTTGAAAATCGACAGCATGATAAGGAGCAATGCAAGCTATCGGGGTCTAGTGTGTGTGTTTTGTGTTCAGGATATAAATTTTCAGCTACTGATAGTATTTCAATAATGATTATAGTCATTTCAGTTTCTCTTTAACTTTCTCAGTTTTGTTAAGCAGTATTCAAGAAATTGCTCACTTGTCTAAGATTTTGATTTATTGATATGTTTTATGACCTTCATATATTTCATACATTTAATTTTTATGTATAATCACATCTCCCTTTAATTATGTCTTTTGTGTTTTTCTTGATTAATACTCAGTGATATTTCTGTTTTATTCTACTTTATAAATAGACTTTTGGAATTTTGTTCTTCTCTATTAAAACTTTCAAAAAATTATCTTTCTTACATCTTCTCTCTACAACTTCAAAAACTTTACTCTGACATTTATATTCCTTTCAAAGTTCTAGAAGATTTTCATCTTTTTATCCCCATTGAAAAAAATCAAATATTTTAAACTGTTCTCTCTATAACAGGCATTGTATTTAATAAATGATGTTATAGAAGAATAGACAGTTGTGATAAATTAGGAAAATGAATTCTTTTTTTTTCTTTTAGAAGTTTAAGATGTACTCTTAAGAGTGAGATGCTGAAATAGAGTGGCAGTAGAGGTCATTCAATGGAGAAAAATTTTAAAAATGGGAGATTGATGGATATCTAAATAGACATGCATATTTTCAGTCTAATGGCAGGAGTTGGGATAACAATGAAGGAGACTTTAGTTCAATTGAACTCCTGAATGAATAGGAGCAAATGACCCATCAAGATATATTAATGATAAAGAAGAGGAAGAGAGTATACATTTAAGAAAAGGAGAGTGTTTTATATGAGGGAGAAAAAAATGATCAAGCTTTGAAAAACATGGTTAGAAGAATGGGTCATGGCTCTGCCTCCAGACTTCATGGACAATAATGTGAGGTGAGAGAAGGACCAGTGTCCAATCATGGAGAGAAATACAAGTTTCAGTCTGTGGAAACAAATAGAAGTTTCTACAAATAGACTATAAATACAGTGAACTTTTTTGGAAATGCAACGAAGTTGGATTGTACAATATGGTAGAAGGAATAGAAAGCTATGTATTAATAAAGTCATGAAAGCAATGGGTAAGTAGAATATGCTATCTTCAGGAACTGTGGCTATGAGAGATATAGATGGAATCAGCCTATGGATATTAAATGCCACACCAGAAGGCTGAATGAAATCAGTGGAATGTCTGTGGCTGTGACTGAGGGGGTAGCTTGAATTGGCATGTGGCATTACCTCAGTAGAAGCTGTATAGTCTAAGTGGAAGAATGACGAGTGGCTTATTCTTCTTCTTGTATTCAGGGCTCACCAGAGTGTTGTTGCTTCTACTGCTGCTTAAGCCTAGCCTTGCTGAGTCCTATCTACTGTTGAGACAAAGTCTCAGTGGTGCTACAAAGGTACAGTGCTCCTGAGTGTTCTGTTTCCACTGAAGAGTATAAAGGTAGTATCTGCCAAGTGGGACTTTACGTTCATGAATGTTTCCTCAAGACAGAGTAAAAGTTATATTAAATTGTCAGATTAAAATAGAGAGGTCCAGAATGAATTAGTAGCAAGTAATTTAATCTGATAATCTCAGAATGAGAGTATTTTAAGTCATCAGGAAGTAAGATCGCATTAGTCTTACGTTGTGTTGGTTGACATTCTTTCTCTTTGCTTTGGAAGGCAGGGATGAGGCCTTTTTAACCTCCTTCTTTTTCTCTCCCCATTTCTTTGCTCCCTCCCCACTCTGGCTAGGGCAGTGGAATAGTAGCAGTCTAATGTGATGTATCAGACAAGAACACCTTCTTGCCTGGTGATACTTATAGCTTGGTATTCTCTTCAGCAGGCTTCGTGGCTATTACACTGTACTTTTTCAACATTAATATTCCCATTCTATTGCTTAAATTACCCACTAAGAATGATATCAAAGTTATTTCCAGTACATTTTCATTTAAGGATAATGATCATTAATGACTACAAAGCTGAGATTTCCTCAGCTCAGAAAGCCTGAATATAGCTAAAGAAGATGAGCAGGGCTGGATATTAGTGATAAATATAGAAGATTAACTTCTTATTGGGGTAGAAAAAGATATTTAGATTGCTAAGTTGTAATGAAAATTAAAACCTATAGTTCCTAAATAGTTCTAAGCCAGCCGTTACTTATAAACAGACTATTCCTATATCACTTATACAAAATCTTTATTAGTCTTGCCTCTAATTGCAATTTACATGTTGGAAACAGCCCTAAATTTCCTGACATATTCATATCAGTGTCTTCTTTTACATCTCACATACAGTGGTCCCTACATGATGATTAGCATATCCTCTCTAATTCTGTAAGAATTACAAAGTATATCATAATTTCATTTTGGTCACTCCACTTTAAATTGTTTATTCTTGGTCTAAAAAAATCCTATGTTTAGTATAATTGTTCTGCATATTTCCCTATACCATTTCTGTTAAATTAGAAAACTTCCTTCATTTCTCATTTCAACTTTTATTATGTTGGTCATCCTTAGTTTAAGCAAAAGAAAACGACAAGAATTGATCATCTTCTCCCACCCTTTAGCTTTTCAACTTATTTTCTCTGGACATGCTTCCCTCAGCCTCCCCCCCCCTAGAACTATTGATGCTCTAGGACTGATTCCTTGACTGACAGTGTTACTGATGAACACTTTAGCCTTCTTGGCTCACACCTGCTCCTACATTAAAACCTCATGAATGAACATGTAGGAATCCGTTTGCTCCCAGGTCAGTTTTCTACTTCTCTCACAGTGGTAACTTTGTAATCAGAACTCGTGGTGTCTTAGAATTCTAGTTTCACTCCAATATCAGTCTTGAGTCTGTTCTCTGGCTGAAGCTTTGTTCTACCCCACAATGCTATAATGTTGAGCTCTGCCTTCCATGGCTACGTGAACTCTGGATACTGAGCTTGCTCATAGAAAACATGTTGTTAACATTGTCTAATATTAGATGAACCTTAAAGTATGTGGCCTCCATTTCTACTGTACCTTAATATACTTCTGCAACTAGTCTTTACAAATATGTTTTTTCATGTTTTCCATGATCTAGATAACAAGTTTTATACAGCCTTCAGTCCAAGAGAACAATTATGCCACCAATCTGAGCTTCCAGTAAGACACCGATGGCTGTACCATGTATCTTCCATCAGCCTCACAATCGCTCTGCTTGCATCCTATCTAGCACTGCATAATTCTCAAAAAGCTAACCTAATTCTAGGTTCAAAGCAATTCTATCATGCCTAAATAGAATTAAAAGTGTGTCCAGATACTCTATCTTATTTCATTGACTCTGAAAACTATTGTAGGTATGGTACTGGGTATAGAAAAACAAAATGCATGTATAACACTATGTAGCATGTATATATGTGTGTGTGTGTGCATGTGTATATATAATATATATGATAAATATATATGATATATAATATACTATATATTATGATACATAATATATATACACACACATATATATAGCTTTTAAATATACAAACACAAAAACTAGGTATAGTTTAATTAATAGTGTCAGTCTTATCTATTATGCCTTCATGGACTATGTTATTTCTATTTAGTAGCAAAGACTCAGGACACTAAGGATGGCATCTAGGCTACCCTGTGTCAAGTAGCACTCAAATGTGATATGATGGTAATAATTGATAACATAGGTATCCAATACATACAATGGGCAATTACGTTTACATGAAGAAAAACTGATAATTTATTAGTTTAGAATAAAAAGGTGGATATGATTGTTTGAGCAAAACTCATTTGCCTGATATCACTTCCCAAAGAAATTATTAACTTTCTCTATGCTATTTCTCAGAGTTATCCTTAACTATGTTGAAAAATTCAGCTAAGTACAGAGCGCAAATCTCTTATCTTTTTAAAGCCTTTTCATGCTCATACACCACAAAAAGCAGAGGTCTTTTTATTACATAGTATCCTCAGTTTCATGGAGAAAAACAAATACTAAAGAGTCATGACAGCATTAATAAAATATTTGTTTTGAGATATCAATATTTTGATTATAAGTATTCTTAGTTTGCTAAGAACAACCACATGCAATGTCAGTCATGAGCCTTAGAGTTCATTAAACCACGAATGTCCTAAATAATGTGTATCTGCTAGTAGTGTTGTCCAGGTTTGTCATTTATTATTAAGATACAAGATATTATTTTCAGTAGCATTTGGTTTGTTCTTTTCATGAAAGCATGAGAGTTGTTTTACTTACATTTAAAAAAAAAAAGCATACAAGGGCAATATTCAATTATTTTATGTATCAACTAATGTATGGCAGCTATGAAATCCAGTTAATAAAAATGTTTTCTTTTTGTTTTTCTGCCCACTTTATGTGTTTAGTAATGTTTTCAATTATATGTATTGAATAATGATGAATTGATGTGTAATATACTCTAAAATTAACACAGCATAATTTTTTTAATTGATTCCCAAGTATTCGAATCTGCTCTTACCTATGTTCCATGTATTTCTAATTTTATGAAATTGAGCATAAATAATTCACCCATGTCACCATTGTCTTCTCTGTCTACCTTTTTACCTGAACCTTCTTTTCCATCTTTTTGCTTATTCTTTTTAAAAAATTTTCACAAACCTTTGTTTATGTCATATATTTATGTAATCATGACCATTTTAAGAAAAATATGTAAATCAATATAGAAAATAATTTGCATTTCTATAAACTAACAACAGATTGTCCAAAGAGGAAATTAAGAAAGCAATCTTATTTACAATAGCATCAAAAAAGAATAAAATACTTAGGAATAAACTTAAGAAGGTGAAAGACTTGTACACCAAGAACTATATAACACTGAAACAAATTAAAGGAGACATAAATAAATGGAGAGATATCCTGTGTTCATGGATTGGAAAAATGATTATTGTTAAACTATAATACTCAAAGCAATCTGCAGACTCAATGTGATCTTTATTAAAATTCCAGTGGCTTTTTTTTAACAGAAAATAATCTTAACATTCATATGGATAGATAAAAGACCCCAAATAGCCAAAGCAATTTTAAGCAAGAAGGACAAAACTAGAGGCATCATGCTTACTCCTTTCCAAACATATTACAAAGCTCCAGTAATCAAAACATTATGATATGAGCATAAAAACAGACATATAGGCAAATGGAACAGAAAAGAGAGCCCAGAAAAACTCATGCATAAATAGTTAACTGATCTTCAACAAGGTAGCCAAAAATATAAACTGGGAAAAGGATAGCTTTTTCAACAAGTGGCATTGGAAAAACTGGATATCCACATGCAAAAATAAAATGAAATTGGACCCTTATGCCACACACAAAGAATAACTCAACATGGATTAAAGATTTATGCATAAGACTTGAAACTGTAAAACTCCTAGAATTAAAAGTTAGAAAAAAAGCTTCTTGACCCTGGCCTTGGCAATGATTTTTCAGATTCAACACCAAAAGCAAAGTCAACAAAAGTGGGATTTCAAACAAATATCTTCTGTACAGCAAAGAAAGCATTCAACACAATAAAAACACAACCTATGAAATGGCAGAAAATATTTGCAAACCGTGTCTGATAAGAGGTTAATATTTGCGTGTATAAGGAATCCCTATGACTCAATAACAAATAACCCAATTAAAAAATGGGTGAAGGAACTAAACAAATATTTCTCCAAGGAAGACACGCAAATGACCAATAGGTATTTGTAAAGGTGCTCAACATTTCTTTTTTTTTTGAAACTGTTGTTTATTTTCCATCAACCTTATTTATTTCCATGTTGCTTAAGAGCCTGTGCAAGAACAACAGCTTAAGACCTTTCAGTGGTTGCTCCTACCCATTCAGTGGCCTGAGCAGTGGGAGCTGCAGAGCGGTCTTCCGTGGCAGGCTGAGCACTCCAATCTTCAGTAGGCACAGAGGTCACCTGCACGCTTTCAGACCAGTCTGCAATCTCAGGCTAAGTAGCAGTGAACTCAGGAGCTGGAGCAGTACATTCACCCTGAAATTCCTCCTCAGTCACAGCCTTTTCAGCAACAGCCTGCTCTTCTTTTTCAATCTCTTCAGGATCTCTGTAGAAGTAGAGATCAGGCATGACCTCCATGGGTGTTCATGGGAAATGGTGCCACACATGTGCAGAATTTCCCGAGCCAGCATCCACCACATTAAACCCACTGAGTGAGCTCCCTTGTTGTTGCATGGGATGTCAATGTCCACATAGCGCAGGGGAGAATCTGTGTTACACAGAGCAATGGTAGGTAGGTTAACATAAGATGCCTCTGTGAGAGGCTGGCGGTCAGCCCTGGGGTCAGTAACCACAAGAAGCCATGGCTCCTGGAAGGCTGCCTGGATCTGGTTAGTGAAGCTTCCAGGAATGAAGTGGCCAGCAATTGGAGTTTGCTCCAGTGGCAGCAGCAAACTTCAGCATGGCCCTCTGGCCAGTATTCCTGGAGGATATGACACTGACATCTACAGGGTTTTCAATGGCAACAATGGCATGAGCTGCCAGCGGAAGCTTCTCCCAGGTCCTCTTCAGATTTATGATGTAGATGCCATCACTTTTCCTTTTATAGATGTACTGTTCCATCTGGAAGTCAAGATTGGTGCCACCTAAGTGGGTTCCTGCTGCAAGGAACGTAAGGACATCATCCTCCTTCATTTGCAGGACATCAAGGGCTCCAGACATTGTGATAGTTTCCCTTTAAGTTACGATAGGAATCCAGAACAACACTGTATGGACCCTTCTGTAGGTAGCGCGGAAAGGCAGTACTCGACACTTCTAATCATCAGGGAAATGCAAATTAAAAGTATAGAGCTATATCACATTATACTTGTTAGGATGGCTATTATCAAAACAAAATAAAGCTACAAAAGAAAACAAGCATTTGTGAAAATATGAGAAAAGGGGAACTCTTGTATATTGTTGGTGGGAACATATGTTGATGCAGCCACTAGGGAAAGCAGTAGGAGAATCTTAAAAAAAATAAAAACAGAACTACTACATGATTCAGCAATCCCACTCTTTGGTATATATCCAGAGGATTTAAAATCAGAATTTTGAAGAGATATCTGCACTCCCATACTCACTGCAGCATTATTCACAATAGTGAGGACACAGAAGCAAGCTTAATGTCCATCTGTAGATGAACAGACAAAGAAAATGTGGCATATACATACGATGGAATATGATTCAACCTTAAGAAAAGAGAAAATCATGTCATTTGTGATGACATCAGTGATCCTGAAGTATTTTATGCTAAGTGAAATTAGCCAGCACAGAAGGAAAGATACTATATGATACTACTTATGATCCTGAAATGGTGAGACTCATGGAAGTAGAGAGTATAATGTTAGGGACGTGGAGAAGGGAGAAAGAGGAAGGTATTAGGCAAAGGACATATAGTGTTACACAAGATGAATAATTCCTAGAGATCCACTGTACAGCATAGCGACTATAGTTAACAATACTGTATTGTGTACTTAAAAATTTGCTAAGGAGGTAGACTTAGATTGAATGTTCTTATTG
The DNA here is from genome assembly GCF_000001405.40 of Homo sapiens. Classification (NCBI taxonomy): domain Eukaryota; kingdom Metazoa; phylum Chordata; class Mammalia; order Primates; family Hominidae; genus Homo; species Homo sapiens. The sequence continues at coordinate 67,268,545 of NC_000013.11, forward strand.
CATACACAATGGTAATAAGTAAGAGGGCAGAAGGAAGCTTTTAGAGGTGATGGAGAGGTATATGGCATAGATTGTGTTGACAGTTTCATGGGTATGTACTTATCTCAAAACTCACCAAATTACACGTATTAAATATGTGCAGCATTTTGTATATGAATTATACTTCAATAAAGTGGTCAAAAAAAGAAAGAAAAATACACAAATGAGTCACACAGAGCTTTTAATTCAGTAAGAGTAAAAAAACACATATATTTTTATTTTATTTTATTTTTTGAGACAGAGTCTTCTTGCTCTGTCACCCAGGCTGGAGTGCAATGGAGCGACCTCGGCTCACTGCAACCTCCACCTCCCGGGTTCAAGTGATTCTCCTGCCTCAGCCTCCCAAGTGGCTGGGATTACAGGCACTTGCCACCAAGCCTGGCTAATGTTTGTATTTTTAGTAGAGATGGGATTTCACTGTGTTGGCCAGGCTAGTCTGGAACTCCTGACCTCAGGTGATCCGCCCACCTCGGCCTCCCAAAGTGCTGGGATTACAGACATGAGCCATTGTGCCTGGTCAAAAAGACACTTACATTTTAAAGTTCAATTACAAATCAATTGACAAATATAAAAATATTATGTTCTTTTTCTATAACTGACAACACAGCTGAAATGATAATATAAGAGAGTAGGTATGAGTCTATTTATTATATATGTACATCTTTTCTTAAAAATATAGGCTGACAGAAGATTTCACATAGTCGAAAAACTAGAAAGTACCCTGAGGGTACACAGTAATCTAAATCAAAGAAAGCTGACAAAGACAAGATAAACAAGATAATAACAGGGTCAAAACATTCCTGTTGCCACATCTAATGAAACAAACAAGCAAAGAAATAAAAAGAAAAGCAGCAGAAACAAACAAACAAGCAAATAAAAAATGCTAACTTTAATCAAACTAGGAAAGGGTAAAAACTTATATCAGGTAGTTGGAAAATCATTGACCACAGCAAGAAAACCATTGATTAAATATGTGAATGTTACTCTACTCCTCCAAAAGCACATCGGTGTGTAAGAAATTGGTGAGTGGAGTAGAAATTACTGGCCGTATGGCTGGGCATGGTGGCTCACGCCTGTAATCCCAGCACTTTGGGAGGCCCAGGTGGGCGGATCACCTGAGGTCAGGAGTTCAAGACCAGCCAGGCCAACATAGTGAAAGCTTGTCTCTACTAAAAATACAAAAATCAGCTGGTCATGGTGGCAGGCACCTGTAATACCAGCTACTCGGGAGGCTGAGACAGGAGAATCGCTTGAACCTGGGAGGCAGAGGTTACAGTGAGCTGAGATTGCACCACTGTCCTCCAGCCTGGACAACAAAGGGCGAAACTTTGTCTCAAAAAAAAAAAAAAAAAAAAAAAAAAATACTGCCTGTCCCCATTATACATTCTTTCTTTCTTTTTCTTAGTATTAGAGATTCCAATTTTGGCTTGGAACACAAACACATAGGATAAAAGATTACATTTTCAAGTCTTTTTGCAAGTAGGTATTGGAAATGATTTAGTTTTGACCAATGTGCTGTGGAATGAATTGTTGAGTGTGATTGTAGGTAGGTGTCCTTGAAGGAAGGGTGCATAATCTTCCTTCCCCTGTCCTCATTTCTGCTGGCTGGTGGATGCAGTGGCTGAAGCTGGAGTGCTCTTGAATCACAACGTGGAATGTGGATACCAAAAGGAGGATTCAAGTTTAAAAAAGATTGGATCCCTCATGATCCTTGAGCTGCCATATAATCCCATACTACACAAAGGATATAGCAAAAATTTAAGCTTCTGTCATGTTTTAGCTTCCATTATTTGGATTCTTTCACAGCTGAAAATAATCCCATTCTTGATGTAAAAGGATATCAATCAGTGAAACATTCCTATCTTCCTATTTTAATCCTTTCATTCAATTGGGTGTACCAATTTAGTAAAGCTCCTAAGTGGAAGGTTGTTCTTTCCTTTCCTCCCTATCCAGGGCCAGAGAGAGACAATGGGTTATGTAAATGCTTCAGCTCTACAGACTCACATTTATCCTCCAGTGGGTTTTGCCAAAACTGTGGACTAGGTGGATTCAGGGTCACCTTGAACTGCTTTCTCCAACATGTCTGCTGGTGACAACATATTCATCTTGAACACCACAATTTCACATCTCTCAATTAGCTTAGAAATAAGCGGGAGAGAATAATTTATTGGTGGTCTCAGTCCCCCAATAAAAGTTAAGTGAAAACAACAACAACCACAACAAAACTCTTCCAGCTCAAAATTTAGAAGAAAGGGAATGTGATGTGCAGAGAGAAAGCAGCTCAGAGACAACAAGGCATGTAACTGTTGTCTAGGAACCTTCTGCACCCCCATGTGTCAGTAGAAAACTTAGGACCTGCTACTGGAAGGAAAGCATAGGAGATCTCAGGGAATATATCATCATCATATCATTATGATACTTACTGTCAGAGGAAAGTAATAAGACAAGAGATGCTGGCAGTTATGAGTGTAGCAGAGAAAAACAGACAGTCTGAAAAATGGTAGCCTCTTTGAGCCTAAGCCTTCTCGTGGATAATGAAGATTATATTATCCTCACTTCTCTTATTTGGTGGATGTCGGGTCAGATGAAAAAGGTTGAAAAATGTACAGCTCTCTAAAGCGCTAAACCTATTACAGTATTTTCATTTTGCTCTTTCATCCTCTTTTCTCTTGGTTTGGGATATTTCTATTTTTGGAAAAGTTCTCACCCATTTGGGTATCCAAATTTTTTGCATTCTTTACATTAACTCTTTCTGTAATTCCTTTCTCATTTTAATCCTAGGTTCTGGGAAATAGGGTGGTTATTTAGAATATTGTATAATCAAGAAAGTGACATTTTAGGGTCCACATAGCTCTCAAGCTGCCATCATTTCCTTGTTTATATCTGATGGCTTTTTTTCAGTATCAGAATTTCTAATTACCAGAATCAACTTGTCATTAAAATAGCTTTCTCTCTGGATGGTCTGTTTCCCATTGTCTCTCCTAAATCTTCCTTGGACTTATTTATTTTCCCATTAACAGATTACTATCAATATACATCTGTTTTATTTCCTTTTATCAGCTTGATTTCTTGCACCTCACTGTTTTCAGACAGTCATTGTCATCTTTTCAGGTCATTTCAACATTTCCTTTCTGTTTTTTTTTTTTCTTGGATGATATAGTTCTTGTAACATTGATATCCTTGGGAAAAAAATGTCAAGTTGGATTTACACAAAAAAGTGGGGGGAGAGGTAAGAAGTAGTCTTGACACATAAGGTGGGTTACAGAACCATAAATGGTATCTTAAGTCAAAATGATATAAATCAAATCTGATTTTCCTACAGAAATAATGGTAAAATATTTCTGACAGAGAGGCACAGCACTGAATTTTTAAAAGAAATGCCCATATATTTTATATTTAAACTAGTATGAATAATGTTTTGAAATCTGAATGCTAAATTCTTTCAAATGTATTAGCAGAACAAGCTTACCAATCATATAATTTTACTAAATATATTACGTGGTATTGACTTAGTAAGTATCACATTCTGCCATAGTTAAATCTTAATTCCAGACATAGTTTAAAAAAATAAAGAGGAAAGAAATACTTTTACTAGGTGAAAGGCTTCCGTAATGTTATTTTTCTTTTGGTATGTAATTATAATGGACATGTTTGAGGAGACTTTATTTTTCCTGGAGCCTGCTATAAGATACCTGTGAAGAACTAAAGGAACACTGAGGCTTTAAAACAGCGTGAATCTTTTGATAAGCAAATCTAAATATAGATTTGTATGAGGTCATTTGTGTGGCTCTATGTGCTGATGAATTGATGATCTGTGTGTAATTGACTGAGGTTCATCAATGAAAAACCCAAGAACCAGCCTACTCACTTTTCCCTGGGGACAAATGTGCAGAGAAAATTTGAAATAGGTTTCAAATGAAAATAGTTCTACTGAGTTTTACCTTCACAAAACAATGTTATTCTCTTAGATTATGAAAAAATTGAACTTCAAGTTTTCGATAAAAGCCTTTGTGAAAGAAAGAATAAAATAGACCATCCTCTTACACATGCATGTTCCTTGACACATGGTAGGTGCTCAGTAGTTATTTATTGAATAAGCAAAAATTAACTAATGACATTTGGATAACAAAACAACCAACTGGAATTTAAAATAAATGATTGCTTTTATAGATCCCTAAACAAGAATGTGAAATGGCAGCTGACTACATTCAACCCCTTATTCCATCTCAATTTATTCAAGCCCGTCTTTGTGTATTGAGCCATCGCACCAGAGAACTAGCACTAATCAAATACCCCAACTGCAGATTTACTCACAGTTTACACCTGTGAGATTGGATGCAACATAAATATTCTGCTAAGCTTTCTCTTAAATCTGCCGGCAAATACCTTACCGGAGTTATGGTAATATAAAATTTTCTACCTTCATCATATTTATAGTAATGAGTGGTTTAATTGACTTCCCTACAGCAGAACTCTCTTCCTTCTGAATTAAAGTAAGAGTAAAGATGGGGATATTACACTCTATTAATAGTTTAAGATGTAATAAATGGCTCAACCCAAAATAGCTGACTCAGAGACAGACAAAGATATTTTAATTTCTCAACAATTCATATGCAAGGAATGATTGCCCAAGTACAGAATTAGGGAACTGTAGGTTCTGCATGAATCACTTGAAGGCCCAATTCAGAAACTCTGAGAGAGGAATCTGCATTCTTTAACAAAATTTTCTGGTGCTTTTTGTACAATCCAAATGTTGTCAACCATTGTCTTACAATTTCTCTTACTGATTTAAAAAAAATTTCTTAGTTAGGATGGCGTGTTAAGTGTTTTGTCCTAGAAATTTTTTCCACATCAATAACTGACTAGAGACCTACGTGTAATATTAATAAAAACAGTACCTGTAGCATTTGTACTGATTATAGTATCTTTAAATATTTTTAGGAAAGAGGTAATGTGATTAATATTTGTAGAGGAAAATACAAATGGCTATAATATGTGTCAGTAGGAGCTAAAAATTCACCAGCATTAATAACTCCTCTAGTGAGCTCTCAGTATGCACTAAAGCAGTATGCATGCATTCTTCCTATTGCCATGTTAGTAAATATTTACAATAGCACCACATGATAGCTATTAGTATCTCCGTGTTAACAGAGAGACTGAGGGTCAGAGAAGCAAGGTGAGTGATCTGAAATTACATCAATCAGGTCCTTCTTTTGTAGAGTTTGCATTTCAAATTTTGAGAAACTAATACTCTAAGAGAGAACGGAAGAGGTAGGGGAGAGACAGAAGAGCCTACCCACAACACAGAGAGCGTCCAAGTCTGAGGCTCCCCGGAGGTCCAGAAAACTCACTTTCCAGGAGCTGAATTTCCTCTTACTCCTCCAGGTGTACATTTTGAGTGCTTGTGCGTCTGCCCACCCACCCACTCTCTCTTCCTTTCCTCAGCTCCTGATTGGAGCCGAGTTTTTTGCTAGGGCCTTATCCCTAAAGGGAAGGTTCTGTTTCAGCACACCTGGGACAGAGGCTGGGGTGACATAGTTAGCAGACCCTCCCCAGGTGTGGTGAAACAGGCTTGCTGACACCTCAAACTAATCCCTCGCAGCCAGCTCACAAGCTACTTGGCCTACGTAAGTTTCTTTAGTATCCAGTATCCTTCTTTATTTTATTTCTACCATTTTGCCTCAAGATTGTGCCCTGTCTACACCCTCTAGTGCTCAGCTTCTCTCAGGTAAAATTTTGATTTTTATCTTTCGTACATTATTGAGTATTTTGGATTTTTTTTCATCTCTTCGTGATAGTAGCATTTCAAGCCTTAAATTTTGGAATGGTCTTTTGCTAACAACTTTCAAAATGTAGGACAGCATGAGGAGAAAATGCCTGACTCACTGGCCCATAGCAGACATTTCATACATCATTGTTGAATGAATGAAATAACAAATATATAATGTTTTACATACAAAGCCCATATTTTCATATGGTTGGTTGGTTTGTTCTCTGATCTTTCCCCTTTCTCCCTCTTGGTGTCTTATTTTTGTGTTAAAGATGCAGCTTTCTGTCCATCAACAGATGAATGTATAAAGAAAATCTGGTATACATACACAATGGAATACTATTCAGCCATAAAAAAGAATGAAATCCTTTCATTCATGGCCACATGGATGATCCCAGAGGACATTATGTTAAGTGAAATAAGTAAGTCACAGAAAGATAAAAGCTACATATTTTCACTCATATGTGTGAGCTAAAAAAGTTGAGCTCATAGAAGTAGAGAGTAGAATAGTGATTTCCAGAGGCTGGGAAGGGTAGGGGAGAGGAGGAATAGGAAGAGGTTAGTTACACAACACAAAATCACAGCTTAATAGGAGAAATAAGTTCTAGAGTTCTGTAGTACTATAGTGTGACTATAGTTCACAGTAATTTATTGTATATTTTCAAGTAGCTGGAAGAGAAGATTTTGAATGTTCCTAACACAAATGATAAAAGTTTGAAGGGATGGATGTCCCAATTACCTTGATTTGATAATTATACATCGTAACATGTATTGAAACATTACACTATACCCCATAAATGTGTACAATTATTACATGTCACTTAAAAATAAAAGTTTTAAGAAAGATGTAACTTTTCCTTAATCTCCTTAGATATACCAATTTTATATTTTTAATACCCTCTTTTAAATTACAGATTTCTCTAGAAATCAGCTTTTGTTTTGATCTTGGTTGTTACCTTTACCACCACTAGTTTTCTAAAAATACCTATCTGGTAATCTCTGATTATCTGTGTGTTTTAATAATTAAGCACTGAGAAGGTAGTATGGGCGGCTTCTTCTTCTGATGTATATATGAATGATTTCTCACCTTCCCTGACTGGGAAGTTTGCAGAGACCTCAGTGTGGAGGGGAACGTTAGAGATCACTGGAGTTCTTCACTTTAGGGTGAACAGATGGGCTATCAGATAAGGATTCTCAAATCCCGAGAACAGAGGGGGTTTTACTCTGAGGCTGCAACACTCTATTAAAAACCTGTGCTTTCATTTTGTTAGTATTTCAGCTTCTTTAGAGAAGAACTCCTTATCTTTTGGCCAGAAATTGAGCTCTGTGTGCAGGTGCATGCGTGTGTGTATAGAGTGGTGTGATGGTGGCATACATTGTGCACAGCTGTTTCTTTTAGAAACCTTCAGTTAATCCTCTGGTGTTTCAGCTCTGCTTCTTACTTGGGCCCTCCATACTAGGTGCTGACTTACAGCTCAGTGCCTCCCTGGAGATTTGAAGGATGTATTAGCTCCCATTGCTGCTGTAGATCCCTCGTAGAGTACTTCTGCAGTTCGATTTTTGAATTAGTTTTTAATTCCAGATTTATTAAGCAGTGCTGTTAACTTTTTAAGTGGTTAGTTGTTTTATTTTGTTTGGCTGTTTGTTGTTAATTTCTAGTTTTATTGCAATGGGTTCAGAGAATGTGACATTTATGACTTTGGACGATGGATTTTGAGGTTTATTTTGTTTTGATTTGATTTTTGGTACCAAGGATGCTAGTAACATAGTGAATTTTTTGGCTACTCATCACTGAACTCTTCTATGCTTGAAGAATTCTCCCAATGACTCCTAGGGTGGGGCAGAAACCTCTGATAATAGAAGCTGGTGGATAAAGCTCACTCCAGCACATTCCCTGAGGAAGAATGCAGTATCCGACTGGGCTCAGTGAAGGTTACTAATAGGTTCCTCAAGGCTTTGATCTAATTTCTGTGCCTCACTCAACAATCTCTACACTCTTTCATCTTCTGCCTATGGAGTAGTGAGAATGTCTTTCGGTCTAAATACAGTTATTAATGAGCAGGACATAGGAAAGGAGTTAACATAGAGACTATTCTGATCTGGAGATTTCACTGCTTACCAAAGGTTTTTCTTCTTCTTTAATTATTGGGGTAGCCACACTCCAGGATTTAATTGGGGAACTGCTTCCCTGACATTTTGTAGTATAGTCTCCATCTTGGACTGTCCATTGGAGTCACCAAGTGTAATAATGTAAGTCACAACCAATTTTGGTCCTGGTGAAGTTTCCAGACTTCTTTAATACCTACCACCTACAAAATTCACAAACAGGTATGTATGCACACACACACATAGACACACACGCACACACAGAGACACACACACACACACACAAAGATACACGCACAGGCATATGCTTACATGTTATATTGACTCCTCTCAAATTCAAACTAGTGATGTTTTTGGAAAAGAGGAAAAGTCCACTTGCTTCTGTTTGTTCTCTTTTGATACGTGCAGTCAAGTGATGTGTAAATCTAATTGGCTTTTTCCTTAATCCAATTATATTTGGTTCCTCTACTACAAAAATTAATTCAAATTTTGTTCTATTGATGGCACTGATTCTTTTTTTTCTAACTCTGCTGTAAAATTTGTTACATTGACTTGATAATTTCTATTATACCTAAAGGGAGCAAATGTAAATACTTGGGCTCAATTAAGTATCTTGAAATCAATAGTTTATTGTCTTTGTTTCCTTTTCAAAAAGTAAAGCATCCATAATGCTTCCACTAACATGAAGTTTTTGACTTAGTATCTATATTAGTTCATTCTCACACTGCTATGAAGATACCCAAGATGGTAATTTAAAAGTAAAGAGATTTAATTGACTCACAGTTCAGCATGGCTGGGGAGGCCTCAGGAAGCTTACAATCATAGCAGAAGGCAAAGGGGAAGCAAGTAACTTCTTCACAAGGCAGGAGGAAGGAGAGGTGTGAGCAAAGGGGGAAGAACCCTTATAAAACCATCAGATCTTGTGAGAACTCACTCACTATCACCGGAACAGCATGGGGGAAACAGCCCCCATGATTCAATTACCTCCACCTGTCTCCCCCTTGACATGTAGGGATTATGGGGTTAATGGGGATTACGATTTAAGATGAGATTTGGTTGGGGACACAAAGCCTAGCCATATCAGGCTTTGGTCATATGGTCTCTTTTTCAATGTAGTGCACTTACAGTAAGTCACCTCATTGGACTAGGCAGTGCATGCAATTTCTTACAAGCACTCTGACACAAAGTAATAATAGGAAAGCCAATTAAGCAACAGTATAATAAATATAACAAACATCTGGCATTGAGGGATAAGTTTCTTGAGCACACTTAGAATCCCTTAGTAAACTCACCTATTGAATAGCCATTTACCTAATGACTAACCACTGACATATGTGTTTCTCCATTAGCCTCACAAGGAAAACTTTTGGTGATGTGCTGTGTTTCCATTCTTACCTCTTAGCTTTCTAGTTTTACTGAGCTGAGTTTGTCCCCAAACATAACTTTCTGTGTAAATATTTTTACTTCCACGTGGCCAAACATTATACACAAATTTTATTCTGCCTATTTGGTCATGAAATCAAATAAGAAGCCATTTAAACTCCAAGTCAATCAAGTTATTATTCTCCATTTCTAGAGATATGAATCTTATTCCTTCGCTTGTTGTTCAGGAGACATGCATTAAACAACAAAAATCTTCCAAGCTCCTGGAATGTTGGTGAAAACTTCAAACTCATGAACCTAAATGTCTAACTAGCATTTACAGCAAAACCAATTTTTTTTCTATCTACATTTTCCTCTTTATAATGCGTTATAAAAGATAAGATGTACGTCTCATTTTTGTATGGCCAAAAAAGTAGAAAAACTGAGCATCTAACAGGCCTTAAGGCAGGGAGCAGGACTTATATCCCTGTCTGAATAGAATAGTTAGCCAGGAGACAGAAGCTTTCTCAAGTTACATCACGGATATCAGCCAAGTTTGCAAGGAGGTAGACAGTGTGTCAGCATAATTTTGACCAGAAGCCAAAGGGATGAACTTGGGGCCAAACAGGAAAGAATTCTTCACTACCCTAGAGACTGAAAGAAAGACCCAAGACAATAACTTGAGCCAGACATTAGACATGGGAATGAATAACTAGACCAGCTACAACCTTCGAGGTTGAGAGGTCTACAGACTAAAGGAGAGTAATGATGAGTGTGTTGTGAAAGTCTGCATTTTTAAAATTCCACTGCTTATTATTTTGAGGAGAAATGCACCAAACATAACTCTACTTGTAGTAAAGGAAGGGTTCAATAACGATGCTTTTTTATTTCATTGAGAAATTTAAAGCAATTCGGCATGAGAGTTCTGCTTTCACAACTACAAATAGAAGGCAGGGAAATTCTGGGCCAAAGACAGCAGGTTCCACTGAGGCCCTTAACCTCAAGCCAAAAAGCCTGGACCCATGGCCCAAAGTAAAAACTTACATTCCTATTTTCCCACTCAAATGTTGCCTTTTCTGAAACCACCCATGGCCCACTCGCTTCCCATCCTGTGCCTACAAAAAGCCCAGAATGCAGCTGGCAGAGAGGAGAAGCGGCTGGATGTTGGAAACTATGGCTGACATCAAAGAGAAGAGGCTTGACTTCAGAGGGACAGCTTGACAGCGTAGTTTCAGAGAAGAGTCCATCCCTGCCCGGACCCCAGGGGAAGATTACCTTCCTGCTCTGACCCCTTTTCAGCTCCCCTTCCTGATGAGAGCCACTTTCAATGACAATAAAATCCAACACATTTACCATGTTCAACTCATTAGTGCAACCTCATTCCTCCTGAATGCCAGACAAGAACTCAGGTGCCAAGAGTGCAGGTGAAAAAGACTGTCACACTGACCCTTCACTGAGCTGCTAACACTTAAGCCATCCACGATAGCAGAGATAAAAGAGCACTCTAATACTCCTTCTGGGGCTTCAGGGGTTGCATGCACCCCTGTAGACACTGCCACGGGGCCCACATGGAATTTTGCTCCTGACAGTGCCCAAAAGCACTTGCCGCAACTCCTGCACCTGCTCACCTGTGCTCCCCCTCCAATGAGGGATGGAGCACAGGGGGAACGAGTCAGTGGAGTCTGCCCCCCTGCTGGCACAGAAGTGGCCAACTGGTTCTAGTGCCCATGCACTTCCAATTCCTGCCCATGAAGGGGTCAGGGAAATATCCTGCTTCACAATCACCTCACCTGTTTTCTTTCAGTTTCAGAGACAAGTGCTTATAGGGTTGAAGGCCGGTGTCTCCATTTGTGCTGAGTCTCCTCTTCTCCTGCTTCAGGGGTCTTATTTCACCATTTCTTACTCCTTTCCTGTGAATCTTAAACCACTCTCTTTTATCTATTCCTTTAACATCTAATCATATTAAGTAAACATACTCTGTCTTTAAAATAGTGTTTAATTCTATATTCTCTCTCTAGCTAGTACCCTGTCTCTCCTTTCCTTTATAGCCAAGCCTCGTGAAAATTAATCATTTCTGTTTTAATTTCTTTGTGATTTAATCCAGTTAACATTTCAGCCCATTGCAATATGATATAGCTCCTAATACTCTGAGAATATTGCCCTTTTTGAGGTCATTATAAAGTTTTTTTGTGATTAAATTCAAAAAAGTACTTCTAGTCCTCATTTTAATCAAATCCACTAAGCATTTGACTGCTTTACTTCTGTATACATTCATACATGTCACTCTCTGAAGAGAACTTCACTAGGCATTTTATCTTCTCCAAAGGACTCTACTTAGTTTGTACAATTGGGCAACAGAAGAGTGATGGGGAAGAAGTCGAAGAGAGTGGTAAAAAACTGGAATTTCAGAAATACAGCTTTCATCGGGATAATTTCCTCTTCTTATTGGTAGGTTCAGATTATTGCAGAGAGCAAAAATCACATAATGAATAAGATACTGCTGTATCTCATTTCAACCTCGGAAGCAGTTTAAACACTTCCAAAGGGGAGCAGCATATCAACACAGAAACGGCTTATTCATTAAATTTATAGAAGTATAACATCACACTTGTAGAGCGAACCTTCCATTACCTGTTTTGTGAGAACACTGCAGTTTCTATTTGTTCTCCCAGCATTTAACTTTGGCTAGAACTCTATCAAATTAAGAATGCATACTGACACTGTCAAATGTACAATCACTAAAGATGTAAAAATGATGAAGGATTAAGAATATATGTTTTAAAATTTACAAGTAAATTTTAAAAAGAGAAAAAATTCAGATAATATTAGGACAATTGGAAGTATCCATTATTTACGGAATAGCTTATGAGAGGGTGAAAGAAAATTTGAGGCTGGAGAATGAGGACTCACAGAAAGTGTTAAACTTTTGAATACCACATTCTGGATGTTTTATTTTCTCATATTAGACATGTTTTTGAAAATCAAGATTATGTATATTTTCAAAATAGTAGCTTCAAAAGATCTTCCAAAAAGGTATTCATATTCATCTCTACCTTTTATTGCTTCTCTTTCCTTGTGAATATATATAAATATCCACAAGCAAAAAAACTCTTTGAAATGGGCATAGATCATTACACTGGTTTGGCATATTTGGTGGAAAAGAGAGAATAGGAAACTTCTCTAACATGAGATGCAAATCAGAAAATATATGTGATTTAGTGACAGATTAGCATCATTTATTTTTATATTTGCTGCATTTTGTTATTTTTAATAGAATTTCATTTGCCTGGATTTGACTCCAAAATGTTAAGTTATTTAACAGATATCATTAGGTTGCTAAGCATTAACACTTAATTATCATATTAATAAACAGTTATTACTTTCTTCTACACTGTGCCTTGCCTCTGCCACATTAGTATGCATGCACTGCTCTTAGGCAACTTAATTGTCCTTAAAGGAAATCATTACAATTTAAATGAAATTGGGAGCTACTGGTTAGGGAAGGCTGTAGGGCATGCACAATACATACTAAACAAGGAACTGTAATTTCCCCAAATCACATTTTTTTTTTCAGTAATTTCACATCACAGCACTATATCTATTTGGTTAAGGGGAAAACAGTTTATTTTTTGCCTTGCAATTTTATAAGGGCACCATTTAACCAAGGACATGCAAGACTTTGAAATGGTAGCAAAGGAACTTGAGTAAATCAAATAATTTCTTTGCAGCTGGTAAACTGTTGTCAGCATTTGCAGCAGTCAATGAAGCAATAAAGTATAGCATGGTGGGCAGCCATCAACCACCACGTCTGCCTCTAGGACTGAGGGCAGCAGGAGGCCAGAGACTTTATGGAGACAGCTGTTGCCTCTCCCCATATGTGATTTTGTTCATTCACTTCACAGCAATGCACTTCACACGCTGCTGCAAAAATGGGGACTAGGGCCATTCTCCTGTGTCCTGTTACCCCTTTCTCACAGTCAAGAACTCATCTTTTTTTCATCCTCAATCATAAAATGACTTAGTTTAGTGATTTGAGTTAAATACTCTGCTATTGAGATGCAAAGAGTTTAAATATCCCTGGACTCTTATTTGTGATAGATAATTAATCAATGTCTTACACAACCTTAAACAGCTCTTCATTTTTCGTGAGTGACTCATGATAAAAACAAGGATTTAATTCACGTGGGTATTTAGCATTTTCAGATTAATTAGTTAGCAACTGAGAGTTAACCTTATTAATGCCCAGCTTTGTGGGAATATATGAGGACTAACAGTAAAATAAAGGAAAATTCTGCTTTTAAAAATATATAAAGAATAAAATAGGAATTCAAAATATTGAAACTAAACCACAGGGCTGATAGGTATTGAGAAGCCTATAGTAGGCACCTATCAAGCCCATGGCAAAGGTTACCTCTCATTGACACAAGTTGAATATTTCTATTTTACACGCAAGTTAAATGTCTCTATTTCACACATTAGAAAATCGAGAGCAGACAGTCTCATTAACTTCCTCCTTTGTCTTGTAGTTATTAAATGGCTGTATAAGGTCTGTCTGCCTCTGGTGTACATATTCATACTTGAATGCTTCACTGCAAACCCCAAAAGAACCTTTATTATTACTATGGACCGCCCTGTTACATCTAGAACTTTCTACTAATATAGGAAGAGAAAACTGATTTATTAATCATTGCAAAATAATTTACAGAGACTCCCTTCTCTTTGATATTATGAGTTACTGTATTTTTGTTTTTTTCATCAGTAAGAATGCTTTCTGAATAAAGTCTATATTATAACAACCCTTCATAGAGTTTTGTCTTCCTTTTTAATATGAAAAAATAACCAAATTAGTAGGCAGAAGTGAGGAATGATTACTGGTGAAATATGATGCATGACATAAAGCCCTAGAGTCCTTATGGTGGCCTACTGAATTTCCAGATTGGTGATAAGAGATATTCCCTTAATTTTCTGCTTTCCAGGAATGTGAACTTGGGTATGATGTTTAGAATCTCAGAGCTTCAGGTTTCTTACTTGTCAAGTAAGAGGAATAACTTATGCCATATTATTCTACAAATATTAAAGGAACAAAATACACATTCACTTTTTTTTTTTATTTAACTACAAAGCAATGTGTTTTTTTTTTTTTTTTTTTTTTTGAAAACAGTGTCTCCCTCTGTCACCAAGCTGTAGTGCAGTGGTGTGATCATGGCTCACTGCAGCCTAGACCTCCTGGGCTCCAACCATCTTCCCACCTTAGCCTCCCAAGAAGTTGAGACTACAGGTGCAAGCCACTGTGCCCAGCTAATTTTTTTTTTTATTATTTTTGGTAGAGATGAGGTCTTGCTATGTTGCCCAGGCTGGTCTTAAACTCCTGAGCTCAAGTGATCCTCCCACCTGAGCTTCCCAAAGTGCTAGTATTATAGGCGTGAGCCACAGTGCCCAGCAGCAATTTCTTTTTATATTAATGGATTTGTCATTCTGTAGTAGGAAAAGAAGGGGCTTTGGACTCAGACAGACCTAGTTTGGACTAAAAAGACTAATTGTCTGATAATGAATGTTATTTCATCTTAGTTTCAGTTACTGTCTCTCTAAACTGGAGAAAATATGTATTACAGTTGTAGTAAAAAATGAAATCAAATGTATGTTAACTGCTAGTGTGCAAATTATCTAAAGAAAATGATATGAATTGCTACTGTTAATCCAGGTATGATTGGAGTAATCTAAGAATAAAACCCAAAATATACTATGAAAGTAAAATTTGTCCACTGTTCAAAATTTATATTTACATTGTGTAATTCATGTTATCAGACCCAATTTAAGTGCCCACCTAGATTCACTTATTCTCATTTTCCTTCTCTGTTGTCTGATCAATAGAAGACTATGACCACAGCAACTTCCTCTGACTCATCACTAAACACCTAAACAATGCTGGCTGTTTCATCTCTCCTGGGCTAAGGACTAGGCAGTTTCCGTCATTTCCAATGTAGTGGGAGTTGCAGTAGCTCCAAAGTCCAAGCTTAGATATGATGCTGAATAAAGCTGAGCCTGTTTAGTAACAAGCCTTATATTGACTTTCTCTTCATCCTTGCAGCAAGTTCATTTTTCCCTCTCTCTTATCACCTGGAATTTCATTCACCAACTAAGAATTGGCATGCAAGCTTTATCTAAAGCCACATTTTCAAGGCGACTTGAGTTGAAACAACAGACCAGGACAGACCCTGAAAAGTCAACCTGAAGGATGGGGTTTTACAGGAGGGTTCATGCTGAATGAAATAGGGCCATGTTTCTTATGCTAAGTGGGGTGCTGATAGTTCCTTGTATTCAATGACATCATAGTCCTTTTTTCATTTGAAGTGTAACTCTAAGGCAAGTACAGTTGATCAGTATAAGGCCAATTAGAGTTAAACACTTAATAATGTAGTATAACTTTTCTATGACTTTGAAGACTTTCTATAAAGCTAATTACCAATTTAAGATAGGCTGTGAAAGCCAAGGAGTCTCTACTGTAGAATTTAAGGAGACTTTTATCTTCTGTAGTTATAAGATAGATTCTGTTGGAAATCAGACCAAAGATCTGATTATAGAATTGAATCACAAAATAGACTAATGTGTTGCCTTAACAGGTGTCTTATATCCAACTGAGGGTTAGGACAGAGAAATATTGACAGAAGACGGTAAAAAATCCAGGTACCTGACAGATTAGTGAAGGTTTGGGGAGTTCAGAGATCTGAGGAATTCCAGAATATGCTGCATTAAATTAAAGTTGTCGCTCATAGCATTATGTACCACAAGGAGCCATTGTGCTTGATATGGTTTTTTGCATTATGGATGCACCATGCACATCACTTGAAAATAAAACCCCAAACCACTGATCAGGAGATTCTCAATGCTACCTGTTTTGAATGAGGTTCAAAGATCCAGTATTCAGTGCAGGCTGCCCTGCTTTTATAACCATTTCATTCATAGACCCATTTATTCTAGAGGAATCTGTAGCAGATAATGATGCTGAGTTAACTCTCTGGTTATGAGATAGTCATATGAGGTCCTGTGGCCACACACACCAAGGCAGATAATTACCCTACATTTGTAAAATATAGTTTGTTTATGTATGTCAGTAAGTGCTTTTATCTGAGCAACTAAGGAGCACCAAGAGCTTGTATAACCAAAACTTTCCACCATAAACTAAATTATTTTGAATTCAGCTACTCATAAGGTTAGGCAGGTGGTATAGCAATTGAATATTCGATAGAAGTGACACATTTAGAAGTAGGCTGAAGCAGATCCAGAAAGCACAAGTAAATTAAATGAACAGATGGCCCAGACTCCCTTGTCACTTACTTCTGTTTATTCGATGCTTATCCTCAAACTCACAACTATGTCCTTACGGAGGGTAACTTTTGACCAATCAACAAAGGGAGAAAAGACAGAGACCTGGCTCCCAGATAAAACACCACAATATGTTGGCATTATCAGCAAAAGAACTGCTGCCACATTGCATCCCCATTCATAGCTTGCTCTGAAAGACAATAATGAAATCAAGTCATATCAGAGGGTGAATCTGTAAGCGAACTACTCATTCATCTACTTTGCACAGAAGGATATGTCATCTAATATATGGATAAACATGAAGTTCTGTGTACTGGATAATGGCTGAGAAGAAATAAGAAGGGAGGACTGGGGATAAGGAGGTCTAAAGAAGAGTTATATGGATAAACTTATGGGGGAGGGTACCAAGCATGCAGATTTCTTTGTCTCATATTAATGCCAACCAGTGACCTTCTATCACATAGCAGGCTCTCAAAAACTAGGTGGACAAGATGACCTGTACAATGCAAATCAGCAAGCCTCTTTCCTCAGCTATTCCATTACCTGTCAAATGGGCCTATGAACAGAATCACTATGGTGTCATAGCTGGAAGCTCTGTACTTGTCAAAAATTATCGGTTGCCTATTGTGAAGGCTGAAATAGCTACTGCAGAATGTCCAACCACTGAAGTAAAGATAAGTGCTGGCTCTTGAACATGTCACTGTTTCCCAGTGGAAACATACAGTTACAAGTAGATTATATTACACACCTTCAGCTTTGGAAGGAACAAAGCTGCCTTTCACTGAAATTGATACACACTCAGTTTGCCTCCATACTTCTGCCAGCCTCATCTTTTGATGACTGTTAGAATGCCTGATCCAATAACATATCCTACACAGTACTACCTCTAATTAAAGGAGCCATATAATGGGAATAATTTTTGTTAATGGGTGTATGACCATGAGATTTTCTGATCTTACCATGCTCTCCATTTATCCAAAATGACTGCTTCCACAGAATTATGCAACGGCCTATTGAAGTCTGCTAAGGTATCAACTTGGAATCAACATCTCGAGGTGCTTGGACTACTCTTTTGGTCATCTATTGCTACACAATGAATCATCCTTAAACTAAGTAGCTTAAATGAATTACTATTATCTCTCACCCTTCTGTTGATTGATTCAGTTTCAGCTGGAATGTCCTTGTTGGAAGTTTTTAGTTGACTGTGGCCAGAAGAATGGGGCTGAGACTGAGGCTGAATAGGGAGGACAACTCACCCACATGACTGAGAGTTAATGCTAGAAACTCAGCTGGGGCTAACTGAGGTATCCGAACATGACCTCTCCATGTAGCTTGGGCTTGACGGCCAGATTCTTAACAGGAACATTCTAAAAACAGGGATTCTAAGAGACAAGTTGGAGCTGTAAAACTTCTTAGGATCTGATCCATAATATCATTATTGACATTATTTTTGGTCAAGGTACTCACTGAGGTCAGCTCAGATTAAGGAGGTAGAGTCTAATGACATATAAGACTGGAAAAGTTACATTGCACAAGAGCATATGAGATGAAAGATTTTACGTCCATTTTGGAAAACACAATTAATTCAAATGCATCATCCTCCTGGAGGTAGTATATGAGCTGATCCAATGGCTGATATATGGGTTCAAGAAACAAATGGGAGAATTAGGACAGACTCTCTCATCATCAATTATCTCATTTTTAATGGAGATCACTTCCACCAGAGGAAAGTGTAAGATTCACGGAAATGGAAGTTGCTAATATCACTAGGCCATATTGGGATCCTCATTCTGGAGAGTTTGCAGGCAAAGAAAGAATTACTGGACTGCCTGGTATTGATAACTTTGATGACCATGAGAAAATGGGAGTGCTTCTGCACAATGGTTGCAGGAAGGAATATGTATTAAATGAAAGAATTTTAATGTGACATTTCTTGGTGTTTCTATGCAACAAATTGAGCCTGACATGAGAAGGGAAACTACACTGAGAACCTTTGCATATATAGATCTTGGTCACTTCCTTACTCCATCAAGCAAGGTGAAATAATTAGTCAAAGAGGGTAGGGGTGGTGAATCTAAATTGGTTGGCAGAGGAATATCAATCATATATATCTCAGTAGCATCTGTGGTAACAGGAACTGTAATATGGTTTGCTAACCCTCAGCAATACTTTTTTAGAAGTCTTCAACTGGCTTAGACTTTAAATGGTTAAATTTGTGCCTCCATTCTTGGTAAATAAGTGGTGCAATCTTATTTTCTTATTAGAGTACATTAGATATTATTGGAGAATGTGAGCAGATCTGACTGACATATGGAATGGACTATATGATATATAATTGTTGTGTTCCTCCAACAGATTTGCTGAGTCCTACCTGTCTCCTGAGCTGGGATGCTTCCTAAATGGAGATCCATGGCTGCCACAATTGTCAAACCCCTAGCACCTCTAGCTACATCAGACAGACTTCCTTGAAGTGATAACCTGGCCACTACTGCATCTCCTATGGAGAGAGCAGAGCGTCTATCCTAGCCAAGCCCCATGTTAGTGAAACCATAGACATTCTCAGTTCTCACCACTTTCAAGCTCATATAATGCACCTCTTTGCTGAATGATGGTGGTGGGGCATTTGACTTCCCTAAGTAACTGTCCATCGGAATTAATACAACTTAGCACTGCAGGATAGTTAATACTTCATGTGATGAACTTCAAGCACTGAAAGATAGGAGATAGAGAGGAGTTAGCAGATAAATAATTGCTCTTCCTTCACTCAGTGTTCCATATCAGAGTGTGGTCGTTTCATATGCCTCTTCAAAGTGTCACGTATAAATAAGCAACTGACTATTACTTATTGCAAATCTTGCGAGCTTGGAAATGAACCTTTTGCTCCCCAAATTCTATTGATCAAAGTAAGTCCCAGAGCCAGGTCAGATTCAAAATCAGTAGAAATAGACTTCATCATGCGATAGAACAAGTTGCATGTGTATACGAAGGAAAGAAGTTCTTGGCATCCAACTCTAGATAATTTATCACAACACTCCTTTTTTTTTTTTTTTTCAAATTTGCCAATTCTTTGTCTTTCAGATCTAATGTCTAGAAATTTTTAACATTTTAATTTCTGGGGTTTATTTTTTAAATTTTACTGAATTTTTAATACTTGATATGAAATTTAAATGTTTAATAATGGGTTTGTATTTTTAGAAAGTTCCTGTTTTGGAATATGGCATTATTGTTTCTCCAACTTAATATTTGATTTTTTCTTTTACAGATGATGCAGTAGACATTCTTCAAAATGAACCATGATGGTCCTCATCTCCTAGTATCCTCACCCTTGTGGCCCCTCCCACAATGAATAAGGTTTGGCCATGGTGGCCAATAGTGACAGTAAGACTTCTGAGGCTAGATCAGAAAAGACATTGTCGTTTCTTTGTTGGGTTTTCTTGAATCACGTGCTCTGGGGACACCAGTTATTGAGGTGTCCCCAGAAAAGAGGACACTCAAGTAGCCCTGGAAAAGGTCCTACATGGGGAAGAACTGAGGCCTCTGGTTAAAAATCAGTACCAGCCCATCAAGTATGTAAAAGAGTTGCCTTGGAAGCTGGTCCTCCGCCCCAGTCAATCTTTCATATGGCTGAAGTTTCAGACATCTTGACTGTTACACCGTGAGAAATTCTAAGCCTGAACCACATTACTAAATTGCTCCCAAATTCCTGACCCATAAAAAACCATGGGAGTAATAGAGGTTCATTGTTATTATTATTATTTTGAGACACAGTCTTCCCCTGTTGCCCAGGCTGGAGTGCATTGGCACAATCTCAGCTCACTGCAACCTCTACCTCCTGAGTTCAAGTGATGCTCCTGCCTCACCCTCCCAAGTAGCTGGGATTACAGGCTCCTGCCACCACACCCGGCTAATTTTTTGTATCTTTAGTAGAGACGGCATTTCACCATGTTAGCCAGGCTGGTCTCGAACTCCTGACCTCGTGATCCACCTGCCTCAGCCTCCCAAAGTACTGGGATTACAGGCTTGAGCCACTGTGTCCGGCTGGTTCATTGTTATTTTAAACCACTGTTTGGGATAGTCTGTTAATCAGCACTAGATAACTAATATAGATACTATTAATTTCAGATTAGGAATAATAGTTTGCTTTCTGAATGTTTTTCTGATATTTTATGAGTTCTGTTTTTGTATTTTTGCTTGTTTTATTATCCCCTGTTTATGGTATTCTTTCCCTTGATGGCCAGTTTATATTTAGGATTGAGACACTAAAAAGTTAACTAAAAGCTTAGTACTGTTCCTATGTTTCCCTACATTGTTTTAAAACTTTTCCCTTTTTCTGAGAGAAACTTACCTATCAATATTTATAGATTTACTCTTTGATTTACTATTTTCCTCAGAGAGGAGTCAAATCTTCAAATTTTCTGTATGGGAAGACTGCTGTAAAGCTGGGGAAAGAGGCTTGGGTTCTACAGTTTTAAGTTGGAAAATGTTAGTTAATATGTGTTGTTTTTTTGGTGGTGCTTCACAACCTTGCCTTCAGCTAAGCCATGGTTTCTCTTATGCAGAGTATCTCTGATGCAGTCTCTTAAGAGAATAAACCTCCTGTCTTCTGCTGGCATGGAGAAAGTGATCTAGAGATCCTATTAACTTCAGTTTTATCCCTCACCTGCCTTTCATAGATGGCTAGTAACGACAAAACTCTAAAACGAGTAGCAACTCTTCCTAGGGATTTTCCAGAGACCCAGGCTCCTTGTATTTTATTGTTCTCTCCTCATCTATAGTATTGCATTCATCTACCTGTGAAGGCTGGAATGCCAGCGCTGGTCCAAGTTGTAGCCAGAAGGATGTGGAGAAAAAACATGAGTGGAGAGCAAATAGCTTTGTTCTTAAAGGACATGTTTTTTTGTTGTTGTTGTTTTGTTTTTGTTTGTTTGTTTGTTTGTTTTGAGATGGAGTCTCGCTCTGTCACCCAGGCTGGCTCTGTCACCAAGGCTGGAGTGCAATGGCATGATCTCGGTTCACTGCAATCCCCACCTCCTGGATTCAAGCTATTCTCCTGCCTCGACCTCTTAAGTACCTGGGATTACAGGCACTCACCACCACACCCAGCTAATTTGTGTATTTTTTTTAGTAGAGACAGGTTTTCACCCTGTTGGCCAGTTGGTCTCGAACTCCTGACCTCAGGTGATCCACCTGCCTTGACCTCAAAAAGTCAAGGGATTACAGGTGTGAGCCACCATCCCCAGCCAAAGGACATGTTCTAAGAGTCACACAAGCTACTTTAATTCACATTCCATTCCCTGTATCTTAGTAAACATATAATATAGCTGCGAGAGATGCTTAGAAATAGAGTCAGATCTGAGCAGTCATGTGTCCAGGTAAGAGAGGGGATATATTATTGAAAGGAGGAATGTGAATACAGTTTGTATTTACTACTTCTGATAATTGTGGCTTTCTCTTCTTTAAAACTTTACCATTCATCACATACATTCAATCTCCCAATATTTTGTTCACAAATCTTGTCTTCTCTTTTATTCTCTTTCTCTTTCAGTGTATCTTTCTTAACTATTATTTTAGTGAATTTGAGAAGCAAGTAAAAACTCATGTACTCCACCTTCCATATTAAATTGGAAGATACTTTCACAAAATAACCACATCTGTACAGCTAAAATATCTGCTAAAATACCTGCTATCGTATATATTTCAATTGATAAAGGAATTTTGCTAAGACCCTATTCTGTGTTCTCTCCAATATAATACTTATACTTAATTATCTGAAATAATGTGCCTTAAATTTTATTATTCATGATTTCCTATAGGAATAAATCTTTGATATTTTCATAGTTTTGGTAATTTAGTAACAAAATGTGTAAAATTTATTTTGAAATTAATACTGAGACATTGTTCTAGAGAAATGTGATTGGTTTAGAAATAGAACATTGCTTTGGAAAAATACATTTTTATAAATAGTAACATACTGAATACTTGAGGTAATGAATTTCTAGTTCACTACAACCCATTTTCCAATCCTATGATTTTAAGTCATTTTTATCTATTTATATAAAATCATCACACTTGCAGTTTTATTTACTCTGTCTCATACTGATTCATAATCTACATTAGCACTGGTATGCATCTCACTACTTATTTATCACAAGTACAGATTGTAATATTTGTATGACTATTTTCATCATAACTTTTATCCTTTCAATAATTGATTTTGAGCTCTCACTCTCTATATATGCTTTTTTATGATTCAATAAAAATGTGAATTTAAAAAATATAATTTCAACATGTACAGAGACTTAACCCCCTCTGTCTCAGGTGAAACTATTTAGTAACATGATAATGAATGTTCAGTAAGACAAAGGAAAATTAAAGCCCAGGAAGCATAGTAAAAGCCATTAAGAATACAAGACCATTATGATAGTAATAATAATTTTGAGAAAATATTAACAAAGTTTGAAATTCAAATTTGTGAAATGCATGTGACCAAAATTATTTTATAGCTTCTTGAAATAATTAAACTAATTGTGGATCTTTTGACAGACTGTCAGAGACTTTGATATTTTATATATATACATATATATACACAAACACACACACATATATATACACATATATACGTATTTTTATTTGAATATGCAAGCTTTAGAATTTTTGTTAAAATTCTAACTTACAAAATGTGTATACAAACTACTTTCCAGAAGGGAAGATAGCTTTTCTTCTTAAAGGATAACAAAGAACTTAACCAGTTATACTCTCAGGAGTGCTCCAAATTTGAAAGCAATAATTTCATTTTACAGATGTAAAATTTTTATTAGATCAACAATGAAACTGTTGTCACTTAAATAAGTAGCTCTTTCTATTAGTTTGTTCTCACATTACTATAAGGAACACCCTAAGACTGGGTAATTTATGAAGAACAGAGGTTTAATTGGCTCAGTTCTACAGGCTGTACAGGAAGCATGGCTGAGGAGGCCACAGAAAACTTACAATCATGGCGGAAGGGGAAGGGGAAGCAGGCATGTCTTACCGTGGCAGAGCAAGAGAGAGAGAAGGAATGGGGATGTGCTACATACTTTTAAACAACTAGATCTCGTGGTAACTCAGTATCATGAGAAGAGCAAGGGGGAAGTCCGCCCCATGATCCGATCACCTCTCATCAGGCCCTTCCTCCAACATAGGTGACTACAATTCAACACAAGATTTGGATGGGCACACAAATAAAAACCATATAACTCTCCAAAATAGATCTATATAGGATGATAGTTGGCTGTCAGTATAAAATGATCACCTGAAGAAACAACTTAAAATATAGATTCATAAAAACCACTCCTACAAATTTTAGCTCATAAAGTTGGGTGCAACTAAAGAATCTACATTTCATAAAACTTCCCTTACAGTTCAAGTTTGGGCACCAGTGATATACATGATAAGGCATAAAATTATTGAATGCCTAACATGGTGAGAGAATGTGTGAGATATTTTTCTGTGTGCTCTTATTTTACTCACAGAATAAACCTGTAAGGCAGACTTCATTATCCAAAATTCACATCAGAGGAAACTAAAGCTCATACAGGTTAAGTACTGTGGTCATACAAAATAGAAATTCTGGAACTTGTATAAAAATGTTATCCTATATGAATTAATTTCCTAGAGATCTCATAACAAAGTAACATAAACCAGGTGGCTTAAAACAAGAGAAATTTCTTTTATCACAGTTCTGGTGACTACAATTCCCAAATCAATGTATCTGTAGGGCCATGATCCTTCTGACATCTGTAGTGGAATCCTTTCTTGCCTTTTGCTAGCTTTTTGTTGCATACTACTGTCTTCTTATAAAGTCACAAGTCATATTAAATTAGGGGCTCACCCTATTCCAGTATTATCTCATCTTTATTATTGGTGGTTAAGTACTGTTGGTTAGGACTTCATCATATCTTCTATGGAGGAAACAGTTCAAACCACAAACCTTTCACTAAAACGTATGTTTCCAGTATGCCACACCACCTCCATAGATCAAACATATACATAATTTCCCTGGATTTCTAAATGGCAATAACCACTTTTTGAGCAGTGAAATTTTTGAATAATCTTTGAAAATAGAATACCTTTAGAAATGAGAAGGACTTGGGTAATATTTACCTTATCCTTTTTATTTCAAAGATGAAGAAAACTGAAGTTAAGAGACAAGAGACCTTATATAACTTGCTCAACGTCATGTAGCTAGTGAAACAGCATACGCCAGAACATTGATCTTCTGATCATTAAATAGGCCAGTTCCTTATTATAATATAATTTCGGCTGTGCTATAAATTTTATGAATATTTGTTTTCAAAAAGCAACATTCTCCTGGAATTGTTTGTCCTGAACTATCAACAGCATTATTTGTAATAAAGTAGGTTTTTCTCTGAATTTGTTCACACTAATACATCATCATGAAGGGTAAATTAATAGGATAATCCTTTAAAAATATTTCTACAGCAAATTCCCAACTCAATAACTATTAGATATTTGTTTTTAAATAGTTTTGTTCTTGAGTTGATACTGCTATTATTTTGATGATTGACTAAGGTAAAATAGTGTGATAAATCTTAAAATATTTAGAAAATAATTTAACAAGAAATGTGCCAGACTTCTAATTTTGACCAAATCAACCAAACAAAACATGTTGAGACAAATTAAGGAGATCTAAGTAAGTGAAAAAATATACAATATTAATTGCTTGGAAGATTCAGTATTGTTAAAATGTGGATTCAATACAAAATAATTCTGAAATGAATACAGCCTCAATCAAAATCTTGACACCTCTGTTTGGAGACATTGACAAGTGGGTTTTAAAATTTATATGAAATTCAAAGTTTCTAGAAAGCAAAGAATGTTCACTAAAGCAACAAAGCTGAAAGACTCACACTACCTTATTTCAATATTTACTGTAAAAGTTCAGTATTCTAAACAATTTGGTATTGTTTTAGGATTGAAAAATAGAACGGAAAGGAAAGTTGATTAGATTAAATTCATTTTCAACATCAGTGCCAAAGCAATTTAATGGAGAAAATGATATATTTTAAACAAATGTTTCCGGAACAATTTGATGAATGTAGTAAAATGAATCTTGATCTCCACATATCATACATAATAATTCAGGTCTGAATTAATTGGCATACACATAAAAGCTAAAAACTACAAAGCTTGTAGAAGAAAACACAGGAGACTATCTTTGTAACCTTAGAGTAGGCAATGATTTCTTAAATAAGACCCCAAAACCAAAAAAGAATAAAAAGTTATAACAATAAACTGGAATAAAACTATCCCTGCTCATGAAAACATGCAATAAAGAAAATGAAAGGCAAGATATAGACTTATGTAATTAGTTATTAGCCAATTAAAACTAAAACCACAATGAGAACAATTTCGCACCCACTACAGTGGCTAAAATTAAAGGGCAACACAAACTAGTAGCTCCACAAATATGGAGCAACTAGAACTCTCATATATTGGTGATAGATTGTCTTGTGTTTTGTATATACTCTTTGGTATTGCATGAAATATACACAATATTGTAATTATTTTGCCCTTATACATAAACAGAGGTGTTGTTTCACTCTCTGTTTTCAAGATCTTTTTCTTTTAGTTTTCAAAGTTTTCTCATACTGTATCTTGGTGTGGATTTCTTTAGGTTTACTTATTTATTTTTGTGTGGTTCACTCAGCTTCTTGTGTCAGTAAGTTTACGTTTTTTTGGTCAAATTTGAGTTTCGAGCCATTATTTCTTCAAGTTCTTTTTTAGTCTTACCTTCTTTCTCCTTGCCTTCTGGGAGTTGATGACATACATATTAGATTATTAGATAAAAATATATTGTCTGTTATAGTAGCACAGGTCTATGAGGGCTTTTTCATTTTCCTTTCAGTTTATGTTTTGTTTTGTAGATTGGATAATTTTCATTGTTCTATTTTCAAATTCACTGATTTTTCTTTATGTTCACTGATTTTTCTCTATGTTCTATTTTCAGATTCACTGATTTTTCTCTGTTTTCGCTATTGAGTCTATCCATTCAGGTTTTGGCTCCCATATTGTGTTTCAGTTCTGAAGTTCCCATTTAATTTTTCCTAGCAGGGAGAAGGAGTGGGACCTTGATAATGACAGGAAAGAGTGGATGTTAGGCACTGTAAGGAAGAATAGTTTTGGCTCCGTAGTTGGCTTTGTCTGACATCACCCTAGCAAAGAGGGTAGGGTGCTTTGTTAATCTTGCCAAGGGTGAAAGTCTAGATTGTCTATTAAACCTTGTTCTTAGGGGTGGAGGCAACAGGTTTTGTGTGTGTGTCTGGTGTTAGGGTGAAATAAAGCAGTTAATGTCTAAAAGTGTATGTCTTGCTATGCTGCACTTTTCTTGCTCTCCTAGCTAGAGAAAATAGACATCTTTTTTTTATTATTATTTGTTGTTATTTGTTTGTTTATCCGCCCCCATTGGATTCAGAGTTGCTGGCTACTTCATCTCCAAGTCTTGAATATCTGAAGCAAAAAAACAAAACGAAAACCTAGGGAACTCATCAACTTGCTTCTTAGGTCTCCAGTTTCCTGGACAGTCTGCCATTTTCTCTCTACTTTTTTCCAAGTCTCCTTATGTTTGTTTTACTACAATGACCAGGGTTTTTCACTGTACTGAGGAAGGAAAAATTGGTAAATGTATGTCTACCCCATCTTCCTAGAAGTGAAGTCTCAATTCCCCGTTTTTGAAATAAGGATTCACAGAGATTTCTCACACTTCTCGAGAACCTACAAGCACATTAAATTTTAAATTTTTATCAGCTGTTTTCTGTTTGTTTGTTTGTTTTTTAAAGTCCTTTCAGGGTACATTTACTACCATCACGATAAAATGCCAAAATATATTTTGGCATATTTTCAGAGGTGCGGAAAATTGAACTTTTCCAGGACTTAAATCTAGAGAGTGACTTATCTTCATGTCTTATTTTGATATTTGTTTTTTATAAATGTGTCCTATATTACTTTTTGAGAATTATAAATCAGTGATCCAGAAATATCATCAACCAAAGAAATTCAAAACCATTCAACCATCACCACTGTGAAACTAGACTCAAGGCTACTTTAAAAAGTAATACTAAGTGAAATGTATGGACACTGGTACATGGATGGTAATTAGTTTCATAATTATATTTATACTATTAGGATTATCATGTCACAACAGTAGGGATTACACATCCAATGGACCATAACAAATTCAAAATATGTTTTATCTAATTAGTTAATAACATATGACTAAGACTTTTGGATAGATTAAAGGTGGTTTTTAAAAATTAGTTTGTGTTTTAAATTATTCTTCAAAAATCGAGATTCACATACAGTAATTGAGATTTGGCTGTGTGAGGTTTCAGTTATCTGAGGTTAATTGTGGCTCAATAATATTAAATAAAAATTTTCAGAAATAAACAATTCATAAGTTTTTAATCGTATACTCTTCTGAGTAGTGTGACAAAATCTCATGCCCTCTCACTTTATCCCACTTGGGATGTGAATCATCCCATGGTCCAGCATATTTACACTGTATACGCCACATGCACCCCACCACACACACACCCAATTAGTCATTTAGTAGTCTTTTTGGTTGTCAGATTGACTGTTGTGGTATTGCAGGGCTTGTGTTCAAGTTAATCCTTATTTCACTTAATAATGGTCCCAAAGACCAAAAGTAGTGATGCTGGTCTTTCAGATATGCCAAAGAGGAGCCATAACTGGCTTCCTTTAAATGAAAAGGTAAAATGTATTATCTTAATAAAGAGGAAATCATGTGCCGAGGTTGATATCTATAATAAGAATGAATATTCTTTCCATGAAAGTGTGAAGAAGAAAAAATATTCATGCATAGTACATTTAGGGTTTGATGGTATCTGCAGTTTCAGACATCCACTGGGGGTCTTGGAATGTATCCCCAGTGAATAAAAGGGGACTACTGTACTCTGTTGTATTTACCCTTTTCATATGTCTCTTTCTTTTACTAACAAAGCTAAAATCAGCTATTTATACCATGGCTCAAGTCCCTGCCTTTCTTGTTCAATGCCAGAAATGTAGGTGCTAGTTTCATGTCATTTTTATTACACTCATCCCTAATTTGTTTCATCCTTTCCAAAGCTGTACATTCACTTTACTATTCACTGTGTCTTTCTTCCCCTTCATCACATAGTCTATTCCATTCATCACGCTCTTAGAACTCACTAAAAACACAATCTTACAAACAACCACAACTTCATTGTCCCTTAATCTTTCTGCTACATGATCTGGCAAAGTTAAAAACCCTCAATCAATCAGCTGTCCATTGCGTGTACTTCTTCACTCAGGTTGCTGAATGCTCTTGGGAAAAATCCCTCAATTGTATGGATTTGTGTCAGCACACAGTCATTGTCTGCAACCTCAACTGGAGGTTGTAAGCTGTTTGAAACAGGTATTATATTTATTTGTACTCAGTTTCTAACCCAATAAGTTGTAAATTCTAGGCACTCAAGAAATGCCACCTGATGGATTTGTTTTGCCAAATCCTATTTATCCAAACAATACTATTATTGTACGTTTGACACATTTCACATTTCTTGATTGTGAATTTATTTTGAAAAGATTTTAATTATTTCGTCTAATATGCTAGAGGAAATTTTCATGTAAATGACCTTTAAATACTACCAAAAATTGGTTTTAATTGTCCTCACTTTACTTATCACTTTCACTTCTCTTGCTGCTTCTGTCACTCAAGGAATTCACAAAGCGGTTCCAGACTTACTGGCATTTTGGTCCCCTGACTTGCAGCACATTATACCTCTAATTAAGTCTCTGTGTTATTTTAGTATTTTGCTTGTTTGGCTCAATATCTCTCTTCCTTTCAGGTTAAATGTTGTAAACAGAAAGCGAGTATAATGGCTGCCCAATCAAATTATAGAAGGAATGCTGAAAAGGTCAAAACAGCAAAACACACTATGGTAATTTATGTAATGTAGAATGTATTAAAATTTTGGCCTCATTTGACTCAAGAAAAAAGCACAATGGCACAATAGAAATGGCACAGTCTATTCAGAGTGAAATCTTACCTTCTAACTGGCAGAAAATTTTCACCTTTGTTTATTTCTCTCCTTTGGGAACGTCTCTCCCCTGGTTCAAAGGAAAAGTCATTCCTGTGCCCACTGGCAACCTCCTTTTCATTCTCCCTTTTTCATTTGTCATTAAGATGGGGAAGAAGCACATTAAATCTTTCTGCTCTTGTGAAACCCTCATAGACTTCATGTTCCTTCTTTTATATGCATTTCTCCCTTTTACAAGCATTGCTTATTAGGCTGACCAATGACACCCTTATTTAGTTTCTAGGGGTGTATGATGTACTGGCTTTGGCATGAGCCATTTAAACAAAAGCTAGTTGTTATAAATAAAAGCAGAGAGGGAAGGAGTATCACCACTGACTACTAAATTAACATGAATTTGGAATGAAGTGAGGAGGAACATCTTGGTTATTTCTATCAGGTAGTAGCTTTTGGATACAGATATTGTAAGTGTGTTGTTAAGGAGGTATGGGAACATACACTGAAATTATTAAAGCAACATATTTTTTTTCATTCTCATTATGCATTTGATACTGTGGTCACACGGAAGAGAGTAGAGGATGGCTTCCTTATTTAGAAATATTGTTTATATTGATGTGAGTTTAAATCATGTGAAAAGTATCCATAGAGACATTGATTATCTTAATATTTGTCTTACTGTGGCTAGCTAAATTATAAAAAGATACATTTATATATGTGTTAACTAGATGAAATAACTTATTGTTGATTACTGGGTTCCTTAAGAAGCTGACTCTGAGATGAAGTTTGGTGTGCAAGATGTTTTAGTGAGGACTCTTGGGATCAATAACTGTGGAAGCAAGGAAGAAAACACTGGACAGAGAGAGAAGTCACACTCCAGCCCAGCCATGGATGAGCCAATTAATGACAAATGACAAGGGGATGACAAAAAGTGGGTTGCCAATGGACACAGGAATGACTTTTCCTTTGAACCAGGGAGACATGTTCCCAAAGTAGGGTGGCTCTAGAACTTGAATGGGATTTCAGAGTTGTCCTTGATTTTGCTGAGCAAAGCAAACCTCTGTATCCCCACTGAGATTTGTCATTGTGATTAGGCTGCTCTGGGATGGGGCTTGTCCTTAGGCCAGGAGACTCTATGAAATTGAAACCATACTTAAAAGGACTGACAGCTGAAATATGTCTACTCACAATGCACCAAGAAGCTGACTCAATGAGTTATTCATTAAAGAGGAGTCTGTCTGGAATGTTCTCCAGCTAAGTGTTGCCAAGTGACTAAGTTCTCTGTAATACAATTGAAGTTGAAGTAATCTGTGCAGTGTTTGAGCCTCTTTCTCAAAAGGAAGTAGCCTGTCCTCACTGTGATTGTTTCTGTTTCCGTAGGCTGAACAATGCATTGAAAATGACCCATTTAGGGACATATAGATGAAATCAATACCTAGGGAAGGAAAGAGCAACAAAATAGAAGGAACTTGAGTTCCTTCATGGACAGGGCTTCACAGAGGCATGATGTCTTCAAGTCTGGACCACACCCAAACTGCATATGTGAGAGAAATAACTCATATTTAAACTACTGTATTTTGTGGTCTATTTGTAACCAACTTAGTCTTTAATTAACACAGAAAAGAGTACCTGGATGTGAGCTGCTATAAACAAAACCCCAATTTATGTGGCACTGGTATTGCTATAAGATGATAAGATGAAAAAAGATGGCATGAGAGTTCTAGCTGGAAACATGATGACTCATGTTGGACCTGGCAAAACAGTTGTAAAGCTATCACCCGTGAAAACTTCAATGGCAGACCATATGCTTACCAAGTCTGTAGTTTTACTAGAATGTTAGAGAAATTCAGACTAACGATGTGTTTTGGCGGCTCTTTGCTGTTTTAGCAAAATTACTAGAAAAGAGAGCTGAGATTAGGCAAGAACTGATAATTTTTGCAGCCCTATATGGAAGAAAATATAGCATTGCTAAGAGAGGCACTCTCTGCCTCCAATATGCAATTATATTGATGGAGCAACCAATAATCTAGGCTCAAAAAGCATTAAAATACCAACAGCTTTTTTATCCTAAATAGCAGAAGATGAGATTGTCACTTGCAGCCTATCTTTAGGGCCTCCAAATTAAACCTTTTAGACAGAACAGGGAGCCAGTCTCTGGTAAAATTGTGATGGAGGACGTTACTTTCCAACTTAACTGTATTGTTTCAGGGTATTTTCAATTTAGCTGCCTGTCATTGGAGAGTGGATGTGTCTTCTCAGAATAAGTAAATAAAAGAGAAGAATTGGGAGGCTCAAGGTGTATGTCTAGAAGAAATCTTTGAGTCTTGTGATTTTAACAGAGGACTGACTGGAAGAAAATAAGGTGAAAACCTCTTGTTTTGTTGAGATAATTTTATTTCCAAGGACACCAAACCAAATGCCTAGTCTACCAATGCCAGTTATTTGCCTAGATAGAATGATATAGTTTTTGGTTACATATTGAGTGAGGAGTAGTGATATAAAATGTGTATTAGTTTATAGGGTACCAAATTTCAAAGGTTATATTTAGGCTTGGATGGAGAGGACGATGCTTGACTAAGAGATTCCAAACTTTGAGTAAAGCATGATAACTGGTGGAAGGAGTCTACAATGTGAGAATGAAGAAGGACACATGTGTTTGGTTTCATTTGTTCCAAGTTGCTCCAAATCCATTCTTGTATTACAGTAGATTTTTTTTGGGCATATGACTACTGAGACATCTTCCAACCTCCCTTGCATTAAGTTATGACTGATTTTTTTTCAATGGAATGTTAAAATGAATGACCATCCAACTCATTCATTAAATGAATTTTTTAGACTGCCTTTTCTCTCTTCACAGGATACAATATGGAAAAGTGTTGACTTATTTTCAGTAATGCAGATGAGAATAATGTTTTGGTAATGGCAAAGCAAAAAATGTAAAATGAACTTCGAACCCTACTTATTTCCTGGAGTAGGGTCATCTGACCTGCCACTCATTTCTAGACTGTCATGAGAAAGAAAAAATACATTCAGTTTATTTAATCCACTATATTTTGGGTTTTACAGTTTATTTATTTTTAAAATCAAAGCCTTTACTGCAGCTCATATATACCAGCAGTTTAACTTTTGTACAAGTTCTATTGTTTTTTTTCTATAATAAGGAGCTATAAACAGGCAAAGTTTGTTATGATTAACTACATAAATAGCTACAGATTATTGCTCCATAAAGTATTAATTTTGCCAAAAATTGTTTTATCTCATTGTGGCAAAAGTATTTTGACATAATATGACATAATTTTCAATAAAGTACAGTAGACAGTTGGTGTATACAAATATTATCACAAGAAAAAATAATATCGGTTGCATAGATGTCTTGAAATTCAAAAAGACTTTTCTTCAATTGCTAAATTCTGTTCTTCAGAATTTTAGAATTCTTTCAGAATTCTGTTCTTCCAATTTTAGATTTTCCAAACGTACAAACTGATAATCAGTTCCTCGATCTTGACCTCACATATTGGATACATCTGCAAGTCCTTAAGCATTAACACTAAAACTATGATCATATGACTATTCTACTCTTTTTTTTTAAGTGAACAACAAAAACTCCTAAATGAGACAATAAACAGAAATTCAAATATGCTTATTGAAATTTAAGAATTCAACTCCATTAAAGCAGTTGGTTAGATCTGTCCTTTGTTCTGGTTTAAGTTCATAGGTTCACCAACAGTTTGTCTGTTGTCTGGGGCACAATGGCAGATGACATTGACAAACTGACATTTTTTTTTTTTTTTGCACCAAAGCATACTTTAAACATTTTTTGAAAAGCAACTAATGAGTGAGTAAATATATTACTCATTAGCATCCAGTGATTAAACTTCCATTTTTCCATCTATTTCTCTACACTCTATAATTTACTGAGAGCCCAGAGATACCATTCATGTTATTCAGGTAGTCTCCCATTCTCCATTTCAGGGCCACTTTTCCCCTAGGGCTGCCTGTACCTATACGTTATACTAATCAAAATTTAGAAAGTAGTTTGTAATCATTCAGAAGGTTGATGAATTACAGTGTCAGACTGGGGCAACTATTAATATAATTCAAATGATGTTCAATTTTATAAACTGGTAGGCATGGTGGCACTTTAAAGATTTTCCTTATTCAAGCTATGTATTAAACATTAAAAAATGATTAACAACAGGGATTTTCATTGTTGCTTACATTGCACTAAACTCTTAAGGTACTGAGGAGCATTGAATTTAGTTTATTTGTGGGGAGAAAGTTTTATTTATTTACAGAATTTTGAAATTTAGTTAAAAAAATAAGCTAATTACTTTTGGAAAAATTTAAATCTTTAACTCTGTCAAATGTGTATTGATTTGATCCAAACCAATTCAGGATGATATCCATCAGTATTATCTTTTTATAGTTGCTTTATTAAAAGTGATTATTATTAATAATATGAATAGAAGTCAATTATCATAGAAGAAATGGAAATATGTAGACTGCAGTTGTGTGCATATGACTATCTGTTGACCTTCTTTTTCCTATCATAAGCAAGAAAAAATAAATCATAAATCATAAGTGAGAAAAAGAATTAGAATTTATTATTCTTCATATGAAAAACATCCACAATCATTAATAAAGTATTCATACATAGCTTATCCTACCCCTTTAGTTATTTCAACTTGCTTTATTTATTTATTAATAAAAATATTAGAATCATTTTCCATAATTATGCCAAATTGTCAGTTCAAATAGTGTCACAAAATCAAGTTTCATTACCAAACGGCTTTTTAGCAATTCCAATGTACTATAGTTCATACTGAAAATGTTTATTTTTTTCAAAACCTACAGGCACACACCCGATTTTCTCACCCTCCCAGAATTATGGAATGATACAGAGATGGCTAATTTACCAAGATGTCCACCTAAGCAATTTGGAAATAATAAAATTTCTACATTTTTTTTCATTTTTATTTTATTGGCATTTGAGTCATGCAGATACACAGGTTATATTATACTGACACGTATTTGCGTATCTTTACATATTTCATTATTATTTGACTTTTCATCTCTTGCTCTTCTTCATTTACTGGTTCAATCTCCTATGTTCTTTTTATACATTGTTGGAATAACTTTTCAATTAACTACATGTAATCTGCCATTAAATCTAACCCCTTGTACAGTAAGGACATATTTATTATTTCCCTATGGATCTATGCTCAAGCAAGTAGCCCAAAGATTTTTTTTTTCTGAGAGGCAGATTTCTGTTTCATACAGGGCTTGATGTGAAGGAAGCAAGGTTGTATTATAACGTCTTTATTTGTCACTTACTTCCCTCACTGCATGCCAAACAGATAGAGCTTTAGGAATTTTTGAATTGTGGCATCGTTTGGCACATCAAAGTAATGAGCCTGGGTTTCTAATAGCATACATCCTGTGATGTACTTCTGCTATGTAAGTCCCTCTACGCAGAGTTACCTTAAAGTGGCTCATTATTTAGAGTCTGTGTAAGAAAAGTATTTCCAGTGGACAAGGAAAAAAGTCCTCTTTAGAGCAAAAGTTGTCTAATGCCTCCCAGGTGTGTAAGAAAGGTGAAAAACTACAGCTCATCTGATGCGCTGCTCATGACTAAGTGGGCTTGTTAGTTCCCTGAACGAAGACTCATCTGCCCTGTATTTCCGTGGTTTAATTTAATGGACAGATTCTCCAATAAAGGTAGATGGAAATAAATGCATTAGACAGCTCAGGCAAGGAGCAAAAGGAAAAGGATTTAACCGTCAGGGTTTTTATACTTTGAAATGATATGTTGTTTCAAACAATCTCAATTTCTCTAGCTGAAGTTTATTATTCTTTTATCTGATTCTTACTGCCATCTGGCTCCTGCACAAGTGCAAATCATAAGCAAGAAAAAGCAGAGCTAATTTTCTGTGTCAGCTTAATAAATAAAAGCTGTGAGATATGGCTAGCTATCATTAAAGCTATCTATCATGAAATATTGATCAAAATAGGCTACTTTTTTAATGCCTAGATATGGGATGGCAATTAGGATTATTTGAAAAAAGGGTGAGCATTAATCTGTAGTGTGCGAGGCTATATTGATTTTGGAGAATGACTTGGTAAAGCAACAGATATTTTCTACACATTTCTAATGAATCAATCTGTTGAATGCTTTCATAGTATAGATTTTATTAACTGAAAACATAATAATTAATTGATTAACTGAACTTTCACTTGCATATAAATAACTTTATATTAAGGTCCTTAAATGGTATAAAATATAAGTTGCAATTTGGGTAGAAATTATAAACCTAATAGAGAAAATATTATCTAAAGGAGAGGAAGGCAGGCATCCTTCTCATTCTCAGTTCATTGTTGGCTTTTTTTTTTTTCATCAACTTTTACTTTAGTTCCAGGATACATGTGCAGGATGTACAAGTTTGTTACATAGGTAAATGTCTTCCATAGTGGTTCGCTACACAGATCAACCCAGCACCTAGGTATTAAGCCCAGCATCCATTAGCTATTCTTCCTGATGCTCTCCCTCCTGCCAGCTTTCTGAGAGGCCTCAGTGTATGTTGTTCCCCTGCCAATATGTCTATGGCTTTTTATATATCAGAGGTAGGTTTAAATTGCCCATTTTTCATTGTTCCTTGTTCAGAGGAACAGAAATATTTTCTTCTACAGTAAATACAATGATTTACTGATATGAAACTTAAAATTGTTAAGAACTATTAAAATTATAAAAATATTTTTAAATGCCTGTTCAAAAGACGTTAACCTCTTATAGTGTTATAATAATTTTGTTTTGCTTCATGGCATTAAAATTAGTAGTTACTTTTAGAAAGTACACAAGATTATTTTATCAAATAGAGTTACTGTAACTTGTCATAGGATATATGTCCACATATATGGTCCATATGCATAAATATTTCCCATAGGAGTCAGTCACATCTTCTTTCAGATGGAGCAATTTACCCTTTCTAGTGTAGAATTCTGTGAAGCCAGTTATCAACTAACATTATAGCCAGATGTATTTATATAAGAAATGGAAAATTGCCTCAATGAGACTTCTGTTTTTTTAATAATTTCTTGGGTATTAATTCCATATTTGTAAGAGCTGAATAACTTTATTCTGTCTTGATAATTTTCTGTTTTAAAAACACAAGAGTCAACATTGTACTTACTTTAATCACTTAAGAAATGAAAATACTGTGGTAGTCGTTTTCTAAGGTAGTCCCCAGTGACCATTCCTTCTGGCATTTGTGCTCTTCTGTAATCCCCTCTGGAGTGTTGGTGGGACTTCTTAAACTTTCTTCTGAGGAATAGAGTATGTCAAATGCGATGGGATGTCACTTTCAAGTTTAGGTTATAAAAAGACTATGGCTTTTCTCGTGGGTACTCCATCTTGCTCTCTGTTAGATCATTAACCCTGGGGGAAGCCAGCTGCCATGTCATGAGGAAGCTCTATGGTGAGGATCCAAGACCTGCCAACAACCACATGAGCCTTCACATGAGGCTGCAGCTCTGCCAACAGTTTGATTTCATCCCGTTGGGACTGTAAGCCAGAAGACCACGTTAGACTATAATTAGAATCCTGACCCACAGGAACTGTAGAATAAAATGGTTTTTTAAGCTGTTAAATTTAGAGTAATTTGTTATGTGATAATAGATAACTAACACAGATGTTTTAGTAAGTTTTGGATTTTTTTTTAGTTTTCCATAGAGATAGAGCTCATGTTTTTCATAGTTAGTTGTCTGAAAACAGGATGCTTTGCATGTAGATGACACTATGTGCCTGAATCATGATATTTACAAAGCTAAATTCTCAAGTTAAATTCTCAGATAAAATTAATTACATTGATATGAATCCTGCTGGATCTATGAAACTAAAATAATATAATTGGTGAAAGCATAGGCATATGCTAACATAAATAATTTAGAGAAGTGATTGCTGTGAGACAACTGAGAATACTATTTTTGTGAAGCAAATAGGGAGAAAGTGGAAAACTATGTTAATGCTATGGTATTTATTTCAGAATAACACACATAAATTCTAAAATAAGTTCTTTATGTGCTTTTATATAACATGTAGTAATTTCACTTATTCGATGTTTTCTCCAGTTTAGGAGTATTTATACTTCTTGTTCTCTATTTTTCTAGATCTAGATATTAATACCAACACTTACTTGAATAAATTAATAGCACTTGATCCCTAATTCTTAAAATAATGTCTTAAAAATCATTTGAGAAAACAGTTAATGAATAATTAATTTTATCTGAAAATATAAAACAATAAAAATGAGAAATAAAAATATAGCTTACTTTGCTAGATTT
Source organism: Homo sapiens (assembly GCF_000001405.40). Classification (NCBI taxonomy): domain Eukaryota; kingdom Metazoa; phylum Chordata; class Mammalia; order Primates; family Hominidae; genus Homo; species Homo sapiens. Next base: position 67,306,555 of record NC_000013.11, read on the forward strand.
TAGAGCATATAAATACTGCATGTATTTACGCTTGAAAAGGATGTCGTATATCTATCAATGCACTAGATATGATAATTTTTTATTTGTAAGACAGAACTGGAAACTCTTTACAAAATGGTTACTGATATAACACTCTAACAGAGTAAAAGCATAGAGTTTAATAATAAAGTATGACCTTTGTGACCTTAATGGACAAGGTTGAACATTAGCATTAAGTTCCAAGCCATTTGAATGCATAAAGCACAGTGTTAATATCTAATTTTGAATGAATTTTGGACTGCCCACAAATGCCTTACACCACTTCCTGAGCCATTTCATCAACAGCTTGCTAGACTGCATCCAGTTCACCATCTGGAAGTGTCACTTGCTACAAAATAAACCTGCTCCCTGGATGACAGCAGGATACCTAAGCATCTGCTGTTTAATAAGCTGCAGCAGAACATCCACCAGCAGCACAGAAAGGGGCAATATTTCAAGGAAATGATGGAATCATTTAATATTAGCCCTTGAATGCACCTTAGGGATTCATCTAATTCATCATTTTCAAGGTGTATTCCATGGGATACTAGTAACTGCCGTATGACAATAGGGACTCCATGTTTAAAAAATAAAAAGCTCCTCCAACCCTCAATTAAGTTTAGATAATGCTATGTTAACAAAGACAAGTCAGAATTGATATCAAATGATAATGCTGTAAACTGTATGGTCTTAATTAGGATATAAGACATTTAAAAAGTATATACACATATATATATACACACACATATATATATATACACACACATATATATATATATCCAGAAATAAGGCATAACATAAAAACTAACCAAAAAAATGAGGCACAATTAGCGGGTGGGGGAAAGGCAACAGAGGTTTGGAATCTGCCTTCACAGAGGAGTAATTGTACAATGGAAAGAACATTTCATTTTGCGGGGTCGGTCCTGTATTTCATCTTTGATAATTCTGCTTTTTCTTTTCATTGTGAAAGATAATTGCTACTTCTTTTTACTTTCCTAATCCCTTTCTCTTCTTAATTTACCTCTCAGATAAAAGATCAAATTTGGACAAATTTTGAAGAAATCCTAGACCTAAGTCCCATAGACTGGGGAAAATGCTAATCTGCGTGATATTTATAAACTTCCAACCATAGATTTTGTTCTCTAAGTCACAGTCATGTCTCTAATATCACAATCACAGGTATGATTTTCAAATTTATACTAGTTCATATTCCTTTGTTATTGCCTTTTCTTAAATTATGAAGTATTTTAAGCATATATAAACATATAGAAAGAAATATTACAAATGTTTATATGCCTACCACATAGTGTAATATATCCTAACATTTTCCCATATTTCATTCAGATTTGTTTTTGAGAGATAAAACATTAAAAATATAATTAAAGCTCTTTGTATCTTTCTTTTATGCCATTTTTCTCTTCTTTTCCAAGAATTCAGAGTCAAGAGTATGTGAACTTTTTTATGTTGAAATTAATACAAAATAATCACTACTTTCCTGGCCTTTTTTCCAAAGTATCCTGATCTTCTGTGACTTCAGGTAAAACAAGTTTCTCTCTTTGACTCATGCAGAGTATTTAGATTACATCATCTTTTTTCATAAAATCCTGAGCCTAAAGTTTCTTTTTTCCCCTCTTTGGTGGTGTAATTTGCAGAACAACAATCATGAGTTATCAAGGAGGAATTTCGATGCCATGTTTCAGGTTAAAGGTGTGTGCCTCATTACAGTACTGTGAGTATCTTATTTCTAAAGAGCAGCAGCACTAAGCTTCTCAGAGAGAAAAAAAAAAGCATCAAATTTGTACAAATTGGAAAAATAAAGTGCCAACAGAGAGACAACAGAACATGTTTTAGGGAAGCAGAAGTTCCATAGAAAAATAGCCTGTGGAGTCTGTGTATTTAAAGAATCAACTTTCAGCCATTACAGACTGAGAGAAAAAAATTGTTTCCAGTTAGTGAACATGTGAGGATGGTTTCGGTATTACTTAGAGTTCTCGTTTGATGGCTGCAGGTAGAAACACTGCTAACTCCAGTTTGCTTTACAGTCAGCTACGTAATTGGTGCTGAAGATAGTGAAACTTGCACAGAGATATTGTCCATCTCCTAGGAGATGAAACCTCCATGACTTTATAATAAGGGAGAAATGAAAAACATTGCAGTCTAATGAGGACAACAGTTAGGTGAAATTTTCACTAATGAGAAATTGATTGAAAAAGAAGCAGAGATCCAGTTAAACATGGTGGGTTGAACACATGCTTCTATCTACACATTCTCTGGAAACTCTGTCAATGTAACAATGAAGAATTTTAAAAAGTTATAAACATATAAGCATCAAGAAAGGAGAGTCAAGAAGATAGTATATATGTCAACAAGTTTGAAATGTGGGTGAAACTCAGCAGGGTTGAGAAAGTTGATAGTTAAGCTTTCAGGGAGATGGTTAAGAAATACTTTAGATATTATGAAAAGTCTCAGGAATGGGAGTGTGTTATAAAAAGGTGTGCTGCTTTGGTTAGAAGCCAGAAGATTGTTTGAAAATTTGTTATAAAACGTTATCAAAGGTTCTCTTGTCCCTCATGCACAGCCAGGCAATGCTGGTGAGTATTCTATAGATTCCTCTCTGAAGTTGAATTAGAGGACTGCAGAAATACACGTGAAGATGGTACTGATGGAATAAAAACAGGAGTAAGTGAGATTTTTACATGCTTAACAGGTGATTCCTCACCTCCTTCTTGAACTTGCTTGTAGATTGGGGCAGACATTTTCAGATTGGAACTATTCTTTCTGAGGAAGAAAAACCTGGAAACTTAAGAGAAAAGAGCTACATATTCTCAACTAGGCTGATGGATCTCAATAATAATCAATGGCTAATCAACTCAGAGCAGGGGATTACTTGTGCCTCTTTCCTCAATAGGAGTTGAGAGGCAAGGAATGTGAGACATCTGTGGAGAATGGTTAATACGAGAAAAAGAGACCAGCACAAGAGAAACACCCAGAATGACAGTCACACAGCTGACATATAGAGGAGACTATTTATATTGGAGCAGGAGAACTGAGAATTCCAGTAACACTTTCTCCAAAAAAAAGAAGGAAAAAAAGAAACTAATAGAAATACTGATGTGTTTGTTTTAAAGGAGATATTCACTTCTATGGGCAAGTTTGAGGATAAATTAAAGTACACAAAAACACCTCTCATTAGTTATAAATATGCTGTACTATAACTATGAGGGGGAAAGAAATTGTACAAGAAAGGAAATAGTATACCAATATATCACATAACTCAGCTACAGATCATAGTCAAAAATTAAAGGAAAATGTTAATAGAAATAATAAAGAGCATATTACCCAATATTTTCTTCTAGCTACACTGAAAGGATAGCATCATTTGGGGAATGTCTGTTTTGGATTAATGTAGATAGGAGGGTTATGGTGGTTGTTTGAAGGTAAGGAAGATAAGCCCCAAACATCCAAAGATATAATTTCATAGGTAATAGTTAAAAATAAATAAGTTAGATATATAATATCTATGACTAAAAAAATCAAGAAGAAATGTGTATAAAGTTACAATAAAAGATGACACGAAAATTGCTGCCTCTGGGAATGGCATATAAAGAAAGACGAGGCACACCTAATTTTTCATAACAAGTTTCCTACATCTCTGATTGCAAATCCATGGACATGTACTATTTTGCTAAAAATAAAACAATTTTCAGAGAAAAGGGAACAGAGGAAGAAAAGACAAAAATGTGCAGGATGATCTTTGGCAGGGGGTTCATATACCAACAAAAGGAAAAGACTCCCATAGCTTCAAGGAGTGTGAAAACAAGGTGGTAAGGATTGGTAAATATTGTAGATATTCTTTGAGCTATTTAGAAAAAATATAGATTTTTTATATTATGGAAAGGATGGAGAGAGAAGGATCTAGAGGAGGTGACAAGGTTCTTGTGGGCAAGAAATATCAACCTGGACTATTATACTGGACATTTAACATTCTTGCTGCATAGTAGAGAACTGCTGGAGTAACTATGCATATACATTGCTTCAGTTGACATGGAGGTATAGGATTGGAATATAGTGAGTGTGGATGCTTATGTCAGTTACACTATGTCTGGGGTACTCATTTTTGGTTGACAATGGGAAATTGGGGAAGCAGTAAGTAATAAGTATCCAGCTTCAAAGAAATAATCTTGCCAAGATAAAACAGCATGGGCATGCAATAACCAAATAAAGGACAATGCATCTCTTCAGTGATGAATAGAGGCCAGCCAAGATATTTGTTCTTAGTCATACTTGCCTAAATGTTCTAATAAATATTTATTTAAGAGTTCATGATAATTAATATAGAATCTATATAGAATTAATATAGAATATGTAGATAATACGATATAGAATTTTATATATAGAATATTTATAGTTAATATAGTAACCTAATATAGGTTACTGAAAGCAGTCTTGTTGTGTGGGCCTATGTATCTCCTCTCATTCCACAGTGTGGACTCTTTCTTTCACAACTAATTATCTGATGTCTTTGTAAAGTCCATACTTTAAAAAGTGTTCCTTTCCAGACACATAGACAACTGGATAGAGTGAATGCACTTGAAGAACAACATTTAGTTTCCTGATGACTTGAGTGGAAAAACCACTTTAGTATCTTTCTCAGAGCCATCCAGAATAGACACATTTCGGTCCATGTTTCATAATTTCTAACATAATGTCTTTAACTATGAAATTGAAATAATTAAATTAGAAACTTAAAAATTCAGTATCCTGCGGGACCTGAGCGTAAGATTTGGAATCATATGACCATTTATTAATTGAATAACTCAAGGGAAATTTTTAAAATAAAACTAAAACAATCCTTGAAGATTGATGATAGGAGGAGTGATGGTCAAAACTCATAGTCTTGACTCTTTTTTTATGAGACCATCTTTCTCTTGACACGCTCTCACTAATTTTCTTTATTATTATTATTATTATTATTATTATTATTATTATTATTATTTTCTTTTTGAGACAGAGTCTCGCCAGGCTGGAGTGCAATGAGGTGATCTCGGTTCACTGCAACCTCTACCTTCCAGGTTCAAGACATTCTCCTGTCTCAGCTTCCCAAATAGCTGGGGTTACAGGCAAGGGCCACCACACCTGGCTAATTTTTTTTTGTATCTTTAGTGGAGACAGGTTTTCGCCATGTTAGCCAGGCTAATCTCAAACTTCTGACCTCAGGCGGTCCACCCGCCTCGGCCTCCCAAATGCTGGGATTACAGCCACCGCACCCAACCTCACTAATTTTCATAGCAGCTCCAGAATGAACCCAGTGAATTGGGGCCCCCTAATTCCTTGGAACACAACTGAAATATAGCTAGGGCATTTAATCATGACTTCACTGTCATATTTTCTGGAAGCTAACACCTAATCTAGTTAGAAAACTTACAATCAACTTTTTGATAATTTTCCCTATTAAAAACATATATTTTTTGGCTGGGCGTGGTGGCTCATTCCTGTAATCCCAGCACTTTGGGAGGCCAAGGCAGGCAGATCACTTGAAGTCAGGAGTTTGAGACCAGCCTGGCCAACATGACAAAACCCCGTCTCTACTAAAAATACAAAAATTAGCTGGGCATGGGGGTGCACACCAGTAATCCCAGCTACTCGGGAGGCTGAGATGGGAGAATCGCTTGAATCCAGGAGGAGGAAGTTGCAGTGAGCTGAGATTGTGTCACTGCACTCCACCTTGGGTGACAGGGCAAGACTACATCTCAAAAAACAAACAAAAAACTTTTTTTTAATGAATCAAAAATTGGTAATGCTATGTTTTCAATTCTTACCCACTTTCTTTCTTAAATGTCACAATGAGAATTCAAGTCTATACCTAATTCAACTTCAGAGTACAAATATTTTTGTGAAATCACCTCAGGAAATTGACAATTATTGCATCATTGTGATACACTTCTAATTTTTAATGATATTTTAAGCTTCAGTATATAAGCATCTTTAAGCCTCAGTATGTAAATTCTAGCTATATGAAAGACTCATAATTCTGTCTGCATTTTCTATTTGTCTAAATTTTTGTTTTGTTTTTATCATAATTAAATTAAATATTGTTGAAAGTTAACTAGTTCTTCCTGAAAATCTGCCAACACATTTTTCTTTTGGAAGCTGTTGGTATCTGTGTCATATTCTTCATCATGTATGAATCCATTCACCATGAACTTCTAGCTTTGAAAAGATTTATTCTACACTGAGAAATTTGGCAATTTCTACCACCTTTGATTACATTTCCTGGTATGTGACAGGCCACTTTCTGTGTTGGAAAATAAAAATCTTTTTGTGCTGGATCACAGTGCTATTATTTTGAGGACTTTTTTTTTTGAGACGGAGTCTTGCTATGTTGCCCAGGCTGGAGTGCAGTGGCGCAATCTCGGCTCACTGCAAGCTCCGCCTCCCGGGTTCACGCCATTCTCCTTCCTCAGCCTCCCAAGTAGCTGGGACTACAGGCGCCCGCCACCACGCCCGGCTAATTTTTTGTATTTTTAGCAGAGACGGGGTTTCATCGTGTTAGCCAGGATGGTCTCGATCTCCTGACCTCGTGATCCGCCCACCTCGGCCTCCCAAAGTGCTGGGATTACAGGCGTGAGCCACTGAGCCCGGCCGAGGACATTTTAAAAAATGTTCAGGGATCTCAATTTAAGTTAAAATTTAAATCTCTGCTGTGTTGTACTGGCAAATAAGTTGACAAAAAGATAAACAAGTAAGGCCTATGACTAGGTTTGCCCCTGGGTAGATAGTAAAATTGATGGTGAACCTCAAACTTTGAATCTGATTGTCATCTGGCACATTTCTCTTGGCATTGATTATAAGACATATACAAAGGCCAGAAATTATAATTTAGGATGTAAAAAATAATAATAATAACTTGAGTACCAGTGTGTGAAGGTAAGAAACGAATATGAACATAAGCAGTCTTATGCAACTGGATAATACAACTTCATTGTAATAAAAGAAACCTATACAGGAGTTGTTTAAAGTGCTATGTTTTGAAGAACATGCTGATTTTGAAGTTGCATGTGCACATTGAGCTACATTTGTATAGCAAACGAAATAAACTCTTTGTGTTACAGGTTTTGAGGAATGTTATAGACATTAGTGTTGAGCAGCAGGGAGAGCTATAAAAGTCCAGGCTACTCCTTGGAACCACCATTGAATCGACTTCAAATTTAAGTTTACTTATCTTTGAGATCCACTATTTCTCTTCATTCCTTCAGGTTTATCTTTATAAGACAGAGGCTTTCTTTATCTTCCCACCTGAAAGTATACCCAAACCTGTCTAGAAACTTTAAAACTCAGATCTTATGACTCAAACATGAGCATATCATAATATAATAATGAAAATCTGATATTCACGAATGAAATAACACAATTCATACCTGTATTTCATGTGTAAAATGGCCATGTCATCTCTACCCTTTCTGATTTTTTCTGTTAATCATCTACAATTTGTTTCAAGAATAAAATAAAAAAATTTTTGCAAAGAGTTTAATGTTTAAAATGGCTGCCATTATTATTTAAAATATCTAGCAATCAACATATTTTAGATTTTAATAGTATAAATAATACATGTGGGTAGTAGATTGGTGTGGTGGCAGAATAATAGCTCCCAGAGATGTCCAAGCATAATTACGAGAACTTGTGACAATGTTGCCTTACAGGAAAAAGTGTCTTTGCCAATATGGTTAAGGGTGGCACAGACTTTGAGATGAGAGATTATCCTGGAATATCCAGATGCACCCAATCAAATAATGTAAACGTAATAGGTTCATTGCCTGATGTACTCCTCTGTGGGAGTCTTCAAATTGGTTGCTGGAATTCAGGGTCTGAACAACATCTTAAGTGATCCTTAAACAAAAGCTTTGTGACTCTAATGTCAGAGATCGTGCCTGTAGGATAAATGGGGATGCAAATCTTCAGTATCTAGTGCTATGCGATTTTTAGCAACAAGGAAGTGGGCCAAAGTTCAGCCTGATTAATGCCTAATTATAGCTATGTTTCTGTCCAGAACCCAGAGTGGATTTCTTGTCAACTCTGTGAGGACATTTTCAATCACATGAGATTTTAAAAGCAGAGAACCTTTCCCAGTTGAGGGCAGAGAATTTAAAGACAGTGGCATGAGAAGAACTGGAACCACCATTGCTGGCTTTGAAGGTGGAGATAGCGGCCCCAGCCAAGGAATGTGGAAGGTCTCTAGAATCTGGAAAAGTGAAACAGAATTTTTCCTAGAACCTTCAGAAAGGAACATAGGTCCACTGACACTTCAATTTTATTCCAGTGAGACCCAGGTCTAACTTGTGAACTACAAGTTGAAAGGTGATAAATGTGTATTGTTTAAGCCACCAAGTTTGTGAAAGCCACCAAGTTTGTTCCATCGGCAATAGAATATCATATTAATACAGTAGGATTTTAAATTCTGGTAGCACAACATTAAAATTAAACTATCTATAATTTATATTATGAGACAACGTAGGAAAAAGCAGAGAAATGTTGAACAATCAAATGAATTGTCAAGATGTGTCAAATGTGTATGTCACATGTGATACAATTTGGATATTTGTCTCCTTTGAATCTCATGTTGAAATGTGACCCCCAATATTGGAAGTGAGGCCTGGTGGGAGATGTTTAGGTGTTGGGGTGTGGATCCCTTATGACTAGCTAGGTGCTCTCCCATGTTAATAAGTGAGTTCTCCCCTTAGCGGTTCATGGAGGACTGGTTGTTTAAAAGAGCATGGCACCCTTCTCCTTACTCTCTTGCTCCTTCTCTCAGCATGTGATACACTAGGTCCCCTTGCTTTCCATGAGCAAAAGCTTCCTGAGGGCCTCACCAGAAGCAGATGCTGGTGCTATGCTTCCTGACTAGCTCACACAACTGTGAGCCCAATAAACCTCCTTTCTTCTTAAATTACCCAGCCGCAGGAATTCCTTTATGGCAATGTAAAACATATTGATACATCATGGTACTAGAATTTAAGTGTAAGCCTAGAGTTAAAGGAATACCCAATAAATAGAAACAAAGTAGAGCAAATGAACAGAAAAATATAGTTAAATATTATTTGATTAATTTGCTAAACCTTCATAAAGCTGTTTGTGTTTGAAATTATTCCATTATTTTAAAGAAAAGAGAAAGGCATATCATCAGGAGAGTGTTAAAAGACTCTAGTTCTATATTTCAAAGTAGGTATATTAGTTTCCCGTGGCTGATGTAACAAATTACCACAAACTTAGTGACCTAAAACAACACACATTTATTCACCTACAGTTCTGGGGGTCAGAAGTCTAAAAGTGTATTTCACTGGGCAGAAACCTAGGTTTTGGTGGGGTGGGTATATTTTCAGAGACTGTAGGAAAGAAAATGTTTCCTTGCCTTTTCCAGACTCTAAGGTTGCATTCCTTCACTCATGCTCTCTCCTTCATTGTTCAGATCTGCAGCTCAGCATCTTCAAATCTCTGTTTTGTTCTTACATCTTTTTCTCATTTATCTCCTTTCTCTCTTGCTGTATTCCTCTTAAAGAGATGCATGTGATCGCATTTAGGGACCATCCTAATAATCTAGGACAATCTCTCCATCTTAACATCCTCAATTTAATCATATCTGCAAAGATGCTTTTTCAAATATGGTAACATTCACAGATTCTGTGGATTATGACCTGATGCAGGAACCATTAGCTTACTACAGTAAGTTTGAAATGAAATGTTTATTTCCTTTACACATTGATTGTTTTCCTCTCTTTCTCTAAAGTATCACTCTCTCTTTTTCTCTCTGTCTGTCTTTCTATGTTTAATACACTTTGAAAATGATGACACAAGATATGAATTTAAGGTAACCTGATTATACAAAAATCTCTCTTACATGTTTTGTAAGAATTATTTCCTTATGTGTCTTAATAGCAAAAGATCTGACCTCAGTATATACACTCTGTCATTCTCATTTCCCCAGAAAACTCTTTCAAGGCAGAAACTGCTTAGAATATTTTTCTGGTTAGAATATTTGATAAGCTTGTATCAAAGCACACATCTGATTACAGATGATCAATATTTAAAAATTGACTTGAACAATTAAATTTAATTTGATGAGTTCTGGCCTCAAAACTTTATCAAATAAAGCTATTTCATGACTTGACAAAAGTAATTCATTTTTCCTAGAACAGATTTATGAGAATGCTGTAGGTTTTTAGGATTTTAATGCTGTAGGTTCTTCTGTTAATCTATTTCTTCTCCACTAGAAGAAAAAAAAAGCTTATATTTTGGGAAAACACTTTTATAGCGGAAGAGAGGCCAAGTGTTCTTTTTTTTTTTCTCTTTTCTTCAACTTTTATTTTAAGTTCTGGGGTATATATGCAGGATGTGCACGTTTGTTACATAGGTAAATGTGCGCCATGGTGGTTTGCTGCACAGATCAGCCCATCACCTAGGTATTCAGCCCAGCATCTATTAGCTATTATTCCTGATGCTCTCTCTCTCCCCCTGCTTTATTACCCCCAATAGCCCCAGTGTGTGATGTTCCCCACCATATGTCCTCATTGTTCAGCTCCTACTTGTGAGAATATGCAGTGTTTGGTTTTCTGTTCCTGCATTAGTTTGGTGAGAACAATAGCTTCCAGCTCCATCCATGTCCCTGCAAAGGACATGATCTCATTTATTTTTATGGCTGTATGGTATTCCATTGTGTATATGTACCACATTTTCTTTATCCAGTCCATCATTGATGGGCATTTGGCTTGATTCCATGTCTTTGCTATTGTTAATAGTGCTGCAATTAACATATACGTGCATATATATACATATATTATATATATAAAATATAATAATTTATATTCCTTTGGGTATATACCCGGTAAAGGGATTGCTGGGTCAAATGGTATTTCTGCCTCTAGATGTTTGAAAAATTGCCACACTGTCTTCCACAATGGTTGAACTAATTTACACTCCCAACAACAGTGGAAAAGTGTTCCTTTTTCTCCACGGCCTCACCAGCATGTAACCTCACCAGCATTTGTTTTCTTTTTACTTTTTAATAATTGTCATTGTGACTGGTGTGAGGTGGTATCTCATCGTGGTTTTGATCTGCATTTTCCTAATGATCAGAGATGTTGAGCTTTTTTTCATATGTTTGTTGGCTGCCTGTATGTCTTCTTTTAAGACGTGTCAGTTCATGTCCTTTGCCCACTTTTTAATGGGGTTGTTTGTTTTTTCTTGTAAGTTTGTTTAAGTTCCTTGTAGACTCTGGATATTAGACCTTGGGCAGATGGATATATTGCAAAATTTTTCTCTCATGCTGTAGGTTGTCTGTTCACTCTGATGATAGTTTCTTTGGCTGTGCGGAACCTCCTTAGTTTAATTAGATTCCATTTGTTAATTTTTGCTTTTGTTGCAATTTCTTTTGGAGTTTTTCTTCTGAAATCTTTGCTTGTGCCTATGTCCTGAATGGTATCGGAGAGGCTGAGTTTTCTAGTAAAAAAATTGCTTTAATGGGTAGTGTCTGCACACATCAGTTTGTGTGAAGGATCATAGTCTATATCGAGAATCATCTATGCCACTTTAACTCACTCAGGGCTACCACAATGCACAACTCCTGGGGTATCATTCTCAATTACATTTATGTATCTATGTAAATGGTGCACCTGGAGTCATGTGGCATATCCAGAGCTGCCGTATCTAATGGGCTTGCAAAATGGACTCAACTGCTTTAAACTGGAAATTCTTTTTTTTTTTTTTTTGTAATTGAATTTGATAGTGGAGATTACAAAGCAAACAGGGAAATCTCCATTAAGGGGACGTGTTACAGAAAAACCTGAGGTGATCTAATATCTCCATGTTACTGAAAGGAATGAATACATTCATAATCCTATCAGTCCTAGTAAGAAGACATAGGCAGGAACTTCACTACTTGTAGAAAACCTGTTCCAATATTGTTTTATGTTTTTCATTATTAGTCACCCTAAACATTTCAGTAAAGTCTGTACTTTTGCCAGACACTGTGGTGAAACTGATACACAAATAGTAGTATCTCTTGGTTCTCACTTTCAAATAGGTCACAATCTCATGGAATTTGCAGAAAAGCACATATGAACATAATTCTCAGTTAAATAAACTATCTACAAGTCCACTTCTTATGGAGTGTGCCCTATCTACTCTAATCAAGAAACCAAATTTTACATTTTAATTTTTCTCTCTTTAAATTCTAAATGTGATTGTTGCGTGCATTATTTAATTCAACAACTGTTTATTGAATATTCAGCAAGTTCTCATGTCATTTTTTTTCCAAAATAAAATACTAGTTCATCTTGTGATTCAAATAACATTATGGAGTGGGTTCTTTTGTTTTTTAATAATGTTAGTAGCTTGTGTTTGTCATTAGTACAGTTGTCTGACTGTCTTTGAATGTTGCAATGGCACTGGCTTTAGACAGTTCCTCAGGGCAGGGACTGAGTCTGCTTAAATTGCTTTGTGCAGAGCACAGGTGGCTGAGTAATAAACACTTTTTGCTGATGCAATGTCTTGTATTGAAGACAAAGCCTCTGATTACTTAGTGTTTTGAAATTAGTTTTTAAAGATGCATCAGGAATCCAATTAGTGTACAATGTGTGCATGACACCAAAATGGCTTTGGAGCAGATTAACAAGACCACAACACCCTTATCTCAAAAAAATTATATTCTAAAACCAATAGTACAGGATGAAAACAAATGTGAGCATTGAATAATAGATTTTCTTTCCATAACCTTAATAAAATACCTAATCTTGTACAAAACAAGTATGCAAATGTGTATGTGTCTATACATTTTTCTTCATCTCTCCATTATGCAGGTTAGAAATAGATCAATGGCATTGTTATAGGCATAATCAGAAGCAAACTGGCATTAGCTGAGCTATGAATATTAGTTTGAAATGTTCAATGTAATTTTTTATTTTTGTTTTTTTCTCATATTAAATATTATCTAGGGAGAAAGTATCATTCTTTCTGGAATACCTGCCACTCCAGGTCTTGCTCTCCAGAGCAAATCCCCTGGTCATCTTTTGAGAGGCCTTTGGATTTCAGAAGAGATATGAGAGGCACAGTTCATTCATTTGACCTGTAACCCATCTAGCTGCTCTGACTTAATCTCTTTTCTCATCTTGGCTTACCTGTGACTTGCACATGGAACATAGGCTTCTGCTTTTCTTGTCTTTTTAATCCAACTCCCATCAACGATGCCAGAGTAATCATCTACAAAGCAAGCAATCATACCACACATCTATCTAAATTTACTCATTGGCTTATTTGTCTTCCCTGATTGCAAATTCTGAAAAAACACAGTTCATTTCTCATTACACTTCCATCCTAAGGCTTGTACATAATACACACTCAATACCTGTTTGTTAATCACATGGCTGGATTGATCTGACAACATCTTGATCCTTCACTTTTGACTCAGTGTTATCCCAGGTTTTCATTTAAATTTTCTGTTTGTGTTTTAAATTTTAGCCCTTACCATATCATGGTAATTCTCATTCCATTTTCCCTCTTGATTTGCAGTGCTAGGCTTACTCAATCTCATCAAGCTATAGATTGTCTTCCACGTAGGGTACCTGGTTACTATAATGCATATTGGAGTAGTCTCATACAATTTTTCTACCTACATCTTTTTTTTATTGTTGCTGTAACACATAATCACATACTTACTAGCTTAAAATAAAATGAATTTATCCTCTTAGAGTTCTGGAAGACAGAAGTTTCAAAACACTATTACAGGACTAAAATCAAGATGTTGGCAGAACCATCTCCTTCGGGAGGCTCCAGGAGAGAATCTGCTTCTTTTTTCAACTTTTAGAGGGCACTGGCATGCTTTGACTCGTGGCCATATCACAATGTCTGCTTCTGTCTTCACCTCCCCTTCCCCTCTCTGTAGTCAAATCTTCTTCGTCTCCTTGTAAGTACCCTTCTGATTATATTGGGCCCACCATGTAATCAAGGATAACATTCCCATCTCAAAATCTTTAAATTAATCACATTTGTAATGTTCCCTTTACCATGAAAGGTAACGCATTTACAGGTTTCGGGGATTCTTACATTGACATCTTTGGGACCATTATTCATCATATCTTATTACCCTTGTTTTTATTTAAATTGGCAAGTAAAAACTATACATATTTATGGTGAATAATATGATATTTTCATCTATGTATAGATGTGAAATGTATGTATAGATTGTGAAATGGCTAAGTTAAGCTATTTAACATACGCATTACCTCACATACTTTTTTGGTGAGAACACTTAAAATCTACCTTCTTAGCTATTTTCAAGTATACATTTATTGTTATTAACTATAGTCACCATGATATACAATAGAGCCCTTGAACGTTTATTTATCATGTGCAACTAAAATTTTGTGTCCTTTGACCAACATCTTCCCAATCCCCCCTCCTCCTCCAGCACCTGGTAATCATCATTTTTCTCTGTGTTTCTATAAGTTCCAATTTTTAGATTCCACATGTAAGTGAGCATCCTTCTTGAAACAATTTCATAAGGCAACTATGGTTGTCCAAAAAGGATTCCTTTATGTCCCCCATATGGCATATCTTCATTTTGTTTCTTTATTGATTTATTCTTTTTTCTTTTTCAACATCAATATATGGCCATAATAAAAATTTCAAGCAACACAGAAATATATAATATATACAGCTGCCTTTGTCACCTGCTTCCCAGCAATGACCAATCTTAAAAATTCAATGTGAATTATTCATTTTTTCATAACGAGAAAGGAAGAAAAACATATGCACATTCTATGTACTCTACGCATTTACAAATATAGATGATTAATAAAGAAGCAGATATTATTCTAGATTTTGATGTTTTCCAACTAATAATATAGGTTGAGCATATTTCCATGTCAGCACATGTATATTTTCTCCATATTACAAGGTAGAAGAATACTACATTGAAATTGCATGTTAATTATAGGATGATTGGCATATTTGTATTATTGATTCTTTCTACTCAGGAATATAGTATCTTTTTAAATCTTTACTGTTTTGTTAATTTTTTTCAATCATATCTTTCTCAAATTTGTGAAGTTTACTCCTAAATATTTAGTTGGTTTTTTTTTTTTCCTATTTTAAATTGTGTGTGTGTTCCTGGATTATTATTGCTGGTATTTGAAAAAGCTATTATTTTGGTATGTTTCCTTGTATCTGGCTATTTGACTGAATACTCATTACTGTTATTGGTTCTTAAGTGGTCCATCTGCATTTACTAGGAGTAGAAATATATTCTGTGCAACTAATGACAATTTAGTTTTTTCCTTCTTGGTTCACCATTTTAAAAATTTGCCAGCTCTAGATACATAATTACTCTCTGGATCTTGCTTCAGACACTTGTGCGTGCCAAGTAGCCATGGATCAGCTTCTTATAATAATAAACCATCTTGGCACCTATTGTAGGAGAAGATAAGAAATAATACTTGAGACCAATATCAGAATAAATTTTTATATCTTAGTAGGAAACCACAAGTCTCTGTTTTTATTTAATGTATATTGTAAAAACAGCGAAAGATTCAAAGAGAACAGAGTGGAAAGCATGTGAGATTGTTTCAAACTCTGTTCCTTCCAGTCTTCATTGTGTGTCCTCACAGTATGGCATTTAATTTTTCTCCTTGTTTGTTTTCTTATCTGATGGCGAATAAACACAAAAATGATATACATAGCAAAGAAGTTCAGTGAACACTATTTTTATTAACAAGGCATGTTTCTATCTAGGAGTATTATATGCCAAAAATTAGCATCTTACAGTGTAAAACAGTGTGTGGTTTCTAGTATTAGTGTTAAGCATTAAAAACACAGAAAAAGTTGTATATTAAAAATAAAGCAAACATTATGACAAGAACTAGAATGCAAATTTTCCAAACAGATAGAATGTTTTGAAAGGAACAAACATATAATAAACATCACTGATAAAGTCAAAGCAAGTGGTTGAGAGGTAGACAACAAGTACTTGGGAGAATGTCATATAGTTTCCAAGGGTGTTCATCTTGCTTTCAAAAACAGGCATAATTTTCAAGTTCAAGGCATTTTTTTTTTCATTTATCTTTAGCAGTTTTGAAGCATGCTTGCTATAAATATGGGTGCATGTATTTAGATATATTCTTCAGTTTCCTAACTGTTATTACCAGGAGAGAGCTTCAAATTCATTGAAATATCCTGTACTCAGTATCATAAAAACCAGTTACAAATGTTACTCTAATGCCAACTTACTTAATCTTCATAAATAATGTATTCATTTTACCAGCTATTGCTAGATCATTTAAAAACAAATTGCCAGTGTGAAAAGAGTTACACCATTACTATCCTTTCAAAAAATTAGTTGTATTCATTTCATCTTTAAAAATATTTTATGAAATATCTTAAACATATAAAATGTTTAGAGCATGATTTTGAAGATACCAAAGTAAATACATATGCATGCATCTTAACATTTTACCATATTTACTTCAGATTTTTAAGAAGTAAAATATAACAGATACAGTTGAAAGCACTTTGTCCCTTTTTCAATCATATTTTCTTCCCTCTCTACCCCAAGTTAACCAGTATGAGGTCAGTGATTATTCTCCATCCATGCATTTTTAAATATTTTAAGAAGTATATATATATCCTTATGAATATTGTTTTGCACACTTAACCATGCATTTTTAAATATTTTAAGAAGTATATATATATCCTTATGAATATTGTTTTGCACACTTAACCATGCATTTTTAAATATTTTAAGAAGTATATATATATCCTTATGAATATTGTTTTGTACACTTAAAAATATACACAAACTACCTTGTACTATTGACTTAATTTTTCATTTTCTTTTAAAATCAATGTTATATTTTTGGCATTTGTCCAGATTAACATCAGTCAATCTATTTATTTTAAGTGCCCTGTAAACTATTTTTAAGTGCCCTGTAAACTATTCTATTGAATAAATATATATTCCTGTGTTCTGTTATTAATGGGCATTTGTTTAGATTATTTCCTTTTGAGATATACACTGTTACATGTGCAGGCTTTCTCTAGAGTGGTGCTTCATAAACTTTAATTTGCATGTAGAACCACCCAAGACACCAGTTAAACTGCAGATCTTGATTCAGTAGATCTTGAGTGGATCCTGAGATTACGCATTTTTTAAAAGTTTCTTAGTCATGCCTCTGCTGCTTGTCCCCTGAACACAAAACATACTAGCAGGCAGCAAGTCACTATCATATACATGTGAAGTATACCCCTTCATAGGTATACTTAAGTACCATGTGAATGTGTATATACACGTTCATAGGTATACTTCACATGTGAATGTGTGTGTACATTCACCTGGTGCTGAAGTGGGTATACTTTATACACATACACATTCACATGTGAAGTATACCTATGAAGTGGGTATGGTAGGCTGGTTCTTTCAACACTTCTCAAAGCCCATTACATTTGGCTATCTTAAGGTTGAAAAGCAAACTACTCTGAACCCCAATCCCTTTTTCAGCTATCTATGAGATAGTTCTGGCCAATGCAGTACAAGCATAAACTGCTGATGCCAGTTCAATTGTCCCAACTTTTTTCTTGTCCAGAATTGTGATGATCCTGGAGGTGCAGCAGCCGCACATTAAGGAAGGCAGAGTGACAGAGTGGTTCTGATCCCTTGAGGCCATTGTTAGCCTCTGCTCCAGTCCTGGGATGCCTGCCCAGATAATTTTTATTTTCATGTCTGAGATAAACCTCTTTCTTGATTAAGCCATTGTAATCTGGTTTACAGTTACTTATACCACTGTTTCATTTTAATGTAGTGAGATGGTGAGGGCGCAGGTGGAAGATGGGGTGGCGGCCGGATTCATTTTAATGATACAGTGCCTCTTCAGTTTTTTTAGATATTGCAAATTGCTCACAAAATGCTATTTTACTCTTTCATCAGGAACATGAGATAATTTCAAGTTTTATTTTTCTACGTCTTTGCTGGTTCTTGTCACTTTCAAACATTTTAAAGTTCTTGCCCGTTCAATAGTGAGAATGGCATCTAATTGTGTTTTAATTTTCATTTCTGTGATTACTAGCTACGTTAAACAGATTTTCTGTGCTCACTGCTCATTCAGATATCCTCTGTGTTAATCGTTTTTATTGTTGTAAATTTTCTCATTGGGTTGTCATTTTATTATGGGTTTATTTTTATTGGAGATGTTCTTATCAAATAATTTATTGCTGGGTTTTATGTATACCCAGTAGAAAATATCTTCTTTTAGATCATGATTGGTCTTTTCACTTTGTTTATCATGTCTCTAGTTAGACAAAGTTTAAATTAATTATGATCAAATTTATAAATATTTTTCTGTACATTTTGTGCTCTTTGTATCTTTAAGATGTCATTGCTTATTCTGAGATCATATCTTCTTTTTTTTTTACAGTTTTAGCATTTTGCTTTTTACATTTAAATTACATTCTATCTGGAATGAAGTTTTGTGGTTTAATGTGTGGAAAGAATCCAATTTCATATTTTTCATACAAACAACCAGTCATCTTCCACTATATCATAAGTATAAATGAAATAACACTCAAAAATTTATTTCTGCAAAAAAATGTACAGAAATGAGGTAATATCAGATGGTTATTAAAAATCTATTAGAAATATTTGAAAAATATTAATATTGAGAACAAAACCCAGGATAAACTCTAGAGTATTTAGCACTATGGTCCGTCATGTTAATTAGACCTAATGGCAGAGACAAATACAATATTTGCTTTGGAAAGATGCACATGTGCCAGAAAATAAGAGTTAAAGTCCTCAAAAACAGAAGCTCCAGTGAGATGTTTAGTATTTAAATAGGCTTTGGCATGCCAGGATATCATTTTAAGCCAGTGGTTCTCAAGCTTATATGTTCATTAGAATCATCCTCAGATAAACAGATCTAAGTTGAAGTTCAAGAATTTGTAGTTCTAAAAAATTTCCAAGTAATGTAAAGCCACACCACCTGCATCAGAAATCAAGTCAAAAAGCAGCTCCTTGTAATATATTAAGCACTAGCTGAGGCTGAATGCCTGACTATGTGACATCAATGAGAGGATATTATTACAAAGAAACTTAATGTCAGACGGATACAACAATAAAGAAGAGTTCATTCTTTACTGCTTTATAAGCCAAATTTGTCATTTAATATATATATTATATATATTTTATATATATATATATAATATATATATGTATGCTATCTTCTCAGTCCTTTAAGGGTAGTATACCACCTTAATATCAGGTAGAGTGAGTCTTCTCACATTTATTCTTAAAGATCTACTTCACAATTTATGCCTTTTTGTTTTCCAAGTAGGTCTCTGGGATGAATGGTTAGAGAGACCAACCTTGTTTCCAAAACATGGTTCGCAGACCTGAGCATTCTAGCTGCTGAGAATCTATCACTGTATATGAACTATTGGTTCAATGTGTACGCTGGAAAATAGAACTTCAAACTTACCATATATATTAATCTCTGCTGTTTCTTAGTGGTGACTGTCGTATCCATTCCATCATTCTATGAGGAAAGTCAGTGTTTGTGATGCAATATATTGTAAAAGATGTGAGTTCTATGATTAGGAGCTCATTGTCACACCTCTTTTGCCACAAAATTGATCCTCTGTTATGACGTAATGAAGTATAGAACCCTATGCCATTAAATCAGGGATTCTCTTTGTCCTAAGATAGTAATGCTTGCAGAGGCACTGCAGCAGGCAAAGAAGATAAACCCCTATCTGAGGTATGTGCCATTTCCAGCAAGAATAAATTGCTGTACCTTCCAGGATGGAAAGGGTCCAATATATTCAACTTGACACCAAGAGGTCTTTTTGAGGAATAGTGCCAAGATAAAGGATTCAGAGTCGTTCTCTTCTGTTGGCAGGTTTATAGGTGGTGAAGGGAAACAATTTCTTAAGCCCATACATAGTTTACAGCTGTGCTACCATGTACACTCTCTTCTTGGACCCATGGTGGAAACACTGGAGTTGACGAGAAGAGAGGCTGGTGGACGTCTGCTAGGAAGATAACCCTGTCCGCCTTGTTGTTAAGAGTCTCTAACATTGCTCTCTAGTGAGTATTAATGTGAGACACAAAGATGTGTGTATTTTGCAACCAATGTCAGTACTATTCACTTGACTCTTTGCTAAACTGTTTGACTCTAATTTTCCTATGTTTGTCTTTATATATCTGGAGCAAATAGGCCATTCATGCCTGCCTAGGAGTTGGTGTAAATCTATACTTGCACTCATCCCCATCTTTCCAAAGTAAATAACCAAGTGCATGGCATTGAGCTCTTCCCATTAGGAGAGTATTTCCTTCTGCTGCTTTATACGGGGCCAGCCCTGAAAAAGATTGTAGTTTGGAAGCAGTCCATTTTCCTCTAATAACAACTTATTTGCCCATAAATCAGAGCTGAATTTGTATCCACCTTTGTCAGTGGGTCTTAGGGAACCCTCCAGAAGATCAGTTGTAAAATTGAGGACAAGGCAGAAATGAAACAAAGTAGATGAAAATTAAGCCTTGGCCTCTTGTTCATGTACCTTGTTACGTTCTCTGAATCTTCTAGGGCTATTTGTAAGTGTATCATTTCCATGGCATCATGAATTATTGTTGTATCCGTCTGACCTTAAGTTTCTTTGTAATAATATCCTCTCATTGATGTCACATAGTCAGGCATTCAGCCTCAGCTAGTGCTTAATATATTACAAGGAGCTGCTTTTTGACTTGATTTCTGATGCAGGTGGTGTGGCTTTACATTACTTGGAAATTTTTTAGAACTACAAATTCTTGAACTTCAACTTAGATCTGTTTATCTGAGGATGATTCTAATGAACATATAAGCTTGAGAACCACTGGCTTAAAATGATATCCTGGCATGCCAAAGCCTATTTAAATACTAAACATCTCACTGGAGCTTCTGTTTTTGAGGACTTTAACTCTTATTTTCTGGCACATGTGCATCTTTCCAAAGCAAATATTGTATTTGTCTCTGCCATTAGGTCTAATTAACATGACGGACCATAGTGCTAAATACTCTAGAGTTTATCCTGGGTTTTGTTCTCAATATTAATATTTTTCAAATATTTCTAATAGATTTTTAATAACCATCTGATATTACCTCATTTCTGCACATTTTTTTGCAGAAATAAATTTTTGAGTGTTATTTCATTTATACTTATGATATTAAAAGTAATTTTTATTTTTTTGCATATTATCACATTATTCTTATTTCATCTGAAGAAATTCATTTCAAATACTGTTTTATTCTCTAATCTTTGTGCTAATTGAAATTTCAACTTTTTAGGTCATCTTGAGTGGTATATGGCAGGGACAAGAGCAGTGATTCATTCTCTTTCTGTCTCTTTCTCATAACCCATCTTGCATATTTTTGAATGCCTTCACTTAACTCATGAAACCCCCAATCCAGAGTCAATTCTCACAATATCAGCTTGGAGCTCCTTTCTACAATGATAGATGGTAGTGTGGTCTGAATGTTTATGTCCTCCACAAAATCCATAAGTTAAAATCCTGACCCTCAAGGTGATGGTATTAGGAGGTGGGCCCTTGGGAAGTAATTAGGTCATAAGGATGGATTCCTTATGAATGGAATTAGTACCTGATAAAAGAGATCCTAGAGAGCTCTGGCACCTATCTTACCATGTAAGGTTAGAGTGAGAAAAAGACTGTCTATAATTCAAATGCAGGCCCTCATCAGACACTGAATTTGCCTTGAACTTCCCAACCTCCAAAACTCAGAAATAAGTTTGTTGTTTATAAGCTACCAAAACTCTGAGAAATAAGTTTATGCTATTTATAAGCTACCTATTTTATTTATGGCAGCCTGTATGGACTAAGGCACACTAGGGATATTGCAAATCCAGATCTCAAATCAGAGGTGGACTGTTTTAGACCCTGGTCTTAAATTGAGCCTTTACCTATATACTCCCCAGAACCTTAATTTCAAATAAGCCATAACTTTGGGCCTTATTTTATGTTAACTTATATGCATTTTATATCTATCATCTATCTGTCTATCCATCTATCTATCTATCATCTATCTGTCTATCTGTCTATCTATCTGTCTATCTGTCACACATTTTTTTAAGGTGGCAAGGTGTAAGAGAAATAAAAATTTCAAAGTGTCAATTTATAAATCATTGTAAATAGAAACTCCATATTTTATTTTTCTCTTTTTTTAATGTCTAAAATTAAACTTTTAAGCAAAGCAGAAAGCATTTCACAATGAAGAAATAACAAATTGATACCAGCTGATACACCTAGAATATTTTACCAAAGTATAACATTAATAATATGTAGGTAATCCTAGATAATATAACTCCAGGAGACTTCCTCTTCCTTCAGAACTATAAAGCAGGGGAAATTATTTTAGCGAGATAACATCCTGCACAATGGCCAGGCAGTAGCTGGGAATTACATTAATATGTATTAGCTCTGCATGAAATTGTATTTTCTTCAGTATTTCCTTATTATCTAACAGATCAAGTCCAAACATCTGCACTTTTTCAATATTTTCCATGAGCCATCTACTCCTTCTTAGCCAAACATTTATCAAATTATTCCATGACATTTCATCAGGCCGTATTCCTCCTTTCTTCTAAAGACAAGGCATACTCATTGCTAACGTAACAGCTTTGCTTATTCTGGCCTGTTTTTCCATGGTATTCTCTAACACCTTTTCTTTATCTATCTGTATTCTTAACATCCTTTATGAACCAGATCAACTTCAATCTTCTGCAGAAAGCCCTCAAACATTTCAGGAGTTTTACAGTAAGTTGGTCCATTCCATTTGAATTACATCCTATTTTTCTCTTAAGTTATTATTGTTCATACTTTAATGCTGTGTATGTTGGCATGTGACTTGAACTTTAAGCTCTTTGAGCAGAAAGCCTGTGTCCTATATTTATTTGGATATTCCACAGTACATGGCCAAATGCAGAACATGTCACTGACTGGCTGATTTGACGAGAGGTCTAGGGATACAATCATCACTTGCGTATCACTTTTTTCACTCCAGGCGACCTCACTTTGACCTGCCTCACCTTAACCTGCCCATTTTTCTTTTCAGACATGTCTGTGGAGTTTTTGCTGGGAATAATTGAAAAGAAAGACTAAATGTGCAGCCCTTTCATTGGAGACGATTATTCATTCTCTACCCCCATCCTCATACCTACATTTTTTAAAAATCATATCTAAAGATATGTGGTTCTGCAGACTTTTCTTTCTAAGCATTCTATATATCAATTGTCAATCAATTGTCAAGCATTCACTGGTCCCTTGGCTCAAACTCTAAATTTTGCCAAGTATTTTACATATCTATTATACAGGGAACAGAGTAAAAATAGTTAACACAGAAGTCAATGTTATACAATTAAAACATATTTATAAGAATAATCCATCCAATAAAAATAAGCTTATCAGTATCATACCTGCATATTTTCTATGAATTATTCTATTTTAATGAAAAAGATTAATAGATTATATAGCACTCAATGGCAAAAGTACGGCATATTAAGCTTAGAAGAATCAAGAGAATGTGGAGAAAATAATATTTAGTTCAAAATTTAATTTACCTTATACTCTTTAACAAACAAATCCACTGGAATATTTTCTATATGACTTGTGTCCTTGTAAATTTTTAAGATTTGCAAAAACAAAGAAATTCAATGAATTACAGGCAATTTATATAATGGTGTTACAGTTTTTGCAACGTAAGCAAGCAGTGATAAAAATGCATTATCTTCCTCATTATGTCGATTTAATGTATTAGTTTGTAGCATATGGCATGTAAGCCTCATGATAGGAGAACGAGCTTAGGTTTTTTATTCCATCTACCAATAGGTGCCAGCATTCATTCAGTTCCCTCCAGGCATGGTAATTGTTCACATAACAGCAGGATGTGCATCTAGACTCATGGCAATGGCTGAGAAATTGAGTTCATCTTACATTTTTTCCTCACCAGCTTTTTTTTTTTTTTTAGATTTCTTTTACTTGGAAGTTTTTTTTTTTTATTATACTTTAAGTTTTAGGGTACATGTGCACCAGCTTTTATTGCACTGTGTATTTCAGAGTAGTGACTTGATTTTTATGCAATTTAATTCTCTTCCTGTGAGCATCATCTTTGAGAAATTATGATCTTTCAGTTCATTCTTCATTCAATAATGTGTTTATGTGTTCTCTATACAGCATTATTTTGATACCAACTATTCTGTCAAATATTCCAGAATGAATCAATTTATATAAACTAAGCCAAATAAATCAGTCTTGAGAAATACACCATCAATTCCATTACACAAAATGAAGCATATGAAACACTGTATTTTTAGTGAAAAGTAGATCAACTGTAGACACTAAAGTATACATTACTAGTATATCAGTCCCCTTATTTTGGTACATATCCCTTCTAACTGGCTCTTTTTAGGGCAGTGATTGCCATAATATAATTTAGTTTCTGATAGAGATCTGAGCTATAAAAGGAATGATGGAGTGCCTAATGACTAAGGTTGTTTCAGGTAAGGCATCCCAGAAGACATCTCATACCACCAGAAGATAGCGTTAACATATCTAAAAGATCAGAGTGATAGAAGGAAAGGAGGATTTTCTAGGAATAAAAAAGAGGTCATCAAATCAGCAGCTGTATGGTTAATCCTAAAAAGACAGTATCAATTATATTACTGTCGCCATGTTGCATATCAAAACAAACTCCTGGTGAATTCATTTATATCATACAATCATTTTTTTTGTTTGTTTGTTTTTAGAGCCAACAGCAAAAATCCACCCTGACTGTCTTAGGCAGAAAATAAATACATTTTGGAAGGATGTTAGATGGTTCTCAGAAACCACAGAAGGATGGAGAACCTGACTCAGATGATAGGCAGAAACCGGGAGACACAGGGCTGTAGGAATCAGAGCCAGGGTCACACCCCAGGGATGGCATCTTTTGCCAGCATCATTGGTGTGCCTCCCGCCCCATCCTCTGCTCTAGCACCAGAGTCCCCACCACAACCTCCAGACACTGAGGCTAGGAAAACAAACTGAGATCTCCCCCTTCCCTTTGGAGCCACTTTTTCTAGATTTAAAGCCTTGGGCAAGAGATTAAGTGTCTCTAATTTTAGATCATTTGCTCACAACTAACCACTGTGGGCTGCTGAGAGTGCCAGATACCAGTTTGTTATAGGTATAAACATACAGTTAGGTAGAAGAAATAGGTTCTAATATTTAACAGCAGACTAAGGTGACTATACTGACAATAATGTGTATATTTCAAAGTAACTAGAATAGAGGCCTTGAAATAATTCCAACTAATACAAATGATAAGCACTCAAGATACCCCAAACACCCTGACTTGATCATTACACATTCTATGTGTGCAACAAATACATGTGCTTCATAAATGTGTAAATTGTTATATATTAATACAAGAGAAAAAAAGAAATCTGCCTCCTTTAAGATGTACCTACCATTCAAATAGTATTAAGATACCCATAAAGCCGCAGCTTTCAAGCAAACTAACCTTTTTAATCTCTCTTAATTTACTTATTACTTAATTATATGCCTTCTTATAGTTTTTAACAATTTTATTTTACAATCACCTTTAAACATCCCATAGCACCGTGAGTTATGTATGGTAGATATTATGTTCTATATTTTACAGATGAAGATTCTAACATAAAAATTTAACTTATTTGCCTGATTGAAACTCAGATCTTTAACAGAGGTCTGAAGTGCTTTCTACTACATTTAAATCATGAACATACTTCTATATTTTCTTTTCAATCTTGTTTCACTTAAGTAAGTTTTGGCAAATGATGTAATTGTCTTAACTAGGAAAGCTTGTGTATTTCAATGTTTATTTGTGTACTAATAAATCATGCTCACACAAACAATGGAGAATATACAATATGACTTGGGGACATAAGTTTACTGGTTGTAAATTATTTCCCAAAATATATGTTGCATTTAGAATGTAAAAATGGCTAATGAAAACTATATCTTCTCTGCAGCCAAATTTGGCTGATTCCTAACAGTTTATATTTTTTCTCATGTTTTTTACCCATTTTAGAATAAATGGTTTCTAGGATAAAATAAATTAATCAATTTTAGCTTCATTTTCTAAAATACTTTTTGACAATGATTTTAAATATGAAATATACAAAAACTTGAACTGACTACAGATTGATCATTTTTATTTTTTTAAACTTGAAATTCTATAGTTGTCCATTTTACAGCCAATTACGCAAAAAACCATGACTTGTGTGCAGTTATTTATGAATAAAAAAAGATCTACTTTAGAAGTTCTCTCTCAGGTAAACAATGTGCCACTTGAAAAATATCATTTCTGTTTGCAAAAACAAATTAGACACTAAGTGTTACCTAGTGGGTAGAGATACAGGCTTCCAGACTGTCTGTCTGCCTAAGCATTTCTTCTATATTTGGTTACTGATGTCCTCAGGTTTGAACTGCTTGGAATTCTTTCCCAGCCATATTATATACATGTGTGTACATATGTTTCAATTTATAAAGAAAAGAGGTTTAATTGGCTCATGGTTCTGCAGGCTGTATAAGCATGCGGTGGGCATCTACTTGGCTTCAGGGGAGGCCTCACAGAGCTTTTATTCATGCTTCCCATATAATTTGACATCAGCCTACTGTAAACAAAATAGTTACTAGTGCTAGCTGGGACATCTTTCTTGGTCAAAGACATTATAGGTTGCCCAAACTGTCATATAAAACATAGGCTTAAGCAGAGAAAACTGGTGTAAAAAGAATATGCATTGTTCAAGTACAGTTGAAATGTTTCACATTCAAAAGTATTTTGATTATCCAGATTTTTCTTAAAACCTGTCTTTTGCAATTACATGAAGGTTGGTGAAAAGCGCCTTTTCCTTGGTCACTTTCAAGGATACCTTAAGGTGAATATGGTTTTGTGGATATAGCCTCCATCTCTTGGGAAGATGTTAAGCTACTTGCGTCAAGAACCATCTTAAATTTATTATGAAGTGCTATATTACCTTGCACCTACCTGGGGTTATGAACAATGATTAATTAACTTGGTATGTTCACTAGTTGAAAATGGAGTTTTTTCTCAATATTGATCAAAGTACTCTTATATTGTGCAGTTGAAACCTACTAAAATGAGAAAAACTAGAATCTTATCTAGGACACATTAAACCCTCACATTATTAAAAAAACAAACAAGTGTATTATACTCAGATCATGGTTCATATATTGCATTGTTGTCAAGCTGAATAAGAAGAAAACAGGTTATATTTTATTACATTATCAACCCAAATTATCCTTTCAAAACAGAAGAGATTTAAAAAGTAATTTTTGTATTACAGTATAAATTTAAAAAGAAAATAGAGTTATAATACAGTTATTATGTCCAAGGACACCAGAAATCACATAACCATGAATTGTTTTTAAATAGTAAATAGATGTTTCATTTTTCAAAGTTAGGTTTTATATAATAACCCCCTCTTCTAATTCCTCATGATCCTTCATACAAGGAATATAATTTTCTATCTTTCTGGAAAAGAAAAATATTGTGTTGACATTCCGCAAAACACAGTGCACGTCATTGGAGCAACATCTCACAGCCCATTCTTTTCTGATATAAAGTGGCTATAATGCATTATCTACTGCTGAAGGAAGTGAAGCAGACTAGTTAATATCACCCAGAAGTATATTGGGAAGAAAAAAAGACAGGATCCTTAGATTTTATTTCTGCATATTCAGCTGGGAAGAAACACAATTTTGAATTGCAAGGTTTTCACAAAATATAAGCTGGAACTCCACCTTTTATTCAGGGTGCCAAAACATGACACCAATCTTCTGCTTGAGCATGTACATTAATAGGAAAATTGTTGCCTCCCAAAATAGTCCATTTAGTTTACTTTCTATGTTGTTGTTATTAATGGTTGTCATTTCCTGGGCACTCACTCTTTTATACATCCAAAAAGGATGCAATGTAAATTATTCCTTCCAACTTCATTACATCTAAAAATTTTCCCTTTTTCAGGCAAGTGCTATATCACTCCTACAAAT
The DNA here is from genome assembly GCF_000001405.40 of Homo sapiens. Lineage (NCBI taxonomy): Eukaryota > Metazoa > Chordata > Mammalia > Primates > Hominidae > Homo > Homo sapiens. The sequence continues at coordinate 67,334,687 of NC_000013.11, forward strand.
AATATTTTCTGTAACATGATTTCTAAGCCCTCTCTTATACCTAGCAAACTGATTGACAAATAATCAGCATGGTAATAGGTGTTAAACTGAATAGTACTGGTTGCTCTCTTTAATCTAAAATTGTTTGCCAATGATCTTTGTAAAACAGATGTTCAGAATTTAACAAAAGATATGTAGAACATGGTGGGATATTACTCCACTTAAAAACCATAAATCTTTTAATAGACATTTTAATGTTGTTAGATTTTGAGGCATCAAATGAATACCAATTCATATTGAGATAACATTATTTCAATTGATATTTTTTTGAGGTTGTGTTTTCCTCATTCTGTAGTTACCTCTCTGAATTTATTCTAATCATCATTGAAGTCTTCATTATTAATTATTCATTTTATCTTTATTATTTCTGACCAACATTTCAGTATGTTAGAATATGGAAATTAAAGTAATTGAATTACATTTTTATATGTACTCCCTACTTTGGCTTTGTGCAAAGGGCCATTATTGAATGAAGAATAAATATAAAATTATCTAATAGCTTTCATCTGGATCTCCCAGTATAGAACCATGAATTCAGAAGTTCTTGCTAGCATTCATATTGAGAATTTCAGTTTTTAATTCAGGTGAGTTGCAAAAAAAAATTCTGTGCCTCAGCTTGGTTTTCCATAATACAAGGATGCACTGAATATCCTTCTACCACATTCAGATACTAAAGCATATGTGATGGTTAATATTGAGGGTCAACTTGATTGGATTGAAGGATACAATATTGATACTGGGTGTGTCTGTGAGGGTGTTGCCAAAGGAGATTAACATTTGAGTCAGTGGACTGGGAAAGGCAGACCCACCCTCAATCTGGGTGGCATAATCTTATCAGCTGCCAGCACAGATAGAATAAAAGTAGGCAGAAGAATATGAAAACACTAGACTGGCTTACTCTCCTGCCTATATCTTTCTCCTGTGCTGGATGCTTCCTGCCCTTGAACATCAGACTCCAGTTTCTTCAGCTTTGGCCCTCTTGGGCCTTCGAACACAGACTGAAGACTGCGCTGTTGGCTTCACGACTTTGGAGGTTTTGGAACTCCAACTGGCTTCCTTGTTCTTCAGCTTGCAGACGGCCTACTGTGGGACGTCACCTTGAGATCGTGTGAGTCAATACTCCTTAATAAACTCCCCTTTATATAAATATCTATCCTATTAGTTCTGTCCCTTTAGAGAGCTCTAATACAGCATCTCACTGTGACTCACCCAGAAACATATATCATGCCACACTGATCAGTGTCCCAACATATTGTCTGATATCAACCACCCCTGAAATGGCACTATCTGTCATCCACCTTTCTCCTAATACCTGCAATCTGGACCTTCCTGTACATTCTGCTTCTATGTGGCTGTCTAACCTGGTCATGGTCATCTGGCTTGAACTGTACCACAGTTCATCAAACCCCAGTTCTGATGTTTTAAAAAAATCAAAATAAAGAAAATATTTTAAGGTTCCCTTTTAAGGAATTTTGAAAGTAAAATTTCTTTACTCAGGAGAAGCTTCAAATGGGAAATATATTTCATGCTATTCAGGATTCCAATTTATTTAAGGCTGGCTTAGGGCTGTTTAGGTTTTGGTGTTTTTATAAGTTGTATTTGAATAGTTACAGAACAAAATGCCCAATATTTGGGAAATAATATGCAGAAAGGGAGACAATTCTGCCTTTATCCATTCGTTAGTGATTTTCATGGCCCTTGAAATGCTGTGTTGACTTTTATATGATTATTATAGCAAACATCTGGGATACCAGATGTGAGCAGACACATTAAGGGACATTTAATCTATACATTTAAGAATGAGTCAAGTTAATCAGAAATCTCATTTCACTTCTGAAAATGAGTTAGATAAGCCAAATCAATAGTAAAAGTCTATACAATCTGGAAGACAAAAGATTTAAAAAGAGAACATATGGCACTTAAGAAATTTGTGTGTATGTGTGTTTATACACAAATACAAACCCATTTGCAAATTATATATGTTCCTGAGAGGGGAAGGCTAAATAAGTGAAGAAAACAATGCATATCTATATTATCTCCTTACATCAATTATACAATAATTATATTTAAAAATATTGATCAGATGTAAACATTATAGTAAGTATGGCTGAAGTATACTATATATTTCATATGCTATGTTGCAAGTTTCAGAGATATTTTAGCTTCATCACTTATCTTCTGATTATTGTAACTTATGATAAATTAAGTGTGTTTGTGTGTGTATACATATATAGATTTATATATCCATTATATGTATGATATTGAGAAAAATGAATATATCATGTGAACCTTTGTCCTCCAGTAAATTCTGCTAACAGGGATGTAATGGGCATCTCACTTGAACATTTTGAATGTTGAAACAACTAAGCAATTCCGGCTGCTGAAAAATATAATTGAACTCTGATCACCATGAAACAAAAATGTGTCTTTGCCTCACGTCAGTATATAATCTAAACCAACATTTTCTAAAATCAACAGAAAACAAAAATATCCCCTTTTTCTTATAATATTTCATAAGAATTTACCCTCATACTTTAATATGTATAGAAATCAAGTTGTGAGTTAGCAAAAATTGTAGACCTCAGAGGCCCAAGGGTCAGAAATTTTGATTTCTTAAATCTGTGGTGCCTAGGAATCTGCACTTTGACACACACATAGAAAAACTCGGTGCTTTTTAACCATCTCTGGTTTTTATGTAAATGTATGAATACATGTATAAATTTACATAAATATGTAAAATTAAAATTTTTTAAATTTTTAAAAAATTATACTTTAAGTTCTGGGATACATGTGCAGAATGTGCAGGTTTGTTACATAGGTATACACGTGCCATGGTGGTTTGCTGCACCCATCAATCCATCATCTACATTAGGTATTTCTCCTATTGCTATCCTTCCCTTAGCCCCATATCCCCCGACAGGCCCTGGTGTGTGATGTTCCCCTCCCTTTGTCTATGTGTTCTCATTGTTCAACTCCCACATATGAGTGAGACCACGTGGTGTTTGGTTTTCTGTTCTTGTGTTAGTTTGCTGAGAATGATGGTTTCCAGTTTCATCCATGTCCCTGCAAAGGACATGAACTCATCTTTTTTATGGCTGCATAGTATTCCATAAAATTAAATTTTATTTGCAGAATCCATGATTTTAATTTACCTCCTGTGATGGTTAATATTGAGTGTCAACTCGATTGGATTGAAGGATGCAAAGTGTTGATTCTGGGTGTGTCTGTGAGAGTGTTGCCAAAAGAGATTAGCATTTGAGTCAGTGGGCAGGAAAGGCAGACCCACCCTTAATCTGGGTGGACACCACTTAATCAGCTGCCAGTGTGGGTAGAATATAAAGCAGGCAGAAAAATTTGAAAAGACGAGACTGGCCTAACCTCCCAGCCTACACCTTTCTCCCATGCTGGATGCTTCCTGCCCTTGAACATCAGACTCCAAGTTCTTCAGTTTTGGAACTTGGACTGGCTTTCCTTGCTCCTCAGCTTGCAGATGGCCTATTGTGGGACCTTGTGATCCTGTGAGTTAATACTTAATACTTAATAAACTCCCCTTGATAGAGATAGATAAATAGATAGATAGATAGATAATCTAGGATATATATATGATATATAGATATCTAGGATATCTATATATCCTATTTATGATATCCTATATCATAGATATCTATATATCATATAGATATATTCTAGATATCTCTCTCTATATATACATATCTATCTATCTATCTATCTATCTATCTATCTATCTATCTATCTAGGGGAGTTTGACATATATATCAAGCTGATATCTATATATCCTATTAGTTCTATCTCTCTAGACAACCCTGACTCATACACCTTCTATTTTTAATATTTTGGTGTGAGTGTTTCACTTTATTCTCTTTTTAAATAGCTGTTAGTTGAGAGCCTACTATGTTTCAGTCATGTACTGTTTGATAATACAAAGATGAATAGAACCTTTCACTAAAGAGACTTTGAATCTAATAAAAGAAGTTTGTTAAAAATAACAAATAATGATATTAAAGTTTGACAAATAAAAATATGAACACAGCATAGTGGTAGCTATGTGAATGTTATAAATTTGAGGTTTTAGAAAAAAAGAAAAGCAGACTATCTCTTTCTTAGGAGGATCACAGAAATATTTTGTAGATGTAATGCTTGAGCGAAAGCTTGAAAGAGAAATAAGAGGAACAAAATGGGCATTCTGCTCAGAGGGAAGAACAAACGTAGAGAGTGTAGTCAGGAAATAATTGGAAAGAAATGTGCAGGAAGATTTGTACTTGATCATGAACTGCCTTTAAATCATACTGAAATATGTGGGTATTAGCTTTTCAGCAATGGAACCATTGCAGGATTTTAAGAAGAGTAATATGATTAGGCTTGTGTTAAAAAAAAAATCAATTAAGTGACAGTATGATGAAATTAGGGGCAGAGGCCATTTAATACTTCAAGAGACAAAAAAATGGGGCTTGAACAATTGCAGTAATTATAGGGCAGAAAAATAAGTATTTTATTCCCAATTTTATAATTCTGTAATAAAATAAACTTGGGTGATACATAAAAAAGCCTAAATTCAATTTGGAAAAGCACTTAGGTCTTCAAGAAGACATATATAAGAACAAGAAAATATTTGAAAGGAACTTGATAGACACCACAATAAGTACATTGACTATACCAGATACACATAGAAAGTCAAAGCTACAGTACAGCTTAGAAGTGTCTTGTCCAAATCAGAGGAGAATGTGTTGTGCTTCTGGAGAGTAGGGTGTGTGACTAGAGAGCTTAGTGTGTCCATTGAAAAACTTTGAGCATGATACTGAAGGACTTAGTCTCATAGCAGGGATACTAGGGGCCATTTTTGTAATTTAGAAAGGATTTTCTACAGTTCAAAGAGAGTGAAAAGTTTGAGTTGGTAACAGTGTTTGACATGAATGAGAATATCATAGTAAAGCCTATATTTTCACGTTTTATTTCCTGTATTTGCCTCATCTTGGATTATGGGAAAACATAATGTAGTGATCTAGGCAGAACTCTTGAAATTATTAAAACATATGTGGTTAAACGTTAATGATAGGATTTTTCATGATTTCGTGCCACAGTAATTCATCTCAGGAATCCCTGGTTTAGATCATGTTAATCATAAGTAAATCTTTACTGCATATATTTGTATATATCTATCTCTTTGCCTTTCTATCATCTATGTATCTATTTATGTATTTATGATTCTCTGTATTCATCCACATACATATGGATAAACATACATACATATGTGTCATATACATGCCTACATACATATATACCCACTGTGAAAACACATTCACCCATCCAAACCCAAAGAATGAACTCAGAGACACAAAGAACAGCAGAAGGAAGACTTATTTTATTTTATTTTTATTTTTATTTGTGTTTTTCTTTTCCAAGATGGAGTCTTGCTCTGTCACCCAGGCTGGGGTGCTGCGGCACGATCTCAGTTCAGGAACAAGAGTTTTAATGGCAGTCTTGCAAGATCAGGTGTCTGGTAGGTAGACAAACCCAGGGCAGTTACAGCAGACAATTTATTTCCTAGCACGCAAGTCCCTCCCCCAGTTTCTCATTGGTCAAGTACTATGGGTATACAATCTTCCTGGACTTTGGCTAAGTTTCATTATACTCTTATAAGGTCATATCCTGTTCCCTTTCCCCATTTAAGTTTCGATTTCCCAGTAATGACACTTTATTCCCTTTTATGGGCTGACCCCTCCTCTAAACCCTGTTGCTTATCGTGACTTTGTAGGTGCATGAGCCCTGTAGTTTGTCACGTTTGCAGGCTGGTTGCCAGTACTTAGATTTACCATGCCCTGAAAATGGAGCATTAAATGGTTTCTTATGAATTCCTCCTCTCCTTTTTTTTTAATCTTTTGGTCTCATTCTCATTTTAATCTTTGTGTCTTTTGGTCCTCAAGTCATTTTAGGACTATTTTCTTCTTCATAGTCTGATTTGGTGTCTAACAGCAGTAAGTTACTTCGCTGGTAGGTCACGGGCATTTGTTTGTTAATAGCTGTTTCAATTAACCTTTGTGCTAGTCCCCTTATACAAGGGATAATACAACATCCCCCTGCTGTTAAGACCCCTACTACAATTATGAGAGATGTAAGGATTGAAGCGACCGTGCCTTTCCATTTCCCAAACCAACTTTCTAGCCAATTAGTAAATGGGTCATCAATTCCAGCATTTTCTGCCAGTTCATTGGCTAAAGTTGTTAATCCTTGTAACACTTTTGTGATGCTTCTATCTAGGGCAGTATTGTTGGGAATGAAAGTACGACATATCTCACCCAGCATAACACATATGCCCCCTTTTTCTGCTAATATCTTGTCTAGTGCAAGCCTGTTTTCCCAGACTATTCGGCTGGTGGCCTCTAACTGGCTAGCTGCCCCTTTGAAGGTGTCCTGAGTGTAATTGATGAATCTCTGTTGATTATAGTAGATGTAATTAATCCACTCCACATTTTTATTAATAATTAACCACCAGAAGAGTGCTGACTCAAACCCAGCAGCTATTTGGCTTCCGGCCTTAAATTCATTAGGCACCCCCTAGCGACTCCTTTTGAGTCAACACATATATTGGGATCAAAAGAATTTGTCGAATCTCTACAGTTTCAATGGCCATGTGTATTTTTGGGTATCTTATGGAATGCCAGGGTGAAGGGGATGGCCAGTTGAACTAAAGCACAAGTCCTGGTCCAATTGGATGGTAACAGGTTGCAGAGGTTCCTCTTCCCACAGTACCATCGGATATCAGCCTGGGGTATATGGAGAGCTGAGTAATTGCCATTGCCTGACTCACCAGTGATGTTTATGATGTGGATACAAGTTGAGAGTTCTCCCATGGGTTTATTGAACTCTTCCTCCTGCCTAGAGAGGCAAGAAGAGTGATTCATGTTCCCTATAGAGAACGAGGGTATTGCTCTGGGATTTGACTTCCGCAATGCGGGAAAGAGCAATGACAGACTCTTACGAGTCTCATTTCCCCATGCATCCTTGTCCAGGTATACAGCCAACATGCAACACATTCCTTCAGGATATGTATCCCATGCTAGGCGTCCCAAAGTGGCTCCCAAAGAATGAATCAGTATTTTCTGCCTGAGGTTGTTCTGCAGCACAAGCGTAGCAGTTACTCTTGTTAATGGCTTCTACCAAAAATTTGACCCATTCGACCCAGGCATTCACATCTCTGTACGCTGTCTCAATTTCTAAGGTTTGCCTTAAATCTTTTACTTCAATTATTTCTACTCTTTTAGGGTCATTATTTAGTGCACTAAAGTGTTTATTAGGGTCTTGGGTTGGAGTAATCTCAGGCAAATGGGAGGTTGAGTTCTTGATCAATTTGAGAATAAATCGCCTTAGGAGGTCTTTCTCTGTGCTATCTGCTCCTAACACATATACTTGAGATGCTACTTTTGCTCCTTGGTCTAGAATGGCTGGATTATCAATGGTTATGAGTATAGGATTGCATTCTAAATTCTGGCAGTTATTTGGCAGGGAGCCCTTGGACAGACGTATTATTCTTCAAGGGTCTCGAGCTCGGAGTTACCCACCCTGTGTTTACTGTCTAACCCTGGAATTGGGTAGTTCACCATACGTTATCCCAGCTGGGGCAGGGTGACGTCCTACTGTAACCTGTATCTTGTTCAGGGAAAAGATATTTATCTGCCTGCAGGAGCTGTCTCTCTCCTAAATTTCCACAAGGTAAAATCTGGCAGGCATCAAATCTTATAGTCTGGGGTGCTACCATCTTAGTTACATTAATCACTAACCTGATTGGTAGGGAGGATTCCCCTGCCAATTTCCATTCTGACCTTTTGCTCTTTGTATAGTAACCCATACCAACCATATTAACTTCCAGAGATGAGGCCAGCCCAAGTTTTCCTTTTAGGTTTTTCTCAAAGTTAACTTTAAGGATTCCTCAGGTGACCCATGCACTTTCCACTGGTCTTTTTCTCTCCCTTCCGGGGTCTTTTTTACAAGTCCCTTGACTTAAGTATAGTGAGTCCACCCCTATTCAGCTGTTTGCACGGCCGTCTTGGTGGTCAGGAGCATTTGATAGAGACCTTCCCAGCTTGGGTGGAGCTTGTCTTCTTTCCAAGCCTTAATCAGTACCAAGTCACCAGGATGGAAGTGATGAACTGCAAACCCAAGAGGCAGAGTTTGAGTCAGAAGTCCTTTTAACCTAAGGGGTGACAGGGTGAAGAATATGGCCAGTACATAATTTCTTAACAATTGGTCCCTGGTTTCCATAGTAGGAAGATCTGTAGCTCTGCCCAAATATGAGAGTCCATATAATAACTGTTAGGGGGACAGTCCCAAGTCTTTCCTTGGGGCTGTCCTAATCCTAAGGAGTACTATTGGGAGACATTTGCTCCAAGGCTTTTTAGTTTTTAAGACGAGTTTAGTAATATGCTTTTTGAGAGTTTCATTCATTCTTTATACCTTTCCAGAGGAAAGGGGATGCCAAAGGTGTGATAATCCCATTTAATGTGTAAATCTTCCATAATTCCCTTTAGCACCCTTGAGGTAAAGTGGCTCCTATTGTCTGAACCAATATTTTCTACCAGGCCAAATCTGGGGATAATCTGCTCTAAGATTATTTTGCCCACATTCCTGGTGGAAGGAGTCAGGAAGGGGAAGGCCTCCACCCAGCTGGAGAAGTGAGTGGTCTACCATTACCAGTAAATATTTTAGTCTCCCTATTCTGGGCATTTCTGTAAAATATACTTGAATGCTCTGACACAGTCTTAGCCCAGGAGGTCTTCCTCCTATAGGCTGTTTTCTAATCACCTTTTTGTTTATTCTTTGACAGGTCATACAACCCCCACACACGTGTTTAGCAAGGTATAAATTCCTATACACCCATAATTTTTGAGTATTGCATCACACATAGCCTGGGGACCCAGTGACTTCCCTGGTGCAGTATGGACATCGGTTCTCTCATCATGGGCTTACTTATTATTTCTCTCCCATCAGGAAGTACACACATTCCCATCTTCAGTTTGAGGGGCCCCTATCTTGTCTAATTCTTCTTTCTCCTCTCGAGTAAATTTACCCCTTAATACTATCTTGGGGATGTATGGGATCTGGCTAAATAGTGTAATTTCTTCCTTCAGGGAGGCTTGCTTAGCAGCTTCATCTGTAAGCCTGTTTCCTACAGCTTCTATAGTGTTCCCTTTCTCATAGCCATTTACATGAACTATGGCTACCTCTGCTGGAAGCAGACAGCTTTCTAAAACCTGTTTGACCAGTTCTCTGTGTACCAATGCATTTCCCCTGCTATTTATCAGGCCCTGCTCTGTCCAGATTTTTCAAAAGTTGTGTACCACCCTATAGGCATATTTGGAATCAGTATATATAGTGCCTTCCTGGCCTTCAAGGAGCATTAGGGCCTGGTTAAGCACATATAATTCACAGATTTCAGCCGACCAGCCATTAGGTAACCTACCTCCTTCACAATAAGATTGTTTGTCTCCATCAAAGATTGTATAACCATTATGTCTTTTGCCTTCTATCACCTGGGACGATCCATCCAGGAACAGCCTTATTCCATTATGTAGTGGGACCTCTCTTAGGTCTGGTCTGACTTTGGTTTGGTATTCTATAACGTCTAGGCAGTTATGATCTGATGCCTCTTGACTCTCCTCTCCTTTCTACAGAAAACTGGCTGGATTTAGGCAAGTATCTGTTGTCAAAACCAAATAGTCTCTTTCTAATAATATGGCTTCATATTTTAGAATTTGGAAGTCTGTTCATCATCTACTGGCCCTTTGATTTTGTATACTGATGACCTGATGCAGAGTGTTCACTATCAGGACCCTGCCAAAAGTCAGCTTCCTGCTCTCTTCTACCAGTAGGGCAGTAGCAGCCACAGCCTGTACCCACTCAAGCTGTCCTCAAGAGACAGGATCAAGGAGTTTGGAAACAAAAGCAACAGTTGTCTTTTTCCTCCTAGAGTCTGGGTGAGCACCCAAGGGCCACACCCTGGCCTACTGTCACAACAGGTGGAATGGCTTCTCCAAAGAAGGGAGGGCTAAGACTGGGACTGTAATGAGGGCCTGCTTTAGCTCTTCCATTGACTGAATTTCATCTGGGGACCATTGCAAGGGATTGGGTTCCTCTTCTAGTAACTTGAGATATAGAATTCTTGCCTTTTGAGCATATGAGTCAATCCATAACCTAAAGTAGCCAGTTAAACCTAAAAAATTTCAGAGTTCTCTCTTTGTCTCAGGCAAAGGCAGACCCACTATTCCCAATATTCTTTCTGGGTTTATTCTCCACATGCCTTCACTAATCAGGTGTCTTAAATATTTAACTTCTTTTTCCACAAATTACAATTTGTTCTTGCAGACTTGCAATCCCCTCTCCCCTAGGAAATTAAGCAAGCCTACGGTGGTTTCTAATACCTTGGCCCTCCTCTCCCCAGAAATTAAAAGATCATCTACATATTGTAATAACTGGGTTCACCTGGAGGGTTGGAATTCTCCTAGGACTTCTTCTAAGACTTAACCAAATAAGCTTGAGGCCTCCGTGAAATCTTGTGGGAGCACAGTCCAGCAGTGCTGTTGTTTTCACCTAATTATGTGATTTTCTCTTTCAAAGGCAAAGAGGTCCCTACTTCTAAAGTCAAGGAGACACACCCAGAATGCATCTTTCAGATCCACCACACTGAACCACTTATGTTCATAGGGTACCTTACCAAGGAGGGTGTAGGGGTTAGGCACCACACGATGGTGGGTTTGGACAATTTGATTTATAGCCTTTAGGTCTTGCACCAATCTATATGAACCATCAGGCTTCTTGACTGGGAGGATTGGAGTATTGTATGGTGACATGCAAGGTTCTAAGGGTCCATCTTTAATCAATCCCTCTATTACCGATTGGAGACTTCTCCTTTCTTCAATGGGAATGAGATATTGCTTTCTGCAAACTACTTCTCCTGGTTGTTTTAGTTCAATCCGTAAGGGTGTGATATTTAACCCTCCCTGTTGCCTTCCCTAACCCATACAAGGAAATCAATTTTTCTTTCTTCCTCCTCTGTTAGACAGCTCATCATTACTTTTATTTGTCCCTCTTCTATTCCTAATCCTAAACCCAATCTCTCAATCAGGTCCCAACCAAGGAGGTTAGTTCCTGCTTCAGGAACATGTAAGAGTGACCCCTCAATTTGTTCTGGTCTCAGTCTAATTAACATTTTCTTGAATATTGGAACCTGAAATCCCTCCCTCTTTACCCCTGATACTATTAACTTTTCCTTAGTGTTCTGTGCACCTTGCTTGGCATATTAGGGAGGAGCAAGCCACTCCAGGGTCAACCAAAAATGTCATATCTTCCCCTTCCCCAACCTTCAAATTTATCCAGGGTTCCTGGTGGGACCTACTCAGAAGGAAGCCCTGACCCCCATAATCTTCATCAAAAGTCATAAAGGGGATTAAATTCTCCTCTTTTCTACTCTGGGCATTCTCTTTTTAATATGTCCTGATTTTCCACATTTGTAACATCCACTTACAGTCTTAGTTTTTCCCTGTATCTCCCTCTTATCTTTTTGTTGAAATAAGTTAGTATTCTCTCATCTCCTCCAGGAGGGGTCTTGATCTAATCTTTTCCTGACTACCTCTTCTACAGTGGAAACCATGATTTTCACTTTTTGTTTCTGCTTCTCTTCCTCTCTCCTTACAAAAGCCTTTTGACTTTCCCTCAGTAACTCTTCAATCAGTTTCTCATTCCACTCATCAATCTTCTGTAGTTTCTTAGTAATGTCAGGCCAGCTTTCAGTTACAAAGTTAACCTTCAAAAGGCCTTGCCTTACTGGGTCTTCTGGATCTAATCCGAGTATTTCCTCATTTGATCTCTGAGAGTCTCTGCAAGAATGCAGAGGGAATTTCTTCATTTTCCTGTTGAATCTCGTATGCCTTCAAGACATTTTGTGTCCTAGGAGTGGACTCTTTGATCCCTTTAATTATTAATTCCCTGAAGTCCTGCATTTGGGCCAGATCTCTGGGATCATTATTTTCCCATTCAGGGTCGACGTTCAGAAATTTTTGTTTGGCTGGTGAGACTCCTTGCCCAGGAGGGTGTTGCCTCTCCCAGATGGTCATGGCTGCTCTCCTAATCATTCCCCTTTCTTCTCCTGTGAACAGGATATTCATAATAGACATCATTTTAGCTCAGGTGTAAAAGCTGCGTCCTAGGAATTGGTCCAGCTGGTCTGCTAAACCGAGGGGATCTTCTAGGAGTGTTTTCATTTCCAGTTGTAAGAGGAACATTTACAAAGCCAAGCTCTCCCTGTCCCATGGAAACTTCCCTAAGAGAGAATATGCTAGATGTCTGCTGTTTGGAGGGGATAGGAAAGTTCTCAATATCCTTCTTACACTGTTCTAATTCCTCTCTTAAATTTGGATAAGGATCTAAAGGAGCAGTTGGTTTGGCTTTCCCACGGTCTCCAGGTCTTTCTTCCTCTAACCCTCCTGCTGCCCCTTGATCTTCCTGTTCTCTATTTTGGTGGCTGTATGGAGGGGGCAAGCATGATAGGGAGTCCCTGGGCTTTTTACTGGGCAAGGCCTTTTTACTAGGCTCCTTAGACCTAGACGTGGGGTTTAATTATTTGATCCAGCAGACGGTGTAACCTATCTCTTCTTGTGAGGATGGGGTTTTATCATTTACATACAGAATTAAAGCTTGGCATACCCAATCCTCATCTGAGCCAAACTTAGGCCAAAAGACCAAAGGCTTACGAATGGGGTCTTTGGGACAGATAAAACAGCAATGTCTTACTATCTTTTGCTTTCCCTTGTTCCTTGTTTACAGGTTCAAGCATTGTCCCTCCAAACCTGTAGCATTCTCCCCAAAGGACTATCTGGGGGAATGTCAGAGAGAGTCTCCTTGGCTCCCTCTTTCCTTTGCCCCCTAGGCCTAGAATTTCTGTTTCCCATTTCTGGCTAGTCTCTGTATCTGAGTTTTTCCCTATGTACTCGACCCCCCACACTGGAGGTTTCTTGCACACCCAGAGAATCACTTCGTCTGTCTCCAGTCATTTCCCTTGTGGGAGAATGGAACCGTGGATTGGGACTCCGTACTCGCTTTGTATCTAGGATGTGTCTCAGTCACACACACTTGACCTCCGAAAATGCCCAACCACCAAGGCAGTACCTATAAACCAATTTTCCTACCTTGGCTCATGCATGAGGTTGCTTGGTTGCCACGGTGCCTGCTTTTTCTCTCTGTGTTGCCTCCGCCACCTCCTGAATAACAGTCTCGGGTATGTTTGTGTCCTCTGCGAGTAGCCAGGATGCTGGGACAGAGCAGGCCACCTAAAATTGGGTGGGACATGTCTCCTCTCTCAGCTGGAGAACCATTCCATTGCAGGCACAGAGATCCCAGACAAGACGCCAAGTTTGTGAGAAACACATTCACCCATCCAAATCCAAAGAATGGACTCAGAGATGCAAAGAACAGCGGAAGTGAGACTTTTAATAACAATCTTGCAAGATCGGGTGTCTGGTAGGCAGACACACATGGGGCAGTTGCAGCAGGCAATTTATTTCCTAGCATGCAAGTCCCTCCCCTAGTTCCTCATTGGTCGAGTACTACGGGGTTATAATCATCCCGGATGTTGGCTAAGTTTCATTATTTTCTTCTAAGTTCATACCCTGGTCCCCTTCCCCACTTAAGTTTCGATTTCCCAGTAACGACACTTTATTTTCTTTTATGGACTGCCTACTCCACTACATCCTGGTTGCTTATCATGACTTTCTAGGTGCATGAGCTGTGCGGTTTGTCACACCCACAGGCTGGTTGCCAGTACTTGGATGTACCATGCCTTGAAAATGGACCATTAAATGTTTTCTTACACGCATAAATATAAAATATACAGATATACACATACACATATATTTTTAAGTATGAAAAACATGGCTTATATTTTCATTGCACCGCAAGTACTGCCTAGTGCACTTGGGAAAATAGTAATTAAATAAAAATGGAGAAAAATTTCAGTGATTTTTTTCTACATTCAAACTGAACCCCATGTTTTTATAATTCTGAAAAAAAAGCATAAGAATAAATACAATTTCTTGATTTACCTCATAATTAATAAACAGTACATATATTTTATTTCACAGCTACAAATGTTAAAAATTTTATCATCAGAAAATAATTATATTTTCATTGTGAGGTTTTTTAAATATGCTCTTTGCAAATACATCTGTAGACACCCTCTACAAAGGCACTTAAATTATAATTTTGACTTAAAATCTAAGGCATAACCACAAATTACTAGTATGAAATAGTTTTAAAGATAGAGCCTATTCTCAAAAGTCACATAGTTCTTCACTTTATTTTAAGATCTGGAGATAAATGAGTAAATCAGAATAAAGATACTATGTACTTTGTATTATTTATGACAATGTTGAGAATGTATTTTACAAGATATTAAAATTTATATATTCTCTCTAGTTTTAAGTCTGTAATGACAGTTCATTGAATTCCACAATTTAGAAAATTTCCATTAACGTGGAAAATTGAGCCCCAAATTATCTAATCTTGTGATGTTTTATATTAATGTACACACAAAAATTAAAATAGGGATTTTTTAAAATTATACTTTAAGTTGTGGGATACATGTGCAGAACGTGCAGGTTTGTTACACAGGTATACACATGCCATGGTGGTTTGCTGCACTCATTAACCAATCATCTACATTACGTATTTCTCCTAATGCTATCCCTCCCCTAGCTCCACACCCCATGACAGCCTCCAGTGTGTGATGTTCCCCTCCCTGTGTCCACGTATTCTCATTGATCAACTCCCACTTATGAGTGAGAACATGGAGTGTTTGGTTTTCTGTTCCTGTGTTAGTTTGCTGAGAATGATGGTTTCCAGCTTCATCCATGTCCCTGCAAAGGACATGAACACATCCTTTTTTGTGGCTGCATGGTTTTCCATGATGTATATGTGCCACATTTTCTTTATCCAGTCTGTCATTGATGGGTATTTTGGTTGGTTCCATGTCTTTGCTATTGCAAACAGTGCCACAATAAACATATGTGTGCATGTGTCTTTATAGTAGAATGACTTCTAATCCTTTGGGTATACACCCAGTAATGGGATTGCTGGGTCAAATGGTATTTCTGGTTCCAGATCCTTGAGGAATCACCACACTGTCTTCCACAATGGTTGAACTCATTTACAGTCCCACCGACAGTGTAAAAGTGTTTCTATTTCTCCACATCCTCTCCAGCATCTGTTGTTTCCTGAATTTTTAATTCTAACTGGTGTGAGATGGTATCTCATTGTGGTTTTAATTTGCATTTCTCTAATGACGAGTGATGATGAGCTTTTTTTTCATATGCTTGTTGGCTGCATAAATGTCTTCTTTTGAGAAGTGTCTGTTCATATGATTCACCCACTTTTTGATGGGGTTGTTTGTTTTTTTTCTTGTAAATTTGTTTAAGTTCCTTGTAGATTCTGGATATTAGCCCTTTGTTAGATGGACAGATTGCAAAAATTTTCTCCTATTTTGTAGGTTGCCTGTTCACTCTGATGATAGTTTCTTTTGCTGTGTAGAAGCTCTTTCATTTAATTAGATCCCATTTGTCTATTTTGGCTTTCATTGCCATTGCTTTTTGTGTTTTAGTCATGAAGTCTTTGCCCATGCCTATGTCCTGAATGGTATTGCCTAGCTTTTCTTCTAGGGCTTTTATGGTTTTAGGTCTTAAGTTTAAGTCTTTAATCCACCTTGAGTTAATTTTTGTATAAGGTATAAGGAAGGGGTCCAGTTTCAGTTTTCTGCATATGGCTAGCCAGTTTTCCCAACACCATTTATTAAATAGGGAATCCTTTCCCCATTGCTTGTTTTTGTCAGGTTAGTCAAAGATCAGATGGTTGTAGGTGTGTGGCATTATTTCTGAGGCCTCTGTTCTGTTCCATTGGTCTACATATCTTTTTTGGGACCAGTACCATGCTGTTTTGGTTACTGTACCCTTGTAGTATATTTTGAAGTCAAGAAGCATGATGCCTCTTGTTTTGTTCTTTTTGCTTAGAATTGTCTTAGCTATATGGGCTCTTTTTGGGTTTCATATGAAATTTAATGTAGTTTTTTTCTAATTCTGTTAAGAAAGCCAATGGTAGCTTGATGGGAATAGCATTGAATCTATAAATTACTTTGGGCAATATGGCGATTTTCACAATATTGATTCTTCCTATCCGTAAGCATGGAATGTTTTTCCATTTGTTTGTGTCCTCTCTTATTTCCTTGAGCAGTGGTTTGTAGTTCTCCTAGAAGAGGTCCTTCACATCCCTTGTAAGTTGTATTCCTAGATATTTTACTCTCTTTGCAGCAATTGTGAATGGGAGTTCACTCATGATTTGGCTCTTTGTTTGTCTATTGTTGGTGTAAAATAGGGATTTTTAAAGCAATCACTATTGAAACTCACAGAAATGAACATGTATTTATATACCATGAAATTCAGCAAAGTTTCATGAAATATTAATGAAGTTTTGCAAGTCTCATTTTAAAATTCAGTGATTAATAATTGATTAGTCTATAAAACAGATATATTGCACAATAGTATCAACACTATAACAAATTTACTTGAAAAATTTAATTGATCTAAACTGCTATTTTTTTCTTACAAATTGGAAAAAATAGTTAAAGCACTCTTATTTGTATTGATAGCATTCTGAAAGTTAAGGTCTCTATTCATCCTCATTCCTTTTTAAAAACTAATGTTGCGTGGAGATATCATAGGGAAAATAAATATTACAAAAATGCATTTCAATTTAAAGAAAAGACGTTTTGTACTCAAGATAGTAACTTGTTTCCAGCAAGTAAACATACAATGATGCAAGTAAAACATATGGGAGGATGAGTTGTAGCAATTTTTCCAGCTTGCCAGTTGCTTCAAATGTGGTCATATGGTCACTATAGTCAATTTCAAAGAAATTAGCATTCAAATTCACCAGCTAACCCCAATTTTATGCTTCATTTTTTCCAGAATTCATACAAAAATAAGAGAGTTAACAGTGTAAAATTTTAATATCGTAAAAACGGGAAAGCCTCTTAGGAAAAAAATTACATCTTAAGAAAGTAGAGAGTTTAGGCTCATAGACAAGGACAATTAATATAAGAAACTCCATAGTTTTCTTTCTTTAAATTAGAATAACTATGGAAGATTTGTCAGGCATTCTATGAAATCAGTGGATGGGAATGCACCCACCCCTAAAACCCAAACAAACAAAAATAATGTATCTCTTAATCTGTCTGTCTCTCTTTCTCTTTCTCCTTTATGTGCATATGTGTGATAAGATATCTACCATCCCTTTAGCAGGTTTACATATTCAAGCTGATTCTACTCCATTTTTATTGTGAAATAGTTGGTACATACCAAGTGTTAGATGCATGCCTAAACTATGAAACATAATAGTAAATAATTAAATAAATATCTGTGAACATATTCTCCATTTAAATAAAGGGAACATAACCATTTCTCTTGTAGATTTATCATCCCATATTTTTGCCTTTCTATCAGACACACACACACACGCACACACACAAACACACTGTTTCCAAATTTGTTTTAACATTTATTTTATTTTTGCAACATATTTATTATCTATATGTATACCACAGTTTAACTTGGAGTTTTCTGCTTTGTCTTATTAAAATATTTTCATATGTATGCATTTTCTGCTCGTAAAATTTCAACGCTCATTGCTATAATGCAATCATTTTCATCTCTATACAAGTATTATACAAGTATTAATTCCTTGAAAATTTAGTTATCCATTTTCTTAGTAGTCATTATGTTGTTTCTACATGTACAGCATTAAAAACAATACTGCTATCATGTTCTTTTCCATGTTTCCTGGGAAAAATGCACAAGAATTCACTTGTTTATAAGATGCCACTAAATTACTTTCCAGAGTAATTATACCAACTTACAAACTCATAGTTACTGTATGGAGTTCCTGAGCACCACAAACATCCAACCAACATTTTACAGTCTTATAAATTCAAATTTATGCCAAATTGTGATATGAAATATTATTTTAATGTAGTTTCAACTATAAATTTTCTGATATCTAAGGCTGAGGATATTGTCAAATGTTTTTGACCACTGTGTTATCTTCTGATATGTTTGTTTATAACTTTCTCCCATTTCTCTATTGTGTTTTACTTTTCAATTTTTAGTATCTTTTAACTTTTATGTCAATTATTCCTTTGTTGATTAGATGAAAAACATTTTCCCGACATGTCCATGCTATTTTTTCCTTCTTTATGTTGCCTACACTTACTTCAAAAATAATCCCTCATCAGACAGACTGCAAGCAATTAAATAAAAGTGCTTTTTCCATAAAGACCCTGACACACTTTGACAGTCCAAAGCAGGATAAGTCTGTAGATTACTGAGCAGTTTCACTTGCACAGGTGGAAAAATATTATCCCTACTTTGTGGTTATCAGTTGAGGACACTAGAATCTGGGGAAGGACACAAGGATCTCAAGTTCTGGTTATAGCATCTCCTCCTGTGATGCAGGAGAATGGGAAAAACATTTTGATGGATTTGATGGTGACAGGAGAGTTATTATAGTCAAACGAGTATGAGAAAGAGAAATAGACAGATGACATTTAAAAACTAAAACTATCTACCAATTTCTGAAACTGTTAGGACAAATTTAATTATAACAATGCTGGATTTCATGCAAAACAGATGAATGTTTCAATTAGAAGATTTATCTAACAGTTATGCTAATCCTTTTATTTTCTCACAAGTGTTTGACTGGGAAAAATGATGATAAAAACAAAAATTCAGATAAATTCAATAGAAAGCTTCCACAAGCCTTAGTGACAAATACATGTGAAGTATTTGGCTTTCTTTGGATTATGGTAACATTTTTTGCCAGGCCTGGCTGCTTGTAATAGTTTTGAAGTCCTAAAGTCATAATGCAGTGCAATGTCACATATTAAGGTTAGAAGACAATTCTCCATGACATTTCATTTCTGCATTTTGTATCAGCTTTTTTCCTATACTAAATTCCAAGTACGTTTATATAGCAAGCAGCTTTGGAAGACAGAAAGAGTCTCTCTCCAGAACAGAGGACAAATTTGTTTACTGGCCAGTTTAGAAGAAATAATATCTTCCTCCAAAACAGAAAAAAAAATGTAGACAGGTTTGCTAATAGTCATTTTTAAAAGATTAGGGTTTCTTAAGCTCAGAGTTCTTCAGCTGTGACATAACTCAACTGTGTGCAAATCCCCCTGAGCCCAGCTCAGGTTCAACTCCGTGGAGCTTGGTGGGTAAGAGGAACTGATGCACTGCCTGCTCTGTGATGCATAATAGAGTAATAAACTCCTTTTTCTCTAACCCAGGAGCTTCATGTCTCCTGTCATCATCTAGGAAAGTGGTATCTTGCAATCGGTAAAATCTCAGACCCAGCACAGTTCTTGAAATGTAAAATGACTCTTCTTTTACTTTCATTTCTTGGGAAGCATGTTTTTATTATCTGTCACTACCACACATTCTTACAGAACTTTCTGAGAGTTCCTCCAGTAATAGAAGGGCTTATGAATGCTCATGGAAGTGGATAAAAATGTATCGTAAGTGGAGATGTTTCTTAATCATACTATACTAGTTGTCTTTCAAATTTTCTGTTGTATTAAATCTCTAAAAGCATAAGAGAATTTTCTGAGATGACTAATCTGGTAAAGGAAAGTGCAACATGATAAAACAATTCTGACCTTAAATTAGCTTAAATTTTTAAAAAGTGATTAATTATTATTCACATTTTTGTACATAAGATGCTGAATCCGGTGAAACAGTCTATAATGAACGAAGATCAATACTAAAATATAGTGCATAACTATTGGAAATGTAAGTTTTCTACTTCATATACATTTATGCCCTAGTCAAAAATTAGGGAGATCCTAAGGAAACTTCTATTACTTTTGTTTTAGTAAGAAGCTAAATGTTTTTAACTACTGTAAGTAATCCAAGGTATATAATATGCAATAAAAGGGGTTGGGTTATTGATCTGAGTTACATTTTTATATTTAGTGTCTCAATGGTCCAGTGACTATTTGTGTAGGATGTGGTAAAAGGTTTTTTTTTTTAATTACAGAAATATATCATCAGGTTCCTTCCAACTCTAAGACCTAATATTTTTACAACTGTCAGAAATTTTTAAAAATATATACAAATACTTCTAATTTTGAATTTTTTGTAACAAAATTTTAATTGCATGGTTATATTTTACATGCCCGTAAATTAGTTCTCAATTGGAATCATCTTGCATTCATTGTGACACAATATTCTTCAGTTTCATTGCTTACATATGCTAAAAACTAAAGTAAGAGTTGAGATATACTGGGGCATTTCAGGAATAATATGCATTGGTTTTATATAACTTTCTAAAACCTTATGTGTTCGGAAAGCTTAACTCATCTAAATGTAGTCTATAACTCATAAGATTACATACTAATTATTCATTCTTTTTGTCTTTAAACTGTAAAAAAAAACTGATACAATCTCTTTAAGAAATTAGTTTCTTAGAGCACTATGAATTTATTTATAATGACATTCTTTGAAGAAACATACAATTACTCCAAATAAAATTTTAAAAAATCTAATGTATATTACAATTTGAAAGTTTAAAATGTTAAAGCCAATATATTATATACAAGCAGTTTCAAAGACAGCATGTATTGGTTTGAAAATGTAACTTATTTCTTAGAAAAAAGTAAACTGGACAGTTATTTGTGGAGAACAAAGTAAACAAACACATAATCCAAACTGTGATAAAGTTTTTTTTTTCTCTAAGAGCAATACAACTGAAATATTTGATTTCACTCTAATTCTAGCTCAGTAAATGGTAAAAAAGAAAACCCCTGACCTAAACTTAATAAATTATTTTAACCTATTATTTTTATATTGGTGTTTATTATAATGTTGGAGTTAGTGGAAATCATGTCTGCTTTATTCTGGAAACAGGAATATATAGAGATAGGGATACATACAGAAGAAAGAGAAAGCTAGAAGAAAAAAGTAAAAAGTACTGGTTTTTAGCAATGATGAAAAGCATGTTTTAGGTGACAAAATGAGATGCATGTAAATGACAAGAAGGCTCTCTGTATCCTGAAAACATTCAATTCAGAGTGACCTGTGGCCATAAATTACCAGAACGAAGCTTCAGATCCCAGTCTTGTAATTTCATCAAGGCCAACAAGATGCAATCTTGAAAACCGTTTGCATGGTGTGAGGACGAATTGATGCCCTTGTTCTTTCAGACGGCTGAGCTTGATGCACAGAGTCTGACTACTTTTGTGTCTCTGTGTAGCCGTATATGGTCATTGTAAATAATTAAGTAGAAATTTGTTACCCTTTTGTCAAATGTATTTCTGATGTTGCTCTTCCTAGCTTCCATTAAGAAATCCCTTGATTAAATTTTAAAGTCTTAAACAATTTGAGCGTCTGAGAGCACTGGATACAAACTACAATTTAAATGTTTTGCAGGGGAAAGTCATATTCTCTTTGGGAGTAGGGGAAATAATGTTAGGTATTTAGTATGCAGCCCCATGATTCCTTTTCAAGACACAATATTACAGATTTGATTACCAACCCTGTAGCTGGTCCTTGTAGGTCATTTATTTTCTCAACTACTGTCTTGTAGATTTTAAAAATATGTTGCTTAAAATATTTGAGAATATTTTAAGTTAAGCAAAATATGCTTGTAACTAGAAATTTAAATTCTTAGTCACTCCAGCTCTTACATAACATGATAATAAGAAAATATGGAACAAATGTGTTTTTTTTTTGTAATTTACAACCGTAATTCTTTTTTACATGTTTATTTACAGTATTCTAAAATAATTTTTAGACAAGGAAACAAAACAAAAAGAAAAGGAACTAAATAGTGAAATACAATTTTCCTTATGCTTTAGAAAATGAGTAACTGTTTAAATTTTAATTATATTCTTCCTCAAATGCATGAATTCAAAACAGATTGGTATGAATATGTGACACTTGTTGTGGTTTTATACCATATTTATTATCTATATTTTGGAAAAAAATAAAACAGCCTTTAAACCTAGAATACATATAATTCAAAAAAACAAAATATGGCATTTAGTTTTCTATTCTAATTAATAAAGAAACAGAACACATTTTGTATTGTGAGGTGATATTCCACAGCAACATAATTAAAAGTTTTCTGGGGATTTTTCACTTTCTTTTACGTGGGTGAATGCTACAAGTCTTTATTCCTTCTCTCTGCATGTCATTTTTCCTTTGCCTCAATAAAATGGATGAAAATGAAATTTATATTTATAGTATTTGGAACTACGCTCCTCAGGGACTTTATTTTCATGGTGATGCATTCCCTTAATAACTCGTCTTCTATTTTGACCACTGTAGTCATGACATTTACATAGTGTATGTGTCTCTTTCATTTTGGGATAAGAAAATTAGAAACCTCGTGATTTCCTTTTTATTCAGTAATTCTATCCGGGTTTTGAATTATGCTTTGCATATTATAAACCCTGGCTCTAAATAGAAAGTGCTAAAAAATTAAATTTGTACCACTTCACTCATACTGCCTCATCCTCACTCCCAAACTTTGCCTTTCATGAACTCTAAAGTGTTCATGTTCATGCTCCATTATTTTTATATTTCAGTGCCCGCTAGTCTTTGACTACTGAAACCTGACAGTGCAAACCAAATTTAAATGTAAGGGTTGTTGATCCAGAGACAGATGCTGGCCATAGCAGGCCGCCACCTCTACTGTTTCTTTTAGGGGAATGCTCTCCACAGGCTGGCTATGGTCACAGCCCCTGCTCAAGCCTATCCCATAGAAATGCTCTCTTGTAACATTACCTCCTGCTCTGAAAGAGAAAGAGGTGGATAGCCTCAGATTTATAGCTGGAATCTCTAATTTAATCAATCATCACAACGTAAGTTTTTTTTTTTTTTTTTTTTTGAGACGGAGTCTTGCTCTGTCACCCAGGCTGGAGTGTAGTGGCGGGATCTCGGCTCACTGCAAGCTCCGCCTCCCGGGTTCACGTCATTCTCCTGCCTCAGCCTCCGAAATAGCTGGGACTACAGGAGCCCGCCACTACGCCAGGCTAATTTTTGTTTTGTATTTTTTTGTATTTTTGTATTTTTTTAGGGGTTTCACAGTGTTAGCCAGGATGGTGTCGATCTCCTGACCTCGTGATCCGCCCGCCTCGGCTTCCCAAAGTGCTGGGATTACAGGCGTGAGCCACCGCGCCCGGCCTGTTTCTTTATTAAAATAAAAAAAGAAGACTAATTTGTGCTTGTACAGTTGCATTAAGGATTGAGATTATATATATGTAAATGAACGTGATCCTGATAAACACTAGGCTTCCAGTAAGTGGTTAACATCTTTTGTTACATCTGTTAAAATCCTAGTCCCAGATCCTTGGATAAGAGAGGTGCTATGGTTTTGATTTGGTTATTAAGTCAACACATCTATTTTAAAGGTGTTAAGCAGGAAAAGAGTTTTGATTACAACATTAAAATCACAGGCATGGAGAAGGGGAGCTTTGAAAAATATCGATGTGTGGGTCTCACCTCCACAGATTCTGATATAATTGAGCTGGGTGCTGTGTTGGGCGTTGGGAATATTAAGAGCCCCCTGAATTATCCTAACGTGCAGCCAAAACTGAGAGCCACTGGTGTAGTGTCCCATGCATTCGTGGTGTTATTTTTAATTTAACAAGTCCTTCATGAGATACAAAGTCTTGCAGTAGTTCTCCAGCTGGGAGGTATCATCCACTTGGGGGTATTTATAAATGTTTATAGGCAGTTTTGTTTTTTATAGTGACTGATGTCACTGGTGGAGGCAGAGAGAATCATTGCTCCTAACCCACGGCCAGTAGTCCTCCTCTTCCCCAAACACATTGAGATTACAAAGGCATGTTTCTCTAATTATCTCTCTTCCTTCCTTCTTCTCTTTCCCCCTTCCTTCCTTCCATTTTTAAAATCTTTCTTTTAATTTAATATTTTTTTCTTTCACATTTGTTTTAACGATCTCATGGTATTATTAGAGAAAATAAAATAAGAGCTTGAATTTGCCTGTGTCCCCTGGAGACAGGCTAGGATTACTTCAGACAAGAGATGTTCAGGGAAATGTGGTAATTTCTAGAGTATGGGATAGACATTTTGGGCAAGCTGTTCTGAAAGTACTCTTTCACCACTCCAGGTAAGTAGGTATCTGTTCTATTTACTCCTTGCCATCCTTACCCTGAGAAGATAAAAAAGCAATCCATTAATGCAATTTGTAATTTCTTTTCATTGATTACACAATGTTCCAAGGCCACCTTAGAGTACCAAAGCAGCAGCAATAATTAGTACTTATTGAACACCCATTGGGTTCGACACTAGCTCTACATAGTAGACCACTGTGTGAATCTTTAATAATTCTGCTACTGCAAAGTTCAATGGAAAATAGACAGACAAACAGCACGTTTATATCAGGTGGGAATTTATCTTTTCAAGTATATAGTCATAATTTAATTCGAATTTACAATTTTCCCTGTGCTGATTAAATTTACAAGGATTTATTCTTTCTGTCTCTCTGTTTCTGTCTTTTTCACTTGGTTCCCTCAGTTACCTACTTATTCTTGGTAACTATAATTGCCAAATGAAAAACAGCTGCAACTTCTTTTGGCATAATTATATAACTAGTAAAAAATAAGACCAATGTTGATGTACAACACTTGGTTTTGACTATGACATTGTTCAATGTTTCTCTGAACTTCTTTTCTTAGAGTCTAATCACTGATATGTAGAACATATATACTAGAAAACCCTTGTTTCACACCCACCGAGAGGGGAAACATGCAGACACATCAAATGTTAAAGAAGCGTGAGAAGCATGCTATTGAACTATTTTCTATCACTGGATTTTGGGTTTGCTTTATTCCTTTTAATGTAAACTGTTCTAAAGTCAATTATTAAAATCCAAGTTAAGTTGAGAAGGTGTGAGAAAGGGGTATTGGGTTGATAAGCAAGTCAATGACTTAAGTATGGCACCTTGTGATTTTTCTTACTCCTTATCCCTGATATCCCTGGATGCAAATAGTGACAATCCATGTCTTCCTAACAAATAAATCCGGCTATGAAACAGTTAATTTTGCCAATGATTTGTATTAATATGAGTATTTGACTGTTATAGATGAATAAGTAAATAAATAACAGTGAAATAATGAACTTGTTCAGAATTTTGTAAGAATTAAAATGATTCAATGCTTTTCTTTATGCTTTGATGTCTTTTAAGTAATTAATATCATAATATATTGTTGCAAGTACAAAAAGCTTGCATTTCCTAGAACACTGCTATTGAAGAGATCTTTTTGATCTTCATTCATTTTTAATTACTAGAGTTGTGTTGATTTTCAGTTTTTGCAATGGAATATCACACAAAGCACACTAGTGCATAAAGGAATGGGTAAAGATCCCAGTGCACTCTTCTTCTGATTTTACAATTGATATTTTTAAGTACTATGTTAGATAAAATACTAAAGCCTCCAGCAGGAGAGTGAATTTACCAAAATAATTCTATATAAAGATATTGATTAAAATTTTTAATAGAGAGTATAAGGCATCAGAACATTTGAGTATTTTATTTAAAGATCCATAGCCAAATAAGTAGAACTTATTTTTATAACTTTATGGCCTTTAATAACAGTATAACTATTTAACTATGAAAACCTGTTCACCTGCCCAGCATGAATGCTATCCTTTCTGCCATAAGCATCTTCCCTTTCCAAAGTTTACACATTTATTCTTTTAAAGTGATTTCTCTTATCTATTATATAATGAGATAAAATCACCTTTGACCTTATTTGGGAGATAAGGAAAAAGAGCATATTCATCTGGTTGCATATGAAGAAATTAATTATGAAGTAGTTACGCCCTGTGCTATATTGCTGATATGTTTAGTGTTTTAACAAAAATATTCCATTTTAGATTCGATTTTTTAAAAACGAAAAAGATGTAAAGATCCATTAAGAAGATTCAAGTGAAATAATTCATTGAAAATATGCAATTATATTAAAATCTAGTATACTATTCTAGCAACCTATTAAAATACTGAAAGTAACACTAACCACAATTCTATTAGGTATGCATAATATAGATAATACTGTAGTCATAATGTATATATATATCTCAATAAGGGGGGACTTTATATTATGATTTCTTTATGTGGTGATATCATATCAATGATCTAGGAAAATACTTATATTTTTATTAACTACAATAAGCTGTTGACTTAAAATGACTTATTAATGTGGCATGCTAATATGTTTTAATATATATCCATATTTAGAAATGGTATATATCTGAGCAGGCTCCCAAGTCATAGAGTTACACTTAATTTAATGAGATGTGTAGCCCATCCTGCCAGAAATTAGTATTAGTATGATCCTTTTATCTAATAGCTACTACTAACCTGCACACCAGAAATATTTTTTAATATTAAGTGACAGTTCATCAGGAATAGAATTTATATGTAATAATACCCTGAGGAATTCTAAAAATTGAGATTTTTGAAAGACAAAAATGTCTTAGAGAACCAGTAAACATATAATAAACCAAAGAGACAATAAGTGAATATGAAATAGGTTATATAGAAGTTTCTGTATGGATGCCAATGACGTTATCACAAAGAAGTCTTCTCATGACCTCAGAAACAAGTTGGGTGGCATATAGAGCAACCATAAGCAAATAAACCTATACAGGTTATGAATCACATCTCAGAGAGCATTTAGGATCAAAAGCTTGAAAGTAGTCCAAAGTGGGCAGATCACCTGAGGTCAGGAGTTTGAGATCAGCCTGGCCAACATGGCGAAACCCCCTCTCTACTAAAAATACAAAAAAATTAGCAGGGCATGGTGGTGTGCACCTATAATCTCAGCTACTTGGGAGGCTGAGGCAGGAGAATTGCTTGAACCAGGGAGGCAGAGGTTGCAGTGAGCCAAGGTTGTGCCACTGCACTCCAGCCTGGGCGACAGAGCGGAACTCAGTCTCAAAAATAAAATAAAATAAAATAAAGCTAAATAACATAAGTCACATTTACATTTGTAACCAAAATACACTGGATTTTTACTAGGCATTATTCTTCCTTCCATTTCATAACATTAACATTTGATTAAATCCAGTATAAAAAATATGATTCCAAAAGTGCTGAAGACATTCAGCTAAAATTTTTGGGTCGATGGAAACTGGATAACATCACATATAACACAACATACGCCTTTTAAAATCTGTCTCTCTGCCCAAAGTTCCGCGCCCAAATAGCAAATTCCTTGTCAGCATATCCATTTATATGATTCCACTTACCTTTCCTATACCTCCTTTCTAAAAGTCTACCTAGGGTCCTATAGGAGTTGGCAAGACTAAAGCTATTTAAGCCCAACTGACGGTTGCTCCTTGAGAATACCTGAAGTCTTTCATTTTACTTCAGTACACAGAGATTAGATGAAGTAATATGAAATCAGTCTGTGATGTGGTAAGTAGAATAATTCTTCCCCCACCCCCAAAATGTCAAAGTCCTAATCACTAGAATTGTCTCAGTTGTTTTGCAATCTTAATTTCTTTTTGACATGTAAGGTATCATATTAACAGGTCCTGGTAATTAGGTTCCACAGGCTGTACAAGAAGCATGATGCTGACATCAACTTGGCTTCTGAGAGGTCTCAGGAAACTTACAATCACAGAGAAAGGTGAATGGGGAGGCCAGCACTTCACATAGCCAGAGCAGGAGGGAGAGGGGGCGAGGTGCCACACACTTTTAAACAACCAGATCTCATGATACCTCTATCATGAGAACAGCACCAAAGGGATGGTGCTAAGCCATTCATGAAGGATCTACCCTCAGCATCCAATCACCTCCCAGCAGGCCCCACCTCCAACACTGGGGATTAAAATTTGACATAAGATTTGGGTGGGGACACAGATCCAAACCATATCAGATACTATCATCTTTGGGTTATTGTGTTAGTCAGGGTTCTCTAAAGGGATAGAACTAATGGGATATATATATAGAATGTGTGTGTGTGTGTGTGTGTGTATATATATATCCCGTTAGTTCTATCCCTTTAGAGATGTATATATATCATTATATGTATGTGTGTGTGTATATATATATATATATATATATATATAGGAGTTTATTAAGAAGCATTAACTCATGTGATCACAAGGTGAGGATCCACTATAGGCAAGCTGAGGAGCAAGGAAGCCAGTTCGAGTCCCAAAATCTCAAAAGTCAGGAAGCTGACATTGCAGCCTTCAGTCTGTGGTCAAAGGTCCAAGAGTCCCAAAGCTGAAGAACTTGGAGTTTAATGTTCGAGGACAGGAAGCATTCAGCACTGGGGGAGAAAGATGGAGGCTAGAAGACTCAGCTAGTCTAGTCTTTCCACGTTCTTCTGCCTGCTTTTATTCTGGCCATGCTGACAGCTGATTAGATTGTGCCCACCCAGATTGAGGGTGGGTCTGCCTTTCCCAGTCCACTGACTCAAATGTTAATATCCTTTGGCAACACCCTCACAGACACACCCAGGAACAATACTTTGCATCCTTCAATCCAATCAGTTGACACTCAATATTAACCATCACAGCTATCTTCTTAATTTTCTACCCTTTCACTAAGAGGCTTCAAGATTCTGCCTCCCTAGCCTGCTCTTATGCATTCTGCTGCTATTCCTTGAGGTTCTACCTTTGACCCAATCTTCTAGTTTGACTTCTAATAGCTGAGTGATCTCATCGATAACCAGCATTCATTCATTCTTATATAAAGATGTTTTTCAGATACATATTTTCTACTCAGATATCTATCCTAAGTTTCAAAACTGCATATTTCACTGTCGGGCATGAACCTACATTGCAAGTTGTTAATCAAGCTCATTATATCAACAGTCTTAATCCCTCCTCTTTGAATCAAGCTGACACTCTTTTGTTCCTTAAGTTGTGATATACAAATTTCTGTCTTACCAATCTTTCTTCTATCTGCCTTGCCTCAATTCCTACAATAGACCAAAGATATTTATAATTACTTAAATACATTAGACTATTTCATATCTCCTTTCTCTGGTTGCAGTCATCGTTCTACCTGGGATCCATTTATTCTTATGACACTTCCTAAGTTCACTCTAGCTGGATGAAGTGCCCCTTATCTGTGCCCCCTTCAGACCATGCACAGTCTTTTTTCTTTCTGTTTTAGCGTTCATCAAATGTTATTGATTTTTTATTTTAGCACACATCTCTAACAGCCAGCATGAGCAATGCTTTTCAGAAGAAAGAATTATCTCATTTTGTTTCCCATTGCCCAACCATGTGATAGGCACTGATCAAAATAGGCAATGAATAAGTATTTGTTGAATGAAAGTGAATTGAAGATGTACAGAAGCCTATTAATACAATTGCCATACTTTCTCCAGTAAGGCTTCAAATCCTCAGCCAGAATTAAATAAAATATATAATGGACTTACTCAGGTTTGGCCATCAGTAAATGTGCACAAAAGATATCAAGCAATATCTCTTAGTGTGAATATATTATGGGTTTGGGCTTTATAAGATGACAAATCACATTAGAATTATGTTGGAAAATTATGATAATGGCTGGGCATTGGGAAATAATTAAATACTATAATGGGGAGAAAGAGTAAAGGACATTAGGAGTTGACACAGGGAGTTATACTAAAAGAAAAAATGCATGTTTGTCATCCAACCAGAATGTAAAATCTTGGAAGTACCAAGTGATAGTAGTAGTTCACCTATAACTTTTAATCTAAATAATATATTATTACCTAACTGAAAAGTATATATTAAATGCTCTTTAAGGACTATTTGTTAAGACTTACACGTTTAATTACTCATATTATAGCAAATTGAATTCTGAACATGTTATCTTTGCAACAAAATTTGAACTATAAGACGTATTTTCTCTTTCCAGTTTCTGTATTCTGAGTAACAGACTTTCCTGGGCGGCCTTGTATAACAGCTCCTTGAAAATGCCTGGATGAATTTTCTATAGTACATGATGACCTCAAAATAATTTCTTTTTAAATCCTGAAGGCCGGGTGTGGTGACTCACTCCTGTAATCCCAGCACTTTGGGAGGCTGAGGTGGGCAGATCACCTGAGATCAGGAGTTCGAGACCAGCCTGGCCAACATGGAGAAACCCCGTCTCTACTAAAAATACAAAATTAGCCAAGTGTGGTGGTGCATGCCTGTAATCCCAGCTACTCGGGAGGCTGAGGCAGGAGAATCACTTGAACCTGGGAGGCGGAGGTTGCGGTGAGCCAAGATTGCACCATTGCACTCCAGCCTGGGCAACAACAGTGAAGCTCCATCTAAAAAAAAAAAAAAAAATCCTGGAACAGTAATGAAGTAAATGGTGATAGTAATAATAGTAATATTGATAAGTTATTGCTATCTCCCTCTTTGATATGGCATTTAAGTCCCATGTGGTATTACAGAATACATTTCTTGTTGAATGGAAGAGGAATGGACAGAGAAGATATTTGCTAGAGCAGAAAGAAAGAGGGTCTGGGATCAAGGGCTTCCTCTGGCCTAAGAGGAGTGATATATGAAGAGACAGCTATGTATTAGAATTGAGAGTAGTATGTGTTGACAGGTGTTGGGTTTGTCTGGAGTAAGAAAATTGTGAAAATCACGTCTAATGATTTTAGGCTTACCAGAGAATGAAGAAGCAATGTCACCCGCTAAATGAGACAAGCAGAGATAATATTGAAAGCAGAAGGAGATCTGGAAACTTGGAAAGACCTGCCATAAGGCAGCCTAAGTGAATCCACAAAATAATAAAATAAAATGATTGATAAGTAAAAATAAGGGTTTGATACAAATTATGGTTTGATAGCAAAGATTATAGTGACCCATTCAGTAGAACCTTATGATTTTGTCCAACACTGCTTTAAAGTGCAGAAGCAAATTAGAGGAAATGAGATTAAAATGTTGACCAAAGGCTGCAAATGGCATGGCAAGTAGCGAGGAATGTCAAGAGAGAAAATATTTCAGGATGTGATGGATAATAATGAAAAAACTTGAGAATAACTACATATCTATGATGCAAGGTGTTGTTTATGAATTACTGTAGGTCAAGATAAGTATGGATAATTTTAGAATTTGTTCTGTCCCATTGGGATTTATTACAGTAGAAGTTTATGTGAAGTAGAACGTATATTCTTTCTTAGATGTTTAGCTTTCAATTATAATTAATATCTGTTAATTCTAATTCAAACAATCTATATATTAGAATAGAAAAAGGTATTCTATGAGTAAATGTTATGAATTAGATTCTTAGATTCTTAGCTAAATTTTACACAGTGTAGGTAGAAAAAGTGAACTCAGAGTCATTTTAGCAAACTATTAGAAATGGGACTGAAGTGATACACAGAAGCTTATGGGTGGATATACAGTTTCTCAGTTCCAGAGTGCCTTGGGTTCCAATGAGGTGAATTAAAAATGAAGCCTATAGATAGCAAACTTTTGAGATCACTGATTTTTTTTTTTAACTATACTTGGTGCTAAAGAAAAGAATCAAGCATGTATGTTATCACCTAATGGAATGGGAGTCAACATAAAGAAGCCAACTCTCCATAAAATTGATCCAGCCTGGTGGTTAAGGACCAGGATGTATGGATCCCTCTAAGGCAGACCTGTTGGAGAAGTAAATTTCCTAAAGGAATGAATTAGAAAAATATATGAAGTCACCCATTATTAACATATAAGAATGGAATAATATGCTATGCATACTAGTTGATAGTATCCTTGGGAATGGCTGGACACTTCCTCAGTGTGGTCTTATTTCCAACCTAAAATAGACAGCAAAGGAAAGTTCTATTCAGTGATTTCTCATTTGAACTAAGCAAGAAATAAGAATTATATATCTTTTATCAGCTGACTGTGTGCATGTTTTCAGAGCCCTCTACTTGTAAAAGCAGTAACTGCATGTATACTTGGCCATGCTCCAACTGTATCTAATTTACCACCTTTTTGCACAGTATGAACTTTAAGCCATCCAATCAAAAACTTTTCATTTATAGCCTATGAAATATGAATGCAAATTTTCATAATATATTTTAAAACTTATTGTTAACTGTTTTTTGGAGTTACTATTTCTGAAATGCTTATATATACCATTTAATCCTATCTATTTCTTTTCTGACTGTGTGTGCACAGATGTGCATAACTTTATGAAATGGATACTTCTTTCTTGGAGAGCAGATTTAAAATATATTAAGTAATTATTCTAAATCCTTTAAGACATTTTGATAATAGAGCAGACAGTATAATTTTGAGTACTGAAATCAGAAGCATTTTTTAAAGAATGTATACTCTAGAGGGAAATACTTAATATTGTTTCTTCCCGTTAAATCAAGTAATTTTTAAATAAAATTCCAAGATATCTTTGTAAATTAATGTGCATGGTAATTCTTAATATTTTTCTTTTATTCTTCTTTCTTTCTTTCTATTGCATCATTTTTAAAAATGTGATCAGCTTAATCTGTCTCAAGGCATAATTTAAAAATGAGAAAGGCTTTGATTTTTCTATTTTTTTTCCTTTCCCTTTTTATTGTTAATTTCAGCAACAGTGAGTGCCATGCAGACTCTTAGGAGAAGTGTTAGGGACAATAGTTTTAAGAATGATCAAATCTTGCCATGTTATTGAAGATATTTTAAAGCTGATTCTATTGCCCTTCTTATTCTCTCACTAAGAATTGAAGAGAAGCACTTTGGGCAGCCCCTTATGATGCTATGTGCATTTCTGGTTACCAGGACGACAGATTATGGTCATCTTCTCCCATTGCCATAGAAACAAGGCTACAACAAATGTAAATTGCCTATAATTTTCTCATTCTCATAATTTGCATTCACATTTACATGAGCAGAGATGTACAAAAGCAGGTGTGATTCATAGCTCTTTACAGAGATGTTAAGCCTTAAATCACTATTATTTTCAATGTAAAATCAATTTAAAATGGAAAAACTCTAAAAGATTAATTGCAAGTTGTTTTAAAATATTTCTGAGTATTAAGGAAGGTTGAATCTGATATAGAAACTTTCAAACTAATTTTACACCTTCTAAATTAAACAAAATTGAACAAAGTTCTACATCCTATATTACACTTACTATTTTCCTCATATTCTTGATGTCATCAGAAAAAATAAAAAAATAAATCAATTAAGTACTATTTTATGTAAAATTCAATCCACAATACTATTAACTTTCTCTCATACAGTGCCAGCTACCACAAAACTATTAATGCACTATATTTTGTTCTGTATTATTCCAACAATTGTTACTTTTTGCAAAACAATTGTAACTAACAAAAATGTCAAATTTCCATTTATGAATAGATTACTAATGTATTCTTTCATTCACTCACTAAAAAATATTGTATGCAAACCACCCAGTGGTTTGTGTTCCTGGGTTTACAAAACAAACCACAAAGAACATGAGAAGCAAGCAACATAATGTGAAGTTAAACAATGGGCTTTTAATTTAATAATGTTTAATAAAATATAGAATGGAATAAGTCATTTTTATCACTTTGAGTCTCAAGTTATCACCATATAAATGGGGATAGCAATAACACCTGCTTCATCAATTTTTTCTAAGTCAAATGAAATAATGCAATTGAAATTATTTTGCACTTGGTCAAATTTTATAAATATAAATATTATAATATTTTATAAATATTATTATAACTTTCAGAAAGTTCATAATATATTAGAAGAAGTTAGACAAGTATATACAGTCTGGCCTCTGTATCTGTGGTTCCATATCTGCTAATTCAACCAACCATGGATAAAAAATATTTGGAAAAAAATAAATTCCACAAAGTTCTAAAAGCAGAACTTTAATTTGCAATGCACTTATGACTACATTAAATCCACGCAAATTAAGTGGTGGATTAATTGGCATGGATTTATTGTATTAGGATATTATAAGAAATCTAAACATAATTTAAAGTATATGGGAGGATGTGCATAGGTTGTATGCAAATATTATGCACCTGAAATATTTCCCCTTTATTTAGTTTCTATTGTTGCACTGAAGTCACAATGTGGAGCTGGATCTTATCTACACAAAGAACAGTGATGCAGCTTTGATTTGCCTTGTTCTTTGTAATAACCTCTCTTTCTCTCAGACTCTGGCATTTGATTGAATGGAGTTAGATCAGGAGATAATCTGAGAGGCTATCCAATCAACATGCTTATAGTGTTCCTTCATCTCTCCACACAAAGACTGAAGTGTTCTCGGTCAAGGAGCTGGCTGTGGAGCCACATTGTCACCTCAGTTTTCCTTTCTTACTCGAATGTACTTTGTGCAAATCAAGGAGAGGTGGCAAACTGGTCAAATCTGCTGGCCAAATCCTTTTATTGTCCATGGCCCTAATATGTAACAATGGTCTGTGGCCTACCATGATGATCTTATTTTTCCAAATGACTCCATTTTCAGAAAATAATCACAGGCATTACCTTCTGGGAAGGCATGAGGTAGGCTTACCTGCTTTGTATAATAAATGTAAACATGGATTAAATTATTACCTTACATCTTTTAGAAATGTTCAAAGGAATTTTTTTTTAATTTTGGATATGATTATAAAATGAATGAATTATCCGGGAAGCACTAAACACTCAGTACAGAGAAAAAACATATTCTGGTTTATAGCAGTAAAAGTTTACATAGAATTTAAATGTATTTAGTGTAATATTAATTATCATTATCATTCCCCCACCCAATCATAGTATTGATTAAGTCTCTATTCAGGACTTAGTACTTCTACCCTGATTTTGTTCTCGTGTTCTTTTTTGTGTTAAATTCCTAGCTACGTTCCTTTCAATTAGGTTGACAGCCCCTAAATATCAGGACAAAACATAAATTGTAGAGTATAATCAGTCAGTTAGAAATGTCTGTAAAATGCAATACTTTTTTCATAGCTACCCACTTTATCAACTGTATTTCTGTTTATCTTTTCATCTCAAAGTCTATTCAAAATTATGATTGTAAAAATCTATACAATATGGGAATTGCAAAGCAAACAGCATTTGAGAGAAATGTGTAATGTCATTTCAATATATAAACAAACTCAGCTTTTTACAGGAGAGGAGTTTTTGTGTAAGTTCATATATTCAAGAGGTTACAGAACACTTCGTAAGTGAATAATCTCTCTAGCATCACTACCATTACTAAAAAATTCTTTGTCTCCGGGCTCTTTCCTATCTCACACTAGAAAAATACCACTGAAAGGGAACAGCTTGTCCCTGTGGCTTTTGAACTTAGCGTAGTCAGATGAGTAAGTACATTTTATGCATGCAGTTAGAGGTTAGTAAAAATAAAGATGTGATGAAATCATGCTGGAATTCCAACCTCTTGAATTTCCATCCTAGCACTTCTTCGAGTTTATAAGGAAGATATATGAAGAGCGTTTATAGTTTATTTCTATAGGGATTTGGCTACAATCTCCTACACAAAGTCGTTAATGATGAAAAGCTAGAATGTACCATTATGGACCTAAGTTTTCTTTTGTAGTCCTGGTTTAGAATCAAAGCACTCTTCTGCTCTTTTTATTCTAGGCCATGCCATTCTTTTACTTGAATAGAAAAAAAAACCATATTTTTTCACTTATCACCAGGTGAAATTTAACACTTCCTTCAATTATGACTATGCACAAAAAAACCCACAGCTGTATCAGCAAATCTGTCTATATTTACAAATAGATATTATATATTTTTTCCAGTTGTTATAGATATCCCAAAATATCATTTATCACCATTTTGATGTCATGGTTGATATTAAACCAGCAACTATATCTTATTATTTAATATGTTAAAGAAACAAATACATACCATAATTTAAAAATTATTTTGATAAGTATATTTTAATATAACTGGCTTCCTTTTTAATCCTGCGTATTTTATTTTATGGATTTAAATGGAAAATTCTAAGAGGTTTATAGGCTGCTCTGAACTCTTGAAGGGGTTTACAGAACAAAGAAGTTTAAAAACTCCTGTTCTACTTTCACGTCCTAATCTTGGTCCACATGGGAGAATAAACTCAAAAAGGGATAAAGGCCAATAAAAATTACCTAGGTATGATTGAAAGATATTCTCAGAAAGAGGTTACCGACTGAAAATTTGAACAAAAAATTGCAATATCATCCCACATCACACAAAGAAAAATCCATAACATCATAAATTTGGCTCTGTCAAAGTAAACATTGGCCTAGCCTAAATTAGGCAGGCTTTATTCTTTATTTTCCCATTGCAATAGGGGAGAGAGACAGAAAACCCCACCAAAACAAATGTGGGAAAGGTTTTAAGAGCTGGAATGGAGGAGGAATTTTAGGACAACTATTTTTGCTAATTGGCCTTACCTAAAGAAAAAGCAAGCTTTCTCCTATCTTCGTGAGGGGAGGTAATTTTACAACTTAAAGCAAGGCCACTTACTGACGTTAAGCTTCTGCTCGCTCACAGAAACTGGGAGATGGGAGCGCTTTCTTCCTTTTTTTTCTTTGTTTTCTTTTCTTTTTTTTTTTTTTTTTTGAGACGGAGTCTCGCTCTGTCACCCAGGCTGGAGTGCAGTGGCGCGATCTCGGCTCACTGCAAGCTCCGCCTCCCGGGTTCACGCCATTCTTCTGTCTCAGCCTCCTGAGTAGCTGGGACTACAGGCGCCCGCCACCACGCCCGGCTAATTTCGTTTTTGTATTTTTAGTAGAGACGGGTTTCACTGCGTTAGCCAGGATGGTCTCGATCTCCTGGCCTCATGATCCGCCTGCCTCGGCCTCCCAAAGTGCTGGGATTACAGGCTTGAGCCACAGCGCCCAG
This sequence comes from Homo sapiens, assembly GCF_000001405.40. NCBI lineage: Eukaryota > Metazoa > Chordata > Mammalia > Primates > Hominidae > Homo > Homo sapiens. Next base: position 67,371,628 of record NC_000013.11, read on the forward strand.
CCTCTTTCTTCCTTGATGAATATATTTCAAAGGGATGGCTCCCAGGTCTTTGAGAAAGACATCCCTGGGTTGTAAATCCTGTGAGAGGCTTTTTTTTTTTTTTTTACTTACATCTCAAAGGGGAAAATGAATTTTCAATTCCAAGTTTTCTAACATTAAATGCCCTTAAAAATGGAGAACAGGACCTAGGTTCAGGAAGAAGCTTATCTAATGTTTAGTCAAGCTGAGGGAACTATTATGGCCATCCTTGCTATCTTTATCAGTTCCTCGTAGTGTTACTCTTCATAAAATAGAATGAGGAGAAAGAATTCAGCTCCTTCAAGAGAGACTATTTCTGAGCATAGGTGTGTGTGAAAGAGAAAGTGTGTTTGTGTGTGTTTGTGTGTGTGTGTAAGTGTATGTGTGGCATTTTGCAGTAATGCACAATGCTGTCAAATAAATATAAATTGGAATTTCATATGAACAACAGAAAAACAAAACCAAGAGCAAGTGGATAAAGAGTTCTTGGGATAAGAAAGACTCAATAAAATGTTGCTTTTTGTTTACCAAATTTGATCAAATAAATTACTAAATAAAATAATATGGCTTTGTCAACACATATAGGGTTTTCTGGCAGTCCTTTTTAAGAAAATAATTCCCATTTCTTTTTCAGTCTGTCTTCAAAAGAAAAGATACGCCATCTAATCTCGATGTAAGCTCTTAATGTACCACAAAAAGCAAATAAATCCAATGTCATTCTTGATTAAATAATCACCTTTTCAGGGCAAAGCCAAGAAGTGATTTTCCCCCCTCCCTGCCACGGGAACTGTGACCTAATTCTCATTCCTAATCACAGAATCAAAGGTTAGTATTTGAACAACCTGACACTCACTTTAAGTCTTTGTACTTTTCTGCCAAAACTTCAACTTCGTTGACATTCCTTGATTATCCACATTAATGACTGAATCAGCTATTTTTGCCCTTGGATATTTCTTGTTCTTTATATTCTGCGCTACATTTTTTCACACAATAGTAATCCCTGATCACAATGTTAGAATTAATAATAAGTTAACAACTGATACAGACTGAATGTTTTTTATTTTTCTTGTAAACTTATTTAACCTTATAATCCCATTATTGTTATAATGGCAATTATTTGATTCCAAGAAGTAATACATTTATGATGGCTGATGACAAGCAAGTTTAAACTTGAACTTCTTTGAACAAAGACCTTTTTTTCTCCTTTTGTCCAAAAACTAAAATTATATACACTTTCCCAAGTCTTCCCTTTGCATAACAAAACACAGAAGTTTCCTTGAAACTGAAATTTGGCATCATAGTTAATTTTTTCTGTACTTTGAGAATTGCCCTCTGGATAACTTAAGAGAGAAGAGGGTGGGGAAAGAGAGCCATTATGTTTTGTGTCTCCTCAGTGTAAATTAAGTTGCTGGTTTTGGGTCTAAAGGGGGCATGCATTTCCATGATAAAGGGAGAGATCTGTTTCGATTCAGGAATACAAATGGTTAAAAACAAGATAAAGCTATTACCTACTCTAGGACTCTACTTCTGCAGAGAAAACTCCTGGGTACTTCTAATAAGAAAGATACACTGGAGCTTCCTGACAGGAACAGAGTGAGCCTTTGTTAGTCCTGGACTTTTCTGTCACTCACTTATAGATAATATCAAGCACTGTGGCAGAGACAAGGTATATATGACTGCTACTTAGACAGTGGGAATGCTAAGCCTCTAATTGAATTTCTCTCTGAGAAAAAGACATTTTCTTGGGGGAAAAGTAACATTTTGTCAAGTAAAAATGATCTGCTAATTGTTGTAGAAAATTTCTCAGTTTTTATATAATTGATCTTAGTTTTATACTTAAGTCTCATTACCCTCTCCACATTATCCATTTGCAGCTTCTTTACAGTATGTTTGTGCTTGCTAGAGTAACAGTAGACTTTTTTTTTTTTTTTTTTTTTTTTTTTAGTTTCTAGAATCTTATTCATGGAAAATCTTCATCTAAGTGGTGGAGTTTTCACATTTAAAATGCCACCTAACAAAATGTTACAAGTATTGTTTTACTGCTGTCTTCCTAATTATTCATGTATGTCTATGTGTATAGAATCACAATCACTTATACTTGTTAATGTCAGGTATAAAATGTTGAAATTCTATATTGTCACTCTAGATGCACAGTCAAATGCACTATTTTCAAGGCACACTGAATACACGTAGCTTTTCTTTTCCCTGGAGGCATAGAAGGTACACAGTTTCTTCATCATCTGTTTAACTCCAAACCTTTTCTGAAAATTGAAACTTTCTACTTTGCATATGTGTCTTTATTTCCCTCCTTCTGTTTATTGATATGATTGATTTTACATTCCGGTTACGTTACTTTACAGGAAAATATAGACAGATAAAAATTGCGACTCCCTTGTGTTTGAAGATCGGTTCATCACAGAAGGAATAATGGCTTCTGTTTTGTGTGAAAACTCATGTAAAGGCATCTTGTGCGAGTTTAATATCAGTAAGGGTGGATGAGTCATTTTGTTATATTTGTGTATGAGATAAACACTATTAGGATTTAAGATTAGTGGAAATTGTGAAAGTACAGCAAATAAGCAAGGATTTCTTTTTTCTTATTTTTTTCAAATATTTTATGTTTTGAACAGAGTTACTGAAAAGAGACAAATCCAAATGCCTGTAAAAGTGAGAATTTTCCACATGTTCTCCCAAGATATGGTGACAAAAAATAAACATCCATTAATAGCTAAAGCTTAATTTTATTTTTTCCTCTAGATAGAATACAATGAAGATGATGATTTATAAATGAATATATCTACCATTAATTTTATATGACTATAAAGAAAATTACTAGTTAAATTTAGTACTAGTTGTTTTAAACTCATCTCTCTTTGCAGCCCCAGAAAATGACATCTACTTTTTCTAGCTCTAGTGTGTGTACGAGAATCTGTCAATCATTTTGCAAGATGTTTTATATTTAAGTGTATCTGTCAGGAAGTCCTATTCAAGATCCATTGGAGTTATTCTGGGCAAACAATTGAAGTAAATCCTTTTGGAAATATTAAAAGTAATTACTAAGCCCAAAAATGTCTGTGCAAATTTGAAAAATGAAAAGTAAATTTTGGAAATATATTGTCAAATCACAATCTATTTAAAGGTTAAAAAATATGTTTTTGAGAGGTTATTTTAATATTTTAAGTGGTATAAAAATGATGATTTTTCTTTTTTATTCTCAAGGAGAAATTTATTTCAATGAGCTAGTCTGAAAGAGCTATTTGCCAAATGGCTTTCTTTCCAATACTTAATGAAAAGATGCATTTTGTACTACTTTCAAAAAGGTAAAGATTTTTTAAAAAATATCACCCATTCCTTTGCTTAATATGCCAGAGTGATTTTGATTGCTTTTGAAATTCTAAAAATGATAGATAAATTAGAGTCATGCTTTTTATTATCACGTTAGATGGACCTTAGTTTCTATACTCTTTTCTTCAAGGTAGATAGAAGAATACTGAGGCATGATCAAGAACTTATTAAAAAAAACTTAAATGCTCTACTTAACAAGTAATTAAACTGTTTAAAAAGACAAAAAATGCCTGTAATACTGCTTTTTTAAGTGTGTGAAAACTATTTGTAAAATAAATTACATTTACAATACAAATTTAATTGTATTATTTTAATATATATAAAGCTATAAAGACAGGAGGCAATAACAGGTTATAAATGCTTTAAAATCTCAAAATTCTACATTTTCAACTTTCTTTTTATTAACCTGCAAAGAGGGATGCTTATGTGAATGTTCCGCCTTCAATTTCCTTAACCTCTCTGTGGATTTTGTTTCTCCCTTCTAAAATGTGTATTTTAATAATAATCCTAACAATATTTTATCATTTTTAAAAATAGATATATTTCAAAGTGAATTGTAATCTGCAGTGGTAACTATTTATTATAAGTTAACAATGTATTGGGAGGTCGAGGTAGACAGATTGCCTGAGCTCAGGAGTTCGTGACCAGCCTGGGCAACACGGTGAAACCCCGTCTCTATTAAAATACAAAAAATTAGCCGGGCGTGGTGGCGGGCGCCTGTAGTCCCAACTATTTGGGAGGCTGAGGCAGGAGAATGGCGTGAACCTGGGAGGCGGAGCTTGCAGTGAGGCGAGATCGCGCCATTGCACTCCAGCCTGGGTGACAGAGCAAGACTCTGTCTCAAAACAAAAAATTCAAAAAAAAAAGAAAAACAATGTAGTCAGTCACATATACAACTCTTATTGAGTATGTACTGTGTTTTCAACACTAGTTTAGGACCTGATATTAATGTAATTCTGAATTCAGTGTTTCCGATTCTTGAAGACAATATCAGCTAACTTCAATTCATATTATAATGATGTTGGCCTAGAAGTCACTTGTATTAGTTTGTCATTGCTGTATAACAAATTACCACCTACTTAGTGATTTACAAAAACACACAGTTATTAGTTTGCAGCCCCTTTATCTTTGACACATAATATAACATAATCATGGCAGTGATATCCCATCGTATTTATAGGTTCTATAACACCCAAGGAGAAGGGATTATACAGGGTATGCAGAACAGAGGCAGGAAACTTGGGTACATTTTAGAATTCAGCCTACCTATCGCAATATGCCAGGGTCACTTGATTTGAACTGTAGAGGATGGTGACAAATGTGTCTTATTCACAGAAGGCTATGAGAATAGGCTAGATTTGGAAGGGGAATGAAGAAGAAACAAGTGACATGTTCTCCATGAAGTAGACACTCTAAGCCTGCTATCACTGAAATGTACTACTTTGACTTTGTAAAATTAGCCAGTCCTGACAGCTATCACTGAAATGTACTACTTTGACTTTGTAAAATTAGCCAGTCCTGACAATCAGAATATGAAAGGCATGCTGAATTACCAAATTATATTGAATATGTCCTGTATTGGTGTTACTCCCTGATATCACAAGACAAGACAAATTGCAATCCAGGGATTTGACTAATGAATGTATCAAAATAGTTATGATGACATTGGAAAAGAAATAGGATCTCAATATTTTGAGATATTAAGCCAGAGACACATGTACATTGATAATGGCACAAAATTGTCTGTATTCATGACTCAGTCCTTGAAAGTTTGTATTACAAAATGAACAATACAATCAATCAACTATTTCTAGTCACTTTATATTTGATTCTTCTGTCACAATGGCTTTCCTCCTCACTTCTATAACTCAAATTGGAGAACGACTGTCTGCAGTTGTAATATGTAAAAAATAGTCCACATTTTGATGGATCCTTATTACTTATTAAATGTTTAATAGGCTGCAGGGCTCACGCTAAGATCTGTTTCATTTCCCTTGGTGCATATAGTATTACTTGATAGCGGAAGGATACTATCCATTTTTGGAAAGTTTTATAAATAGTATTAGGGAAAACTTCAAGATACTTATTATTTTCTCCTATTTAAGTTACACTGAGTTGAATTTACAAGTATAATAACTTTAATGGGGAAAATTATTAAAGTTAAAAAGAAAATAGTGGAGAGAAAAATCATTACCTGTATATAGAAAACTAAAGAATTAAAGAAACATTTTTCGTGTGTGTGATTTACACTATCTTCAGTGTAATCGGAATAGGGAAAGGTCACAGGGCTCAACAGGTAACCCCCTGCTGCTTTTCTCATCGCTGGTTTCCTGTTCACTCTATACACGGGTCTCTTCTCTTTTTCTAATACATATTGACTTTCTTATTTCACAAACCCTGTGATATTTTGCACAAGGTTGGTAACCCTGAAGATTTTCTTTCACTGCAAAACAAAGGGTCATTCTTCTGAAGATGTTTCATATATCCTCGTTTTTAAATGTTGTTTAGAAGAGGAAGGAATGCCGTGGTTTAAGGTAACACAATTTTGTATAAAAATTTCTTTCTTTAAAACCCTAATGCAGGGTTGATAAGGCTTGACCATATGTACTGTGTATATGTGTATACAGTTTAATTATATGTAGAATTAATGTTTACCCAACCTAAAGCATGCATGTGCTTGCATACAAATGTGTGCACATGTATGTTCATGTTTGGGCATGCCCTCCCCCACTCCCACACACAGAAACACGTGATCACGCACACATATATATATGTGCGTGTAATTCTGTTCATCTTTCATTCCAACCAGGTTTAGGTATACATATATACAGGTATATATATATACCTATACTTGGAATGAACCAACCAATCAACCATCTATTTAATTTGAATTTCAGATAATAATAGAAAATTGTTTACTACAATTTGTATTTTAGATGAACATCAAACAATATTTTGGTATATTTCCCAAGCAACATTAGAGATTATTGCTTGCATTATTGCTTTTCCATGCAACACATTAGAATATTTTATTCCATAGTTGGATCGAATCTCTGTTTATCCTCACTCACCAAAGCCCTCTCTACTAGTTTAGCATGGTATTAAGTGCTACACAGGAAACCAAAACAAAACAACTGCAATTGCATCATCTTTTGCAAACAACTCAATCTCTTTCATTTTCATTTACCTCATCTGTAAAAGGGGATAATAATACCTGTATATCCAAATTAGAAGTAAAGTAAATTATATGTGTATATATATAGCTTTCAATAAGAATTTTCACATAGAAAGTACTCAGTATTTTGTTTTTATAATTTTTTTATATCTTTTTATATCTTTTTATAAAGATAGCAATGGTACTATCTGTTTTTGTTTTGTGAATATCACTGCACCTTAGCCTTTGATCTCTCTGAGAACTAGACCTTAGATTATGATCGGTCTCCTACTTCTGTTCCCAGAGAGAACTACTATTAAGAGTTACTTTTCAAAATATTGTCTCTGAACATATATGCATATGTACCTAAAATATCTTATAGAAATTAAGTAACGGTATGCTCAGTTGTGGGCCTTGCTTTTTCTTCACTCGATGTGTATCTTGAAGATCTTTCCATATAAGCACACATAATTCTATTATTCTGAATTACTGCATAATATGCCAGTACATTAATATAGCATACTTTATTATTATTATTGAGAGAGACAAGGTCTCACCCTGTTGCCCAGGCTAGAGCACAGTGTGTAATCACAGCTCACTGCAGCCTCAATCTCCCAGGCTCAGGGGATCCTCCTGCTTCAGCCTTCTGAGTGGCTAAGTCTACAGGCACAGGCCACCATGACTGGCTAATTATTTTTTTTCTCTTTTGGTCGAATAAAATAAAAATGTTACCCAGACTGGATAATATACTTTATTTAAACTGATTTGTAATGATGGACATTTAGGTCTTTTACAGTAATTTGCTATTATAAATGTTTTGACAGGAAATATTTTTGTTTATATATCTTTATTCACAAGAAAATGTATCCGTAAATTCAATTCTTAAAGTTTAATTATTGGATTTAACAGTATACAATTTATGTTGTTGCCAGCCAAGTATTATGATAAGATAATAGACACATTTTATAAATCCCTCATTTTCTGCAAATAAAATTCCTTAGCTTGTAGGCTTGTTTTATTACTGCCTCAACAGCATATAAACAAATACACATATACCGTCTTCCTAGTATTTTTGGAAAAGCTACTCAAATGCCGTTAATTATGTGATTGCTTGTATATAACATCACAGATTTTACTTTTATTACTGTTTACTTAATTTAATGGTTACTTAACTAAACACTATTACTTATTTTAAGCATTAAATGTGTATGTCTATTCATTTAATATATATGCCTATATGAAAGGAACAATATAGAGTACTAATGTGCAAAAAGGGACTTGAGTCAATAACTTAAATTCTCCATGCATTCTAAGCCTCAGTTTTCTTATTTTTAAAGGGAATAAGGATTACTTTTCAAGGTGACAGACTTAGCCTTTCCTTAATCTTTGCGTTCTCTTCCTCTTAGTGATATGGACAGGAGACGGAAATACTGGGTAGAAAAGGGCAGTTCCCTGGCAAAGCCTCACCCTCAAGCCTGGATACCTGCTGTCTTAAACGAAAACGAAAACAGGCATTTCTGTGTTCATGCTCCAAAAGTTATCTTTTGGCCTGCCACACCCCCTATCCTGCACCCATATGAATCCCGAACCCCAGACTCCAGAAGCAGACCAGCAAGCCCGCAGACCAGCAGAAGGATGGCAGAACGATGTGGCAGAGAAAGGGAGAAGAGGAGGAACATCTGAATGCCAAAATGAGTTCAGCTGGGGGCAGTCAGAGAGGAGTCCAGCCACTGGGCAGCCAGAATCCAGGGGAGGATCACCTTTCCACTTCATCCCCTTCCTCTGCCTCCCCATCCATCCTGCTGAAAGCCACCTCCACCACTCAATAAAACCTGCCATTCATCCTTGGAGTCCATGTGTGACCTGATTTTTCCAAGACACTGGACAAGAGCTCAGATACAGAAAGCTATCACCTTGGCCCTCTGCCCTTGTGAAAAGGCAGAGAGTTCATTGAGCTGATTAACACTCAAGCCATCTGCAGACGGCAAAGCTGAAAGAGCATTGTGGCTCACTCCTGCAATCCCAGGACTTTGGGAGGCCAAGGCGGGTGGATCACAAGGTCAGGAGTTCGAGACCAGCCTGGCCAACATGGTGAAACCCCGTCTCTACTAAAAATACAGAAATTAGCTGGGCATGGTGGTGTGCAATCCCAGCTACTCGGGAGGCTGGCACAGGAGAATTGCTTGAACCAGGGAGGCAGAAGTTGCAGTGGGCCGAGATCACGCCACTGCACTCCAGCCTGGGTGACAGAGTGAGACACCTTCTCACAAAAAAAAAAAAAAAAAAAAACTCAAAAAAAAAAAAAACCTTGGTAACACTGGGGTTGCAGGCACCCACCCCTAGACACTACCACGGGGCTGGAGGCCAGAGCGCTTGCCCCAGCCTCTGCACCTGCCCATCTGCATGCTTCCCCTCCTGCAAGAGGTTTGAGCAGCGGGGTGACAGAACAGGCATACGTGCAAGGGGAATTAGGGAACTCTTCCATTTCACTAAGTCACATTAAAAGATTCAAAAAGATATTAAAACATATATATTACCGTATTCTTAAAAAAAAAAACCTGCTATGTAAGCCAGTTTTTACTAGAATACAGGAGGTTACATAGACTAGAACTTTCTGAAAAGAGTGGAAAAGTCTGTATCTTTAATGTTGGAGAAGAGAAAGGCAGAACATAGCTTGGGTGACTCTACACTTCCAATATCCAAAAGAATATAGATGTATATAACTTTATAAGGCATACAAACTATTAAAATACTCTACCAGGAGAAACAGTATCATTACTTAGGAAATAATTATGTGGATCAAAAGCATGTTTACTTATTTCCAATTCACAATCCCAAAAGGAAGCCTATCTGTTAATAAGCTCTCTCCATTTGCACTGAACCTACAGTTTAGTACATATTCATCCAGAAAGTACAATGAAAATTCAACAAAATAATGCATTGCGAAAGTGAAAGGAAAGTAAATCTTGAGGCCCCCAAATCATTAAGCTAAAGGGAAAAGTCAAGCCGAGAACTGCTTAGAGCAAACCCGTCTCCCATTTATTCAAAGTCATTCCTCTGCTCGCTGAGATAAATAAGTATCTAATTGCCTCCTTTGGAAAGGCTAATCAGAAAATCAAAAGAATGCTACTGTTTATCTCTCACTTACCTGTGACCTGGAGGCCCCCTCCGTTTCAAGTTGTCCCGCCTTCATGGACAGAGCCAATGCACATCTTACATATATTGATTGATGTCTCATGACTCTCTAAAATGTATAAAACCAAGCTGTGCCCCGACGACCCTGGGCACAGGTCTCAGGACTTCCTGAGGCTGTATCATGGGCACGTGTCCTCAACCTTGGCAAAACAAACTTTCTAAATTAACTGAGACCTGTCTAAGATATTTGGGTTCACACAACTAAGATTATACCTAAATTTCAAAAATAAACAATGAGTTATAAGACATTTGAAGACAGCTAATAGCAAAAAAGAAAAAGCCTAAGGTGAGTAAACAGAACATTTACTCAAAGAAATACATATTTTAAAATTATAGTTACTGATCTTAGAGATATTCTTAAATATATTCAAAAATCAAGAATTGAACAGGAGTAATATGAGTAAATTAAAATTATGATTGCTAAAATTAAAACTTAAAATCAATTAAGAATATGATGATTGGGCCGGGCGCGGTGGCTCACGCCTGTAATCCCATCTCTTTGGGAGGCCGAGGCGGGCGGATCACGATGTCAAGAGATCGAGACTGTCCTGGCCAACATGGTGAAACCCCGTCTCTATTAAAAATATAAAAATTAGCTGGGCGTGGTGGCAGGTGCCTGTAGTCCCAGCTACTCGGGAGGCTGAGGCAGGAAAATTGCTTGAACCCAGGAGGGGGAGATTGCAGTGAGCGGAGATCACGACATTGCACTCCAGCCTGGGTGACAGAGTGAGACGCTGTCTCAAAAAAAAAAAAAAAAAAGAATATGATGATTGAATTAGCTATTTGCAAGACAGACCCATGTATATATTCCAGAATATAAGAAAAAAATTAGATGAAAAAGTTGAGAGAAAATTAAGAGATACAGTTAATTGTTTTTACGATGACTTTAAAGAATTCAATAAAATTTTCGGAAAGAATTAAGCAAGGAAATTATTAAAGAAATTCATGAAGAACTTTTCAAAAGCAAAATTAAAATAGAGTTGTTTGAATTGAAAGGGCAATTCAGTGCCAATCAGTTTGAATGAAAAAATTCAACAACATAAAAGGATTTCAGAGGACCATCCACAGAGAAAGATCTTAAAATCTTTCTTAAAGAAAACACACATCATCTAAATGGAAAGAGAGTTAAATTGTCATCAGGAAGCTTTAGTCAGAAAGAATTTAGGAAGACAATTGAGCAGTAGCTTCACAGTTGAGAGGGATCATGTTTTTGAATCTAAAATGTTATACTCATGAAAATCACAGGGAGAGTTTAGCAATAAATAAAAGGTAACCAGGCTAAGATAAGCTTACATGTACAAAGTTTTATTATTATCACATAGCATATACCTGTTGGAAAATGGCGCCTCCTTAGCCATCATGCATGTCTTCACATCTGCCATATGGGCACAGCTAAGCCACAGGCTTCCCCATCTCTTGGCAGAACACTGTGTGTTGCTTCCTGGAATATGGCGATCTGAGCAGTCTTCCCAGGAGCTGTACACAGATGTTTTACGTATACCTTCCTGTTTCTATTCAGATATGGAACATTCCACCATATCCATCATTTAGCTGAAAACCTCCCTTACTAACTTCTTGGTCTCCTCTGCCATCTGGCCCCTCTGGTTCAGAGACATCCTGTGGGATGTAGGAAGCCAACATGACACTGATCTTGCTTATGTTATCTGTGTAAGTTACAAACTGCCCAAACCCATTTGGGCTCATTGTCATTTTACTGACCAAATCCATGAGAGTGTGGCAAGCCAATCTCTAGCAGCTATGTCAGAGTTAGACAGCACATTTGCTGCTTAGCCACTTGCAAATAGAAGTTTAGCATCTGAATAATGTTAAAAGAGATGCAGGCTCACTGTTTAATTCCTTTCTTTTTTCTTTTTTCTTTTTTTTTTGAGATGGAGTCTCTCTCTGTCGCCCAGGCTGGAGTGTAGTGGCATGATCTCAGCTCACTGCAACCTCTGTCTCCCAGGTTCAAGCGATTCTCCTGCCTCAGCCACCTGAGTAGCTGTGATTACAGGCGTGCACCACCATGCCCAGCTAATTTTTGTATTTTCAGTAGAGACTAAATTTTAGATTTCACCATGTTGGTCAGGCTGGTCTCAAACTCCTGACCTCGGGTTCTGCCCACCTCAGCCTCCCGAAGTGCTGTGATTACAGGCGTGAGCCACAGCTTCCACCTGTTTTCTGTTTGTTTGTTTCAGTCTTTGCTCTATTTGTATTGGCTTCTGTCCTCATTCTTGTTGCCTCATGGTCACATGATGGCTTTAACTGCTCCAGACAGTTTCACAATTAATGTACAAGAGATTAAGGGGGTTGCATAGGGCAGCTTACATGACATCAGCCGAGTTTTTTTTTTTAATTTGCATGTCTTTAGGAGACATTTTTTTTCTTGATATGTCCTTCTGTTAGCAGAATTTCACTTAGGTTCACCAGATGCGATTGTGTTTCTTAGCCATTCATAGCTGTCAGGAAGCTGAGAATTGAGGACTGAGACCGAATTTCACTCTCCTAAGGCTTTATATTAGAGGCTGACAAGGAAACCTGGAGCTGGGAAAGAGTATTAAGTAAACCAGTCATACTCTTTGGAAAAACCAAATTAGATTTAAGGTAAAAAAAAATAAAGACAATTTCAGGCACACACACACAAAAACTCAGAAAATCTACCTTTCACAGACTATGCCTAAAGAAAAAATTACTTGATGATATACATATATTGAAAAAAAAAAACTTTAAAAGGCAAACAACAAAAAGGGGAGGAAGTTCTGGAATTAAAGCAACATTAAACCAAACCCAGGAGTAGAAGTTTTTTAAATGTGGAATGTTAAAAGGTGGCAGAAAATAAGAGGTCTGAAAACAATATTGCCAAAAGTGTGCTGTATTACAGTTAAAGGAAATTTATAATTTTATGATGACTACAAATCAAATATTTTCTATAAATAAGGTGAAAAAGTAATCTAAAACTCTAACTAAAATAAAAGCTGTTCAAAAAGCCTTATTCCATCTATGCCAAAAAATGTAGTGCAACTTTTAAGCAATCAAGACACATATACTTACTGATATAATTTTGTTTTTTTCTTTATGAGTTCAATTATATAATTTGAACTTGAAGTAAAAAGTAGTAACTTAAGCATGATATTGTGAATCTTGTATATTGCTTTTTAGTTTGTTCAATCAACATACAGAAAAAAAAAGACTGAATTGTAATTGAAGCATGTGAATACTATAAACTTGAATAATGCAAAAGAACAGTATATTCAACATAAATCAGGAGACACTAGGAGACATGAATCATGTATAGAGTTTCAATAAATACTTTCTATAATTAACACATCAAGGATGAGTTTTACATATATATAGTCAGGTGAAAGACAAACTAATGAACAGAAACAAAAATTTGGAGGCTAATTTGGAAGGAATTACAACAGGCAGGACAAATTCTCTAATACTCTTATTTCTTATGTTGGGGGATCAATACATTTTATCTAAATACAATCAAATAAGTAGACAAAGTATAGGCATAATATTTAATATTTTCTTGATAGCTATAAAATGACCTAAAAGCATAAATGGTAAAAGTTAGTGAACTCAGTAAGGTCCTGGATATTTTATCACTGAATAAAGTAGCCTACTGAATGGGCTACTTTTTAAATTTTACTGTTTTGTTTCCCTAGTTCATTACATTTAAGATGGTGCAAATCAAACGTATGATTTTTTACAAATTCAAAAAAGAAAATGCTGCAAATTAAACTGTTTTAATTCATTACTAAAATTTAAAATTTTAATTTTATACTTTGAAAGAGTTCTGTCAGGCTTACATATATATATATATATATGGAGAGAGATTATTTTTAAGCATACATCACCATAGTGAATAACTGAATGAAAAACATAAGTGAAATAAATTAGTTTAGGTATTTTTAAAGTTTTTTATATGAAGAGATTGAATCACTGTTCCTCTCGGTTTTACTAATGTCTATGTTTTTTTTCCAAAATATATTCTCTATTGAACTACCAACAGAGTTAAAGATACATAATTTTCTTCAAATATTGCTCTGCTGTGTCTCCAAAACTTTCTTCTATGAGATGGACACTGATTCTACAAGGTTTGTTGCTCATACTCCATTTGTCTTACTGGTGTGTGTCTATGTAAGATTTTTTAAAATATAAACAACTCATATTCCTTTCTTAGGTAGTTCTCAAATAGTTTGTTGATAGAAATCTTGATCTATCAGTTGTATTATAATGTCACAAAGAACAGTGACATCTACTCATGTTCAAGCAGTGATATATTTGTCATGTATTTATTTTTAATTTTTTAAAACTTTTATTGTGGGTTTACGGGTACATGTGTGGATTTGTTATATAGGTAAACTGTGTGTCTTGGGAGTTTGATTTACAGATTATTTCATCACACACGTAATAAGCATAGTGTACTGTAGATATTTTTCCTGATCCTCTCCTTCCTCCCAATCTCCATCCTCTAATAGGCCCCAGTGTCTGTTGTTCTCCTCTATGTGTCCATGTGTGTTCCCATTATTTAGCTCCCACTTATAAGTGAGAACATGTAGTATTTGGTTTTCTGTTCCTGTGTTAGTTTCCTTAGGATAATGGCCTCCAGCTCCATCCATGTTGCTGTAAAGGACATGATCTCATTCTTTTTTATGGCTGCATAGTATTCCATGGTGAATATGTACATTTTCTTTATCCAAGTCTACTGTTGATGGTCATTTAGGTTAATTCCACATCTTTGCTATTGTAAACAGTTATGCAATGAACATAATAGTACATGTGTCTCTATGGTAGAATGATTTATATTTTTGGGGGTATATACTCAATAATGACATTAATTGGTAGAGTGGTAATCCTGTTTTAAGTTATTTGAGGAATCACTGTGCTGCTTTTCCCAATGGCTGAACTAATTTACACTCCATAGGCTCAAAATAAGGAAATGGAGATAAATCAGTCAAGCAAATGAAAAACAGATAAGAGCAGAGGTTGTTGCAGTCCTAATTTCAGACAAACAGACTTCAAACCAACAATTTAAAAAAAAAATACAAAGAAGGGCATTATATAATGATACAGGGTTCAATTCAACAAGAAGACCTCACTGCCCTAATCATACACACACCCAACACAGTAGTACCAAGATTCATAAAGCAAATGCTTAGAGACCTACAAAGAGACTTAGAAATTCTCACACAATATAGTGGGAGACTTCAACACCCCACTGACAGTAGTAGACAGATCATCAAGGCAGAAAATTAACAAAGATATTCAGGACCTGAACTTGACACCTGATCAAATGTACCTAATAGACATCTACAGAACTCTCCATTCCCAAGCAATAGAATAAACATTCTTCTCATCACTACATGGCAAATACTCTAAAATTAACCATATAATCAGACATAAAACAATACTTGGCAAATTCAAAAAACTCTCAAATTATACCAACCACACTCTTGGACCACTGTGCAATAAAAATATAAATCAATACTGAGAAGATCACTCAAAACTGTACAATTACATGACAATTAAATAACCTGCTCCTGAATGACTTTTGGGTAAATAATGAAATTAAGGAAGAAATCAAGACATACTTTAGAACTAATGAAAACAAAGACAAAAAGTACTAGAATCTCTGGATACAGCTAAGGCAGTGTTAAGAGGAAAGTTTATAGCACTAAATGCCCACATCAAAGAGTTGGAAAGATCTCAAATTAACATACTAACATCACAGCTAGAAGAACTAGGGAAACAAGAACAAACCAACTTCAAACTTAGCAGAAGACAAGCAATAACCAAAATTGGAGCTGAAATGAATGAAATTGAGACATGAAAAACTATACAAAAATCAATGAACCCAAGAGTTGGTTCTTTGGAAAATTAATAACATAGATAGACCACTAGCTAGACTAATTAAAAAATACAGAAGATACAAATAAACACAATTAAAAATGATAAAAGAGATGTTACTACTGACCCCACAGAAATATAAAAAAACTATCAGAGATGACTACAAACACCTCTATGCATTCAAACTAGAAAATCTAGAGGAAACTGATAAATTCCTGGACACATGCAATCTCCCAAGACTGAACTAGGAAGAAATTAAATTCCTGAACAGACCAATAACAAGTTCTGAAATTAAATTGGTAATAGAAAACGTACCAGCCAAAAGAAGTCCAGGACCAGACGGATTCACAGCTGAATTCTACAAGATGTATAAAGAAGAGCTGGTACCATTTCTACTGAAACTATTCTAAATAATTGAGAAGGAGAGATTCCTCCCCTACTCATTCTATGAGGTCAGCATCATACCAAAACCTGGCAGAGGCACAACAAAAAAAGGCAACTTCAGGCCAATAGCCTTGATGAACATAGATGCAAAAATCCTCAACAAAGTACTATCTTTGTTGTTTAATGCTATTTGGTGGACAGAAATTATAAGATTTCATCAATCATAGATGCATCTTCACTTTAAAAATGTTAAAATGTGGAAAAAACTATGCAACTTATAATTGATGAAATGCAAGGCTTGACCTATATCTGTATAGCTTTCCTGCTACTGAGTGATATGGCTGTCAAGTACTGACTTCCCAGATACTTAATGTTGAATTGATGCATTAGTTTCTAGCCTCCATTTTAATACATATGTCAGCTACCATAATTTTTCAATGAATAAAACATTATTTTATCCTGACTTTCAATGCATATAGCATAAATAAGAATTTTCTTTCTGCCTTTTATATTCTTCTTTATTAGTACTAAGAAAGAATATATAAATGTGATTTTAGAGGTATACAAAGTAGTGATTGGTTTAATTGGCTTAATAAAATTGGATTGCATATATTCTAAAGGCCTCAGGTAAAAGAGAGACACAGGTGTTATAGATGGCCAGGAAAATCATTTGACCTTGAAGATTGGGGCCATGAACCAAATTATGTATGCTCTATAATTATAAGGCTTATCATCTCCACTCAGAATGGAGCCTATTTTGTGAATTATCAGAAAGCCAAATTGTTTTGTCATATAGTGGGGTAAGTTCTAGATGAGCTTAGTCCGACAGAAATGCAATTTGAACCACATATGTAATTTCAGTTTTTCTAGTACTCACACTGAAAAAGGTAAAAAAAACATATTTTTTATTATATATAACAAAGTCTTAACAAATAACATTATCACAACATATCAATTTTAAAATGTTTATGAAGTATTTTACATATTGTTGGTACTAAGTCTTCTAAATTTGCTGTGTGTTTTGGACTTACCAGCACATCTCAATTTGTGCTAGTGTTCAATAGCCAAATGTGGCTGGTGGCTAACATACTAGACGATACAGTTCCAAATTTTAAATACCAGGGTAGTTCTAGACTATAGATACTATTGTCTTTGAAATAACTATTCCTAGCTTCCATTTAGATCTACCTGCCTATGGCCAAGGAAATATATGTGTAGTGCTATGATTTTAGGTCCACTGGTTTCTTAAGCAGCAGTGGTCACTGAAGTGCTGATGTATATATGAAGAGGGAAGCGTGGCGTCAAGTCTGTGAAATGCTATAGGCCTCAGGTTGTGAAGACATACTGGAAGAAACTTCAAGAAGACCTCTTCACTACTGGAATGACAGTAGAAGGCTGATCTGGAGAGACCGGGTCATTGGTGTATGTGATCTGCCTTGCATCTTAGCCTCTCTTTTCAGGCCTGGATTTTGAGAGTGAGAGTTTCTGTTTTTGTTTTTCTTCTTGACATCCTCTCTGTCTCTCTCTGCTCTCTTCTCTCTGTCTCTCTCTCTTATTTCTGTTGCTAGTCCTGTTTTCCTCTTTCAGATCCAAAATTTTTATATCAAACTTGATTCCTTTACTATTTTGTTCTCTTTTCCTTTCCTTCTTCTCTTTGCTCTCTACCAATGTTTGTTTTTTTCCCCTCTGTGTCTTCTGTCTTAAGACATAAAATCCATTCACTGTTGATCCATCATGAGAGGCAGTAATGTGTTTTCCCTTTGATATTAGTACATCCACATGCTCAAGCACGAACTGCACACTCTATTACTACTGCCTAACCCTGTACTTATGCAGAACATCCGCTACTTGCCATGGTTTTGTTGTGTTTAATGCTTGCTTATAATTTATTCTCCACATAATTTCTTACATTTTATCTGACTGTTTTTCATCAGAATGCCTTCGACATTCTCAGCTGTATTCTTCAAGCTGTGTTTTGCTCTGGTAGGCACTCACAAATCTTTATTATTGCTGTATGCTTGGAATGAAAGATTAAATAGTTATTAGTTTCTACTTGTCTAAAACAGTCTGTTTTTGCTTTTTAATAATACACAGAGTTTTTAAATGTAACATTATTTTTAGGCATTTTAAAAATAAGAATTGGCCAACTGATAAAACTATTTAGCCAATTAATGAAGCCATTGCTTATAAAAGTAGATATAAAATTTAAAAAATACACACACACACATCTTTTGTTAGAAGTTGTAATAAAGCCTCCATCTTAAAAAAATAAACTTATAGAGGCTTGATTTAGTTTCATGTTAGATATCACTGAACAATGTAGGTTTTAAGAAAATAAAATACAAGTCTATAAATAGGCATCAAAAAAATATGAAAAACTAATATATACTATTTTGAAATTCATTATTCCAGAGGAAGAGCCGCCGCATAATTCTCTGGGCTAACTTTATTAAGATCTTATGTACCAAATACTCTTCCAAGTGAGTGCATCCAAAAACATAATAAATATTTATAGTAACCTAATGAAGTTCATTTCCATTTAACAGATGAGGAAACTGAGATACAGAAGAATAGCAAGAAAGTAGTAGAACCAGGATTTAATCAAAGGACATATATTTTCAGAAGTGATTTTCTAGACAGCTGTATCATATCATTTCTTATCAGGTATATATGTTTTAAGAGAATGAGGAGAACAGGGAACTATGACATAGGCATTTTTATTAGGCTGCTAAGATTAATTACTATAAATGTCAGTATTCAACTTACAGTAAAATGGCAAAGTGCTAACCATCCTCTAGTATCTGTAATCATCCAACATTAAGTTTGGCCGGGATCAAAGTTGCTTGGAATGAAGACTATATTTCCCATCATCCTTGAACCCAGATGGGACATGTGACTAATTTCTGACTAGTGTGATGTTAAATGTAACTTAAAAAAATTTGTTAACCTTCAAGGTTGTGTGCTTAAAGAAAAATATGACCGAGTTATACATGCTTTTTCTCTTTTCCCCTTTCCCCTTCCCCAGTGGGTAGAGTGTACACATGGTGGTGAGTCATCTTAAACTCTGATGTCAGGTCATCCCAAGAGGAATGTTTTACAGCAAAACAGAAGGCACTAGCATCATAGACAGACTCATGTCAGAGTCTCCATATTAACCATGATTTACATTAGAGATAAATAATTGTCTATTTTCTTTAAATAACTGTTACTCTGGTTTGTTTGTTTGTTTTTTTGAGACAGGGTCTCACTTCATTGGTCCAGACTGGAGTGCAGTGGTGTGATCATGGCTCATAACGGCCTTGACCTCCCAGGCTCAAGTGATCCTCCCACCTCAGCCCCTCAAATAGCTGGGATTACAGGCACACACCACCATGCCTGGCTAATTAAAGAAATTGTTTTTGTAGTGATGGAGTCTTGCTATGTTGCCCATAGCTCTGCTGGAGAAAAGACAGCAGAGCAGGTAATATTATATTTCTACTATGCCTCTGTTCAAGAATTTTATATCCAGCATTCCTTATCTGCTTATCAAAGACACTGTGCATATATTACCCGCACATGCGCACACATACACTTCAGAGATAGGGAAAACAGTTCTGCCCCAAAAGTATGTCTCTAACAAGATGTGTAGATGACAATGTTTTCAGGAATATTGTAATCTTATAAAAAGGTCTCCTTGGAAAGCATAAACTAACTTGATTTATTCCAATTGCCTGACAGTGACTAAAGAAAAGTCTTAGTTTGCAGAAGTCTGTGAAAGAAACAATCTATTTAGTTCTTTTAGACATTGAAAGGTGTGAGTTTTTCATGCCACTAAATAGTATTAGAAAAACCAGTTAAGTTGATGTTCCAGCTCATAGATTTTTCTCACTATTCCCTGAAAAACTGTGGGAGTGGGAAAAGAATTTTGTTATACTTGGTTTTAACTGTTTCCAATTTTTACCTTAGACAAACTGTGTATATAGAGTCAAACAGTACTCAGTTTGAAATAACTTGACACTGCATATATTAAACTAAACAGAAGGCAATGCAAGTACACTGAAACTGATTTAATATGCAATATTTATCTGTGGGAGAGAGAAACACTATTCAATTGAGGCTGATTCATCCTCCATTTTCTGTGCACAGAATTCCACAGGAGGTCATCTGCTATTATTTTATCCCCATTAGGTATGCTTGAATATATCAGGTAGCAACAGAGTAAAACCTGTGATTATGGCAGACAAGGTAACCTACTCTTCCCCATGTAGCTAGCATGCAGAGCTTAAGTCTCTGCTTTTATCCCTCATCCACTTTGTGACTGTGAAATTACCATGATTGTTTTTGGAAAAAAAAAATGTTGTGTTTTCACTTTGCTGGTCAACCTAGGGGGCCCTTCCATGCTATGTACTGCTTCTCACTTAGGATGAATATCATTTTTGAGTTTGAACAGATCTACTTTTGGTTAATTCTCTTGTCACAACTCATTAATAGAACATTTTATTTTAAAAAATGATCTATTTTTCTAGATTAGAGTGCTTGCTCTCCAAATATAAATAATATTTCTTTCTTCATATATATTTCCAACTATTATTTTTGAAAGCTAGACTTACTCAAGATTTATGTACTCATAGGAGTAGTATTCAGGAAGATAAATTTGAGCTTTAAATATACTTAATTCAATTTTTTTGTTATTACTCCTGCTTCATTAAGTTACTATGAATTCTCTCTAATATTACACTGCCATCAATTTTAGTAATCTGCTGTCATAAAAAAGACAGCCATCAAAGTTTGAGTGCTTTTAATAACCTTCATTTAAAAAAGGTATGTGTGTATATACATACCACACACATATTAACACATTAAATATCTGTATTTAAATACACAGTAAAGCAAAACACACACACACAAACACATATATATGTGAAGATTGGCAAAAAGCACAGAACTTATTTTTCTTAGTGTATACACTAGAATTTCTATATTCAAATGGTAATTCTTTAAAATAGTTATTTTGGAAGGGCATCGCTTACTTCAATAACATTATTGATGCTTAAAACTTCTACAGAATGTTTTCTGTGAATCTTCCGAGCTACTTTATGTTTTATAAAATGGCCACTTTTATTACTTGATAGCCACATGTGGTTTTGAAACCAGAAGGGGCTTTTTTCCAGTTTCATTGCTTTCCATATTTCCATTCAATTTAAAGAAATTTTGGCTTTTTAAAAATATATTAAATCCATACAAGATAAAGTATCGGCAAAAATAAAAATATTCTTATCCAATCCCAGCTTGTAATTTTCCTAGACTACTAATTGCTCTTTTTAGTGTTCCAGTTTCTCCTTAGTCATTTGGGACTAAAATATGGCAAATATATTTCCTTTTGTCTCTTTATTGTCCGTAAATCAATTTTTGAACTTCTTAAATCTGTGGAACCCAACCATTTCGCTTATTTTCATAAATGCCACCAACATTCAGGCTTTATTACCTCTTACATTATAACTGGTTTACTTCCCCAAACTCTAGCCTCCACTTCGTTTCAGTTCTTAAATCTTTCACATTGTAACTTGAAGGCTAGGGAATGTGCATCTTGTCTAGTTTATAACTATAGGTTGCCCTTGACTCATAATTTGGTGGGGCTTCCACAGGGCTGGTGTGTGGTCATAACAGGAGATAACTAGTCCTTTCTCCCCAGGATGACAAGGTGACCACAGTTCTCTTCAAGCATTGTAGGTACACGTAAGAGCGTAAGTGTATGTAAGCTGGTCATGTCTACGTATATATTTACTTAAGAAAGATTATAAATATTCTTTACTTTTTAAAAATGCAGCTTAGAATATAAAACAGCAACATGACCTTGTTCCAGGCTAGAATCTGAAAGCTCTGCTAGAACAAATGTCAGGCAAAAGAAGCGAGGCCGGTTGTTTATTTTGCCTGGGACATATCAAACACTTGTTGCAGCTATATAACGAAATTCTCTAAGTGATGAGTGGAGGAGGCATTCCAAAATAAAGAGCATGACTATGACCATCTACCTCTCTTAATATGCTTTTTAAAATATATGTTCTAAACAATAGTCTAACATAGGTTTTTCTAAAAATATATTAAAATTCATGATTCAAAAATTATCACTGCTAAAAATTTCATCACTACAGCTGAATTCACCATTAATCTTGGCAATAATCACACAAATTAATCATAAATGCTATATCTATTTTCACCTTCTTTTCCTTTCCACTTTTTTTATTTCTGGAAGAGGGGCCATTTGACTTTAACACTTTATTAGCAAGAATGTACACTTACTTGCTCAAGGGAAACCTGTGCTATTTTGATTTCGTATCTCACTAAAAACTATAAAGAAGACAAATTCAAAGGCCTACCTGTTCATAAAGTGCATTACCCCTGTTCTTCTGTTTCTAAGCCTGTGGAGTGGTGTACGTAATTATCTGCTGACCAGGATCCCAGATTGAATCTCTCTTGCTTGTGAAGCATTTACTTTTCCTCTTGGAATTATTATTCCTAGTCTTCTTCCAGCATATTCTCTTATTCTTCACAGATTTGTGAAATTAAACCTGAAGTGTTTGATCATGATTTCTCCAGAAATGAAAATATTTTGAGCACAATTAGAGAGATCCTTAGCTGATATCTACTTAGATGGCTGACAGTACTCCTCCATCACGGGGACACTGTCCCAGGAAAAGAGAATTAAAAAAAGAAAAACGGATAGGAAGAATGGGCTGAAATGCTTTTCTTTTACCTTGCCCTTTTGTTAATAATTATCAGCCATTAGTTTTCCATTTTTAACTGCCATTTGACATGGCAAGACAGAAAAGAGATTTATGGAAAAAAATGTTCTTACATGGTCATTGCTATTCCTTAGTTTGTCACTTATTTCTTTGGCAAATAATATTATTAATATTGGCTGGTATTTTTTTGAGTGCTTACTATGTACTAGGAGCTGTCTCATAGATAGAGCAACTCATTTAATCCTTAAGACAACTCAATGAGTAAAATATGTTATTATCTCTACTTTATGGTGATAAAACTGAGGCATTGAGAGATTAAAAACCTTGTTTTCTTACTGCTTAGCACTTCGTAAGGGTTCATAAAATGTAATTTCACTGAAAGAATAAATGAATGGGTAAGTGAAAATCATGTTCTCTAGAGTTAATTTAAGGAGCAATCATTAATATACAATGGATTTCCAGTATGTATTTCTTATACCATTTCACTAGATACTGGAAGAAATCTTGTATCAGGATATTTAGAATTTCTGAGCTTTCTCTTTTCTGTCTTGGTTTGGTTTCTCTTACTCTTGAGTCTTCCAGATACTGATAAACTTCTTTTGCCTTCCTGATATTTTGCTTAAACTCATTCCATACAGGATTGGTTATCCCCTTTTGTTCAGGATTAATATTTTCAAGCTTTGCTTCTGTTCTTATATCAAGATTGCCTGAAGCATGGGATTTTTATCAAGTACTTGGCTGAGTGACTTTTGCATCTTTCCAATAAGTACACCAAAAGATTCTGATAGTTGGCTGGGCACGGTGGCTCACACCTGTAATCCCAGCACTTTGGGAGGCCGAGGCGGGTGGATCATGAGGTCAGGAGATCAAGGCCATCCTGGCTAACACGGTGAAACTCCGTCTCTACTAAAAATACAAAAACATTAGCCCAGCGTGGCGGCGGGCGCCTGTAGTCCCAGCTACTCTGGAGGCTGAGGCAGGACAATGGTGTGAACCCGGGAGGCGGAGCTTGCAGTGAGCCGAGATCTCGCCACTGCACTCCAGCCTGGGTGACAGAGCAAGACCCTGTCTAAAAAAAAAAAAAAAAAAAAAGCAAAACAAGATTCTGATAGTTATTACCAGGCATCATCTCACTTACTATGTGTGTGGTGTGTGATATTATGCCTTCAGCCTTTCTCTATTTGAATAATCTGTATTCCCTGGCTGGCAGCTTCACTGCTGTGTCTTAGCCTTCTTCATGTTGCATGGGTTGTTACAGAAGGTATCTTATAAAGGATTGCATTTAGGAAGGAGTAAACTGCAAATCTCTGGGCCAAGAGTGTACAGTTATACTTCATGAGTAATATCACTAGAAAGCAGAACAACATTCAGTGGTTTGAAGTGTAGTATTGAAATGCTGAATGGGTTATAAAATTCATTTGTTAAATCACTCATTTATTCAAACAGCCATTAAGAACATGCTGCATGTCAGAAAAAGCTTAGTCGTCAGAAACATAAGGAGTGTGTGTATATGTATATGTTTTGTGTGTGTGTGAAGAGCTCACAAAATTAAGCAACTATTACATCACAACAAAACTTATTGTACTGAAAGAAAGATATTATTGCCATCTGCTTTCTCAATAAATTCAGGGGATAGTTTTGAGCTACTACTATATATAAGCTAGTAGGAGGTAAAGATAAAGGAACATGTGTAACAATAAGAATTTAAATGAAAAATTGTGTTTTAATGCTATGAATTAGAGATTGTTAATTTGTAAAGGTTGCCTATGTATATGCTGTTTTTTATTATTACCACTTCAATTTTTTCACCTACTTTCTACTATCTTGGTTTGCTTTCCTTAGTCTTTAATTAAAACCTTAATAATTCCTTAGCGAAGGTCTTTTGATGGTAAACTCTCAAAGTTTTGTGTTGATATTCATGAATAATTGCTTTGCTCTGTATTCAATCCTAGGCTGACAATTTTACACTTTTGAACTTAGAAAATGTTATTTCATTATTATTGTTGGTACGCATCCTGCCATATTAATTTTTTCTTTTATAAGTGATTAGGGTAGTAATATTTGAAAAAAATATTTTAAGACAGAACATCAAGAGAGAGAGCCAGTAAGATATTTTACACCTAATAATGAAACTAATAATATAGCATTGAAATAAATGAAATGAACATTGAGAGAAATATAAAGATAAATAAACACATATCAATTTAGTATTGAAAACTGTAATATACTATTTTCAGTACTATTATCAATATAATTGGCAGAACATGCAAAAAATGCCAGGAAATATGGATATTTTGAACAATAAGACTTGCAAATTAATAGAAATTGATTTATATATCAATTCATCTATATTATCCTTGCACACAAATGTGTAATAAATATTTACTTAAGTGCTCCTTGAATATTTCCCAAATTTGACCATATATTGTCCATGTAAAATGTTTCAAGTAACTCAAATTTTGTTACCAAGTGCTAAAAAACAATCAAGTACTAGCCAAAAGAATAAAAAGTGTTAGCAATGAGTAAATTTGCCTTGAAATGACTCGTGTTAGAAAAAACCCTCAAAATTGAAATAAGTATTATTTTGAACTGAATTATACTGAAAATATTATACATAAAACTTGTAAGTAGAGATATAACTACTTAAATGGAGAAGGAATAAAATTGACAATTAATAGCTTAGAATTCATTTTAAGCTATAAGAAAAAGAACATCAATGACCATTAAATTTAAAATGAAGATGGTAAACATAAAAGCAGAAATTAAAAAGTATGCAAAGACTTATTAACAAAGAGACATTTGATTATGCAGACATCTAATAAGAATGATACACATAGTAAAACTGATATAAAAATATAGAAGACACAAATACATTTAACAAACTATAGATATTTAATATGTAAAAATGCTGAATGATATAAAATAATTTTATGCCTATAAATTGAAAAATGTCAGAATAAGGGAGGAGACCACCCCTCATATTGTCTTATGCCCAATTTCTGCCTCCAAAGAAAGAAGAAGTAAAAACTAAAAGGCAGAAATGAAATCCACAGGCAGACAGCCCGGCGCCACGCCCTGGGTCTGGTAGTTAAAGATCGACCCCTGACCTAATCAGTTGTGTTATCTATAGATTACAGACATTGTATAGAAAAGCACTGTGAAAATTCCTGTCCTGTTCTGTTCCATTCTAATTACCCGTGCAGGCAGCCCCCAGTCACATACCCCCTGCTTGCTCAATTGATCACGACCCTCTCATGTGGACTCCCTTAGAGTTGTAAACCTTTAAGAGGGACAGGAATTGCTCACTTGGGGAGCTTGGTTTTTGAGACGTGAGTCTTGCCAATGCTCCCAGACGAATAAAGCCCTTCCTTCTTTAACTCAGTGTCTGAGGGATTTTGTCTGCGGCTCATCCTGCTACATTTCTTGGTTCCCTGACTGGGAAGTGAGGTGATTAATCGAAGGTCGAGGCAGCCCCTTAGGTGGCTTAGGCCTGCCCTGTGGAGCATCCCTGCGGGGGACTCTGGCCAGCTTGAGCGACACGGATCCTAAGAGTTCTCCCAGGTAGGCAATTGCCCCAGTGGAATGCCTTGCTAGAGCAGCACATGGCAGGCCCCCATGGAGAACTTGTCCACTCCATTTGAGTGGAAGTTTGGCCTGATCACCCATGACGTGCCTGTACCGGCACGTGGTTTTTGTTTTTGACTTGACTTGGATTGCTTGATACTTTGGTTTTGCTTTTGATCTGGCTTGGATTTCTTGATACTCTGATTTTGGTTTTGATTCTGGTTTGGTGTAAACTATAAAAGTGTGTGTGTGCCCTCTTTACCTGTTCTTTGTTTTGTGGTGTGCATGTGGTGTGAGCGTGGTGTTTTTTTCTCAAGGAAACATGGGTCAGGCACAAAGTAAGCCCACCCCACTAGGAACTATGTTGAAAAAATTTCAAAAGGGGATTTAAGGGAGACTATGGAGTTACTATGACTCCAGGAAAACTTAGAACTTTGTGTGAGATAGACTGGCCAGCATTAGAGGTGGGTTGGCTATCAGAAGGAAGCCTGGATGGGTCCCTTGTCTCAAAGGTATGGCACAGGGTAACCTGTAAGCCAGGGCACCCAGATCAGTTCCCATATATAGCTTCTTGGTTACAGCTAGTTTTAGATCCCCTACATTGGTTAAGAGGACAGGCAGCAGCAGTACTAGTGGCAAAGGGACAGTTAGTTAAGGAAAGGTCTTGCTCCACCCACCAAGGGAAGTTGGCACCAAAAGTCCTGTCTGACCCAACACTAGAAGAATCATGGCAGGAATTGGTACCAGCAGTGCCCCCTCCTTAGTGAGAGGAAGGGCTCCCCATTCCTAAGCCCACAGCACCTACAACTCCACCTCCACCAGATATCCACACTCCTAGACCACCCAGAGTAGACAAAAGAGGAAGTGAAGCCATAGTAGAAACTCCTCCCTTGGCAGCTCACTTATGGCCCAAGACTGGAATCCAAATGCCCCTGAGAGAACAACAATATACTGGGGTAGATGAGGAGGGACACATGGTGGAAAGGCGTGCCTTTGTGTACCAACCTTTCACCTCTGCTGACCTCCTCAATTGGAAAACTAATACTCCATCTTACACCAAAAAGCCTCAAGCTTTAATTGACGTGCTCCAAACTATTATACAGACTCATAATCCTACTTGGGCTGATTGCCACCAGCTGCTCATGTACCTCTTTAAAACAGATGAAAGGCAAAGGGTGCTCCAGGTGGCAACTAAGTGGTTAGAGGAGCACGTCCCAGCCGATTGCCAAAACCCGCGAGAATATATAAGAATTCAGCTGCCTGGAACAGACCCCCAATGGGACCCGAACGAGGGACCAGACATGGAGAGGCTAAGACGGTACCGTGAGGCATTAATAGAAGGTCTAAAGAAAGGGGCTCAAAAGGCTACATATGTAAATACGGTTTCTGAGGTCATCCAAGGAAAAGAGGAGGGTCCAGTGCTATTCTATGAAAGACTGTGTGAGGCTTACCGTATGTACACTCCTTTTGATCCAGATAGCCCTGAAAATGAGCGCATGATTAACATGGTCTTAGTCAGTCAAAGCGCGGAAGATATCAGGAGAAAATTGCAGAAACAGGCTGGGTTTGCGGGTATGAATACCTCGCAGTTACTGGAAATAGCCAAGCAAGTGTTTGTGAATAGAGATGCAGCAAGCCACAGAGAAAGCCATAAGGAAGGTAAAAGCCAGGCCAGGTGAAACACCGACTTACTGGCCGTGGCCATTAGGGGAATTCCCCCAAAAGGAGAGGGAAAGGGGGGTTCTGGGAAGAATACCTAGTCTAATCGCCCACGCTTGCAACGTAACCAATGTGCCTATTGTAAGGAAATAGGACATTGGAAAGATAAGTGTCCCCATCTGAAGGAAAAGCAAGGTTATTCAGAACAAAAGACCTCAGGTAAAGACGAGGGAGCTCTGTTCAATCTGGCTAAAGGGCTATTAGACTGAAGGGGACTGGGCTCAAGTGCCCCCAAGGAACTCATGTTCAGGATTACAATTGGGGGCAAGGACATTAAGTTTTTGGTCGATATTGGTGCTGAACATTCAGTAGTGACCACACTGGTCACCCCCTTATCCAAGAAAACCATTGATATAATCAGAGCAATGGGAGTTTCCATTAAGCAGGCTTTCTGTCTATCAGGGACCTGATCGGTGGGGGGACATGAAATAGTTAACCAGTTCTTGTACATGCTTGACTGTCCCTTGGCCTTGCTGGGAAGAGACTTGCTTAGCAAGCTGAGAGCCACCATCTCCTTTACAAAACAGGGCTCTTTACAGCTAAAGTTACCAGGAACAGAAGTTATCATGGCCCTTACGGTCCCCCAGGAAGAAGAATGGAGACTTTTTCTAACCGAGCCAGGCCAAGCGATAAAACCAGCTCTAGCTAAGTAGTGGCCCCAAGTATGGGCGGAGGATAATCCTCTGGGACTGGTGGTCAACCAAGACCCTGTACTCATAGAAGTTAAGCCTGGGGCCCAACCAATTAGACAAAAGCAGTATCCGGTTCCCAGAGAAGCTCTTGAAGGAATCCAGGTTCATCTCAGGTGCTTGAAAGCCTATGGAATTATAGTTCCTTGCCAGTCTCCATGGATCACCCCTTTCCTGCCTTCCCCCAAGCCAGAGACCAAGGACCACCGGCCAGTATAGGACTTGTGTTTGGTCAACCAAGCTACAGTGACTCTGCACCCAACAGTTCCTAACCCTTACACATTGTTACGGCTGCTGCCAGCTAAGGACAGCTGGTTTACCTGTCTGGACTTAAAAGATGCCTTCTTTAGCATCAGACTAGCTCCTGAGAGCCAGAAGCTGTTTGCCTATCAGTGGGAAGACCCATAGTCAGGTGTCACTACTCTGTACACTTGGACCCGGCTTCTCCAACGGTTCAAGAACTCCCCTATTATCTTCAGGGAGGCCCTGGCTCAAGACCTGCAAAAGTTTCCTGCTAAAGACCTAGGCTGCATCTTGCTCCTGTATGTGGACGACCTTCTGCTGGGATACTCCATGGCAGTAGGGTATGCAAGAGGGACAGATGCCCTGCTTCTGCACCTTGAGGATTGTGGGTATAAAGTGTCCAAGAAGAAAGCTCAGATCTGCAGACAATAGGTACGCTACCTGGGATTCACTATTTGGAAAGGGGAGCGCGGCCTGGGGTCAGAAAGAAAGCAGGTCATCTCCAGCCTACCAGAACCTAAAACCAGAAGGCAAGTAAAGGAATTCCTAGGAGCTGTGGGGTTTTGCAGATTATGGATTCCAAACTTTGCAGTACTAGCCAAACCTTTGTATAAAGGGGGACTACTGGGAGCTTTTTGAATGGGGGCCTCTACAACAGCAAGCCTTTTGTAAGTTAAAGGAAAAACTTATGTCGGCCCAGCCCTAGGACTACCAGATTTGACAATGCCCTTTACACTGTGTGTGTCAGAAAGAGAAAAAATGGCAGTTGGAGTTTTAACCCAGACTGCGGGGCACTGGCCAAGGCCAGTGGCCTAGCTCTCAACACAACTAGACGGGGTTTCCAAATGCTGGCCTCGTGTCTAAGGGCCCTGGCAGCAATGGCCCTATTAGCACAAGAAGCAGATAAACTAACCCTTGGGCAAAACCTGACTGTGGTAACCTTGATGAATACCAAAGGACATCATTGGCTAACAAATGCTAGATTAATCAAGTACCAAAGCTTGCTATGTGAAAATCCCTGCATAACCATTGAAATCTGTAACACCCTAAATCCCGCCACCCTACTCCCAGTATCAGAGAGCCTGGTTGAGCATAACTGTGTAGAGGTGTTGGACTCAGTTTACTCTAGCAGACCTGACATTCGGGACCAGCCATGGGAATCAGCAGACTGGGAGTTATATGTGGACGGGAGCAGCTTCATCAACCCACAAGGAGAAAGATGTGCAGGATATGCTGTGGTAACTTTGGATGCTATCATTGAAGCCAAACTGTTTCCACAGGGCACTTCAGCCCAGAAGGCTGAGCTCATTGCTTTAACTCGGGCTTTAGAATTCAGTGAAGGTAAGACTGTAAACATCTACACGGACACTCGATGTGCCTTTCTAACCCTCCAAGTGCATGGAGCATTATATAAGGAAAAGGGCCTGTTAAACTCTGGGGGAAAGGACATAAAATATCAACAAGAAATTCTACAATTATTAGAGGCAGTGTGGAAACCTCAGAAGGTAACAGTCATGCACTGCAGGGGATACCAGCAAGCCTCCACCTCAGTGGCCTTAGGAAACTCTCGAGCTGATTCAGAAACTCAAAAAGCAGCATCTACCCCTTACCGGGCATCGGTAGCAGTGCCCTTACTCCCTCAAACACCTGACCTGGTACCTACCTATTCTAAGGAAGAAAAAGACTTTTTCCATGCAGAAGGGGGGCAAGTAATAAAAGGAGGATGGATCAGACTGCCAGATGGAAGGGTAGCTGTGCTGCAGTTGCTGGGAGCCACAATCATATTGGCCGTGCACAAAACCACTCATCTAGGTCGAGTCACTTGAAAATTCATCAGGCTAGGACTTCTACATCTCACACTTCTCAGTCCTTGCCAAAGCAGTAGCACAACGGTGTGTTACTTGCCAACAGCACAATGCTAGGCAAGGCACCTCTGTTCTGCCCGGCATACGAGCTTATGGAGCAGCTCCTTTTGAGGATCTTCAGGTAGATTTCACAGAGATGCCAAAATGTGGAGGTAACAAGTATTTGCTGGTTCTTGTATGTACTTACTCTGGGTGGATGGAGGCTTATCAAACATGAACTGAAAAGGCCTACGAGGTAACGCATGTGCTTCTCTGAGATCTTATTCCTAGGTTTGGACTGCCCTTATGAATCGGCTCAGATAACGGGCCGGTGTTTGTGGCTGACTTGGTACAGAAGACAGCAAAGGCATTAGGAATCACTTGGAAGCTCCATGCCGCCTACCGACCTCAGAGTTCTGGAAAGGTGGAGTGAATGAATCAGACTACCAAAAATAGTTTAGGGAAAGTATGTCAGGAAACAGGATTAAAGTAGATACAGGCCCTTCTTATGGTATTGTTTAAAATTAGATGCACTCCTTCTAAGAAAACAGGATCCTCCCCTTAAGAAATACTATATCATAGGCCTCCTCCTATAATACGGGGGCTTCCAGGCACTCCCCGAGAGTTAGGTGAAATTGAATTACAGCAACAGCTATAGGCTTTAGGAAAAATTACACAGATAATCTCAACTTGGGTAAATGAGAGGTGTCCCATCAGCTTATTCTCCCCAGTTCACCCTTTCTCTCCAGGTGATTGCGTGTGGATCAAGGACTGGAACGTAGCTCCTTTACAGCCATGGTGGGAAAGACCTCAGACCGTCATCCTGACCACCCTCATGGCTGTAAAGGTAGAAGGAATCCCAGCCTGGATCCACCACAGCCGTGTGAAACCTGCAGCCGCTGAAACCTGGGAGGCAAAACCAAGCCTGGACAACCCCTGCAAAGTGACTCTGAGGAGACGACAAGCCCTGCTCCAGTCACACCTCTAAGCTGACTGGTCCACGCATGGCCGAAGCATGAGGAGGATCATTGTGGGACTCATTTTCCTTAAAATTTGGACTTGTATAGTAAAAACTTCCACTGATTTTCCCCACGTGAAGGACTGTTCTCAGTGTATACATCAGGTTACCACGGTAGGGCAACAAGTTAAAACGATCTTTCTGTTCTATAGTTATAGAATGCCTAGGAAGTTTAAAAGGAACATGTTTATATAATGACACTCAGTACAAGGTATGTAGCCCAGGAAACGACCAGTCAGATATGTGTTATAATCCCTCTGAGCCTCCCATGTCCACAGTGTTTGAAATAAGATTAAGGACTGAAGACTGGTGGGGACTCATAAATGATACAAGTAAAGTATTAGCCAGAACAGAAGAAAATGAGGTGCCCAAACGCATAATCTTGAAATTTAATGCGTGTGCTGTCATTAATAGCAATAAGTTAGGAAAGAGATGTGGCTCTTTTAATTGGGAAAAAGTTTATATGACTGAAAATAAGTACATTTGTCATGAATTAGGACTGTGTGGAAGTGAATGTGGATACTGGTCTTGTGTCATTTGGGCCACTTGGAAAAAAAATGAAAAGGATCCAGTCCACCTTCAGAAAGGAAAAAATGGCCCTTCCTGTATTAAGAGACAATGTAACCCCTCAGAGCTAATGATAACCAATCCCCTTGATGCTCACTGGAAAAAAAGGGGAGCGTGTGACCTTAAGAATCGATGGGGCTGGACTGGATCCTCGAGTAAATATCTTAGTTTGAGGAGAAGTTTACAAACGCTCTCCTGAGCCAGTGTTTCAAACTTTCTATGATGAACTAAATGTGCCAGTACCAGAAATTCCAGGAAAAACTAGAAATTTGTTTTTGCAATTAGCCGAGCATGTAGCCCAGTCTCTCAATGTCACTTCATGTTATGTTTGTGGAGGAACTGTAAAGGGAGATCAATGGCCATGGGAAGCCCGAGAATTAGTACCTACAGACCCAGTTCCTGACAAATTCCCTGCTCAAAAGAATCACCCTGATAATTTCTGGGTCCTAAAAACCTCAATTATTGGACAATATTACATAGCTAGAGAAGGAAAATAATTCACTCACCCCGTGGGACAACTTAGTTGTCTGGGACAGAAACTGTATAATGGTACCACAAAAACAGTCACTTGGTGGAGTTCAAATCACACACAGAGGAATGCATTTAGTAAATTCCCAAAGTTGCAAACAATGTGGACCCACCCGGAGTCCCACCGGGACTGGACAGCCCCCACTGGATTATATTGTATATGTGGACATAGAGCTTACACCAAATTACCCGACCAGTGGGCAGGTAGTTGTGTTATTGGCACTATTAAGCCATCTTTCTTCTTACTGCCCATAAGAACAGGTGAACTCCTGGGCTTCACTGTCTATGCTTCCTGCAAAAAGGGAAGCATAGCTATAGGAAATTGGAAAGATGATGAATGGCCCCCTGAGAGAATCATACAATATTATGGGCCTGCTACTTGGGAACAAGACAGCTTGTGGGGATACCAGACCCCCATTTACATGATCAACCAAATCATACGGTTACAAGCTGTCTTAGAACTAATCACTAATAAAACTGGCAGAGCCTTGACTATTCTGGCCTGGAAAGAAACTCAGATGAGAAATACTGTCTATCAAAATAGATTGGCTCTCGACTACTTGCTAGCAGCTGAAGGTGGGGTCTGTGGGAAATGTAACCTTACTAATTGCTGTCTACACATAGATAATCAAGGGCAAATAGTTGAAGACATAGAGATATGACAAAACTGGCACATGTGCCTGTGCAAGTGTGGCATGGATTTGATCCTGGGGCCATGTTTGGAAAATGGTTCCCAGCACTAGGAGGATTTAAAACTCTTAATAGGAGTTATAATAGTAATAGGAATCTGTTTACTGCTCCCTTGTTTGCTACCTGTACTTCTTCAAATGATAAAAACTTCATCGCTACCTTAGTTGACCAAAATGCTTCAGTACACGTGTAATGTATAAATCACTATTGATCTGTCTTGCAAGAAGACATGGGTAGTGAGAATGAAAGTGAGAACTCCCACTAATGAGTGAAGTTCTCAAAGGGTGGGGGGAATAAGGGAGGAGACCACCCCTCATATTGTCTTATGCCCAGTTTCTGCCTCCAAAAAAGAAGTAAAAACTAAAAGGCAGAAATGAAATCCACAGGCAGACAGTCTGGTGCCATGCCCTGGGCCTGGTAGTTAAAGATCGACCCCTGACCTAATCGGTTATGCTATCTATAGATTACAGACATCGTATAGAAAAGCACTGTGGAAATCCCTGTCCTGTTCTATTCTGTTCTGTTCTAATTACCGGTGCATGCAGCCCCCAGTCACATACCCTCTGCTTGCTCAGTCGATCACGATCCTCTCATGCGGACCCCCTTAGAGTTGTAAGCCCTTAAGAGGGACAGGAATTGCTCACTCGGGGAGCTCGGTTTTTGAGATGTGAGTCTTGCCGATGCTCCCAGACGAATAAAGCCCTTCCTTCTTTAACTTGATGTCTGAGGGGTTTTGTCTGCAGCTCGTCCTGCTACAGATAAATTTCTAGAAACACTATAGCAAGATCTATAATTAAAAATTAATAGTTAAACATTTCTCAAAACAAACAAGCAACAGACCCCAAGACCTGATATGCTCACAGAGGAGTTCTCCTGAAATGTTAAAGGAAAACTTAGATTGTTGTGGAATATAATGTTCTCAGGAGAGAGAAAGGATTTCTTAAACAGAGTTTACCAAAAGGGCAAAGGTTGATAGATTCACATAAGCTCTATTTAAGATTCTTTTTTCATCAAACTATACCACCGAAAAAACAGAAAACGAATCATAGCATGGGGAATAATACTTTCAACACTTTAATCTCACAAAAAAACTAGTGCTCAGAATATAGTTTAAGAACTCTGAAGCAGAAACCACCCTTAGGGGCCTGTTGGCTCCCCCAAAACATGGACATAAAGGAAAATCTTCAGTTTTTTCAAGAGAAATTTTAAGCACTGAGCTGTCCCTGAGAAGTAAATGAACCACTTGATAAGCAACAGGTAATAGTAGCTTAAAACAATAGCCAAAGAAGTTAGTCATGCAACATTTGGTTTCATACAGAGACAAAAGATAATATCTTAACATGTCCCTGAGTTGTTTTTCAGAAACCTGGATCCCTTACCGAAAAGGAATCCTCTAGCACATAGACTTCAGACATGGGACAGCTGAGGAGTAAATTCTGGCAGCCATTCTTCATTCTAAATTTATTTCTGAGGATCCTGGAGGAAGTCACACCCACAGGCCAGGCCTAATATTCCTTTTGACTGACCCCAAGTGTTTAGACAAAGCTTTCCTTCCTTAACCAATTGCAGATCAGGAAATCTTTTAGTCCACCTCTGGCCTATGAGCCCCTGCTTCAAGATATCCTGCCTTTTTAGGCCAAAACAATGTATAACCTCCATATATTGATTTAAGATTTTGCCTGTAACATCCTTTTCCCTGAAATTTACTTCTGCCTTTAAAAACCCTTGCTTGTAAGCCATTGGAGAGGTCGAGTCTTAAACATGAGCTGCCTGATTCCATTCGCTTGGCACACTGCAAATAAACACACTCATTTCTCCTGCTGCAAAACCGTGGTATGGATGTTTTGCCTTATTGCACTGGGCAAACAGACTCTAGTTTGATGCAGTAACACTAAAAATTATTAGTGTATGAATACAGCAAAAATTAGCTTCTCAATCACACTGCATGCTTGTCACAGGTGGGCTGTATCTCTGCTTTGTGGTCTCACTTAGGGGACCAGGTTCCTGAAGCAAATCTATCTGAAATATTACTGATCTCAGGACAGATGATAAGGAATCATAAAATTCACAAACTGGCTCTTAAATATTGTGCACAGACATGACACACACCTTTTCCATTCATGTTTCATTGGTGACAGTAAGTAACTGACCACCCCTGAGTGCCATAGAACAGAACAGTATAATTCTCCTACAGGGAGGAATATCACTGGAAGTCAATCTCAGAAAGGGATGGAGATTTTAAACATTCATACAATCTCTCAGGGGGCATGTCACAGACAAGAAACATATTAAATGACACTCATTCTCATTACCAGTCATGAAGAAGGCAATCAAAGCCATAGTAAAATATACATTGATTTGCTGTGTTGGAAAAATGAAAAAAAAGATGCTGACAAATTTGGTGAAGATTTGGAAGAACTAATGGGATCGTCATATGTCGTGGTGGCAGTGTTAATTTCTAAAAACACTGTGGAAAACAATTATTATCTAGTAAAGTTAAAAGTTTAGCATCCCTATGACCTAGTCCTCTGTTCCTTGGAATATACCCTGTGGAACACCATCGCAAGTACTCTAGGAGCCATATACAGGAATATTGTGGCAAAATTATTTTTTATATAAACAAATTACTTTTAATACTACTAAATTAAAAACATCTTAAATTTGTATTAATAAAACGGGCAAATAATATATTTATTTGTTTTACTTATTAATGTGGCCCAAATAATTATATAGGTTTCATTCCTTTAATAAAGTAATACATAATAATAAAATATATAAACTATAGTTCACATAAAATCACAGATGTTTTTAACAAACTTACTATGTAATGAAGAAATATAACTCATAAATAAATATATGATATGATTCAATTAATATAAAACTCAAAATAAACCATTATAAACTGGGTTTTGTAATTATAATTACATTAGTTTGTATAGTAATTATAAGGATGTGTATATAGTTAATAAAATCATTTATTCAGACCGGGAGTGGTGGCACAGGCCTATAATCCCAGCACTTTGGGAGGCCGAGGCGGGTGGATTGCTGGAGGTCAGGAGTTTGAGACCAGCCTGGCCAACATGGCGAAACCCCCATCTCTACTAAAAATACAAAAATTAGCCGGGTATGTCTGTAATTCCAGCTACTCAGGATGCTGTGCACGAGAATCGCTTGAACCCAGGAGGCAGAGGTGGCAGTGAGCCGAGATCACGCCACTGCACTCCAGAGTGAGGACTCTGCCTCAAAAAAAAAAAAAAATCATTTATTTAAACAAGAAACTATTTTTGAAGACATAATAGAAAAAAAATACAATATTTTGTGGGCTCTTAAAATACCTATACACTTTCCTCCCAACCTCATCCTCCCACTTAGCTTGAGTTAATGTCAGGAACTTTTTAGGAATTGAAATTTTCTCTGCTTACATCTACAAAACACAGTAAAGATTTTCTATTTAGTAATGTCTAAGATGGATTTGGGTTAAGTTTAATGGCAAAATAAATTGCCTTAAAAATAATTATTTTCAAAATATCAAGTGGGACAGGAATAAAGATATAGCAAATATGAAATTTCTAAAGTATGTGAAAAATATGTTCTTGGGTTTAAGAAAAGAGCTGAGTCTACTCCTTAACGAAAAATCCTTCTTACAGCAGTAATAGTATTTTCTTAAAGCAACTTCTGTTGTTTTGGCCTTTGCCAACCTGACAAGATTTCAGGCATACAAATTGCAGTCTGCTTAGTTTAGCCAAATCAACTTGAAAAGTTCTGCCCATAAAAATCTCTCACTTCTCTAGCTCTCAAACAGATTTAAATGAGGAAAGTCTGGTACTTAATGTTCTCCTGGTTAGGTTGCTTAGCGACCACTCCACCCTGCAGCTTACACTGTGGGTTAGGTGTGAAGTTCACTATTGCAACACTTACTGGAATACAAGTGAACATACAAACAAATGTAATGAAATAACATACCTCCAAAAATCATTTGGCATGTCTTTTGCCAGGAAAAATGGAGTTCACTCCTTAATATTAGCTCTATTTTCTTTTTCATAAATTTGATTTCTAAAAGCTCTGTATACATAATTCCAGAATTGACTGAATGTCTACCTATTGTTTTTTTAAAAGATTTATTGTCACTGATTTAAAAGGGTTCACCTTAAGATAGTCTATATATATAAGGTGACTTATACAGTCATCAATAAACATGTTAAACAAGTAAATATTTTAATTCAGAATTTTTTGTGTGTTTGTGAGCGGAAGAGATATGGTTTGGAAACAAAGTTTAGATGTTTAGATTATATTAAGATTATGAACTTAAAACGTTTTCAAAGAAAATGCAAAACACTCTATAAATTGCTATTCTTTAAAATATATTTTTTATGGTTTTCATTCTTTGGTCATATCGTGAGTGTCATGAATATGACTAACACGAGTTGTGATCTCTAAAACTGTAATGAAAATGGTTCTTCTTCAAATGTCTTACTTGAATTTACAACCAAATCTTTATTTGATTGATGTTCTATTTTGGATCATTCATATTTATAATTTTCATCTTAAGCATGTCACGAAACTTATCATCAAGGATTTTCTTTTTTTCAAAAAACAAATGAAACATATTCTTACCTGTTTCTAACATACCTGTAAAATGATGGGCCAGATATGGTGCAAAAACATCTAAACCTGGGTTAATATATTGCTAGCATATAAATATTATTTCTTGTAAAAGATTTTTGATGCATTATTGAGGAGACATCTAATCTCTATTTTGTATTCCTGCTATACATAAAACAAATTAAATTTTGAAACCAATTATGGGTTTATGTTATAAGTCTTACAGTCCAGTTTGTTGCCTTACATCATAAAGATATCTTTGGTTTTTCCCCTTAATCACTAATTAAGTGAAGATAGTTATAGTTAATATCTAATAGACGTGTTATTGAAATGCATTGTGTTTAACATGGGAGTAGTTGTATTACTCATGAAAACTTTTTTTATGTTTAACATTTTCCAGTAAATTGCAATGAATTGACTTATTTATGAAGAAAAAAATTATATCAGAGATAAATCATTTTCAAAAATTGGCTGTTTTGGCTTTCTATCAATTTTCTCAATTGAGCTTCATCTTTTCCCCAGGAAAAGAAAATGATTTTAAGCATTTCCCAAGCTGATAAGCATCATCACTGAAGTATGTTAAAGGCCTGATTTCTGTTGGTTAATCCTATTGTTACCTTATAACTAAACTTAGTAAACATTTTCATGTATGAGATGTCAAAAATTTCAGAACCAGCAGGTAGCAGCAAAATAAAAAAACAAGGCTGAACAACTTGATGGGCTACAAGGCTGAGATTAGTGTGGAAAACAAAAACAGAGAGTTCTGATCTTGAGTATAAAAATAGTACTAATTTGAACATGCATGACAGCATTTCTGTGCATAAAATCCTAGAATGTCTTGTGTGATGATGTATGAGAAGTAAATTCTTGAAATTGTAAATAAATGCATTTTTCATATGTATTATTTCTTTTTAGATTGATCAGTTCAATAAAGGAGACACAAAATAGATCACAGAATTTCCTAAGTAAGAATTCAGTGCCTAGAAGTTGTCTTTAAATCTTCTTATTGTTGTTGACCTCATGGTCCCTTGTTCTGCTGAGTGTGCCCAAGGCAGTTCTTCCTGTCAGTGCCTGAAAAGAAGCATTGATTCTCTCCTAACTATTCAGTACAGCACAGACCAGCAGATTAAGGGAGGTGCTAATGGCAAGATCGGGAGTAGGGAGAAAAAGAATTCAGAGACATGGAGAGGCATATAAGATTCAGAAATGAAGTTATTGCCTGCATTAAAAAACATACACATAGAAATAGACATTTATTGAAGAATATAAAAATGGATATAAAAAAGCATAGCTGCTTAGTTTTGTTGACAAAAAACTAAAAAAAAAAAGAAAGAAAAAATAAAACGAGGTGTTCTTTGAATAAACAAGTAACATTTGGGTAAGGAGGGTGGTGGAGAGGACAAAAGTGAGATGACAGATGGAGCTAGCTTACCAAAGTAGAAGATTAGAATAAAGAACTTCAACTTAGCATTGAACAAAGGGTTAGAAGTTTCTCTAGCACAGACTGGAATACCTTTCTCTGTAGTAGAAAATGAAATATTAAAACGCTTTATTATTGCACTGGAGCAGATAATTAGGCAATTAAAACTATTAAAATTTTATAGAATATCAGAACTATAAAGCATGCCTGCCAAGTTTTAACTTTTCAAACTAATACTCGGTTTTTGAAACATTACCCTTGCATTTAAAAATTATCAGTGTTTGTTGCTGAATAAGTTTACTTTCTATTATTGGGAAGAAGAAATATTGAAGATAGAAGTACAGTATTGTGTCACAGAAAAATAATAAATGTGTAAAGAAATCATATATAGAAAGTAAAAAAAAACAAGGCTGTGCAATGGTAGAAAAAAAGTTTATGAATTAAAGAAAATAGTATTGGCTAGGAATAGTTCTTTTTGAGAGAAAGACTAATATAAAAAATCTTTCATAGAGAGAATGTATACAGAGGAACAAGCATTCTCATGGCAAATTTATAAAATTGTTACACATTTTTATGATTTCAACTACCTGCAAATGTATTACATACAATAACCTAAGGCACAGAAAAGATTTTAACAACAAGAAGATGGAAGTTAATTTAAGATTGGTAGTACAAATTCTAACAGATCAAGTTTTTTGAAATCATTACATAGTATATAATATAGAATTATTAAGGCCATTCTAATATTTTACAAACAGGAATAGAGCAATTAGGATTTGACTTTTAACTAGGACAAAGGTGGAAATATAATCATTCTGAGCAAATTAAGTCTGTTTTGTTATTCTGCCTCAAAAATATCATTCTCTGTGGTTGTCATTTGACCATTGCTATAGCAATATCAGGGCCTGGTTTGTACTAGAAAAATAAGCCTAAATATTTAAAGTTAGAAGTATCCTGAGAGCCTAGTAAATTTCTGATTGCTGTATTAAACCACTAATAAGTCACAATTAAAATGTGAAGAACATCCAATTTTATATTTTGGATTTTAGATAAAAGTTGGATCACATTTTAGGAGAACATTGTAGTGTTTCGAAATTTCCAGCAATATATTAATGTATATTTCTGAGTAAAATGTGTTAATTTATTTTCAGTTTTATTAAGAATCTGTTTTATCCCTTTAAGGATAACATTGAGGTTTTAGTTCATTTGTCAAGAAAAGCTATGACTTTCAAAAATAAAATAAAAATATATTTATTTTTTACTAATCTAAAGAACATTGTTTCAGAGAAGTATATTATTATATTTAAAGAGTCAGAGTTTAAGATTTTCGGTCAAGATGACGAATTAATGGCATCTAGGAAATCCTACTTTCTGTTGTAAAGGAATATTCATTGAAATTTTCCTAGAAAGCCACGTTCAAAAATAAGAAAAGGAAATCTCCAAGTGATCAGAAATAGGATGGATATCCAGAATTGTGAGCAGGTGTTAAATTCACAGGGACCGCAAAAGGACAAGGAGCAAATACGAAACTTAAAAAGCAGGACTTAAAACTCACGGAGAACGCATCGTTAAAACAAGCCTGAATAAAGCCTGAAGCCAAAAAGGTATTACATTGCCTATGAATAAGGACCAGAATATATCTCTCTGCTCTCTTGGGGCTCAGATAAAGATAGTACCCTATCCAAGCTGAAATATAGGAGAATCAACCACTAAAAGATCAAAAACCTAAATCTCACTAGGTGTCAGCTTTAGCAAAAAGAAAATGGGAGTTAAATTTAAGACAAAAGTCTCTTTAATTCACAAGGGCATTTGAACTTCTTGTACATTCACATAGGTGAGCACTGATCTGGAATTTACCAGAAAAGGGTAACAGTGGACACACCCTACAGAGAAAAGGTGGAAGAAGATTACTGCTGAGAGTAAATTAATAAGCAAAAGCTATAGAACATATATATATATGGAAAGTATTACTACTACATGGAAAACCATCTACAGACTCAAGCTATGGAAATTCACAATAGAGTTCGTAAAGAATGCATAGCAGGCTGAGAGGGGTTGTAAAAAGTCTGTATTGAAATTGTGGCTTTTAATCTTTATTAGAATCTTTGGCAAAGTGTTTGAAAACCAGAGTTATCCAGGTGACATGCTTAGAGGTTTTAGTAGAATCTGAGTTTGTAAGTTGACTCTAAGATACTGCCAGTGGTTTTTAATATTCAAAAAGTTTTGGGAAACATAGATTCCATGAAATGACCATAAAAGATTATAAAAATCTGAAAATAAAAAATAGGGTTATTTTAATTTAAACATTTGTCATGTTTTTAGAGTGAAGGAGCTCAGAGCTTCCTAACACCATTGTTCTTTGAGTATGTTATAGTTTACTGCGAGATATAAATTATCATAAATTTTAATTTCAAATGACTTTAAAACCATTAAAAAGCCTATAGTTGAAATTAATGTGGAACATTTTTGTGTTTCTCTTCTAAAATTTCTGAATTCAATGTACATGTATAATTGTGTGACTTTATACTTAGTCCTTGACACTAGAAAGAGCTTGGTACTGGCCACACTACATGATCCCCTCTTCAACCTTCCAGTTTGTCTTACTTTTGGCTGCTATGACAAGATACCATTAAGTGGGTGGTTTATAAACAACACAAAATTATTTCCCATAGTTCTGGAGGCTGAGAAGTCCACAGTTAAATTTCTGGCAAATTCAGAGTCTGATAAGGGCGTTCCTCCTGGTTCATAGGTAGGACTTTCTCATGTTCTCACATGGTAAAAGAGGCAAGACAGCTCTGGGACCTTTCTTATGAGGGCGCTAAACTCACTGCTGAGGGCTCTGCTCTCATGACATAATCATCCCCCAAAGGCCCCATCTCCTAATACCATCACATCGGTGATTTCTTTCAATATATAAATTTTGGCAGGACACACATATACAGACCACATTGTAGTTAAATATTCTACTTAGATGATTATTTATTACAATTTTCCTTTTCAATGGCATTTCTTGTTTTGTAAACATATAAAGTATATTTAATTCTGTACATATTTTTCTATAATCTAGGATTATTGTTGAATTTTTCTAGAAATTGTGATTCTCATCATCTAATCTCAGCCACAGTTTGAAATTTGATGAAATGTCATAATGAACTGTTTTTTACAAATTGAAAACATTATTTATTTAAAAACTAGCTATTAGTATATAAAAGAAGCATCTTAAAATTGATTTTCTAAGTACTTTGTCACACATAAATTATATATAATTATATCATTTATCTATTAAATTATCATATAACTCATGATTTCATAGGACTCTACTTACTGAATTAAACAAAATGTCTGTTTTAATATTCCCTACTTTATTTAAAAGATATTTAAAAGATGCTAGATTTTTTCCAACATTTTCATTGCAATTTTTGAAACATTATTTAAAAAATGAATTTTGAAGCTAAAATGTTTGTACTTAAGTGTTTGACATTTAAAATAATTTGATATGTATGTACTTTATGGTCCAAGCATAATAAATGATGTTTTTTATTTCAGTCATCAAAGTCATACGTAAATATGATTTAAAAATAAAGAAACAGAAAAGAAGGAAAGGAAGAAAGAATGAAAGAAAGAGACAAAAATGAAGAAAGTAAAAAAAAAAGCAAGGAGGGAAGAAAAAACATTAACATACACAAGTGTATTTTTGTGTGCCTCAATAATTCTTCTTATTCTTAAGCTAAAAACGTTACTGAAAATTTATAAAATTAAGCAATGATGTAATGGATTGAATAGTTACATCAGCAATGCCACTAAGAATTATACTATTATACTTAGAAATTACTACAAAAATATTCATCATGGGCAGAAATAATATTGAAACTATAACCTTTTATGAGGACATAACAAAAGAATCACACTGAACTCAATAAGCTAATCACAATGTCTTGCAGCTAATATCTGAAGACAAAGTAACACTCATAAGTGCAGAACGATTCTCTTACCTAGCTTGTAAGGCACTTATCAACATCATTTGATGTTAATAAAACAAGAGAAATAGAAGGATATGGTTGCTGAAGACTATGATTAATAACTACAATGATAACATGTCAGTTGATATATATAAACCACAAAAACCGATTGTCGAAGAAAAAATATTTTCATTAGAAACTGGTGAATCTGACGATATTAATGACCGTGCTTGATGAATAACACTAGCTATAAATCCTGGAGACATTACTGAAAGAACATAAATTATCCTACTAAATTTAAAACAAACAACTGGAGTGAGCAGACTTGCCATTTACTCAAGGGTGCCCTCTAAGTATTAATGTTTTCTATATATTCTATGATGAGATGAAGACTTGGAAACAGATTAAAATTTCTGTGCCAATACTTAATGAATTAAAAGGTAGAGCAAAAGCATGCACCAAAATGCAAGACAGAGGGGTAAAAAGATGGCAGACAAGAAAGAGAGAATGGGGGCATGGAGATACAAGGAGGCCCTGTAGCATACTGATAGTGACAGGAGACAGAGAAATTCCTAGGCAGACAGGGACAGGTCCCTGGTGAAACACCCGATCTTCAAGCCAAATACAGTTTAAAGCTTGAAAACTGAGCTGCTGCTTATGGATAGAGTCCATGACCTGAGTGAGAACTTCTATCCCTGTCTTACTCTCTGTCTCTCTCAATTGGTTCCTTCTGGATGATGCCTTTTAACCAATGGAATGGTGCTTTTTCCAGGACCACCCATTGACCAATCAGCATGCACTCCCCTATTCTAAACCCATAAAAATCCTAGACTCAGCCACACAGAGGGCTACCCACTTCAGGTTCCCTCTCTTTGTCAAGAGCTTTTCTGTTGCTCAATAAAATTATTCTCTGCCTTGCTCACTCTCCAGTGTCCACATACCTCATTTCTCTTGGTCTCAGGACAAGAACCCAGAATACACCAAATGGCAGGTGTGAAAAAACCTGTAACACTCCTGGCTGGCTTGCTGAGCTGCAGAGAGTGGGAATAAAAGAGCTGTAACATGCTCAGCTCCCCAGACTATGAGAG
The DNA here is from genome assembly GCF_000001405.40 of Homo sapiens. NCBI lineage: Eukaryota > Metazoa > Chordata > Mammalia > Primates > Hominidae > Homo > Homo sapiens. Next base: position 67,416,227 of record NC_000013.11, read on the forward strand.
ACGAAGCTGTGAGATGCTCCCACTCCCTGAGCTATGGGAGTGAAGAGCTGCAACATTTCCTGGGGGCTCAGACCTCAGGACACCTCAAGCAAGAGCTGTAACACCTCTTGGGGCCACACAATTGCTGGCATCTCCTAGTTTTTGGGTGCCACCACATTCCTCTCTTCTAGAAACCTGCGCCCAATGTAGAAGCTGCTCGAGGCATGCCCTGTCCATCCATGGGCTGAGCTCGGAGCCACAGTAGGTGAGGGATCCAGGCTGGAGTGTGGGCACAGTGCCGCCTGCTGGGCTAAGTGAGCGGAGCGAGCCCAGTGGGCTGAGTGAGGCCTGAGCAGAGGTGGCTACGGCCACAGAGATTTCCAGCTGGCAAAACAGCACCAAAGGAATCCTGTAACATTTTGTCCAAGAAAGAATAAGCAGAAGGAAATAAAGTAATGGTGGAGAGACAATATTTGAAAAAAAAATATTATCTGAGATTATTCTGAAGTGAAGAAACATAAGTTGTCTAACTGAGAAGCCCTCTGAGTGTGGAATGGATACATTGTAGTAAAATCGCACCTCTTCAGGCAGAGAGAAAATCCTGGAATCTACCAGAGATGCAAAGTAAGGTTATCTACAGAAGAATAATATCAAGACAACAAAGTTTTCTTTTGGCTATAGTATCTAAAAAGGGAAATTTATATTTCTTAGATTATTCCCATAAAGGAACTATCAAAGCATGGGCTTCTGCAAGTAAAGAAAAAAAAAGAATGCAAAAAAAAGGACAAAAAGTTAACAAAGATGACTATTGGTAAAGCATAGTAATAAATTTACTAAATATTGACAATAGGAAATAAGAAAAAGAAAAAATTGACAGAGTGTTTATTGTTAATACATTTCTACTAAACATTATGCAACAATAACATGGGAATCAGGAGAGGAAAATTTCAAAGAAACTAAAATATACCATGTTATTTGTTGTGTTCTGCATAAAAAAGCCGGCATTGATTCATATTTAGGAAAAAAGTACATTTTTAAATATTAACAGTTAAAGAAAATATTAGAAAGAAATTTGTAATATGTGTCTCTGAAGATGAAAATTAAGGGAATAAAGAAAAATTAACCTAAAAAAGTCAGAAAAGAGGGTAAGAACAAATATAATTATGTCAAAACACCATAAAAGAGTTCAAACTGTCAGTAATTATGACAGATGTAAACAGGCTTAGCTTCATATTAGATAATTTAAACATCTTTGATCAGGTAGAAGCTATAATTTAGATGTATGTTGTTTTAAGATAAATACCTAAATCAGAGGACACAACAAAGTTGAATGCAAAGGGATAGAAAAATGCAAGCCAGAAAATACTATCTGTAAATCCTGGTGAAGCAAAGTTAACCTTGGACAATTGACAATGCAAGGTAAATAGTGCAAAAAAGGGCAAAGATAGTCTCTCCTAAATATGTTTTTAAAGGGCAAAATGTACAAAAATGAAAGGAGATGAAAAATAACAATTGAAACCTATTAGATGGCTCTAAGGCTCCATTGTCAACAAATGAGATGAAAACAAGTAGCAATTTGTGTTTGTGTTCTTTTCCAATTTGTTAAAATTATTAATATGTGTTTTAGTGTAATAAATAATTACTTTATACACCTTGGTTTGATATAGAGTTATTGCTACAATATTTTTTGTTCAGTATTTACATATTTATTGAGTGCCCTCCAACTTTGAAGAATGATTTCAGAAACGCTAAGGAAGAGACTTGAGATGAAGTTCCCACAATTGAGTAGGACCCTAGACCTCACAAACTCTCTGTTCCTTAGATATTTGAGCTACTTGTTTTCTCAGAGCAGACACTCAAAAACTTAATTTTAAAATTATGTCTAATATACAGAAAATCTAGGATAATACAAAAAACTTCTTTATACTCTTTTTTAAAAATTTACTAATCATTAACATTTTGCCAGTTTTTTTTAAAATTATACTTTAAGCTCTGGGATACATGTGCAGAACGTGCAGGTTTCTTACACAGGTATACACGTGCCATGATGGTTTGCTGCACCCATCAACCCATCATCTACATTAGGTACTTCTCCTAATGCAATCCCTCCCCTAGACCCTTACCCCCTGACAGGCCCTGGTGTGTGATGTTCCCCTCCCTGGGTCCATGTGTTCTCATTGTTCAGCTCCCACTTATGAGTGAGAACATGTGGTATTTGGTTTTCTGTTCTGTCTTAGTTTGCTGAGAATTATGGTTTCCAGCTTCATCCATATCCCTGGAAAGGACATGAAAGCATCCTTTTTTATGGCTGCTTAGTATTCCATGGTGTATATGTGCCACATTTTCTTCATCCAGTCTATCATTATGGGCATTTGGGTTGGTTCCAATTTTTTACTATTGTAAACAGTCCCTCAATAAACATACGTGCACATGTGTCTTTATAGTAGAATGATTTATAATCTTTTGGGTATATACCCAGTAATGGGATTGCTGGGTCAAACGGTATTTCTGGTTCTAGATCCTTGAGGAATCACCACACTGACTTCCACAATGGTTGAACTAGTTTACAGTCCCACCAACAGTGTAAAAGTGTTCCTATTTTTCCACATTCTCTCCAGCATCTGTTGTTTCCTGACTTTTTAATGATCGTCATTCTAACTGGTGTGAGATGGTATCTCATTGTGGTTTTGATTTGCATTTCTCTGATGACCAGTGATGATGAGCTTTTTCTCATATGTTTGTTGGCTGCATAAATGTCTTCTTTTGAGAAGTGTCTGTTCATATTCTTTGCCCACTTTTTGATGGGGTTGTTTGTTTTTGTCTTGTAAATTTGTTTAACTTCTTTGTAGATTCTGGATATTAGCCCTTTGTCAGATGGATAGATTGCAAAATTTTTCTCCCATTCTGTAGGTTGCCTGTTCACTCTGATGACAGTTTCTTTTGCTGTGCAGAAGCTCTTTCATTTAATTAGATCCCATTTGTCAGTTGTGACTTTTGTTGCCATTGCTTTTGGTGTTTTAGTCATGAAGTCTTTGCCCATGCCTATGTCCTGAATGGTATTGCCTAGGTTTTCTTCTAGGGTTTTTATGGTATTAGGTCTTATGTTTAAGTCTTTAATCCATCTTGAGTTAGTTTCTGTATAAGGCTTAAGGAAGGTGTCCAGTTTCAGTTTTCTGCATATGGCTAGCCATTTTTCCCAACACCATTTATTAAATAGTGAATCTTTTCCATTGCTTGCTTCTGTCAGGTTTGTCAAAGATCAGATGGTTGTAGATGTGTAGATTTCTGAGGCCTCTGTTCTGTTCCATTGGTCTGTATATTTATTTTGGTACCAGTACTACACTGTTTGGTTACATTATTTTATACAATAAAGAACTCAGAGTTTATTAATCCTATTGGGTTAATACTGTTGGATTTTTTTGAATTTCATTTTAAAACACTGTTTTACTTATTACTCCTACAATTCATGGTTTTTCAAAGAACTGGAAAACATGTTAAAAGTATTATATAAAATGATCAGACTGAACCCCAACATATAGAGATAAGATATTGTTATTACTTTGGCTTATGTTCTTTCAAACATGATGATGATGATGATGAAAATTATAATGATGATTATAATTCTCATTTATTGAATTCCTACACTAAGTATGGGATGAGTGACTGTTTAACACATGTTCTACTAGTACTCTCAATAATATTATTTTTACTTTCATATAAATGAGGACGTAGAGGCATGAAGTTAATATGTGGCAGAATAGAATACAAACCAGTCAGTCTTGATATAGCAGGAATCCCAGCTAGAACCTAAACTGGAGCTTAGAAATGACTATATGTTTCTTGCAAACAATTAATGCCATCTTGCCAGAGAATCATTAAAATCTTGCCTCAGTTAACAAAGGGTTTGTTCTTGTATGAATTACCAAGGATTCTGCTACTTAGATACTTCTCCAAACTGATTGAAACAGAGAATTGTTGGAAGTGATAGTAGGAGAGAGGAGTCCAGCCTATTAATAAAAAAAAGAACACAGAAGAGCTGTTTCACTAAAAGCATTGTCACTTTGTAACACCCATTTTATCTTAGATGGTGCTATTTTCTTCACCAACTACCATGTAACTAGTTATTTTTGAATATCAAGCTAAAATAGGTTTTAGTAAATGACAATTACACTCCCACACATGCACACTGAAAAGCATATTACTATAAGACACAATATTGATTCATAGTGCCTGTATTTTCAAGTGCTATTGTAGGGTTAATTACTTTAACAATAAAAAGAAGAGAACACAGTATAAATAATACATTTGTACTCATGTAATATAAAATATACTAATACAGCTATCTGACAACATGCTAATATTATAGTATATACTATCTATGTATTATACCTATATGCATATATTGTTACAATAATACATATACTATTTAATATAGTAACATACAATAGTATAGATAATATAGTATAGATTACAATATAATAGATTACAACAATCTATAATAGAATATAATATAGCTGCTATATTGTACAATATAATATAATGGATAATACAATACAATATATCAATATTACAATAATATCTATATGCCATGAGTTGAATTGTGTGTCCCCAAATTTCTATATTTAAGACCTAAACCCTAGTACCTCAAAATGTGACCTTATATGGCAATAGGGTCATTGCGATGTAATTACTTAAGATGAGGTCTTACTGGAGTATGCTTCCTAATCTAGTATGACTGGTACAACTATAAAAAAGGGATATCTGGATCTGGATATGCACACAAGGATAATCCTATGTGAAAATGAAGGGAGAGATTGGGGGATGTTTCCTGAAGTGAAATTATGCCAGAGGTGGCCAGCATACCACCAGAAGCTTTGGGAGAGGGAGGGAACAGGTTCCCCCTCACAGCCCTTAGAAGGAACCAACCCTACTGATACTTTGATTTTGGACTTTTAGACTCCAGAACTGTGAGACAATAAATTTCTGTTATTTAAGGCACCCAGTTTGTGGAACTTTGTTACAACAGCCCTAGCAAATTAAAATACTGTATAATACCATGCTACAGATGATAGGTAATGTATTTACCTAATATACTAATATATCTATATGCCTATCTAATGTAAAATGTAGTGCCCCCATTCTGAAAGACACAAGACATTCTAAACTAGAAAAAAAATGCAGTTGGTAAATTAGGCAGAGCTTTATTGTATTTAAATCCCTTAAATGCAAAAATGTCAGTTGTAACTGGTCTTGTTGATGTGGGTAATTTTATGCAAACATAACTGTTTGTAGAAAAGTAATGAAGAGCTGGAGTGACCTTTGAGGTTATTTAATCTAGCACCTGTCTCAGTACTGGAATATTCTCCATAAGATCCTTGAAGGACAGCCAATTACTTCCTTTGGTGGGAGCAGACAGAGGGCTATGACTGACTGCCTAACGGCACCAGGGAAAGGTTTAAAAGAGGAAGTGATAATTAGACTGAGTTGAAACATGGACAAGAACAGCAGATTTCCCTAAGGCTGGGGTGTAATGTGTGGGAGAAAGTAAAGTGGGAGGTTTGCTGGAAAAGCTAGCCTAGCCAGATTGTGAAGTGTCTTACATACCATACAAAGGAGCATTGACTTGTGTCTTAGGTATTAGGGAGTTTGGGGACACTTTTCACCTAAGGGTAATAAGATATAGAGTAAATGCTCCTATTATTAATAGCTATTTCATGAAGTGCCTACTTATAAAAGAATGGAGGTACTTTAGAGATCCAGTTAGAGTGCAGATGTCTCTATCAATGGGATAATGCTACTTTTTTGTTTAGTATTAAGTAATTGGCAATTCCTTATTTGATATCATTTGATGACTGGACCTGTCCTATCATCATATTCCATCCCAATAGTATCTTCCATCCCTCACTACTATGCCTCCTATGTATTGGCCACATTGAAATTATTTAATATGATATAAATACACATTTTCTTAACAGTATTGTGCCTTTACACAAGCTACTCTAATTACTTGAAATAAAATTGTTCCCATTACTTGACTAACAAAATATTATTTATCTTTCAGATACAACTCAACGACTACCTACATTTTGAAGTACTTCTAAGTAGCCAAAGCAATATTATTACTTCCCCATTCTCCTCTCAGGGCACTTAGAAATTGACTCTATAGCAAAGCTTACTTCATTTCATTATTCTTATTTGCATGATTTTGTAACCACATACTCAGTGATATATGCCCTTTGTGATTAATAATAGTATTATATTTATTTCTGTATTTTCAGTCTACAAAGAGTGTTTTGTACATAATATAAAATTAAAAATTTTTGGTTGCATAAAAAAGAATGAATGTTATATTTGGTGGCTTTTGTGTTGGAAACTGGAGGATAAATAAAATATCCTAAGATTAGAAAGATGTATTAGGAAATCTTTCCTATATATCCATTACGAAAAAAATGTAAACTCATTGAAAAGCACTCTGTATAACCTAATTTTACTTTTTATGTTTTGTTATGGCACTGGCCTACAGAAATGAATTGAAAATTCCACTAAAGTTTTACAAAATATCAGTAACTAATGTGAGTATTTCAGGTTAAACTTTGAGGTTGAACTCACAATCTAAAACTGCAAAATGAACTTACAAAAGTTCTAATAGATGAGTGTAAGTATTTATTTATACAAAGAAACTGTGGCTTTTAAATTTTTGACTTAAAGTAATCTTATCATTTTTCTAAGTCTATAAATATCATTTAGAAGAAAAAGATTTAAATTTTAGTCTCATACGGTTTGAAACATAGTGAACTAATTTCTAAAACAATTTTATATGAAAAGGAAATAAAAGTTGGCTCCTGGATTTCTTTGTCTTTCACTTGTCCTCCCTAGGTACATTCTGCTTCAATGTTTGGGTATATTAGAGGAGCTCCTTGGCTTACGCAGTTTTGTGATGGGGGATGAGCAGAGTACTTGGCAGGGTGGGGACATCTGGACCTCTTTCTCTCTAGGACTATCTGTTGGCCACCAAGTTGTTGCTAGATATGTTGGCAATTGCAAGTAAAAACCTCAGCAGCTGTAATTTATGAGCTGGTCTTTCTTGGCTTCACTTCAGTTTCTGGTGTCACAGAAGACCTTTCTGGCATTCGGCAGAGACTCCCAATCAGCTGTAGCCTGATCTATAGAAATCCTCTTTGTTCCGGCTATGAAAATATCTAGGAAAAAAATAGAATTTGGGGGAATAGAGACATAAATTCATATCACTCATCTAAATTACACATATGTGGATTTATTATAATTTTATCCAAAATCTATGCTAGGGTTTCAATGGAAGTCTGTTTCTCATACCAGTATTTAACAGGAGAAATTGGTCATAAATACATTTTACAGTGACCTTTCTTCAGCCCTTGTTTTTATAGACAGATATTACTAAAGCAACCCTCATAGCCACACACACATTAGAGACTTCCAGTTATTGATTATCATTAGAATCACATCCCTCTTTGCTGCCATGAGAATGCAATTCTATAGAATTGCCTCTTGATGAATTGTTTCAAAAATACTTGTGAGTCGGATGATACTATTTAATGTACTTCTCCATGATTTAAAATTACAGATTGCCCAAGAACTATGTCTAAGTAGGCCATCCTGAAGAGTAATCATATATATATAAATGATTACATTTATATATGATTACATACATATAGTGTGTGTGTATGCTTGTGCATATGTATAGATTTTTGTGACTTCCCTTAATTATAGCAGTTGGATTAATTGAATGTTCCTGTTACTAATTATCATATATGGTATCTAATTTATTTACATTAGAGTTAAAGATAATTTTTGGAGAAGCTACTGTCCAAACTTTTAATAAGTTTTTAGCTAATGATTACTAACCAAGTTCAGTACTTTCGTTATCTTGGTGAAAAAATGTTTTAAAATGTAGCCTGAATCATAGCAAAGTGGTCAGGAGCAAGGTCTCCAGAGTCAAATTATGTGAGTTATCTCCAAAATGGTAATAATAATAGTGTCTCTTTCACACAATTATTGTGAGGACTAAATGAAATCATAGTTCTTAAAGATTATCCATCATCTGATGGCCTGAAGAAAATGTAAACTAATATCATGACATGAGGAAGAAATTTGAGTCATTAATTATAATTTATCTCAGTATGAAAGCAGAAGTTGATTCTACCAGCTTGTACTTCTTCATCTCATTTTCCAACAAAGCAGAGGAGACCATATATATTCAATCAAGTCTTGTTATATGGAACTACAATCCACCCCGCCCCCTACCACCTCTCTCTCTCTTTTGCTCTCTCTCTCTCTCTCTCTCTATATATATATAAATTTATATATATATCAATTTTTTATCTATATCAATTTTATATGTATCAATTATATATATATATATATATGCTGAATTAGTCATGCATGTGAAGATCCAGCAATAAAGAAGAGGAAACACTTGTAACAATACTAAGCTATACTGAGTTTGGCTCATTGGAAAATCAGAAACCGGGTAGCATTTAAGAAGCTTGGTAAGAAAAATAGAGAAGATGCTATTACAGCTGTAAGATGCTACCTGAGACTTAGCCAAGAACTAGTTCATATAGGGCCTTGTAGAAATCAGGAGGTTACACTTTATTCCAATTTCCGTAAAATACCATCAGAGGATTTGGGGAAGAAAGGATTTGATTAATATCTTATAAAGACCTCTCTGACAGGCAAGAAGAGAGAGAATGGTCCAGGAGTATGAGAGCAAAGAAGTAGATACTTTGTAAAACGTTTTCACTGCATGGCGATTTGATCTATTTTGGGAATCACAAAATCCTTTTTAAAATGTCTTCAACAAAAGAAAAAAATTTCTGATTTAAATAAAAAGAAGTCAAACTTCTGATGAGTAAGTAGTTTGTATTTAGTTGATGGATGATTAAAGATCATTTTACCGTATTGGTTTCCTGGATTACACTAAAAAATGTAGGCAATCCCATCCACTTCATCCAATATCCGTATTAGCATCATCATTAGCAATTTTAAATTTAGGTTTCATTATTTTCTCCTTTCCTTACCTTTCTTGTTTATTTGCAAACTTAAATTACATTGTATAGTGCATATCTGCATAATGTACATACAATATGTAGCTGTAGAATCAGCCTTCAATTATTTGTTTGGGTTATTTATTATTTGAATAAGTGAAAGTAGAGAAAGCCATTGTGGGATGATAAATAAATTTATTAACCTTTAAAAATTAGATACATGTACAAATATCCTAGGCATAATATCAATGCTTATTCTATGAGTCACTTTAATTTAAATAATCGACAGATTTTTTGTGTGTGTTGTATAGTGTATTAGTCCATTCTCACGCTGTCATAAAGAACTGCCTGAGACTAGGTAATTTATTTAAAAATGAGGTTTAATTGACTCACAGTTCTGCATGGCTAGGAAGGCCTCAGGAAACACAATCATGGTGGAGGGACAGGCAAATATATCCTTCTTCACATGATGGCAGGAAGGGAAAGAATGACAGCCAAGTGAAGGGGGAAGCCCCTTATAAAACCATCAGTTCTTGTGAGAACTTACTCACTACCATGAGAATAGCGCTGGGGAAACCATTCCCATGATTCAGTTACCTCCCACCAGGTCTCACCCATGACTTGGGGATTTGGGAAACTATAATTCAACATTTGGGTGGGACACCGCCAAACTATATCATACAGTCAAAATCTATTACCAAATAAATAAACACAGTGACTTTAAAGAGAAAACAATGAGATAATAATATACATTATCAAAGAAGGTTAAGACAACAAATGCTTAATTCTGAATATACAGAACGTTGAAAACCAGAAATTTTAGGTCAGTATTCTTTGTCACAATTATAAGGAATATTATTTGTATTTTATAAGTATTTTTATATTTTATATGCATCTGCTTGATTCTGAAATATCTAGCTTATGTTATAAGCTAGATATATTATCATCAATGATTTATAAAGCTTTTGTGACTTTCTTTCTTTTCTTTCTTTCTTTCTTTTTTGTTTTTTTAAGAGACAGGATCCTGCTCTGTTGCTGAGGCTGGAGTGCAGTAGCACAAACATAGCTCACTGCAGGCAGCCTCAGACTCCTCCACTCAAATGATCCTCCTACCTCCGCCTCCCAGGTAGCTAGGAGTGTGTGCCATCACACTTGGTTAATTTTTTATAGAGACAGAGGTGTTTCTATGTTGCCTAGGCTGGTCTTGAATCTCTGGTCTCAAGTGTTCCTCCTGCCTCGGCCTTCCAAAGTGCTGAGATTACAGGCATGAACCACTGCATCTGGCCTAAAGTGACTTTCTTAATCTGCTGAAATTGTATGACATTTGTGAATTTTATTATGTATGCATATAGGATATCTACATACACAAATGTGCTTATATATTCAATATCATGACTCAATTTTAATATTTTATATTAAATAACTTTTGCAAATACATGTAATGATTGCAATTTTTATTAGTTTTAGAACTGTTAGCGTCCCATGAAGACAACAGAAAATGTACTTAATAGAAATGCTAGATCAAACTTCAAAAGTAAGAAAAAAAATTGTCAGGAAAATCTACTGGGATTGTTCATAAATCAGTGTGTGTAGAATTAAAAATGTGACAGTATTCTTAGCTAGACTTCATGAAAAACCTGTATTATCTTGAGAGTATGTCTTGACATTTAAAGTATGTGTAGCAACTCACTGTATCAGAAATGTCCTAGATTCCAAGACAGTAGCTCAGATAAACTTTAGAAACATCTCCTGAAGCTGCTTGATTTTTGGAAAATTTTGTGTTTACCAGTGAAACACAGATAGAACTATTCAAAATACAAGATATTCCTAAAAGACAGAAAAACTTGATTATTTTTTAGTTTTTGTGGGTACTTAGTAGGTGAATATATTTATGGGGTATATGAGATGTTTTGATACAGGCATGCAGTGTAAAATAATCACAACATGAAGAATGAGGACCCATCCCCTCAAACATTTTTCCTTTGTGTTACAAACAATCCAATTACATATTTAGTTATTTTTAAATGTGCAATTAAGTTATTATTGACTATGCTACCCCCCACCACCCTTCCCAGCATCTGTGAACCATCTTTCGACTCTCTCTGTCCATGAGTTCAATTGTTTTGATTCTTAGATCTCACAAATAAGTGAGAACATGCAGTTTGTCTTTCCATGCCTGGCTTATTTCACTTAACATAATGACCTCCAGTTCCATCCATATTGTTGCAAATGACTAGATCTCATTCTTTTTTATGGATGAATAGTACTCCATTGTGTATATGTACCAGATATTCTTTATCTATTTATGTGTTAATGGAAATGTAAGTTATTTCAAAAATCTTAGTTATTGTGAATACTGCTGCAAGACACAGGGATTGCAGATAATTCCTCAATATACTGATTTCCTTTCTTCTGAGTATATACTCAGCAGAGAGATTGCTGGGTAATATGATAGCTCTATTTTCAGTTTTTTGAGAAATCTTGAAACTGTTCTCAATAGTGGTCATACTAATTTACATTCCAACCAACAGTGCGTGAGAATTTCCTTTTCTCCATATCCTCATCAGCATTTGTTATTGCCTGTCTTTTGGATAAAAACCATTTTAACTGGGGTGAGATTATATCTCATTGTAGTTTTGATTTGCATTTCTCTGATGATCAATTATGTTGAGCATTTCATATGCTTGTTTACCACTTTTAGATCATCTTTTGAGGAATGTCTATTCAAATATTTTGCTCATTTATTGATCAGATTATTAGATTTTTTTAATATAGAGTTGTTTGAGCTCCTTATTTATTCTTGTTGTTAATCCTTTGTCAGATGGGCAGTTTGAAAAATAGTTCTTTCCCTTCTGTTGGTTGTCTCTTCACTTTGTTGATTGTTTCATTTGCTGTGCAGAAGCTTTTTAACTTGTCATGATCTCATTTGTTCACGTTTGCTTTGATTGCCTGTGCTTGTAGGATATTGCTCAAGAAATTTTTGCCCAGACCAATGCACCGGCAATTTTCCCCAATGTTTTCTTGTAGTATGTTCATGGTTTGAGCTCTTAGATTAAGTCTTTAATCCATTTTGATTTGATTTTTTATATGGTGAGAAATAAGCGTCTACATTCATTTTTCTGCATATGGATATCCAGTTCTTCCAGAAACATTACTTGAAGAAACCATCTTTTACCCAGTGTATGTTCCTGGCACATCTGTCAAAAATGAGTTTATTGTAGGTTTGTGCCAAGAAGAATCTTTTTTTTTTTTTTTTTTTTTTTTCTTTTTTTTTTGAGACTGAGTCTCTCACCCAGGCTGGAGTGCGGTGGAGTGATCTCGGCTCACTGCAACCACCTCCCAAGTTTAAATAATTCTCCTGCCTCAGCCTTCTGAGTAGCTGGGATTACTGGCACCCACCACCATACCTGGCTAATTTTTGTATCTTCAATAGAGATGGTGTTTCACCATGTGGGCCAGGCTGGTCTGGAACTCCTGATCCCAAGTGATCTGCCTGCCTCAGCTTCCCAAAGTGCTGGAATTACAGGTATGAGCCAACATGCCCGGTCTGAGAAGAAAAACCTTAATGATTATATGTCTTAATGATTATATGCTATGTCCAAAGATCATATATTAAGTCCAAACTTTTACTGAAAATTCACTTTAGCAATTGATATTTCTTTTTTGCAATTATTTACAGCACATCATATGGAATCTGGTGAAACATGATATCATTTGTACCTACTAATATGGAGAAATGGCATAACTTTTATATTTATACATGTGCACAACAATTTTTTCATATAGTATTTAATTAATTGTTAAATAATATGTTTAGTGTTTTAAAATTTTTCATAGAATTGACATTACATTTTCATAAAAATATCTTGAATTGGTCATCATCGTTGCTTTTTTCTTTTTTACAAATGACAAATTTTAAGCATTAATACCTTTCAACTATTGTAAATCAAAAATAAAATTCAAAGGCCCTCTGCAACCACCTGAATAAACTCCCTTTTCGACCAGGCACTCTAAAATTTAACGTGAAAGACTGGTTCAGGCCATGAAGGGAAGAGGGAGTTGGACATGCTTCATTATATCCCTCCAGCATTAACATCAACACAGACCTTATGCCTGAAAAGAAACATTTACAGTCTATTCTCTCTAAAGCCTGCTACTTGGAGGCTTCATCGGCATAATAAAACCCAGGTATCCACAACCCCTTATCATAATCCAGATATTCCTATCTACAGATAATAACTCTTTCAACCAATTGCCAATCAGGATATGTTTAAATCTACCTATGGCCTGGCAGCCTCCTGCTTTGAGTTGTCCCGCCCTTCCAGATTGAACCAGCATACCAGCATAAATCTTATTTATTTATTTATTTTTTTTGAGACGGAGTCTCGCTCTGTCACCCAGGCTGGAGTGCAGTGGTGCGATATCAGCTCACTGCAAGCTACGCCTTCCGGGTTAACTTACGCCATTCTCCTGCCTCAGCCTCCTGAGTAGCGGGGACTGCAGGCGCCCGCCACTATGACTGGCTAATTTTTTGTATTTTTAGTAGAGACGGGGTTTCACCGTGTTAGCCAGGATGGTCTCGATCTCCTGACCTCATGATCCGCCCCTCTCAGTCTCCCAAAGTGCTGGGATTACAGGAGTGAGCACTGCACCCGGCCGAACCACTTTAAATCTTACATGAACTGATTGATGTATTATGTATCCCTAAAATGTAAAAAAGCAAGCTGCACCCCCAACGACCTTGGGTATATATCATCAGTACCTTCTGAGGCTATGCCACGGGTATGTTTTCAACCTTGGCAAAATAAACTTTTTACATTGACTGAGACCTGTCTCAGATATTTGGGGTTTACACCATATATACAACTACTAAGTAGCACATATAGAACTAAAAGTTAATCTTTGTCATTGTGTTTTGAATGTGACATATGGCATTAAAAAAATCCTTTGCAAGTTAGGGCTTTGAGATTCTCTGATTTTGTCCTTCTAGTAGACATCATTCTGCAAATAAAACTCACAAGCAAGTGTTCCTTCCTCTAAGGACAGTTATCCTATCACTAATGAGTTCTTTTTTTTTTTTCTCTCATTGTTTTTTCCAAGACTTTCTTCCAATGTCCTTCAACTGGATAACAATTGTGTCTTTTAAAACTAAAGAAATTATGCATTCTTAAAACAAGAACTATATATTTTTTGCAGTATTATCTCCTAGCCTTACATCACCCTCGAAACATTCCCCTTTTCAATCTCATGTTGCTCATAGATTTGTATGTGTATGATTTTTGTTTTGATACATTAAATTTTGAGAAAATATGCAAAAATAGTAAAAGAAATTTCTATGTGTCCTTTATGCAATTCACAATTGGCTTACGTTTTGCTCCATTTCTTTCAGTATTATTCTTTCTTATATACACATATATTTGTATGGCCATTTGAAATATGTTGTATTCTTTTTTCCTAAATATTTTAATGTCTCTTTTTTTCAAAATAAGGACATTGTCTTACATAACCAAAGGACGTTATCAAAATCTGGAAAATTGGTATTGCATTACCCAGTGCACATTCAAATTTCATCAACTGCCCCAATAATGTCTTTCATAGCTATTTGGTTCTGCTTCAAAACTCAATCCAGGATTATGTGTTTTTGTATTTAATTGCTCTCTCTCTTTAGATTTCTTATGTTTGCAACATAGGCTCAGCCTTTGTTATTCTTGATGTTGACATTTTTGAAGACCATAGTGCCTCAATTGGGATTGATGTTTCCTTATTATCAGAGCCATCCTATGCATTTTTGGCAGGAATACCACAGAAATGGTATGATGACCTTTCAGTGCTTCAAATCAGGAGGCACCTGATGTCAGTTAGTCTGAATATTAGTAATGTTAAATTTGATCACTTTTTGAAATTGGTGTAAGCTGTTTCTCCAGTAAGTTATCTCCTTTTGGTTTGCTATTAATAAGTAATTCTTGGGGGTATATTGTGAGAGTGTGTAATTATTCTATTCTTCATTCACCTGCCACCTACTTGTTTTAGCACCTATTGATGATACCTTAATTACATATATATATATATTTTTATTACTGGGCATTCTACTGTAACGTATTTGTCTATCCATTATGATAATTAGTTATTTTCATGCTCAAATTGTCCCAGGTTTAGCCAGTGGGAGCCATCTCAGTGTGGTTTCTGTGCTTCATTCTTTCTTTATTTCCTAACATCCTGGACAAGATGTTTCCAATTTACCTTGTGCTTTTACTACCTGAGCACTGGAATCAAGCTTTCATTCCAAGAGTCCCTGTTTCCTTAGAGTAGAGGATGATGATTAGAAATAAAAATCTGAGCACTATTTCTCCTTTGTCACTGGGATATAATTGTTTACAGGCTGTCAGAAGATACAATATGTATATTTATTTTTATCTCTCTCTCTCTCTCTATATATATATATAGATGTGTATATATATATAAAATCAATCATTACAAAGAATAAACTGCTGCTGCTTTATATATACATATATACTTATATATACACATATGTGCATATATATGTACATTTGCATATGTATATGTACATATATACGTACATTTCAATCCATTATCACAAGAAACACTGTAGCTTTTTCTCTTTTCATATGAGTAACTCTCTTCTCCAAGAGTTAGAATCCTGTCTCCAGTTATCCTCCACATATTTATTTACTCATTTGCTCAAGTATAAAAAACAAAGGAAGTAATTTCAAAATTGCTAAATAACATCGCCGTGAAAAGCAAACCCATTAGCTGGAATTAAATAATTGTTTTCTGAGAAAAAGTTTTTTACTGTGAAATACACATACTCATTTCAATAAGTTTTAACAAATATACAGATACCCTTATCAAGATACACAGTAACTGCCCCACTTTAAAAAGTAATTCTGGGCCTCTTTGCATTTCTATGAATGAAATTGCACTGTATATGCTATTTTGAATGCAGCTCTATGGCTATGTAGCATTTATGAGGTTTATTAATGTGTTTGTAAGTATCAGTGGTTTGTTCCTTTTTATTGCTTAGTAACATTTCAATGTGTGATTATATCATATTACCTTACTCCATCCTGCTGATGTTGAAAATTTCGGTTGTTTCCAGTTTGGGGCTATTATGAATACAATTGGAATAAACATTCTTGTGCAATGTTTTTGTGTAAATATAAATAGTTTATTTCTCTTGGACAAATACAAGTGGAATTGCTGGGTCATATACAGATGTATGTGTAAGTTTCTTATGAACTGACAAGACTTTTTTTTCCATTTTTTCCATGTTTCATGAATATTTTCACCCAGTTTGTGGTTTTTCTGTTTATTTTCTTAATAGTATACTTTACTGAGCAGAAGTGTTTAACTTCTGTGACGTCTAATTGTCCTTTTTATCATTTTATTTTTATTTTTTCTGTATCTAAATTCTTTGCCTACTCAAAGTTGCAAAGTTTTAAAAATAATTTTGTGTGTGATGTAAGACAGGAGTCTAGGATTTCCTCCCATATGTATACATTCAGTTTTTATAATACAATTTGTTAAAAATATTTGTTCTTATTTATTGAATTGCTTGGGTGCCAATGTAGAAAAATCAATGCTTGAGTCTATTTCTGGGCTCTCTGCTCTTTCATTTATTTATTTGGTTTTGCTTTAGCTTTATACTAAATACTTAAGTCAGGTCTTTTAAATTTGTTCTTCTTCAAGATTTATCTAAGTGTATTAAGCTCTTAATATTTGCAAGTAAATTTTAATACCTGCTTGTAATTTACTATTTAATAAAACAAAAGGAAAACCCAAAATTTTGTTGAGATTATGATGGATATTAAAATGAAATTATAGATCAACTTGAAGAAGTTACATTTTTACCATATTAATCTTTCCATTCCATGAATATTTCTCTCCAGTTTTCAGGTCTTTAAAAATTCCTCTTAACAGTATTTTATAGATTCCAGTATAAAAGACGTGCCCATCTACAGCCTGATTTTTCCTAAGAGATTTATGTTTTTAACACTGTTGTGAATTAGTTTTAAGCTGCCAGTTTTGCTCAAAATATGTAGAAATTAAATTAATTTGTGTATATTTATTTTGTATCTCATAAACTTTCAGTATTCACTTGTAGTTTTAGTTATTTTGCAGTTTCTTTAGGATTTTACATATTAGGATCCTATATAAACAATTCTGTCCGGGAATAGAGGCAGTTATATATATATTTTTTACTACAGTCTTCCTTTCCTTTAGTTCTTTTATTTGTTTCTTTTTTGCCTTTTAATATTCTGACTTGGTCCTCAGTATAAATTCAAATAGAAATTCTGACAGTGTATTTCCTTCCCATGTTTAAAATATTTCAGAGAAAGCAGTAAGTTCTATAGAATTAAGTATATTAGATATAGATTTTTACAGATGCTCTGTATTCATTTCTCATTTACTGAGGTTTTTTTTTTTTAATATGAGTAGAGAAAGGGTCTTGTTATGTTGTCCAGTCCGGTCTCTAATTCCTGGCCTCAAGCAATCATCCCACCTCAGTCTCCCAAATTCTGGGATTACAGGCATGAGCCACCACCACTGGCCATTTGCTGAGTCTTTTAAGTAAAAGCAGGTGTTTAATTTTGTGGAACATTTTTTTACGTCTATTGAGATGATTATATAATTGTGCTCATTTTTTCTGTTATTGTAGTGATTGATTAATTTTTGAGTTAACTATTCCTACATTCCTGAGGTAAACATAATCTAGACATGTGCTGTATTATATTTTATTATACATTGATTAATTGTATTTGTTTATATTTTCAAGGGATTTTTTCTCTATATTATTGATTTCTGTAATTTTGTTTGTAATGTTTTCATGTTTAGGTATTAAGATTATATTGGTCTCATGAGCTAAGTTGGAGCATATTTCTACTTGCTCTATATTTTAGCAAGATTTGAGTATATTTAGTCTTATTTCTTCTTTTTATGTTTGATAAATTTCACTAGTAGAATTATGTGCCTAGAGTTTTAGTTATTGAAAAATCTGAATTCTTTTGAAGGTTAATGAAAAATAAATATCTCTACTAGCAGTTTCATGTTAGTCTGGTTTATCTGCCTATTTATGGTACACTAAACTTGATATAATTTTACTAGCTTTGGGTGTTATACAGATCTTAATGCAGCTTGAATCCGTTAAACATTTCTTTGCTTCTCCCCAACCCTTCATTAACAACATTTTAGTTAACCTGAGCTTTTGCATTCTGGAACTAATTTTTAATTATGCAAGATTCTGTGCCATATATAAATGAGGGGAAAGAGTTATTTTGCTGTGGGAATAACTTTATTTTCATTTATAAAATTTTATTCATTAACGTTATTACAAAATAAATTTATGTACTTCCTTAACATACTAATTTTCTTGAAATTGAAAAGATTTAAAACTTTTATACGTAAAGCTGATTGTAAATGAGTAGGGTTTTTTTGTTTGTTTTTTGTTTGTTTGTTCGTTTTTGAGACGGAGTCTTGCTCTGTCTCCCAGGCTGGAGTGCAAAGGCGCCATTTCCGCTCACTGCAAGCTCCGCCTCCCGGGTTCGCGCCTTTCTCCTGCCTCAGCCTCTTGAGTAGCTGGGACTACAGGCGCCTGCCACCACGCCCGGCTAATTTTTTGTATTTTTAGTAGAGATGGAGTTTCACTGTGTTAGCCAGGATGGTCTCGATCTCCTGACCTGGTTATCCGCTCGCCTCCGTGCTGGGATTACAGGCGTGAACCACCGCACCTGGCCGTAAATGAGTAAGTTTTAAGAAAGTGCTGAAGTTAGTACACCCTTACTTCTGAACCTCATCTTACATTGTACAACTTTAAGTATATTGATTGGCTTACTTTGTTAAAGTATGGTGTTTTATAATTTTTTATAAAATATAATTTCTATCAAACCAATACGAAATTTCTGAAGAAGTATGAACACAGTTAACACAGTGCGAATGCAGTTAACCTTTTTATAGTTTTCCATGTTCAGATAGAAGTGAAGCAATTTGTCTAGGAATAAGACAAATTGTTGGTTTCTGTAATGAAATAAAAATAATATATCTATCTTACTTGCTGATTATTGATAACAAATAGTCTGACAACACTAGAAGGGTCAAAACATGTGAGTACAGACTGTACACGGAAAGGTGTCATATGAGAATTTCAATACTACAAGTCGAGCATTCTCAATTTGAAAATCTGAAATCCAAAATGCTCCAAAATCAAAAACATTTTGAGCACTGATGTGACACCACAAGTGGAAAATTCCAGATAAAAATTATTAACACAAATTTTGTTTCATGCACAAAATTATTAAGAATATTGTTTAAAATCATCTTCAGGCTATATGTGTAATTCACAAATGTATTTTATGTTTAGACTTGGGTCCCACCCCCAAGATATCTCATTATGTATATGCAAGTATTCCAAAATTGAAGAAAACCAGAAATCCAAAACAATTCTGGCCCTAAGCATTTCAGATAAGGGATATTCATTAAACCTGTATATGGACTGAGTTGTTTGATAACACCATGCTATCTGTAAAGGTGCCAAATCAGAAACAGTTTATCTTTTGTAAATATGCTATTCATTTAGAAATCACTAAAAATTATAGTATGCTCTTTTATTGAAGTTGCATATTGTTTTAAAAAGTTATGTCTTTATTCCCGAAGATATCAAAATCTTTATTATATTGTATTACATCATATTATATTATATTAATTTTGTCTTATTTCCACCCATGGATTATTCATCACCCCTTTAAGGGTAATATTTTGCATTATTAATGTTTGTACTTCTGGTTCTTTGTTAACTACTGCTCATTAAATATCTATTATTTGGAAATATTTAAACTGGATGAATTCTAGTGTTTTAAGAATATGAAAGTTATTGTTCATCTACTACTGGACACACATTTCTCAAAAAACCTGATAAAATCTGTTAGAAAAGTTACATTTCTCAGATCTGAGTAATGTCTTGTTCCTCCATCAAAAGTCTCTTCTCCATGAAGAATTAATTGAGGCTGTGTAATTTTAGCAAAGACTTTTTACTCTCTTGTAAGCATAAATGATCTAAGTATAGCTACATGGCTTGTCTGATCTTTCTCTTTCTGAAGATGGAAGAGAAAGGCAGTCCATTTAAAATGTCTAAATATGACACTCTGGACCTTACGATATTTGCTCAACTTCATTACTGTACTGATATTTGCAGGGATTGAAATTATTTTCTTGATCCTCTCATGAGAATTTTAAAACTTTGGAATCTTTCACTTGAAATGATCTTGATTTTTTTGAAACAATCTGATTTCCTTTTTTATTAGCATTACATTGTGATTGAAGCAGATCGAATGACTCCTCAGAAGCAAAAAATATCAGATTATATATATATTTTTTCTTTTCAAGATATTGAGTAGAAAGGCCACTCTGCTATTTCCCATAATGAATCTTTCATTTAAAGATATGGGTGAAGAACATTTACAAGGATCCTGGCATCTGAGTTACTGTTGCTATAATTGTATTTATGCATTTGACTTTAGTTAATTTTTCCAGTAAGATGAAACAAACTGAAGAGACAGAGACACTATCACTTAAAAATGATATTAGATTTTATTCAAGATCTGTTTGTCCACAAAATTTATATTCGAAACTACTTTATGCATATAAATAAATTTCATGAATTATACTCTCACCAGATAGTCAAATATAATTAGTAGTTTTTCCCCTAAAATCAAAGAAAAAAAACATATTTAGTAAGTGATGTAAAATTGAGTTGTTGCCTGAAATGATAATATGAGATATTTTGTAGTCAATGATTTGCACCGTATCATCTGTAATAATGCAGACACACCTTTGGAAGAAAAAGTGGTATTGAGTTTTAAAGGAAATGTAGAAAAATCACAGCTCTAATTTAATTGGTCTTGATACATAATTATATGAAGGTAAGTAACATATTGAACTAGTATTTTGTCACTTCTGGTGAAGTATGAGCATGAAACTGTGCCATGATAATTACTTTTAATAAATTACTGACATTATTAAATTGTATTGAATGCACAATTTTGAGCTTGCCCAGTTTATCTACCTTTATGATACGGAAGCCATAATTTTCTCTTTTACTTTGGGATGGTTTTCTCTACAGAGGAACTCTAAATCTTTCCTATCCCATAAATACGTGAACATAAACCCGTGATTTATTGCAATTTAGCTTCTGTTTCTGTGGAGGAGGTTTACTGTGCTGAGAAAACTCATTAATCTCATTCACAGCTCGTAGTCTAAACATAACCTTTACAATATATAACAGAAGAAATTATGTGTTTGTGTGATTTACTGTTTCTGTTTTGGAAATAGAACAAATTGTAGTTTTTTTTTCCTTTTATTTTTAATATTTATTGATCAATTTGCACTATTAACACAAACGAGGTACAAAATACATTATTTTTCATTTTGACATTTGTTTTTATCTTTATTTATTATAAAAAGAAATATCAAAATGTGACTTGACATAAAACAAACTTCAAAGCAAAACTATCTTCTGATGTATTCTTGTATTATAAAATTGGTTTGTGATACTGAATGTGAGTATGAACATAATTTTATATCTACATGTTGATATCTCTTAAATTCCATTTTATATTAACTTTGTACAAAATTTATTTACACTATGCTAATTTTTGCAGAATAATTTCTTTTTTTGTGTTCTAAACAGTTTTGCTATGCCATTCTAGATTCCTCTGAGACCTACTAGTTGAGTTTTTGAAGGTGTAACTGTGGTAATGTGAAAAAAGGTCTGCTACCACTTTATGAACTTTGCTCTAAATCAATTCTTATTTGTTTCATTTGTCTTTGCTATTTCCTGAAAATTTTATTTTGTATAATTTGCTCTCTTTATCAACACTGGCATTTAAAAGGATGATTCTCAGTTTCTTCTGTAGCACTGGACTTTCTCAATTGTAAAAGCATTCCAGCATCATTTAGTGGCTTATAAAATCACAATGTCAAGAACTAGTGGAAGGAAGTACTGCTTTCTTGAGTTCATAATCTGCAGTATAAACATTTCATTTTTATGTAGTGAAGATTTTAAAGCAATAATTTAACTTACCAATTGTTAAATCATCATCAATTAAAGGACTATTTAACATATTAAAAAGCATTTTTCTTAGTAAGTTAATAATGATCCAATTAAAATACAATTTCTCTTCATTTCTGTAGATAGAATATTCTGAAAAATATTCATGTCAGATCTTTGACCTGAGACTGAAGGACAAATACTTCTTACAAGGAACTTAGGATGGCTTAAAAATATATCTTCTAGTAATTAAGAACTTCTAAGAAGAAGATCTTCACTTGTTATTTTTTCTTTTTCTTACTGGCCCCTGGAACCTGAAGGTATACCCTTTAGCTGTCACCCAACCTGTTGTCACCAAGCTTCCCAGAAAGGCAGTAGAGGGCACTAAGAGAATGTGACAGTACAGCATAGATACTGATTGCTTCAAGCACGATGCTATGCAATTCGGAGACAAAGAAGGGGAGTCCATTTTTCAGTCATAGGTTATTCTTGGTTTACTGGTCCTTGAACTGAGAATGATATGAAACAGTAGGGTGCTTACCAAATGAATATTTAGTGTTCACTCGGATTAAATCTCAGCCTCTTGGCTGATGATTGAGACCTCTTTCTAAACTAAACTTTGGACATGAGGTCAATATGCATCAGCATATGGCTCAGTTTCTACTATCTGAGGACTTTATGCATAATGCTCTGATAAACTGATTCTTTTCAACTGCCCATTTTTCTTGCCCCTCTGATCCTGGTATGGATAAAGCATATGGGAAATCACAGTGATTAATTTACCAAAGTTCTCACTCTGTCGGCCAACAGCAAATTACATTTGGACAATACAAGTCTCAGAATTCAATGTACATCTCTAATTTTCCTACCAAAATATTGTGGCCTATTGTTGCATGACAATGGCAGTTTCTGAGTGGGATTTGAGATAACAGTAGCAGTGTGTTTGCCTCAAGGAAAGTACCAATCGTTGGCTGCCTAAGTGCTTGCTTACTTTTTACGTTGTGCTTCCAAATCAGGGAATAGAAGAAGGGGATTTGAAAAATATCCTCTAACCAATTTGTCTTTATTACATTATTCAATCCAGTTCTATAGGCCTTGCACTTGGAGAAAATTTGTCCCAGATTATAACAGATTGACTGCCAATCCTATTCTGCATTCAAACAATTTATTGGATGTTTTTGACTTTCCATGAGTATTTACTAGAAAATTGGAAACCAGTAGCTTCTTGCCAGACTCTATTTCATATCAAAGTATCTTCTTACCTGTTTTTGTAAATAAAGTTTTATTGGAACACTTCCAAAAAAAAAAAAAACAAAGTATTTTCTTAGAGACACTTGCTTCCAGTCCTCTCTCTACAAGATTAATTTCAAAAATAATGTTACAATGTACACTTCTATAAAGGTCTATTATTAATATACTTGATGTTTATCTGACTCATTGCGACTGGCAGAAAAATCCTTAGAATTGAGGCCATATTTATGCCTATGTATTATATAACATATAGTTAAATGATGATAACAGGCAAAAGAATAAGCAACACTCAGATTATTGTTCCCAAATGCACTTACTGACTATTAGTTTATATATTTTCCAAATTACTCCTATTTCAGGAAAACACATTGAAAGATGGAATTTAAGAATTCCATGTTGCATTATCCTTCATATTTTTACATTTGTAAAGAAAGCCTGAAAGGTAACTGAAGAGTGAGACCATCTTACAAAATTTGTTATCAGGTATTCTAGATTATAAGACACATTGAGAGAGCTGATTGTCAGCTCTTGGGACCAAGGACTTTTAGTTATTCAGAGCTAATGATAAGTGATCCAAGATCATTGAGAATGCTCACAAAAGCTATTTTGATAGAGCATGGTTATTATCTTATACATTCATTTTATATGATTAACAGGTAAATATATGAAATTCTCAGATATCTAAAGTCAATCCATGTTAAAACATCTACAGAGAAAGAAAAAGAAGGTAAAAGGCTGATTTGTAAATAGACATTTCACTCTCAGGCTAGACGATTAGCACATAATTTGATCTGAAATGAAGACTGTGCTTTCTAGTAAAGTGGATGAAGTATTACTATTCTATTTTTATGTGTCCCCTCCTTAACACTTCCTTGACGTCACTTCTTTGATGTGACAGTCCTTATCTCCTTGCCAGACTTTCCTTTAGTGGTAAGAACAGCTGAAATTGTTTCTGTTTTGAGAGCTGCTTTTCAGAAATTGGTGCAGTGATCAGTGTATATTCTATATAATATGATAAGTTGCCGTCTAAAATACTTTCCTGGTCCCTGATATTTTATAGTGAAATAAAACGTCTTGCCACATACCAATTTCATTAGATCAGCAACTTTACTGGCATTATTTTTGCAAGCATTAAACTTTTGGAAGCAACATTAAATAAGCTTTATTTTCTGTTTAAAACAAGTAAAGAAAAATAGTCATGATGTATTAAGTGCTTATCATGCATCAGACTCTGTAATGATGCTTTTGATGTGTCATCTCATTTCATCCTCACAACGACTATGTTCAGTCAGTCCTATCAGAATTTTATAACCAGGTAAGTAAAGCTCAGAGAGCTTAAAACATTGCTCAGTACAGTGACAACATTCAAACCCAAACCCTTTGAGAGCACAATCCTTGAGCTCTCTAATGTGGCCAGCTGCCATTTACCACTGTAGTTTTACTTTCTGATATTTGGGCCATTGTTGTAACTCATTAACAGATAGGCTTGGAAGAGATTATTTCATTAAAAATTGCTAGTTACATTCTTCAGCACAGTATGGAAAAAGCTGTTTGGAATAATAATTCTGTTCATACTTTTAAATGACCTTTCCTCAATATTGGATTATTTGCTTGAACTTGTAATAGGCTAAGGTGCATGCTTACACAGAGCCTGGACTTGATGCTGCATTAAGAGTCAGCCAGCATTTGGCATAGCAGGTGTAACAAGCCAAAAATTTATTCTCAAAAAGAATTGGCCTCAACCTGGGCATAGCACCTCAGAATAAGTACTAAAGAGTTGTGGTGGGTTTTTTCTTTTAATATGTAAAATTTACAGTGGGGTATTTCATTTGAATATACATCTCATTGAATATCTGTATAGGAATTGTTTTATTTCAACTGAGAAACAGTTTAACTTGTTTGAATTTTTTTAACTGAAATTATATTTCCTTTCTTTTATTAGTATAGAAATTTGATAAGCAAATTGTGTGCTCCTATAGTTAATACACAAACTATTATAGTTTACAGTTTAATGGATTTACCTCACTTTTGGTATTTACCTCTTGTCTTTTTGCTCAATATTTGTTTTACTGGGATTCACCACAGATATAGTTATTTAATTGTAACCTTAATAAAACTACACATTAAAACCTTATGCAACCAGTTGGGGCGTAAAAACCTCGAAAACAAATGAATAAATACAACCCTGAACCACTAACAGGATAATGATTTTGTGCCTTGTAAAACTTTAGAGACTCGGCCGGGTGCGGTGGCTCACACCTGTAATCCCAGCACTTTGGGAGGCCAAGGTGGGTGGATCATGAGGTCAGGAGTTCCAGACCAGCCTGACCAACATGGTGGAACCCCATCTCTATTAAAAATACAAAAATTAGCCGGGCATGATGGCACGTACCTGTAATCCCAGCTACTCAGGAGGCTGAGGCAGGAGAATCACTTGAACCTGGGAGGCAGAGGTTGTAGTGAGCCGAGATCGTGCCACTGCACTCCAGCCTGGGTCACAGAGCGAGACTCTGTCTCAAAAAAACAAACAAACAAACAAACAAACAAAATTTTAGAGACTCAGTGCATGATTATCATTCCCAAAGGACTAATTTCTGTCATTACAAAATTTTATAAATATTTTTTAGTTTTAATTATTATGGATATATAATAGTTGTACATATTTATGGGGTACCTGTGATATTTTGATACAAGCATACAATGTGTAATGATCTAATCAGAGCAATTGGAATATCCATCACTTCAAGCATTTATCATTTCTTTGTGTTAGGAACATTCCAGTGCCACTCTTCAAGCTATTTTGAAATATACAATAAATTATTGTTAACTGTAGTCACCACATTGTGCTACAAAACACTATATTTTATTCATTCTATGTAACAGTATTTTTATCCACATTAACCACTTCCCTCTTTATTTCCCCTCCCCATTACCTTTTCCAGCCTCTGCCATCATTCTGATATCTCCAGGAGTTTAATTTTTTCAAAGACCTAATTTCGAATGCTTAGCCTAAGCCATCATCATCACTCACCTAGATGATTGCAGTAGTTTCCAAATTGATCTCTCTGCTGCAACTCATGTCTCCTACTCACAGTACTTTCTCCACAAAGCATCCAAGGAATGTTTTGAAAAATTAAAATTAATTTGTCACCATCCTCCATATACTTAAAATACTTTCATGATCTTGCAATGAAGTTAAACTAAAATCTCAAGTTTCTTAACTTACCCTAAACGATTCTTCACCAACTTAACCTGGGAACACTCACAGTCTACTAATTTACATTGACCTACACCTCAGACATTTTAGGTGTATATTTTCAGCCTCATCCCATCCCCTCCACCCAAAAATATCCTTCTAAGCAATCTGGTGTCATCTACAATGGTTCCTTATGAGAAATAACACTCCAGATCATTCATTCTCAACTAGGTCTCCTGGGCTTTTCTCTTCCACAATGCTACTTTTATTTCAACTGCAGCAGTTTTCACAATTTATAGTCAGATATTTGTTTATTGTATGTATTTTTCTAGACTGTAAATTCTCTGATGGAAGGAAGAATATCCAACTGTTTATAACTATTTATTTAGTACCTATTAGATATCACTCAGCTTTTGTAATTAAAGCACAACCTTGGGTACTTTCAAATACATTTTCCTGAAACCTATATTACAAATACCTTTTTATTATTTATCCCTATGTTTCGCCATTAATTTAAAACTCATCAATATTTACACAATTATTTACTTACAATTAAAATTAAGCATGTGGATGTGATAGCAATATTCAGTGGAATCCATTTAAAACTACACATTTCACGTGAAATCAAAGCCCTTTCATTATGGAGAATTTTCAAGTCAACGGGACCTAAAACACATACTTTGTATTCAGAGGAGCTTGATTATTTGTTATGAAATGTCTCATAGTATCTGGTGCATAATATTTATGTTGCAGTTATATTTGTGACAGTATGTAGAAAGAATGGAGGTAATTATGGTATGATAGAAAATATATATCATAATCAGTATTAGAAGAGATATTTCTAGTCACTGCCTTTACTAAATTGTCAAGAATCAGATGAGCTATTGATGACACCTTGCTTACACTTGACTTGACATATAATCCTATGTTTTAATTTAATGGCAAAATGCTTTGCTAATCACATCAAGACATACTTTCCCTACTTCTTACTTTCATGTGTTTATGCGCTATCATTAAGCCTCCTTTATTTTGCAATGCTGCTTTCTCTTTAAGAATAACTAATTTCCAGATCTCTCCAATTTCTACCCTCTCAGTTGCACCTTGTTGCTTATGCCATAACCACTTTTTCATGCTCACTTCATTATGTTGGTGTTTTAAGCAGAACACCTGCTAAGGGGTTATCTACTTTTGAAAAGATCCAATTGTCTTTAGAGCAAAGTGAAATATAGGCACAGAGGCCTAATTATTATTAACTGTTAGCATAATTGTAATTATAAGTAGAATATTTCATTATATTACATCTGTTGACATTTTAAATGAATCTCTGTAATGTGCTACACTAATAAGCAGCAAGGAACTGCTGACTTGGCACACTTTTGGATGGCATTTGTGACAACAAAAGAGGTTATGAAAATGAATTTGCCATAGGAGTCCTACCGAGTTAGTTACTATGATTCACAAGTTTATTATGGTAATAAAGCAACACGAGACAGTAATACTAGGGACTCAGATAATCAAGGAATGCACAATATTGCTCCCAACACATTGTGAAGAAGAACTAAGAAGTGCTGGGAATTGTATACAATCTAGTAGCAGCTGTCTCACTACTGAAACACATCAGAAGGTCCTCTTCACCTTGTCTCTTCTCTGCTTGGTTCTTCCATTTGCAGTTTTCCTGAGAATATATGAATTGTTTCGGCAACACAGAAAAATTATTCTCATTGTGGCCTCAAGGTTGCAGGCTCACTTCTTTAATAGGAGGACACAGAGAAATGGTGCAGATTTAATCTTCAAACACAATGGGGGTTGTAATTTTTCTCTTCCCTGTGTGATTTCTACATGAAGTGACAGGGTTCAAACAAGCACATGAAACAGAAGTGATGAAGGTCAATGGATGTTGAAGGAAACCAACTCTTGAGATGTATAAATCTGGATTATCTCTCTGGCATATACAAACAAGTCAGCATGTGTTTTGTACTGAAGCATAAATAGCAAAATCCCTGCCAAATATCAATGTCTGTTTGAAAACTCTTGTTTAAAACCTCCTTCATTGCCATTGACATTGTCTTGTTGACTATTTATAGGA
This sequence comes from Homo sapiens, assembly GCF_000001405.40. Classification (NCBI taxonomy): domain Eukaryota; kingdom Metazoa; phylum Chordata; class Mammalia; order Primates; family Hominidae; genus Homo; species Homo sapiens. The sequence continues at coordinate 67,444,822 of NC_000013.11, forward strand.
CATTTGTAATAAAGTAATTTAATACATTTGCTTTGTTTTGTCTATATTTTATGATTAGACAATTTTAAAAAGTTATGGTCAAATAAATTCATTCAAGCCCTATAAAACTTTTCTTGGGACATGCAAATCAAGTATACTCGTTTCTATAGACAGAATTATATGTTTTTTTATTGCTGTGTAACAAATTATCATGAATTTAGTAGCTCAAAAAACACCTCATTAGGCTGCCCGCGGTAGCTCATGCCAGTTTGGGATGCCTAGGCCAGCGGATCACTTGAGGTCAGGAGTTCAAGACCAGCCTGGCCAACATGGTGAAACCTCGTCTCTACTAAAAATACAAAAAAAAAAAAAAAATTAGCTGTGTGTGGTCGTGGGCACCTATAATCCCAGCTATTCGGGAGGCTGAAGCAGGAGAATTGCTTGAACCCCGGGAGGCAGAGGTTGCAGTGACCTGAGATCGTGCCACTGCACTCCAGCCTGGGCAACAGAATGAGAATCTGTCTCAAACAAAACAGTACAAACAATTAAAAAAATCTCATTAGCTACAAGTCTGTGGGTTAGAAGTCTGGATACAGTGTGGCTAGGTTCTGTACTCAGTGTCTCAAAAGGGGTATCATTGAAGATGTTGGCGAGGCTGTGTTCTTGTCTTGATCGTCCGGGGAAGAATATTTCCAGACTCATTCAGGTGGTTGGCTAATTTCAGTTCCTTGCACTAAAAGCACACAAGTCCCTATTTCTTTGCTGGCTGTCCACTGGGGATCCCTTTCAGCTTCTAGAAGCTGTTTTTACTTTTTGCCACTTAGTGTCTATTATCTTCAAAGCCAGCAACAGAGAACTTCCCTTGCATGGGTTTCCTTTCACACTTCAAATCTTTCTGACTTTCCCTGTATCTAACCTCTAGGCCTAGATTCAAAAGGTCATATGGCTCGCTCATATAATCTTTCTATTGCATAGTGAACTGAGTTGGGACTTTAATTACATCTGCAAAATCCTTTTACAGTAGTACCTACGTTAGTGTTTTGTTGGATCACTGGAAGAAGGTATGTGTATACTAGAAGTTAGAATATCAGAATATTAGAGACCACCATTCAATTCTGCCTATCACTTAGTCATTACTGCAAACACATGCTCAAACTATCAAAAAATGCAGGAGAATCTGATACAATTATATTGCTGCATAGTGACTTTAGGTAGTATTTTCAGAGTGCAGCACCAAAAATCAACATCATAACTTTGTGGAACATATTTTTGACTGATTTATTACACAAAAATAGTAATTTATTATTTTTATTAAATGTTCAGTTCTTCATTCATTCATGAAATAGATATTTATTGCATCCTAAATATGCTCAACAGCTGGCCATAAAAAGAGTATGTATAGATTCCTGCTCTCAGAGAACTTATAGATACTTTGTGTCACACACTTCGTTAGAAACAAAAGATGCAGTTACAGACAAGAAAGACTTGTACTTGAGCTGCTTAAAGTTCTATTGTGAAGAGACATAAACAGAATAACCACAGAAATAAGTATTTAATTACAAATGAGTGCTATAAAAACAAGAAAATAGGGTTCATTAAGCCATGTATCAGGAATACAACCTAGAAAGAAGAAAAGGAGATTTCCCTGAGAAAGTCATATTTAAGCTGCCATTTGAAGACCAAGGAATTATGACTAGAGACAAGAAGAGAGAACATAGAGTGATTATGGAGAATCTTAGCTTTTTGTTAACTCATGAAAAATATTAATAGCTTTTAAAAACAGTTATACCATATAAAATGGACACAGAAATTTTTCTGTTTAGTAAAATCTGCAATCTGTTTTACAATTAAATGTGTAACTTCTTGAACTAATCATGGGAATAACTTTTGCCTTGAGGCATATGAATAATATGCCTTCTTCCATAAGTGAAATATGTTTAAAATTTTATCTCTCTCTCTCTCTCTCACACACACACACACACACACACACACACACACAGCTTAATAAGTGTCTGGCAAAGTTATAAATCATTTCCAAATAATAACTCATTTAATCCTTGTAATAATCCCATTAGGCTGCTACAATAATTATCTGCATTTTACAGATGAGGAAACTTGAGGCTCAGAGAAGTTAAATATAAAGATCGCAGAGTGATCAAAGAGTGAGACAGAATTTGAACCCAGATTGCTTGGCTCCAGGGTTTGTGGCATTGTCTTTTATGCTATACTGCCCATGGCAAGACATAGGCAACACCTAGGACCCAGACCAGAATACACTGCATGGTACACAATCAATATTACCTCCCTTTTGAAACATTGACCTTTTTTTGAGTTGCTGCACCCTGTGTTTTTTGCTTGCTTAATAATGACTGATCAGCTTTGGAAATAAATCACACCTGAAAAGACTTTGCTTTCTTTATAACCACTTTTTATCAAACTGGTACATTGTTTTTAGAACATTCTCAGAGACTGAAAAAGCACCTTTTTTTTTGAATGCTTGTCTATGTTTGGTAAATATTTCATGTTAGTAAATATTTTATTTCTAATATGGATAAAAATACGTATCTAAAATATATGTGAACATATAATCAAGTTGCTTGAAATTATTGCAGAAGTATTATATTGAATTTGTGTTTTTTAAAAAATTTTAGGTATACAAAAAAAATGAAAACAAGTCATAATTATTTACAGAACCAAATGTAGCCATCACTTTCTTAATATTATTCTTCCCTCCCTCAATATTAATCCTGTTTTCATTTCCATAGGTCATTTCCCACAGGAACATATGAATTTGATAATTTTTTATAACCCTTTCCTTTCCTTTCTGGATTAAGGAAATTAGGAAAGAAAAAGCAATCAAAGGTGTACAAATTGAAAATAAGAATTCTGTCTTTTGCAGACAAAATATTCATGTCTATAAATAATCCGAAAGCATCTACTAAAATACACTAGACTACTATGTGAATTTAGAAAAGTTGAATAATTCTAGTTGAAAGTAATAAAAGTTAATTTTAACTACACGCTAGGAACAAACAAATGAAAAATAAAATTAAACATATGGTTTACAATAAGACCAAAACATAAAATACTTGGTGGTAAATGTAAAATTCTATGTACAATATTTTATAGTGAAAACTAAAATATACATCTTTCTAAAATAAATTAGAGGAGTTGTAAAAGGAGAGAGAATGAGTTAGCCAGGGTTCTGTAGACAAACAGAACCAATAAAAGGTACTTAAATAAGGAGAGAGACTGATTTTAAGAAAATGGCTCCCACAGTTGTGGGGGATGCCATATCCAAAATCTCTAGAGTAGGGAAGCTCTCTGGAAGTCCTGAGAGGAGTTGATGTTGCTGTCGAGTCTGAAAGCAGTCTGAATTCTTCCTTTTCAGGGAGCCTCCATCTTCTCTCTTAAGGCCTCCCACTGTTTGGATAAGATGCACACACATTAGGGAAGTTAGTCTACTTTACTCAAAGTCTTTTATATTAATATTAATCACATTTTAAAAATACCTTTATAGCAACATCTGCAGTGGTGTTTGACTAACGACCAGGCAGCATAGTCTAGCCAAGTTGACTCATAAAATTAACCATCACAGAAAGACATATACCATGTTCATAAAATGGGACACTCAATATTTTTGAAATGATATCCTTAAATTAATCTATAGATTTTATGTGATCATCTCAGTAAAAATGCCTGTGGGCTTTTTTTTTTTGGTGGAAATGTACAAGCTGCTATTTAAATCTATAAGTATTTGAAAATGAACTAGTACAGCAAACATAATTTCAAATGCAAAGAACAGTTAGAGAATTTAAACATCCTAGTTTTAAGATTTACTACAAAGTTAAAATAAACAGGTAATTATGGTAATAATAATAAGATGGACACACAGAGATTACAGAAATACACTCCTGTGTATATGATGAATTGACTTGTGAAAAGGTGCTAAGGAATGAAATAGGAAAAGAACACTCAATTTAAGAAATAATTTTGAAACATATGATTTAATTTTAGACATATGTGTGTATTTTAATTTTTATTATATTTATTTATTTTGAGACAGAGTCTCGCTTTCTCACCCAGGCTGGAGTGAAATGGTGCAATCTTGGCTCACTGCAACCTCTGCCTCCTGGGTTCAAACAATTCTCTTGCTTTAGCCTCTTGAGTAGCTGGGATTACAGGTGCATGCCACCATGCCTGGCTAATTTTTGTATTTTTAGTAGCGATGGGGTTTCAACATGTTGGCCAGGCTGGTCTCAAACTCCTGACCTCAGGCGATCCACTTGCCTTGGCCTCCCAAAGTGCTGGGATTACAGGCGTGAGCCACCCCGCCCGGCCTGTATTTTTATATCTCACAAAATACACAAAACTTAAGTCCAAATAGATTATTAACCTAGATGTCAAAGTTAAAGCTATAGAACTTCTAGAAAAGAACACAGAAAAAAAATCTGTAAACTTTTTTAGCAAAAATGTCTTCAACAGGACAAAAAAGGTACCAGAGTTAAAGGAAGATAATTGATAAGTGAACATCAAAGTTAAAATATTTTGCTGTTGAAAATTCACAATTTCATTAATAAAATGAAAATGAAAACACAGATGGGCTGAAAATATTTGCAATTTTTATGTCTCATAATGACGTATCTAAAAAAATTTAAAAACTTACAACCCACTACTAAGAAGATAATTTTTAAATGTGCAAAATGCATTAAAACAAACATCAAAAAAGAAGCTCACCAAAAGATGCTCAACATTGTTGGGCATCAAGGAAATATAAATTATTACTATAATGCAATATCACTACAATTTCACCACAATAGCTAAAATTAGACTGATAATATAAGTGTTAGTGAGGATGTGATATAATAGACCTCTGATACATTGATGGCAGGAGTACAACATGGCAGAAAAATTTTGGACAATTACTAGACAGTTTCTTACAGAGATTAACATAACCACCATATGACCCAGCAATCCCCTCTAGGTATTCATCTGAGAAAAGTAAAAACATATTTTCTCACAAAAACATGAGAATGATGCTTCAGGACAGCTTTATTTGTAACAGCCAAAAACTAGAAAACTCTAAAATGGCTATCAAAAAGTGAAATCATAAACTTGTGTTGTATTTATATAAAGGGAAATTAATCACCACGTTAAAAATGAATGACTGATATACAAACACTGTGGGTAAATCTCAAAACCTGTAAGGTGAAAATGAAAGACCAGACACCAAAGTCTTCATTCTATATAATTTCATTTATGTGAAATTCCAGGACAGACAAAGTGTAGTAATAGGTGAGAGGTTTGACAGAGAAAGGATGAAGAAAGAAAACATTTATTTATTTATTTATTTATTTTTCTGTATTTCTACTAAAAAAAAAAAAAACTGACATGCTTGTGCAGAACATGCAGGTTTGTTACATAAGTATATGTGTGCCACGGTGGTTTGCTGCACCTATTGACCCATCCTTTGAGTTCCCTCCCCTCACCTCCCACCCCCGCAAGAGGCCCTGGTGTGTGTTGTTCCCCTCTCTGTGTCCATGTGATCTCAGTGTTCAACTCTCACTTATGAGTGAGAACATGCGATGTTTGGTTTTCTGTTCCTGTGTTAGTTTGCTGAGGGTGATGGTTTCTAGCTTCATCCATGTTGCTGCAAAGGACATGATCTTCCTTTTTATGGCTGCAAAGTATTCCATGGTGTATATGTACCACATTTTCTTTATCCAGTCTATCATTGATGGGCATTTGGGTTGGTTCCATGTCTTTGGTATTGTAAATAGTGCTGTAATAAACATATGCGTGCATGTGTCTTTACAGTAGAATCATTTCTATTCCTTTGAGTATGTACCCAATAATGGGATTGCTGGGTCAAAAGGTATTTCTGGTTCTTGATCCCTGAAGAATCACCGTACTGTCTTCCACAATGGTTGAACTAATTTACAGACCCATCAACAATGTAAAAGCGTTCCTATTTCTCCACAGCCTCGCCAGCATCTATTGTTTCCTAACATTTTAATAATCACCATTCTGACTGACATGAGATGACATCTCATTGTGGTTTTGATATGCATTTTCTGATGATCAGTGATGCTGAGCTTTTTTTCATATATTTGTTGGCTGCAAAAATGTCTTCTTTTCAGAAGTGTCTGTTCATATTCTTTTCCCACTTTTTGATGGGGTTGTTCGTTTTTTTCTTGTAAATATGTTTAAGTTCCTTGTAAATTCTGGATATTAGACCTGAATGTAAACATTTATATTTGTTGACTGGAATTGTAGTGAACATGGGTGAATACATTTTCCCAAACTTCTCAAACTCACACTTAAAATGAATGAGTTTTATTTCATATAAATTATACCTAAGTTGACTTAAAAAAATCTTGCTTTATGGAACACTTTTGGTCATATTTTGTTTTTAATAGTTTCATGTAATTTATTTGCCCCCACTATCTTTCATGGGATGACATGCTTGTTTCTAGATTAATTTCATACCCCACCACCATCCCTCATTATTGAAAAGTTAAGTCACATATGGTAGAACTTTTCAGCTTATAAACATACTAGGATAATTTGGTAAAACATTTGGATTGTATTCCATTACTAGATGTTAAGAATCATTTGTTAATTCAATAATATTATCAGTGATGACAGAGATTAGAACATTAGAAGTCATTTGAAATGAAGGATAATTCATAAGTAATCAAAAAATTGGGTAATCCACCAAATTCTACTTGTCACTTGGGTATAGATTTTTAAATATCATGAGCTAACCACAGATATTTTGTGCCCTCTGAGAGATAACACTTTTGATAAATAAGCATGAATAAGCTTATCTGATAAATAATAAGCATAAATAATGGGCACACTTGGGCATAGATTTTTAAATATCAAAAATTAAATTTAAGAGCCAGGCACAGTTCATGCCTGTAACCCCAGAGCTTTGGGAGGCTGAGGCGGGTGGATTGCTTGAGGCCAGGAGTTGGAGACCAGCCTGGCCAACATGGTGAAACCTCGTCTCTATTAAAAATTAGCAGGCCATGTCGGCCCATGTCTGTAATTCCAGCTAATTGGAAGGCTGTGGCACGAGAATCGCTGGAACCTGGGAGGCAGAGGTTGCAGTGAGTCGAGATCATGCCACTGCACTCCAGCCTGGGTGACAAGGTGAGACTCTGTCTAAAAAAAATTAATTAATTAATTAAATTTAAAATATGATATTACATGACCTTTAATATTAGGATGAGAAAAAATACTAAATTTCATTGCTGCCGAAACTGTTAACTGATTATTTCTCAAATACATGAAAATCAGTTTCTGAAGAATTAGTCACCTCCCTTCACAACTACTATAATACAATAATGCAAGATGTTTTAGGTGCTGTGTAGATATACATTTAAAAATTCATAGGTGCATTTTTATACATATTTACCTCAATACACATTAAAGTATAACTGTATATCAAAACTATAACTTTGGGGGGTCCATCCCAAGATGGCCAAATAGGAACAACTTTGGTCTGCAGCTCCCAGTGTGATCAGTGCAGAAGATGGGTGATTTTTCTGCATTTCCAACTGAGGTACCTTGTTCATCTCATTGGGACTGGTTGGACGGTCAGTGCAGCCCATGGAGGGTGAGCTGAAGCAGGGCGGGGTATTGCCTCACCCAGGAAGTGCAAGGGGTCAGGGGATTTCCCTTTCCTAGCCAAGGGAAGCCGTGACAGACTGTACCTGGAAAATTGGGACATTGCCACCCAAATACTGCACTTCTCCAATGGTCTTAGCAAATGGCACACGAGGAGATTATATGCCACACCTGGCTCAGCAGGTCCCACACCCACGGAGCCTTGCTCACTGCTAGCGCAGCAGTCCAAGATCAAACTGTGAGGTGGCAGCCTGGCTGGGGGAGGGGCGTCCACCATCGCTGAGGCTTGAGTAGGTAAACAAAGAGGCCTGGAAGCTCGAACTGGGTGGAGCCCATCGCAGCTGAACAAGGCCAGCTCAACAAGGCCTGCCTGCCTCTGTAGACTCCACTTCCGGGAGCAGGGCATAGCTGAACAAAAGGCAGCAGAAACTTCTGCAGACTTAAACATTCCTGTCTGACAGCTTTGAAGAGAGTAGTGGTTCTCCCAGCATGGTGTTTGAGCTCTGAGAACAGACAGGCTGCCTCCTCAAGTGGGTCCCTGACCCTCGTGTAGCCTAACTGAGACACCTCCCAGTAGGGGGCTGACTGAACCTCATACAGCTGGGTGCCCTTCTGAGACAAAGCTTCCAGTGGAAGGATCAGGCAGCAATATTTGCTGTTCTGCAATATTTGTTGCTCTGCAACCTCCATTGGTGATACCCAGGCAAACAGGATCTGGAGTGGACCTCTAGCAAACTCCAACAGATCTGCAGCTGAGGGATCTGACTATTAGAATGAAAACTAACAAATGGAAAGGAATAGCATGAACATCAACAAAAAGGACATCCACACCAAAACTCCATCTGTAGGTCACCATCAGCAAAGACCAAAGGTAGATAAAACCACAAAGATGGGGAGAAACCAGAGCAGAAAAGCTGAAAATTCTGAAAACTGGAGTGCCTCTTCTCCTCCAAAGAATTGCACCTCCTTGCCAGCAACGGAACAAAGCTGGATGGAGAATGACTTTGACGAGTTGACAGAAGTAGGCTTCAGAAGGTCGGTAATAACAAACCTCTGAGCTAAAGGAGGATGTTTGAACCCATCACAAGGAAGCTAAAAACTTTGAAAAAAGATTAGATGGATGGCTAACTAGAATAAACAGTGTAGAGAAGACCTTAAATGACCTGATGGAGCTGAAAACCATGACACAAGGACAATACGACACATGCACAAGATTCAGTAGTCGATTTGATCAAGTGGAAGAAAGGGTATCAGTGACTGGAGATCAAATTAATGAAATGAAGCAAGAAGAGAAGTTTAGAGAAAAAAAGAGAAAAAGAAATAAACAAAGCCTCCAAGAAATATGGGACTATGTGAAAAGACCAAATCTATGTCTGATTGGTGTACCTTAAAGTGATGGGGAGAATGGAACCAAGCTGGAAAACACTCTTCAGTATATTATCCAGGAGAACTTCCCCAACCTAGCAAGGCAGGCCAACATTCAAATCTAGGAAATACAGAGAACACCATAAAGATACTCCTTGAAAAGAGCAACCCCAAGACACATAATCGTCAGATCCACCAAGGTTGAAATGAAGGAAAAAATGTTAAGGGCAGCCAGAGAGAAAGGTCGGGTTACCCACAAAGGGAAGTCCATCAGACTAACAGCGGATCTCTCGGCAGAAACGCTACAAGCCAAAAGAGAGTGGGGGCCAATATTCGACATTCTCAAAGAAAAGAATTTTCAACCCAGAATTTCATATCCAGCCAAACTAAGCTTCATAAGTGAAGGAAAAATAAAATTCTTTACAGACAAGCAAATGCTGAGAGATTTTGTCACCACCAGGCGTGCCTTACAAGAGCTCCTGAAGGAAGCACTAAACATGGAAAGGAACAACCAGTAACAGCCACTGCAAAAACATGCCAAATTATAAAGACCATCAATGCTAGAAAGAAACTGCACCAACTAACGGGCAAAACAACCAGCTAACATCATAATGACGGGATCAAATTCACATATAAAAATATTAACCTTAAATGTAAATGGGCTAAATGCTCCAATTAAAAGACACAGACTGGCAAATTGGATAAAGAGTCAAGACCCATCAGGGTGCTGATTCAGGAGACCCATCTCACGTGCAGAGACACACATAGGCTCAGAATAAAGGGATGGAGGAAGATCTACCAAGCAAATGAAAAGCCAAAAAAAAAAAAAAACAAAAAAAAAACCAGGGTTGCAATCCTAGTCTTTGATAAGACAGACTTTAAACCAACAAAGATCAAAAGGGACAAAGAAGGCCACTACATAATGGTAAAGGGATCAATTCAACAAAAAGAGCTAATTATCCTAAATATATATGCACCCAATACAGGAGCACCCAGATTCATAAAACAAGTCCTTAGAGAGCTACAAAGAGACTTAGACTCCTACACAATAATATTGGGAGACTTTAACACCCCATTATCAATATTAGACAGATCAATGAGACAGAAGGTTAACAAGGATATGCAGGACTTGATCTCAGCTCTGCACCAAGTGGACCTAATAGACATCCACAGAACTCTCCACCCCAAATCAACAGAATATACATTCTTCTCAGCACAACATCACACTTATTCCAAAATTGAACACATAGTTGGAAGTAAAGCATTCCTCAGCAAAGGTAAAGGAACAGAAATCACAACAAACTGTCTCTCAGACCACAGTGCAATCAAACTAGAACTCAGGATTAAGAAACTCACTCAGAACCACAAAGCTACATGGAAACTGAACAACCTGCTCCTGTTGTTTTGGATAAATAACAAAATGAAGGCAGAAATAAAGTTGTTCTTTGAAACCAATGAGAACAAAGACACAACGCACCAGAATCTCTGAGACACATTTAAAGCAGTGTGTAGAGGGAAATTTACAGCACTAAATGCCCACAAGAGAAAGCAGGAAAGATCTAAAATCAACACCTTAACATCAGAATTAAAAGAACTAGAGAAGCAAGAGCAAACACATTCAAAAGCTAGCAGAAGGCAAGAAATAACTAAGATCAGAGCAGAACTGAAGGAAATAGAGACACAAAAAACCCTTCAAAAAAAATCAATGAATCCAGGAGCTGGTTTGTGAAAACATCAACAAAATACATAGACCGCTAGCAAGACTAATAGAGAAGAAAAGAGAGAAGAATCAAAGAGATGCAATAAAAAAATGATAAAGGGGATATCACCACCAATCCCACAGAAATACAAACTACCATCAGAGAATACTATAAACACCCCTACCCAAATAAACTAGAAAATCTAGAAGAAATGGATAAATTCCTCGACACATACACTCTCCCAAGACTAAACCAGGAAGAAGTCGAATCCCTGAATAGACCAATAACAGGCTCTGAAATTCAGGCAATAATTAATAGCCTACCAACCAAAAAAAATCTAGGACCAGACAGATTCACAGCCGAATTCTACCAAAGGTACAAAGAGGAGATGGTACCATTCCTTCTGAACCTATTCCAATCAATAGAAAAAGAGGGAATCCTCCCTAACTCATTTTATGAGGCCAGCATCATCCTGATACCAAAGCCTGGCAGAGACACAACAAAAAAAGAGAATTTTAGACCAATATCCCTGATAAGCATCGATGCAAAAATCCTCAGTAAAATACTGGCAAACTGAATCCAGCAGCACATCAAAAAGCTTATCCACCAAGATCACGTTGGCTTTATCCCTGGGATGCAAGGCTGGTTCAACATATGCAAATCAATAAATGTAATCCATCACATAAAAAGAACCAATAACAGACAAACAGAGAGCCAAATCATGAGTGAACTCCCATTCACAATTGTTACAAAGAGAATAAAATACCTAGGAATCCAACTTACAAGAGATGTGAAGGACCTCTTCAAGGAGAACTATAAACCACTTCCCAAAGAAATAAGAGAGGACACAAACAAGTGGAAGAACATTCCATGCTGATGGATAGGAAGAATCCATATCGTGAAAATGGCCATATTACCCAAGGTAATTTATAGATTCAATGCCATCCCTATCAAGCTACCAATGACTTTCTTCACAGAATTGGAAAAAACTACTTTAAAGTTCATATGGAACCAAAAAAGAGCCCACATTGCCAAGACAATCCTAAGCAAAAAGAACAAAGCTGGAGTCATCACACTACCTGACTTCAAACTATACTATAAGGCTACAGTAACCAAAACAGCATGGTACTGGTACCAAAACAGAGAGCTAGACCAATGGAACAGAACAGAGCCCTCAGAAATAATACCACACATCTACAACCATCTGGTCTTTGACAAACCTGAGAAAAACAAGAAATGGGGAAAAGATTCCCTATTTAATAAATGGTGCTGGGAAAACTGGCTAGGCACATGTAGAAAGCTGAAACTGGATCCCTTCCTTACATCTTATACAAAAATCAATTCAAGATGGATTAAAGACTTAAATGTTAGACCTAAAACCATAAAAACCCTAGAAGAAAACCTAGGCAATACCATTCAGGACATAGGTATGGGCAAAGACTTCATGACTAAATCACCAAAAGCAACAGCAACAAAAGCCAAAATAGACATATGGGATCTATTAAACTAAAGAGCTTCTGCGTGGCAAAAGAAACTACCATTGGAGTGAACAGGCAACCTACAGAATGGGAGAAAATTTTTGCAATCTACCCATCTGACAAAGGGCTAATATCCAGAATCTACAAAGAACTTAAACAAATTTAGAAGAAAAAATCAAACAAACCCATCAAAAAGTGGGCAAAGGATATGAACAGACATTTCTCAAAAGAAGACATTTATGCAGCCAACAGACACATGAAAAATGCTCATCATCACTAGTCATCAGAGAAATGCAAATCAAATCCACAATGAGATACCATCTCACACCAGTTAGAATGGCAATCATTAAAAAGTCAGGAAACAACAGGTGCTGGAGAGGATGTGGAGAAATAGGAATGCTTTCACACTGTTAGTGGGAGTGCAAACTAGTTCAACCATTGTGAAAGACAGTGTGGTGATCCCTCTAGGATCCAGAACTAGAAATTCCATTTGACCCAGCCATCCCATTACTGGGCATACAACCAAAGGATTATAAATCATGCTACTATAAAGACACATGCACTCGTATGTTTATTGCAGCACTATTCCCAGTAGCAAAGACTTGGAACCAACCCAAATGTCCATCAATGATAGACTAGATAAAATGTGGCACATATACACCATGGAATACTATGCAGCCATAAAAAAGGTTGAATTCATGTCCTTTGTAGGGACATGGATGAAGCTGGAAACCATCATTCTGAGCAAACTATCGCAAGGACAGAAAACCAAACACTGCATGTTCTCACTCATAGGTGGGAATTAAAAAATGAGAACACTTGGACACAGGGTGGAGAACCTCACACACCAGGGCCTGGCGTGGGGTGGGGTGATGGAGGAAGGATAGCATTAGGAGAAATACCTAATGTAAATGATGAGTTAATGAGTGCAGCAAACCAACATGGCACATGTTTACATATGTAACAAACCTGTATGTTATGCACATGTACCCTAGAACTTAAAGTATAAAAAAAAACTATAACTTCATGTGAATTTTTGCTTTATATTAAAATATGTTAAGAAGAAAAGGCATTCAAGTTCTATTTAAAAATACTAGGTAATATTTACATAATGAATATTGAATGCAAATTAGCCAAAAATTACGAAGATGGTACAAAATAACAATTTCAAAATTATCTGCAATTCTAGTATTTAAGTTCTGAATTACTGTATTATTTTATTTTTATTTTCATATTAAATTACACTTTTAAAAAATATAAATCATCTTCTATTATAGGCACTGGTTCAAGTGCATATAATCCTTCTCTTTTACTAATGGTTTAATTTTGCATAGATCTTAAACTTTGCCTATTTTGTGTTTATTTAAATGCTGCTTGTAATACATTTTAGTCATTCTTTTGGAAAAGTAAAATAAGTAAGCTATTCTAAAACTCATGCTTATTTACCAAAAGTGTTATCTCACAGAGGACACAAAATATCTCTAGTTAGCTCCTTTTGTATAGTTCCTTTAAAATATGGCTGAAAATCCTGCATTTTTTTTTAAACTATGTGACCACTCCTTTGCAAGAATTTGCAGGGCACATTTTTTCCAGTTCTGCTGTCAGAAAAATCCCCCTTTATGTTTAGCATATCAAGGTTGATTTTTGACGCAAATGTGCTCATTTTATTTCAGAAATTTCTGCTTATTTTATTGAAATCCATCCTTATCTATAGAAGCCTTGTTCTATTTAATTTTGATAGAAACTTTTCAAATTAAGCTCTAACTTGGATGATTATATATGATGTTAACAATTATCAATTGCTTGTAATCAATTACTGCCAAGGATAATTTGATGAATTCATACTTCTAAGAACAGTATTTAAACATTTTGTTCTTCTGATGGCTCATGGCTGTTGTCTTTCCAGCTGTGTTTCACGACATTCACAGCCCTCTTCGCATTAATTTTAATTTGTTATTTTGATCAATAATACTGAAATCACAGAAATAAAAGCAGCCAGCTTAGTAATAATGACTGTGGACTCTTGATTTGAGCTAATTGTGCCAATTTCACACATATACAAATAACCAGGTTAAAAGGAAGTTTGATCCTTTGCCTTATACACAATAAGTATTTAGACAGTGACATCTCATGGTAGAAATTCCTTTTTGTAACTAACTGATTTTTGTAAGTATTTGCTCTTCTCCACGTCAGGCCTATTTTTTTTTTTTTAATTTTTTGCTTGATTCCTGTAACTTTAGGAACAAAACTTGGTTATGTTCCCAGACCACAAAGATGCTTCTCTACTTTTATGCCTTTTCTTAGACCGTTTCTCTGCCTGTTTCAAGGAGTGGTCAAATGCTAAAGGTAGTTCTAAGGAGAAGAAAGATTGAAAGAACATCTAGTTCTCTTGGGTGAACAGATAACTGGTAATTTTTGAAAGGGAAGTGTCCTTCAAAGCCAAAACATTTCAAAAGTTTCTTAAGAAATTGAGAGTTGGTGATGAAATAAAAGCAGTCCACACACTGTGTGTTTGAAAAATTTGGAAGTAAAAATGAAATACAGGAGAAAGAAATGAAAGTGTCATGTGAAGATGTTTCAAAGCTTTTCACACTAGAGAGTAAAATGTCAGAGACCAATTGAGAGGGCCAGGTTAAATATTTCACAATGTGCAGAGATAATTGAAGGAGTTCCCAGAAGATGAAGAAGGAAATAGGATTTGGGAAACTTTGCCTTAAAAGGCAGCAGCACATCAATGCCTCTGAGTATATGAAGAAGGAAAAGAGAATATTATAAGACTGAAATATTTTGGATGGTGGAGATGTATATTGGGGAACTCATGTCAGTCAAACTTGATTTTATAGTAAAGTAAAAAAAATATATGTATGTGTGAGGGAAGGGAGTATATGGAAATCTTGTACCTTCCTCTCAATTTTACTGTGAACTTAAAACTACTCTAAAAATAAAGTCTATTAAAAAAGATGTCATCTTTCTACAATTAATGGTATGAATTCAAGTGTGAGGAAGACAAATTTTTTAAGTAGCTACTGTCAGTATTACAAGGACCCATCCAGAGGATTAAGAAAATAATTATAAATCAAGAATAAAGTCCTAACTGAAGCTACACAACATGATTTTGCATTGGTTAAGTGTGGTTCCACAGTTTTCCCCACTTTTATTTATTTTTTATTTTTTATTTTTTTTTGTGGAGACAGAATCTTCCTGTTACCCACGATGGAGTGCAGTGGTGTGATCTCGGCTCACTGCAACCTCTGCCTCCCCGATTCAAGCAATTCTCCTGCCTCGGCCTCCCAAGTAGCTGGGTCTACAGGTGCCCGCCACCATGCCAGGCTAATTTTTCATATTTTAGTAGAGACGGGGTTTCACCGTGTTGCCCAGGCTGGTATCGAACTCCTGAGCTTCGGCAATCCGCCCGCGTCGGTCTCCCAAAGTGCTAGGATTACAGGTGTGAGCCACCGCGTCTGGCCCTATAATTCTTAGGAAAAAAAAAAAATCCCAGGAAGACAGTGTGTGTTTTTGTGGACTTGAACTATATTAGTTAATGAACAAAATGTATTAAGAGTCAAGAGATGTTAGGGTATTAAGATGTCAATAATGACCGATAATTATTGAGCACCTACCATGAGCCAAACACTGTGAAGGCTACTTCATAGAACTCATCACCCACCTTGAGAACAATCTGGTGGGAGAAATGTTGTGTTCTCCATAATGCAGATTATTATTATTATTACTTGTAGTAGTATTCAGATATTTATTGAGTGCTCACTATGTGGCATCCCTGGCTAAGTGCTTCCTCATAATTAGCTCATTTGATTCAGAGCGTGTGAAGGATGCGCATATTTACTAGGCTCCATAAAGCACATGACGCTCATTTCAATTCATCTTTACCACAATTGTATTTGGTAGCTATTAATAACTCTGCTTTAAATAAGAGAGCTGAGGACCAGAGTTACTCAGTCATTTTGAATTCAGGTGGAGGTTATTTGACTCTAGATGGTGCAATCTTAAATATTATGTGATATTTCTTGAGTACAAAGACAAATTTGCCTGGCTTTAGATTTCTTACCTCAGAAAAAAAAAGCCAAGGATAAATTGATTGACAATGGACTTTAAGCTAGAAAGGGGGCCAAGTGTTACCGGATCAGAAATAAAACGGGAAAGTAAAAATTGTTATCTCATTCATATTCAAAAATTTGATAAAATCAGGCTTGGAAAATGTGATTTATTAGGTGTCAAATAATGAAGTTATACCTGTGGAGAGTATTAGAAGTGGAACATTGTAATGGATATGTCCAAAGGATTGGTCCTCTCAAAGAGCTCTGGTGAAATCAGATGACTATAAGAGGTTGTACTAAATGGGTTTTGAATTTTCAGAGGATACAAATGGTCAGTGGGATATATCATAGCAGGACAATCCAGATGTTAGTGCTATAATGTCTTATAGTATAACATTAGATTAGGCTATTCGAGAAATACTATTAATAGAACTTTCAGGAGGATATTATCCATAGGTTACATAGGCTTTATGAGAATGAAAGTTGAATAAAGAAAAAAAAAAAGAAACAACCATTGTTATCTTAGACAAGTTGCCTATGTGTTTTTGTTTGTTTCCTTGTATGTTAAAAAAAATAACAATTACCATCACTCATGGTTGATGTAACAATTAAAAGACAAAAAGTGAATGGATAATTTATGAAAACTAAAAGAAATGCTTGTCAGGCACAGGCTAAATAGTTCAAGCTTTAAAATTAAGAAGTATGCTGTTAAGCACTTCAGCTGCCTTAAAAGCTGCAAAACTAAATTGGATTTGTAGGTTTCTCCAAATAGGAATCTTATGAAAATTAATATCATCTGCTTTTATTTGACACTTTTTTTTGGATACGCTGTTGCTATGTTTAAAAAGTAACATCTTCATGTATCAGTGAGAGTTGTTTGAGATTAGGGAGGATTGAGGGATGGATATCATGATCCCAGCTAAAGGGATAAATTTTAGTGGACTATATAGCTCAACAACCTCTGGGCCTGAAGGCAGAGAATGAGATAGAAAGAGAATGATGTGATTGTAACATAGCAAGAATTTGCCTTAGGTGCTAGGAAATAGACCATTAAGCTCCAGTATGGTACTTCCTTGGTTTAGTGATATAAAATAGATGCCAGAAAACATTTTATATAAAGGACTAGATGGTAAATATTTTAGGCTTTGTGGACCATAAAGTCACTATTGGAACTACTAAGTTGTGCTGTTATAGGGTCAAAGCAGCCATAAACAATATGTAAATGAATAAACATGGCTGTGTTTCAATAAAACTTTATTTACAAAAACAGGTGGTGGGCCAGATTTGGCCTTTGGGTTGTAATTTGATGATCTTACCTAGTATAAAATAAGAAAATCCACAGTTTCTTGGCAGCTCTGACCTTAGACTTTACATGAGATTTATTCGATCAAGGGTATCTCTGCATGCCTCCATGAAGAATGAGGGAGGCATAAATGAGTAGAGCCCAATCTTGTGTATAGGCTTATTCATGAATCCTTTGCATAACTGTTTTGTCATTATTACCAAACTTTAAATCCACAATATGTTCTTATAGCAGTGTTTAGTTAGTATTTGGTAAATACTCCTAAGTGAAAAAAATGTCAATGTTGATATCTCAATACTTTTCAAATATTTTCAAAGTTAGTAAATTATAATTTTTTTTCAATAGAATGCTTGAAATGTGAAAGTAATATAACTAGTTATATTTTAGTTTTAGGTAAACTAGGAGTGGTTCAATGATACAAAACATTAAAACACACATATCCGATGGTTTAGGTATCATTAAGCATCAACTAGTATGTTTCGCATGTTATCCATCTCACCTACAACTTGTTTTAAAGAACCAACGACGAGCATTTTTGGAGTTATAACTGTGCAGCTCCTGTAATGCAGGCTGAAACACAGGTTTCTGCACTAAATGAGACAGAAACAGTATGTAAAATTGAAAAAGTGAACACTCTATTTTAGAGTTGGAATCTAAGAACACATTTAGAGACATTGTGTTTCCAAAGCATTGCCTCCTTCCCAAATTCAGCACAACATGCAAATTAAAGTGTTACAGTTAAACAGAAAAATCTTTACTTAATTAGTAAGATGTAGACATGTATTAAATATTAAATTTTATTTCTGGAATGAATAAAGATGTAATAATAATCTATTTGGATTTTCTCATTACCTCCACAGATAACCACATTCATAGACTTAATCTCTGGCAAAGATTTAATACATGAGGTCAAAAATATATTACTATTATCTTACCCTATTAAAATATTTTAATGTTTGGTGATGTAATCATTTTGATCTTTAAAACTTTTTTGTTACTAGTGTGATTACTTAGGAAGACAGGAATAAAAATGATACCTTAAAAATAGCCCTATGAATATTGGTAATCATCTATAGAGGTCATTTCCAAGTTCCTAATCTCAGGTCTCAATCCTCATTGTAGTCTTGGAAGCTACAAATTGAAGACTGTCCACCTTAAGTAGGAAATATCAATTGAAAAGATTTCTTTTTCCTTATGTAAGGCTGCTCAGAACAATTAGAATTTCAATTTTCTTTGCTTTTACTTGAATTCAAGTGCCCTCACTAATACGTAATTATTTTCCATGGTGATTGGAAGCTCCAGTTTATGGCAGTGACTATGTTTTTTAAAAATAGGACATTTGTTTATTTTTTATAAAGCACTTTATTCTGTAGGTTGTAACAGTCCACAGAAAGATACAACTCTGGTTTATAGGATTGGCACTTGTACTGCACAATTTTCAGGTGCAATATTCACACCATCCTTTTTCATGATTTCCTGATTTTCTTCTTTGTGTAGATGTTAAAACTGAAAAGAAATGGTAACACTGTCAGAGCTGAGACTGTAACAAGTCATCCCAATTCTCCATACTCTCTTCAATTTATTGGGCTTTGCTGTCATATCTGACGTAGACTTCCTACTATGTCAGATAAAGAATATGGTTTCAAGAGATAAAGGAGGATAGCAGTTTTCAGATACATTTTTTCTCTCCTCACCTTGCTAGATATTTAGGCATATTATTCACCAGAAGACAGTTTATATAAAGGGCTTATGTTTATAACGTTGAAAATATTTTAGTTGTCCAAACCAGTCTATTCCGTACAGAAGCATTTTTTTAAAAGAGGAAGATGAATAAACTTCTGAGTTCCTGCTGTGAGATTATACAATCACGAAGATTATTATTTAGGTCAAGTGTCATTTAAAATTGCTAACTTCTTGTTGCTGTGGAATAATACAATTCATTCTGTGTGCTTTTCCAAAACAGCACACTTGGTTGTAGAGTGCATGGCTACACAAGTGCTTCTATTCTTGAATCTACGACTATTCAAGGCCAGAGGTTTTAAGATTACCTCGGGACTCCTGATTTTACTTGTGCCAACATTATCAGTACCAAGAGAGTTGTAGCGTGTTTCCAGAGCTACAAAGAAGGGGCTGCTTGAGGTATTAATTAAAGGTACTTTCTTTGTTTCTGTCCCTTAAATATGAGGTTCATACCCTGAACCCCTTCACTCCTCACACACATACAATTTACATTCACAGATACAATAAATGATGACTACAATAAAAAGCAATAATGTGCATGCCTCCCACACTGAAACAAATTAATTTGACTGTAGAATACTGTGGATTTACAAATAATCTGACAGTCTTATTCCTTTTTTTTATTTCAAGTATGACAAGTAAACTAAAAAAATTCTCAAATTTTAATTGGAAACATCTGTGTTCTCATGCTAAAGAAACAGGGACATGTGAATAATTTTTCACTTTTATGTACACTGTTAATTTTTTTAATGAATTTTAAATTTATGATTACCATTATTTTACATTAGCAAATCATAATTGTATTTCTTATGGGATACAATGTGATGTTTTGATATATTTGTACAATGTTAGATTAAATCAAGCTATTTCACATGTCCCTCTCCACACTTACTCATCTTTTTTTTTTTTATGGTGAGACTTTTGAAATGTACTCTTAGTTATTTTGAAATACATGTTATTATTGGCTGTAGCCATCCTGCTGTGCAACAGATCTCAAAACCTATTCCTCCTGTCTGAAATTTTGTTCCCTCTGATCAATAACTCCCCAATCCTTTCTTCACTTCTCCCCACTCCCTAAGCCTCCACTAACCTTCATTCTACTTTCTACTTCTATGAGTTCAACTTTATTAAATTCCAAATTTGAGTGAGATCCTCCAGTATTTGTCTCTCTGTGCCTTGCTTATTTCACATAGCATAGTGTCCTCCAGATTCATCCATATTGTCAAAAATGACAGAATTTCCCCCCTTTTTAAGGCTGAACAATATTCCATTGTGTATATATTACATTTTCTTTATCCATTCATTGGTTGATGAATACTTAAGCTGTTTTCATATCTTGTCTATCGTGAATAATGCTACAATGAACATAGGAGTGCAAACATCTCATCAAATATGCTGATTTTATCTTCTTTGGATATATCCTGAGAAGTAGGGTTACTGGGTCTTACAAAAGTTCTATTTTTACTTTTTAAGGAATATTCATACCATATTCCATAGTGGCGGTACTAATTTACAGAATCAACAACAATGTACGAGTGTTCCCTTGTCCCCACACCCTCTCCAAAACTTATATTTCATCTTTTTGATAAAAGCCATTCTAACAGGTGTGAGGCGATAGCTCCTGGTGGTTTTAATTTGCATTTTCCTAATGATGCTGAGCATTTTTTCATGTACCTGTTGGCTATTTGTACATCTTTTTTGAGAAATGTCTGTTTTAGTCGTTTGCTCATTTTCTAAAATTGGGTTTTATGTTTTCTTGCTTTGAAATGTTTGAGTTCCTTATATATTTTGTATATTAACCCCTTATTAGATGCATTATTTGAAAATATTTTTTCCCATTCTGTGAGTTATCTGTTCGCTCTGTTGATTATTTGCTGTGCGGAAGGTTTTCAGTTTGATGCAGTCCCATTTTTCTATTTTTGCTTTTGTTGACTATGCTTTGGGGTCACATAAAAAAATTATTGCCCAGACCCATGTTGTGAGGTTTTCCCCCTATATTTTGTACTAATTTTATAGTTTCAGATCTCAATATTTAAGTATTTCATTCATTTTGAGTTTATTTTTGTACATTTTGGAAGATAAAGGTCTAATTTCATTCTTCTGCATGTGGATATCCAGTTTTCACAGCACTACTTATTGAAGGAATTGTCCATTCCCTGTTGTGTGTTCCTGGCACCTTTGTAAGAAAATCAGTTGACCATAAATGCATAGATTTATTCTAGGGTTTCTATCCTGTTCCATTTGTCAATGTGTTTGTTTTTATGCCAGTAACATGCTGTCTTGATTACAATTGCTTCATTATATGTTTTGAAATCAGGATATTAATTAACCCCTTTATTATTATGTAATAACCTTCCTTGTCTTTTTTATAGTTTTTAACCTAAAGTATATTTTGTGTGATATAAGTATAGTTACACTTTTTAAATAATCCTTATTTCCTTACATTAATGCCTAGACAGCGGAGTTGTTTGTCTGGGGTAATACTCGAGGTTCGCTGCTTCATGCCAAGAAAATTGAGAACACGGACCCACAAGGTGTGAGTTTAAAAGTGGAGGTTTAATGGATGTTGGAAAAGAGAAAAGCTCTCTTTCCTCCGGAGAGAGAGGGACTCCCAAGTGGTTCTTCTGGTTTTGTGGTGAAATGCACAGAGTTTTATAGACGAGCTTGAGGAGGTGGTGTCTGATTTACATAGGGTCCAAGAGATTGGTCAGACCAGGTGAGACATTTGCATAGCGTGCAAAGAAGCTGGCCATCCCGCCCTAATCTTCTATTATGCAGATGGGGTCTTTACCTGGACTGTGCCACGTTTCCTGACTTTTTACTGCACATGTGGCGACAAAGAAAAGGTAAGAGGAATCCTTCATGTTGAACATGCCTGGCACCCAGGTAGCCTTTTCCTATTGGCACAGCTGCCTGCATTTGCCTATGCAAGCTTCCAGCTCGCTTCTTTATGTCTGTTGCTTGATTTTACGGGCTGCTCTTCCTTAGAAAAGAAATGATTTGGGGGCTGCTTTTTGTTAAAAGTGAAGCATTACAGAGGATTCTCTTACCCTCACTAACTGCCTAACTAATTTCTTTTTAGCTCCTGTATCACCTGCACATTTAAGGAGATGGCCACTTCTTCCAGCCTTTGTGCATGTTCTTTAGTGGTGGTGGTAGACCACTACTACTTGGTCTAACCTGAGATTATGGATATGCTGGCTTGTAGCAACACCAGAGAGGCAGACCATGGTGTCAGTTTCTTTAGTTGGGCTGGGTTGCTTCCTGTGCTCTGAAGTTAAATGGTATTGCTGGCTGTACTCTGTGGTCCAGTGAAATGACTGACTGGACTCTGCCATCAGGTGGAGCTTCTGGTTGGACTCTGCGGTTGTCTCTAATTGGGTAGGGTTGTAGCTCTTTATTTTTGACTGGGCAGTACTGTTGTTTGAAATCTGGGCAGTACTGTTGTTTGAAGCCCTGTGGTTGAGCAGGGCTGTGTAATAGACTCTAAGGCTGAGTGAGGTCTCTGGGGTTGTTGCTCAGCCTCAGAGAGTAAATAGGGCCAAAGAGGTTCTGCTCCACAGACATGTGTGGACTTGATATTGCCTCCTGGCCGAGAGTAGCCTTAAGAAAAACACTGAAGTTTGGTGGAGTCACCACTGTACAGCTGCACCTAGGAAGGGTCATATTCTCCCTCTGCACGTAATCACTGACCTGCAGTTCCTTCCCAATCTGGAAAAGAATTAATATAAAATTGGAATTTAATTTGATCCCCTCTCTGTGGGTAGGGTTGGGTATTGCATTTCTGGGATATATCACAGTTGATCATGTATTATTATTATTTTTTTTTGATGTGCTATTGGATTCACTTTGCTAGTATTTTGTTGAGAATTTTTGCATCTATTTTCTTCAGAGATATTGGCCTGTAATTTTCTTTATTTTATCCTTTCTTCTGCTTATTTGGGGTTTGGGTTTTGCTTTTCTAGTTCTTTGAGTTGTGTTATTAGATTGTTTATTTGAAATTTTTCTACTTTCTTGACTTAGGAATTTATTGTTAAAAACTTCCCTCTTAGCACTGCTTTTGATATGTCCCATAGGTTTTGGTATGTTGTGTTTAGATTTTCACTTGTTTCAAGAACTTTATTGATTTGCTCCCTAATTTCTTCTTTGACCCAATAGTTATTTTGGGACATGTTACTTATTTTTTGTGTACTTGTAAAATTTCCAGTGTTTCTCTTGTTATTGCTTTATAGTTTTGTTCCATTGTGTTCTGAGAAGATACTTGATGTGATTTTGATTTTAAATAATTTGGTGAGTTTTCTTTTGTGTGTGCTAACATATGGTCCATCCTGAAAATGTTCCCTGTTCTGTTGAGAAGAATGTGTATTCTGTAGCTGTTGGTGGAAATGTTCTGTAATTCTATGTTTGGTTTATTCTGTCTAATGTGAAGTTAAAATTCAACGTTTCTTTGTTAGTTTTCTGTGTAGGTTATCTGTCTAATGCTGAGAATGGGGTGTTGAGGTTCCCAAGTATTGCTATATTGGAGTCTATCTCCCCCTTTATATCTGATAATATTTGCTTTATATATCTGGATATTCCAGTGGTACGTGCACATAGGTTTAGAATTGTTATAACATCTTGCTAAATTGATTCCTTTACCATTATGTAATGACCTCCTTTTTCTCTTTTAACTGTTTTTGACTTAAAGTGTTTTATCTGATATAAGTATAGCTAATCCTATTAGCTTTTGGTTTTCATTTGCATGTAATATCTTTTCCATCCCTTGAGTTTTAGTCTGTATGTGATTTTTACAAGTGAGATAAGTTTTTTGTAGACAGCATGTAGTTGAGTAATGTTTTTACACCCATTCTGTCAGTCTATGTCTTTTAAGGGTAAAGTTTAATCTGTTTACCTACAAGGTTATTATTGACATGTGAAGGCTTCTTTCTACCATTTTATTAATTGATTTCTGGTTGTTTTGCACATCTTTTTTTTCTTTCTCTTATTGTTATCATTGTGGTTTGGTGGTGTTTTCTAGTGGTAACATTTGATTCTTTACTATTCCTTGTTTGCATGTTTGCTCTATTATTAGTTCTTATATTTTATGTGTTTTTATGATAGTAGATACTGTTCTTTCTTTTCTAAGCATAGGAGTTCCTTAAACACTTTTTGTAGGACTGGACTAGTGTTGATACATTCTCTCTGCTTTTGCTTATCTGGGAAAGACTATTTCTCCTTCATTTATGAAGGATAACTTTGCTGGTATGGTATCCTTGGCTAGCATTTTTTTTTCTTTTTTAGCACTTGGAATATATCATCCCATTCTGCCTTGGGCTGTAAGGTTTCTGCTGAGAAATCCATTTAGTTTAATGGGGGTTCCTTTATAAGTGACTACACATTTTTCTCTTGCTGGTTTTAGATTTCTCTGTGTTTGACATTAGATAGTTTGATTATAATGGGTCATGGAGAAGATGATTTTGAAATATATCTAGTTGGGAATTTCTTAGCTTCCTTTATCTTGATATTTAAATCTCCTGCTAGACTTGAGAAGTTTTCATACATTATTTAGTTGAATAGGTTTCCTAACTGTTTTATTTTCTCTTCACCTTCTGGGTGACTGAACATTTGAACGTTTGGTTGCTTTATGGGGTTCTATATGTAATATGGGCTTTGCTTATTCTTTTTTATTCATTTAATTTTTTTTTGCCTGATGGGTTATTTCAAAAAATTTTTCTCTAAGTTTTGAGGTTCTTTGTTCTAGTTGATCTAGTCTATCGTTGAGCTTTCAAATGTATTTTGTATTTTATTCAATGAATTCTTTATTTCCACAATTCTTGTCCTTTTTAAAAATAATTTCTGTCTCTTTGGTCAATTCCTGATCGATATCCTGAATTGTTTTTCTGATTTTTTTGGTATTGTTTTTCAGCATCCTCTTGTATCTCACTGAACTTCTTTAACATCAATATTTTTAATTCTTTTTCTGAGATTTTTTGTAAATTTCTTTTTGTTTAGTATTTGTCATTGGAGTGTGATTGTGTTCCTTTGGAAGTGTCATATTTCCTTAACCTTTCATGTTTCCTGTTGTTCTCACATTGATATCTGCATACCTGTTGTAATAATCACTTCTTCTAATTGTTTAAATGTGTTTTCAAAGTGGAGGACATTTTCCTGAATACGTATCTATGGTGTTGGTTGGGTAGTACACTTTGGCTTTGATTCTGGGTTTTTCCAGTAGTACAGTCTTTGTATGATATCTTCAGCTATAAACAACATCATTCGTATCTGTGCTTTCCTTGGTGAGTTAGGCTGCGGTTGTTACAGGAGGTTGTGGTGAAGTTTTGCTGGGTACTAGGATGCCAGTTGGGCCAGTCTTTGGGTCCCAGTGGTGGCAGTGGTAGACTGAATGTGCCTGTACTTGAAGCCCTGGATGGCATATGCTGGAACTGCTGCTAATGGGTCCAGACAGGCTGATTCTTGAGCCTCCATGTGGCTTGCTTAGATGTCAAAAATGACAGCAATTGCCTGAGTGAGTAGGCAGGTTCTCAGGTCCCAGGGAAGCAGGTCTGGTGTAGGCAGTGGCAGCAGCAGTGGTAGTACAACCCTCTGATCCCAAGCAGTCCACACAGGTATTGTTGGTGGCTACAATGGACTGTGCAGGCCAGTCCCCAAGCCCACAGATAATTCATTTGTGTGAGTGCCAGGTATGATGGTAGCAATAGGTTGAGTGGACCCAAGCTTAAACCCTGGAAGGAGTGCTCATTTGCCAATGATAGTGGAATGGTCTGAATGACCCCCCAAACTCTGGACATTGTGTTGAGGCACTGGGAGGGCAGACCCAGGCCAGATGAGCCTTCCCTCAACAGCCCACCACTCCAGCACCCTGTGGTACATGCAGATGCTGGCAGTGGTAGAGACAGATGGGGTGATCTCCTGACTGCTATAGGAATGGTCAAGTCGGGGCAAAAACAGTTGGGCTGTGGCCTTGCTACTGGGGAGTGTGGTGTTGTTTTCATTGGGAGCAGTCATAGGTAAGTGACTAAGATTAACATGCTTCACTCACACTTCAGCCCCATGGCAGCCTGTGGTAATGGTAGTAGAATTTTTCTTTGGGGGCATGAAAATATGTGGCTGCCTCTCTGCTGGAGTGGGCAGGCTTGCTGACAGTGGCTCCCATCTCAGCCCCGGCTGCAGTGACTGCAGCCAAGAAATGTCAATGGGACCCCAGGGATGTGAAGATGCAGGGATTGTTGGGCTTTTAAGCAGGATGCAGTCTGGTGGGAGCTGGGTTCTCAAAATGGTGCCAGGCTGTAGCTGCTTAGGATTCAGAGTCTTGTGGGACTCAGTGTGCTCTGTCTTTAGAGCAATATTGTTGTACAGTCTCTAGGCAGCTCCCTATGTTAGTCTGAGAGCCTCTGATAGTTGAAAGGCTCTACCATGCTAGGATTGCAGGAGTCTGTAGTGGAAATGTGGACCACTGGGGTCTCTCACTTAAACTTCTCCCACATTTTAGAACCTCAAGAGGCTCCCAGCCAATCCCAGCTAGGCAAGTTGCTTTGCTTTCTTCTTCTTCCTTGCTTTTGGTATTTCCTACAACTTCTCTGTTGTTGACTCTTAAATGATCTATTTGAAGGGAGATTGTCTACCAGGTGTATCCAGTCAGCCATCTTGAAGCTCCTCTCTAGTCCTTCATTGGCTTCTTTTTAAATGTGTGTTTGAGCATATATTACCTGTTGTTATAAACTACAGATGTAAATATTTTGACATGAAGTTTTAGTTTATTGAATACTTTGATAAAGACTTTCAGTAGTACCCACTCTTATGAATATATATTGCTCCTCAAATATTTTTTGTCATATACTTATGATTATTAGATAGTAATTACAAGGTAGCATTTAAGGGGTATTCAGTAAGTTCCAATAGTTCCATGTTTTTATTTATCTCAGTAAATTATTTTCATATTCAGGTCATGGTATACTGCAAATAATGTGTGGCATATCAGCCATATACTTTCCAAAATAGTGCGGAAGTAAATTTTAGATATTATTTATTCAAAGGGCTGTGCTAGGAATATTAATATAAGAATTGGAGTTTAAGTGCTTACTGTTTATTTTTAAAAGCTGGGTTAGTATTGAATACACATATTCTCAGATTTCTTCAGCA
Source organism: Homo sapiens (assembly GCF_000001405.40). Taxonomy (NCBI): domain Eukaryota; kingdom Metazoa; phylum Chordata; class Mammalia; order Primates; family Hominidae; genus Homo; species Homo sapiens. The sequence continues at coordinate 67,472,216 of NC_000013.11, forward strand.
ATGTATTTATGGCCAGACTGTCACTATTGTGTCATTTTGTGGGAGTGAGCAAAAATTCAACAAGGCAAGCACTGTGCAATTTAGAGCCACTTTATGAGTGTATTTAAATGACGGGGAAAATATATGGTATATTCTGTCAGTTACATCAAACAAACAACAAACAAACTGGCAAAATCAGTTGAACAAGTTTTTGGCATTTTATATATAAAGTAATGGTTCATGATCTGAAAAATTAATCCTTTATCAAAAGTCTATGTATTATATAGAAACCATTAGAGAACTATCTTTTCTTGATTCCTCCATTACCTATTTTTTAACTTATCTTTAATTCTTTAACTTTCTTTTGTGCATTTTTTATCCTTATCACTTAATAACCCGCATACAATAACAGCTGAATAAAGTATTATTTTTTACTGTGTAAGACTGTGCCAGTGAGTTAGAACAAATTTTATGATAATAATAATGATGATGATGATGTTGGTTATGGATAATATCTTATATTCAGTATTTATTCTCAATGATTCTGAACTATTTCACTGACAATCAAGAAATAACAAGCATTGTTACAGCTATTTCCTATCGGTCATTTTTATATATTCTCTCATATTTCTGTACTAGTAAATTTTATGAGATTTTTCCACATTAGCTGAAAGGAATTTTGATATTGAGCTGTCTGTACTTCCCATCTGATTAAATATAGGATCACAAATTTCCAGCCATGTTGCTTGAAGAGGATATAGTTGAGTGTAAATAGGGCATGTGTAGAGTAGAAACTTCCACTGACTTGCAGCATACACTGTGTTCATACCTACCCATCAGATTGTTCTTTCTTCTTCCACATCCAATTACAAAATAAACAATAAAAGCTAAATAAATGAAAGACAACATCGACCAAAAGATTGTAAAATATGCATGAAGAGATTAATAATCGATCTGGCAATTGTTCAGATTTCCTTTTTATAAATGTGGAATTCACTCAATTCGTAGAGCTTTTGATTTCATTCTGCAGTCTGTTACTATTCTACTGTTACTTCCATGTTGGATGGGGACCTTAATCTATGAATACACAGGTCAGAGGATGATTCTTCATGCCACTCAGCCTTCTTTATTATGCAAACACATTTACAACACTAATAACACCTAAGAAAGAAAGCTACAAATGAGGTTTCAATATGCTGTGGTAATTTACAGTGTATGAAAAGTTTTTATACTCAACAGTTTATTTTTATGTATTTTAAATCTTCTACGTAAAACAGGAGCAGCAACCTATATTCAGAAAAACAAGCAGGCTAAATACAGAGAACACTAAAAATACCTTTATAGTGTTCAGGTAGAGTAAGAGTAACTATAGATAATGTAATATAACTGCGATATGTACTTTTTACATGGCCAACTAGAAGGAGGATTAAGCACTATAAAGAGGTTAATGGTAACTAAATTAATACCTACGATAAAAATTGATCTTCCTCCTGTTTATATTAAAAAGAGAAAACATATAAATAAGGCATGAGTGTTGTATTCTTACAATTATTTGCAAATTAGTAATTTGGACATTTGGAATTTAAAGAGAAGGAAGATTTAACCACATGTTCACTCTAGGTGTTTCTTTGTTTTTTCCTCTTAGTTTGTTTGGTTTTATAAGCATACAGAAAGATCAGATATCTTCAGCAGCAGTATCTAGAAAGAAGAAAGTTTTGATATGTTAAAAATTGTCTCCCTAAGAGAAATTTTAAAAACAATATTAGTTAGATTTTCTGTTCTATTTTTGGTATTATGACAGAAAAAGCAGCATGACATAGAGTCCTAATTTCTGGTGACTTGAGGACGGCGTTAATATTGTTATGCTGCTACAGAAAATAATCAAGAGGATATTATAAATAGCCTGAATTTTGTACATAGTCTGGAAATAATATAGTTGGAATTTAATCATACCATCATGATGATATCCTAAGATGAAACTCTATCCTTCTTGTTTTTACCAGCCTCGGAACAATGAGGAACAATGAAAACCTTTATGATGAATCATGCCGACAAAAAAAAAAAAAAAAAAAAAAAACTAGTGTTATTTTGTCTTAAATAGCTAAATATATGCAAGGTAAGCATATTCATACCAAGGAGTCTTCTTGTCTGAGCCCTTCATAGAGAATTGAGCGGTTGGATAATTGTGACTATTTCTGTTGTTTTTTTTTTTTGTAAAGATATTATACTACCACTTAAAGTAACTATGGCCAATTAAGAGAGCTTAATTCAAGACAATTGTGATGCCTGGAAAAATTAAAATTGGCTAATAATGATTTACTTTAGTCTGAAACTGTAATTCAACATAAAGGAAATATAAAAGTTATGAATATGTTTTGTTATCACATGAAACTTGGGATACCATGTCATCTCCTCATCATTCTCCAGAGTAAAACAGCCAATGATTTTGCATGCATGTTTTCATGCTTTTTTGTTGCATGATTCTGTTGCAGTTGCTCTGACAGGAATTGGGTCCTTCCAAAGGCAACCATATATATTCTGAATATTAAGAGCTGTGGTTTCTGCAGTAACCTGATAGGAGAACTCTGCTTGACAAGGGAACTGTATATTGACAGATCAAAAAGTGGTTAACTCAACCAATGATATTCTTTTTCTCACTATGACAGACATAGAAAGTTGAAAAGGAATAGAAGCAGAAAATCAATAGTAATGAGTGGATTCATCAGTGTAAGGGACTTGGGAAGGAAGCAAATAGTCCCTGGATTTGTACATATGATAACCCTGCCATTTGTCCCTAAAGCTGCTGAATTTTCTCAAATATGGCTCCTGATATCCATGATGCTTAAGAGAGGAAATGTGGAGATTGCTCTCTTTCTCCTAATATTTTTCAATATTCTTGCAATAAGGCACCTTTATATAAAAGACTACCTGTTCATGCTCCCTACATCCTGAAAGAACTTTAACCATTAGAAAATGTTTCTACAAAATATAGAATGTTAGTTAATTTAAGTTTTAATCCATTTTAAAGGCCGTAGATTATAATTGTTCTATTATTTATTCTGAATAAGAAAGAATGAATAGAAACTATAAGACAGAAACTATGAGAACCTTGCAGAAACGGACCATATGGAAGACATAGGGTTAGTTTCTCTTGGCATGGAGCAGAGAAGGTGAAGTCTTGAGAAGAGTACATATATGAACCTGGGGGACTTGAAGAATGAATAAAAGGATTTTATCACAGGTAGGTATGGATGAAATTTTTCAGTGGGTGGAAAAGAATCCCAGAGACAGAGGAAAATGGGAAGAGTATGGAGGTGTATGAGTGAACCATATATTTAAACAGCTAAAAACCACTTCTGAAGAGATTAGAGAACCAATACATGAAAGATATAAAGAAAAGTTATAAAGAAAAAATTGTTACAAGTTCAATAGGTAAAAACACTCTCAAATAATCATAACTTTCCAAAAGTAATTGCTTCTCCACAACATAGTTATACCCAATTACTTAAATTTCCTGAGTAAAGGGTGGAAGATCTTCTTCAGGAACATTATAATATTCACTTCATATCTTGCCATATCATATGTTAAAATAATATTTCACTTGCATTAGGTATAGTACTAGATCATCTACATGGTTTCCCCCAAATCTAATATGTTACTCTATTTGGATCTGTGGTTAAGTAATAAATTAAATGTTGCATTTTTATGTAATATGGTCTTTAGAAAATATCAGACAAAATCAAACATCAAACCTTTACTCAGATCATACCTTATCATGTACTGGTACTGCAAAAGGGATTTTTGTATAATATATAATTCTATCTTGTATAAATTCTACAGGAGACCTTATTTTTCTAAGGAAATATGTCTTTAGACATTAAGGGTGTCATATAGGAAACTAAAGTATTATATATATATATATATATATATATATATATATATATATATATATTTATTTATTTTTTTTTTTTTTTGAGACGCAGTCTTGCTCTGTTGCCCAGACTGAAGTACAGTGGAGCGGTCTCAGCTCACTGCAAGCTCCACCTCCCAGGTCCAAGCAATTCTCCTGCCTCACCCTCCCTAGTAGCTGGGACTACAGGTGCCCGCCACTAGCCCGGAGAAATTTTTGTATTTTTAGTAGAAACGGAGTTTCACCGTGTTGGCCAGGCTGGTCTCAAACTCCTGACCTCAAGTGAACCACCTGCCTTGGCCCCAAAGTGCTGGGATTACAGGCATGAGCCACCATGCCCAGACTAGTATAAAATATTTTATCAATTTAATGTACAGGATTTTTCCCTTTGTGTGTGGGAAAAAAACAATTCAAACTAGTTTAATCTTTTTTAAAAAAGTGGTAATGGTGGGCCGGAAGCGGTGGCTCACACCTGTAATCCCAGCATTTTGGGAGGCCAAGGCGGGCAGATCATGAGGTCAGGAGATCGAGACCATCCTGGCTAACACAGTGAAACCCCGTCTGTATTAAAAATACAAAAAATTAGCTGGGCATGGTGGCGGGCGCCTGTAGTCCCAGCTACTTGGGAGGCTGAGGCAGGAGAATGGCATGAGCCTGGGGGGCGCAGCTTGCAGTGAGCCGAGATCGCGCCACTGCACTCCAGCCTGGGTGACAGAGCAAGACTCTGTCTCAAAAAAAAAAAAAAAAAAAAAAAAAAAAAAAAAAATTGGTAATGGTGAATTTTTTGGCTTGTATAGCTGAGAAATCCAAGACATCATCTACAGCTTTGAGAGGAAGAAGAAATTTGTAAAGTTCCTTCAGTTTCACTAAGCAATTGTGAAAGAGGAATGAATTTGGGAATTTCTTTCAGCCAGAGGATATTGAAATATGAATTTAAGAACTGAAGTTGATAAATAATCAGTTCCAAGCATTGCCAACACAGGAACATTTATGAGTTCTCTGTAGGGACGATGTACCTGTTAATATTTTATTCAGCTTAAGTGAAAGAAACATACAATTTTGCTTAAAAATAACTACACGTGGGAATTTTATATTTAAAATTTTTGTATCTTTAAGTTTATACTAAGCCATATTGCTTCACGTTCTTAAGTTGATAACTATTTCAGTTGCAAGTCAACTACTCTGCACATTTAAAGTAAATGTTTACCTTGATTTTATTTTATTCATTTATTTTTAACATTCTACTACTGGAAACAGCATTAATATATAACTGAGAATTTAGACGAAAGCTTTCTTGCAACTATCTTGAAGCCATTAAATAACTTACATTGTAAAGATAAATTTTTGAAAAGCAAAAATCTCATTTTTATAAGACGCTTTTTCTTCCTTTTTTACTCTTGGAAAATAGGCAAAAGTTACAGGACATATTTTAAAGAATGTTTGTAGAAGTTATGTATTTTGAAATGTTACATATAAAAATACTTTGTGAAAACTATCAGAATGACTTGAGGAAAATTATTATATTAATGAAGAAAATATACGAATGATTAATGCTAAGACTGAATCATTTTGTTTAAAAAAAAAGTGTAGGGCTTCAATTGCAGTGTAAGATTGGATATAGCAGGCTGGATTTAGGAGAGGTCTAACAAATTACATTAGAGCTTTTCGACCAGTCAGGCTGATATAGAGGTAGCTGGAATGATGATACACAACTCAGCAGTTCAGGTAGGGACAAATCTAAGAGCAAAGTGTGATTGCATTCACTGATCAGGCACCAGGCTATTACTTTTCTGAGAAGAAGAAACTAAGAAAGGCTGTAATTTGAAGACAGAGGCCAACAAGAAAACCTAAGATATGTCAGATAAAGATGTGATATTTAGTGTTCCATTCTAAAAAAGGCTGGAGGGTTGATCTCATAGTGTTTTTTTATTTTCTTTTTTTTCCTTTGTAGATATTAGTAGGTATATTAAAGTTTTAATTAAAATGATGAACCTTAGAATGCTTTTTCATAAGACTACAATAGGATGAGTGGTTTATGTTTAAATAATAAATTATATGAAGCAATTAAAATCATAATGTGACAGAAAATGAGGAAAAAAGGCATTCGTTGATTTGCAGTTAATCTCAGAATTATTTCATGAAAAAGAAAGTGTACGTGAGTTCAACTAGCATGACATATTCAGTATATTCACAGATCTGAGAAAGACGATTTCCCCAGGGATAATTTCTCTGTCTTATGCCACCACTTTACAGTTTTCCCTAGGCTTCCTGTACAATTTCATGTGACCTTTAGTTTGATCTCATCTCGGCTAGGGAACCACTTTTAAAAAAATTTTCTCTTGGGTTGTATCTGAAGGAAGACTTTCCTATAATTAAACAGGAGTTACAGGGAAAAAAGAATGTAGGCATGCTAATGAGATTTTAATAGAAATGCTTTGGGATTTATTAATTTACTAGTTAAATTATTGATGAGAAAGATTTTACTAATCAAAAATCAGATTTAAGTGTATTTTCAAAGTTCAATTATGTTTAGTCAATTTGCCTACTAATTAAAAATAAACAAATGATCTTAGACTTCCTTGGTCTTATATGAAAACCAATAATAAATAAAATTCACTATGGCTTTCCAAAGATGGTAATCTTTTTGTCATTCTTTGTATAAAAAAAGACAATAAGCACGACACTATAGAGGACATGACGTTTTTACTTTGAAGTGATTCTCAGTAATGTGTATATGCAGGATACTTACTGTATTTTAGAAAATATTTGAAAAAATATTTATTAGTACCACCCAAATAAATTACAATAAAATTATTTATTTAACTGTATCAGTCTTTAATAATTTATCTTTTAATTTTTTTACTTTTAATTCAATTTAATAAGCATTATATTTATTTTTACATCTTAACCTCATTATTTTAACATTTGTTGAGTGCTTACTGGATAATACATTTTGTATACTTCTATTTATTTAAAATGGTTAAAGTCAAAAATTTTTGTAGTTAATTGAGTTTTCTTGTTTAAAATTTAAGGTTTATTTTTATAGAGAAACAGTCTTGCTATTTTGCCCAGGCTAGTCCTGAACTTCGGAGCTGAAGCAATCCTCCCACTTCAGCCTCGCAAGTTTTCTCTTAAGAGAAAATGCAAATATAAAAGATAACATTTTTTTTAACAAAGTCTTTGTTTGGTGACTTTGTGTAATTTACCTATGCTCACTCAATTTCTTTCTATATAAAATAATGATAATGTTATCTAGGTCACATGGCTATTGAGTCATTAGAATTATATAAAACAATGCTTCGAGTAACATTATTGTCCTTTTTTGTGAACCTTTATTCAATTTCTAGTTCTAACCTGTGAGTTTCACTTATTTTACTTAAATCCCTGAAATCTTTGACTCTTCTTTTGTTTCTATCCTACTGAAATTTGTCTTTTTCTTAACCTACGTCTTACTCCCTTTCTTTTGAAAGCCCTTGTTTAATAATATCAGCATTGTAAAGATTAGTCTGTTTTTCAGTGATCAAAAGCTTTTAAAATAGAACATGCCTCTCCAATATATGTGTGTTTGTTTATTTATAAAATGAACACATGAGTTACTCTAAATAATGGGCTTCACTAATATACAAATATTTTTGCTTAACACTTGTTTAACTAAACTCTGGTTCTCACTCGTTTCTTTAATTACTTAATTTAAATATCTCTCAGTGCTGAAAAAGATAACTCAAAATAGAAATGCCTAAATAGAAGAATCATAAGAATAGTTGTTCAAATTTTATCTCATTGATCATTTTCCCATCACATTCACTAATTAAGATTTACTTTGGTTAAAATTCCAAAGAATTCAATATTATGTTTTAATTACATCAGAAAAACTATATATTTATTGTTACAAATCGATTATTTTTTCAAACTAATGACAATATCTTGCTTTTTGTTTTTAACAAATGGTTTTAAAGCCTAAAGTTTCTGGAAGATTTTTTTTTATTATTATACTTTAAGTTCTAGGGTACATGTACACAATGTGCAGGTTTGTTACATATGTATACATGTGCCATGTTGGTGTGCTGCACCCATTAACTCGTCATTTACATTAGGTATATCTCCTGATGCTATCCCTCCCCGATCCTCCCATCCCATGACAGGCCCCGGTGTGTGATGTTCCCCTTCTTGTGTCCACATGTTCTTATTGTTCAGTTCCCACCTATGAGTGAGAACATGCAGTGTTTGGTTTTTTGTCCTTGCAATAGTTTGCTGAGAATGATGGTTTCCAGCTTCATCCATGTCCCTACAAAGGACATGAACTCATCCTTTTTTAATGGCTGCATAGTATTCCATGGTGTATATGTACCACATTTTCTTAATCCAGTCTATCATTGATGGACATTTGGGTTGGTTCCAAGTCTTTGCTATTGCGAATAGTGCTGCAATCAACATACGTGTGCATGTGTCTTTATAGCAGCATGATTTATAATCCTTTGGGTATATACCCAGTAAAGGGATGGCTGGGTCGAATGGTATTTCTAGTTCTAGATCCTTGAGGAATCGCCACACTGTCTTCCACAAAGGTTGAACTACGTTATAGTCCCACCACCAATGTAAGTGTTCCTATTTCTCCACATCCTCTCCAGCACCTGTTGTTTCCTGACTTTTTAATGATCACCATTCTAACTGGTGTGAGATGGTATCTCTTTGTGGTTTTGATTTGCATTTCTTGGATGGCCAGTGATGATGAGCATTTTTTCATGTGTCTGTCGGCTGCATAAATGTCTTCTTCTGAGACATTTTGTTTTTTTTAAAAAAGAAACAAGTTAGAAACGTTCGTTTCCTTTTTGTATGCTATTTATGTTTTACATGTGCAGAGATTAGTTTCTTTAAATGGTAGTTCACTTACGTCATGTCCAATAACTAAAGAATATAACCAAAGAAACATCTCCAAATATCTATTTTCTAAACAGTTTGCCTACCATACATTTATTTATGAGAGCATTGGCCTTCTATTTGTTAAAGCATCCCATTTTTCTTAGTTGCATAAATTAAATATATTTTGTTTTTCAAGAGCTGATGGGTGGCATACAGTGGAAAAGATACTATCTTATTTGTATCTATCAGAAAACTAATGCTAGACCAACAAATTTGAACCTCTTTTCTTTCATAAAGGAAAAATTTGTAGTCATTTACTCTTCTCTCTGGATAACTATCAGCTGTGCAGAAAAAGAAAAGTTTCTTAGTCAATCCTCAAATTTTAACAAATTACTACAAAGACAAACATTGTTTAGAAGTGTTGACTTTATACAATTAGACTCATCAATGACATTTATGTGTATTTCTTGCAGCAACGTTTTTGGGCCGTAACTGACCTATGAAAAATGCAGTAAATGAATTTCAAATGTAATATTATCATTAAATAGTGGATATAAATCTGTATTTCAAATAGTGTTCTAAATAAATTCTTCTGTATTTTTTGAACAACTTCATTTTATAGCTGATTAAATTAGAATTATTTTCACCTGCTGATGCTGTTATTTTTGTTTTTTGCTTATGCTTGCATATTTGGCATTATCTCAACACTCACTGAAGCTTGAGGGAGAAGAGACTTTCAAGCTGCTTATCAATCTTATGAGGATCAGTTTGGTTAAAGCTAAATAAAATAATTTATAAACTACTTAATTTAGAACATATAAACTGCAATAAGCTTAAATGCAGTGAAAATGAATGTGGAGGTTCTAAGTGCTTGCCTGCTGTAAAACTAACCTTTTTCCTCCCAGTATCCATAGCCTATTTTAAAACAAATGTCCACTTGCCCATATGAAATTTTTAAAAAATCAGCTGCAATCTGTATGTTCAATAGCAGCAAATCTCAACTTCCTTCTTTTTTCGAAAAATGATCATAAATAACAGTTCTAACACTTCTCCTACTTCCCACTAGATTAGATACATGTGATCTCTTGTGCTTTGATCCCTCTTTGCAGGTTTTAAACCTAGAAGAGAGATTTGAATGAATTTTGAATTTTTAACTTTTGGCTTTGCTAGGGATTATTTAGGTGTCTTTTGTGTGTATGTGTGTTTCTGTATAATTTGAAAAGTAGTATTGATTGCATCTACTTTTAAAAAACTTGACTAAAAAAGCATATACACAGAGAGCACTTGATGTTAATACAAAGAAAAGCAACACATGAGGTATTGATTGTGTAATTATGTAGCACACAGCATAATTATGGGTCCTTGATAAATACTGAATGATGGTTACAATTATTGTCAACTTAAAAAATATTGTCTGAAATAATATCATTTTAGCCCTCCTTCTTTTCAGATATTCCCTGAAAGAGGAAAAAAATAATAGAATCTGTGGAAGTTTACTTTTATTTCAGTCTGGAGGGAAATGTCAACCAGGTGTTTAAGGTTTTGTTGATGATCTGTCTTTATTGTGGTTGTAATACTGCTTTAGTAATGTCGAGGAAAAAGTAAAATTAAAGATGGTCTTTTATAGTGGGCATGAACTTCTAAGAATTTCTGAAGACCCAAATATTTGCATTATGAGAGAAGAGTATCAAAATTTCCTAAAGAACACTCTAGTAGAAATAATACTGAATGTTTATGGATTTTGCGTTTAAATAAGAAAATATAGTGTTTATCTACCATATTCATCTCTTGATATATTGTTAGCCTCCCGACCTCATATTTTTTTTTACAACTCACTGCATTGACCAGCCCTTTTCCTACCTGGGCACCTGAACACAGTATAGTAGAATTATGTAGCACCCCTGTAAATGCATGTTGCTTTAACTTGACAATGCTATTTCGTTTGAGTCTCCTGGTATAGAACTGATAAGGAGAACTAACATTTTGTTATGCTCAGTATTGTATTTGATTGTGTTCTCATTATCTTATCTACACTATGTTATTTTCCTTTGCTGTATGCACAGTATTCCCATAATGAGATATTGTTCATCTTTATATAACTAGGGCACATGCTAAATCTCTGCAGACATAGTTCTTGGCCAAAGTGTGAGGACAATTTGTATCTAATAATGGGGCCATTTCAGAGCTGAAAGTAATTTTGACTGTCTTTGGTCATATTATTGCCTTGAAAAAGCAAGGGTAACTTGAAAAATTACCTGGACAATGAGAATAATTTTGCCATCATTTTGTAATGGCGAAAATATGGTTATCATCAATTTCTTTAAATAATGTAAGGTATACATTCATTTAGCCAATTTATAAACAGTTTGTATACATACATAAATATATATATATTTGTTGGCTTGCTAGAATGATCCAGTAATAATGATAAATAGCAAAGTTTAGAAAACTTTATAAGACAATACACATAAAGGAGGTTCAAACAGTTTATGGGGCATGGCAATACACAATATGAGTAAGCTATTATTATTTTAATGACCTGTTTATATTCAACATTTTAAAAAAATCTTACCAACTGTACTTTGAAAAGATCATCGTAACATCACATTTTAATTAATACAATTGAGTTTTAGGTACGAAATGCCCTCATTTCTTTCTAAACATTATGCCTATGAACACTGAAGAGTATTTTTATATTCCAGTTAACATTGTAAGTTATGTTAGTTTGCTTTTTAATAAACACAATTTTATTCTAAGATTAAACCACAGAAAGAAGAATTTTATGACTGGCAAATTATGGTTTAACAAATATGTTTATTATTGGCTATTAATCAGCAGATTATTTCCATTCTTTGAGCTAATTGTATATACTTGTGTTACTTTCATTTGCTGCAAATTTGTTTTGAATTCAGATAGGTAAATTCCATGATTATCCTTTATGATATTTTGTTTATTTTTCACACAGAACTGATAGTAAAAATAATATTTTTGTATATATAGTAGAATATTTGAGCTTGTCCTCCTTATGTTGACTCTTCTGTGCTGTTTTTATGATGGGAAATGTAGGCTGTGAATGAGTGAATGGAAAGGGAGAATGAATTGAATTAAATAATACTTCGAAGAATTTGGTTTGGACGTAAAAAATGGTATCAGTTAATTCCAAAAGGAATATAATTAAGAAAATTTAAGGATAAATCATTCTAATAGAAATGCAAAGATGATGGTATAGGGGAGAGAGGATTATCATGAGTCTTACTTGGATTTGAAATGAGGACTGAGGTTAATATTATATAATTATATATCAAGAAGTGGCATTTTAAGATGTCTTACAAGGTGGGCTGGAGGAAAGGTTGACTATATGAGAGATAGTGAGAAGTTGATAGACTTTCCACATTGCACATGTAGAAATATTGACATGCCACATATGTGTAGTGTTTCACACCTCCACGTAACTTAAACATTTTATTCAGGATTTTGAGTTTGTGAGGAAAAATCGGGGATTATTCTTTCCATTTTATAACTGGGTAGAGTGAGGTTTAGTAGGGTGAGATGTTTCAAGATCACATTGACTGAATTGTCAGAGCTGAAAGTAAAACTTTAGACTTTCAAGACTAATTCAATATTCATTCTATCACACACACCGCCTCCCTGAAGAATGAATACTCTTGTCTTTGTGTTCAAATTAGAGTGTTAGTGATGAGTTTGGATTCCTAGATCTTTTATAATTTCTGATGTGTGTACTATGTCAGGGGCCGACATGAAGAAAATCAAAGAAATAAATGGCCAGTTTTCTCAGTTTGGCATACTGTACACAATTTCTTAAAGTAGATTAATGTATATAATTTATACTTATGCTGAGAACCTTGAAAAAGAAAAAATGTAACAAGCTTTTACAGCCTTAGCAATTTTTATTCCTTTCTACTTCTCTTCCTCATATGTCATCTTACCTTGGAAATCAATAAAAAGGATTCTCTTTTAAATCCATTTATGTTCAGATTCAACTCAGAATTCAACAAGTGCTTCAAAAAGACAAACTAACCTAGTTCTCCGTACCCTGGGAATTTGCTCTGCTGGATATAGATGCCATTTTAGATTCTTGTGTGTCCCAAAGCTTATTTCTGAACATAGTTTCTCTTTTTAATACAATCTCCATCTTTCTTCTCTTATCCTTGCTGACATTTCATTTCAATCAGGGTTGAGACCTCGCCTTCAATCTTTTTGAATCGACTTTTGATGGATACAGGTGGTTTGTTAACAGCAGCAGCACCTATTAGAGCAGTGGTGTCTGTCGGTCTTTGATTTTCTCCCTACAGGTCGTTGTTTATCTTATTCCTGTCTATTTTAGAAACTTCAATGGATTTTAAAAATATATTTAAAAGCCAATTTACCATTTTGAAAGTGATCATTTTCTTTTATTGTTGTTTTTGTTATATCCAAGGACATAGTGTTGTACTTTGATGGAAGTTTTCCTGCTTTGTTATCTACTAACATCATCAGAGAAATAAAGAAGAATGTTCTCAGTATGTAAGCTATATCCTGAAAATGTGTTTAAGTTTTTGGAAGTTTCCCTATTCTTTAAGTTCAATAATGAAACTTCTGATAAGTAAATGCTTCACTTAACTGTTTTTTAAGGAAAGAATTATATTTAAAATGATAGGTTTCAATATGTTGTTTTGTCTGACATTATAGAATAGATGAATTAATGAATTTTAAACTTTTCTCAATTTAGAAACATTGAAGTCTGTATTTCATGAAATAATGCTAATTTTTCCTATATAGACAAAATAAGAAAATCATAAATCTCCTGAATTTAAGAACAAATTCCAGGGCTATTTTGCTACATAAAATTAGTGCAAAAGAACAGGATATAATCTCATAATAAAGATTGGACTATATTCACCTGAGTAATTAATCCTAGATTGAATGGCCATGAGCTGTGAAAGAGGCCTTGAGCTCACAAGTATTTGCTTGAAAATTGTAATTAAAGAGAGGGCAAGAAAACCGAACAGGCAAAAGCTTAGACAGTTTTTGCTGATAACAGTGGAGGTACAAATTTTTGTGGGTTGTAACATGGGAAGATTGGTTGGATTAAAGCAGGTATCACATCTTGAGTTGTAATTTGAAAGAATACTCACAGATTGATGAAATCTGATTAATTTAAGAGATAAGCAAGTTCAGTTTGCTTATCAGCCAACAGAGCTCCTGGGTTTTGTTATTTTTAATATAATCACCAAGCATTGAAATGCAAAAAAATACTGAAGCATCCAGAACAGAGAACTGAGGGAGTATAAAATGAAAGTAAAACAAGGAGATTATAATTTATTTTTAAAGTACTTTTCATCTATTCTTATAATCATATTATATAATTTTCTAAGAAATGTTCACAGTTCTTAAATAACACCTCAAAGCAATGTAAAAATATTAACTAATAAGCAAGGAAATAATGAAATTACTGATCATATGAAGAAAATTCTCCATATTAATATATAACATTATTTCATAGAACTCAAGTAAAGCCCACCTTGAAAAAAAGTAGTATATAATAAAAAAGTGACCTGTTAGTATTTAATTATGCTAAGCCAAGTAAATGAAATAAAAATATGTTAAAAATGCAATTTAAAGTGATAGGAGAAATTTGGAATACTCAAAGGCACACACGTACACTTATTACACAATAATGCTGTATAGGTATAAAAACAGGTCTTAAAACTAAGATAATTGAAAACAGAGTGCAGCATGTATTTATGTACATATGTCTAGAAATGTTCATGAGTAGTTTTATAAGTAAAATGACACAAACGACATTGTATATGAGATATATGTTGTAGAGTTTCCCAGAATTCAATGGCAATGGAACTTCATTTTGATGAAACCGCCCATATCTAGTGTTCTATGTAATACATTACAGGAAACACTAATTCAGGAATTGTTTGAATGGAAAGCCTGCCATTTGCTATGAAATAATTTTGTTTACTAGCTGCAAATTAAGCAAATGCCAGAGGTTATTGGAAAAGACATTAATGTTCAAATCCTTTACTAATATAGCACTTGGGGGAAATACAGTCTTTCTCTAAGGCAGAAAATGGAGCATACAACAAATATTTCCTTTTATATAACTGAAAATATATTATTATCTTTGAACACATTATGGCTTATAATTCAATTCTAAAGGTGGTAAAAGAAAAATTTCAATAGAATTCAAATACTTATTTAAAATATTACTTGTCTAGTATTACTGCAGTAAACTAAGAAAAACTTAAAATTAGAAAATAATTCAAAATAAACTTTTTATATTAGGAATCATTAGAAAAAACAATAAGAGAATTAACCTCCATTTATCAAGATAAACATTTAAATACAGTGGTATTGGAAGTGGAATTAGCAAATGAATTAATGCAGGAAAGATAGTACAGATGGGTATTAATGGAAATTTTTTAATATTAAAATTGTGGCATTTCAAATTGATGTACTTAACTAATGTACTGGTATAATTGACTGGCCATATGAACTTTATACTAAAAAATATCAACCCCTCTAAAACTACATTAATAATTAAATGCTAGAAAATTTAAAATTCTAAATCTTAAAATTGAAACAATGAAGAAATACCAAATAAAATAGAACATATTTGCATATCCTCAGAGTGGAGATGATATTCCTAAAAAAATTAGATCCAAAAAAAGCACTAAAATTATTTGGTGTTTTTATATATTACAACTTAATGACTTGAAACTTTTAATCCTCAAAATGTTAAAAAAAAAACAGGTGGTAGATTCAAAAGAAACACAGTATTTATAACATGTATACAAAGATAAATATGCAGACTATATATATAACACTTCTACAAATCAATATAATAATAATATTAAAATGGCAATAGTAATTAAAGAAAAAATATCTGAACAAGTGATTCACAGGAGAATTAAAAATAGTCTAAAGAAGCATGAGAATACAATTAACTTTAAAACAATCTAGGAAAAAGCAAATGAATCACAATAATCGAAATATTAAATTATTTCACTATAAAACTATTTGGCAAAGGACACACTCAAATGGTGCTGCTAGGTGTGCAAATAATTACAGATTGTCAAAGGCAATTTTGATTGTCACTTCCACTTCTAGTATTGTATTATACAAAATAGTTTAGATATGATCAAAGTATATGCACAAAAATATTATAATTATATATGCAGTCATAAAAATTATTTATATTATTGAAGATATTCTATTAAATGTAAAAACAAGTCACAAGTTTATAGTATGATTCCTTATTTATATGTACATTTTTAAATTAACAACAAAAATAAAAAGTATGAGAATATATATACATAGCTGTAAATACTACCTTCCTTTGCTGATAAGAGTGGTTATATATAGTGAAGAAAGACTTTTGATTATCATAGTCTACATTTAGATATTACTTAAAGTTCACATAATGAGTTTCTCTTTATTTCAATACTTTTTAATGTAAAGAAATAAAAAGACATTTTGCAATTTATAGTTATAGAGGTATTTGTTACTTATACCCTAGCCTGTTGCCTCTAGCATATTTCAGATAACTTCAATCATATAGGAAAACAGAGAGACTTTTTTCATACCAAATTCTCAATTTCAGCATTATATCTTTTGCTTGTGTGAAATCCTTATTTGTTTTACTTCCCAAATTCTCTAATTTTAAATTGTTATAGATGTTTCCAGAATTATAAGATAGGATGATATAAGTTACTTAAATACTACTAAGGAGGAACACAGACATAAAATATTATTTTACTATATTATCCAGATTTAGCAAGTAATTTCAGGAAGTGTATCTAAGTTAATTGTATTAAACTCTCCTGTACTGGTCACATACTGTCCAAAAACATTCCTTATATATATTTTTTTTATGAGGACTGTAGCGAATCACGAAAAGAGCAGAGTGCTTTTTTGATAAAGAACTTTATGTTTTTTCTCCTACTCTCAGCTACAAAATGGTGGTTTAATTAAGAGGCAGGCTGGAGGGATTGCTGTGTAGAGAGAGGAAAGCAGAGAGCTTCCAGAGAATAAAAATCGTTTGTGTCCTAAACACATTTTGTCCTAGAGCAAAATTATATCTTTACTTGTTTTTGGCAGATAATCAACCTTATTCCCTAACTTTTGTTGCTATAAGTGCAGCAGATGTACAGATGGATACCTGGGATGATTTGATAGACTCAGAGTTTAGGAAGAACAGGCAGCTGCTCTGAGCCACACTCACAGCAGGAGAGGAGTTAAGGGGAGACAACAATGACTGCACGGGGTCTTCTTTCTTGGCAAAAAACCTGTTATCTGGCATGAAAGAAGCAATTTCAATATGCTGGTTGATGATTCTACAATGGGGACATGTACTTAGTTACAGAGGTGGGCTTTATCCAATAGATTCCCAGAGTCCTTGATACTGGTTTTTCGATGGACACACATTTGTTCAAGAAGTTTTGGACCTCTCAGGATTGCACTGGAAATCTTCAATTATCTCCCTTGAAATCAGAGTGGCAATGTGAAGATCAGTTAAGTAGGAAACGCTTTTGTACAAAAAGCAAATAACAATTTAATCATTCTTAATTTTCTGTGTATGGTACTGACTTTGACATAATGAAAATCAAGGTAAGTTTTACCATTGTTCTCATTTTTAATTGTAGCTGCTCTTTGGCATTATTTTTCTAAACACTGTAAACAACATTAGGAAAATTGTATTTTAGAAAGAAACAAAATTTACTTAGTGCAGGATGTAAAAAGGAAAAGATACAAAAAGATATGTGCTAAAAGCTTTTTATCATAGTTAAGGCTTTCCAAAGTCATAGTGACTTAGTTCAAGTCTCAGAATTTCAAAGTGCACCTAATAATAAAAGTAAGGAATTTGTATATAAACATTAAACTATTTAAGGAAAAAGAAAGAAATGCATTATATATTGAAATGATATGATAAAACTCAAATTATTTTAATCAAAATAAACATATCTTATATAAACTATTAAACCAACAGTCTTATCACCATCAAAACCACCATTGTCAAGATCGTCAAATCTTCAGCCTCTCAGTTCTGTTGGTTTATTCTCAATCCTCTTCTTGACTTCTTATTCAAGGCAATTGTCAGAGTTCATTTCTCTTTTCTGAAAAGTTAATAAAAGCAGGTGGAGTGTGAGAATGGAAGGATATGTGTCAAAACATGGAGAAACAACACAAAAGAAAGTTTCTTTTTTTCTCTCCTCTCAGTTTCTTATCACTTTGGCCTGAGGGCAGGGTCCAGTCAAGGGCTGGATGGCAGAGCATTGGTGTGGGCAGCTAAGTGTCTGAAAGAATCTGATCTTCTTGGCCAGAGGTATCAGGAAATGTACACTGTGAGGCCTAGAGATGATGAGGAAAATCTCAAAGAGACAGCTAAATGATAATTCCTCGTTTTATGTATGATCCTTGACACATCTTATGCTCACCTCTGACTACACAAGGGACAGAACCAAAGTAGCATAGCAGAAGGTTTTAGATCTGAACTGAGATTTTTTTTTGGAGGGGGGTAGCTGTACCATTTTATTTATTTATTTATTTATTTATCTATCTATCTTCAGCATTTATTTTAAGTTCTGAGGTACATGTGCGGGACGTGCAGATTTGTTACACAGGTAAACATGTGCCATGGTGGTTTGCTGCACAGATCAACCCATCACCTAGGTTTTAAGCCCAGCATCCATTAGCTGTTCTTCCTCATTCTCTCCCTCCCCACCTGCCCCGCAGGCCCCAGTGTGTGTTGTTCCCCCACCCCCACACTGAGATTTTAGCCACCACCCAAGTCTGAGAAAAATTTTGGAATGGAGCTTGTGTTTTTCAGATGCAAGGCAGCCTAACTAAGGATTGATAGCAATCATTTCTCACAGAAGGCATGAGTGAATTCGCAATTTGAAGGTAAATTGGATGATTCTCTGCCAAAACAAGTGAAGAAACATAACCAAAACAAAACCAACATTTTTGTACATGATTGTGACAGGATCCAGATTCTATATAATTTCGTATTTGAAATGTCAGGAAACAATCTAAAGTGTTTTGACATACAAAGAACCAGAAAAATGTAGGCATCCATGCACTCATATACTCACCCTCAGTATATGTGTAAAGCAGTTTCAGAATTTTTAGGCTCTACTCTCAGGAGAAACAAACTTACCAACTAGAATATAGTGTTTATATACAGTGTACTTTTATATTTAGCCTTGGAGTTTCTAGTCAAAACACTGTTTTCCAGAATTAGTCAACTTAGCTCATTTTTTTCCTACTCTGTTCAGTGTGATTATGTCATGAGTTTGTAATAAAATCAGATTCATTTGTTGCAGTCTACAGAAACAGCACAATCAATTCTAAAGAAAAAGTATAATCAACAGATGTCAATCCTCAGATGACTCAAATGTTAGAATTACTTGGAAATTATTTAATGGAGCTATCATAACTGAATTAAAGATAATTACAAATAAAATGAACAAAAAGATATATATTCTTGGCAGAGAAATAGAAATTATGAAATTAAATATCTAAAATACAAATTTTATTTGATGATGAATAGAAATTATAAAGAAAAGAACCAGTGAGCTTTCAGATAGGTCAACAGAAGACAACAAATCAGATGAATGAACAAAGAGAATCAATTATTGAAAAGCTATAAACAGAGTCTTGGTACTTATGGGAAATTTTCAAAATTATTAAAGTTTGAGTCATTAGAGTTCTAGGAAGATAGGAGAAAAAGTCTGGGGTAGAAATATACATTTGTGGAAATAATGATGGTAATCTTCCCAAATGTGGTAAAAGACATAAATTTAGATACAAGTATGTCAAGAAGTAAACATCAAATAAGATGAACTACAAATAAACCTTGCCCAGACTCATCACAGTCAAACTTCTGAAAACCAAATGTTTTATATATATGTATATTAATAATATATAACATATAATAATATATTATATGTTATATATATGCTAGAAAATAATAGACTGCAAATACGGGAATAATAATTTGTTAACTGTGGATTTCTCATCAGAAATCAAAGACCAGGAGACAGGTGAATGATGATTTCACCTGCTGAAAAGAAAACACCTCCTAAGCTAGAATTTGATATTATCTATACCTATATCATATATATCTATATCATCATATATATATCATTCATTCAAAATGAAGTAAAATAAATTCATTGCTAAATAAGACAAAATAAAATAATTTGTTGTTAAAGCCCTGCTCTAAAAGAAATACTGAAGAAAGTTCTTAAAATTAGAGAAAAATAACAGAGAGAACCTTGGTACAGGAAGAACAACAGAACTGGTAAATCATTACGCATAAAAGAGTAGTTTTTATCTTACATTATTTAAAATAAATAAAACTTTATTCACAGGAGGACATGACTGTTCACCTAGAAAATCCCAATAAATTTTCAAAATATCTACTAAAATTATTAAGTTTAGCAAGAATGGAGAACACAAGGTCAAAGTAAAGTAATAAGTTGTATTTTTAGTTATTTTATTTGGATATTGTGTATTTGGATTTTTCCATGTACTATTTATAATAACAATAAAATACATGAAATATTTAAGTACCAATTTAAAAAATGCATGTAGGAACTACATACTATAAAGTATAAATCACTAATGAAAACAAGTAACTAAGATCTGAGTAACTGGAAATATACACCATGCTTGTCCATTGAAAAATTACATATTGTTAGGATATCAATTTTGCCACATAGATCTTTAGATTTAATGTAATCCCAATCAAAATTCTATTAGGACTTTATATCAAAATTAACAAACTATTCTAAAATTCATATGGAGGTTCATTGGAACCAGACTAGGCAAAATAAACCAAAAAATAAAATTGTGGAAAACATAATACCTAATTTCAAGACTTATGATAAAGTTACAGTAATGAAGACAGCACATATTGATGAAAAACTGCTAAATCCAAGGTATGTAAGAAAGAGTCCAGAAACAGAACTGCAGATATATGGGTAATTGATTCTCAAGAAAGGTGCAAATGCAAATCGAATTATCTTCAATTCAATGAAGTTGGGACTGTCTCATCTTTCATGGTAGAAACAAAGATTTCTCTTTTCTGAAAAAGACATTTAGTCTGGACATGAATTCCTTTTTGCAATCTGCAATACTTTTTTTCAGTACACCATCAGTGGATTCATGGGGTGACATCTTTAATATCACAGAACACATACAAAATATCTTCTGACCAGGAAATTCACTTAAAGTGATTGAAGTGTGGCAATAGGCTTAATTCCACCAAATATATTCATGGTGTTATAATATTCATTATCCTACAGCTTACCTAAACAAAATGGAACAACGGAATGGCTACTAGAAACTCAGTTACCCTTGAGCCCAAGAGTTTGAGACAGCCTGGGCAACATGGTGAAACCCCCTGTCCACTAAAACAATACAAAAATTAGCTGGGCCTGGTGCTGCACCTCTGTAGTCCCAGCTGGAGGGAGAGGGCGCTGAGGTGGGAGGATCACCTAAGCCCGGGAGGTTGAGACTGCAGCTATGACTCCACTATCAGTTATGACACTAACTGGGTGACAACATTTGTTAAGCTAGTGGTTTTCTTCAAATTGTAAGATGCTCCAAATTTGCGATCAGCATGTGGCATCATTTCTCCCATAACCAGAATTTATAAGCCAACGTGTGGAAATATTTGTTTCCCATCTCTGCATATTCAGGCTTTTCTGATTCTCAAAGAAACATGCTTTCACTAGGTGACCCAACACAAATTACATTGAATCGGAAGGAGATTGCCCCTTGGCCATTTTAGAACAGACAGGCACATAAGGAATCTAATGTACTAGCTGGTATGACAGATCCTGATTATCCAGGTTATAGAATTACTAATATAAAATGAGGTTAATACTGAATATGTCTGGAATCAGTGTCATTTCCTAGTACTAAGTTTATTGATATATATAAATAAGAAACTATAACAATTGCATACAGGCCAGACTGCTAATGACAACGACTCCTCTGAAACAACAATTTGGGTCACTTCCCTATTCCCCCAGATAAAAAAACCATGACTGGCTGTGGTGCTGACTCAGGGCAACAGAGTAAATGGAAAGATAAGGAGAAAGGAAGTTACAAATATTAACTTTGGCCACACAACAAGCTGAAGAAATGAGGACTGTAGTAGTTACATACTTTTCCTTCTTTGCTTTGATATGTATATATTTTTATATATCAAACAATTATTTTTTTCTTTTTTCCATTCCCCTCTAATTTCACATAAGGTGTGTTAATAATGGGTAACCCTGTATTTCAGTATTTAAGTTAGAGGACATGAAAAGGAGATTGTGACAGTTATGACATTTGAAAATCATAAGGAGACAGATACAATGACCTAACTTCTATATGAAACTATTCATTCCCATTTTATACAAACTGGCTTATGTTTTTTGTTATTGCTGATATTGTTTTGTTTGTTTGCTTTTTTTTCCCTGACCAAAATTCTGTGTCCGACAATGCCAGAGCATGCCGATTAGTACGAAGCCAGTTATTTCCAAGGTGCTGAGCATGTACAGATCTCTACCACTTCTATCAGTAAATTTTAAAGTATTTCAGGTGACCACTGACAATAACTTAAAAAAAAAAAAAGTGAACTTTCTGATTCCTGTTGTTACAGCATCTGTATATTTTTGGAGACATTGCCTCCAAAAATGCTATTTGGAAATATTTGAACACTGGTGGTTGGGTCAAAGCAAGTGATCTGTTTAGATAAGATGGAATGTGATATGTGTTTATGCAAGTGCTTCACTTGAATGAGGAATATCTGGCTGATTTTGTTAAATTATGGGGCCTTGTAACTAAAAACATTTTCTCATACCTTGTTAAGAAACAATCATTTTGAAGATAAAAATAAATAAATGAGTGAACAGGACAAACCCTAAATCTCTTTGCCTCTCCTTTTATATATTTGTAGCATTATCATAAAAATAGCACTTGTGAGAGTCGAATGGCGAAATATTTGTAAATGTATGACACAATGCTTGTAAATATGCAATGCATAGTTTTCTAGGAGCATCAGGATTATAGGACTGAGTTCACACTTTCTAATATTCTGTAGGAAATTTAATATTCAGATCTTTTCTTAAAGGTGTTAAAGTATTCACAAGCTAATACAAGTTTTATATTGTATTGACTTCACTTATTCCAGAGAGATGAGATGCTTTCAAAATCAGATCTTCTGAATTATTGAAATACTTATTGAAATAAAGACTCTGGTTCTCCTAATGCTGTGCTTTGCCTTACTGCTGTCCCCTGCTCCCTGCCCCAAACAAGGGCCAAAGTTCCTGGAATACTACAATTGTGGATGATCCTCTGCTAACACAATTGATTTCTATCTCCACTTGAATTAATTGTTTGCATCGACTGGCAGAAATTCAAAGAACCAAATGATTTGTTCCCTGGGAAATGGCAGAAGATTTGAAGTGATACTCAAAATGAACAACATGATACCTTTGTGTTAATATACAGCTACTTTCCTGTGGTATAAAAATAATTAAAATATTTTTAAAGATCTATTTATTTCTTGAACTCTTATAAGAAGAAATTACATCTACAGTTTTTAGAAATAAAAATGCTGGCCGGGCCCAGTGGCTCATGCCTATAATCCTAGCACTTTGGGAGGCCAATGCGGGTGGATTGTCTGAGCTCAAGAGTTCGAAACCAGCCTAGGCAACACGGTGAAACCCCATCTCTACTTAAAAAAAAAAAAAAAAAAATACAAAAAAATTAGCCGGGCGTTGCGGCGTGTGCCTATAGTCCCAGCCACTCAGGAGGCTGAGGCAGGAGAATTGCTTGAACCTGGGAGGCGGAGGTTGCAGTGAGCCAAGATCATGCCACTGCACTCCACACTCCAGCCTGGGTGACAGAGCAAGACGCCATCTCCAAAAAAAAAAGATAAATAAAATAAAATAAAATAAAATAAAAAATAAAAATGCTTACTGAATTAAAATTACATTTCAGCATATGCTAATACTAGTGCTACTGCCATATAAATATAGGAAACTCAAACATTAATTTTGATGACCATATTGCAGACAACACTTAGAATTCGTTGACTGCTGAGCTCTATCTTATATGTGGTTTGCTTATTTCAAAAGCCCTCCCAACCTTGATCAGTATTTAAATACGGTATGTGGCAAGTATTTTTTTTCTACTAACTTCTTACAACTACAGTGAAGTCAAATAAGACCATACATTCAAAAATTAAGAAATACAAGAGAACACAGACAATATTGAGAATAAAGATAGATCAAACACTATTTCCGACCTTGAAAATGTATTAGACATGCCAAAATAGTACTTTTCAAATATCCATCACTATTACTTTTTCTTATATTTTGTTCCTCACATCCAATCAGCTACTTATTCTATTAATTATTTTGTTAATTCTGTCATAAATTTATTCCCTGTCATTCCTACTTGCATTTGCATTTTCATCTGTCACATCTGAAATTCTGTAGTCATTTTCTAGTAGGTGTTTCCCCCTCTAATCTATCACGCTCTTTTAATCTTTTTGCCTATCCGATTAATTTTCCTAAAACATTAATGTCATTTATAATTCTCTGCTGAAGGCCTTTAAATAGTTTCATTTTGTTCTTCTTTATTTTTCTTCACTCAAATTTACTTGTTTTATATTTTCCTTTATGGATCAAGCTGCTTGCCTTTGGCAAACTTTGGGATCAATCAGACCTAAATTAATAGCTTAATTTTTTCCCTTCTAACTGTGAGATTTGTTCTGGTTCTTCAGACTCTCAAACCATTACATTCCTTATCTGTTAAATGGAGAGAAAACTAATATGGCTGCCTCATAGGATCACTGTGAGAATTAAAGTGAAATAATGCATATGCTGGGTTCAGTATTTAGCAAATAAGTATTAACTATTCAATGTGTCATTTAACCTAGAATAGAAAGAAGACGATTAATGTAATTAATGTTTAAATGTTGGCCTACTCTCAGTGACCCTTCACATAAAACCTGAGAAGCTCTCCCCCATTCTTTGCCTCTGGCTTTTTTAGCTAAATTATTTGGCTCCATCCTCTCCTTCCCCAAAACCACCACTGATCCTGTTAGAAAAATCCAAAGCTTAGTATTCTCCCAAATAAATGGTAGCCAGCAGAGAGCTTGAGAATAAAATGGGTGTTTCATTCTTTTTTTCTCCCTCTGGGTAGAGTTTTGTGTAACTGAGATCATATGGTATATACCATTCCACATAATACTTTAGCACTTAGATGGTATAAAACCTTTCTCACACAATTACAATAACTTGGCAGATATACTTTAAATGGATGTTGAAATACTTTTGGACATGCCACACTTTACTTAGACATTCTTTTAAAGCCGAAAATTAAAGTTGTTTCTAATTTTTTATTTTATATAATGCAGGTAATAAGGTACATTTCTGTGAAGAAAACTTTGTTAAAATTGATTATTTTCCTTGGTTTTCATCTTAAAAAAAGAATTCTTATATTTTGGGTATGAAATTTTATATATATTACTGAAGTTGTATTTATAATTTCTTTGTTTTACCAAATTGCACTCTAATATTGAGATTGCCATTTTAAAAATCACGGTTAGTTGCATTTTGCTTTTCTTTTCTTTTCTTTTTTTTTTTTGAAACGGAGTCTCGCTCTGTCGCCCAGGCTGGAGTGCAGTGGCGCGATCTCCGCTCACTGCAAGCTCCGCCTCCCGGGTTCACGCCATTCTCCTGCCTCAGCCTCCCGAGTAGCTGGGACTACATACAGGCGCCCGCCACCGCGCCCGGCTAATTTTTTGTATTTTTAGTAGAGACGGGGTTTCACCGTGCTAGCCAGGATGGTCTGGATCTCCTGACCTCGTGATCCACCCGCCTCGGCCTCCCAAAGTGCTGGGATTACAGGCGTGAGCCACCGCGCCCGGCCTTCTTTTTTTTGAGACAAAGTCTTGCTCTGTCACCACACTGGAGTGCAGTTGTGCAATCTTGGCTCACTGCAACATCAACCTTCTGGGATCAAGCGGTTCTCCCACCTCAGCCTCCTGGTAGCTGGGACTACAGGCCTGTGCCACCATGCCCACTAATTTCTGTATTTTTTGTGGAGCGGGGGTTTTACCATGTTGTCCAAGCTAATTTCGAACTCCTGGGCTCAAGCAATCTGTCCACCTCAGCCTCCCAATGTGTCTGGATTACAGGCATGAGCCACTGTGCCTGGCCTTTTAGTTGTTATTTGAAACAATTAGTTCACTATTTTTCATTTTAATTTTCTGTAATTACAAATGAGAAATTGTAATGCATATTTATTTTTGTATTTATTGTCTAGATAAACTTTGGTCTTTGTAAGTCTTCTCACAAAACTCTCATTAAAATTTTCATTGTAATTACATTAAACTTAAGACTAGGTTTATAAATAATTGACCTATTTATTCATTTTTTATCCGTTTATTTAAGTTCTTATGTAGCAAGATTTATATGTCTAGAAGAGTCTGCATATTTATTTCTGTTTGCACATAGTGTGTGCATTACATATTTTTTATTCATGCATACCATCTCATAGTCATGCTACAAATCCTTTAAGATATTTTGCATAAATACTTTCAATAAAGATGAAATAAGAATTTTTGATATTAGAAATTATAGAAGTTATAAGTTTCAGCCTAAAGAACCACATGCACAATGCATTATATGTCTTTAGGATAGTTTGCGTTTCTTAATATGAAACAGTGTAGTAGAGTTATTAAAGATACAGACCTTGGCTTATTCCAATGGATTTTAAACCCAGCTCTACTACTCACTGCTTTGTAATGTTTTGCAAAATAATTGAATTCTCTAAGACTTTCCTGACTTGCAGTATGGAAATAATAAAAGCTGTAAGACTACTATTGGGATGTCTTAAGTCTGAAATGAAGATGAAATGAAATCAGTAGAGTATAATGTTAGAGAAGAAACAACCAGTAGAGTTTAGATATTTATATTATTAGTAGTATATTTCTCTAAATATTTCTCTTTGTCTCTGCATTTTCTACTGGAACATAAGCCTCCATTTCTTTCCTTTTAAATACTACCATTTCATCATACTGGATGATTATAAAGCTT
Organism: Homo sapiens; assembly: GCF_000001405.40. Classification (NCBI taxonomy): domain Eukaryota; kingdom Metazoa; phylum Chordata; class Mammalia; order Primates; family Hominidae; genus Homo; species Homo sapiens. The sequence goes on from NC_000013.11 coordinate 67,499,087, forward strand.
TTTACCCTTGGGGTGAAGTGAAGATAAATCACAAATGAGCTTTTATTTCCTGACTCAGTCAAGGGGCTGTCCTTTCAAAAAAACATAGGCAGTAAGGCCTTGAACATTCGCTGGAGAGAGATTACAGTTTGGACCTTTTTTTAAAAAAAAAAACCTAAGAATGCCTAGCGGAAGCTATATTATAAATAACAGAATTTTAATAGTGAGAATATTAAAATACGTTCATTTTCAGGGAAAGGCTAAGTATTGCAGCTGCTGAGGACTGAGATTTTTGTGTTTTTTTTTTTTTTTTTTTTTTTTTTTTGGTGTGTGTGAGTAGTCACAATGTAGAAGACAACATATAATTTGATGAACAATATCCTCAACAACATTTCTTCTGCACCACAGCCACAGGTTTTTTAACGCTGCTTCCTAGAAATTTCACCTCTGTCGATAGATGATAGGATGACAATGGGCAAATCAATAAAAGTAATTCTAAAGGAATCGCAGAAAATGTAGTTCAAGTATTTAGTTCCTTGAGGATATGACTTAATTCGGGGCAGTTTTGTCATCTTTTTCATGTAGTTTCCAACATTTTTGTTAAAGTTATTTCTAGAGATTGTATGTGTACTTTTTAAGTGTCAGTGAAACTAGAATGTAGAAGAATGTCCTTGACCATGAGAACCTCACAATATAGTATGGAAGTCAGATCAGTAAAGAGGTCATCCAAACATATGCCTTAAGAGATATCCTAGAGTTACTAACACAATACATGGTTCACAAAGGAGGGGGCAGCTTGTGCTCTGTGTTGGAAGTAGGTAACCTTTGCACAGAAGATGAAAAAATTGGGCTAAGTCTTCAAAGACGAGTAAGCCTTGCATAGGCAGAGAAAACAGGTAAAGCTCTTGTCAGGTAATGTTTTGTCTGAAAAAAAAATATTTTTTTTGTGACATATAAGAACCATATGAAGTATATGATATAACATGCATAGGAGTTGTGAAATTTCACATAAACCTTGACAATAGTGAAATAAAATTACGATGTTGTATAGTTTTTGTATATGCGGTCAAAACAAACCTACGATGAGGTTTCATTGGAATTTAATCTGTAGATGCTGAATATCGGCATGCATTGGTTTATTGCACTTTGTTTTCATTGTACTTTGCAGTTATTGTCTTTTTTACAAATTGAAGATTTGTGGCAACTTTGTGTCCAGCATGCCTATCAGTGGCATTTTTTCAACAGCATGTGTTTATTTTGAATTTGTGTGTCGCATTTTGGCAATTCCCACAGTACTTTAGATTTTTAAATTATTATGATGTATGTAATGGTTGTCTGTGATCAGTGATGTTTGATGTTACTATTGCAATTGTTTTGTGGTGCCACCAACTGAACCCATACAAGACAACAAACTTAACCAATAAATGTTGTGTGTGCTCTGATTGCTCCACCAACAAGCTCTTCTTTCATCTCTCTCCCTCTCCTTGGGCCTCCTTGTTCTCTAAGATGGAACAATATTGAAATTAAGCCAATTAATTACCTTATACTAGCTTTTAAATGTTCAAGTAAAGATCTGCACATTTCCCGATTTAAGACAAAATGTAGACATGATTAAGCTCTAATTTTGAAAACAGTTCCACTGTGATAAAATGCCTTCAAACAGCATTGCATGCTACAGAGAAATCTTTTGTGAAAAGAAGTATACATCAATGCAGCAAACTTCGTTGTTGTCTTATTTTAAGAAATTCTCCAATGGTGACTTTATACATCCTGAACCCTTTATCCTGTTTTAATCAGGGTCCTTTAATCGCAACAATTTTTCATATTGCATTAATTTTCCCGATTAGTTGTACTTGTAGCCATGCTCACACATTCAAAAAATATTTCTGAAGCTCATTTTTCTGTGACTCCCTCAACGGCCTGTGTAATGTCATTTCAACGTTGCTCATTATTAAGTTGAAATAATTAACTCGGTACCCTGATAGAAAAGTCAATGCCTTTTGTTAAAATTGGACTTTTCTTTTATAGTGTAAGGAGGTTTGTAAATAATTACTAACAAAAGCATTAAATGTATAAATGTGTCTATCACACGCGCAAAAAAAAGAAACTGCCACAGCCAGTCCAGTCTTCATCAACTACCACCCTGATCTGTCAGTCAGCAGCCATCAAGACAAGACTCTCCACCAGCAAAAAGCTGACAACTTCCTGAAGGCTCAGACTATCATTAGCATTTTTAGCAATATGCATATATGTCATCATTGTGCAACTTGACAATTTTTCATTGGACATGGTCATTTAAGCCACACTTACGTCAAGGAAGAGAACGTTATCAGCATTTCTGAAACACAGATGGAGCCCTACTCATTATACCTTAATGTCTCTATTTAATTTTCCAGTGGTACCCTAATCTAGCCGTCTAACATAGATTGACTTATTTCTTGTTTTAGTTCGTATGAAAGTAATCAATCAAGATACACATATTGTTATGTGTGGCTTCTGTCACTCAAAACTAGGCTCTTGAAATTCATTCCTATTTGAGTGCAGTAGTAGGTTGTTTGTTATTGCTGTATAGTATTTCATTTTACAATATATTCATCACCTTAAGTTTGGAACTATTCTCAATATTGTTGCTATGAACATTTAGTACTCTTTTTTTGGTTAACATATGTTTGTGTTTCTCTTGAAAATATATTTGGATTAGAATTGCTACATCACAGAGTGTGCATATATTCCCAACAATTTCACTTTTGCTTTATTTTCAAGATAGACATATGGAAATGCAGGTAGTGTGATTTTGGATGGAAGTTTGCCAGGAGATCAACAGCGACTAATACTTCCTTTTCTACCTCTAATTGTAGTTACTAACTGAAGTCTGATAATACTCTAATAGTTACTCAGCCAAGTAATTATTTCTTTTTATTAAGTTAGCTCCCAGGAGACTTAGTCTTCTGGCTGGTCCACCCAACAAGTACAACATATAATATCAGATGGACACCAAATGGTATAAACTCAGTCTCTCCCTGCCAAGTCTACCACTACACCGATACTGTTTATACAGATATCATAAATGTGAATCCAGATATTGAATTATATTCTAGTGATGTTAGGAAATAAAGTGTGAAGGAAAACAAAATTCACATGAACCTATAGCTGAACTTAAACTAAGAAAAGGAAGCATTATATTTGTTTCTTGTATTGTACGATGAGGTATTCTCTTTAAAAATGGCATAATTCATTTGTACACAGGACAAAGAGTTTTCTGTAACTGCATCCCAGAAAACGTTTACTTTGTGCTCGTTTAAAAAAGGGGAAATAAATGTTTAGAATAAAGTTTATAGCTGTATATTGTTTTATGCAGACACATTGGTAAATAACTGGCAATAGGGTATAAGAAACAAATGAGAGATAAGGAAAGGTGAAGTCCAGAAAAAGCAGAAGTTGGGAAGATGAAGTAAACTGGAAAACTGCAGCAGAGTCTTAGAAAAATAATGTGCTGTTAGAATAATATTGTTCACCCACTATATTCAAGATCATGCATTGGTATATTTTATTAATAAATAAAAGCAACATCTGTTCACAAATATAGTTAATCAGTTGGGGAAAGACATTGCAAGACAAGATGACTTGGACGTAAACCAGCATGTGATGTGCTTTCTGAAAGAGGAATAAAGGGCAATGGGTACACAAGGATAGGAAGTAATCACGAAAAGTCTAGAGGTGAGGGCATTACAATCACGTCTATAAACACATTTACAGCCACTTTGTGGAAAAAGATCTAATATCATGATGTGAACCATGTCATGGACAGCTGAGACTGATAATCTAAAGGAAGAGGATTTTTATCATTAGTCCACAGGAGAAGAAATCATACATTTAAAATAAGAATGTTGCGGGATTTAAAAATATTTGTAAGAGTAAATCTGGAATTCACTCTCAAAGGTTAAGGCTCCTTGGAGGGTAGAGCACATTGAAAATCTGAAGCAAGAGGAGCAGAAACAGAAAAGAGAGTCATGTTGATCATAAAACAATCATATAAAATGGTACAGATTGATAAATACATGTCTGGCTTTTAAAGAAATATATGAAATCAATATTTCTAGGACATTTTATTTTCAAGGTAAGTTGATTAGACGATGAATAGGAAGATGATGATAAGGAAGCAGCAGGAATTATATGTCACAGTAATGAGGTAAGAAAATGATTTTTTATGATCACCAATTATTATGTTAATGAGGAAATTAATCAAATAGGGTAACATAATTGGAAAACTGATGAGTGAATAGGATTGACTATATTACATTAGGGAATAAGCTAAGGCACATAAGAGGAGCACTTTTTTTCTTTTTAAATGCATTTCATACTAGAATTTTCGCCTGAATGTCTGCCTTCAGGAAGGTAGGAGGGAGAAATGACAATCGCAAGTAATTGAAAATTGATTTTCTGGAATTTCAGGGTTTAATATTGGTGGCCTAAAATGTGCTGGTTAATGCCAATTTCTTTCTGTCATGTAAAATGTTCACTTGTAAAAATATGTCTTAATCAACCGCAATAGGACATAGGTTATTTGAAGGAAGGGATGGTGAATTATTACATCTAGGATCTGGTACAATATGTGATACAAATCTGATCACCTTGCAAGAAACACAAGCCCTTGAAGTTAACTCTAGTAAACATCTGTCATAAGGTATCTCAAAGAGTCCAAGGAGAAGAGCACAATTAGTAACATTGTAGCATAGTTAGTACTGCACTGTGTTTTAGTATACTAGACCCCAAACCTGGCAAAATTTCAAAGTTCTGTCTGCATTCATCAAAATTATTTATCTACATTTATACCGAATTCTTTCTCACTCTTTGCAGAACAGCCTTCTCTATTTCTCTGGACCATGTGGTGAAACCACTAGGTGCCTCTGAGTATCCATAATACAGGAGCATTCAGCACTCAGCATTCCAGGAGAGATGAAGTACATCTTTTGTAACACCAATTTGAATTCCCAGGAAGGGGCAGCTGTATGAATAAATCTGATACAGGTACCCAAGTCTGGACCAATCAGCTGCATCCAGGGGTGCAACAACATATGGCTTCAGTGTGGTGCCTGCCCAGAGGACAAACATTTATGAAAGAAGGGATGATTGCTCTGAGATACCCACACTGACCTACAGTTCTCACTGTGGATGTGTTAAATGAATAAAAAGGAAGTCATATTCAGTTCTCCTGTTGTGACTCATGTATTCCTCCTGGACAGAATATTTTTTTCTACCTGAATTATTTTAAGAAAAACATGTAGAATTAATAGAACGGCCAAATGTATTTAGGAGTAGAGGAGATTATTAGAATTTTATCTTTCTTTCAACTTACACTATTTGTCATAAGAGTTAGATGTTTATGGGCACCAATCCCACCTCTTCCACTTAGTTTTGCATGCTTCACATATGCTATTTCCCTCAATAAAATATACCTTTCTCCTCTGTAAAATGGTGAGAATAATTAATAATGAGTCAGTATTATTGTATAGATGAAATGATATATTTAATGAACAGTGCTTAATGTATGCCTAACATATAGCAAGCATGGTATTAGTAATCTATTATTACTTTTATTTTTATCAGAAAATTATCTTACTTTTCTTTTGCCACTATAGGAAATTGTCACAAATTTTATGTCTTAAAAACGGCACAAATTCAATATCATCAGAAGGTCAGAAGTCTGAAACTGGTTTCACTGAATTGGAATCAAGCTGTCAGCAGGGCTGCACTGCTTCTGGAGGCTTTAAAGGAGAATCAATTTCCTTGCGTTTTACAGCTTCTAGAGGCTAGCCACCTGCGTTCCTTGGCTCATGGTTCTTTCTTTTACTGTCAAAGCCAGCAGTATAGCATCTTCAAATTTCTATCTCTGACTCTGATATCACTGCCTTCCTCTTATAAGGATACTTGTGACTAAACTGAGCTCACCTGCGTTACCCAGGATGATCTCCCCATCAAAGATTCTTAATCATTTCTGCCCTGTAAGTTAACGTATTGATGGGTAATGTGGACATCTTTGAGGAGCTGTTATTCTGCCCACCACACCGATAACATTTCTCCTTCTTCACATTAAGCCTTGAGTTTACAAAACTTACTCTATGAATATGTCATTTAGTTCTAAATCAATTTTTGGTCTGCAAATCTATTTCCTAACTGAAGAGAACATACTAACTGAAGAGAAAATATTAATAAAGTCAGATTTATAGAATGAAAAAAATATAATTATTGATGCTGGCATTAGACTATTATGAAAATATTTCTCATACATATATTCATGACTATCTTTTGATATTATGTTCATACATTCAAGTCCTGTTATAGATAGTTATATCATGTTTCAGAAAATACTACTCTAAACTAAGTATTTCTCATTTACAAGTTGTTCTTTGTAATCTACTCATGTGTAGAATTAGATTTCCAATGACCTATATTGCTTAAAGCAGATCAAATTACTTGACTAAATATAAACAATAAAAATGTGTTCTGGGCATATTGCCAACACTTTTTTCTGTAATTTTACTTAATTATGTGAAAAATACATTTAGGTTGGGAAATATAGAATATTTGGAAACTATAAGTTATTTGTTCCACAGTTGCCTATACCATATGAACAAATTTGTAACCTTCAGTAATGGTTTTCCTTTCTTGCTGTTTATTGTTGTTGTTGTTGTTTGTTTGCTTGTTTTTTACATCACAAATAGAATTTTATTCTTGAGTGAAGAAAACAGAGGCTTTTTTACTGGCCATTTACTGATGAGGCAATACTTTCTAAATACTATTATACGTAAAGCACAATTCGAGAGCAAGTTTCCAGTTTAAATTGATTAGTAAAAATATTTATGTTGTAAATTGTTTGAATATGAATTGTTAGCTTGGTCTAGCTTTTTTCAATGTTTACACTGTGTGAACTAATTCTGAGATCATTCAGACTTTGGATAAACCATTATTACCTAAACGATACCTACTATTGCAACCCAAGTGTCTAGAATTTAGTCTTTATTGGCCTTCTCAAGTGAGACAACTCATGACTGGCTTTAGAGTTTAAGATTAGAGTTAGTTTGATTTGATTTAATCTTGGATTATTTGAAAGATCATTGATTTTTCTGACTGTGTGACTTTTGTTTTGTTTCCAATTTTGACAGTGTTTTGAGATGGCTTTGCCATGAAAAGAACCACTTCATAAAATAGAGTTGTAGTGAAAAAGCCTTGCTTTAAGGTTACCTGGTGATATCCCCACATGACATTTGCTTTAAAATAACTCTGTGAGAAGTAAACAGCCTTGCCACAAAGAAAATTTCTCTTGGAAAAGGAAAAAGGTCTGCTGCTGAAGATAAGCAAAAAAGATAATGAATGTCATAATCTCCAAAAATTACTGCTTCATTTATCAAAGTTTCTATGTCAGAAGAAGGAACAGTAGATTAAAAGAACCTACTTGTTTATATGCACAAAGATGCCAAATTAAGTCCACATTTTTCTGTGCTTAAACTTGATTAAGTTGTTCTGGACATACTCTATTCTGAAGGCTGGAGACACAAATAGGGGGTGAAAGGGCTCTGTTGGATGACCTGGACAGCTGCAATGAATGAATACACAGTGACACCTCATTTATTCAATCAACTGGTCTAAAATATGAGAGCCCATTTTGATTAAGAGGACAAAGAAATGTATTAAATCAAGAATTTAATTTTAGAGTGGGCAATTTAATCACCCCATTGACAAAATATTATAAATCATAATTTATTACTCATTCAACTTAATTTAGCACTTTTTGGGTCCAAAACAGTGCTCGGCCCTGAGAATAAGTTGATAAAGGAGATTGAGCTGGTCTCTTCCACAGGAACCATAAAAATCCCTTGGAGAAGAAGAACAATAAACAACAAATTTCAGATGTGATGATTGTTAGGAAAGCAGTGGAACAGGGTGCCATGGAAACATATAGCATACCAATCTAAGCTATTGCTTTTACTGAACTGCCATTTTAAATGTATCTTTCCACCATCCCTGAAGGTAGGTGGATAATTCCTTCAGTCCTCCCCCTCCCTTTCTCTTTCCCTTCTTCCTCCCTACCTTCCAATTACTCCATCTGTTCTTCGTTCCCTTCCATAAACATGTCAAAAAGGCCATGCTCACATTTCTCTCCTAGAAATGGGCGCACAACAGTGAAAGTAGAGACAAGACCCTGCCCTCATAGGGCCTAAAATAGACCAGGTTATACAAATTTTGATGAAATAAATATTTGAATGATTAATTAGTTAATTGCTACCAAGGACTGCTTTAGAAAAGACATGCAAATTGCTGTGAGAGAGGAGTTTTATTAGTCTGAGAATAGTATCTGAGAAATTTTTCTGAGAAAGTGACAGTTAAACTGAGAATTTTAAAGAATACAAAAGTTTTTTGTTTTTTGTTCTTTAATTCCAGGCAAATGGAACAATAGCATATGTGAAGGCCTGTACGTAAGAAGCTAGAATAAATAAAGGAGTCTATTGTGAATGGAGCTAAGAAGAGTTTAGAGCAAGAAGAGAATAGAGTAGAGCTTTAGAAATACACAATTATTTTATAAATGAGAACACAAAGCACCAAAGAGCCAATTTATTATATCATTCCATCATGTGGTAATAAATGATATGGTTTGAGAAGGAGCCAAAAGTTTGATTATAGAGAACAGGGTGGATATGATTGATTTAACCTGCATTTCACCTCTCTTCCATGGTGAAGTAGCCATGTATTTGGGGTCATGGCTCTCCTCTATAGGTCTTTTTAAATACAAATCCCATCGCCCTTGCTAGTGAATGACTCAGGATCCCTGACTAGAACCAATTACCTCACAGTTTTCCTCTGATGATAATGCACAATGATCCAAACTGACCCAGTAGGACATAAGACAGAAAGTTTTAAGACTTTCTCTTTCTCTGGATTTATGTGCAGAATGGAGCCTAGCTTGCAGATGCCAAACCAAGAAAAGTGCAAAGAAATGGAACTGGCAGAATAGAACTAAGTTAGCCTTGAAGCCTATGATATCTGTGCTTCCCAGTAAGAGGGCTAATTTTTTTTTAGTTATTAGAAGTTAAGAAATTCAAGATGGAAAAATAAAACAATGCTTTAGGAGGTAAACCAGGCCTCATTATGATGTGCAATACAAAATTATGAGTTTTATTGGGGGGGTGCCCATTCATATGTGATATAGTTTGGCTCTGTGTCTCCACCCAAATCTCATCTTGAATTGTACTCCCATAATTCCCACATGTTGTGGGAGGGGCCCAGTGGGAGATAATTGAATCATGGGGGCAGTTTCCCCCATACTGTTCCCATGGTAGTGAATAAGTCTCACAAGATCTGATGGTTTTAGCAGAGGTTTCTGCTTTTGTGTCTTCCTCATTCTCTCTTTGCCTCCTGCCTGTAAATTGCCCAATCTCGGGTATATCTTTATCAGCAGTGTGAAAACAGACTAATACAGTAAATTGGTACCAGTAGAGTGGGGCATTGCTGAAAAGATACCCAAAAATGTGGAAGCAAGTTTGGAACTGGTTAACAGGCAGAGATTGGAACAGTTTGCAGGGCTGAGAAGAAAACAGGTAAATGTGGGAAAGTTTGAACCTTCCTAGAAGCTTGTTGAATGGCTTTGCCCAAAATGCTGCTAGCAATATGGACAATAAGGTCCAGGCTGAGGTGGTCCCAGATGGAGATGAGGAACTTTTTGGGAACTGGATCAAAGGTGACTCTTGTCATGTTTTAGCAAAGAGACTGGCAGCATTTTGCCCCTGCCCTAGAGATTTGTGGAACGTTGAACTTGAGAGAGATGATTTAGGGTATTTGGTGGAAGAAGTTTCTAAGCAGTAAAGCATTCAAGAGGTGACTTCGGTGTTGTTAAAAGCATTCCATTTTAAAGGGAAACAGATCATAAAAGTTTGAAAAATTTGCAGCCTGATTATGCCATAGAAAATAAAATCCCATTTACTGGGCAGAAATTCAAGCCAGCTGCAGAAATTTGTTGCAGAAATTTGCATAAGTTACCAGGAGCCAAATGTTAATCGCTAAGACAATGGGGAAAATATTTCCAGGGCGTGTCAGAGGTCTTCACCGCAGCCCCTCCCATCACAGGCCAGGGGGCCTATGAGGAGAAAGTGGTTTTCTGGGCCAGGCCCAGAGTCCCTGCGCTGTGTGTAGCCTAGGGACTTGGTGCCCTGTGTCCCACAGCTGCTTCAGCAGTGGTTGAAAGGGGCCAATGTAGAGCTTGGGCTGTGGCTTCAGAGGATACAAGCCCCAGGCCTTGGCAGCTTCCACATGGTGTTGAACCTGCGGGTGCACAAAGGTCAAGAATTGAGGTTTGGGAACCTCTGCCTAGATTTCAGAAGGTGTATGGCAACGCCTGGATGCCCAGGCAGAAGTTTGCTGCAGGGGTGGGGCGCTCATGAGAGACCCTCTGCTAGGGCAGTGTGGAAGGAAAATGTGGGGTTGGAGCCCCAACACAGAGTCCCTACTGGGGCACCACCCCTACACAGAGTCCCTCCTGGAGCTGTGAGAAGAGGCCACCATCCTCCAGACCCCGGAATGATAGATCCACAAGCAGCTTACACTGTGCACCTCAAAAACCCGCAGGCCTTCAATGCCAGCCCATGAAAGCAGCCAGGAGGGAGGCTGTACCCTGCAAAGCCACGGGGGTAGAGCTGCCCAAGACCATGGGAACCCACCTCTTGCATCAGCAGGACCTGGATGTGAGATATGGAGTCAAAGGAGATCATTTTGGAGCTTTAAGATTTGACTGCCACACTGGATTTCAGGCTTGTATGGGGCCTGTAGCCCCTTTGTTTTGGCCAATTTCTCCCATTTGGAATGGTTGTATTTACCCAATGTCTGTACTCCCATTTTATCCAGGAAGTAACTAGCTTGCTTTTGATTTTACAGGCTCATAGGGAGAAGGGACTTTGGGGGGCTGCTGGGAAGGCATGACTGGTTTTGAAATGTGAGGGCGTGAGATTTCACAGGGGCTAGGAGAGGAATAAAACGGTTTGGCTCTGTGTCACCACCGAAATCTCATCTCGAATTGTACTCCCATATTTCCCACATGTTGTGGGAGGGACCTGGTGGCAGATATTTGAATCATGGGGGCAGTTTCCCCCATACTGTTCTCATGGTAGTGAATAAGTCTTATGAGATCTGATGGTTTTAGCAGGGGTTTCCGCTTTTCTCTCTTCCTCATTATCTCTTTGCCTCCTGCCAAGACTTGCTCTTCCTTGCTTTCCGCCGTGATTGTGAGGCTTCCCCAGCCACGTGGAACTGTAAGTCCAATTAAACCTCTCTGTTTAAAATTGCCCAGTCTCAGGTACATCTTTATCAGTAGTGTGAAAACAGACTAATACAATATGGCTTTATAGGCCTTCATTGCTTTTTTGAATTGTGAAACAATATAAAATTACAATATATGTTCATAGACTTCTCTGTTTTCAAAGTGTTTCCAGTCTTCATATATCTTTGTAGATAAACTTTGGTTTCTCTAGGCAGTGCCTCACAGGAGAGCATAGCCTTGGTGGAAATATCAAGGATCAATAACTGGTGATCCTTGAATGAATGTACAGAAATTCCATTATGTTAACTTAGTGTGGGTTGATAGCTAGAATATTATCATGTTACCAAAAATCACAAGAGATTGTTTGGTGTGTCAGTGTGTGTGCTTGTCATCCCCACTAGAGAACCTGAAGAGAAGGAACTCTGCTTCATTTATTTTCGTAACTTCTTAAAACATTCTTTCCCATGTTTATTCCTCTGGATCCCTGACTAATACCTGCAGCTTCTTTGCTGGCTTCTGCTCCTTGAATAAAATTCTGACATTTTCAGTTTCTTGGACTCATTTCTGTGAATCTTTTCTGTTTCCACTCTCTTCTCAGGAAATTTCATTTAAATTGTATCAGCATTAATTTAGATTATTCAGATTTCACATCTTCACAGACATCCAGAATTCTATTATGATCACTTACTACCTTTTGTCTTAGGTTTCATAGGTGTCTCTGTTTTCACAAGCCCAAAACAGTTTGTGATATTTTAACCTAAAACTCATCCAGGATTTTCTATTTTAGTTACACTGCTGGTTTTAAAAACAACAATAAAATGCACACGAAACACACACACACACACACATTCAGGCATTTCCTAAATTTTATGATTCTAATATGCATGAATTTTAGCTATTATGGCATATTAACTTTGACTAATGGCATAAAGTACAGATTCTGCTGCTAGTTTTTTAGTCTACAAATTGCTGCATACATAACAAATATGCCTCATGATCAATGTCTAACCATGCAACTTTTTACAAAGTGTGTCAGTGAGCAGTCCTTACACACTTGCTATTCAGTTCAGATGCAGACAGCAAAGCATGTAATTGTGTTGCTTCCTTGTCTCCTATTGATAAACCCCTGTGATATGTTTTTTCAAATTAGGTAACGGAAAGAGGAAATTGCCAAAAAATAGTAAAACACAGCAAAGAAAATAAAAGTGGTAGCAGTAAAAGTGAAATTAAAATCTAATGTAACTGGAATTATAGAAAAGATAGCTAATGGTAGAAGAGTTGATACTCCACTGTTTGACAGGCTCTAGATGTGCAGCCAGAGGAACTTGGTGCAGGTGAGCTCATGGACATGAATGAAGTAAGTGATGTGATGAAAAGGATTAAGATATCCCAGAGGACATGATACCAGAAAAGAACACTTCACATTAGAGGAACTCTTAAAGATGATTTCTGACAATAAAGGTACAAAGAATAAAATGTTGCATGCTGATCCAAACTTAGAAGGAAGTATAATAAACTTTACAAAACAGAAAAAAAATATTGTTTCAGTTTCATGAGTTATAATATGCAAAGAAGACAAACACTATTCAAACTACTATTTTTAAAAATATATATATTTTCAATGGTTTTAACATTTTAAATTTCTAAATATATATTAGTTTTGCTATTTTTCTTTCCCTATACGTTTATAACTGACAGTATTGGAGTGTTTATGTCTTAACAACCAATTTTAAAGGTCACAGAACAATAATTTTCCCACTGATTTTAACATCGCTTTGTGCAGTTTCAGCTTGCATGGTCATTGTTAGAGTCCTGTATTACTATGCATAACAAATAATGCCTGTATGCATAACCAATACATTATTTTCCATTTTCATTTTATCACCATAATCTAAGCATCATCATCTCTCATTTGAACAAATGCAATAATTTCCCCATTTTCCCCCTTCCACTCTTGGTTCTAGCTCATCCCCTATAGGGTAATCAGATTGAGCTTTGATAAAAATAAGTCAGTTCATACTAAATCCACATCCATAGCACAGGGACTAAAACCACAGCTCTCCACTTCATAACTCTATTTACAAGATCAGTAGCATGCCCCTCAGGCTTGGTGTAACACCTCTTTCTCACTAACAGGGGTCAATGTGTCCATAGGCAGCATTAGGTTAAATCCATTCCTCCTGCTACTTGTGTTTAAAGATAACCCTAAACACTGAGACTAAGACCATGCATCCTCAGGATTCCTACTCTGCATTCACAGAAGTCAGGAGAAAGCTGCAGACCTGCTGCCTGCTCTGGCATGCATAGCCTTGATATTTTTATCTGCCTTTTGTCCATCAGAACTTATTTTGTAATCAGTCCACAATTGAAGGTGCTCATTTCTGAGTCACCTCACAGCTCCTGCATTGTAATCCCTCCAGCAGCCCTCATTCCCACTCTTCTGTCATTGTCATATACTTTTCACTATGTCATCTGAGGGAAAATTCCCTGGATCTTCAAGCTTTTCTCTGAAGCCTTCATAGTCTTGCTCCATTTTGCAACGCTCTTCCCCTGCAGCCTTCTCAATTGACGAAGGCGTTGTTGCTGTTGTTTTCCTTCCACAGCCTGAATCCACCAGGTTGGTGTCCTACTCACTCTTCATTGTCATTTCCAGATAATTCTTCCCCCTTTCTCTTTAAAAATTGTTTTGAATCCCATGTTTTCTGAATTAACTAGTTATACCTCTCATTCTCGTCTACTGCCATTCCTTTAGCAGACTCTCCCAGATTTTAACATTTTAAACTTCTGCTTCAGAGGTTCTTCAACACTACTTTGATGACTTTTCTCAATAATTTCAGAGTAGTTTCTCTTTGTGGCAACTGGATATTTAGTTTCTTAATTCTCTCCTCTATTTATCTTACGTTTTACCCTGTCTCAGGCACTCCCAGAAGCATATTCTGGAGCTTGTCATCACCTATGATATCAGACCCTTCTTAATCTGAATTTGATGGATCTTGTTCTCTCATGACTACACTATATCTTTCTAGTTCATTCCATTTGAATATTTCAAAAGTCTTTTTAACTGTATTGAACTTTTTTTCAGTTTCCTTCATTCCCTCAGTTTCTCTCTTTTCTGATTACCTGGATTAATTTCATAATCAATCATTAGAATAAAAACTTTCATATACACTCTAATTTTTTATACCCTCTTTACAAAATTGGTAACCAACTAAATCCGGCTCTCCTCCTACTCCATGCTTGTACCAATACAGCTGAATGTGAATGTAGAAAAACATACACTTGTGTTGACTGGTATCATTTTATAGTCATGATGATAAACATGAAGCCGACTCCTAAGGCTGTTCGCAGTTATGCTGTCATTCCTTATGTGTCACTCTCCTTTTCTCCTGAATGTCAATTTCACATCTTCTCTTTCCTCCTTAAGTCTTGAATACCTTTCCTATAAACCCATTCTTATGTGACCTTGCTTCTCTGAAAACTGTAGATAGCTGAGCCAAATTTCCTGTAAACGCCATCATTATATCTACCCATTTATCAGAATCTGTACCCATATCTTCTATTACTCTCTAAAGCTAATCAGGCCCCTAACATTTTTACCACATTCCACTCCTCTCCTTACACTAAAATATTGCTGCAGAAATTTGCCCCCCATTCTCATCATTAATTTTTTAATTAGATCTTTCCTATCATCGTGCAAACTTCTTGTTAGCTACCCATTTTTACAAAATAAACAAACCAAAAAAACACGTTTTTATTTTTTATTTTTTTCTTGATACGACTTTTCTCATCTGCTACCTCTGCCTTTATTTTTGTTTCTGCTTGAAGCAAAACTCCCTGAAAATATTATGCTCACTCACTGGGTTATTTCAAATTTCTTTCTTCCAATTATTAAAACACACTTCAATCTGACTTTCACTTCAATCACTCTGTCAAAGTGGTTTTTGTCATATTCATCAAGGCCTCCATGCTAACAAGACTTGTGGTCAATTCTCAGTCTTCAGTTTGTGTAACCTTTTATTCTGCTCTCTATATCCTTGGTAATTCATTTTCTTCAATATTTTTCTATGATCCCGATTACTTTTGGCTTTCTTTTTACCCCACTTGCTCTCTCTTCCCAATCTACTTCACAGTTTTCTCCTCCTTCCTGCTGGAATACCCAGGATCTTTTTTTCTTTACTGAAAAATCACTCTCTTAAATATGTATCTCATTTATTGTATCGCTTTCAATGATATCAATATGCCACCAACTCTCAGATTTATGTATCTACTAGTGAGTGCTCCCCTAAGTTCATACATCCGCCTGCTTATTTAACATTAGCTTGAGATATTGGTAGATATAGTTAACATTTCCGTGGAATATCTAATAAACCCTTCATAATTGACATACCCAAACCTGAACTCTTGCAGCAGAAGTGAAGCTAAACCTGCTATATGCGCAGTGTTCTGCAACTAAGTTAATGAAAATGCTATTCTTTTAATTTCTAAACGAATAATCTGAACTTTGCCCTTCCTCTCATACTCCACATCTAATTCATAACAAAATACTCTTGAGTCAATCTCCAAGTCCCATGAAAAATTGCATTTCTCCTAGCCCACTTCGTTGAAACCACATTCTCAAGTGGAGTGATACAATAGCTTCCTAACTGGGCTCCCTGCCTCCACCTGTTCTTTGTCCCAGCAGTAAGTGTAACCTTTTAAATATGTACATCAGCTAAATTCACTTCTCTCTTCTAACCTTGCTAATAGATCTCCATGTCAATCAAAGGAAAACCCTAAGCCTTACTAATTGCTTACAAAGCTCTACATGATCTACTCTTCTTCCTTCTCTCATCATTCTCTGACCTCTTATTCTGTTTCTGCCCCTCCCACTCTGCTCCAGAAATTCAGGCTTCTCTGCTTGTTCAAGAACGCATCATATAACCTCCCATTTGAAAACTTTTACACTGGTCTTTCCTGCTGCTCATTATCCCTCCTCCGTTACCCTTCCCCAATATCCATATGGCTTACTCCTACCCCAAATCTCCTTCCTGAATGCTCTATTAAAATATTTTACTCTCTTCCCTCACCAGCATTTTTAACCTTTCATGTAACTTAAGCACAGTGTCTGAAACACAGTAAATATTAAATACTTTTAATGAAAGAATTAAAACCTTTCAAAGAGTTTTCAAAGCCCATTAGGGTAAAGTCAAATGCCTTGTCATGTTTGTAAAACATCCGCCTGTGTTTCCAACCTCAATTCATTCTCTATTCTCCTAACTTGCTTCTTACAGTCACACTACTTTCAGTTCTTTGAACATTTTGAATTCTTTCTCACCTCAGGGCCTTTGAGCATACTTTTTCTTCTCTCCTGATCAATATTTCCTTGACCTATTTCATAATGTACTTTCCATTTTTCTGATCTTAGCTTAAATGTCACACTTGGTGTTGTTTTTCCTCACTATCCTATGTTACTGTTAAACCTCCATGTTATTCTGCATCATATTATTATATTCTGTATTTCTTGTTTGGCTCATTTATATTTTTCTTGTCCATTGTCTCTTCTCTCTAAAAGAATGTAAATTCAATTGTATCAAGACTTACTCAGCTTGTTCAAAAATGCAACCCCAACATGAAAACACTGTTTCTGGCAACCATATGCTCTCAATAAATATTGGGTTTTGGGTTACAACAAAACAGAACAAAACATAAAGTGTGACTCATAAGTTAATGACACCAGTTTGGAGGCAGTGTAGAACAGAGCTTAAGAATACGGTCTGTGGTTTCAGAATGTTTAAGCTTCAGTTCCAGTTTCACCAGGTACCCATTACAATGCAAACATACATCTGGGTTTCCTAGAACAGTTTCCAATTATGCTTGCTGAACTCATTTTTTTATTACAAGCCCACTTTCACTCTCAAAAGTCTCCTGAGTTGGAAGGAAAATTATGTCTCCCAAACCTCGTTAGGATTTTTCCTTGGTACAAGCCTTTCTTGTCCCAGTTTCTTTGTAAAGATAAAACGTATACCTAAGTCCTCTAGATGTTGAGAGGATTAAACATACATAGCATATATGGAGAATATATGATGCGTATGTGCCTGTGTACTATATATATGTATACACATATGTGCATATTTGTGTGTATGTATTTATATATGTATATGTCTGATAAAGAGCTCATAACAATATTTGACTTCTCTTATTCACAAATTTTACCTTTTAAAAAATACTCTGATCATCCCATTTAATATATAGTTTGTAGAAATACAGAAATGTATGTATTAAATATCAAAGCTTCATCTGACAACATGTATAAATTAGGGGCTAACCATTCTCTTTATAAAATGATGAAACACATGTTCATTTACACTAGAAATGTAATAGTATACTTCTTAATAACTATCTACCTTTTTGTGAGTTGAGGCACCAAAAAATAAACTACTAAAATATTCCCAATAATATTGTCAATTAGATGGGGAAATAATTTTCTCTGAATATATAGTACATATCAATAGAAAAAAAAGTAAGTTTAATGTATTAGTCCGTGTTCACGTTGTTGATAATGACATACCCAAGACTGGGAAGAAAAAGAGGTTTAATGGACTCACAGTTCCACGTGGCTGGAGAGCCCTCTCAGTCATGGTGGAAGGCAAGGAGGAGCAAGTCACGTCTTACAACAAAAAGAGAAGAGCTTGCGTGGGAAACTCTTGTTTTTAAAACCATGAAATCTCATGAGACCCACTCACTATCACGAGAACAGCATGGGAAAGACCCACCTCCATGATTCAATCACCTCCCACCAGCTTCCTCCCACAACACATGATACTTGTGGGAGTTATAATTCAAGATGAAATTTGGGCGGGGACACAGCCAAACCATATCATTCAAATACACAAAAATGTATTTAAATGCCCATTGTAGGAAATACATTTATTGTACACACCTGGTTTATTTTATTCTCTTTTTATTATTCCAAAATTTCTTCCTTATTGGAACTTGTGACTTTTTCTATTATTTTTAAATTAAATTTTTATTTTTATTTTTTGACAAAAATTATAAGACCTCTTTTACTTATTGTATTCATTTAAATCACAAAATGGGAATTATTATCATCATACATCAAGTGTGATAGAAAAAAAGAGTGTTACTGTTCATTCAACAGAGAAGGTTATGAGCCAAAAATGCTTAATATCTAAAATAGAACACAATTAATTTTAATAAGCTAAAGTGTAACAGTAAAGCAAAAAGACAGGATATGTGGTAAGCAGCTGTGGGACCTAAAGGTCATCACTAAACATGATTCTCATTTACCCTTTTACTTTTAGTGTCAGGGTCTTGTTCTGGCAACATAAGCCCTTGAGACTTCTCAAGCCGTCCTTCGGTATTGAGCTACCTTGCTCATTTAAAAGCTTAGTGATTATACTCTGTTATGATATTAATGAAAAGGTCAATGAATTCATGAAAATACTTTTTTTTTCACTTTTATGACATTCTGAACCTTTTCTTCTTTTACCATTTTCAATAAGAAACTGATCATCTCGGTCATTTTGCATAATAAATGAATATAAGCAGTCTCTGTTTGTGATAACATCACTTTCCCTTGTCATGTACTGAATGTGCAGAGTGAGGATCTCTGAATTGTTTGATATGGTACATTTTCTTGTTTTAAATAACAACAAGGGCTTTAATGGGGAAAGGAGAAAGAGAAAGTATTTTTAATAGGACAAGCTAGAATTTAGAAGATGAAAAGGTTAAAAATTACCTTCAAAATTTCATACTAAGTGCTGACATAGTGACTGTTAATGTACTTCTAGAGTGCTTTTAAACAGTGTTTTACATTGAAATTGTCTCTCTTTATGCTGTCCAAAGGACAATAGCCAGGGAAAGCTGGGAAACATCAGGTGATGAGTAAAGGAACAAAGGCATTACATATGATATATGTATATATATATATGCAATTTGGTAAGTCATAATAATGCTTATATTTTCTCATACATCACATTTATATTAAAAGAAAGATTTCAATATTTATCTCATTATGTGACCAGAAAAATGTCTTTCACTTTGAGCCAGGACAAACTTTCTTTCATACATGGATCACATAAAATATATTTGGCCAACATCATGACAAAATGTCATTTGGAGAAGGTATTGGTGTGGAAATCTTGTGATTTCTGTGTGGATATGAATTGTAATTTAAAATAAAGTTTATGGGTAAAAGCAATTTTGAGGACTTGATCTTCACTTTGATTATAGGTTTTGCGTTTCACTTTGCATATTTACAAGAGCTAATTAGAACTTTTGTAGCAAGGTCCAATAATATCTATGATCAAGTTTTACCTAAGCACTTTAATGGCTGCTATTTATAGAATCCAAGACTCTTTAGACACATTTTTAACATTTAATCAGCAAATGATTACATATATAGTTTACCAATATGCAACTCCCCAACTCTAGATACAGGTAATCATATCAGTATTCACAGGTCATCATATCAGCATTCATAGCCTGAATTCACACAATTTGGGTGCTCTGAAGTCCCTCCAGCAGGTTGGTGGTTGTTTGAATGTTTGGCCCTCCAAATCACATGTTGAAATTTGATCCCCAGTGTTGGAGATGGGGCCTAATGGGAAGTGTTTGAATGTTTCATGAATAGACTAATCCCCTCCTGGGGAGAACGGTAGGAGAGTTTTCACTCTATTAGCTTCCATGAAGCTGGTTGTTAAAAAGAGCCTGGGAGCTCCACTCTCTCTCTTGCATTCTCTCTTTCCATGTGATTTCTGCACATGCTGGCTCCCCTTCATCTTCTTTCATGAGTGGAATCAGCCTGAGGCTTTTACCAGATGCCCAGTTTTCTAGCCAGCAGAATCATGAGAAAAATAGACCTCTTTTCTTTAAAAATTACCCAGCCTCAGGTATTTCTTTGTAGATACACTAAAAAGACTAAGACATAAAATTTTAAAGAGGAGTACAGTGTTGCTATAAAAATACCAGAAAATTAGGAAGCAACTTTGGAATTGGGTAATGACAGAAGTAGAACGAGTTTGGAGGGCTCAGAAGAAGAAAAATGGATGAGGAAAAGTTTTGAACTTCTTAGACACTGGTCAAGTTGTGAGAAAAATGCAGATAGAAACAAATAGTAAAGCCTGTGCTGATGAAGTTACAGATGAAAATGAGGAACTTGGGAACTGGAGCAAATGTCACCCTTACTAAGCCATAGGAAAGAACTTAGCTGCATTGTGTCCATGTCATAGAAATTTGTGAAATGCTGAACTTAAGAGGGATCATGTAGGCTATCTGGTGGGAGAAATTTCTAAGCAGCAAAGTGTTTGAGAAGTAGCAGGGCTACTGTCAACACCTTATGATCAGATATGGCAGCAAAGGAATGATCTAAAGGTACAAATTATAATTAAATGAGAAGCAGAGCATACAAATTTGGAAAATCCTGGAAATGTGTTTGAGAAGGAAAGAGGATTTTCAGGTGAGTAACTGAAGGGTACTGTGGAACAACCACTTGCTAGAGAGGTTAGCATGGCTAAAAGGGAGCCAGTTGCTCATAGTCAAAACAGTAACAGAAAGGCCCTGAAGGCATTTTAGGAATCATCAAGGCCCCCTCTCCACTCCCATCGCAGGCCCAGAGGCATAGGATAACAGAATGATTTTAGGGGACAGGCCTGGGATGCTGCTATGCTGACTACCTCAGGATGTTGCTTCCCACATCCCAGCTGCTCTGGCTCTAGCCACGGTTCAAATGGCCTCAGGTACTGCTCTCACTGCTGCTTCTGTAAGACAAGCCATGAGCCTTGGCAGCATCCATGTGCTGTAAAGTCTGTAGGCACACAGAATGCAAGAGCCGTATAGACTTGGAAGTTTCCATCTAGATTTCAGAGGATGTATCAAAAAACCTGGGTGTCCAATCAGAAGCCTCCATAGGAGTGGAGCCATCACAGAGAACCTCAACTAAGGCAATGCTCCACAGAAATGTGGGTTTTGAGCCCCATACAGAAAGTCTCCACTGGGGCAATGCCTAGTGGAGCCATGGGATCAGAGCTGCCATGGTGACCACAGAATTATACAGCCACCAACAGTATGCCACTTTAGCCTGGAAAAGGCATAGACATTTGACTTCAACTGCTGAGAGCAGCCAGTAGGGCTGCATTCAGAAAAGCTAAGAAAGTGGGACTGCTTAAGATGTAGGGAGCCTACCACTGGCCCCAGGGTGCCCAGGAAGAGGGACATGCCATCATGGGATATTTTGGAGCTTTAGGATTTAACATCTGCCTGCTGGGTTTTGAATTTTGTTTTGGCCGATTTCTCCTTTTTGGAATGAGACTTTTTACATAATGCCTGTATACCAATTGTGTCTTGGAAGTAAATAACTTGTTTTTGATTTTACAGGCCCACATCTTTAAGGAACTTGCCTCAAGTCTGAAATGAGACTTTTGACTTGGCACTTTTGAGTTAGTGCTGGAACATGTTAAGAATTTTGGGGACTATTGGGAGAAGATGATTGTGTTTTTCAACATGAGAAATACGTGAGATTTTGGGGGGACCAGGGACAGAATGCTATAGTTTGGATGGATGTTTGTCCCCTCTAAATCTCATGATGAAATTTGTTTCCCAATGTTGGGGATGGGGCCTAGTGGGAGGTATTTGAGTCATGAGGGCAGTTCCTCATGAATAGATTAATGATCTTCCTGAGGTGAGGGTGAGTGAGCTCTTGCTCTTTTAGTTAGCGTGAGAGCTAGTTGTTAAAAACAGCCGGGCACTTCCTCTCTTTCTCTCTCTCTCTTGCTTCCTTTTTCACCATGTGATCTCTGCATTTGTCTTCTACCATGAGAAATATCCTGTAAGATACATGTAGGCAATATACTCTAAATATATAGCAATTTTCAAAATATAAAATTATAAATACATGGTGTGTGGATTTGATTTAATGATGATGACATGTAAGTTCTTTTTACACCAGGATGCACTTATGTATTTAATTAATTTTAAAATAACAGTTGGTACAAATGTTTGAGGAGTACTGAATGTTTTGTTTAATTTTTGTAGGTCTTTGCCTTACACTTTAATAAGGGGACAGTGTGATCTTTAAGAATAAGTTAAAAATTACGTCCTTTGCTTCTGAATTCAAAAATAGGGGTATTTTTAAAAGTGCTTCGGGATTAGACCCATAAATATATAAACAAATGTAAAAGGAACCCATTGTAATTTTTTTATTATTTACATTTTCAATTATTTCATTTCTTAGCAAATGACAAGCTTTGAATCACATGTGATTACTTTAACACCAAAAATGATTTTGAATACAGTCATCAGTAACATCTTTTAAAAAAATCTGCATGATTTTCTGTGTCACTTTTAACCACTTTTAACCAAAAGTGACAGAGAAATAGTTGAAATATAATGGAAGATGGGCACATGGGAAATATTTGATTTTTTCCAGGCCAACTTGTATTTCAGAGGGAAAATATCTTCAACTTACAATCATGTCAAAGCTATACCTGAGAAGAAAGAAATCTTGAAGAGCAATAGTATAATTGTGCTGTAAGATAATAAAACTTTCAAATTCACCAACATGATATTCAAGATCTTCCTGAATTTATAATAAATACTAAATTTTATATCTGATACCCTATCTATTTATTTTATTTCATCTGTCACATCTTTCAACACAAAATCAATATAAGTTACAATCTACTACTTATGCAAAAATGTATAGCAAATAAATAGAGAATATTAGTACTGGCAGTTTACCTAATGAGATGCTGCTTCAAATGTGCAAGCTTGGCAAATGACTTGTAAAGTGTCATTGGAAATTAAAAATAGCCACATTTCATGAAAAGTTGCAGCAACCAGAGACTGCAAATGTCTTTTTTTACTTAGTTCAGATTCCTAAACCTCTGCCTATTTGACAAGATGATATAAATTCATAGTGCAAAAATAGGCACAAATAACATCTGATTACATATAACATATGTACACATATATGTACACATATAACGTGATTCCTTTCAAGAGAAAATTTGGAAGAACAATAACATGGAATACTTTTATGTGATTCTGAGTTTGCTCTGTAAATTGCTATGTTTTATTTTTTATAGAGAGCACCAATTCAACCTTTATTTTATATCTCTGTAAGTCTACTTGGGTAGTGATACCACAAAAGAATCCTTAATAAATATTTACATATAATAGTAGATTTTAGAAATCATAAACTATATGTCAGCATAAACAATTTTACAAATGAGATACTATTTCAAAAAGTTTAAGGCCTGGGGCAATAATGGTTATTTACATTACATTTTTATAACACTATTTTCACCTATCTCAGCTCTCATTTCATTAGATAGAAAGCACAAAAAAGTCTTTTTTTTTTTGCCTGTCATGACTGTAAAGATTTTTTAGAAACTTTTATTTAAGTTGCAATATATCATTTTGTATTCCTTGTCAGAATTATATTTCCTGCAGGAATTTTATGTGTTCCTTCAAACATAACAGAGTTTCTGCTCTTCAACCATTAGACAATTGTTCCAGTAGATCTTGAGGCTTTGCAGACCTTTACATGACTACTGAAACTGGAGACTTGAGTAAA
This sequence comes from Homo sapiens, assembly GCF_000001405.40. Classification (NCBI taxonomy): domain Eukaryota; kingdom Metazoa; phylum Chordata; class Mammalia; order Primates; family Hominidae; genus Homo; species Homo sapiens. The sequence continues at coordinate 67,522,945 of NC_000013.11, forward strand.
TCTGCTCCCTAAAGATTTTAAGGCAGGGTGCAGTGGCTCACATCTGTAATCCCAGCACTTTTGGAGGCCAAGGTGGGCAGATCACTTGAGTCCAGGAGTTCGAGACCAGCCTGGACAACATGACAAAACCCATCTCTACCAAAAAAAAACCCCCAAAACAAAAACACACAAATACACAAAAACCTTTACAACAACTTATTCAAGTATATAAGGTTTTAAAATTTTAATAACCAAGTATTTTTCTTTGCCCTTTTCAATTTTTATATGATTACTTATTAATGCAATTATTTATTCTATGAATTTTGCAATAATTTTTAAAGTATATATACCAATTCATAAAACTTTAATACAGAAGCATATTACATAAATAAATGTTTTTTAAATTTATTCCTCCTATCATCCCTTTCTTCACAGGTATTCAGATTTTTGAATCTGGTATTTATTATTCCAAAACTTTTCACTACACATATATGTTTTCTCCTTTATAAATTTTGATTTAAGTAAACCAAGATATTTATTGAATTATGTTTCCATATCTCCCACCATTTTCATTCCCTTTGGAAAACATTGGTGATCTAGTGTGTTTGACTTCATGCATTTTTCATTTTATAAAAATACAATTATATATGTATTTGGAACTTATTTGCTTTTTAAAAATATCAACTATAAATACTTTAAATGACGTTTCTCATTAAAAATGCATATTGTACACAAACTCTTAGATAAGTCTCTAACTCATTCATTTACAAGACAAAATATACCTCCTTGTGGGTATTCTACTTATCCACTCATCTATCTACCACAGATATTCATATTGCTTTCAAACTTTTTTAAAATGTAATAATTGCTATACACCCTTGACCATATGCCTGCTATTTTATTATTATATAATAAAACACAAAATGAGGAGTTATTTTATGTTACTTATACTTTAATTGTAATAGATTTAGTCAAATTGTGAGATATTTTAACAGTGCTATCAGATGTTTATTAAGATATACTTATACTGTATGTTTGTGTTAATTCTTAGATAATCTCTGTTTTTATGACATAAAATCATCTATTAAAGAATATGGCAAGTCTCTCTGTTTGTGTGGAAGTTTTGCATATCCTCCGCCCACCCCTGTGTCTTACTATGATTTTATATTTAATTTCAATGCAACATTCACTTTTTGTTAAATGTATATTTTAGTTTATGCTGCTATTTTTCATAGGCTTTTATGTTTTTCTTTTTAATTTCTAACATGTTACTATGATTGTAGAGAAAAGCAATATTTTCATTCATTCATCAGATCCTTACCTCACTTCTACCAACACAGAACCTTGGAGTTTTATTTGTTTAATTAATTGTTCTTTGCCAATCAGCTAGGTGGAAAATATCTCACCAATTCCATTTTTTAACCTTAAGGGTAGCCACATCATTGTTTATTACAGAGCTACTTTCTGAAGAATCATTCTACATGCCTTATGACGTTAATATTTGCCCCTCCTTCACTATTTCTTGTTGGCTAAGACTCATTTACTTTGTCATTTTCCTTTTCTAAATAGAATACAAAACATTCTTGGTGTAAGTTTGTAATAAAGAATCAGACTCCATTTTCAATGTTTGACTGCTGAACACTTTCAGGCCCCAGCCCTACCATTTTCCCTTTTTCCTTATACCTGGGAGAGCAGCACTATTCACAATAGCAAAGATATGGAATCAACCTAAGTGTTCACCAATGGAAGAACACTTCATAAAGAAATGTGGTATATGTACACAAATGAATACTATTCAGCCATAAAAAGAATAAAGTCATGTCTTTTGCAGCAACATAGATGGAACTGGAGGCCATTATCTTAAGTGAAACAACTCAGAAACAGAAAGTCTAGTACTGTATGTGTTCTCACTTATAAATGGAAGCTAAATAATATGTACAAATGGGGATAGAGTGTGTAATGATGGACATTGCAGATCATGAAGGGTAGTGGGGGGCAGAAGAGAATGGGGGATGAGAAATTACTTAATGAGTATAATGTACATTATTCAGGTCATGTGATATGGTTTGTTTGTGTCCCCATCCAAACCTCAACTTGTATTGTAAATTGCACAATTCCTATGTGTCATGGGAGGAACCCAGAGGGAGATGGTTGAATTATGGGCAGGGAGGTCTTTCCTGCATTGTTCTCATGATGCTGAGTCTCACAAGATCTGACAGTTTTTAAAAAATGGAAGTTTCCCTGCACAAGCTCTCTTTTTGCCTGCTGCCATCCACGTAAGATGTGACTTGCTCCTCGCCATGTAGAACTCTAAGTCTAATTAAACCTCTTTCTTTTGTAAATTGCCCAGTCTCGGGTATGCCTTTATCAGCAGCATGAAAACGGACTAATACAATAAATTGGTACTGAGAATGAGACTTTGCTGAATAGATACCTGAAAATGTGGACATGACTTTGGAACTGGGTAACAGACAGAGGTTAGAACAGTTTGGAGGGCTCAGAAGAAGATAGAAAAATATGCGGAAGTTTGGAACTTTCTAGAGACTTGTTGAATGGCTTTGCCCAAAATGCTCATAGAGATACGGACTGAGGTTGTCTCAGATGGAAATGAGGAACTTGTTGGGAACTGGAGCAAAGGTGACTCTTGTAATGTTTTAGCAAAGAGACTGGCAGCATTTTACCCCTGCCCTAGAGATTTGTGGAACTCTGAACTTGAGACAGATGATTTAGGGAATCTGGTAGAAGAAATTTCTAAGCAGCAAAGCATTCAGGAGGTGGCTTTGGTGCTATTAAAAGCATTCAGTTTTAAAAGGGAAAAAGAACATAAAAGTTTGGAAAATTTGCAGCCTGACAATGTCATAGAAAGGACAACCTCATTTTCTTTTTTTTTTCTTTTAAATTTTATTATTATTATACTTTCAGTTTTAGGGTACATGTGCACAATGTGCAGGTTTGTTACATATGTATACATGTGCCATGTTGGTGCACTGCACCCATTAACTCATCATTTAGCATTAGGTATATCTCCTAATGTTATCCCTCCCCCTCCCCCCACCCTATAACAGTCCCCAGAGTGTGATGTTCCCCTTCCTGTGTCCATGTGTTCTCTTTGTTCAATTGCCACCTATGAGTGAGAACATGTGGTGTTTGGTTTTTTTGTCCTTGTGATAGTTTGCTGAGAATGATGGTTTCCAGTTTCATCCATGTCCCTACAAAGGACATGAACTCATCATTTTTTGTGGCTGCATAGTATTCCATGGTATATATGTGCCACATTTTCTTAATCCAGTCTATCGTTGTTGGACATTTGGGTTGGTTCCAAGTCTTTGCTATTGTGAATAGTGCCACAATAAACATACGTGTGCATGTGTCTTTATAGCAGCATGATTTATAGTCCTTTGGGTATACACCCAGTAATGGGATGGCTGGGTCAAATGGTATTTCTAGTTCTAGATCTCTCATTTTCTGAGGAGAAATTCAAGCCAGCTGCAGAAATTTACCTCAGTAACAAGGAGCCTTATGTTAATCCCCAAGACAATGGGGAAAATGTCTCTAGGACATATCAGATGTCTTCACGTCAGGCCTGGAGGCCTAGGAGAAAATGGTTATGTGGGCTAGTCCCAGGTTCCCCATGCTGTGTGCAGCCTAGGCACTTGGTGCCTTGTGTCCCACTCACTTCAGCCATGGCTGAAAGGGACCAACGTAGAGCTCAAGCCGTGGCAACTAAAACCCACATTCTTAACCACCGTTGGATTAAAAAATAATGATTCCATGTTTGGCATTAATATGTGCCATGTCACCAACTTCTGATAGGGTCTCAAAAAATATAATCAAGCCAAAGAAACATAAAAACATTTTCAAAAAGCAACAAAAACATTTTATAAAAATTCACTTTCTGTCTTATCTTAACGAGATTTTATTTTATAGCATTTTTTGAGAGTGCAGTCCATTTACTTTATTAATTTTGAGGCACTAAATCAGGCAACTGATTATAACAAATGCATCATGGCCAAATTTAAGTGATTAGGATATAAAAAGGTATACATTTTCTTCTCTTTTTAGGTGCCTATGATTAAATTTTCATAAAGGATATTTATAGTTGTCAAAAACTCGGCTCAAATTTTAATAAGCTCCTATTACTCAGAGTTAAAAAATAAAATATTCCTACATTATTTGGCTTCATATAACTTCTGCAACACTTGATGTGTAGTTAATGCCCTTTCATCTCTATAAATAATGACAATATTTGGTAGTTTCATTTATCAAAGACAAAATCTTGACCACAAATTTTAAAGATGTCTAGCAGCAAGTGGCTTGTAGTTTTGATGATAAATGGAATAATTTCTCCATGGCTGCAAATTGAAATAAAAGTTGATAGAATAGTAAAGCATTAGGCTTTACATATATTTGAGAGATTGGTTTATAGATAATAAAGTTGAAATTCAAATAATTTAAGTGGCTCATGTTAAATCACACAGATGGTGATTGTCAGATTAAGTACTACAACACTAGTCTCTGCACTAGGTATTAAAACAGCCATCCAATATTGACGGAGCACAGGCTAAGTGTCAGGTCTGCCCACAATTGTGAGTATGAAGTGATGAGACAATTTATCTTTCTCTGCACTATACAATGTTTTGGGCAGATATAGGTGATTTACTGCAGAAATAATTATTAGTTGATTGACTATCTTATGAAAACAAAGTAAGAAAATGACTGGTTTAAAAAATAGATAGTAGTTAAGATGCAGCACTAGTCTACACACCCAGATTCTGTCTCCATTTTTTGCTAAAAAAGCTTGATCCTCTACCGATTGCTACTGATGTTCTTGTACCACTTGCAACATTTTAACCAAGGAAGAGCTAAGTTAGTGCAACTGTAAAAGAGAAAATATGTGAAGTTGTATTCCACATCATCACCACTTCAAACTCTGCACTTTTATCCTTCTACCAGGTTGGACAAAGTCTCAGAATGTGAGATCGTCTGGGTTTCGAAGGGTAGGAGGCAACCACTTTTTGTTTCTTTCTTGAGAAATGTTAAAATTTCACTCAATCTCAAATCACTGTGCATAAATGTGCATATGTAATTTTCATTATAAAAATTACTTAGAAAAATGCTTAGTATCAAACACAGGGAAAATAAAAAGAAGTTAATAAACTTTCGTTTATTGTTGGAGAGACCTGCAATTACTACTTTCAGAATAGTTCTTTATATTTGTAATTGGAAACATTTAATGTAAACATTGGGCAGTCAACAATTTTTAAGTTATTCTGCACACAAGGTAAAATTGACTTAAAATTTGTTTTTATAGGAAGAAGTGTTGAGAGGATGAATGTGGTGGCTCACACCTGTAATCTCAGCGCTTTGGGAGGCTGAGACAAGTGGATTGCTTGAAAGGAGTTTGAGCCCAGACTAGGTAACATGGAAAAACCCTATCTCTACAAAAAATACAAAAAATTAGCTGGGCGTGGTGGTGCACACATCCAGTCCCAGCTTCTAGAGAGGCTGAGGTGAGAGGATCACTGAAGCCAGGGAGGTTGAGGCTGCAGTGAGCTGTGAGCATGCCACTGCACTCCAGTCTGAACCAGAGTGAGACCCTGTTTCAAAACAAAAGGAGGTGGTGAGATATAGGGAGCAAAACATATAAGAATTCAGGACAGTTGAATGCTCATATTTAATTGGGAAATGTGGGGCAATGATTATCACCTCTTTATCCTTATGCTCTCTCTGCTGTAAAAACAAAGGTATTTGAACACCCACATAATCCTTATTTTGACTCAAGTTTCTTCTTTCAATGTTTCATCAGAAAATAACAGCTATCCTCTTTTTCCAGAACATTCGTCATGTGTACTTAAATTCTAAATTATGCTACTGTATAGTTTTCAAAATTAAGTTGTAAATTTATTTTGCATGACTACCAATGAGAGGAGCAGAAGTTTTACTCTTTCTTTTAGTTGTAGCAGAACATGCAGGTAAGACTATAAATAAACAGCCATTTGGTGTTTAACCACAAGTTGGATTTAACATTCTTGACATGATTTAGTTGCTAATAACCTAGCAGTAGAGTGACTTACTGGGTTCCAGAGCTCAAAATGTTTAGATAGGCTGCCCGTCTGTTGCTTAATTTTAATTATGTCTATGTATTTAAATAGATGATAATCAGCTCTTGTACTAAAAGTGAGAGCAGGTTTTCTACTCTGAGTTTTATCAAAGTAAGTTTAAAGTTAGTAGAATATGGACTATATAAGAAGCTATGTTGATACCTGATTGTCCTCAATCATTCATTGTCATGTAACAACTTTTATTAAAATCAATCGATAGATTAAAATAGCACTCTAAATTTATTTTAAAATCTGAAATTCAATAATTTGAAGGTAAAACTTTTAAAAACATTTTGGGCAGAAAATTAATGGTCCCTCTGTATATCCCAGAGGTCACACATTTATAAAGCCTGCGTATACCAGTAGTAAACCACAGCAATGACATACATCTGAAACACTAAAATAATATGAAATGAAATGTCAATTATCCTCAATGTTTGAAAGAAAGAAATAACTGTGTTCTAATTTTTCTCACACAAGAATTTAATTTCGACTAGCTCATTAATTTGCCTTTTAGATAGACTTGTTGAGCATGGACTGAGAGCAAGGCCAGTCAGCTGAGCAGCTGCTTGGGATGTCCAAACTAAAGAGCAATTGAGATATGTATGTCAGTTAACTCAACTTTCCGTGCAGGTTGTTTTCCATGCACTGTGAAATGGAAATTGTTCCTACTCCCAAGTATTATAAAACCACATCTGGTGAGACAAAAGAGTATGAAAGCACCCTTCATGGGCACAGAAGTCATCTACACCAAGAAAAATGTTGAAAGACATTTGAAGAATATGGAATGTAAAGGATAAGCAAATTTTATTATCAGTTGTGTTCTTGCCTAGTGTATGGATTAGGGGTCTGAAAAATTTATTCTATTTTTTGTATACAAATCAAATAGGAAATAAACAATGTCTTTCAGATTTTAAATAACTCTGATGTTTTTAAAATTATATGTAGAAAATTGTCTCAAAAAGTATCCTTAATATGCAAGATGTTGAAGGAGACGAAATTTCACTCTTCTTCTTTTTCTTAGTCAAATTATGCAATTTCTTATTATGTTTGTGTCTATATTTTCTGGAGTTTAGAGACTAGAATTCATGTAATAAAAGAATAAAATTTGGCTGGGTGTAGTGGCTCACACCTGTAATCCTAGCACTTTGGGAGACTGAGGTGGGTGGGTCACTTGAGGTCAGAAGTTTGCCTCCAGCCTGGCCAACATGGTAAAACTACATCTCTACTAAAAATACAAATATTAGCCAGGTTTGATGGTGGGTGCCTGTAATCTCAGCTACTCAGGAGGCTGAGGCAGGAGAAGCACTTGAACCCAGGAGGCAGAGGTTGCAGTGAGCTGAGATCACGCTACTGCACTCCAGCCTGGGAGACACAGTGAGACTCCATCTCAAAAAAAGAATAAAATATGAATACCTTAGTGAACCAATTGAGTTCAGATTGAGTAAGTGATGGCTTGAACAATTTGGGTGCTTGCTTAGGTTACTGGTGTGATTAGATTTCTAGGCAGTTGGGCAGGAAGCAGAAAAAATATGAAATTTCAACAGAAACAGGAATTTAGGAAATAGGGCTGATTTCTCAGCATATCTTGGTTGGAATAAAAGAAAACTGGATACTAAGTTTTAGAGTGCATGCTTTGGAAAACAGAGGGAATTTTCAGGAATATCTTATAAAGAATGTAAAAGCACTTAACAGATATGTGCGGAACTACAAAGCCTAGATAGAGTTAGTTAAATCTCTAAATGGCAATATTGAAAGGGACAACTTCAGGAAAATGCTTAATCAAACTAGGGGAGGTAAAAACTGAATGAACTGGATTATAGATTTCAGCTTCAACATGTCAAGAGCTTGAAATGCATCACTCCTGTACTTACAATAAAGAGTTGGACAAACTGAAAGCACAATTACTTATTGAGACCTTTTAGAAAACTAAGTCACAGGGAAATGGCTATGCTGAAATCTTGAGAGGCAGGATCATCCAGAGAGACATAGCCAAGATCTGCTTATCTGCAGCAGAAGCCACTGGAGCCATCAACTGACAGGAACATACGCAAGGTACATTTGATAAAGTTGAAGTTGAATTTGGATTAGCATAGATTGAGAAACTACTTGGAGGTTGCAATCTTTGTAGGGCCCCCAAACTTTCATGTACTTCTCTCAGAATCCCGTCAGATATTAATGGAGAAGAAATGCAAAAGATCTCTTCATAATTCTGGCAGGATGAGATAAAGCATAACCATTGTGAAATACACCCAGAGGCTTCTCCATTAAAAAATATACTCTGCCTTTGAGAAGACTTTGTAAGACCCTTATCCTACCTGGGAGAATTACATTTCTCCCATTCCAGCTCCTCTAACCTGTCTGTCTCATATGAAGACAAAACAAAAAATCCAAACTCAACTGGGGTCATGGTTTCAAGGAAATGGATTGGGAAGGTTACATCTGAGTGGAGTAGAGCTTGTAGCAAGGCAGCTATACCACTGAAGAAATGGTAAAGTTACAGCCAAGGAAAGAATCAGTGAGCCTAGAAACAGATCAAGAAACTTGGCAATCTGAAACATAAAGAGAAAAAAGATGAAAAATAAAGAAAAATAAAGAAAAGAATATATAACTGTGCGGGGAAAAAAGTGTAACACACACACATTCAGAATGCCAGAAGGAGAAGAAAGAAAACAAAAAAGAACAGAAAAAATAATTTAAATAATAATGGTTGAGACTTTTCCAAAATTAATGACATACTCAGAATCATAGATCCAGGATGTTCAGGAAACATTGATGATTACCTAAATACTTCCCCTCCAAAGACTCCACTACAAATAACTTATTCCTATTATATTCAAACTGAAAAAAATGCAATGAGGCAGAAATCTGGAAAAAGCCAGAGATAAAAATGTCTATAAAGCAACAAGGATAAGAATCAAAGCAAACTTTCTCTTAGAAACTATGTAAGCAAAAAATGTAAAGGGAAACATCTAAAGTGTTGAAACAAAACAAAAATGAAAAACACGAAACACCAACGTGGAATTCTATATCCAGATAATATATCCTTCAGTATGAAGAAATAAAACATTCTTAAAAAAAAACAGAGAATTTATCATCAGCAAATATATTCTAAAAGAAATGCTAAAAGTAGTTCTTCAGGCAGAAGAAAAAATAGTGTAGGTTAGAAACTTATGTGCATAAAGAAAGGAAGAATTTTAGAGAAGGAATAAATGGTGATAAAATAAAATCTTATATTTTTTATTCTTATTTGATCTGAAGGATAGGTGACTGTTATAATAATAGTGACAATGTATGGGATGAATATAACCTATTGATGAGTGGTATTAATGACAATCAGTTAATGATAATATAACCAGGGTTGGGAGAAAGCAATTGTGAATATTCCATTACTTAAAGGTGAATTTTGATTAGTTAAAAAGTATATTATATGCTGTAGGTATATCTCTATTTTTTTAAATAAAAACAAGTATAAGTGAGAAACTATAAAATGGAATCATATAAAATATTCAGTTAAAAGAAGATAAGGCAGAAAAAGCAGGCAAAAAGAAGTAAGAAAAATGCATTGAAATCAAACAATTACAAACATGGTAGATATTAATCCAACTATACCACCAATTACTTTAAACATGAATTGTCCAAATATACCAATTAAAAAACATAGATGATCAGAATGGTTAAAAACCAAAACAAGACTCGCCTATATGTTGTCCACAAGAAACCCTATTTAAAGAAAAACACTGATTGATTGGTTCAAAAAAAGGGATGGAGAAAAATATACCATGCAAGCACCAGTCTAAAGAAAGCTGCAAAAATTATTAATTTCAGAGAAAGCAGATTTCAGAATCAGGGAACTGCTCAGGAATAAAGAGAGACACAGTTATAAAGAAGTCAATTTCCCAGTAAGAAATAACAATATCATACATGGATACACTTAACTAGAAAAACAAAATGAGGACAAAATTGGCAGACTAAGAGGAAAGTAGGCAAATTCACTATTATAGTTGAAGACTTCACTGTTTCTTGGTTAGTAATTTATAGATCAGACAAGAAAAAATTCAGTGAGGATACAGATGACCTGAACAACACACCAACCAACTTCATCTATTTGTTAACTATACAATATGCCAACCAACCACAACACCATACACATTTTTTTCTCAAGCTCAAATGAAGAACTCAGAAAAATAAACCACATTCTGGGTTATAAAACACAACTCAAAACATTTAAAATAATAGTAATCACATAAAGCATGTTCTTAGACAACAATGAAACTAAATTAGAAATCAATAATATAAAATATATTTAGAAATCAAACAGCACACTTCTAAATGGCACATGGTTCAAATGAAAAGTCTCAGGAAACATTTTAGAATATTTTGAAATAAATTATACTGAAAATATATCAACAAAATGAGTGGGGTGCAATGAAAGTAGTGTTTGGAGGAAGAGTTATAGTATTAAATATATATATCAGAGAACAAGAAAGAACTAAAACCAATAATATAAACCCCACTTTAGGAAACTAAGAAAAACAATGTAAGCCTAAAGCAAACAGAAGAAAATAAATAATAAAATCAAATAAACAAAATTGAAAACAATGGGAAAATCAAAGAAACTAAATGTTAGTTATTTGAAAAAAATCAATGAAAATATAAAGCTCTATCCAATCTAACAACAACAAAAAGACAGAAATCACATAGCGGGGTTATCACTACTGAGTCCATGGATATTAAAATGTTAAGAAAATAATACCATAAACAACTCTATGCCCATAAATTAGATAACTTGGATAAAATGGACAAACTCTTTGAAAGACACAAACTACAAAAATTTATAAAATTATATGTAGATAACTTGCACATCCCTAAATCTATTAAAATGAAACAGTAATTTAAAACTTTCCAATACACAAAGCACCAGGTTCAGAGGTTTTCACTTAGCCTTTCAAGAGCATTTAACGAAGTCCAGAAAATAGACATAGTGGGAACATTTCATAACACATAGTAAGAGGCCTGCATTATCCTAAAATTAAAATCAGATGAAGGCATTACAAGAAAGGAGATCTACCGACTAATATCTTTCATGAGCATCAATGTAAAAATCTTCTACAAAACATCGGGAAATTATATGCAGCAATGTATAAAAAGAATTCTACCCACAACCAATTTAGTTTACTCTGGTCGTGCCAGGCTGGTTAAACGTTCAAAAATCAACCAGTGAAATTTATAATACATGCTGAAGAAAAATCATATGATCATATAAATTTATTCAGAAAGAGCATCAAACAAAATCCATCACCCATTCATTACAAAAACTATCAGAAAACTGAGAATAGAGGGACCTTCCTCAACTTGAAGAACATCTGTAAAACTTGCAGCTAATATAATACTTGATGTGGACAGACTTGATGCTTTCTCCCTAAAATCACAACAAAGACAAATATGTTGTTACAATAATACCTATTTGATTTTGTATTAGAAGTCCTAGCTAATGAAATAAGATAAGAAAGAAAGAAACAGAAAGAGAGAAAGAAAGAGAGAAAGAAAGAAAGAAAGAAAGGGAGAAAGAGAAAGAAAGAAAGAAAGAAAGAAAGAAAAAGAAAGAAAGAAAGAAAGAAAGAAAGAAAGAAAGAAAGAAAGAAAGAAAGAAAGAAAAAGAAAGAAAGCGAAAGAAAGAGGAAGGAAGGAAGGAAGGAAATGTGCTTTTTTTTTCTTTGGTAATAACATGAATAAGTATGTCTAAAATCCAAAGAATCTACAAAATACTCTAGGAACTGATAATTGAATGCAGCAATGCTGCAGGATTCAAGATTAATATAGTAAAGTCAGTTGCTTTCCTTTACACCAGCAATGAAATATTGGAATTTAAAATTTTTAAAAATTACAATAGCACAAAAAAATACCTACACATAAATCTAGCAAAATATATTCAGGATTCTTATGTGAAAATATACAAAACAGTGATGAAAGAAATAAAAGACATTCTACATAAATGGACAGATATTCCATAGTCATGGATTGGAAGAATAAATAATGGTAAGAGCTAAGTTTTTCCCAACGTGGTCTATAAATTCAACACAATTTCCACCAAATTCTACCAAGATATTTTGTGGATATTGTCAGACTGATTCTAAGTTTATATGGAAAGGAAAAAGACCTAGGACAGGCAACATAATACCGAATAAGATGAACAAATTTAGAAGACTCACGTTACCCCATTTTTAACACATTATAAAATTAACCAAGACAGTGAGACATTGGCAAAATAATACATACATGGATCAATAAAACAACAAGGATTCCATAAGTAGACCCACAGAAATATTGTCAATGGGTTTTTGGCAAAGCAAAAAGCTGATTAAATGGAGAAATTAAATCTGGACACAGACCTATGCTTTTCACATATATTCATTCAAAATAGATCATACATCTCAATGTAAAATGGAAAACTATATAACTTCCAATAGAAAAGCATAGGAGAAAATCTAAGTCATTTTGAGTTTGACAATGAGTTTTTAAGAGACAACACCAAAAATATGACATGTGAAAGCAAACAACAAAGTAAGTTGAATTCTTAAAATTAAGTCTTCTACTCTGTGAAAGACACAACAGCATCTTTATATTCTCTTAAAAAATCTACCTAATGTAAGATGCTACGTGTATTTTTACATATGGGAACTCTGTATTATCTTTGATTATTTTTCTGTAAACCTAAAACTGAAACATCTATTAAAAGCAACTGACAAAAAACTATGAAATGAACTTTAATGTCATAGTACATTCTCTTAACAAAGAGAATATAAATTGAGCTACTGATTTGGAGAAAATATTTGCAAAACAGATCTCTGATAAAGAGTTGTATCCAAAATGTAAAAAGGGACATGTAAAGCTGAACAAAGGGTAAATAACTTCACACAAAAAATGGGAAATGTACTGATCAAACTAAGGAGACATACAGATGGCAAATACGCATATGAAATGATATCATCACTTGTCATTAGAGAACTGCAAATTAAAACAACAATTAGATACTACTACATACCTGTTAGAAAGGCTAACATCCAAATCTTAACATCACCAAATGCTAGTGAGGATGAGGAGCAATAAAAACTCTCATTCATTGCTGATGGAAATGTAAAATGCTAAGCCACATTGGAAGACAAGTTAACAACTTATTACAATGTTGATCATAGCCTTCTCATACAATCCCGCAAATATGCTCTTACTTACCAAACTCACTTGAAAACTTACATCCACACACAAAATCTGAATAGGAACGTTTATTACAGCTCTATTCATAATTGCCCAATGTGTAAGCAATTTAGATGTCCTTCAATAGGTGAATGAATAAACAAACTGCAGTGTATCTACACAGTGGAATATTAATAAATATTACCCAGTGATAAAAGGTACAAATATATGATTTAATTCATGCAAAGGTATAAATTAGTTTATGATGTATTAAGCCACCCAAAGACATACATGAATCTTAAATGCATATTGCTAAGTAAAACAAAAACAAAAAGACCCAGTCTGGAAAAGATGTATTTAGTATCATTCCATTTGTATGACATTTTGAAAGAGGCAAAACTATATAACCAGTAAACAGATTAGTAATTGACAGGGGTTTGTGCGGGAGGAAGGTTAAATAGATAAAGCACAGGAAATGTTTAAGAGCCTGGAAACTCTTCTATGTGATAGTATAATGGTGAATAAATGAACCTATGACTTTGTCAAAGCCCATAGAATTTTGGAGCCCAAAGAGTTAACTTTGCCAAATGTGAATTTTGGAAATTTATTTAGAAATTCAGTGGATCTCTATATGGAACAGTGAATAAGACAAGAACATGTATGTAAAAATAAACTATATTGCAAATGTATGGAATAGTTTTACTGAAGAAGGTGGGTGAAAAGTTGCTCACCTAAGTAATTTTGGAAATTGCTAAACTTGTTTCCCATGGGGGTACACGTTAATAATTCTGAAGCCACTGTAACTGTATAATGGAATTGAAAAAATTGCCGGGCGTGGTGGCTCATGCCTATAATCCCAGCACTTTGGGAGGCCGAGGTGGGGTGTATCACCTGAGGTCAGGAGTGTGAGACCAGACTGCCCAACATGGTGAAACCCTGTGGCTACTAAAAATACAAAAATTAGCCGGTCACAGTGGCAGGTGCCTGTAATCCCAGCTACTCAGGAGGCCGATGCAGGAGAATCACTTGAACCGGGGAGACGGAGTTTGTAGAGAGCCTAGAGCATGCCACCGCACTCCAGCCTGGGTGACAGGGCAGGACTCCATCTCAAAAAAAAAAAAAAAATCAATAAATGTATACACATATAATAAGTTCTCCTGCTCTATCAGCTGAGAGGGCTTAGAGGTGTAATACATCAGTAGTACCAAGCGTATCTAGCATCCAGATGTCGCTTTTTAATACCATTCTCTAATGAAAGGAACCAGAGCTCCTTGGAGAAAGGACATATTCTAGGTCTGGGGCAGAAAGTATACAAGAAGAGCCTGAAGCATTTTCTTGCACCAGAAAATAAATATCCATGAGACTATACTAATAATTAGTTATTGAGTAAATAAATGGGACAGAATAGACAAATCTCCCATGCAGAAGAATGCCAAAATTTGTATACTCTTCCCTAAAATGGTAGAGGATAACTTCCCACTTGTAAAGTGTGCCTTTGGGTTGTGACTTCTTTCCAAAGATTACAGTATGGAAAGAGCAACAAAATGTAACTTTATGGTAGAGAAACCTCATAAGCACTACCTTAGCCAAGTGATTAAGGTCAGCATTAACAGTGTATGCACCCTTGATTGCTGTGATAAAAAGAGCACTTTACCTCTGTGATCTTCTTCCTCAAAACCTAATTCATGTCTTATCATGAGAAACATATCAGAAAAATTCAAATTGAGGAACATTCTACAAAATATCAAAACTGTCAGTCATCTAAAACAAGTTGGAGAAACTGTCATAGCCAAGAGTAGCCTAAGGAAACAAGATGACTAAATGAACATGAAGTAAAAACTACAGAAATATGAAGAAAGTATGTACTTTAATAATAATAATGTACTAATATTGGTTCATTAATTGTGACAAATATGCCATACTAATGTAAAATAAAATTTATATTAATGTGTATGGAACTCTGTGTTACCTTTAATTTTTTTCTGTAATTGTAAAACTATTCAAAATGAAAGGCCTATTGAAAAAACCCAATCAACCAACCAACAAAAGAATATAAAATTAACTAACTTTAATGTCGTATAGACCTGGGTTCTATCTCTTAATCCAGGCTATATTTTCTTCGTCTGGAAATAGAAATCGTAATATATCATTTGCTACAAGGATTTACTAGTACATCATTTTAAAAGTTTCTTGCATATATAATTATTAATAAATATTAATTACCTTTGCCTTTTTAATTTTCATGACTAAATGTAATTGAAATAAATGAAATCTAAACCACTTGTATAAATTGATACATGAACTGCTTAACCTACATTGCTTTAGTCTTCCTACAAATTAAGTTATCATTTCAGCAACACATTCATTTCGTTAGGTCTACCCTTAAAAGTAGGGTGAACACCCCTGAATTATTTATGAAACACACCACATATCCATAACTGCATTAATATGTGTTAGTTCTCTGAATCCCTTTAATGACAGAATCATAACCTCTTATTCTTAAGAAATAAAGTGCTATGGAAAGCAACTGGTAGGGAATATTCCAGAATGAGGAACAATGAAGGCTAATGATTTGGCAGACGGGAAGCCAACAGAAGAAAAATCACCAATTTAACCTCTTTTAAAATAGAGTAGTGTAGGGGAGTAGTCTTAGAATGGAGAAATGCAATGAAAACTGGTATTTTATTCCTTAATAATTTATTGAATAACCACCAAGCTTTCAGAAATGTGCTAGAAAGTTTGCATGCACTCTACTACAATTTAAGTTGAAATTTATGTTCACAGACACTTCTCAAAAGAAGACATACGTGCAGCCAACAAGCATATGAAAAAAAGCCCAATATTGCTGACCATTAGAGGAATGCAAATCAAAACCACAATGAGATACCATCTGACACTAGTCAGAATGGCTGTTTTTAAAAAGTCAAAAAATAACAGATGCTAGTGAGGTTGTGGAGAAAAAGAAACACTAATACACTCTTGGTGGTAGTGTAAATAAGTTCAATTATTGTGAAAAGCAGAATGGTGATTCCTCAAATAGCTAAAAATAAAACTATCATTTGACTCTGCAATCCCATTACTGGGTATAAAACCAGAGGAATATAGATAATTCTACCAAAAAGACACATGCACAGGAACATTTATTGCAGCACTATTCACAATAACAAAGACATAGAATTGTCCTAAGTGCCCATTAATGACAGATTAGATAAAGCAAATGTGCTACATATACAGCACAGAATACCATGCAGTCATAAAAAGCAACAAGATCATGTCTTTTGTGGGAACATGGATGGAGCTGAAGGCTATTCTTAGCAAATTAACACAGGAACAGAAAACCAAACACTGCATGGTCTCACTTATAAGTGAGAGCTCCACGATAAGAACTTATGAACACAAAGAAGCAAACGACAGACACTGGGATCTACTTGGAGTAGAAGGATGGGAGAAGGGAGAGGAGCAGAAGGGATGATTGTTAGGTGCTGGGCTTGATACCTGGGTGGTGAGATAGTCTGTACAGCAAACCTCCATGACATGCGTTTACCTATGTAACAAACCTTCAATGTACCCTCGGACCTAAAGTAAAAGTTAAAATAAAATAAAAATATGTAAGAAAGGAAATCTACAGTCACGATTTGAGTTATTAACATTCTGGTCTCCCTTATTCTCACCTAAATGCTCCTCCTTCTGCATTCTTTATCTCCCTGAAGATTCCGCTACCCAATACATTGCCTAAACTGGAAAACCTAGTTTCACACTTCCCCATTTCATCTCCCTCATCCACCATATCAAATGCTACAACAAATGTTCTCAGTTCTTTTTAAAAATATATCTTGCAAATCTGCATTATACAAAAGGACAGACAATAACTCCATGTGGTTATTGAGTAACCAACATGTGACCAGTGCAACTTAAAACTGAATTTTAAATTTTGCAGATTTTTTTTCTTAATACTCTAAATTGAAATGTTTAAACTGACATGCATTTTGGTTATTGGAAAACACTAAAGTACATTTGGAACAACTAGGGTATGTAAGTATATTTGTTAAACTGTAAATTATATGAAACCTAACTATTGATGAAATTTTTCTGATGAAACTTTAGTATTTGAATTGAGATGTAAATTTCAAATAATTTGTTTTAAAATTGTACATAAGGCTGGGTGCGGTGGCTCATGCCTGTAATCCCAGCACTTTGGGAGACCGAGGCGGGCAGATCATGAGGTCAGGAGTTTGATACCAGCCTGGCCAATATGGTGAAACCCTGTCTCTACTAAAAATACAAAAATTAACTAGGAATGGTGGCATGCCTGTAGTCCTAGTTACTCAGGAGGCTGAGGCAGAAGAATTGCTTGAACCTGGGAGCCAGAGGTTGCAGTGAGCTGAGATCACACCACTGCACTCCAGCCTGGGCGACACACACACACACACACACACACACACACACACACACAAAGATAAAAAAATGACAAGAGAAAAAAGCATATGTAAAACATCTCCTTGAGAATTGTTTTACACTGATTACATGGGAAATGATTATATTTCAATTTAAATATATTATTAAGCTAATTTCACTTATTTCTTTATCCTTTTTTAGTGTAGCTACCAGAAAATTACCTAAACATCTCATATCATACTTCTATGAAATAGGGCTGTTCTAAATTATTCTTATCTCCAATATACTTCCAATTCCCTGATCCAGAACACCGTCCTCTTTACCCTGGGTACCTGGATTTCCACTCTGGCCTCATGCATTTTCTCTGCCTCCAATGTCTTCCATGCTTTCTGAACATCAATGCATTCTTACTCTAACATCTCTATACTCTTCCCTTTATAAAGTTGAGATAATCAAACTTTTTATCTCATGGAACACTTATTCCACAGAAGTTTCCAATATTGACATATTTTATGCAGTGCTCCTTTCAACATAAAAATCACATCACATTATTGATTAAAATCTTTTTTATCTGATTTCTATAACCTGATAGGTTTCTCATCAGCTGGCCTCTGCTTACCTCACCAATTTTATTTCTAACCTCTGCCTCCAAAGCACATCCTATGCTCTAGTCAAATTCATCTTCTGAGTTGCATCAAATGTCCTGTGCTTTATTTTGCATCTGGATCTTTCTACTTTCTATTATTCCTTTATATATTGTTCATAATTTAACCCCCAATATCAAAGCAATGATGAGCATAGGGTTGACCTGCAAAAGACATTGAGTGAACAAATTAATGAATACATATCTGGACTTCATTAGAAACAAACTACCTTAGAAACTTAGTTAGAATATAAACATTTCCCATAATAAATGATAGGTAACCTTTAAACCATTATTGTCTTCAAGGATCAACAACTGTATTAAACATCTTTAAAATTACCAATTGTGATTCTAAGCAGTCTCACTGAAGTCAAACTGCTGAACTTTTCTCTCCCAAGATACCTTAATTTTAAACTTTCTATTGTTACTTTGAAAACTACTCATAGTATAACCTGGAATATATTCCAAATATCTTAGCAGTTTGCTTTCAGATCCAGGGGTGAAACAAAAATTGATTTCAGAGCAAATTAGCAGTTTTTCTCATCCATTCTCATCAAAGAAAGTGTGGGAGGATTGCAGGCCCTCTGAGAGCATATATTATAGCTCATTATGCAAAGAAAAAAAGGTAAAAATGAGTCCAGGAACAATTAATATGTGAAGCTAGTATTCTACAATACAGTATTACCACTACCATATGTAGGTTTTTTTAAAGTAGAGGCATATTAAAAATTAAAATGTGCTTCACATACATTATTAGTAGAATTATTATTATTATATCATTGACATGAGTCAAGTTTCTATAATCTGTTCCTGGGAATGAGTGGAGATGTTTTTTCCCCACTTTTCTAGGTTCCTCAGGGTCTTAAAGGTAATAAAAGATAAGAGGAGCATTAGAGTAAAGGGGTTAATTGTGTTGCAGGTGAGAATACCAAGATTAAAAGTCAATGAATGTAGAAGCTGACAGATAAAAACAGCTTCAAGATTCTCTTTCCTCAGTCTCTTAGCACTCCAGTTACTCAATAATTTGGAATAATATAATTATAAAATAATAGAATAAAAATAATATTTCAGGTCACCTAGCACAATTTCCAACCTAATACAATAGCCTCTCTACAATGGCAAAAAATGATTTTTCCTCTGCTTTTGAGTTTTTTCAGTAATATGGCACTTCATAAAAAGCACACAGTTTTGTTTAGGGCAATTCTAATGGTCAGGAGTTAGACATGGTTCTAATAAAAGTAAACCTAACCAAATCTAATCTCTTCTATATGACAGTTTTTAAAAAATAATTTGAAAATGCTTACACCACTCCATCTACAAAATCTGTATCCAGTCTTAAGTTTCCTCCTTCTTTCTAGGATTTTCCAAAATACATACTTTTCAGAATCTTTATAAGGTTGGCAGTTGTTTTCTGCACACACTTCAGTTTTGGCATAATTATTACATGTGGTATCCAAGCATCTACTCATCTTGTATATATAATATACTTGTATAATTGACACTTGTATTCCTTGATCTATGTGTTATAAATCTGTTAACATAACATTTGTTTCTAATTTAGTACAACTAATATTTAATGAATACCTGTTCTGAACAAATATTAGCCATTATTTCAAAAGGAATATAAGGAGTCAAAAAAAAAAGACTAAGATACTTTGAATCTTTGATTACTCTTTATCTAGTAGAATCTTAAAATATTCTGGACCTTGGCAACCAAACAGCAATTCAAATATGTGATTCTATGCCATATTCCATATTTTGTATAAAATTTTGTCATTAAATAAATGTTTGTACAAGTCATTAAACAAACTTTCAGACCATGTCTAGTGTACTGATGTACACACAAACCTTGAACCTATCTTATATTAAGTATTTGGTAACTTTATGTTATCAGTCTGTTGCCTAAGTGTACATTGCACATTAATTTTAGCTATGTTTTCACTGTTTTGAAGCTATAATTGACATTATATTTTTGATAAAGGTATTAAATAGAAAATAGATAAATATAAAACCTAGTGGTGTATTTTGTAAGATGAACTCATACTGATATTGATCAATATCCTTTTACATATAAAGCCCACCTGCTATCCTCCTGAAATGCAGATACATTATTTTTATCATTAACATGACTCAGATTTCTATGATTTGATCTAGCGAACACGAGGGGAAATAATTCTTCCTGGTTTTCTAGGTTACTCAGGGTCTAAAAAGAAATAAGATTCAAGAGGTACTATTAAAGAAGTTAATTATAATAAGAGAGAGAGGGAGAGCGAGTGTGTGTGTGTGTGTGTGCGCGCACGCACAACAGTGCTCCAGCCTTCCAGTCTAACTACAAAGAAAAAGTGGTTTATAGAAACAGTTATTCATTTTTTCTTTTTTTTTTTTTTTTCTGAGATGGAGTCTTACTCTGTCACCTCCTGGGTTCAAGCAATTCTCTGCCTCAGCCTCCAGAGTAGCTGGGATTACAGGCACATGCCACCACGCCTGGCTAATTTTTGTATTTTTAGTACAGACGGGGTTCCACCATGTTGGCCAGGCTGGTCTCAAACTCCTGACTGCAGGTGTTCCGCCCTCCTCAGCCTCCCAAAGTGCTGGGATTACCATTGTGAGACACCACGCCCGGCCAGGCACAGTTATTCTAAATGAAAATCTGCTCATTCCCATTCCTAGTAATATTGATAATCTTTCTATTTAGTAATACTGTTTCGAAATTTGCCAGTCTTTCAACAAATCTTACATTGTGTATGCTTCCTTAAAGAAGATTAAAAGCTGTGATAAAATTTATCAGTATTTAATAAATTAAGCTCCTGCTATGTATAAAACATCATACCATATATAAGCTTTGAGTACTTTGGCATGCAATTTATTACAACTTGGAAACTTCAGTCATTTAATTAAGGTGGTCCTGCGTTGTCTCTTTATATACTGTGGATTTAAAAGTGTAGTTAGGACACTTAAAAAAAAATGTTTTCTTATTATTCTTTGTGTCCCCCAAACCCAGGGGACTTTCATCTCTTTGTGGAGAGGAACTAGTATATAATAGGTTCTCAACAATTATTTTTCACACTGTTATTGACACTGAAGGATTCTTACTCTTTTTTCCATGCGTATGTGTTTATGTATTTTTTTTATCCTTTTGCTTCTCATTATTTCTCTTCAGTGCTACCTAAATTTGCTTAGTTGTATATTAATCAAGAGCCACAGAATATGGAGAGCTAGTGTTAAAGATATAGACTAAAGCTAAATTATATTTTTTTAAAGATTCAAGTATGTTTTTAATTACTCGTGGTCCGTTTATTTATGTATAGACATTTGTGAGCATGGGATTCCTCTTAAATTTTCCCTATTTCCACACAGATATGCCGAAAGTTTGCTAGGTACATTCAACAGAGTTTTTACTTTTCTGTCTCAGCATGATTTACTGGGGAATTTGAACTATTTGTACTTCATTAAATTAATTTAATAAATCAATATTACCCCTACTATGTGCTAAGTACTAGGATACGCTAGGAACTGTTTGGTAGGATGAAAGAAAAGAGTTCAGGAATTTTGAATGCGTTAGTTTTGCGGTGCCTGTAAGTCATGCTAATTATAGTTTTAATCAGGCAGTATTCTAATCTGAAGACATCAAGAGAGAGCATGAGGCTGAAGATATTAATTATCGGGATCACCAGCCTGAAATGGTTTGGAACTATAGGTTCTGAATGCTGTGACCTAAGTCATGGCTTTTCAAATTTCAGTGTGTATTTTAATCACCTGGAGAGATGGTTAAATACAGACTCCTGGGCCCCACCCTCAGATTCTGGGTAATAAATCATGGGTGGACCTAAGAAATTTGCATTTCTAACAAGTTTTGAGTGATGTTGATGCTGGGAATATGAGGACTATATTTAGAAAATGAGTTTATACAACAAAGTTGCCTAACAATGCATTTATTAGAATATAGCCCCATCAATAAGCAACTCATGCCTACATGAGTTGCAGGCATGGTTCTGATGTTATTTATTTATTTTGTAGAGTACCTTCCACAAATGAAAAGATTGAGAAATGCTTTTCTCTATGTCATTTCGATCTTTTAATTTCTGGAGTGTAAAAATACTTTATTAAATTTCAAATGAAATTGTATTTTAGTTTAAACCTGACAAAAAAGTGTATAATAAATATGACCCAATGTTTACTTTTTGTCTAAATTCTATACTATTTCTTCCAACATGAAAAAGATATGATACTAAATGACAGAATTTTAAAAAAAATTGTAAAATTTCTTAAAGATTTAAGGCTTTAGAATGTATGAATTCATTGCAGTTATATGCATGCTGTTTTAGTTATGCATGTATATCCTTTTCTGGGGAAAGGTAAATAGCTTTTATTGGACTGACAAAGGAATTTCAAAACTATGAAGAATTGTCCTAGATGAGCCTGGGCAGCATAGGGGAGACCCTGTCTCTACAAAAAATTAAACAAATAGCACGGTGTCATGTTTCTGTAGTCCCAGGTACTTGGGAGGCTAACGTGGAGGTTGAGGCTCCAGTGAGCTGTTTGTGCGTGGTTGACAAAGTGAGACCTTGACTCAAAAAAAAAAAAAGCGTTGTCCTAGATGGAAAGTTCTCATTTCCTGCATTTTTTTTTTCTTACTCTGACCTGGTATATTGTCTTGCTACACACTTTATTATGCAAAACAAACTCCTATTATCTGATGACCCATTTCTTTGTTTCAGAAGACTCACAAATTAAAATGCTCATTGAAGAAGGGAGGCAAAGAACATATGACCCCGAATCACAGATCTTAGGCAAATAATGACTTTTCTAAACAAAACTTGTCCCATTATGATCGTGTGTGTTGTTTAATCTCATTCTCACAGAAAATTGTTTTAAAGTAACAAGTAAATATAAATAGTGCTCAGAAAAAATAAACTCTTTAATTCAATACTACTACTATTCATTTGAAATTGCGTGAAGCAACACTTTCTGTCTGTAAGAAAAAATGATTATATTAATCAATAAGATAAAAGGAAAATGGAAAATAAAAATAGTATTAATATGATTAATGTAATGTTTTTAAAAATTCTTTTTTCCTTAGTCACAATATAAAAATCAATAAATAAAGAGAATTCCCGGGGGTACCAAAGTAGGGAGGGGAGTTTTTAGTCTTTCCCAATGATTCCCATTAGATTTCCCTAAAACCACTCCATATAATAAATTAAGTCAACCCAGATACTTTCTCTGTATAAGCAACTTTGCTATAATACTTGTCTCTGCACTTTTAATCAGAATGAAACTTTTGCTCCCCCTTATATAAAAAGTATAGCGTCTCCACTGAATGTAGTAAAACTGAAAAGAGCTAACAACATTATCCTTTGCAAAAACTTTCAGGTGAATGTCCTGAACAGAGCACTGCCATGGAGGGGACTCTCCTGTTACCATATTATATCAAGACAGCTGTGGTATAATAATAGGAGACCTATATTAAGAAAGAAAAAATGATGTTTAAATAATTCAGCAATTAACTAATTGCAAAGGTAATGTGACAAAATGGAATTTCATGGACATTAGTATCAAACAGAGCGGGGCATGACATCTGATCCCTGCCATGTACTAGATGGTGAAATGGAACAATATCTTTACATTCTTGGAGCTTCAATTTTTCATATCTATTTTAGTCTGCTAGGGCTGCCGTGACAAAATGCCATAAACCTGGTGGCTTGAAAGGCAGATTTCTTTTTTCCCAACAGTTCTAGAGACTAGAAGTTCATGATCAAGGCCCTGGCTCTTCCTGTTCCTGAGGAGGGCCTTTTCCTGACTTACTTACAGATGTATACTTTCTTGCTGCGTCCTTGTTTGGCCTTTTCTCTGTGAAGCTCAGAGAGAAAAAGAACTTTGGTTTCTTTTTCTTTTCTTACAAGACCAATCCTACCAGATTAGGGCCCCACGCTTATGACCTTACTTAACCTTAATTACCCCCTTATAAGCCCTATCTCTACAAACAATTACCTTCGCAGTTAAGGCTTCAGTCTATGAATTTGTGCATAGGTGGTGAGGAGGCAAAATTCAGTCTTAACAATATCTCAAATATATAAGACTGACCAAGTGTTCACAGTTGCCTGCCGCTTATCCATTGCTTTGTCTTGATCAAACCTTCACCAGGCTTCTCTCTTTCCACAGGCCCCTAAACTCTACTTGTCCTCAGGCCTGATCAAACACAAAAAAAGCAAATTATGCCTTCTTAGCAGTTTCTCCTGGGAATCAGTTGACCACAGCAGGGCCCTTTTCCTATCAGAAACTGCTGGTTATTTCGAGCTTCCCCAGCAAAGATTCTGCTTATCTCTGCTTGCCTCTCTTTTACCTTATGAAAGAAAAACCTTTTTCTGCTTGAATTGGAGATACTCACAGATATCTAAAATTGGAGCCATCTCCCTATTGCAATAGCCTGTCTTTCTAATTAAAATCTCGTCCTAAGTCTGGACTTGTTTTACTTTGGCAAAAGTTAAAAATGTCTATATCACTGACTTATTTTGAAGGTTTTCAAACCATCCAGTACAGTGCATACTGTGTAGAAGGTGAATAATTATGTGTTCTTGGGCATTTGGCTTGCTTATTGAAGCCAAAGTACTTTGTCAATTAAATCATGATATAAAATAAATGGATAAAGTTGCTCCATCTCTAAAGTTTTCTGGAATAATAGGCAGGCCTTGGAATTTTGTATCTTGAGAGTTCACATTCCAAAGACTTCATGAAAAATTATCATACTTAAATTTGTAGTTACATTTCAATGTACTGAGTCAAGTAACATTAAAACTTATGACAAGTATACTTACAGAATGTAAATGCATGATTGCATTACATTGATTTTTAAGGCATGTCAAAAGAGTTTTTACCATATGCACAATGATGAATATGAAATAAACGAGTAATATGTTCCCAAAGTGTCACTACACTGATTTTCTTGGAACTGGCATGGCTCTGGCTTTATCTTAGGAAAACTTGCTGTACATCAGTAGGAGGAGGAGGTAATAAACTCATTTAAGAAATGCTCACTACCGTTGTGCTCTCTGTTGGATGGTTTAATTATGCCACATCATTTACCTTGGAAACAACCTTTTGGAGTAGGTGTTATTATTTGCATTTATATATGCAGAAGTTAAAGTTCAGAGAAGTCCAGATCCTGGTCAGGGTCACTCAGCTGTTAAAAGGAAGAGTCAGGATTTAATCAGAGTTCTATTTATACACCCCATTAAATGTTATCTTTTAGTATAACACTCTGTTCTTCTATGAGGCATAATTCATATAAACTTAAACATGCAAATGAACAGGTTTGTGCTTTAGGAAATGAGAAAGTAAGACAGGAAAACAGATATTTCAGGAATTAGAGAACTTTAACATTGTATCATGTTCATAATGCTATAAAAGGTAGTTTTGCATAGCTCAAAACAATTCTATTGGATTATAATAGTACAAATAATTATAAATGAAAGTTAAAAAACTGAAAGCCTCTTTAAAAATATTCATGATGTTGGTTCTAGGGCTAATCCCACACAGAAATCACTGTGTTAGTTTTTAAAGTTAAGATATATACAATTGAAATCTATAGTTTAACATAATCAAACTATTTTGGGTAATTAGAACAAAATTTTTATGTTGTTATTTTAGGTACTAATTTTTTAATGCTTAAACACATTTAAGATTAATACAAGTAAGAGCACGAGAACCTTTAGCAAGGAAGCAGTCACAAATACCGAAAATAAAATACAAAGTAACTTTTTTTTATAAGGGGAATAATTGATATTTAGAACATTTAAATATAAACCAGATTTTTATATAATGATTAGTTTAATGCTATCAAATAGAAACAGTATTGTTGTTTTGTTTACTGATTAATGGATTAATTTTTGAGATGTAGCCCTTTATAATAATATGTTGTCCTTGAAACTTAAAAGTTATATATATATATATATACATGCCCAACTTCTCCTTATTTACAGAGAAGTATCCAAATGAAATGTTTTTTTCAATTTATTCTGGTCCTGCATATAATCACATTTTTATGGATGTGCCTCTAAGACTCATTAAAACAAGCTAACAACAACAATAAAAATTATTTTAATTTTTCAAAACATATAAAAATATAATTATTTTATCCCTGTAAAAACTGTCGGATTCAAAATGGTGTTCCTTTTTTGAAACTTTCGCGAAATGGAACTAGGGAAAGCCATGGAGGGAAGGCTCTCTCATGACTGCCCTAATAACCACAAGAAAGTCTTCCAAGTTGCAGCTTACTACATGAGTCACACAAGGAGAACTAACCACACAAGGACAGCTAGCTATTTAGACAAGAACACTGGCCTGACGCACTGTCTACAAGTCCAACCAATCCAGTGAAAAACAGCCTGTAATTTCATTAAGATTTCAAGTTTTAAGTAATAACTGCTGTTAATGCACCAATCATAGCTTGCAAGCTCCTGAAAGACATCACAGCCACCAATCAATGTTCTCTCAAAAGAACTTACATAACTTTTCGCTTTCCCAAGAAAGCCCCAACCTTTTCCTTTGTTCTTTAGACATACCAGAGGCCATTCTGACCTGTGAGTGGCTCCTGAATTGCATTCTAATAATTATATATTATTTCTAAATACATGCTTTGCTTAGAGGTCCTTTTCTATATTTATTTAATATTGACATCCCTGAGAAACCAACATTTAAAAATATTCACTTTATTTAATAAGTACATTATTAAATATTCTGTGGAGATATGTTGAACTGGAGATATTTACCTTTATGGTATAAGTGCCTACATTTACCTGAGCAGAATAAATGGCAACAGGGATGCTCTCATAGTTTGAATATCATTTAAAAATCTAAGTATTTTCTCAATGTCTAGTAAATAATTAATAATCATAATCATTACCATAATTGCCATGGTCTTGCTTCTGACTCATATCGTTATTTTATAATTTTGCATTGTATTTGCCTCTTAAGCTGAGGAAAATAATAAGAATGTTATGGATGTAGAAATCCCTTCCCCTATATTTCATGTCTTTTCCTTTTACCTTGTTCCCACAATAGTTCTCTCCTTTTTGCTTTCTTGTTGTCTGTCTTCAATGGTATGCTATCAATAGACTCTTTTGAATGTGATAGCAACTAAACCATTCTCAGTAAGTTACATCTCAAGCATCCCTGTTCCTTTTGTGTGCCATCTCTGTGTAGATCTTTGCAGGCTCATTTAAGCTTACTCTTACTGGAGCACAGTAAGGATATTAACTGAAAATCAAAGCACATCAACTTCAACTCTAATGAGGTAAAAGGATTTCAACTTTCCTTACTTGCACAATATCTTAGTAGTCTAATGTCAATGATTATATGTTTAAATAACATTCTCATGTAGCAAGCAACTTGACATCAGAAAGGAACAACACATGAATGTTTCAGGACCTTGGAATAAATCCAATTTACATTAAATTGTGCATGTTTAAAACATTTTCCAAAATGTATCATTTTCAATTCTTTATTCAAGGCTGACTGTTGTCTATTGTAGTTTAATGAAGCAGAGAGTTACTCATTGAATTTCATCCATGTCAAGGGAATCCAAGCATTTCACTTATAATAGGATGCTTCTCCTACTGATATCTGCATTTTATTTCTTAAAAAAGACATTTGCCATTACCTCTTTCTTTGCAAAGAAACACAAAGAATGCTTAACTGTATACATGAAGCATGTTGGTTTTAAAGAAAATCAGGAAAAGACTTATTCTTGATAACTAGCTTTATATTGCAAGGAAAAACATTTTGAAACTTTAAAGTTTAGTAGACTATTAATATGTTCAATGAAGAATAAGTTATACTTTTTGTATTTTTTGAACATCACTTTAAACCTGTGAACAGCATTTTAAAACCCCTCTTTTAAAATATAACCACTCTTTAGAAATAGAGGAAACTTGACTATGCTTGCTTCAAATTTTAATAAATTGGTAAGAACTCAGATATCTTGTTTACTGTCCCAGAAAAGCTACAAAATGGGAAGGAAATCAGGGCACGTAAGAACTAGTTTTGTGGCCACAGCAGAAAACTGTTTCACCTGTGGTAGACTTGTGGCTCTGTTAAAATAGACTTGGTAGAATAAGTTGATAATATCAAACTCCAATCACTGTGCTGGGAAGAGAGAAAACTTTTTTTTTTGTAAAGAGATTTTAAATATAAGGAAGAGCCTCCTAAGGAAGGGGCCAAAAAGTGTTAGATGTTGACCTATAAGAGAAGAAACATGAATGCTGTAGATTGTATTTGTAAGAAGAAAACTTCAAACCCATTATCCTTTGATGAATATTTAGGGTTACCTTCCTCCAGGCTGAGGTACATCTTGCCCAGTGGCTCCTGGCTTGATGAGCAGAGAGTAGGCAAAATTATAGAAGCCACTTGCTCTTTGGACAGTGAACCCTCTGTATAACTGGTAGCATTTAAATTCATGAAACTGTGGTACATATCCACCATGGAATACCACATAGCCTTAAGAAGAATGTGAATATGTCCTTCAGAGGCTAGAGGCCATTATACTAAGCAAACTAATACAGGAACAGAAAACCAAATACTGTGTTCTCACTTATAAGTGACAGCTAAACATTGTGTGTATAGGGACACAAAGAATGGAACAACAGACACCTGGGCCTCCTTGAGGGTGAAGGGTGGAAGGAGGATGAAGACTGAAAAACTACCTATCAGGCACTATATTTATTTCCTGGGTAACAAAATAATGTACACACCAAACCCCTGTGGCTCACAATCCTGCACATGTACCACTGAACTTAAAATGAAAGTTAAAAAAAAATTAATTCATGCACTCCAGTGCTGGAATGCTAACATTCAAATTCTGACTCCACCTTTTTCATCTGCAATCTAACTTTGGAGAAGTTACCTAAAACTTCTCTAAGCATCAATTTTCTCAGACATAATTAGGGAACCTAAGAATACCTTCCACATATTATTGTGTGATAACAAAAAATAATATGTATGTGTTTATATATATATATACACACATATCCATTAAATATCTAGCACATAATAGTATTAATGTTAATTATCATTTTTATTCTTTACAGTAACATCAAGTTTGTGATCATGTTTGCAGGGGCTCATGAAAGAAAATGCAATTATAATACCCTGCAGTATATTCTATAGTAATAGATAATATTTTGCAAGCACTTTTCACTAGTTGGCAGTTGTGGAAAGTTATAGAATACAAATTCTAAGGTTTAAAGTTTAAAAAGAGGGCTTAAGTCCCTTTAGTTCTCACAACTACAGGGAGAATTGGAGGATATGCTCTACTCTCCTAATAAGAATGGTCAGTGATCTCAAGCATCAAGGCAATAAAACCTTATTTAAATGCACTGTATCATGAGAGTGAGGAAAATACAACACTGCAAACTAAATCAATGCATATTAGGGGAAATTTATTAAGGAGGGAGATTACAATGTTTCAAGAATTTAAACTTAGTAATCCTGGCAGTTGTTCAATACAGCATTGTTGTCAGCACAGCAGGCTTCCTCTGAGTGGTCAAATAGAATAAAGATAGACTAGAATAAAACTTTATATATGTAAGCTTTTATGTATATATGTAAATACATTTATACAAATCTGTTATTTTTAAATTCAGTTGAACTGAGAAAATAAGCTTCTATTAAATATATACAGATATAGCGGTAAGCTTAAGAAAACTGAAATCAAGAGGTTAGAGTGTTTCGGTGTTCAAGAGTTTTGCTTAATGAGCTTTGTAATGTGTGAGTGGAAAATAGGTTATGCTCCAGATGGAACAAAGTTAAGTTTCTAGGATGTGTTACAATCATGCTGACATTATTGACAAGAAGAAGCTACAATGACTTGTAAGGCAAATGTAAAATTATCAGGATTTTCATGATCTCAAGTGAATAACTATTGGGAATATTCATTTTTTAATGAAAAAGCATGGAGCTTGATTATTATGTTCTAATAAAATTTAAGGAGATATTTGCTGGTATGATAACAGTTATCTGATTATAAAACAAATTATTCTAAGTTTGAGAAAGAGCACATGCCACTATGGTAATTTATTCTTCCTCAGATAATCAATTTACAAAGGTAAACCAAAATAATAAAAAGAATGAAACATTACACATTTTCTAAAATTCAGAGAACCAAGAACTTAATTTTCCTTTAAAGAAAATATAGCCTTCTTAAAGATCTTAATGATAATTTCTACTATGTATTCACTAAAAATGTTTCTCCTCAAAGTTTTTGCATACAAATATAATCAAATCAATAGAAAAAAGGGATTAATTGTTCAGATATTTACTCACACACATTTTATATGAAGGATTTTGAGGATTAGTTATAATTTTATCTTTAGCCCCCCCAAAATTAGTTGAATTCAAGTTTTTTTTTTTTTTTTGCAACTTGTAACTTGTTATGGTACATAACTACAATGATTAGAAAATTAACTTAGCTGACTTAAAAAAAATCAGTTGTAAGAGCATTAAAAAATAAACATTAAGTAAGTTCATTTATTGATTCTATCTTCTGGGTCTTAAATTTTGCCTTTTGAGATTGCTTCTCAAGTTTCTGCCCACATGGCAAATTTCATTCATTTTTTTATGCAATCATACAATTAACAATATTTACTGTGCATTAAGTAGGTGTCATTCATGGTGCCAGAAAAAAACATAATGCATTTTTTCCTGTGAGCTTGTAATCATGAACATATTAAATGAAAGTTACTAGCTCTAATATGCTAACCATATAAATAAAAGTTGCTAATGTGAATTCTCCAGTAAAAAGATGTAAGATAACATAAAACTTCAATTGCAAATCAAATAAAGATTGGTATAGATTATACATTATTTATTTAGTCATTTGAAAATGGCATGATATATTATCAGAAAAACACTTGAAGAATTTCTCCAATTCTTTATAAAATTAATTTTGTATGACTTGTGAAACAGAAGCAGATAGCAAATCAGATTGTCATTGCTATGAACACTGCTCTGGGCTAAATCTATTCTAAATCATGGCAACATACAACTGCAAAAACTTCCAGAGATTATAAAACCATTAACACTGAATAGAACAGCACATAGCATACATAAAAGATTTATTTCTAAGTATGAAAAATTGCATTTCACTTCAACTATTTAATCTTGCTGTGTTGGTTGGCTTTGGTAAATTGAAAAATGGTCTTTCTGACAGCTAGACTGTTGGGGCAACTGAAACATGTAACAGAAACCACAACTTTCAACATGGACTGCATTATCACTTATGAAACAGATGAACAGTTTCAAACCAAACCATGATGTTCATCACAGCCTAAGTTTATACTGTTTATATTAGATACATATATTCCAAGAAAATGCTATATTAACCTTGCATGGATCCATGTGTTTTAATGATAGGATCAGTGACTATTCCAAAAACTCTCTATTTCATAAATTTTTATAATTTCCAAGAAAGATTATTCCATGACCAATTTTGTCTCCGAAACCTTATCAGTACTCCTTTCCTAGGGTCCTTTTTTTGAGATGCCCTAGAGTTTCCCATGGTGGGGGATCTCTCCTGCTGTAGCTTTTAATAAACCTAATTTTGTTGACCACATTTATATATCTGCTGGTCTCTGACTCATAAATATATACAGTTTATTGAACTGTAAATGTTTTGGTTTTTCAACTACGCATGGTAATAATGAAATTTGATATCACAGAAATATGCAACAGGGCATATTCTAGGCCGTACCTCATGTAATCTAAAAATAGAGGTTTCAGTTGGATTAAAGTTAGGTCTAAAATTCAAAAGCAGAGTTTTATAGAACTCTCTGGTGCTTGAACACTAATATGTCCCATAATCGATCTGCTTCTTTTGGTGTCTGGGGACTTTTACTTTCAAATTGTCTTCCTTATCCTTTATATCTTTCCTCTATGATAATAGTTCTCCTGAATTATAGTGTGTACCACAGCCTGCTCATGGCCGTTACTCTAAATAGATGTCAGGAATCTATGACTCATAGGCCAGATAGTGCTTTTTGCCCATTTTTGTAAGTAAAGCTTTATTGAAACATAACCATATCTATTTGTTTTGTATTGTCTATGGGTGTTTTCATATTACGTTGGCAGAGTTGAATAATTGTGGCAGAAATCTGCTGTAGAAATATCAAATAATAAGTGGGTTTTAGACATATTCTACCTTTGATGCCACTGAAATTTTCAAGTCAAATGTCCACTCAATAGTGGGAAATTTGGTTTTGAAAATGTTTTAAAAATTAAGGAATTCATTTACTCAAAAATTAAAAATGAATTTTTCACTTTTCCAAAATGATGATATAAAGAGATCTAGAGATCTCTCTCCAAAACTGGTCAAAATTTGCAAAGACAAACATTTAAAATCTCTAGAGATCAACCAACTGCTTACAAAGAAATGAGAATCATTTTTCACAAAATAGGTGAATATACATTGTGATCTTGAACTCCTGAGCTCAAGTAGTCCTCTTCATGTGGCCTCCCATAGTGCTAGGATTACAGGCATGAGTCAACACACCTGACCAGAATATACATTAGAAACAACAATAGTCTGTGACATTTGAGCTGGGAGCTGTACCCTACCTTCACAGCTCTGTGTTGAGGCTGACACGTTCCAATAGGCTCCATGCTAAGTGGCAGCTTCTATCTTCCCCACACTCTACGATGAAAAAGCTAGTCTGTGTACATTTGGCAGCTGTGAACACTGGTAGATACCATTTCTCATAGGTCTTTACTGTGTAAGACCTATGCTGGATGTATAGAACAAGCCAAGTGGTGTTTGCCCTTTCCCCAACTACTGCAGTGTAGGGAGAAGCCAGGTGGGACAGCAGGCAAAGTGTGCAGTATCCCATTCTCACAGAGCTCTGTGTTGCAAAATAAACTCTTTTGAGTAACAACTACCATTTCCTTTAGTTTCCAGAAGTGCAAGATTCATTACCTCTTAGAATTACCACGACAGATTTTAAGTTAGTAAACCTCAACGTATTACAATATCCATGCCTCTGATCTACAATGGGTGTTGGTGGCAGCCAAGAGGCATCAGCAATTCCTCCTAACCCTCAAAGATACAGTTCCTGCTTCATGGTAATAATCCCCTTTCCCCAGCTCCTGCTTCATATTACAGAGATTCCTTCCAGGGAAGGTCCAGAGCAAGTTTCAAAGTTGGCAATGTCCTGCCTCTGCCAAGTGGTCCTATTTCTTTGAATTAGACTGAGGAAGAATTTACGTGACAGGGCATTGTCAAAACAGTGAAGTCATCTTGTAAGTAGTGAAATCTAACAGCTGGAGGTGATACCAATAAGGGCAGATGAGCCAGAAGTATAATTAGGGGATGAATAAAATAGACAGTCAAATGTGGCCAGGTAAAATAATAAGCATTGCTGCTGGTACATGCTCAAGACTATTAACTGAGGAGAAACTGCGAGATAACTACTAGTTACTGATAACTAGATGAACACAGGGCTATCTGGTAAAATCCTGAACAGTTAAATTAAAAGCAATCTCCAAGCCACACACATACCTAATGACAGAAAATGAAATCCTTCTTGTAACAGGGCTTAGCTGCAATCTCTCCCTAGTCAGTGGCTAACCACTAAACATTGCTAAACGAGGAGCAACCCATAGAAAGTCTGGTTTAGTGATAAAAATTAGGAAAAAAATATTGAACAGGATATCAAAAAATTAGGAAAAATATTAAAAAGGATATCAAGGCATGCCCACAGCTAAGAAAATAGCCTTTACTGAAGTTGTCCAGACATGTCCATATACAAATAAACAAGCAAACAACAATAAGCTTCAATGGGCATCAGTAACTAGAGTTACAGCTACATATTATTTAAAACCTCTAGTTTGGAGCAAAATACTATGAGACATGTAAATAAACAGGAACATATAACCCATACACAAGAAAAGAAGCAAACACAATCAACTGCCTTGTTGGAGCCAAGATAATGAACTTATTAGGAAAAAAATTTAAAGCAATTATTATAAATATGTTCCAATAACAAAATAAAACCACGTTTAAAACCTTTAAAGAAGGTATGATGCAATATCTCATTAGATAGAGAATATCAATAAACAAGTAGATTGTAAAAAGAAGCAACCAGAAAAGTACAACAAACAAAATAACAGAGTCATTAGAGGGGCTTGATAGTAGATTTGAGGTAACAGAAGAATCAGTGACTTGAAAATGGATCAAAAACTTACACAATATGAAGAACAGGAGTAAAAAGAAGAAAAATGAACAGAGGCTCAGAAAAAATTGTGGGACACCAGTAAGTACATCAACATATCTGAGATAGAAGTTCTAGAAGGAGAAAAGAAAAAGAAGAAAGCAGAAAATATAAGCAAAAGAAACATGGTTCAAACTTCTCCAAATAAATGAAAAACATTAATATAAATATCTAAGAAGTTCAATAAACTTCCAAGTAGGATAAACTAGAGATCTTCATGCGGAAACATCTAGTCAAAACTGAAAGCCAAAAGTAAAGAGAAAGTCTTAGAATCAAAAAGAAAAAAAGAGTCATCACATGTAAGAGAAACTGAATAAGACTGACAGCTGACTTGTCATCAGAAGCCATGGAGGCCAGAAGGTAGTTGGATGACATATTCAAAGTACTGAAAGAAAATAAAAATTGTCAACCAAGAATCCCATATCCAGAAAAAAAAATTTAAAAAATGAAGTTCAAATACAGACAGACCTGCTTTTTGAGAAATACTAAAAGAGGTAGGTCAGGCTAAAAGCAAGTTACAGTAGGCAGTAATTTGATACTTCATAAAAAAATAAAGATCACTGATAAAGATAATTAATTTAAGTAATCATAAGAGACATAATAATTGCACATTTCTTCTCACTTTTTCTCCTGTTTTTTTAAATGCATAAAACAATATATATCCAATTGTAGTTTCGGGCTTACAACATATAGAAATGTAATATATTTGTCATTAATATCACAAAGGAGATAGGTGGAAACAAGACTGCATTAGAGGAAGAAAATGACACTAAATGCCAACTCTAATTCACAGAAAAAGATTAAGAGAATCAGGATTCATTAAAAAGAAGGTAATGTAGCAAAATTTATCTATTTATACATGTCTCCTTTCTTCCCTCAGCTTCTTTAAAAGAAATAGATTATATAAATTAATAATCATATTGATCTCTTTTTGGGATATATATATATATAAATTTTCAATGTATAGCAATATTAGCACAAAAGGGGAAATGGAACTATATATGAATACAATTCCTATATCTCACTGAAAATAACTTATGAATCTGAAGTAGAGTATTATAAGTTAAGGATGTGTAGTTTAAGCCTTAGAGCAATTATTAAGATTATAATTTTTAAAAAACATACTTAAACAATCATCAAAGAAATTAAAATGGGACCATAGAAAATTTCCAATTTATTTAAAAGTAAGTAGGAAAGGAGGAAAGGAAGAACAAAGAAAACTGTCAGATAGAAGCCCAACACTACCAATAACAATTTAATTATATATGAATTAAACAATTACTTGTTTAATGCCTTAAACAAGGCAGAGATTGTCACATTGGATTTAAAAACCAAACCAAACGAACCCAAAATTCATCTGTGTGCTGAGTACAAGAGAAAGTCGTTAACATTCAAAGATACAAGCAGTTGAAAATAAAAGGATGAGAAAAGATATATCATGCAAACAGCAACCACAATAGCTGGAGTAGCTTTTCTTATAACAAAGAAAATAAATTTTCAAAAATAGAAGACAAAAAAAAACCTTCCCAATCGATTCCATGAGGCCAATATTACTTTGATATCAAAGTCAGAAAAGCCACAGCACAAAAAACAATATTATGTACCAATATTTCTTATGAATATAAATGCAAACATCTTCAAGGAAATACTAGCAAACTCATTCCAGCAGTGTATTAAAAGGATTATACATCATGACAAAGTAGAATGCATCCCAGGAATGGGAGCTTGGTTTAACATTCAAAAATCAATTTATATAATAACTCATTAATAGTTAAAGGATGAAAAGCAAATGATCACCTCAATAATTACAGAAATGCATTGGCAGAATAACATGCCCTCTCTTTATAATAGTACTTAACAAAATAAGTATAGAAAGGAACTTCCTAACCCTTTTGTAGATAAAGAGGGCATCTACAAAAGGAATTTCCTATTCCTTTTGTAGATATAGGGCATCTACAAAAATTTCACTTAACGCTTAAAAACTAGAGGCTTTCTTCCAATGTTAGGAACAAGACAAGGAAGTCCAATTTTGCCAATTTTATTCAACATTACATTAGAGGCTCTATACAGAGAGGTTAGGCAAATGAAAATACAAAGACTGGAAAGAAAAAAGTAAAACTCTTTTTAATTGCCCATGACAAAATGTTGTATGTAAAACCCTTAGAAAATTACTTGAAAAGCTATAGAGCTAATAAGTGAGTTTAGCAATATACTGGATACAAGGTCAACATACAAAAATCAATTATGTTTTTATAGACTATTTGTTTTAATAGACTATAGACAATTAATAACTTAAAAATTAAAACAAAACCTTTTACAATTATAATGACAACAAAAAGGATAAAATAGTTGGAAATAAATTTAACCAAAAAAAAGTGTAAGAATGTACACTGATAAATACAAAACATCAGTGAAGAAACTTGAGAAAGATTTGAATAAATGGGAGACATTTACATAAATGAAACATTCCATGCTCATGCATTGGAAGACTAATATTGTTAAAACGGCGATACTCCCTAAATTAATCTATAGGTTCAATCCTCATCAAAATTCCAGCTCTTTCTTTTTTAAATATTGACAAGCCAATCTTCAAATTGATATGGAAATTGTTAAAATGGCAATACTCCCTAAATTAATCTATAGGTCCAATCCTTATAAAAATTCCAGCCCTGTCTTTTTAAAAAATTGACAAGCCAATCTTCAAATTGATATGGAAATTTAAAGGACTTAGAATAGCTAAAACAATCTAGGAAAAAAATATAGATTGTTTACATGTCTTGATATTACAATTTACTATGAAGCCACAAGAATCAAGATATGTGGTCATGGCATAAGGACAAACATATAGATCGACAAACTAGAAGTGAACATCCAGAAATAAAGCTTCACTTTGGTGTTCAA
Organism: Homo sapiens; assembly: GCF_000001405.40. Taxonomy (NCBI): domain Eukaryota; kingdom Metazoa; phylum Chordata; class Mammalia; order Primates; family Hominidae; genus Homo; species Homo sapiens. The sequence continues at coordinate 67,560,414 of NC_000013.11, forward strand.
CTGATTTTTAATATGAGTGCTGAGACAATTTAATTGAGAAGGGATAGTTTTTTCAATAAATGATAATGTAACTACTGTATGTGAACATGTAAAACAATAAAGTTGGACCCCTGCCTCACAATACTCACAAAAAATTAATCCAAAGTGAATCATACACCTAAATGTAAGAGCTAAACCTATAAAACTGTTAGAAATAAATAGGCATGAATCTTTGTGGCCTTGAATTGAATAATGAGTTTTTAAAAATAGACACATTAGGTTTTATCAAAATTGAACAAAAGACACCATTCAGGAAGGAAAAGACAACATACAGAATGAGAGAAAATGTTTGCACGTAATATATCTGATAAGGGACTTGTGTTCAGAATGTATAAAGCATGCTTGCAACTCAATAAAAGTACTAATAACTAAACTAAAAAATGGGCAAAATATATGAATAGAACTTTCTCTAAAGAAGATATACAAGTGGTCAGTAAGCACATGAAAAGCTAATCAATATTATTACTCATTTGGGATATACAAATCAACCACAATATTTCACTCTATATGCAGTGTGATGGCTACACTAAAAAAGATATTTGGGAAATGCAAATCAAAATACAGTACTTCACATTATACACAGTATGCTCATTATACTAAAAAAGGCAGACAATAACAAATGTTGAAAAAAATATGAACAAATTTGAATCCTCATACATTGCTAGCAGAAACATAAAATAAGGAAGCCACTTCAGAAAACAATTTGTCATTGCTCAAAATGATAAACATAGTTATCATATGAACAAGTATTTCTATTCTTATATACATATACATAAAAGAAAAATACATATCTTCATAAAAACTAGTAAATACATATTTATAGTTGCATTATCATAATAGCAAAATGACACAATATTTTAAGAAAGAAAATAAAAAAGTTCATAAACTGATGAATGGAGAAATAAAATATGGTATATCCAGACAATAAAATATTATTTCTTAATAACAAATGAATCCGATACTGATACAATGTATGACATGATAAACACAGAAAACATGCTTTAGGAAGGAAGCCAATAACAAAGGATACCATATTGTATGATTCCATTTATATGAAATGCTAATAATAAGCAAATATTTGAGACAGGAAGATTAGATGTTTCCTACGGCTGGTGGGGAGGGTTAATGGGAAATAACTGCTTATTGGTATGGGATTTATTTTTGGGGTGAGAAAATATTCTAAAATTTAGATGGTAGTGTTTGTTGCACAACTCTGAATCTGTTAAATACTACTGGATTTTATACTTAATATATAGATTTTGTGATATATGAAGTGTAACTTAATAAAACTTTTTAAAAGAAAACAATGAGAACAATTTCCATAAGATGTCAATTTATCTGGGACTTATGTTCTTCATCAGCATTTAAACAAACTACAGAATGCTAAGTAGTGTGTGTGTGTGTGTGTGTGTGTGTGTGTGTGTGTGTGAATACCACTTAAATTATAAATTAATTCTACCTTCTGTGTGCTAGGGTGCATTAAGGAAGTAATTTGGTTTATAGATGTAAACATTCAATTATTTTACACTTCAGAGGTTTCAAATATAGAATATAGTGAGCTCATTAACTTTTTAAAGAAAATTCTAGCAAGTGGTAAAATTAAGAAATATATATAGTCAAATAATGTTGACGGAAGGCCGAATTGTGAAGACAAAACAATTTCCTATTGCTGTTATCTGAAAGATTCCAACCTCCCCAAATTGATATGTTGAAATTGAATCCCCAATGTTTTGCTATTAAGAGGTAGGGCCTTAGGGAGGTAACTAGGTCATGAGGTTAAAGCCCTTGTCAATGGGATATGTGTCTTTATAGGAGTTTGTTTGCACCTTCAGCCATGTGAGGACACATAGAAGACTCTCTTTATGTGCAATAGGCCCTTACCAGACACTGAATCTGCTGGCATCTTGGGCTTCCACTTCCCAACTTCCAGAATTGTGAGCAATACATTTCTCTTGTTTATAAACTACCCAATTTTTGGTATTTTGTTATAACAGCTCAAATGGACTAAGATAAAATAAATTTTTGAAAAGCGTGGTTGCTGAAAATATTTTTTAAATTTATTATTATTATACTTTAAGTTTTAGGGTACATGTGCACAATGCGCAGGTTACATATGTATACATGTACCATGCTGGTGCGCTGCACCCACTAACTCGTCATCTAGCATTAGGTATATCTCCCAATGCTATCCCTCCCCCCTCCCCGCAACCCACAACAGTCCCCAGAGTGTGATGTTCCCCTTCCTGTGTCCATGTGTTCTCATTGTTCAATTCCCACCTATGAGTGAGAATATGCAGTGTTTGGTTTTTTGTTCTTGCGATAGTTTACTGAGAATGATGATTTCCAATTACATCCATGTCCCTACAAAGGACATGAACTCATCATTTTTTATGGCTGCATAGTATTCCATGGTGTATATGTGCCACATTTTCTTAATCCAGTCTATCATTGTTGGACATTTGGGTTGGTTCCAAGTCTTTGCTATTGTGAATAGTGCCGCAATAAACATACATGTGCATGTGTCTTTATAGCAGCATGATTTATAATCCTTTGGGTATATACCCAGTAATGGGATGGCTGGGTCAAATGGTATTTGTAGTTCTAGATCCCTGAGGAATCACCACACTGACTTCCACAATGGTTGAACTAGTTTACAGTCCCACCAACAGTGTAAAAGTGTTCTTACTTATCCACATCCTCTCCAGCACCTGTTGTTTCCTGACTTTTTAATGATTGCCATTCTAACTGGTGTGAGATGGTATCTCATTGTGGTTTTGATTTGCATTTCTCTGATGGCCAGTGATGGTGAGAATTTTTTCATGTGTTTTTTGGCTGCATAAATGTCTTCTTAAAGGGGATATCACCACCGATCCCACAGAAATACAAACTACCATCAGAGAACACTACAAACACCTCTATGCAAATAAACTAGAAAATCTAGAAGAAATGGATAAATTCCTAGACACATACACTCTCCTAAGACTAAACCAGGAAGAAGTTGAATCTCTGAATAGACCAATAACAGGAGCTGAAATTGTGGCAATAATCAATAGCTTACCAACCAAAAAGAGCCCAGGACCAGATGGATTCACAGCCGAATTCTACCAGAGGTACAAGGAGGAACTGGTACCATTCCTTCTGAAACTATTCCAATCAATAGAAAAAGAGGGAATCCTCCCTAACTCATTTTATGAGGCCAACATCATCCTGATACCAAAGCCGGGCAGAGACACAACCAAAAAAAAGAATTTTAGACCAATATCCTCGACGAACATTGATGCAAAAATCCTCAATAAAATACTGGCAAAACGAATCCAGCAGCACATCAAAAAGCTTATCCACCATGTTCAAGTGGGCTTCATCCCTGGGATGCAAGGCTGGTTCAATATACGCAAATCAATCAATGTAATCTGGCATATAAACAGAACCAAAGAAAAAACCACATGATTATCTCAATAGATGCAGAAAAGGCCTTTGACAAAATTCAACAACCTTTCATGCTAAAAACTCTCAATAAATTAGGTATTGATGGGACGTATCTCAAAATAATAAGAGCTATCTATGACAAACCCACAGCCAATATCATACTGAATGGGCAAAAACTGGAAGCATTCCCTTTGAAAACTGGCACAAGACAGGGATGCCCTCTCTCACCACTCCTATTCAACATAGTGTTGGAAGTTCTGGCCAGGGCAATTAGGCAGGAGAAGGAAATAAAGGGTATTCAATTAGGAAAAGAGGAAGTCAAATTGTCCCTGTTTGCAGATGACATGATTGTATATCTAGAAAACCCCATTGTCTCAGCCCAAAATCTCCTTAAGCTGATAAGCAACTTCAGCAAAGTCTCAGGATACAAAATCAATGTACAAAAATCACAAGCATTCGTATACACCAACAACAGACAAACAGAGAGCCAAATCATGAGTGAACTCCCATTCACAATTGCTTCAAAGAGAATAAAATACCTAGGAATCCAACTTACAAGGGATGTGAAAGACCTCTTCAAGGAGAACTACAAACCACTGCTCAAGGAAATAAAAGAGGATACAAAGAAATGGAAGAACATTCCATGCTCATGGGTAGGAAGAATCAATATCGTGAAAATGGCCATACTGCCCAAGGTAATTTACAGATTCAATGCCATCCCCATCAAGCTACCAATGACTTTCTTCACAGAATTGGAAAAACTACTTTAAAGTTCATATGGAACCAAAAAAGAGCCCGCATTGCCAAGTCAATCCTAAGCCAAAAGAACAAAGCTGGAGGCATCATGCTGCCTGACTTCAAACTATACTACAAGGCTACAGTAACCAAAACAGCAAGGTACTGGTACCAAAACAGAGATATAGATCAATGGAACAGAACAGAGCCCTCAGAAATAACGCCGCATATCTACAGCTATCTGATCTTTGACAAACCTGAGAAAAACAAGCAATGGGGAAAGGATTCCCTATTTAATAAATGGTGCTGGGAAAACTGGCAGGCCATATGTAGAAAGCTGAAACTGGATCCCTTCCTTACACCTTATACAAAAATCAATTCAAGATGGATTAAAGACTTAAACGTTAGACCTAAAACCATAAAAACCCTAGAAGAAAACCTAGGCATTACCATTCAGGACATAGGCATGGGCAAGGACTTCATGTCTAAAACACCAAAAGCAATGGCAACCAAAGCCAAAATTGACAAATCTAATTAAAATAAAGAGCTTCTGCACAGCAAAAGAAACTACCATCAGAGTGAACAGGCAACCTACAAAATGGGAGAAAATTTTTGCAACCTACTCATCTGACAAAGGGCTAATATCCAGAATCTACAATGAACTCAAACAAATTTACAAGAAACAAACAAACAACCCCATCAAAAAGTGGGTGAAGGACATGAACAGACACTTCTCAAAAGAAGACATTTATGCTGAAAATATTTATTACAGTAGTGTGCATAGAAATTTCATAGAAATCCTACATCATTTGAATAAATATAAATTTATTATTTATATTAAAGTTTATTTTAAAATAAACACTTATGAGGAAAAATTATGCAGAGAGATTTTGCACATTTGTAAGTATTACACACTTCAATAAATTTTAAGCCTAATTCAACCTACCTTGCTCTTTTTATTATTTTTCAGTTTGATTAGTGAAAGCAAACTATTTTAAAAATGCTAAACTAGATATAGTTAATACATCACATTAGTTGAAGTATTTAACAGTTCCAATGATAATTAAAATTATATTTGAACCTTGCTAGGTTTGGATGATTACACCATTCCTTTGATATTGCTGTTTTAATTGAATTAAACATAGATTGCTAGTGTGTTTGTATAGTTAACAAAAAGCACAAAAGGTGATCATGTACCATGTGTTAGAATCTTTGTTGCCTGGTAGATTCTTTGGTATTCATGTGGAACTCTTAGGTATGCTCTGCTAAGTCTGAGCACATATCATCCTGAACTTTAATCTTGGTTATAGCTGGCTGAACCATCATTTAAAGAAAGTACATTTTGGCTCCTTGATCCATGATGTATGGAAAATGTAACCTTGATATTAAACTTTTCTAAGATAAATTTTTCAAGTTAGTTCTTTAAATATGGGATTGACTGATGTGAGAACTCCTGAAATATCATTTCCCTTCTCTTATTGTGAGAAAATTCAAAGTAAACTCATACTAGAATAAAAAAGATCCACATTTCCAATTAAATTATCTGATTCTTTCTTTCTCTCTTATAAATAAATGTCTGTATATTTGTATGCTTCCCTTTCAAAATTCTATTTTGCTAGTATATTTTTAATGTGCTTATATGAAATTATATTGTGCTTCCTTTTAAATTACAGTACTACATAAAATTATACCAGTTTGCTTACTTTTACAACTTAGCGAACCTTTTATTTTAATTTTAATAAAATATATAGAGATTGATTCTATAATTATAAAATCTAATGAGAAAATTAATAATAGGTTAAATTGATAGAGTGTTCAAATATTTATAGCCCAAAAGGGCATTTGGATCAGAACATCTTATAGGCAAATATTCCTAGATTTTCAGGGAATAAAAAATTTCTATGCATAAAAAACAAAGGAAACATCCTGTTTCTTTGAGAGTTTTATAACCTGCTATGACAATCAGGCAAAGCACACACCCACAAAGACACACACACAAAGGGAAAATTATAGATAAGTACCACTTATTAGTATATATCAGTATTAGTGAATCAGTAATATTAATAGTATAATAGCAATCAGTATTAATGTAATCAGTAAATAAACCTGTTATTAAAAAGGCTTTTTTACTAGCATGAATAAAATTAGGCTTTCTTAAATAATGAATGAATGAATGGGAGGAACACTTGTACAATTATTTGAATTAAGATGATGATATTCAAGCTTCTTGAGGAGAAATAGGGAATCTCTAAATCAATCTATAATATTTGATATTTAAGAAGTGTACAAGCAGCACAAAATTTTTGAAGACTTCTACATTTTTAAATAAATGTTTTGTTTTGAAATAATTTTAGTTTTATTTTGAAAAGTTGAAAGCGTACAGTTACGATAGAACTTGCAATCAGTTTCTCTTAATGTTAATGTAAAATGTTATAGATTAATATCATATATAATATATTACATATATAATATATATAGTGTGTGTATATATATATAATATTAACCATGGAACATTTGTCAAAACTAAGAAATTATCACAGCTTACTACTATCAACTAAACTGCACAGGTTATTAAGATTTAGCAAGCTTTCCACTAATGTTCTTTTATGGTTCAATACAATTCAAGATACCACACTTAGGCACGATCTCTCTGTATTCTCCCCTTGCCTGTCACAATTCTTCAGTCTTTACTTATATCTTGTGACATTAACAGTTTTGAAGAATATTGGTCAAATATTTTGCAGAATGTCTCCAAATGTTGTCTGTCTGCCATTTTTCTCATGATATCTCATGTTATCAATATAACTCATTACTGGTTATGCTAGCATTGATCCCTTGGTTTAGGTAGTATTTGCCAGATTTCTCCACTGTAAAGTTCGTATTTTTTTCATTTCATTCTGTGTGTGTGTGTGTGTGTGTGTGGTTTTTTTTTTTTTTTTTTGGAAACAAGCCATTAAATTCAATCTACACTCAGAGGGAGGGGAATTCAGCTTCACCTCCTAAAAGCGAAAGTATCTATATCTAACATTTGAATTTTTTTTGTAAGAGAGATTTTTCCCTTTTCTCCATTTATTTATTTATTTATTTATCTATTTATTTAATCGTTCTTACTATGGACTCATGTAAACACATTTTATATTTTGAGTTATAATCCAATACTACATTATTTAAATTGTTGGCCATTGAAAATTCTTTGTGTAATCTCTGTTTGCCTTCATCCTCCCTCCAGGGATGTACTTCCTTCTTTCCTGGCACTACAAGATGCTCCAGGGTCCTCTTGTATTTTCCTATCCCAGGCCTAGAGGCTGCTTTCTCCAAGGAGCCCTGGTTTCTTTTTTTGGAGAATGATTTCTAGAAATCAAGACCTGGACATTGGGTTCCTACATTTTCACCGTTCAAACACAAAATAAATAATGATAATAAAGTAAATAATAAAAAATTCTATTCTTCAAATTCGGAATAAGAATAATAATAAAGTTAAATTCCCAAGCCTCTGTTGCCACTAGGAATACCATGATGTGGAACTTAATTACATGAAAAAAATTTAGGACACATTAAGTCAATGTAGCTGTTAAGGGTGATAGCAGGGGTACGTGGGTCTGGTGGCAACAGTGGAAGCTACGGACATTTCAGTTGTGTGTGCAGTGTTTTTTGGTGAGTTGTTCATGGAAGGATCTAGTTTCTCCAGCTTTTCAATTACTTTGTAAATTGACTCCTAACCTGTTATAATCTCTATTCTTAAAATAGCTGCAGTATATTATTGTCTAAAATTAAGAGTGCTGACCTAGGCATTAAGAGTGGGACAGAAAATACCAAATACATGTCATCAATTCAGAGCATATGGCAAATCTTAGAGTGATCCAATCAATCTGTAAGACTCCGACTTTAAGGGAAAGCAAACAAAATCCAAAATAATTATCCAATATGCTCGACCAGTCATAATTAAAAAGACATTTCAATTTTATCATCCTTAAACATGGATGTTGAGCCATTGATGTAAATTCACCATGAAGAAACCACCTTGAAGGCGTATGCATATCAGAGAGTAAACTTACACATATGAAATGCGTTAGTACCTTCAGACCTTATGCAAGCTGTGATCTTTTTATAATGATTGAGTATTACACGAATTACCTAACATTATGACAATGTTTGTTAGATAGCATTATTTTGGAATGAGCAGCTTAAAGAACATGATCACATAATTCCCAAATGGTTTGATATTCAGTTTCCACTAAAGTCCTAAGATAATTCCAGAGCTATTTTCAATAGTAGAAAAGATTATTGCTAATATATGTATGATCTTCATCAAAACTCTTCGGTTTTTCTTTTACAAGTTTCCTGTTTGAGACTTCCCAACTCGGTAATCTGCCAGTGTTTGAACTTTACACAATTTACCAGGTCACGAAGCTGCAATTTCAGAGTTGTACTCTGAAACATGGAATGGTGCAAGGCCTTTCTCTTATATAGGACTGTATTTGAAAGTAATTTGAGTTATAAAGAAAATAATTTTCATCAGGCAATATTTTAGGGCCTGCCTCTATGTCCTCAGCATTGAGCTTCTTCCTTCGAAGAACTGATAAGCAGCTATTTGTATACCCTATTTTACTGTGTCATTTTTCTACCAATAATTTTACTGATGTAGCAGGTCCTTTTTTGATGGGATATATTTTCTCTGACAAACATGGGTGTTAAAAATATCAGATTTTTTTTTTCCTTATTGCTCTCTAGGTCCTACAAGCATGATAGCATTAGGATGATGGACCAGAATGATGTTCTGTGTGATGATGAGGGCATTGCGGACCATGTGGACCACAAGGAGGCATGAAATGCAAGGACTAACATGTCACTGAGGCGGTAGAGTAAAATCTGTTCTTACTTTACTGCAAGAAAATCAAATGGGGATTTTAACATTTACCATATAGAATGTGCTATCCCCATCAATAGCGGCATTTCAGATATCAGAGGCTATGTTGATATAGCCATATATGGCACTTTCCCATTTGCTGGTATAACAAACTTAGTGATGTAAAACAACACAAAGTTATCATATTATATTTCCATAGGTCTGAAGTTCAAAATTAGTGTCACTGGGCCAAAATCAACTGCCAGCAGGGCTATGTTGCTTTCTGAAAGCTCTAGAGGAGAATTCACTTCTTCGCCTTTTCTACCCTCTAGAGATGGAAAAGTTCATAGTCCCCTTTCACATTTACAAGGCCAGCAACATAGTGTTTCTCTAACCTTGCTTCTGTCTTTTCATCTCTTTTCCTTCCACAACTGGGAAAATTCTCTACTTTTAAGGATCTATGTTGTTATTGTGGGCCTACCTAGATAATCCAGGATGTCCCTCCCATACCAAGGTCATTAACTTAATTACATCTGCAAAGTTCTGTTTGCAATATAATCGAATACTTTCACAAATTCTGGGGATTGGAGCATGGAAAACTTTGAGAAACCATTATTTTGTCTACCATACCATTTTATCAGTTATATTTGTAACAAAAGTCAAATTTGCATCATCATTTTAGATGATTTTCTAAGAATATCCAACTTTTTTTTTTAAGGGAACTGGAGAATTAAGTTGGACTATCATAGAGATTATTGTACCTGTGACTTCCTAGCCCCTAATGACTGAAATATCCTTTTATATTTAACTCAGTAATGATGATGTAATAATGACACTAATAATGATAATGGTGATTTGGCTGGGATGGGTTCCATTGATATCCAGCTGTTTCTTTATGTTACAATATTCTGTATAGGCTAAGAAAGTATTGTTAGAAAATAAAATTTTTGTTATATTTTTAGGACCTGAAAAAATGATTGAAGATTATAAGGATCAAGAGTCAAAGGTTTTACTCTAAAATGCTCTACTCTAATTGGCATTCACAATAATATTATGAGTTCCTAGTAATTATAATTAGCTCGGAATCAAGCCAGTTTTCTCAAAATCTTGATTTTTTTTAATTTCCCACACATTTATCTGTGGGAAATGTGAGAAATGTTAGTAGACGCATATCATTTTATAAAAAATTCCTGAAAATAAATCTGTCTATCAAGGTAGACAGTAGGTAGACTCTGAGGCTGATAAATATTGACAATTATGTGATTTTTTTATGGTTGTGAATCAAGTTGAAACAGGACTATTTGCCAGTCCTGTATTGTTTTGATTTTACTAATCAAGTAGTTTAGCTTCCTTTCAACTTAATCCTTGGAAATTCATTGAGTTTCAGGAAGCTCTACATGTCATACCATTCACCATTCCCTGACCCTTCAATGCTGCAGATAGACTGAAGACTGTCATATCGCGATGATCACACCAACTTCATTTTTGAGAAAACTGAACTCATCTCAGTAAGGTTCCTCCAATCACAATTGATATCAGAAATCTTCATTGGATCATGGACTCTTCCACCATCATTTCAAGAACATCAAAGCAAAGTTTCAAAGATTCTTTTGCTCCCTTTATCAATATATGCCATATGCAAATTGTGTGTGTGTGTGAGAGAGAGAGAGAGAGAGAGAAATTTTCAGAGTCTGGAAGAGAACAAAGATTGGACTCAGTGTAAAGATAACACATAAAAAAAGAAATCAAATATTCTAATCTGAAGATTTGCTAGTCATTATTCTATATTACATTAAATTATGTATAATTTTCTAATATCACGTAGCATGAGCCAGACTTTGGTTAAGATTTACATTATCTAATTCAGCCAATGGAAATAACTATAGCTGACTTTCCAAATATGCTATTAAATACAGAATCATTTTGCATGTGTGTGCATAAATATGTACACATGTATAAGCATGCACATCTATAGCAATGAAATAAGCCCTCCAAAATTAATCTTCTTTAATCGAGAACTGTCAATATTGTGCCGGCAAAATTTCTCATTTTTAACATGTAAATTAGGGAAGTTTTATAAATCCTTTTAAAATGTGACCTTTTTTTCACTCCAAGGACCATATTGAATTATAATTCTAGTTAAAATTTAGTGGAAAAAAAAGATTGAAGAACGGAGAAAATTGTTTATGCCTTCCAGTATAGGAGAAGCTAGAGTGATAATTTCAGGAGTTAGGATTAAAAATGGGAGGAGGGACAGTAAGTTTCTGATGATACACACTCTCTGACATATCATCGTTCAATTTTCCAGTTTTTCCAAAACAACATTCTAGCATGCATCAGAGAAAAATAAAGCATTTGTGAATTTTAGCTAGGGATGTAATTTGTTGCAGTTTCATGTTCTAAAATGACTTTTGCCAGTCTCAGCCCCATGACTACAAGAGCAATCCCTGCAAGAGGAGCATATGAAAGTCGACATTTTATTCTTTACATGAGGTAAAACTTTTGAGAGTGAAAATAGTCACCCTATTATTTTGAGTTGTTTAGAAATATCAGAAGCAGCAATCTAACCCTGCAGTCTGATATTTCTCATGTTTTTCAGATCTTTGACGACAGATTCCTTTGTTTGCTAACAACTTATCCCAGTTTACTTGAGTAAAAAAGAAAAAAATGTTTTATTGGAATGTTATTGGAGTTACTGAGAACTTAAAAGCAGTGAAAAAACAGAAAAACAAAAACAAAAACCCCAAGACCTTAGCCACAGGAGCTCCTAGAGATTTTTTTTTTTAGGATCTGTTCTAATGCAACTCAGTGCAAAACATCTTCTATATACCGCTCAGCTCAAGAATCAGTTTCCTAAGAAAAACATCTGATTACCCTGTATTAAAATTTTGCCCTTGTGTCCATCATCCCAGACTAGAAATACTAGAAAAAGTGAGGAGTCTGCAATTAACTATCAGGTGTGTCATGAGCATGACTGCCCTCTGAGTTGGAAGGTTTTCAAAACAGAGAAAAACTCACAAATTAAGTTTCAAATTTGGCCAGTTTCCTGATCACTGCACATATTGATATATAATATTATAATAAGACTTTTCATATCCAAAATTTTTCTACCTCCCAATTCCTAAAGCAACTTACTTTACTTTTTCTATTTTTTCTTGCTTTGAATCACCAAATATCTTCTACCCTGACATTTTAAAAGAACCAGGTTTTTATTTAATAATTTAAAAGCTCTGCCTTTAAACTTTTCTATATTATTGATTTATTATATTTTATCCCTTATTTTACTTCCTTTATGTAAATTTACTTGTGTTTTTCCATATTTTTATATTTCATATTAGTTCTCATTTTTAATGAGAATTTAATTTGATGCTAGATACATTTTTTTTCTTGGAGTGTAGCGTGGTGTTTTGTTGGAATTTTGTGGGAGCCTTAGCAATTTCAATTCTGATATCTTTTTTTCCCATGGATTTTAAGAAATTTTCAAGGTAGAGTTGGAAAGTGGACAATAGAAGGTCTATTCTTTAATACCAATTTTTAGTTATAATGCTTTGTTGTGAGAGGAAAAGACCTATTGTATTTTTTGTGTGTATAGAATTTATTTTCCATATGCAAAATTTCTTTTTGTCTTAATTAGTAGAAAAAAGTTATAAATTACATGAAGGCTTCATAAGAGTGTTCTTTCTTTATTACTGAAATATTTATATAAACATTTCTTACCATCAATATGTACATTTTAATGCTTACAACGTCTAGTTAGTTTCATGTATTTTTCATATATTTACTGAGAAAAAAATGATTTCACTCATATACTTGTTTTTGGTTGCTTTTAGTTTGATCAGGCCCAAAATCCCATCCCGAAATAGCTTTCTAAATTCAGTGTTTTGGGGTATGTCAGTGGGCTATCAGTGCATTCTACATGTTTCCTTGGCGAGCCACCTCAACTATTTGAAAACATTTGGAAAACTCTCCAGTCAGCCTCTCAACTAATTCTGAATGCTGTCTACATCACACACACACACACACACACACACACACACACACACAACTAGTCATCAAAGCTAAAATTTAGGATCCCTCCTTGCCTGACCATCCAACTGTGAATTCATGGTCCTGGTTATTGAGGGTAAGTAAGGGTGGATGTGTGGGCAGGAGGCACAGCTGACTAATAGCTAATCAGAGAATTGCATGGTAGCCCATTTGCCCTTGGTATTTCCTTTAGAAACCCATAGGGGGATAAGGAGGATTCTCCTTAAATCTAGTCACGTTTGCTTCTTCTTTTCTCCACTATCCCTAGCGCGTAACCAATGATTTTTTTATCTTTTACTCCTCTGTATCATGTTCTTTTGGGTTCTTGGATTTAGATTAGTCTTGTTAATGGGTTAGAGTGAAATATGGGATTATCAAAACATCTTTTGTTCCCCATAAATATATACACCTACTATGTACCCACAAGAATTAAAGATAGACAATTTTAAAACTAAATGAATAAAATAAAATTCAATATGAGATTAATTTATGAAGTTCCTCTCCAAGGTCAGTAGTTGATGTGTTAAAGAAGAATACTGGGAAATTGAAAAAAGACAATGCTCATTTTACTATGCATTGAATGGAATACTATTCAGACTTAGAAAAGAATAATCATCAGTATTGCGTCTATTTGGTAGTTCATCCATAGTCTGTCTAGTAAGGCTGCTATCCTGGTTCCTAATCATATTATTGAATGACAGACGCTTTTCTCCTATTTTTTATTTTTCATAAAAATCTAATATTTCTCTAGGCATTACTAGCATGTATTCAGTAATAAAATATGCAAAATACATTAAATATTTAAAAGATTTACTTTTAAAATAGTAAAAACGTTTGATTTTAATATTCTTTTCTGTTCATTGCATTTCCTCAGGAGCTAGTTCTTCTAATGTTACATTTGTATTTTCTTTTTTTCCTCAAAGATGTGATGATTCTTATTTATCTAATCACATTTCTAGATGAGTTTCTACGTTGGTTAGTGTCTGTGGTGAGAAAGCACTTTCTGAGCTCAAACAAGTCTATTTATAACCAGGGTGACCACTTTGGACAGCAGTTCTGCTTCAGATAATACTTTTAACCTTGTACAGAAAGAGTCAATATGGCAGGCCTAAAGTATTATATTAATACTTGGCTTACATCTAGGAACTTGAATTTCAGGAAGTTTCCACCATTAACTGACGAGTGCCTCATCATGCCTGCACTGTTTATGGAAACAATGTGGTTTATGCTAAACAACTTCTTTACTTCTAGGCATCTGGAATTGGGTTATATGCCAGGCATGATGTGCCAGTATGATCAGGTTCCAGGAAAGAATCTCTGAACACCGAGTCTCTAATGAGCTTCCCAGGTTGACAACATTTCACAAGCGTTGTCAAAACTCATCGCTGAGGAATTTAAGGGCATCCTGTTGTAACTGCATGGGGAGAAGACTCTTGGAAATGTGTGCCTGGTTTTTTCCAGAATTTATACCTTGCTCCTTTTCTATTTGCTGGTGGTGCTTTTTATCTTTTTGTTGTAAGAAATCATAGCCATGGTTACAACTGTATGCTGAGTCCTGTGAGTCCTCCTTGTGAATCACTGAATTTGGAGACAGTCTTAGGGATCCTGACACAGAGCACTAATTCATTTTTGTTTTCATTTATTGATTCATTCAACTGAAGATTAGATAGTATAAGCATGTGCCCCAGGGAAGCTGCTGCATTTAATATTAATAAACAAATAACAAAATTTTAAAGTCTGGTGGAAGATTCATATATTAAAAAATAATTAGAGTGCTAAGATAAGCTCATGGGAAAATGGCAGTGCATGGGTAGATATCTAAAATATACCAGGGTTTCAGGGAATGTTTATGAGAAAAATGATTCTTAAGCTTGGTTTTGAATATTTAGATGAAGGTAAATAGAGAGGAAATGTCATTCCAGATATATGCAAGGGGACAGACTCTTGAAGCAGCATAATTAGTTTAGGTGGGTCAGATATTCCCATGGGGAAAAAGGTAGGTTCTGGGTCATGAAGAGTGTTGCTAAGCCAAGTACTAGACTTCACTCCCATAATTTTAGAGAGTCAGTGGATTAATTTTAAATTGAAACTACAAAAAATCATCTCAATGTTAGTTGTTTAAAACAACACAAATGTATTATATTGTAGATTGGAGGCCAAGAGTCTGACATGGGTCTCACCTGGTTAAAATCAGGTACTGCCAGGGCTGTGCCCCAATCTTGACACTTTAGGGAAGATCTGTTTGTCTTTTCCATCTCCTAGAGGTCACTCAATTCCTTGGCCTCTGACCTCCTTCCTCTATTTTTAGTAGTCAATATTGAATCTTTCTGGCTGTTCTTCCATAGTCATCTTTCTCTTTGACTATAATCATCACATTTAGGGACCTGTGTGATTGGATTGGGCCCACCTGCGTAATACAGGATAATCTTACCTCAATTTCTATAAAGTGATTTTGCCTACAAAGTAATTTTTCCTCTAAATATATTATAATATATTTTGCTCTAAATATATTATAATATATTAACAAGGTCCAGTGATTAAGATGTGGACATCTTTGGGAGATAATTATTCTACTTACCATAGTCATTCAATAATTTTGGTTAAAGGAGGAAAATGTGTGGTTTAGCAAAATTATGCTTGTCCTTCTCCAGTATTTTAGAGACACTGATGTCTCACTTACCTTTCTTTGACCAAAATATCACAGAGGCAATTGATAACTCAGTCAAATCAGAGTAACATTTGCAATTTGTTTTAGTTTGTTCACCTTCCCAGTGTTTTGGAAGAGCAATGTTAAATATCCGAAATAAATCTGACGACATATTTTTCCACATAATTTGACACAAACTGGATTAAAAAAAGGGAATTTAATGGTGCACAAAACTAAAGATATTGACATGATTTCACGCACAAATTGGACCAAGAATTAAATTATATTAAAAGTGTTGCTTTAGATATGTCTTTGATGTAATGATTTTTTTGATGTATGTATTCCTATGTTTATTGCAATAGTAGTCACAGTAGTCTAGATATGGAATCAACCTAAGTATCCATCAACAAATGAATGGACAAAGAAAATGTGGCACACAATGGAGTACTGTTCAGACATAAAAAAGAATCAAATATTGTTATTTGAGACAACATGGATGACCCTTGAGGACATTATGTTAAATGAAATAAGCCAGGCACAGAAAGATAAATACTACATGTTCTCACTCATATGTGGAAACTAAAATGCTTGATCTTTTAGTAGTATAGAGTAAAACATGGTCACTAGAGGCTGGACAGGGTAAGGGACTAGGGGCAACAGAGAGAGGTTAATTAATATACAACATTACAGCTAGATAAGACGAATACTTTCTAGTGTTCTATGGTGTTAATACCATAAGGTTACTAAGTAAACAATAATTTATTGTATTTTTTCAAGTATCTTGAAGAGAGGGTTTTGAATGTTAAGAACACAAAGAAACAAAGATTTGAGGCAGTGGATATACTAATTACCTGATTTGATCATTATGCGTTGTGTACATGTAACAAAATATCACAGCGTACCCCATAAATATGTACAATTCTTAGGTCTCTCTCTGTCTGTGTGTGTCTTTGTGTGTGTATACACAGACACAGACACAAATATATATAACTCTACAGCAAAAAAAAAGAAAAAAAAAGAAAATATGTGTTTTTTTTCCACAACTTGGCCTCCTTTGTGCTAGATCATTTCTCACACAGGCCTTTCCCTGGTGGCTTCAAGAAGCCATAATTGGCTTAAATAATTATGCATTTCCAAGGTAAGATGATCCTTTTGAAGTAGAAAGGGTTTATTTGCACCAAAGTCTAAGAAAACGAAATTCATTCTGACCCACCGTCTCTACTTGAGTCAAATGATTATATTTGAACCAATTTCTGTGCTCAGGAGTATGTGGTCAAAATCACATGACACAGGCATACGTTTAATATATTATGGATGCTATTTCAGACCACTGCAAAAAAGCAATTATCACAAGAAAGTGAGTCATATGAATTTTTTGTTTTCCCAGTGTGTGTAAAAGTTTTGTTTACATTACAGTATAGTTAATTAAGTGTGCAATACCATTATGTCTAAAAAGACAACTTACATATCTTCATTAAAAAGCACTTTATTGCTAAAAAATACTAACAATCATCTTAGCTTCCAGAGAGTTGTGGGTAAACTGTCTTTTCTCCATGTTGATGTCTGCTGACTGATCAAGGTAGTGGTTGCCAAAGGCTGGGGTGGCTGAGACAATTTACTAAAATAAGACAACTATAAAGTTTGCACAAGAATTCATTCTTCCTTTCATGAGAGATTTCTTTGTAGCATGCTATGCTGTTTGCTAGCATCTTAGACACAGAACTTTCTGCAAAATTGAAGTCAGTCCTTTCAAACTCTGCCACTCCTTTATCAACTAACTTTATGGAATATTCTAAATTCTTTGTTGTCATTTCAACAATGTTCACAGCATCTTCACTAGGAGTAGATCCTATCTCAAATAATCATTTTCTTTGCTTATCTATGAGAAGCAACTCCTCATTTGTTCAAGTTCTACCATGAGATTGCAACAATTCAGTCACATCTTCACACTCCATCTCTAATTCTAGTTCTCTTGCTATTTCTACCACATCTGCTGCTACTTTCTTCACTTAAGTCTTGAGAGCCCCCAAAGTCATCATGCGGGTTGGAATCAACTTCTTCCAAACTCCTCTGAATGTTGGTATTTTGATCTCCTATGACATACACATGCTCTTAATGGCATCTGAAAGGGTGAATCTTCTCGAGAAGATTTTCAAAGTTTTTTTCCCCCAGATTTATCAGAGAAATCACTATCTATGGTAACTACAGGCTTATGAAATATATTTCTTAAATAATATGACTTGAAAGTCAAAATTACTCTTTGAACCACAGGCTGCAGAGTGGATGTTATGTTAGCAGGCATGGAAACAACATTAATCTCTTTACATCTTCAGCACGGTTCTTGAGTAACCAAGTGCCATTGTCAATGGGCATTTAGAAACGAATCTTTTTTTGTTTGTTTTTTCCTGAGCAGTAGGTCTCAACAATGAGCTTAAAATATTTAGTAAACCATGATCTAAACAGTTGTGCTGCCATCCAGGCTTTGTTTTTCCATTGATACAGCACAGGCAGAATAGATTTAGCATAATGCTTAAGCACCCTAGAATGTTAAGGTGGTAAATGAGAATTGGCTTCAACTTAAAATCACGAGCTGCGTTAGTTACTGTCAGGAGAGTCAGCCTGTCCTTTGCAGCTTTGAAGCTGGGCATTGACTTCTCCTCTTTAGCAATAAAAGTCCTAAACGACATCTTTTTCCAATAGAAAACTGTTTCATCTAGACTGAAAATCTGTTGTTTACTGAAAGCACCTTCATGAATTATATTAGCTGGAGCTTCTGGATAATTTGCTGCAGCTTCTAAATCAGCACTTACTGGTTTTACTTGTACATCTATGTTAGGGAAAGAGCGTCTTTCCTTAAACCTCATAAATTAACTTATTCTAGCTTCCAACTTTTCTTGTGCAGCTTCTTTACCTCTCTTAACCTTCACAGAATGGATGAGCGTTAGGGCCATGCTCTACACTAAGCTTTGGCTTAAAGACATGTCATGCCTGCTTTGCTCTTCTAGCTAGACCACTAAGACTTTCTTTATATCATTAAAAAGGTTGTTTCACATTCTTATCACTTAGTTGTTTTCTGGAGTAACACTTTTAATTTTCTTCAAGAATTTTATTTTGCATTCACAATACAGCAAATGTTTGCACAAGAGTTGTAGCTTCCAGTCTGTCTTGATTTTTGACATGCCATCCTCACTAAACTTAATCATTTCTAGTTTTTGATTTATAGGGAGAGACATGTAATTCTTCCTTTAACTTGGACACTTAGAGGCCATTGTACAGTCATTGATTTGCCTAATTTCCATATTGCTGTGTCTCAGAGAATAGGGAGGCCTAAGGAGAGAGTGAGAGAAAGAGAGAGAGAGAAATATCCAATCAGTGAAGCAGTCAGAATGCATACAACATTTATCAGTTATGTTTGTCATCTTATATAGACATGGTTTGTGGCACTCCAAAACAATTGCAACAGTAATCAAAGACCACTGATCACAGATTATAATAACAGATATATTATAATGAAAAAGTTTGAATTATTGTAGAAATTACCAAAGTGTGACATGGTCACATGAAGTTTGCACATGCTGTCGAACAAATGGTACCTGCAGACTTACTGGACTCAGGACTACCACAAACATTTGGTTTGTAAATAATGCAATATCTATGAAGCACAATGAAGCAAATAACAATAAAACAAGTGTGCCTTTATATTCTGAAATAGAAACGAATGTTCTCAATACAAATAAATGAAAAACATTTGAGGTGATAGAAATCATGTTAATTATCCCAATTAATCATTATGCATTGTAAACATATACAGAAACACCATACTGGCCTCCTTAAATATGTACAGTTACTATGTGCCAATTAAAATTTTTTTAAAAATTCAAATATTTTTAGTACTCTATTTCAATTCTTCTTTGTTTAGCTATTTTTATTGTGCATTGTATTTTGGTATTTTGTGATTCTATTTTTATTGTGCATTATATTTGACCAATCAAATAGACACACACATTTCTTTAGTGTGTACAATATGCAGCCTTAAGCTATCATACTTGGCTTAGTGTTAATATTTTGTGCATTACATTACCTCATAAGAAATATCAGAACTTGAAACATGATAATTTTGTTTACAAACCACAAGTTTTTTTGGCATATATATATGCCAAATCCACTTTACTTATAAACTCTGAAATACAGAGTAACACTTTTTCTTTAATATAGTCACTTTCTAAATAAAGAAAAAATAAATTTGTAGTTTTCATAGTAATATACATATTTATCAATTTCAATGTCCTTCCATCTCATCATCTATGCAGACTCATGTTTTTGTATGGTTTAATCTGATTTAATTTCTCAGCTTGCAATATTTATTTTGTATTTCCTCTAGTGCACTTGTGCAATCTATTTGCTCAGTTGTCATTAAACTTAAAATGTGTTCATTTTGACATTATGTTAAAGGATATTGATAGAAATAATATTTTCCCAACCCATTAAAATTCATTGGCATATATGTCTCAAGTCTTGGCTCAAACAAAACATTTACAAGACAGAAAGGAAAATTTTTAAAGCAAAACAAAACAAAATCGTCAAGAGAAAATATTTTCATGTTGAAAGAATAATTCTGAGCCTAATTTAGTCTCATTATTTGTGACACAGAACGATTTCAGAAAAACTTTACCTAGTTTGAGATCACTAGAGCTCACATTTAATAAGACAAAGAATCACAATATCATTTAGAATCAATAAAAATATGTTTGAAAATGAAGTTATCGAAGACATTCATTACATGTGACTATAGAACGGTCAGCTCAAAACTATTCTTAAATTTAATGTACTAAAATTAGAACAATTTTCTTTGAACTATTTGGAATTATATAGAAAATAGCTAATTTTCATAAGAAGAATTGTTTGTAACTTTTATTTCAGATTCAGGGAGTACAGGTGAAGGTTTCTTATAAAGGTATATTACATGATACTGAGGCTTGGATTATTACTGAACTCATCACCCAGTTAGTGAGCACAGTATCCAATAGGTAGTTTTTCAGCCCTTGCCCTCCTGCCCTTCCCCTTTCTTGTAGTCCCCAGTGTCTGTTTCCATTTTAATGTTCATTTGTACTCAGTGTTTAGCTCCCACTTACAGGTAAGAACACGTGGTATTTGGTTTTCTATTTCTCTATTAGTTCACTTCAGATAATGGCATCTAGCTGCATTCATGTTGCTGCAAAAAATATGACTTCATTACTTTTTATGGCTGCATAGTAGTCTACTTTTCTTTATCCAATCCACTGCTGATGGACACCTAGGTTGATTCCATGCCTTTGCTATTGTGAATAGTGCTGCAATGAACATACAGGTGTGTGTGTTTTTTTGGTAGAACAATTTATTTCCTAAATACCCAGTGATGGGATTGCTGGGTTAAATGGTAGTTGTATTTTTAGTTCTCATAAGGAGAAATTTTTAAAACTCCCATCAGATATACTCTAACTCTGAGGATCTCAGTAAATTGCACCTGTCTGCAACTGCACAATCCATTTCCTATGACATACATCTAAGGTTACAACAACAAGTTTGTTAAAACAGTAATTGAAGATCCAAGAACAGTTACAATTTGACAAAAAAAAAAAACCTGCTGTTGCTTAACTCAAAGCTTATTTTAAAGATTAAACTTTTTTTACAATAAAAATTTTTAATGAAGGCAAAAACAATACAATATAAAAATGTTGTCTAATCATTAAATTTGGCAAAGAAAAAAGTTCTGACTTATGAGTGAGGGAAAACTCTGAACTTCAGTATAAAAATGTATATAATCTTATTCTCATAAAATAAAATTGTGGCTTTGTGATATATACGGGAATTATTAACTATCAGTATTCTCATCTGTAAGCTCGGCATGATAATAATAGCACATGTTTCCTTATAGCACTGGGGTAAAAGAAATATGATAATTTATGTAAAGTATTTGACTACCTGGGATATAATATTTCACAAAGGTCAGTTTTTAAAATTATTATTTTTGTTGTTATTATATTAGAAATAAGCTGGGAATTCTCAACTACTAAACAAAATCTTGATACACTGAAGACTGAAATTAGAAAAAAGCTGCTACATTAAAATTTAACTAATTTCCTCTTTCCCTGTCTTTAAATTATAGACAACATGTTATTTATGTTGATGGGAAAGATCAATCAACATTAAGTGTTTTCCCTTTAAGAAAGTTTTATTTTTTCCCTTAGGCTTAAAAGGACCCATGAAGTAGAAAAGTATATAAATGGTTGGTTTTGGGAGGGCTCTAACTTGAAGCTGTATGCAGCTTTCAGAAATAGGAACAATTGAGAGCTAAAGGACTCTTTCATCAGAGATTTAGCTGGGAATTTGTGTAATCATGATAGCAAGAACTTAAAAATCTTTTTTTTGGTGGGGGGTTGTAATAATAGCCTAAGACAAATCTCAGAGTTTCAAGACAGAGGCTATTTCATCTTGAGATTATTAAGTATGTGCTTTGAGTTTACAAATTTTATGTAAATAATGAGTACATTTTTTAATTGGATTCTCACTTTGAGGTAAGATAACTAGTGATAATATTTCAATCCTGCATATGACTAAGCTGGTGTCTGACCTACTAAAGTCCTGGCAGTTAAAAGTGACAAAGGCACTACAACCATTTCTGCTTCATTACATGAGAAAACTTATGGAAATGGAAATATTTATAAATTACAACTAGAAGTTACAATTTATTGGGTTTTAGATAATGTGTCAATAATTTTGCTATACATATACATTGAAATCTACATTAGGTGGCTTGAGCTATAATGGAGTCTATGCCACTTTATCACCTAGGAAAACATCTCAAACTTTGAGAACATTTGTTTTTCATCTTCTAAATTATATAACTCAAAGTGGTGTCCAATTGAAGATGATTTCCCAATAGAAGCAAGTAGAAAACCTGTAATAGCATGGTGATTTCATTACCTGTGCTGAGTGTATAGCAGATTCATGATGATGGCTGCAAATGAGATTGATTCCTTGCCCTCGCTCCAAGCAGATGACTTATGGTAATCAGACCATATTTAGGCTTTGTATATTAATGGCAATCAAACAAAAAACTAAAAGAAAACAATGTTTGCACATACTTTAAGGCAAAAATTTCCTATTGTATTCTTTAGAAATTTTGTCATACAGCTTGATGACTTACTAGTATTCCTATAATGCAAACACAACTGCTATTAAAGGATTGGACTCTATATTTCTATAGACCATTGTTTAAAATCTGATCTTATAACTTATCATCTAAACTTGTACAAGATTTTAAACCCCTGTATACTAAGGCTAGGTGAGGCGGCTCATGCCTGTAATCCCAGCACTTTGGGAGGCCGAGGTGGGTGGGTCATCTAAGATCAGGAGTTCATGACCAGCCTAGCCAACATGGTGAAACCCCATCTCCACAAAAATACAAAAATTAGCCGGGCATGATGGCGGGTGCCGGTAATCCCAGCTACTTGGGAGGCTGAGGCGGGAGAATCGCTTGAACCTGGGAGGCAGAGGTTGCAGTGAGCTGAGATTGTGCCATTGCATTCCAGCCTGGGTAACAGAGCAAGACTCCGTCTCAAAAAACAAAACAAAACAAAACAAACAAACAAAAAACCCTGTATACTTCAGTTTCCACATTTGAAATATGCTGAAAATATTACTCATAAAATTAGCCCTATCACTTCGCTTTGTGAATTGAGATTGTGTGTGTTAAAAATAATTTCTCCCTAGTATAGCGTAAGGGCTCAATAAATTTTAGCCATTACTATTGTTATCATCACCACTACCATCATCACAATCATTATAATTATCACCATTATTTAGTGAAGATAATATTTATTTTAGCCTGTCTTCTTAGCAATCAATGGAACAGAAGGATTTCTGCAGTTATAACATCAGCTATTGCTTGGGAAACTGTAATAAACTGATAAAGTTTGAAAATATTTTACAAAGTTGGTCTAAACACTACCTATATCTTTGGAAACGAATTTATCTGTTGGTCAAATTCACTTATTTTATAAAGTCAGTACCATTTTCTCTCTTTGGATTATCTGATGATAATTATTTTTGCAACTATCCAAGATACTTATCATGATTTGCACCTATACTATATCTATGCCCATATTTATATTTTAGGTTTTTATTTATGTACATATCTCTATTCCTATTTTTAAAACAGTATAATAATAGTCTCCTTTCAGATTGTAAGCTCTTTGATAATGAGAGCTCATTAATGTATGTATGTATGTATCTTTATTGATACATAATAATTATACATGGCATGAGATACACATGGTATTTTGATACATGCATACAATGTGCAACAATCAAATCAGGGCATTTAGGATATCTATCACCACAAACATTTATTATTTCTTTGTTTTAGAACATTTCAAATCTTCTAGCTATTTTGAAATATACAATAAATTATTCTTAACTATAGTCACCCTACTGAGCTATCAAACACTAGAACTTATTTCTTCTAACTAACTGTATGTTTGTACCCATTATCCAGCCTCTCTTTATCCTCCCTCTCACCCTTCCCAGCATATGGTTACTATCATTCTACTCTCTACCTGCACAAAGTAATTTTTTTTAGCTTCCACATATGAGGGAGAATATGTGATTTGTTTTTCTGTGCCCGACTTATTTCTTTTGTTTGTTTGTTTGTTTCTGGGGTTTTAAATTTTATTTAATTTATTTAATGTATTTTATTTTATTTTTTCTTTATTATTATACTTTAAGTTTTAGGGTACATGTGCACAACGTGCAGGTTTGTTACATATGTATACATGTGCCATGTGCCTGACTTATTTCAACTAACATAATGACCTCCAGTTTCATCCATGTGCTGCAAGTTACAAGTTTTCATTCTTTTTTATAGCTGAATGGTATTCCATTGCGTACACACACCACAATTTCTTTATCTGTTCATCTGGTGATGGACACTTAGATTGATCCATATCTTGGCTATTGTAAATAATTCTGCAATAAACATGGTGGTGCACATACCCCTTTGATATATTGGTTTCCTTTCCTTTGGATAAATACCCAGTAATGGTACTGTTAGATTGTATGGTAGTTCTATTTTTAGTTCTTTGAGAAAACTCTATAAAGGCTGTATTAATTTACATTCCCACCAAAAGTTTATTAGAGTTCCCTTTTCTCTGCATCCTCACCAGCATTTGTTTTTTTTTTTCTGTCTTTTTGATAATAGCCATTCTAACTAGAGTAAAATGCTATCTTACTGTTATTTTGATTTGCATTTCCCTGATTAGTAATGTTGAGCTTTTATATCCTATAGTCTTTTGGCCATTTCTATGACATCTTTTGAGAAATAGGTATTCAGATCCTTTGCTCACTTTTTAATGGGATTATTTAATTTTTTGTTGTTTGAGTTCCTTGTATATTCTGGATGTTAATCCCTTATTATTATAGATAGATAGTTGCAAATGTCTTTTTCAACTTAACAGGCTGTCTCTTCACTATGTCAGTTGTTCCCTCTGTGAAGAAGTTTTTGAGTTTAATGTAATCTCATTTGTCTATTTTTGTTTTTGTTGCCTATGCTTTTGAAATTTTAGTCATAAAATCTTTCTTTAGACTAATGTTCTGAAGCACTTCCCCTATGTTTTCTTCTAGTACTTCTATAGCTTTAAGTCTTCCATTTATGTATTTAATTCATTTAGGATTGATCTTTGTATATGGTGAAAGCTAGTCTACTATTATTTTTATGTATATAGATATCCAGTTTTCCTGGTACCGTTTTTTGAAGAGGGTATCCTTTCCCTCTAGGTATGTTCTTGGCATTTTCATTGAAATTCAGTTGACTGTAAATATGTGGACTTACGACTGGGTTCTCTGTTCCATTCCATTGGTCTGTGTGTCTGTTTTATACCAAATCTGTGTTGTTTTTGTAACTACAACTTGGTAGTATACCTTGAAGTAAGGTAGTATAATGCCTCCAGCTTTGTTCCTTTTGCTCAAAATTGCTTTGGCTACTTGGAATCTGGCAATTCCATATGCATTTGGAGATTTTTTTTTTCTATGAAGAACATCATTGACATTTTTATAGAATTGCATTGAGTCTGTAGGTTGCTTTTGGTAGTGTTGCCATTTTAACAATATTTAGTTATTTCAGTCCATGAGTATAAGGTATCTTTCCATTTATTTGTATCCTCTTCCATTTCTTTCACCAGTGTTTTATAGTTTTCATTGTAGTGGTCTTTTACTTCCTTGGTTAAATATATTTCTAGGTATTTTTCTGTAGCTACTGTAAGTGGAATTAATGTCTTGATTTCTCTTTCAGCTAGCTCATTACTGATTTTTGTATGCTCTTTTTTTATTTTGCAACTTTACTAAATTTGTTTATCAGTTCTATCAGATTTTTTGGCTTTTTGTTTGTTTTTGACAGGGTCTCACTCTGTCACCTAGACTGGAGTGCAGTGGTGTGATATTGGTCTGCAGCAACCTCCGCCTCCTGGACTCAAATGACCCTCTCACCTCAGCCTCCTGAGTAGCTGGGACTACAAGCACCCTCCACCATGCCCAGCAGCTAATTTTCATATTTTTAGTAGAGACAGGGTTTCACCATGTTGCCCAGGCTGGTCTCAAACTCCAGGGCTCAAGTGAACCATGCGCCTCAGCCTCCCAAAGTGCTGGGATTACAGGCCTGAGCCACTGTGCCAAGCCTCTAAAAGTTCTCAGTGGACTATTCATGTTTTCCTGTATATAAGATCATGGCATATGCAAAGAGGGACAATCTGACTTTCTCTTAGTCAATTTAGATATCTTGTGTTTCATTCTCTTGCCTGATTGCTTTGCCTAGGACTTCCAATATTACCTTGAATAAGAGTGATGAAAGTGGACATTGTTGTAATGTTCCAACAAAGAAGGACACAACAAAAAAATAAACTACAGACCAGTAGACATGATGAACATAGATGCAAAACTCCTCCACAAAATATTAGCAAACCAAATTCAACAAATATAAAAGATAATAAATCATGATTAATTGAGGTTTATCCTATGGATGCAAGGATGGTTCAACATATACAAATCAATAAATGTAATACAACATGCAAACAGAATAAATTTGAATATCTCAATAGATGCAGAAAAAAAATTGAGAAATCTCAGCATCCTTTCATGATAAAAACTCAACAAATTGGGCATAAAAGGAATATACTTCAACATAATAAAGGTCACATATGACAAGCTCATAGCTACTATTATACTAAATGGCTAAAAGCCTTTCCTCTAAAAACTGCAACAAGATGAAGAAATTAATATTTATAGAAACACAGTTTCTGGTACAAAGGTCTTGTGGACAGAAAGTATTCAGTGTTTTCTGAGGTAACTGTAATAAAATAACTATTTCCTGAATTGTAGAAAATTACCAAAGAATGTGCTGAAACGTAAAGACTACTTTGCAATAGATTTTTGGAAAAAGAAAGCCAAAATATGTAGGTTGTTATTAAAAAGCAGATGTTTTAGATCAAATGGCATATTTGTAAACTGGAAAATTAAACTTTTCATAATCTACTTTTTATGGTAATATATTATAAAAACGTAATTCCTATAAAATGTGGCAAAGAATATTTCAAATTTCTTTATTCTCTAGTATTTATATCAGATATTTTGTGGGTGAAGGCAAACTAGAAGCAAAGCAAGTTTATAACAGCTTAGTAACAGTATAAAGGTCATGAGACACAGCACAATAATTTACTGATACTTAGTGGGACAAAAAATACGCTTCACAAGATTCACTTATATTATTTTCATTGTCTTACTGCTATTTTCATCAATCTTCTTCTTATTAAAGTTCCTAAGGCTGAACAAATGAAGAAACAGAAATCACTAATAAGACAACTTCGTCTTTAGAAAAGAGGAGAAATTCCCTCAGGAAATACTTAGATTTTATGTTATGCTATATTATTTCTGACTTAGTTTTATATAAATAGGCCAAATGATGCAATAGATAAATATTTGAAGCTTTAGTTTTGCTTTGAACTCAAATCATAATAACAATCATTTATAAGACATGAAATATCTTTTTCATAAATAAAATGTTTGTATAAGATTTTTTTCCTGACTTTAACAGCCCTATAAAAGTGTTAAAAAGAACACTTTTTTAAAAGAGTTTAGTAATTGTTTAAATCTTTTCTTTTTTTAATATTGAGATTTGGGGAGTTCCATTCCAAGATGGCCGAATAGGAACAGCTCTGTTCTGCAACTCCCAGGGTGATCTATGCAGAAGATGGGTGATTTTTGCTTTTCCAACTGAGGTACCTGGTTCGTTTCATTGGGACTGGGTGGACAGTGGGTGCAGTCCACGGAGGGTAAGCCGAAGCAGGGCAGGGTGTCGCCTCACCCAGGAAGCAGAAGGGGTTGGGGGATTTCCCTTTCCTAGCCAAGGGAAGCCATGACAGTCTGTACCTGGAAAATCGGGACACTTCTGCCCAAATACTGCACTTTTCCCACAGTCTTAGAAAGCAGCAGAACAGGAGATTCTCTCCCATGCCTGGCTCTGCAGTTCCCACACCCATGGAGCCTTGCTAACTGATAGTGCAGCAATCTGAGATTGACCTGCAAGGCTGCAGCCTGGTGGGGGGAGGAGTGTCTGCCATTACTGAGACTTGAGTAGGTAAACAACATGGCCAGGAAGCTCAAACTGGGTGGAGCCCACCGCAGCTCAGCAAGGCATACTGCTTCCATAGACTCCACCTCTGTGGGCAGGGCATAGCTGAATGAAAGGCAGCAGAAACTTCTGCAGACTTTAACGTCCTTGTCTGACAGCTCTGAAGAGAGCAGTTGTTCTCCCAGCACGGTGTTCGAACTCTGAGAATGGACAGACTGCCTCCTCAAATGGGTTCCTGACCTCCGTGTAGCCTAACTGGGACACACTTCCCAGTAGGGGTAGGCAGACACCTCATATGGGTGGATGCCCCTCTGGGACGAAGCTTCCAGAGGAAGGATCAGGTAGAAATATTTGCTGTTCTGTAATATTTGCTGTTCTGCAATATTTGCTATTCTGCAGCCTCTGCTGGTGACACCCAGGAAAACAGGGTCTGGAGTGGGTCTCCAGCAAACTCCAACAGAGCTGCAGCTGGGGGACCTGACTGTTAGAAGGAAAACTAACAAACAGAAAGGAATACCATCAACATCAACAAAAGGGACATCCACACCAAAACCTCATCTCTAGGTCACCAACATCAAAGACCAAAGGTAGATAAAACCACAAAGATGGGGAGAAACCAGAGCAGAAAAGCTGAAAATTTTAAACACCAGAGTGCCTCTTTCTTCAAAGGATCATAGCTCCTCACCAGCAAAGGAACAAAGCTGGATGGAGAATGACTTTGATGAGTTGACAGAAGTAGACTTCAGAAAGTTGGTATAACAAACGTCCAAGCTAAAGGAAGATGTTCGAACCCATCGCAAGAAAGCTAAAAACCTTGAAAAAAGATTAGATGAATGGCTAACTAGAATAAACAGTGTAGAGAAGACCTTAAATGACCGGATGGAGCTGAAAACCATGGTACGAGAACTACATGACTCATGCACAAGCTTCAGTAGCTGATTTGATCAAGTGGAAGAAAGGGTATCAGTGATTGAAGTTCAAATGAATGAAATGAAGTGAGAAGAGAAGTTTAGAGAAAAGAAACAGTAAAAAGAAATGAACAAAGCCTCCAAGAAATATGGAACTATGCTAAAAGACCAAATGTACGTTGGATTGGTGTATCTGAAAGTGATGGGGAGGATAGAACCAAGCTGGAAAACACTCTTCAGTATATTATCCAGGAGAACTTCCCCAATCTAGCAAGGCAGGCCAACATTCAGATTCAGAAAATACAGAGAACACCACAAAGATACTCCTCGAGAAGAGCAACCCCAAGAAACATAATTGTCAGATTCACCAAGGTTGAAAGGAAGGAAAAAATATTAAGGGCAGCCAGAGAGAAAGGTCAGGTTACCCACAAAGGGAAGCCCATCAGACTAACAGCAGATCTCTTGGCAGAAACTCTACAAGCCAGAAGAGAGTGGGGGCCAATATTCAACATTCTCAAAGAAAAGAATTTTCAACCCAGAATTACATATCCCCCCAAACTAAGCTTCATAAGTGAAGGAGAAATAACATCCCTTACAGACAAGCAAATGCTGAGAGATTTTGTCACCACCAGGCCTGCCCTACAGGAGCTCCTGAAGGAAGCACTAAACATGGAAAGGAAAAACCAGTACCAGCCACTGCAAAAACATGCCAAATTGTAAAGACCACTGATGCTAGGAAGAAACCACATCAACTAACAGGAAAAACAACCAGCTAACATTGTAATGATAGGATCAAATTCACACATAACAATATTAACCTTAAATGTAAATGGGCTGAATGCTCCAATTAAAAGACACAGACTGGCAAATTGGATAAAGAGTCAAGACCCATCAGTGTGCTGTATTCAGGAGATCTGTCTCATGTGCAGAGACACACATAGGCTCAAAATAAAGGGATGGAGGAAGATCTACCAAGCAAATGTAAAGCCAAAAAAAAAAAAAAAAAATAGCAGGGGTTGCAATCCTAGTCTCTGATAAAACAGACTTTAAACCAGCAAAGACCAAAAGAGACAAAGAAGGCCATTACATAATGGTAAAGGGATCAATTCAACAAGAAGAACTAACTATCCTAAATATATATGCACCCAATACAGAAGCACTCAGTTTCATAAAGCAATTCCTTAGAGACCTACAATGAGACCTAGACTCCCACACAATAATAATGGGAGACTTTAACACCCCACTGTCAATATTAGACAGATCAATGAGACAGAAGGTTAACAAGGATATCCAGGACTTGAACTCAGCTCTGCACCAAATGGACCTAATAGACAACTACAGAACTGCCTACCCAAAATCAACAGAATATACATTCTTCTCAGGACGACAGTGCACTTATTCCAAAATTAACCACATAATTGGAAGTAAAGCACTCCTCAGCAAATGTAAAAGAACAAAAATCACAACAAACTGTCTCTTAGACCACAGTGCAATCAAATTAGAACTCAGGATTAAGAAACTCACTCAAAATCGCACAACTACATGGAAACTGAACAATCTACTCCTGAATGACTACTGGGTACATAACGAAATTAAGACAGAAATAAAGATGTTCTTTGAAACCAATGAGAACAAAGACACAACGTACCAGAATCTCTGGGACACATTTAAAGAAGTGTGTAGAGGGAAATTTGTAACACTAAATGCCCACAAGAGAAAGTAGGAAAGATCTAAAATCGACACCCTAACATCACAATTAAAAGAACTAGAGAAGCAAGAGCAAACAAATTCAAAAGCTAGCAGAAGGCAAGAAATAACTAAGATCAGAGCAGAACTGAAAGAGATGGGGACACAAAAAACCCTTCAAAAATCAATGAATCCAGGAGCTTGGTTTTTGAGAAAATCAACAAAATTGATAGACTGCTAGCAAGACTAATAAAGAAGAAAAGAGAGAAGAATCAAATAGACACAATAAAAAAATAATAAAGGGGATATCACTATCAACCCCACAGAAATACAAACTACCATCAGAGAATACTATAAACATTTCTACATGAAAAAACTTGAAAATCTAGAAGAAATGGGTAAATTCCTGGACACATATACCCTCCCAAGACTAAAGCAGGAAGAAGTTGAATCTCTGAATAGACCAAAAATAGGCTCTGAAATTGTGGCAATAATTAATAGCCTACCAACCAAAAAAAGTCTAGGACCAGACAGATTCACAGCTGAATTCTACCAGAGGTACAAAGAGGAGATGGTACCATTCCTTCTGAAACTATTCCAATCAATAGAAAAAGAAGGAATCCTTCTTAGCTCATTTTATGATGCCAGCATCATTCTGACACCAAAGCCTGGCACAGACACAACAAAGAGAATTTTAGATCAATATCCCTGATGAACATCAATGTGAAAATCCTCAATAAAATACTGGGAAACTGAATCCAGCAGCACATCTTATTCACCAAGATCAAGTCAGCTTCATTCTTGGGATCCAAGGCTGGTTCAACATACGCAAATCAATAAACGTAATCCATCACATAAATAGAACCAATGACAAAAAGCACATGATTATTTGAATAGATGCAGAAAAGGCCTTCAACAAAATTCAACAGCACTCCATGCTAAAACCTCTCAATAAACTAGGTATTGATGGAACGTATCTCAAAATAATAAGAGCTATTTATGACAAACCCACCGCCATATGAACAATAACTGTAAACATTCCCTTTGAAAACTGGGACAAGACAGGGATGCCCTCTCTCACCACTCCTATTCAACGTAGTGTTGGAAGTTCTGGCCAGGGCAATCAGGCAAGAGAAAGAAATAAAGGGTATTCAATTAGGAAAAGAGGAAGTCAAATTGTCTCTGTTTGCAGATGACATGATTGTATATTTAGAAAACCCCATTGTCTCAGCCCAAAATCTCCTTAAGCTGATAAGCAACTTCAGCAAAGTCTCAGGATACAAAATCAACATGGAAAAATCACAAGCATTCCTAAATACCAATAACAGACAGAGAGCAAAATCATGAGTGAACTCCCATTCACAATCACTACAAAGAGAATAAAATACCTAGGAATCCAACTTACAAGAGATGTGAAGGACCTCTTCAAGGAGAACTACAAACCAAATGGAAGAACATTTCATGCTGATGGATAGGAAAAATCAATATCATGAAAATGGCCATACTGCCCAAGGTAATTTATAGATTCAATGCCATCCCCATCAAGCTACCAATGACTTTCTTCACAGAATTGGAAAAAACTACTTTAAAGTTCATATGGAACCAAAAAAGAGCCCTCATTGCCAAGACAATCCTAAGCCAAAAGAACAAAGCTGGAGGCATCACGCTACCTGACTTCAAACTATACTACAAGGCTACAGTAACCAAAACAGCATGGTACTGGTACTAAAACAGAGATACAGACCAATGGAACAGAACAGAGGCCTCCAAAATAACACCACACATCTACAACCATCTGATCTTTGACAAACCTGACAAAAACAAGAAATGGAGAAAGGATTCCCTATGTAATAAATGGTGCTGGGAAAACTGGCAGGCCATATGTAGAAAGCTGAAACTGGATCCCTTCCTTACACCTTATACAAAAATTAATTCAAGACGGATTAAAGACTTAAATGTTAGACTTAAAACTATAAAAACCCTAGAAGAAAACCTAGGCAATACCATTCAGAACATAGGCATGGACAAGGACTTTATGTCTAAAACACCAAAAGCAATGGCAACAAAAGCCAAAATAGACAAATGGAATCTAATTAAACTAACAAGCTTCTGCACAGCAAAAGAAACTACCATCAGAGTGAACAGGCAACCTACAGAATGGGAGAAAAGTTTTGTCATCTACCCATCTGACAAAGGGCTAATATCCATAATGTACAAAGAACTTAAACAACTTTACAAGAAAAAAACAAGCAACCCCATCAAAAAGTGGGCAAAGGATATGAACAGATACTTCTCAAAAGAAGACATTTATGCATCCAACAGACACAGGAAAAAATGCTCATCATCACTGGTCATCAGAGAAATGCAAATCAAAACCACAATGAGCTATCATCTTATGCTAGTTAAAATGGCAATCATTAAAAAGTCAGGAAACAACAGATGCTGGAGAGGATGTGGAGAAATAGGATTGCTTTTATACTGCTGGTGAGAGTGTAAACTAGTTCAACCATTGTGGAACAGTGTGGCAATTCCTCAAGGATCTAGAACTAGAAATACCATTTGACCCAGCCATCCCATTACTGGGTATATACCCAAAGAATTATAAATCATGCTACTATAAAGACACATGCCCACTTATGTTTGTTGTGGCACTATTCACAATAGCAAAGACTTGGAACCAACCCAAACATCCATCAATGATAGACTGGATTAAGAAAATGTGGCACATATACACCATGGAATACTACACAGCCATAAAAAGGGATGAGTTCATGTCCTTTGCAGGTACATGGATGAAGCTGGAAACATCATTCTCAGCAAACTATCACAAGGCCAGAAAACCAAACACTGCATGTTCTCACTCATAGATGGGAATTGAACAATGAGAACACTTGGACACAGGGAAGGGAAGATCACACACTGGGGCCTGTCAGGGCGTGGGGGCCTGGAGGAGGGATAACATTAGGAGAAATACCTAATGTAAATGATGAGTTGATGGGTGCAGCAAACCAACATGGCACATGTATACATATGTAACAAACCTGCATGGTGTGCACATATACCCTAGAACTTAAAGTATGAAAAAATTGAGATTTGGTATCAGTGTACAAGACACATACAAATAAATTCTCATTTTAAAAAGCTATTCTTCCCATGTCAATATAGATTGTTCTTTGTGGGGTAGACTTTTAAACATTTTTATATTCAAATTCTTTTCCTTTCATCTTTTCCATTCACTTAGCTAATTTAAATATTACTGACTGTTATAGGGACTAATTAAAAGTAAATATCAGAATGTTTAGTCTAAATGTGTCTCTGAATTAAAATCACAGTTAATTTATACAGTCATCTATAATCTATCATAAAATCACATTTTAAAAACTCCTACAGTCATTATTTGGAGTTATAACATTTTTCTTAATAAAAATTTGAAGGTATTATAAATATAATTTAACTATAGCAAAAGATTCTGTTCACATATTGAATACATTATAAAAACCTTAAAGAATCAATTTAAAATTCTTCCTCTTCCTAGTTAAATAAAATACCATGCTTCAATACTCAAAAATGAATGTTCACAGGGCCAGTAACTCAACATGACACTTTATCTGTACCTGGCTGCACCCCACATTTGCCTCCTCTAAACCATGTTTAGTGTCGGCTAAATTGAAAGCAACAAGTCATGGAGGTAGAGATTAAATTCGATATCTCAGAATTCAGGTTGGACGATGAAATTTCGAGTTACCTAAATGTATATAGTTCTGGAGTTTCATAAGTATCCAGTTAAGGCAAACTTTTAAATTGTATAAGACCATAGTAACCATAGAGGGAAAAAGGTAAACCGTTAATGAGAAGAAATAACCTTCCATATATACACCAAATATGAGCACTACACATAAAAATTGAAGAAGGGGCATTTCGGTGGTTTTCCTAAAAGCACAGTGATTACAATGTTAATTTGCCAAATACTAGAAAAAATAGGATTAGATAATAAAAACAGTATACTCCTTAATAAGGAATGTGATAATGCACAAATAACCTGAGTGAAAAAGTAAGCCCTGGTAGATAGACAACTTAAAAGACAGCATAGCATAGTCTTGAGAAAGTTAAATTTGGAGCTTGCACTGATTCATACGAAATTTTCTTAAAGTGTCAGACTACAGTTACTACATGAATAACTGTTGAAAAAAATTGTAGATTTTAGTGATGATATAGATTTTAAATGAGCCTGTTGCTCTGAATATAACAAATGTAGCAAAGTTGATTTAGTGACTGAATGACAGTAATGCTTCTTTATCACAGTGCTGTTTGTTGACTCAAATTAGAGAAAATGTATTTAGAGTGCTTCCAGTGGTTAGCATTTATTTAAAGATTATGACTTTAATCTATAAATGAAAGATGGGTGATACTGAAACAGACTTAAAATACACCTACATATTGTATTTCTTTAAGAAAGAAAGTCCGAATGTAATTTTATGCATAGTTGACTATTAATAAGCTTGTTAATAATTTTCTACATTTTAACATCAATATTTGTCAAGATAAATTATCATTCAGGAACAAATAAACCTCCATCTGTCAGCGATTTCATACAACAGGGTTTATACTGACTTATTAAAAGTCCAATGGGGTAGGCTGGGCGCGGTGGGTCACTCTTGTAATCCCAGCACTTTGGGAGGCCGAGGCAGGAGGATCACAAGGTCAGGAGATCGAGACCATCCTGGCTAACATGGTGAAACCCCGTCTCTAAAAGTACAAAAAAATTAGCCGGGCATTGTGGCGAGCACCTGTAGTCCCAGCTACTCGGGAGGCTGAGGCAGGAGAATGGCATGAACCCGGGAGGCGGAGCTTGCAGAGATCCGAGATCACACCACTGCACTGTAGCCTAGGTGACAGAGCGAGACTCCGTCACAAAACAAAACAAAGCAAAAGTCCAGTGGGACATCCAGGCTATTTTTTCATTCAGTGATTCAGGGAACTGGGCTGGGAGGAGTGCAGAGTATATGGATATTTTGTGAGTTCTAAATATCTCTAGAATATAATCATATTTTGAAAGCCCACGTTTCAAAGAGAATTTTTTTGATTGCTAATCTGGAAGCTTAAGTATAGATGCATTGATGTATGTATCTTGTCAGTGAGTGCTATTGAGTGTTGACTGTGTTTTAGACACTGGCAAGGCACATAAAATGCTGAGCAAAACGCACATTTTACTTGTTCTAAGAAAGCTTACAGTATAGGGTATGCTTTTGGGGGAGAGAATATAAGCAAACAATCAAAGAATCCCACAAAAATATAATTTCAAATTGTGATAAATCTTATTTAATAGCAATGAGGCTCTGTGTAAACATGCAGTGGTGCTTCTATTCTGACATGTAAAAAACAACTACGAAAATGTGCATTTATCTAAAAGCTCAAGAATGAGTGGGAGATGTGTGTTACCATGAAGGACCAGAAAGTCTTGAGAAAAGTGTGAGTAGAACCCTTTGAAGGTTAACTGAATAAATCTCAGCTTATCAAGTGCATTGTAGTCCATCTGAAAGATGGTATATTTGAAAAGCAATAGACAGTATTCCAATTTTATATGTATATATATATATGCACACATAGGTGTGTTTGGTTTTGATCACTCTGCCTCCAGTGAAATTAATTGTGCTTAAAGTTAAGGGGCAAGTGTTGAGTTCAGGAGAGAAACTGACAATAGATTGGATAAGGCTGTTGGCAGTAGGAAATGGAGTTTTGGTTTCAATCGAAAAGAGGAAAACATCAAAGAAAAAAAACCAGAAAGGCTACATCTAGTTGTAGATATTTCATTTGTCATCATATATCTTAGTAGGATACCTGGCAATAAAGGGATGCATGGAGTTACTAAGAAACAGGGAAGTATGTATGTATGTGGAGGGGGCAATGTATAATCTGAAATTAATTCTCTCCGTTCCTGACAATAGGACAATTAAAGAAGTAAATAGCTCTCAACTTTGTTTTTTTTAAGCATCTGTGATTCACTAACATAGGCAGCTTTATGGTTTCATTTGGTAATTTCTCTGGTTTTCTGCTAAAGTAATTATCAATTTAAGTTTACAATTTCTGCATTTTTTATCTGTGCTAATGTAGAAGACTGCAGAAATGGCCTCCATCTTCACTCACCCACTAACAAGCTCCAGTATCCATATCCTTTGCAATGAGTCTTTATAGCTGTTCACATCAATGATGCATTCTCTTTCTTACCACTTGAATCCGGTGTGGGCTTTTAACTTGTTTTACATAATAGACAATTAGGAAATCATGTACCAGTTCTGAGACTCCTGATTAGAAGGTGTTGCATGATTCCATTCTCTCTCTCTTGCTCTTCTGCTTTCATTCTGAGACCAAAGCCTGGAGGTCATGCCCAAGGAGATACATTAAGAAGAACCAAGTCAGTCTAGTATTTATTTCTAGCTGGGGCTCCAGACATGTGAAGGAGCCACTGAAGATCAGCAAAGCTGAGTAACTGTTGGGAAGCTGACCACAGCTGCATGGATGGGCTCCAGTGAGCCAAGCTCAGCCAGCAGAATAACCCACCAAATACACAGACTTTTGAATAAAAATAGCTGTCTATCATTGCATCCCATGAAAGTCTTGTGATTGTTAAATATGCAACATTGTTGTGATTATAGATAATTGAGAAGGTAACGATTCTTGTATGAGTCAGGGTTCTCCAGAGAAACAAAACAGTTATCTATTTCTTTTAAATAAATAACTGAATATGTAAATGGATGGATGGATAAAGATAGATAGATAGATAGATAGACAGATGATACATAAACAGAAAGTTAGATGATAGATGGATAAATAGATAATACATAGATGATACATAGATGATAGATAGATGATAGATGATACATAGATGATACATAGGTAGATGATACATAGAAAGTTAGATGATAGATAGATAAATAGATAATACATAGATGATACATAGACAGATGATAGATAGATGATAGATGATACATAGATGATAAATAGATAGATAGATAGATAAAGGGAGATTCAATACGAGAATCAGCTCACATGATTTTGGAGGCTGAGAAATCCCACAGTATGTTTTCTGAAATCTGGAGAAGTAGAAAAGCCAGTGGTGTAATTCAATCTTAGTCCAAAGTTTTGAGAAGCAAGGGAGCTGATAATATAACTGAGGCTGAAGGTCTGACAATAGGGCTGGGGGTACAGGGGGGCATAAGGGTAAGTTCCGTGGTCTGAAGGTCTGAGAATGTGGAGCTCCCATATCCAAGAGCAGGAGACATATGTTCCAGCTCCAGAAGAGAGAGCAAATTCACCTTTCCTTCATCTTTTTATTCTGTTCAGGCCCCCAGAAGATTGGACGATGACTGCCTGCATTGGTGAGCAATCTTACTGTCTATTGACTTAAATTCTAATCTTCTGGAAGCGCTCTCACAGACAGAAATAACGTTTTACCAACTATCTAGGTATGATTTAACACAGTTACACCAACATAAAATTAACCATAACAATTCCTTAAAATTAAGATATTTATGAACATATTAGGCCTTTAATGTCAAGGTCTATGTTATGTACTGCTATTTTTATTCCCCAAAACAAAGATTAGAATGCTGGGTAGAGAACAGAGTATCAAATCACGTGATTGATTATCTGATATGACAATAGAATTGTCTCAAATTTCCCCTAATTTTTTTTGTTTGTTTTTTGTTTTTGAGATGGAGTCTCTCCCTGTGGCCCAGGCTGGAGTGCAATGGCATGATCTCGGCTCACTGCAACCTCCGCCTCCTAGGCCCAAACGATTCTCCTGCCTCAGCCTCCCAAGTAGCAGGGACTACAGGTGCACACTACCACACCCAGCTAATTTTTTTATTTTCAGTAGAGATGGGGTTTCACCATGTTGGCCAGGCTGGCCTCAAACTCCTGACCTCGTGATCCACCCACCTTGGCCTCCCAAAGTGCTGGGATTACAGGTGTGAGCCACGACCCCCAGCCCAAATTTCCCCTACATTTTAAGGATTACAGTTATTTACTCAATATTCTAGGCTTTCTGTTATAGTGGCTAGAATAGGCCTCTGAAAATGTTTACTGGAAGAATAAACTAACGAATGCAGACTTACTTATAGTGCCTGCATTATATTTAATTGTGTGTCAGTGTATTCTCTAATTTCCCAATTGAAATAAATAACCAAAATAATAAGTGTTGATATGTGTTACTGACTGAATTGTGCCCTCTTCCCAAATTCACATGTTCATGTCTTAATCCTCATGTGACAGCATTTATAGATAGGGCTTTTGGGAGGTAATAAAGGTTAAATGAAGTCAAAAGGGTGGGATCCTAATATGAAAGGATTGGTGCCTCATAAGAAGAGGATGAAAGAGAGAGTTTTCTCACTCTCTCGTCCCATGTACAGGCACCAAAGAAAGTCCATATAAGAACAAAGCTAGAAGGAGGCTGTCTGCAAGCCAGGAAGAGAGCCCTCACCAGAAACCAAACCATGTCAGAACTTTGATCTTGGACTTTTCAGCCTCCAAAAAAAAAAACTATGAGAAAATAAATTTATGCTGTTTAAATCACTCAATCTATAGTATTTCATTATGGCAATCTGAGAAGACTAAGGCACTGTCAAGAGAACAAAAACAGAAAATATATATTGGACTGAAAGAATTACACTGATGATAATATGATGTAAAAAGCTGAAGTTTAGCAGCAAGAAATGTATGAATGGGAGCAAAATGTGTCCAGTAAAAAGAAACCAGATTTTTTTTCTATTCTTTTTTTCTTTTAAACTGATTTTGAAAACAGAAATCTTAAAATATAGAGCTTTATTTATGTGTTTTCTCTAAGTGACTGTCTGGACACTGCCTTCAGAATTGTAATGGCCTCATGATCAGATCTTACTTAGGTCTACTTGAGAGAGCAGTATAGACATAGCCTGCTAGAGAGAAAATGAACTGTTTAAAACATGGAAGAATAAACACAAACATTTTGGTCTCTTCATGCTGCTGCCGGCTTTCTCTCTTAACTATGTTTTGAGTCAAACTTATTTATTCTGTTCTTTTTGTCTTCATTTATATTATTCTTTTTTCTTGCGTGTGTATGAGTCCTTCTAATCAGAATTCTGCTCATTGCTCTACAAATAAGTTTTTACAAATAAGACTCACGTTTATGGACACTGAAAACAACTAGGAAGTTGTGTGGCACAAGACAATTATTCGACATATAATGGTCTCAACTCCCTTCTCAAATATTTGTGGTTTATATCTTTAAAAAATTAGTATTCTATGACATAGTCCATACCTATTTAACAGAAAAAAATGAACAAACAAAATTAACTTATGGAGCTGTAAATATAGAAATATTCTTAGATATTGACTTAGAGCCAACATCATTGTGCTCAAACAGCTGTGTGGGCAGAACTAAATACTATGTGAGTTAGAGCCCCAAGAGTAAGTAAGGAGAGAAATAATGCGAAACGTGTTCCTAGGTTAAGGTCATATCAGCCTACTAATACGTAACATTTAGATGGGAGTAATATTATCCTGAAAAACATTAATACCTATTAATTTGATTGAATATAGAGTATTAGAACTAAAAATTATTAATCTTTTGGTGTATATAGTGTATGTTCCCAAAATAGTGCTTGTATTCAATACAAACTTTTTTTGGTTTAGATTTGTTTTATTTTCAAAAATATGGGTTTATATTTAAAGATTTTAATGTAAGTTTTTCCACTTAAAATACACCAGAGACACACTCTCAATCAACACATATTAGATATACATTAATCTATCATCTTTTAATAGTTTTTAGTTTTATAAAAAAGAATTTAATGTATATTCAACCATTGTTTAACTTGAATATCAATATTGTTACCAGATTTTTTTCTATTAATTGTAGGTCATGCCTATATCTCTCAATTGTTGGTATGTTTATATTAGTAAAATATTTCACAGAAGAAAAATCCTGGTTCTGAAAGCACCTATATTTTAAATTTTAATAAATACTACCAGATTACTTTCTAAAATGTTATAATTTACATTCTTGCCAAAAGGGTGTAAGAATATCTACTCCTGTATACCTTTCAGTGCAAAGATGACAAATTATATTTCATTGCAGGTTTAATTTGCTTCCTGATTTCTAGTAATGTTAAATGTCTTATAATATGTTTATTGCCCTTTTGCATTTTCTATGCTGTAAATTATTCATTCATATTATTTACCATTTTTCTATTAAGTTGTTTTACTTATGAATTTATAGGAGCTATTTGCGTTAAGTTAAAAAGGTATTTTGTATTGCTCTGTCATATACATTAATGATATTTTCTTCCTGTGGTCTATCATTTATATTTTGAAATTATGTACAGTGTTTTTTGTTTGTTTGTTTACCACATGAACACTTATATTTTAATTTAATTGTTTATTTTATTTTATTTCT
Source organism: Homo sapiens (assembly GCF_000001405.40). Lineage (NCBI taxonomy): Eukaryota > Metazoa > Chordata > Mammalia > Primates > Hominidae > Homo > Homo sapiens. Next base: position 67,601,817 of record NC_000013.11, read on the forward strand.
TCATATATATTTGGTTATATGTCCTCCTTACCAGGAAAGGTAATCTAGTGTTCATTAATTTTTACTATGTATTAGTCTATTTTCACACTGCTATAAAGAACTACCTGAGACTGGGTAATTTATAAATAAAAGAGGCTTAATTGACTTACAGTTTTGCATGGCTGGGGAAGCCTCAGCAAACTTACAGTCATGGAGGAAGGCAAAGGAGAAGCAAGTACCTTCTTCGCAAGGTGGCAGGAGAGAAAGAGTGAAGGGGGAACTGCCACACACTTTTAAACCATCAGATCTTTTGAGAACTCACTCACTATCAGGAGAACAGCATGGGGGAAACTGCCCCCCCCCCGCCATGAGCCAATCACCTCCCACCAGATTCCTATCCTGACACCTGAGGATTACAATTTGACATGAGATTTGGGTGGGGACACAGAGCCAAACTGTATCAAATTGTTTATATTTCTGTCACAAACTAGATAGACTAAGAGATATTAACCCTTTTCCATCTCAAGATGGTGGCTAAATCTTTACATTTTCTTGCTTCTTATGTTGCAAATGAGTTTTGCATTACAGTACCAAGAGAAGAAATTGCATAGAAATAAAACCCATTTAGATTTTTCTGTGGACCAGTCTAAAGGAAAATGTCATAGGATAATATTATGTCAATAAGACACCATCTTATTAGACTATTGGAGATTTTCCTCTGAGTGTTGAAGAAGTAAGCTGCAATGTTTTGAGAGTGCCACATGAATAGGACATGGGGGCAGCCTCTAGGAATTGATGGTGACTTCAGTTGACAGTCAGCAAGAAAATAGGGACCTCAGTTATTTAGCCTCAATCAACTGAATTCTGCCAACAACCCAAATGTACTTGGAAGAAAAACCCAAACTGCAGATGAAAATTCAGCTTAGCCAACATTATCTTAGTGAGACCTTGTTCAGAGGACCAGTTTAGCCATACCTGAACCCTTGATGCTGAAAACTGAGATAAGAAATTTGTAAATTTGTGCTAAATTTTTACATAGTAAGATAAACTAATGTATAGATTCTCACTTTTTAAGACCCTAGGAAAGAAGAGGTTCTTTTCCTCCAATTGCTGACTTTAAATTTTCTACCACTTTGAGGAGGATTACCAACAAATTATTTGATTTAGAGAAATAAGGAAAATTAGCATTTCTTAAATCTGAATATTTATAATAATACCTGTTCTCATCCTAAAGACAATAAAATATTTTTCTTTTAAAATTTTTATAGATTTACAATAAAATAATTATAAAGTGCAAAGTATCTGCTTTGTTCGAAATTCTAAATCCATACCTAGCAGCAAATGATTGAGCTTCTCAGTACTCTAATTCCTTTATTGATAAAAGCAAACTGGTTGGAAGAATAACTGACTTACTTGTAATAATGCTTACAACAATGCCAGCTATAATATGAACATTCAATAATTAGCTATAATGGCAATATTCTTATTTTTATTATCTTGTTAAGATATCTAATCTATATTGAACTTGTTTGGAATACTTTACAAAGTATGGATATAACAGATATAAATTGTTGTCTTACAGATGAATAATCTGTGGACCCATTTAAATTTCCTGTGTATTTAAGTTCTTGCTTTAACTGTATTGCTAACTTTTTGATTTATATCTTAATTGGACCTAGTTCTAGACTCTCTTCCACGTATCTATTTGCCTACCTCTCCACAGACACTATGCGGATTTTTATTTTGTTGACTTATACTAACTCTTAATTTCGAGTATAAAAAATTTGAACTTGCTATTTCACTTTTTCTTTTTCTTTTTCTTTTCTTTTTTTTTTTTTTTAAAGACAGAGTCTTGCTCTGTCGCCCAGGCTGGAATGCAGTGGTACGATCTCTGCTCACTGCAACCTCCGCTTCCGCTTCCCAGGCTTAAGTGATTCTCTTGCCTCAGCCTCCCGAGTAGCTGGGATTACAGGAATGCGCCACCATGCCTAGCTAATTTTTGTATTTTTTTTTTTTTTTTGAGACGGAGTCTTGCTCTGTCACCCGGGCTGGAGTGCAGTGGCACGATCTCGGCTCACTGCAAGCTCCGCCTCCCGGGTTCACGCCATTCTCCTGCCTCAGCCTCCCTTTAGTAGAGATGGGGTTTCACCATGTTGGCCAGGCTGGTCATAAACTCCTGACCTCAAGTGATCTAGCTGCCTCAACCTCCCAAAGTGTTGGGATTACAGGCGTGAGCCACCGTGCCTGGCCCACTTTTTCAAGATTTTTTTTGGTCTACATTTATTTTGCACATAAACTTCAGAAACATTTAATCAAGCTTAAAAATAAAATTCTGAGTAATTTGTCACTAAATTTTTCTATTTTCTTTTGGCGTTTTAATGGTAATAAGTCTTCCCTTTCTGGAGAAAGGTTTATCTGCCATTTGTTCAGAACTAAAAAAAAATAAAAAATAAAAAATGAAAAAAAAATAAAGGATATTCCTCTATGGGACTCTGCACCCTACTGCTTTCTCAGTGTCCATGTTTCCGATAAATTTGACTCCACCCCAGGATCTAGGAATGGAGCATGTTACCTGTACTTTACCTTGGCCACAATGACTGCCTAGCGATGGACACTTCACCCAAAGCGGGCCCATCAGATTTCATTGAACTTCAAAACTAAAGATGTGCTTTTTTTCTTGTTGAGTTATTTGATGTCCTTGCAGATTCTGGATATTAGCCTTTTGTTAGATAGATTGTTTGCAAATATTTTCTCTCATTCTGTAGATTGTTTGTTTACTTAGCTGATTATTTCTTTTGCTGTGCAGAAGCTTTTTAGTTTAATTAAGTACATTTGTCTACTTTGTTTTTGTTGTATTTCCTTTTGAGGACTTAGTCATAAATTTTTTGTCTAGACCAATGTCCAGAAGAGTTTTTTTCTAAGTTTTCTTATAGAATGTTTATATTTTCTGTTCTTACGTTTAGGTTTTTACACCATCTGAGTTAATTTTTGAATATAGTGAGAGATAGGGGTCCAGTTTTATGTTTTCTGCATATGGATATCCAATTTTCCCAGCACCATTTACTAAAGAGGGTGTCTTTTCCTCAGTGTATGTTCTTGGTACCTTTGTCAAATATCAGTTGACTGTAGGTATGTGGCTTTATTTCTGGGTTCTCTATTCTGCTCCGTTGATCCATGTGTCTATTACCAACACCATGTTGTTTTGGGTACTATAGCCTTGTAGTATAGTTTGAAGTTAGGTAATGTGATATCTCCAACTGTACTCTTTTTGCTTAGAACTGCTTTGGATATTTGGGTGCTTTTTGGTTCCATATGAATTTTAAGATTGTTGTTTCTAAATCTGTGAAGAATGATGTTGGTAATGCGATAGGAATTGCATTGAATCTATAGATTGTTTCAGGCAGTATGCTCATTTTATTGATATTGATTTTTCAAATCCATAAGCATAGGATGCTTTTCCATGTGTTTGTGAAGTCTATGATTTTTTTCATCAGTGTTTTGTAGTTCTCCTTGTGATCTTTTACCTCCTTGGTTAAATACAGTTATAGGTATTTCTGTAGCTATTGTAAATGGGATTGGATTATTGATTTTGTTCTCAGCTTGATTGTAATTGATATATAGAAATGCTACTGATTTTTATATGTTAATTTTGTATCCTGAATCTTTACTGAAGTAATTTATCATATCTAGGAGTCTTTTGGGAGACTCTTTAGGGCTCTCCATTTATAAGATTATATCAGTAAACAGAAAATTTGACTTTCTCTTTTCCAATTTGGATGCCTTTTATTTCTTTCTCTTGCCCGATTGGTCTGACTAGGACTTCCTGTACTATGTTAAGTGGAAGTGGTAAAAGTAGGCATTCTTGCCTTGTTCCAGTTCTAAGGTGGAATGATGACAACTTTGCCCTATTTAGTACACTCTCAGCTGTGGGTTTGTCGTATATGCCTTTTATTATTCTGAGGTATGTTCCTTCTATAGCTAGTTTGGTAAAAGTATGTATCATGAAGGGATGATGGATTTTATTGAAAGCTTTTTCTTTATCTACTGATATAATCCTATGGTTTTTGCTTTTAATTCTGTGTAGGTGGTGAATCACATTTATTGATTTGCATATGTTGAATCAACCTTGCTTCCCTGGAATAAAATCCACTGGATTGTGGCATGTTATCTCTTTGATGCGCTGTTAAACTTGTTTTGCTAGTTTTTGTGGAAGATTTTTACATCTATGTTCATCAGGGATATTCATTTGTAGTTTTCTTATTTTGCTGTGTCCTTGCCTAGCTTTAATACCAGGGTGATGCTGTCTTTGTAGAATGAGTTAGGGAGGATTCTTCCTCCTGGGTTTTGGAGAACAATTTACGTGGGATTGGTGTCAGTTCTTTCTTGTACATCTGGTAGAATTCAGCTATGAATACAACTATTCCTTGGCTTTTTTGTGTTGGAAGATTTTGTTTATTACTGATGCAATTTCACTAATAGCTATTTGTCTGTTCAGGTTTTCAATTTCTTCCTAGTTTAAACTTGAGAATTTGTATGTTTCCATAAATTTTTTCCATATCTTCTAAGTTTTCCAGTTTCTGCACATAGAGATAGTCAGTTTCTGATGATCTTTTGTATTTCTGTTGTATCTTTTGTAATGACACTTTTAAAAAGTGGCAAAGGATACGAACAGACATTTTTCAAAAAGAGACATACAAGTTTTCAAAAACGTATGGATAAAATGCTCCACACCACTAATTATCAGATAAATGAAAATTAAAACCACAATGAGATACCATCTTTCACCAGTAAAAATGGCTATTATTAAAAGGAAAAAAAAAACAGATGTTGATGAGGATGTGGAAAAAGAAATGCTTATATACTGCTGGTGGGAATGTAAATTAGTACAGCCTAAACAGTATGAAAGTTTCTCAAATAACTAAAAATTGAACTACAGTTTGATTCAGCAATTTCAATACTGGGTATTTATGCAAAAGAAAATAATTCATTTCATCAAAAGACACTTTCACTCATATGTTTATTGCAGCACTATTCATAATAGCAAAGTCATGGAATGAATGTATTTATCATAATTGGATAGAAAATGTGGTTTAAAGAGAAAAACAACCCCACTAAAAGGTGGGCAAAGGAAATAAATTGACACTTTTCAAAAGGAGACGTACATACAGCCAACAAGCAGATAAAAAAAATCTCAACATCACTGATCATTAGAGAAATGTAAATCAAAACTGCAATGAGATACCATCTCACGCCAGTCAGAATGGCTATTATAAAAGTCAAAAAATAACAGATACTGGCAAAGTTACATAGAAAAAGGAACATTTATATTCTGTTGGTGGGAGTGTAAATTAGTTCAACTGTTGTGGAAAGAAGGATGGCGATTCCTCAAATATTAAAAGGAGAACTACCATCCGACTCAGCAATCCCATTACCAGGTATATATCCAGAGGAATGTAAATCATTTTACCATAAAGACACATGCACATGAATGTTCATTTCAGCACTTTTCACAGTAGCAAAGACAAAGAATCAATCTAAATGCCCATCAATGACAGATTGGATAAAGAAAATGTCATACATATACAACACAGAATACTATGCAGTTATAAAAAAGAATGAGATCATGTCTTTTGTGAGAACATGGATAAAACTGGACACTATTATGCTTAGTAAAGTAATGCAGGAACAGGAAACCAAATACCACACATTCACACTTAGTACTGAAAGCTAAATGATGAGAACTCATGAACACAAGGAAAACAATGGACACTGGGGTCTCATTGAGGGTGGAGGGTGGGAGGAAGGAGAAAAGCAGAAAAAATAACTACTGGGTAATGGGCTTAATAGCTGGGTAACAAAATAATCTTCACCACAAACCCCCATGGCACAAGTTTACCTATATAACAAACCTTCAACAGTACCCTTGAACCTAAAATAAAAAAGATATATACATATATATCTCATGTGAGAGAGATATATATATATAATATATATATCTCATGTGACATATCTTATATATATCTTATATATATATCTCATATCTTATATATATCTTATATATATGATATATATAAGATATATATATCTTATATATGATATATATTATGTAATATATAATATATACATAATATATAATATATATTATATATAATATGTTATATATTATATATAATATATAATATATAATATATAATATATTAAATATATATAATATAGATAATATATATTATATATGTATATATTATATATTATATATTTTAAATATATTTAATATATATTATATATGTATATATTATATATTATATATATTAAATATATATAATATATATTATATATGTATATATTATATATTATATATAATATATAATATATATACATAATATATACATAATATATTATATATAGTATATACATAATATACGTATATAATATATATTATATATATTATATATGTATATAGTATATATTATATATATTATATATGTTATATATGTATATATTATATATTATATATGTATATAATATGTATTATATATGAGATATATACATATATATGTATCTTATATATATACAAAATATATATGTATCTCACATGAGATATATATATCTTATCTGAGATATATATCTCATATATATGATATATAAGATATATATCTCATATATATGATATATAAGATATATATCTCATATATATGATATATAAGATACATATATCTTATATATGTATAATATAACATAATATCTAATATATCTAATATATATATGTGTATATATATATATATATATGTATCTCACAGAATACTACTCAGCCATGAAAAAGAATGAAATCATGACTTTTGTACCAACATAGGTGAAACTGGAGGCCATTATCCTTAGTGAAATGACTCAGAAACAGAGAGTCAAAAACTGTATGTTCTTACTCACATGTGGGAGCTGAACAATGAGTAAACACAAACATGCAGAGTAGAGTAACAGGCATTGGAGTTTCCCAGATATGAGTGTGGAATGAGAGTAAGGGATGAAATACTACCAGTTGGGTACAATGTACACTATTTAGGTGATGAGTACATTAAAAGCCCAGACTGTACCACTGTGCAAGGTATCTATGTAGTACCATCGTCCTTATGAACCTAAATCCATTAAAAAAAAAAAAAACCTGAGGATGTGTAATGCTGGAGGTGATGTTACCACTGTCACTCTGTAGAATTATTTTACAGCCAAGTTTGGAAAACCTAATGAGCTCAACTGGATGTTGTTTATAACTAAAAATAGATTGGCACAATGGATGGATGCTTTACAATTGCTTTTTTTTGCTTTTAAGTGGTAATATAATAGGATTTTTTTACTCTGCTCTCTCCATCATACCTCAAAATTCAAGCTTTGATTCTTGTTCAGTTCTATCCCACTAATTACATGGGATTCTACCTCTTCCTGAAGCCTTTGGCTGTCTAGATATTAGAAGGAGAGAGCCCACATTGGGTTATAAAAATGAGACAGAGAAGAATTTAAGTTTGGCATAGATGGGCTTCATTTTTGATGGACAGGAAATAGGCAAGTTAGGATTGCAAGGGCATCTTCTTTGGGCATATATGGGGAGCTGGCAAATGTTCTGGGAACAAGTAATGGGAAATGCTCAGTCAAGTGAAGCCTGGTGCATTTGTGAATGCTCTGCTCCTAGGGTGAATGATCACATAAACCATTTTTTTTTTCTGGGAAAAGTCCTCTGGGTTTATTCACATGATAGCTGGCCCTCTCCCCTCTTAGGCTAATTTCGTATTAACAGTTATGTTTCCCAGTTGAGAACTACTGATATTAATGTAGTTCACTTCTTCTTCTCAGTACTCTGTTCCTCTCTCATATTTATTTCCATGCTTTTCTCATGAAATATCTGTTCTTTATTTTTTCTTCTGGTAAAATAGACTATTACTATGTTTTGCTTTGTTTTCTATATACCTGGATAGCTTATTAAAACAATGGCTTCAAATCATTAATGAGTAAAAAAATAGTTTCTCTTTCCTTGAATATATAAATAATGTTTGCAGTCCACTAAGAGGTGAGAAGACAATGCCATCTTTTTAGTTTAAATATAAATGGGAATAATAGTACTATAGTTTGCTTTACATAAAACAAAAATCCCTGAATACTCTTTGCCAGCTAAATTAGCAATAGCCAACTAAAAGCAAAATGAAATGAAGCCACAAATTTGTCTTTATAAAAATCTTACATAATTCTCAAAAAAGAGAGAATTTAGCAAGAAAGGTGCAAGAAATATGTAAAGAGGGGTATATATTTTTATCCATTATCAAAAAGTAGGATCTTATGGTCCAGAAACTCAGCTATCTAGAAGCTACTGCTCTTATTATTATAAACTCAGTAAAGCAGGAAAAGATATGAAATTAAACAGATGTCCGTAGATTATACAAAGCTAGTCAGAATTGAGCATATACTGCTGCTATCTTAAAATCTCTTGTTTGATGCTTCATATCGTCTTTGCTGCTATGTTGCTTTTTCTCCAAATAGTGATATCCATCCCATGTTCTTTCCATGTTCTGAAAATTTTTTAGGGATCTCTGATGCTGAACATTTCCATTGTATAGGTATGCTTTTGTTTTTCAATTTATTATCTTGATCTCATTTCACTTTTGTGAATTTTACTTCTCTAGGTGATGGAGAATTTTCACTCCTACTATCTTCATGGGGTCAAATTACAACACAGATTTTTTAATCTGATTCTTAGGCCCTTAAACTCTCAAATTTTTCAAAAACTATCTACCTTTGACCAAAAGCAAATAAGAACAGTTTTAGTTTCATGATAACCTTACTGTTCAGATATTATATTTATATGTGTGTGCATGCTGTCTTCCCAGTACACATATTTTAGGAAAATAAAATCAACCCTCAATATGAAATTATCACAAAGTGATCTTGGCAATTTATGTGATAAATGGAGTAAGAACTTTTGCCTGTTTACATTCCATCTAAATTTTGACAGCTAACAATTAAATCTGTCTATTGACATCTGAGTTCTTCTACGACTTGGATGTTTTAATGTCGATTTCACTGATGTACCTCAGGTGCCTAGAACAGACCTGGTGCACAACAGTTAATCTAAGAATATAAGAGACTCTTTTTCTGAATGAGCAAACAAATGACAAATGATAATTGACTGTACAAGCAGACTTCCAAATCTGAACATTTTCTCATGAAAATAATTGCTAGCATTTAATGAGTATAGGTCATGATCTAACTTTAACAATTTCCATTGTTTACATAGATTTTTGTTATTTAAAAAACTCATCATCTTTATAAATGAAAAAAAGATTTAAAAGTTCCCTAAGTTGCTCATAGTCCAACAGCTAATAAAGAGAAAATCCAAAACTAAAAAATCACTTTTTTCCAAAGACAATTTTCCCTTCAAGGCTATACTGCCTGTTCAAAGTTAATCACTACTTCCTAGGTAACATTTGCATACTAATTGTTTGATACCAAGTAGATTATTTAGTTCTCACAATCACACTACAATGTAGGCATTTTTTCCTCTTTTTATTGTTGAGGAAAGTATTACATTTGAATTACACAGCCTTGAAGTCTTTGAATCTTGTCTTCCTTTTGTGGCCTCATGGAAGCTCAGGCAATTGTGTGTTGAGGTTCTTCAGACATGACCTCTGAAAAGAAATGTGAATACTCACTTGTCACATTTCTTCATAAGATAAGAAACTTCCATTCCACCATAAGAAGAGTATTCAAAAATCCTCCAGCTCTTTTAACCTCTGTACATTGTTTCACATACCTATCCATTTGAGTGGCAACTTGGCTAATTGATGAACCTAGGAGAAGGAAATGGTGATACAGAGCTTAAGGTTTTCTGGGTCCCTGCTCTTTGGAGTGACCTCTTCTTTGGATGAATGCAGTCTTTCTATAATGGGGCTCATGGCCCATAATGCATAGAGGTCTGCAACCTTTGCTATGCCAGTGGCTTGGTAAACAATCTGGATACCAAACAACAATAAAGTGTTATGAAACCCTGTTGTGTCTAGATAATCTAAGACAAATTTTCCAGTTTGAATTTTATCAAATATATAACTGATATTTTGATCTCCATCTGTGTGATGCTTCTGAATGTTAGTTTAGAAATTTGGGGAGAAAAAGTGAGCTCCCTACATTTATCAAAATTATCATGTCCTTTTTTTAATCAAGGAATTCTAAACTTAGAAGGTCTTCATTAATTCTTTGAATATTGTGGATCTCCATTATATACAGATAAATGGATTAAATATTTGTGAGAGCACTTTATAAGTAGTAGTGGCTGTAAAGTATTTATTTACTATTTTACATTGGGATGAGTGAAGACAGGCACTTACCAATAATAACATGCTGTCTTCATTTGTCCATTAAAAAGAAAGAAAATTCAATTTAAAATGAAATATAGGAAAAATAGATGCTGGACAATGTTAAAACGTGCTGAAGAAAGAATATGGAAGTCTCCGTTGTAGACCACAACACTTACAATAATATTATCTTGTCAATAAAGTTATAATATGAGTAAATAAGTTACTGTTATATCTATACAATGATATTAATTTAAATCTGGAAATTACAACATAAGTAATTTAGTTAGAGCCGTTAGTTTTAAAAGAAATAGCTTTGAACGATAGCAATTAACTACTGTCCAAGATTGCATTGCCGCTCGTATCCAGAAGCAAGAATAGAACCAAGGGCTTCCTATATGAGAATCTGTATATATCACACCTGTTGTAGGACCTAGATCTCAATGCTAGATCTCAATCAATGTTAGTATGCTCTTTTCCCCTATTTGATTCTAGGATTAGGATACCCATACTCCAGTTGCTTCTATTTCTCATAAAAATCAGAGACTTAACACTTTTCACGTGGGCAAAGAGAGTGTATCAAGTGAGTAATTTTCAAAGAAAGGGGGAATGAACAAAAAAGTTTTTATTGTCAAAATTGATACTGTCTCAAAGGGGAAAGTAAGTATGCAAACTTGTATTTTGCCCAATCATAAAGCTACCTCATTTAGAAGAATAATTGTGTTCCTAAAATTGTTGAGTTTGGCCACATTTGTAAAATAAAATTGTATTCGAAATAGATGGAAATGGCTCAATGTGGATTAAAAATAGGTGCCAGATTTTATCGAATTGAAAACCTCTCAAAATATGAACATTAAGGCCAGGCGTTGTGGCTCACGCCTGTAATCCCAGCACTTTGGGAGGCCGAGGCGGGCGGATCATGACGTCAGATCGAGACCGAGACCATCCTGGCTAACATGTGAAACCCTGTCTCTACTAAAAATACAAAAAAATTAGCTGGGCGTGGTGGCGGGCGCCTGTAGTCCCAGCTACTTGGGAGGCTGAGGCAGGAGAATGGCGTGAACCCGGGAAGCGGAGCTTGCAGTGAGCGAGATGGCACCAATGCACTCCAGCCTAGGAGACAGTGGGACTCCGTCTCAAAAAAAAATATATATATGTATATATATATATATACACACACATATATGTATATATATGTGTATATATATATACACATATATGTATATATGTGTGTATATATATATACACACACATATATGTATATATATGTGTATATATATATACACACATATATGTATATATATGTGTATATATATGTATATATATGTGTATATATATGTATATATATGTGTATATATATGCATATATATATATGTGTATATATATATGCATATATATATGTATATATATATGAACACTAAGTCCATTATCCACCTGCTCTCAATTGAAAAAATATATATTTTTTCTTAACAGGAAAATTTTGAGCAACTGTTGTTAATTTCTATAGAATTTAGACTAGTGTCTACTGGCATAGGATTGGGTGTGTTATTGAACATGGGTGTGAGTGTGAAGGACAGTGTTAGAATCTGAGTGGGAAGGTTCCTGTGTAAGAATAAGAGCACATGTGAGCATAAATGTGAGACTGTGTGTGAGTATATGCAACCAGACCTTCATGAAATTAGGGTAAAATTTTCTATATATTTAGGGATGATGTTCAATACATCACTGGTGAACAGAATCTGTGCTCTTCCTTTATTGCACATGCCTTTTGGCTAAATGTTGCCTCTGTTTATACAGTTTGAGAAACCCCTCTTGTATTTCTGACACTTTTCCTTTCTCCCCCTGAGAAGTCCTCCTTTAGATTATGATCTTGATAAGAAACCACTGGTTTGTCTTACTTTTTTTTTTCTTTTTTCTTTCTTATTGGCAGATACGACAGTTGATAGTATCTTCTCAGTTGTGCAAATGTTGTCTAAAAGACAAATCTGACTCACAGGTGATGTTATGCATATGCAAAAGTCTCAGCTTTAGGCTTTTAATATGTAGCACTTAATTTTGTGCAAAAGAGATACACTGTTATTTATTTATTTATTTATTTATTTATTTATTTATTTAGAGATGGAGTCTTGCTCAGTCGCCCAGGCTGGAGTGCAATGGCGCAATCTCAGTTCACTCCAACCTCCGCCTCCCGGGATCAAGCAATTCTCCCGCCTCAGCCTCCTGAGCAGCTGGGATTACTAGCACCCGCCTTCATGCCTGGATACTTTTTGTATTTTTGTAGAGACAGGGTTTCACCATATTGGCCAGGCTGGTCGAGATACACTATTTTTTATTGCAACTACTTGGTTAGTCAGGGTTCTGTCCTTTTTCACAGTACTTTGTTCAGCCTCAGTAAAATTATTTTGTAGGTTTGAAGCTAGTATTCGGTCATTTACTTAAAAAAATACTTTTTTTCATTTAATTTTTTCTCATTTATTCTAAAAGAATTTTCCCCCATTTTCTATCATGCAAATGAATTCAGAATCTATAACTTAATAGTTATATTTTTTCAGTTTGAACTATATGTAACCTTATGGGACAATCTGAATTTTAACATCAATGAAAAAATCCTTAGCATAACATATGAGAATTTTTAACTGAAGTTTTAATGAGCTGAGGTAAGCAAATTTGCGTTTGATATCTACTTTTAATTGCATATGAGTCTATTTGTTCAACTACAAATTAATTTATACAAGGGTTATACAACTGGTAATGGTACCTCATGTTTGATTTGACAAGTTTAATGTTTTTTAGAAATTTGAATTTGAATAATTTTAAGAAAAAGCATCAAGTTCTAATTTTCTAGGTTTCTCATCACTTTCTGTTTTATGAGCATGTATATGCATCATTTTACCCACTTGGCCACACAAAACGTTTAAGATTGAGATGCTCAAATTAAAGGAATGTTAATAACAAATTCAAAATAATGCAAAGAATGCAGAATTAGCTGCATTAGTGCAATTACAACAACTTGAAAAGCTAAAATCTTGCTAATAATAATAAAAATGTAACTACAATTCCTGACTAACTTATTCTAGGATGCCCCTTGGAAGAACTGGAAATTTAAAATCTGTGGTCACAAAGGAGAGTAAAGAGAAAAGACATGCTACCCTCTAAAATTACATAATTTGTTAAAAGAAGACAGAAAACAATAGATAAAAGAAAAACAGGATGTTGGGAGAAATGTGGAAAGAAGACACAAAGTAAAGAAGACAAAAGTCAAGTAACCTTCTGAGGACAAAGAAGCAATTCTTTGGTTTCATAAATACTTTCAAATTTATATTTAGCTTATTCATTTCTATAATCCTTATGTATTTCTCTTACATTTTTCCATAGTGTCTATCTATTAATTGTATCTTTACTTGAATGGAAATTACCTCTTACCAGAGTGAATGGTATATGTCAGAGTGACTGGTATATGTCAGAATGACTGGTGTATGTCAGAGCAGAACTTTCCCACTAATGTCATGTAATGTGAGGACACAGTATTGTAAAAAGTTTACTAAGTATTTTAATACAAGAAAATATCAAGCACAGTTTACGATCTGTGTATATTTTGGTGCAGGGCACAGGAATATAGGTCCATGAGTTTCTTTGAAGGTAAATAGACCAATAGATATACAATCACAGCATAAATTTACTCATCAACATTCTTTTTTCTTTTTGTTTAGGTCAAATTATATATTTTGAGTTCCCAGTTAACAGTGTTTACAGATGAGGTTATGATGATGTTATTTGGCTATATCCCAGTGGTATATCAATTGTTGGATTAAAAAACATTTGATGTGATTTAAATCTAATTCTGAATATACTTTAAGTAAGTTAGCAGCAACAAATAAAACAAAATCTAGTAAACTCATCAGTTGGTAAAGGACATGGGATATTGAAGTCTTTCCTTAAATTGCACTATTTTTCCTTTTATTCTGAGTTATGATATATACAACACAGAGGTTTTCTATCTTCCTAAACCCTTTTGGGTAGTTATCTAACCTTTAATAAGCTAAACTTCTGAGTTCAAATTCAGTTTATAAAATGGCATTTTCCAAAGAACAGGAAGAGTCATATTTAGAAAATATAAATGCATCGTCGATGTGTGTATTTGCTATTCACTTTTCTCAATGTTCTTATATCATCCAAAAATATCTTCCTAGGTGCTATAGCCAGACATTTTTTCCCTTCATATATTAGCAACATATCCCTGTTGGATAAAAATATTCAGTGTTTCTTTCTTCAAAGCACCTTAAAATTCAGCTAGCATTTCATACTTTTTTTTCATGCTTGTAAAAAAATATCCAGAGAAAAGTATATTTTGTCCATAAAAATCTGATTATTAAACTTTTGGAACAACCACCACAGAAAACAAAGCCAAAGATTAGAGGATGGTGGAAATGTGTAAAGAGAGATCCATGAAACTATTCAAATTCTAAATTATATTCAGTTTCTAGTGCAAGTTAAAGAGACTTAATAATGCTCAACACTTTGATGTGCTTAAAGAGCTGGACAGGCTCTGCTACTTCAGCAAAATAGAAATGCAGGTATATTCAGCCTTTCATACTCATGGGTTCTGCAAAATGCAGATTCAAATAATGTAAATCTGCATTTTGTAGAACCCATGGGTATGAACCACAGATCCAAATAATGTAAATCTGCATTTTGAAGTAAGTAATGTAAATCTGCATTTTGAAGTAAGTAATGTAAATTTGCATTCTGCAGAACCCATGTAGATCCAAAATATTTTTTAAAAGGATGGATTGCATCTTTACTAAACATGTACAGACTTTTTTTTGTCATTATTCCCTAAGCAACACAATGTAATAATTATTTACATAATATTTAGTATCACAAGTAATCTAGAGATGATTTAAAGAACACAGGATGATATGCATAGGTCATATGCAAACAACATGCCATTTTATATAAGGGACTTGAACATCCATGGATTTTGGTATCTGCAGGGGGTCCCAGAATCGTTTCCCCTTGGATACCAAAGGATGACTTTATTTCACTTCTAAGAGATGGTGCTCCTGAGTAGTGCTCCTGAGTAGGCAGCCTTTGGGCAAAGGAAGTCAACAGAAGGTTTAGCAAATGCATCTCAATTGAAACATAATCTATTTATAATACAATTTACCTAATCCTATGCCAGGCATCTGTGGGCTGGGCTTGAAAGAAAAACAAAAACAAATAAAACACCGAAAACAATTACCTAGAACCACAAAGCCATAAACTGCTAGAAAATAAGAGCAGTTGGTGGTCTTAGCTGATTAGTGGCCATCAAAGATAGGCTTGGGGTTCTGTCAATCAGGAAAACAGCCAAACGCACAAACCTCCATATGATTATTAGTATTATTGCTCAGTAGAAACATATATCCCCCAAAGCAAACATAATTACAACAGCCTGCTTTATGTATGGACTGCATCTCTCCCTTATTCATAGCTTTAGCATATTATGCAAATCTCTTTTATTTTAAGCTTCAATAATGAATCATTTTAGTACTGGTTTGAACAAAATTTAAGGAAGCCTGCTTTCTATGGAAATTGACAAATTTTATCCGTGCAGATTTTCCTTCCCTCTTCTATATTTTTACCAGGATTTATGATGTTTTCTCTTCTCCTACACTTTTTTTTTCTTTACATATATTTGAAAATGAATCAAATAGTGTCGTTATGTACATGGAAGGGGTTGACAGGGCTTGCCAAGTTGCTGGTGGATCAGGTCATACCAGCAATATTGAGTGATCCCTTATCTAGTAACCCTTGCCATGTACAGAACTATGTGCTAGATACTAGAGAAACAAGAATAAAGCAACCCTTCCGCTTTGTAGATTTGTTTTTTTGGCATGTCTAAATGTATAGGATAACAAGATGTATATGTACATGTGTATATATGTGTGTATATATATTTTTTCTTAAACACTGTGTGTGTATGAGTAAGAACAGACGTCCTAATTAGAAGATTATCTGCTTGGGCCGGGCGCGGTGGCTCACGCCTGTAATCCCAGCACTTTGGGAGGCCGAGGCGGGCGGATCACGAGGTCAGGAGATCGAGACCATCCTGGCTAACACGGTGAAACCCCGTCTCTACTAAAAATACAAAAAATTAGCCGGGCGTGGTGGCGGGCGCCTGTAGTCCCAGCTACTCGGGAGGCTGAGGCAGGAGAATGGCGTGAACCCGGGAGGCGGAGCTTGCAGTGAGCCGAGATCGCGCCACTGCACTCCAGCCTGGGCGACAGAGCGAGACTCCGTCTCAAAAAAAAAAAAAAAAAAAAAAAAAAGAAGATTATCTGCTTGATGAGGGCTATACTAGGTTTGAGTGCACACATAATCAAGTTAAGCAGAGAGTTGGAGCTGAACATTTCTTCATGATTAAGGAGTGAAAAATTTGGAGAACCTGAAGAAAGAGATTGGGATCAGGAAGGCTGCATAAGCAAAAAGGGAAAGAAAGAGAATAAAGGTAGCTGATTATGGCTAACCACAGAACAGATTTTAGGTAATAATTCTGAGGACTAGAAGTTGTTTCTCATGAGCATTTAATTTAGAACTTTCCATTCCTAACTGTATAATCCTCAGTATATTTGATGTTTCTCATACTTGTGTTTATGCATGAAATATTTGTTATAAAAACATATAACAAATGATATTATCAAGACACATGGAGACACCACCCAGCTTAAGAATTTAGTATTTGCAGCTATAATGGAAGCATTTTATATACTTTCATATTCTTTCTTCCCCAGAGATTGCCATTATCCCAATTCCTATTTTTCATACATCTGTATGATTATACATACATACATGACAAGTTATTTAAATGAATATAGTAGGCATTTTAGTGTACTTATTCTTCAACCTGTGATATGCTCTATATTATTTTCAGAGAGGTAGTTTTGGAGAGTCAGTTTATTTATAAAATACAAACAATTTCTTTAAATTCATTTGTTGTATTGATTTATTGATTTTTTAATCCCTCATTTTTTGATTACTGGTTTGAGAATTATTAAATTATATTTCTATTCCTTTAGGGGTTATCCTTTGAAATTTAGTATGAAGATGTGAGTCAGTAAAGGCTAAAGTTATTTAACATTTATATTTTATTCCTGAAAAATAAAATAATCATGGAAGTGAGACTGCTCTGCTCTTCTCACTCACTGCTCTTCCCATCCCCAGCCACGTACACACAGCAAAGATACGTTTTCTCTTTGTTCTCTCTCTCTCTCTTTTATCTTCCATAGCCCATCAGATTGCTGAAGTATATAGGTCATTGAACATCCCAGTATTGGGTAAGGGTCTTAGTCAAAGCTCTCTATCTCCTTCAAGACCTATCCAAGCCTTGTCATTTTTCCCTCTTCATTCCTGAGAGCTGTGACTCTTTTTACTCTAAAGTCAACACTGCCAGAAAGTCTGACTCACTGGATCTGAAATGAGGCTTGAAAAATCCAGTCTTGTCAAAGCTTTGTGGATTATTCCAAAATTGTCTGAGACTTTAGAGCAACCATTTAGATAGTTATATATTCCAGTTTATTGGGTGTCTAATAGTTGCACTACAGATGATCTCTTTTTGTAGGTAGATTATGTGAGTATTCCTTTTTCAGAATATGTTGCTCATGCATAATACTTGTGTTGCTTAGCACAGAATATGGCATAACACAGGCCATCAAAATTTATGTGTGGACTCAATTAGCAGATGTATAAAACAAATGATAGAAGACAGTTATGAAAAGCCTGTAAGGGACAAAGATTTACTTCTAAAATGTGGTATAATGAAATAAGTTCTATTATTCTGTAATTTTCATAGCTATTTTGAGAGAGGAAAATACAGATAAATGGAATATCTATAATTGAGAGGGGGAAAATATATTTAAGAGCCCTGAAAACCTGAATTGAAAATTGGAATAATAACTTAATAGAAGAAGGGTGACTGTGTCTGGAGTAGACGCTTTATTGTCCTTTAGCATGAGTCACTCTCTGTTGGTTTATTTATAACTCTTCTGCCATGTTCTGCAGTGATGTAAATCCTATGATAAAACAGAGCAGGGGTACACCCAGCAGGTTGGCTCTACTTTTCCACATATTTTCTTTAATAAGACCTGGGGCTTGCAGAGGCTGACTGCTCTTATAGCAGGGACTGTTGACAAGGCATAGCACAGCATTACTCTTTAAACTATGCTGCGATTCCTGACATCAGCAGAATAGTCATACTTATGCAGAAAAGGAAGTAGCATTAGTGATTAGGCATTTTAACTCTGTAAGAAGAAAAAGAATTCAAAAACTTTCGAATTTTGTGAAGATTAAGAAATGAAAAAAAGAAAATCTCAGTATCTCTGTGATACTAAGAGCAATTTCAGTGCTGTGGAGAGGGAAGTGCATTCTCAAAAAGACCAACACATTGAGATTGATACCTAGAACATAATTGGTTCTGTAAAGAGGTTTTCTGCTTGGCTAAACTATATTTTCACACTTAAAAGTCACAGTAGAAAAACCTTGTACCAGACATTAGAAAACTTTTTTCTTTTTTAATTTAAGGATCAATGTTTGTCTTTAATCCGGAACAAATGACCTCTTTGAATCTAAAATGAGGAAATAAATAAGTCTAGCTTTCTCAGGAGATCAGTAATAGGATACAAAGATGTTAACTTCTAGCTCACAGATGCATTAAATTCCAACCAAACCACTGGTGACTAAACATTATAATATCCAATAGCTTTTTTTTTTTTTAAATAACTTGATAGTCCCAGTTCAATTTCCAAACATAGACGTCACATAAATACAAAACATGACTCAATTAGTGATTCCGTCTTTAGCTGCAGCCACATATTAAAGGAACATTTTTCTCATCTGTAAAAGAGACATGCAATGCAGATGGGGACCATTTCTTTCTGATTCAACTAGAGATCTCAGGGCAAGGATGTTTAAATCAGAAAACAAAAGTTGTTAGCAGTTAAGAACGTAAACTTTTTTTGTAAATCTGTATTTGTCTCCTCCAGTTTTGAACACTCTAGATGATTCTTTTAGAGACGCCTTTCATAGGAGTGTGTGGAATTTCTCTCTGAGTAAATTGCTCTACTTCTTGGGAAATTATTAATAAATTTCTGAGCAGAAGCATATGATTACACTTTCACTGAGCATGAAACAGGATCATGCTAAACTGGACAAGTTAATTGCTTTATCCTGGAAGGTGACCCATTTACTTCAAAATATTTTGAATATATATCACATATATTACATAAATTCCAATATATAATTGTTCACTTTTTTTGCTTATTTACTTATCCTACTTATATACTACTTACATACACAATAATTCAAACACCCTCCATTTGAAAAAATATAAGATGTAAATTTATTGCATACTGAATGGCTCAAACATATCTGTAGTCTTAAACACTATTACAGTTATATTGGAATCAGTGGCATACAATTATTTTCTAAGTGTTTTTCTTTTTAACATTTTCTGTTTCAGTCGACTAAGAAATGCTCTTTAACTAGCACATTCATTCATTTGGATAGACTAATTAATGCAGAATTTTATTATAAAATATTTTCTCTTCATATTTATGAACTTTTTCTCACCATATTTGTTATTTCCTCTGTATCTGCACAGTCCAACATAGTTGGACATTAGCCCCAGGTTGCTGTAAAATTAAAAATTCAGTTTCACAGTCTCATTCCTCATTCCCCTTTGTGAACTCAAAGCCACACATGGCCAGTGGTTACCTAATTACAGCAAAAATAGAGCATTTGCATCATTTCAGTGAGTTTTAT
Organism: Homo sapiens; assembly: GCF_000001405.40. Lineage (NCBI taxonomy): Eukaryota > Metazoa > Chordata > Mammalia > Primates > Hominidae > Homo > Homo sapiens. Next base: position 67,621,922 of record NC_000013.11, read on the forward strand.
TGGACAGCACGGCTTTGGATTATACCATATTGATTCATGTGATATACTGTCTGTCTATATGTGTATATATATATATGTATATGTACATATCCACACACTAAATTAATCCAGTGTGTGTGTGTGACTAAATTTAGTCCATATATTCTACTTTCCTATTACTCATGCAAAATTCATATTTGCCTCAGTATGTTAAAATTGCTTTCATTTTAGTATGCTTGTCCAATGTAAATCTTTTGACTTTTTTGGCTGATACTATAAAATGTGAACTAAGGAAGTATTAGTGTTCGTATTTTGCATGTATTCAATTGTAATAATGGAGAAAGCCAGATGAGATAGATACAAGCAGAGATAACTCCATTTTTATATACCAATTTTAGCAAAAATGAAGCTCAACTATAAGAGAGTAATGAAAAATAGCAAAAAAAATCATATTATTATTCCATGCATCTGAAGTTTTTAAAATTCCTGTAACAACATTACACGGACATAATAGATCCCACTCTTTTAAATAAATAAATTAATTAAGACATGTATCACCACCTTATGATTTTTTATTTACATCCTATTTTTATTTATTTCTCATTTGCTGTAAAGGCAAATAGGAAAACCTGCACAGGAATATAAGCATGGTCTCCAAATAATAAAAGCAAAATAATACACATGTAGTTCTTCATCACATTTATTTCCATAAGCAATCACCAATCCCCCCCACCAGAGGATTCATTTACTAACATCAAGGGTAATATGTCAGCTACATAAATTTTCAATAATCTAGTTAAAGATATTTGGAAAGCTGAAGCACTGGTTCATTAAAGTTTTCTTTTTATTCAAAGTTTCACTCAGAGAATAGTGAGTGAATATAGTTGCTATGTTTTGAATGTCTGTCCTCTCCAAAACTATGTAGAAACCTGATCCCCAGTGTGGCAATACTGAGAGGTGGGGTCTTTAAGAGGTGATTGGTAATGAGGGCTCTGCCCGCATAAATTTGTGGGTTAATGCAGGAGTCCCAGATCCCTGGGCCATGAACCGGCACCATGGCCCCTGGTCCATGTCTCGTTAGGAACTAGGCTGCACAGCAGGTGAGCAGAGAGTTAGTGAGCAAAGATTCATCTGTATTTATAGCCATTCCCCATCGCTTGCATTACCCCCTGAGTTCCACCTCCTGTCAGATCGGCAGCGGCATTAGATTGTCACATGCAATGGATCTAGGTTGTGCTCTCCTTATAGTAATCTGATGGTGAATGCCTGATGATCTCTCACTGTCTCCCATCACCCCCAGATGAGACTGCCTAGTTGCAGGAAAACAAGCTCAGGACTCCAACTTATTCTATGTTATGGTGAGTTGTATAATTATTCCAAAATATGTTTCAATGTAATAAGGGTGGTGGCTCATGTCTGTAATCCCAGCACCTTGGGAGGCCGAGGTGGGTGGATCACTTGAGGTCAGGAGTGTGAAACCAGACTGGCCAACATAGAGAAACCCCGTCTCTACTAAAAATACAAAAAATTAGCCAGGCGTGGTGGCACATGCTTGTAACCTCAGCTACATGGGAGGCTGAGGCAGGAGAATAGCTTGAACTGGGAGGCAGAGGTTGCAATGAGCCAAGATTGTGCCATTGCACTCCAGTCTGGGCGACAAGAGTGAAACTCCGTCTCAAAAATAAATAAATAAATAAATACATAAATAAATAAATAAATACAATAAAAAATAGAAATAAAGTGCACAATAAATGTAATGCACTGGAATCAATCTGAAACTACCCCTCCCCACCGTCTGAGGGAAAATTGTCTTACATGAAACCCGTCCCTGGTGCCAAGAAGGTTGAGGACTGCTGGGTTAATGGAGTAGTGAGTTATTTTGGGAATAGGACTGGTGGCTTTATTAGAATAGAAAGAAAGGCCAGAGCTAGCACACTCAGCTCCCTAGCCATGTGATGCCCTGTACTGGCCTGGAATTCTGCAGAGAGAGTCCCCATTCCCATTGGCAAGAAGGCCCTCTGATATGACCAGAAGATTCCATCAACCTTGGACTTCAATTAACTGTAAGAAATTTTTTTTATTTCTAAATAAATTACCCACTTTAAGGTATTCTGTTAATAGCAACAGAAACTAAAGCAATAGTATAATGGTTAAAAACATGGCTTTGGTGCAATAGAATCATAGATTGAATTTGCACAATTCCTTTAGCTTTTCTGAGACCATTTTTCTCCTCTACAATGGTAATAACAATACTTCATTGGGTTTCTCTAAATATTAAAATACAGTAAAATGTATCTTCTTGCTTACAATAAAGAATGTATACTTTAGCACTTTCCCCTTTGCCTCTCTCTTTCTAATTTGGGCTTTATTTTTTCTAAAGTTGATTAGGTTTCTCCTCGTAGTGAGAGACATGGGCACCAGTAACTACCAGAGACACAAAACCTCACAGCTGAACCTCAGGTAAAAAGCTCCTTCTACTAGCTTCAGATAAAAATAACGGAGAAATCTCACATATAGCTGCTCCATTTGCATGTCTATGCTGTGACCTAATCATCATGAAAAGATTTTTATGGTTTTCGTCAGAGGCCCATTTATTCTACAGTCACTCCATGTAGAGGAATGGACAATGTCTGCTTACATTAGGACTTATGCTACAGGTGGAGAGGCAGAACAAAGAAGAGAGAGTTGTTTTTAGAAGAAAGGAGGAATACTAGCAATTAAAAAATAAATAATATCTAGTTAGATTCACTGTCTTCATTATAATTAAATATTTAGTTTTAGTGTGTATTGTAAATAGATTGTGCAATTGCTAATATGGAAAGCTGATTACTCTGGAATCAGGTGGAATGAATCAATACCATTAACTGGTTTTCAGATGAGGCATACAATCCCCATCAATTAATACAGAAACTAACAAGCCTCTAGTTTTTCATTTTTAACAGCTGCCTCTATTTGTTGAAACTTGGTGGAACACAGTTTTGTGGCTTCAAGAGGGGATTTCTTTAAAGTTTAGAATATTGAAATTTCAAAAAAGTGGGAAGTATTTTAAGTACAAGATGTGCTATTCTCACCAATGAAATTGTAGCACAGTACAATGCAGTATGTATATATGAATCATTAGGTTACAGTACTTTTAGTAAGGAGGTAGTAACATAAAAACTGCTCACATTAGGGATATATGCCTTATTCTTTGGGCAAGATTGCACATTAAGTCTTTTAATTGTAATGAATTGGAATTTGAAGACCGGAAGTTTTCACTCACTGTATCTAGCCCAGACCTTACTAGTCTAGCCTTCCGTCTAGTCCTCCGACTGCCTGAAGCTGCAACTTTTCAATGATTGAAAAAGTTATTTCCCCTTTTGCTAGTGGTCTGAACTTTGACAACGGAATATGTTCTTGAAATTTAGTTATATATGTATCAACAAATTTATTTTGGAGTGTAGCTTATTTTCACTCTTCTTAATTTATTCAGGGCAGAATTTAAGGGTGTTTAATTATATCCAATTATATTATTCTTTTACGATATATGAGACATTAATTTCTTATTCAAAGAAACAAGCATATTTTATAAATAGGAAAGAATTCTTTTCCTGGGGTACATGAAGACATCACCTGTACTCATCACTTATTGAATAAGGGAAGATTATATCTTGAGAAAATATATAGAGTTGATATAGCTTGATTAAGCCAAGAGCCTGTAGATGCAGCCTCTTAATTACACGTGTTTCTCATAAACATCAGTTCATGGACTTGTTACTCATGCCCTGGGTTCTTGCAACCTCCCAGGATAGAAATCAAGAGAGACTACCAGGTATAACTGCAAGGAGAAGGTTTATTTAGCTTGTTCACAAGGGAACCAGTACCATAAAAAGAAAGAATGGGCTGCTGCCCAAAAGCAGTGTGGAAGTTAATTTTATACAGCTTTCCTATGAGAAAGAGTGATGTCAAGGCATGTATGGGAGGGCCCTTTATAACACTTGTGCAGTGGTTTAACATGTTTCTTTATACATTGCATGTAGCATTAGCATTTTAAATCTCCATTTCTAGGTATTATTGATAGTATTATAATGAAGATGGCGTAATTGTAGGTTTAGGTTAAGTCTGTGTATGTGGGGCTTCAGAGAAGTCCCTAACTCCATGCACTTGTGGTTAACAACATCTAGGGTCTGTTGTTGCTGATTGGCTGAAAGTTAGGTAAGCTACATCTTGAGTAAGGGGCTTTTGTTCTCCTCCAGACCAGATCACACCAGAAAGCCAGCCTTCCTGTTTCAGACTCATGTAACAAAATTGTGTAGGGTTTTTTGTTTGTTTATTTTTGTTTTCTTTTGTTTTCTTCCCCAAGGGTATACTATACAAGTTTGTATTCATTAGTTCTGGAATAATCATGGACAAAGTGGCATTTTGAGCTAGATTAGAAAGATTACTGGATTTGGGTAGAAAACATGAGTGTGTTGTATGTATTGCAGAGGTTGAGTTGAATTAGAAGAAATGGAAAGCAGTAAAAAGTTTTATGAAGTTCTTAAAACCTTCTGGTGGTATGAAAAAAATATTTTTTTTTAAATGAAGGACATTTAATTTGGGTAACTGGGTCAATGGTGATATATGTCATGCTTATGGAATATCTTGAAATTAAGCAGAAAAATAAGGTGACAATAAGAGAATAATGAGTGATTTTATGTTGTGGATAAGAAAAAATGACGAAAATAGTTTTGAGAGAAGAAGTGAGGTGTGTGTGTATGTGTGTGTATTATAAAATTGTGATTAACTTTTTGTCATATTGTTATTGGTTTTCCTTTTTTCAATTTATCATTTACATTTTAAATATAAAAAATCAAGAGTAACAGTACTTTGTCCCATCACGTGACTGTCACATTCTACCTTGTAAAGCTTTTGTTTAGTGTTTGAACATATACCTTCGTACTCTTTCCTCCTCCATTTTGCATAACATTCAAAAAGACTCTTCTTTTTTGTATGTGTAAAACACTGACCCTCACTCTGTAATACATATTCCTGAAATAGCATAATGTTTTGTCATTTCAACCATATATGTGCAGTAAATATTATCTGTCTGTCTTCTACTTGTATTTAGTGTTCTTCAGTTTGATCATGATATATTTAAGTATGAAGTTCTTTTTGAAGATGTAACTGAATGCTTTTCAAGAGTATTGTATCTTTCATCAATTCTAGAAATTTTCCGGATTAAGTTTTTTCCAGTATTTTCCTTCTCCAATCACTTTACATTCAGATACGTATTATGTTTTCTTATCCAATTGTCCCGTATCTCTTAAACCTCTTTTATATTTTATCTTTCTGATGTTCTGTATTGAATTCTGGGTATTTTCTTCAGATGAATCATCAATCTAACTAATCATTTCTTCTGCTGTGCTGATTCTACTATTTAACTCTTATGTAGCATTTCAATTTGAGTTATTACATTTGTTAACATCTCTACCAATAAGTTGGTTAATTAGTCTCCCTCACAGATCTGTATCTATTTCTAGTTTTCTCTTTTCAAGAAAATTTTCAATTTCTTTTGCAATACTTTAAGCATATTAAGAAGTTTTTATTTCACTCTTTAAAGTGTATTAGTTTCCTATTATTGCAGTAACAAATGACCACAACTCACAACTTCGTGGCAAATGTGTTCTCTTAAAGTTGTGGAGAACAGAAGTCTGAAATGAGTCTTCAGGAGCTCAAGTGAAAATATTGGCAGGGCTGGTTCCTTCAGGCAGCCCCAGAGTGGAATCTGTTCCTTTATTTCTCCAGCCTCTAAGGCATCTGGAATTCCTTGCTCCTTGGCTCTTTGGCTCATGGCTGCATCACTCCAGTCTCTGCTTCCTTCAACAGATCTCTTTCTCTCTGACTCTAACTCTACTGCTTCTCTCTTATAAAGATAATCCAGGATTACAGGATAATCTCAGAAAATGTCTCCATCTTAAAATCTTTAACTTAATCACATATGAGAAGCCTCTTTTACCATATAAGGTAACATATTCACAGGTTCTAGAAATTCAGATGTCAACATATTTGAGGTCTAATATTCAGCCTACCACAATATGTAATAATTCTAATATATAATATTTTATTATCTAGCATTTTTAATTTTTTCCTGCTGCATACCACTCATGGAGACTCATTTCTTGTATTATTTTATGATTTTTAATTGGGTTTCTTTTTTTTATAACTCTTTATGGCATTCCTATGCGGCTTTTTTCTGGGGTCAATTCCCTGGAGAGGATAAGTGCCTTTGTTTTGTTTAGTTTTGTTTTGTCTGCCTGAGATTTGGAGGAAATACAAACCCAGTCTACTCTAAATTAAATTTTCTTTTGTATTTTTGAACCAGACAAATAGTGTAAAATTCAGTTCTCCTACTAGTCAGTTGCCATAAAATCCCATAAGATGCTATTTTTATTTTTCTTCTACCAAGAGCCGAAACACGAGAGACAAAATTTCCTTACTGTCAGACTGTCCTCAAATTGTCTTCTAGTTAACTACCTCTTTTTATGCTATAGAACTTTCTTTATTCTTTACTACATGTGTGGTGAATTCCTATCTAGTTCCCCAGCCAGCACACGTACAAGTCAACAGATTCTCAGCATATCCCTCCCTTCACAGGTACATGAATTCATGATACACGGCAGCTTCAGCAACTGCTTACTGTCCAAGTTTTGTCTTTCCAGTTTGTTCTGACCTCATAGAAATTCTGTTTTTCTATGGTGTATACATCTACTCTTTTAAAGAATATGATTTACATTTGGTCTAATAATTTTTGATATTTTGTAGTCACTGGTTCATAATCTCTAGGAACCACTTTGAAGTGAACATGTCCGTCTCAGTTTTTGTGAATATTGACTTGTTTAGCTCATTAAAAAGTGGATTCCATTTTGGAAAGGGTAATTTTATCCTACTTTCAAGCTAATTAATGTAAATAAAACTTAAAAATAAGTTTTAGAAATTTACTTCTACATCCAGTCATATGGCAGTAATTACTGCTTATTGAGAGGTTGCCAAAATGTATTTGATAGTTTTTTAATAATTATCTCCTTTGAAGTAGCATACTACAAGTTTTCAAAAATATAGTTATCTCTTTGGTATTCTGGGGTTGACAATCACTCAGCATAGCTTTTAGGTTACATATTTTGGACCACAATACTTTATAGCATAATGTTCTGCATGGTGTTGATAAAGAAAATGAGCTATAAATTCCTTTCTCAAGCCTACGTGCTAATCCCTGTCACAGATTCTGTAAAGCACAATCCTCTACATATGCTAGTGCTTACTAACATTTTTTATCCAACTTCACTGAGGCCAATCATGAAGAATGAGCATCCTATCTATTTTTTTCTAACTATAAATATAAAGAAGACAGAAATATACAAAGCAAAAAATACACTAATTGTATTTTAAGTGAACTATTAAAAATATTTTTAAATGAATTGACCAAAACATAACTATAAAGTTAAATATAATAATATTTACAAATATTCTATTTCCCTGATTTGGAAATACATTTTCTGTATAATATAGACAAATACTGATTTAATATATTTTCACTTTTACCCACTGAAGACTAGTATTTAATTTACTAGTGCTTCCACTGTGGAATCTCTATTGTAATCCATACATGATATTCTAGTCATGTCACTGACACTGGAGTAAGTAAAATTTTGGTGTTAATATATCCATAACCTGAAGAAGAACCCATATAAACTATTATCTGTGACAGAAACACATGGCCCCTCTTGGACATCAAATCTCTGGTGTGTGTTGCAAATTTTCCTACATCATAATCGTCACATTTTTAATAAAAATTGGAGGGATTACTTAATTCATGACTACTTATGTTTGCTCATAAGGGAAACATATTTTTCTCAGTTATTTATGTTAGTAAAAGGTTGTTTATCTTGTTGTTTTCATAAGAAATTTTGTATTTATCCGTAATCAATTTATCTGTAAATTTGAGCAAAGATACTCCTTTCAGCATTCACAATATATGAAGTCCATAAAAATTTGGGGTCAGAATGGTAGCGCTTATCTAGTAGATCTTCAAGTGTTTCTTATAGAACATGGCTTAAAGTAAAATTACAGAGCCAGATAATCCTGAGAACAACTCACATTGTTTAGCATTTACTGTTTTTTTTTCTACATTTGGTTTCCCACATAATTAACCAAAATACCTTTGTTATTATATTTTTTGCTGGTATTTTATCATGGCATTATTTTTGTAACACATAGTATAACCTAGTTGATGTAGTCTTAACAAAAGTTTTAAACAGTTTATATACATACAATTGCTAACACTTTACTTTCACACATACACACACAGTACTATTCTGAGGCTGTATGTGTTTGCATTCATACAAGGCTGTGTTTATGTGTCCCATGGAAAGCAAATAGTCTCTCCATTGCCTAATTTTCTAAAATTCCTTGTTGAGAGTGATGTCACATCTGTATGTAAGTGTATGTATACACATATGTGTTTGGTTTTGTACATACATATAGATACTCACATAGGTGCATAAGATATATGATGGTGCTAATTAGAATCACCTAAAGAGATTTTAACTTATAATACTAAAACAATAAGAATTGTAAAGAACTGCTTACTTTTTAGCTTAGTCCGTGTCATTTAACAAGTCTTTCACGTTCTCAAAGCTCAATACATTTTTGTCCAGTTGACACAAGAAACTCTAATTTCTCTGTTAGGTGTCCTAAATAGCCACAAGTTTGCAATATGAGAAGAAATCAAGAGGGGAAAATAAAATTTCTATGGCTTTAAATCAATGATCCTTCTCGAGAAATACCTTAAAAACTTGCCATGAAACTGTTTTACTGTTGCGTCTCCAGGATTCTGCTTCATTGCTCATTTGTAAAAACAAACATTTGCCATGAAGACATAACTGCCAATTCAGCTTAAATAAGACAAATGAGATAATGAGACCAGTGGCAGATTTGAGTTGACAAATCCTAGAGAATGCCCAGCTCTAAGTAAAAAGCTTTCCTTTCCTGCCAAAAGGTCTATATGCTAATACTAACTAATTTGCCAATGCAGGCTCTACATTGTTTGACAATAGCTGAGCATCCCAATTTGTTACAGTTGTGACATCAATTTGGATGTAAAGTGTAGTTCGATCTGGTAATCTATGCAACCTCTTAACCCAGCAACCAATCACACAGATGCATACTTTGTACTGAAAAGGCTTAGAAAGCAGAGAGGTTTTTTTGTTTGTTTGTTTGTTTGTTTTGTGTGTGTGTTTGTGTTTTTTTTTGAAAGCTCAGGATATATGAATATTGAGAGCATAATAGTATGGACACTATAATACTGTGACTCTCACCTGCTCATATCCTGGTTACAATAATAAAGGTGAAATAAAATATATTATTTACTTTAACGTAATAGGATCATTCAGGATATTTGCTCTGGCCTAGTTATTCAAATATCTATAACTTAACCACCAAATTGATGGATTTTGAAAGGTCAATTTAGAATGTCACAAAAAGGTTTTTGTTTTTTTCTTAAATCTTCATAGAGTTCTGAAATAACCACAGGTATTGATAAATGCATATACATTTTAATCAGTTTTCTTAATTATTTAAAATAGGAAGGTGTCTATGTTTTATCTTACTCTTCATAACCTTTGCTATAGTATATTATACTAGAAATAAATTAATATTTCACTTTGAAGAAATATTGCATTTAAAAATTAACAAAATGGGTGCTTGGAGTTTGGAATGCTTGCTTCATTACTTTAAAAACTATCCTAAATTAAGCAATAAAAATACCATAGTTTTATAGGGGGAGGAAAATTATCATTAAAAAATGTTTATTTTAAATGAATACAAATTGATGTGGCTCATTCATTTAAGAAGTAGACTGGAAATTCAAGGCCTTAATTCAGACTTTGTAAACTGCACTGAGAGATTCAGTTAGTGACAGATCACCAAAAGTGAATGCACAACACTTTGTAATTACAAAATTATACTAATCCTACCATTATGAAATTAGTTTTTTAAAAAAGTTTGCCTGCCCTGAGAAAACCACATTTAAACAACAACAACCATGAAACAGAGAAGATTTTGGTACATTTTTTGACAATTTACGATAATATTTGAAAACTTCTTTAAATAGAAAACCTTACTTCAAATTTAAAATAAGTTTGTAGAAGATATAGGAGCTTAAAATACTTTAAAATCACAAAAATATTCAGAATTTTGACAAAAAAATTAATTCTCATCTACTGAGTATTATTGAGGGAGAAAATAAGCTAAAAATATCAAAATCCATTCAATTTTTCTTATTTGTTATTTTTTCTTGAGACAGAGACTCCCTCTGTTGCCCAGGCTGGAGTGCAGTGGTGCGAACTCGGCTCACTGCAACCTCCGCCTCCTGGGTTCAAGCGATTTTCCTGCGTCAGCCTCCCGAGTAGCTGGGATTACTGGCGCTCATCACCACGCCCGGCTATTTTTTGTATTTTTAGTAGAGACAGGGTTTCGCCATGTTGGCCAGGCTGGTCTTGAACTTCTGACCTCAAGTGATCCACCTGCCTTGGCCTCCCAAAGTGCTAGGATTACAGGCGTGAGCCATGGCACCCAGCAAAATCCATTCGATTTTTAACAATGTATTAAAAAATAATTCTACACTCTGACTGTAAATGATAATATTTATAGAAACATAGAATCGCAATAAACTTGGAAGTCATATGAATTCACTTTCAGACAAATGTGAAAAATGTGAATTTAATACTTGAATATTTTCTATCACAAGTGCGGTAGGTAGCCTCTAAAACAGCCCCTGATAATTTCACATCCCAGTATGCATGCCCTTATGCAATTTCCTTCCTTTGATTATGTGCTAGACTGAGTGACTCACTTCTAATGAATAGAATATGGCAAAAGTTGTGGATGCCACTTCTAAAATTAGGTTACAAAAAGATGACTTTTATCTTGCTTGCCCTCTCATTCACTTGCTCTGGGGAGAGTAAATTGCCATGTTAAGAGCTACCCTATTGAGAAACCATAGGCTAAATAATGCTGTCTACAAATAACATGTGTCACAGAAATCTGAGGCCTGCAAAAAGTCACATGAATGAGCTTGAAAGTATTTCATTCCCAGTTGAGCCTTGATTGTAGCGTTTGAAATACTCTGAATCAAAGGTGCCTAGGTAAGCCATCCCTAGATTCCAAACCCATGGAAACAAGAAAATGACAAATGGTTGTCGTTTTAAGCTGCTAAATGCTGGAGTTGTTGGTTATATAATATTAGATACCAGTACAAGTTTTGCTACCTAGAAGTGTTGTGCTGCCGTAATAAATATCTAAAACCGTGAGAGTAGTTTTTGAATCAGGAAGTGGGTTAAGACTGGAAAGATTTTGAGGTTTCTTTGGAAAAGCCAAGTTTCTTTGATGAGACTCTCAGTAGAAATCTGGACTTTGAGGAGATTGTTGATGAGAACTCAAAAGGAAATGATTAAAATTATTGAAAACTGGAGAAAGGGGAATCCCTGTTATATAGTGGCAGAAAAGTTGACAACACTGTCATTTGTAGTTATGTGGAAAGATGTGCCTAATAAACCATGAACTAAGGATCTACCTAAGCAAGTTCTCAAGCAAAGTGCTGAGGTTGCCATCTGGGTTTTCCTTACTGCTAATAGTAAAATGATATAAAGAAGATATAAACTGATGGAAAAACTGTTACATAGAAATGAATCCTATCTTTGTTATTTTGAAACAAAACAAAACATCCTTATCCTCTTCTGATGGCAAAAGATGCCAAAGTTAAATGTTTTTTTAAAAAGTTCAAATCCAGGAGCCTGCCAGGAAAATATGAACAAGAAAAGGGACTCAAGGATGTATCTGAAAAATCTTTTCTTAAGTTAAGTTCTTAGAAGTTCGAAGGTGGTGCCTCAAAGTACTCATTATTTCTACAAAAGGCCCTTAAAAAGATTAAGAGTGTACCTCACAGTTCCTCCCAATCAACAGCAGACCCTCTAAGAAAGTTAAAGTGTTTGTCTTCAGCTCTCCTAGCAGAAGCCCGGGGTACTGAAAGGCTATCTCAAAGGCATTTATGGATGTGGCTTTGTCTAATGGAGTTTAACCCAGTGAGATTCACCAGCGGTTGAAAAAGTTCTTGAAAAATTGATAGTAGAAACATTGCTAGCTTGGACTGGGAAAAAAGAAAAAAAACGGAAAGTACAGAATGAAAATAGTTTGTTGTACCTCCAAAATTCTGCTGTCAAGAGGAAGAGAGAAAACTATTCACCTGCAAACAAATGCTATTTTTTATGAGAATCGAGAGATGACTCAGAAGGCAGAACCAAGATCCCAGGAAGCAGAATTGACAGGCATGAAGATTTATTCCCAGGCCTTGATATCTAATCAGAGAACTTTCATTATTTCCCTGGCTAGATTTCAGAATTGCCACGGACCAGAGACTCATTTGTGTCCTCCTTATTCACTCTTTTTGAATAGGAATGTTTTTAGAAGTTGTCCTCTGTTTGTCCCATTATTTTATGTTAGATGTATGGGGCATAAGACAATTTGTTTCCTTGGTTTCACAAATTAAGAGGAACCACAGACAGACATGTGTTTAGATGACAATGAAATGGAGCTACAATCTATGAAATTATGACTTAAACCTCAAAATAAGAATTCCTCCCAGGCGGAATGATAGCTATAACCATGGTAATCCTGCTCACTATGAGAGAAATTACACTCAAAGTGCTGTAGTTAGGGAATTATCTTAAGAGTCTTGTGCAGAATTGGACCTGATTTAGATGGCAAGATTCTGGACTTTGAGCTGCTGGTATAATGGTATGTCACTTTTGGTGACCATGAAGGGGTGGAGTACATTTAATATGTGAAAAAAAAAACATGAATTATTGGGATCCAGACATTCAACTGTGAAGACAGTTTATAAGATGGCCTCTAATAATTCCATATATTGGTATTCATACACTTGTATAATCTCCTATATTTAATTGCAGGCAATATCTAGTGATTTACCTGTAACAAATAGAATATGGCAAAAGTGATTAAATGTCACTTCTGTGATTAGGTTATAAAGATACTATTACCTCTGACTTGCTGGAGTTCCCTCCCTTAGGGAAAAGCCAGATGCCATATTTTAAGCTGCCTAACAGAGAGGCCCACATGGTAAGAAACTAATATTTCCATTCCACTGCCAGGTTTCCATCCAACCTAAGGCCTGCCAAAGTTCACATGACTTTACTTGAGACTCTCTCACTTGAGCATTGAGATGGCTAGATGACCACAGCACTAATCAACCTCCTGAATGCAGCTTGGTAAGGGATCCTGAATGGGAAGCTCTAAGCTAAACTGTGCTGATCTATGATCCACAGAAACCATGAGATACCAAATATTTGTTGTTTAAGCTACTAAGTTTGAGGGTAATCTGCTATGCAACAACAGATCACAAGTAAAACTAAAAAATATATTTGACAAAGTAATTATTATATAATTCATATATTTTATAATCTTTTAATAAAACTAAACTGGAATACATTTCTCAAAATATTATCAACCAGACAAAATTTAAAAGAAAGACATGATATACTCATATTTTCTGAGCACCCATTTTGTTGGTAGAGTTTTATGTATCATTTTTTCTAATAAGCACATGTACCTTCTGTAGAATGCACACCAAATTCATTTTATTATTGTGTAAATGGGGTCAATGCAGTTAAATAAATTACCCAAGATCAAATAATTAGCACGTATTGACGCTTGTTTTCAAACAGAAATGTTTAATTTAAAAGCCCTTGTATCTGCTACTACATTATGTTACATCTATTAGTCTTTTTCATTTTATGCATAGAAGCTCTTAATTATTGAACTTTTTAGACCATATTTAAATTTTCTCCTTTCTAAGATAACTTCAACTGATTTAATTCTTTAAAAATATGGTGTTTTATACAACCCAGTCACTGACTCAGTATCATTTGTTCGTAAACTCAGATTTATTTGAATGACTCACAAGAAAATATGTTTCCAATACAAGTTTAGTTAGCTCTCAAGGGAACAAAGCAGCGCATATGACCCATAAAAAAGTATCACTTTCACCCATAGATTTCATAATATTCATGGCTCTCCAGGATCTCCTCTGTACAGGCAATGTTTGACTGCAAAAGTAGAGGCTGAACTCACAGACTACTAGAACTTAGGGAAGCAACCACTTTCCTTCTTCACCTAGCTTTTCCTAAAGCTACTCTAGCAATATGGGTCACGTCATATCCTTTCCAGGGCAGCCACAACTCATTCATGGAGTTTAACAATAAAGAATTCTGATAACCAAGTACAATTTGCCTGGTATGTCATTGAGCTGAATGCCAGAGGTTTGCAGGGGACAAAGTTGCAAGATGGCAAATCCAGAGTCATATTCTCTGCTGCTTCTGGATATGGTGTAAAAATTCATTCCCACTGTGAACCCTTTAACACCAATCTAACTTTGCATTCTGGATAAGTCAAGTCATATATCATTTTAATACAATTTTATATCTCTTTTCAAAAATGTCTATTTTTGATGTTGTAAACAGAAAAGATTTTTATGTCTATAGCTGATGAAGTATGTAAAATTCAAGTAATATTAGTATGAGTGACAAAATATTTTGGTCTTAACCACAGTTTTTACAAGTTTTAAGTAATTTTTAACCAATTTTATTTTACTTTTTATCTCTTCATTTATTAGCCGTTATACTTTTCAACAGATAAAGATGAAAGATGCATATCAAGTTATTCTGAAACTAAATTCATTTCCTCTTAAGTCAGTTTTCATGACAGCTACAACAATTAGGAATTGCAAATCAGTTTTTCCAACTAACTTTCCATTCTGTGGTTTCTCATTAGAATATTTCCTCTTCTCCTTACTTTTTTCAAACAACCACAAATCCTTTATTACACCAATTAACCAGTAGATGTGTTATTAAAATAATGATTTGTATACAAAATGTATATTAACAATATGCCAATGGTGTCTAATTTATATTATGTTCAGTAAGACAAGTAGTTATTTCAAGTCACTGTGCATTAATTGGGGGCCTGTTAAGTTTACAGCTCAGCCATATCCAGCTACAAAACAAATCAGCTTTGACAAATATTGTATTATAAACATCATTGTGTTCCATGGTACATCTACTTCCCACTGGGATGAGATGTTGCTTATTATATTTTGCCCAGTTCCCACCAATTGTCTTAACAGGAAGTCTTTCTTAATTAATTCTTCTCTGGTGATGTCCTTCACAGCTTGAACTGGTGTGAGCTCCTCTAGCACGGATTCCAGTTACTGGCTTCACAACATATTTGATTCCATGGTTGTCAACATATAAGATGACAGCTCATCCTGGGTCATCCAAACTGTAATTTGGATGGTTGTCTCCTCCAAATCTCATGCTAAAATTTAATCCCCCATGTTGGAGGTTGAGCTTAATGGGAGGCATTTGGGTCACAGGGGTAGATGACTCATGAATAGATTAATTCCCTCCCTGGAGGGGCAGGATGGCTGAGTAAATTATCTGAGTAAATTCTCTTGTGGAAACTCTATTAGTTCCCACAAGAGCTGGTTGTTAAAAGGAGCCTGGCACATTCAGGCTTGCTCTCTTTTGCTTCTTTATTCACCGTGTGAAATCTGCACATGCCAGGCCCCATCGCCTTCCACTATGAGTGGAGGTAGTCCAAGGCCCTCAACAGAGGCAGATGTTCATGCTATGTTTTTTTTTTTTTTTTGTACAGCCTAAAGGACTATAAGCCAAATAAACTTAAAAAAAAATGTAAGTAAATAGCAATACAAATAGTGGACTAATATGGAAAACTGATACTGAGAAATGAGATGTTCATATAAGGATACCTGAAAATGTTAAAATCGTTTTGCAACTGGGTAGTGGACAGAGGTTGGAAGACTTTGGGGGCTCAGAGGAAGACAGGAAATTGAAAGAAAGATTGGAACTTCTCAGAGATTGGTTAAGTGGGTGTGACCAAAATGTTGACAGACAGTAAGGCCCATGCTAATGAGGTCTCAGATAAAAATGAAAGACTTATTGAGAAATGGAGTAAAGGTTACCCTTATTATGCCATACCAAAGAACTTGGCTGCATTTTGTTCATACCTTAAGGCTTTGTTAAATGCCAACCTTAAGAGTGATGACCTAGGGTATCTGGCAGAAAAAACTTCTAAGCAGCAAAGCATTTAAGATGTGGTATGTCTGCTTCTAACAACCTAATTCAGATGTGGGAGAAAAGGAACAATCTAAAGGTGGAATGTATTATTAGAAGAAAAGCAGAGCATAAACATTTCTAAAATTCACAGCCTGACCATGTGATATTGACAAGAAGAATGTTTTTAAGAGATGACTCCAAGGGTGCTGTGGAGCAACCAGTTGCTAGAGAAAATAGCAAGCATAAAAGAGTGCCAGGTGCTAATAGTCAAAACAATGGGAAAAAGACCCTGAAGATATTTCAGCAATTTTTGAGGCCACCTCTCCTATCACAGTTCCAGAGACCTAGGAAGACAGAAAAGTTTCGGGGGACAGGCCTAGGTGCTACTGCACTATACTACCTGGGGAAGCTTCTCTCTGCATTCCGGTCCTTCAGTTTGGATCACCTATGGCTTAAATGACCCCAGGTATGACTTAAGCCACCACTCTTGGGGGAGAATTTATAGGCCTTGGTGGCATCCACATGGTATTAAGTCTGCAGGTGCCCAGAATGCAAGAGCCATGGGAGCGTGGCAGCTTTCATCTACTTTCAGCTGATGTATCAGAAAGCCTTAACTCCTAGGCAGAAGCCTATCACAGGGGCAGAGCCTCCTGAGAGCCTCTACTAGGGTAATGCCTAGTGGAACCGTGAGAGCAGAATTGCCAACCTCCAGATCCCAGAATTGTAAAGCCACTGGCAGCTTGTGACATCAGCCTCAAAAAGCTGTTAAGCATTTGACTCCAACCCATGAGAGCAGCTGTGAGGTCTGTGCCCAGCAAGACAATGGTGGCAGGGCACCCAAGGCTTTAAGAGCCCACGACTGGCACCAGTGTGCCTGGAATGTGGGATATGAGGTCAAATATTATTTGGGGGCTTTAAGATTTAAGGCCTACATTGCTGGGTTTTATACTAGTGTGGGACCTATTACCCCTTTCCTTTGGCTGATTTTTCCCTTTGGTAATATAAATGGTTACCTAAGTGCCTGTAAGCCTTTGCATCTTGGAAATAAATAACTTAGTTTTTATTTTACAAGCTCACAACTCTAAGGAACTTACTTTGAGTCTGAGATGAGACTGTTGACTTTAGGCTTTTGAGTTGATGGTGGAATAAGTTAACAATTTTGAGAACTATTGGGATGGAATGATTGTATTTTGCACTATGAGAATGCTATAGTTTGGCGGAATGCTGTAGTTTGGATGTTTGTCCCCTCTAAATCTCATGTTGAAGTTTGACCCCAATGTTGAAGGTGGGGCCTAATGGGAGGTGTTTGAGTCATGAGGCAGTTTCCTAGTGAATAGATTAATGACCTCATAAGGGTGAGTGTGAGTGAGTTCTTGCTCTAATAGTTATTACTTCCTGCCAGAGCTGGTTGTTTAAGAGTCTAGCACCTTCCTTGTCTCTGTCTCTTGCTTCCTTACTCACCATGTGATCTCTGCACATAACAGCTCTCCTTTGCTTTCCACCATGAGTGAAAGCAGCCTGAGACTCTCACTAGAAACCAATGAGAGTAGTGCCATTCTTCTTGGAAATCCTGCAGAATTATCAGCCACATAATCCTCTATTCTTTATAAATTGCCAAATTCAAATATTTATTTATAGCAACACAAATGGCTAAGTGTCACTCAGCAAAATTGCCTTATTATTTTATGGATAGATTTTCTCTAAACACTTATTGTTTATCATCTTTCCAAGTATTGCCAGGTTTGACTAGTTTCTTGCCAAAGTCATCCCTCTAAAATTTCTATATTGTAATATATTATGTACTTTTCAACGTTGTGTAATACTTCTAAAAACGTTTTTTCTGCCTGGCTCAAAACAGATAGCTACAAATCAATGGTTCCTGAACCCCTACAAGATCACTGGGGCTGGTGTTGACTTTGCCACTACACTTGCCATTGCTACTATTGAGTATAAGTATAGTCTAGAAAAATTGTATTTGCATCCCCCATTTTTATTTATTAATAAATCATTAATTTGCACATTCCACTCCTAAAATCTACTCAGTCTATGTGTGCCATAAGAACTGCATAATTAGAGTTTTTTTGGAGTTCTAAAAGAGAACAGCAGTGAGGGTGTACTCTGTATTATCCCTATATTAGTCCCTGTCATTATGATCAACCCATTATCTTCCTCATTATGTTTCAAATCATGTTATTAAGTTCATGCACATTCACATTTATTACATTTGAAACAGCAAAGCAGGCTCTGGCATATCAGGCAAGCTGCAGCAATACAAAATCCCTCATATATAGGCAACTGCTTCAACAATGTGTCACGCTGGTGCACAGATCACATGTGTACATGAGATCAATTATTGTATAATCATAAATCTGTGCAATTCAAATATAATGTCTTCAGATTTAAGCATGAAAAATGGATTAGTGAACATAATCTATAAACATTTAACCAAAAGAAGGTTCCAGTGACCGAAATTCAGTAAGGCCATTGGACAGTGCTACATGACATGGATTTTTTTGTTTTTGTTTTTGTTTTTTTCATCCAGAATAACCAGAATTAATTTTTGGTAAGGTTCCTACATCATCTTCAGTCTAACTGACATTTCTCAAAAAGAAACAAGATCGCTGATCTTCCCCAGGGAACACAAACAAACTTCGATCGTTCTCTTGTACTGATACAATCTTGAGGGAACAAAAAATTAGCAACTTTCCTGGTATTATCACTCATTTCCAGGTTCCTTTCCTTTAAACTACAATGTTCTCTATTTTTACTTATCTCCTGACTCTTTCTACCTAGATTGCACTGAGGGGTTCAAGTACGGTGCTCAATCGTAAAACTAGCAGAAGGAATTCTCTTGCGTTTATTCTCACTCTTGGATTTCTGAGCAACAGCCATTCTTCCGACCAAGCAATGCAGGCCAACAGAAAGTCTTTTCAACCCATGAATTCCTTTGGAATAAGTACTACAAGGTTTAAAGGCTTAGAGACAATGACTTGTGCCAAAATGTCTTTCCTGATAGTAGCTAACCAATTGAAGCAAGGTGATGGTACTATGGGATCCTACAATAAAACAGAAATAACTTGTCAAATGATAAAGACAAAGAGTTTTATTATGACATAATGCCCTACACATTAATTCTCACTTCTGCACTGCCAAAGATTCTAATTTAGATCTCTCAAGTCTTAAACCCAGTTGTCTAATCCTGCAGGCAAGTTCTCTATTCCTTTTTTTCATTTTTTAGCAAATGTTTGTATTGCTCCTTCCAAGTTCCTCTCAAACCACTACTTTGAGAGTGAGAATGAAACATAGCCAAACAATATGGTGCTTTTAGCCCATAACCATATCTCAGTCACTGGGAAGTAGGTCTGCTAAGGTGATAAAATATATATGGGTGCCCCAAATTGAAATAGTCCACATTATCCCTATTCTTCTAAAACTTTCTCAACCATTGCTTCAGTAATGAGAATTACAACAGAAAAGTGGAGAATGTACCATTGTCTATCAAATCCTTAAAAATCCTCTCGAGGCTATAGGTAATGGTCTAATTGATCCACCTGATAATCATGGACTGGGCTCTATCCCTGTGAAATTAATTCCATGATAATTTTTTTTTCTTAAGTCCTGTGTTATTCTGAAGAGTCATAGGCAACTATTGGTACAATAGAAATAAGGAAATATATCTTCATCCAACCCAGTTTTATAGTCCGGTAGTCCCTATGACAATGCATTTCTTATACTCACTATGCAACTTCAAGTATTGTTTGAAATGTCACACTTCACTCTCTTTAGAAATTCCTGCTAGATTTTTTAGGGAGCATCCAACACATCCTATCCTGTCTTTATTCTCTGAGGCTTCAGAAGTCCTCCCAAAATTAGAGAACTCCACATTCAGGCATTTTTAATTTTCCAAGTGTCTATCACCTTGTTAATCAATCATACAGGTGGCTGTCACTACTGCCCAAGAAGCTGTAAAAACCCACACACCACTCAGTACAGTTTTGCCATAAAACAAAATGTACTACTGCAAGTAATTCAGCCGCTTGTACTACTCTTCTGCTTTTTCCATGACTTTTTTCCTTCACTAGATGAATTGCTAAAATCCCAAATTTTCTGAGAAGTTCTACACACCCTGCCATATACCATGCTTCCAGCATTGTTTCATCAAGATGAGAGTTATATGGTCAGGTTATTCTGCAATTGGATATGGGAGATTGAAGGGGTCCTTGGGTTGGTTGAAGATGAGGTAAATGGTAGCCAAATCATGTGATTTTCCTCCTG
Organism: Homo sapiens; assembly: GCF_000001405.40. Lineage (NCBI taxonomy): Eukaryota > Metazoa > Chordata > Mammalia > Primates > Hominidae > Homo > Homo sapiens. The sequence goes on from NC_000013.11 coordinate 67,642,342, forward strand.
AGGCACTGCTTCAGTATGTCTGTGTGTATACAGTAGACATGCACACACACACACACACACACACACACACACACACACACACACACACACACACACTTTTACTTGATAAATTAACTGTTGGAAGCCTCTTCCTTAGACTAGCCATTATTTTCATCATAGGCTCAGAGTGTCCTTTTTCTGAAATTTTCTAACCTTTTGCCATCTTCAAATCCCATGCAACATAATTTAAAAAGCAAACTCCCTACTGTATCCTGTATTCTATTAGTGATGATTGCTGTTTCCACTAGAGCCTAACATCAAATCAATTGTTTTTATTGAAAGGAGAAGCAGCATTTGGTAGCTCCCAGATGTATATCCTTAGTAACCTGTAGCAGAGGATTGTGGAGGCAAGATCTGACTTCTATTAAAAAGCCAGATGAGTATGGTGGACAAATTTATAGAATGTCTAATAGCATGTGCTCATTTGGGTCTTATGGCCTCAGTGGTGCAGCACTTTTTATATTCCAAGTTGTGAAACTCTATTCAGTTCTGCATTTGAATTGTCTTCTTCCTAGTCACTTAGTCCTCCTTTCACTGTACCTATTTTAAGTAGGCAATGAGATTGCAAAAATTAGGAAGTTGTATAATCTAGAGTGAAAAACAACTACTAGATGTTGAACTGTCTTCTTCATATTCAGATTCTTTAGAAACAGTAGTTCATCTCTATTTTTGGAAAGATTTTTTGAGGTACCAGGCAAATGATTCTCAAAATTTCACAGGATTCTTGGCAAACTCCTGAATTTTTGAAATGTTTACCTTCAAGAATTCTCTATAAGACTCATGTGGCTTTTTTGTCAAGTTTTCTTTTGCTTCCTTTTCCAATTCTTCTACTGTTTAATGCCAACAACACAATGATTCAGCCTGCTTTTCACCAATATCATGCCCCAAACTCTCCTCATAAAATTACAGCAGCCCATGGTGCAATTTAAATACCTTTGACATTGTGTTACCGGGAAGTGCGGAAGTCCTTGGTTCTTGTCTTACTTGGGAAAAAGAATTAGGCCAAGAGACGAATTTAGCAAAGAGAGCAGAGAATTTATTGAAGAAAAGTCAATTGAAGGGAGTTTACTGAAGGAAAATAGAGAGCAGAGATTTGATTGAAGGACATACACTCCATGAGAGGAACAGGCTGGTCTGGCTGGTAAATAGCAGTAGTAGCAGCAAGGGTTACATAGCAAAAGAGACAGAACACTCTGAAAGACAAGGCAGAGCAGGCAGCTTGAAAGAAAAGGAGTCAGCAGTCCCAAGAGTTCTCCATTGTGTTTTTTATTATGTGGGACTCTTGCTTTAAGCTCCCTCCTCTGTCTCAAGGACTTTGTCTTTGTCTAGTTTCCCACTTGTGCCTTAAATCCTCACCATTTTCCCCAGCTAGTTCCCACCCATAGGTTTGTGGGATTCTCCCTTACTGTCAGTGGCTGCACAAGTATGGGCCCAGGGTTGGCTACAAATTCTACCTACTGGCAGCCCTGCTCATTACTGCCACCCCAGGAAGGATGTATTGTGGTTAGATCTTTACTTACTCTGCCTGTGTTTCTCTTAGGAATTGCTCCTTGGCCCTCCTTTCTCTCTTATCAGCGTGTAGCTAGATGCATTCTGACAAGGTAACTGTGGAGTGAGCTTCTTAAGGGGTGTTTTGGGTCATTCCTTTTTACACAGGCATTTATCTTCCTCTCTGCTCATATCTAGAATGCATGTTTTGGGTGGTCTCTGGGGTGTGAAATTTTCCAGAGCTCCTTTTCTCAGGGACTCCCTCTCCTGCTCATGTCTAGCTATCTGCCTACTCTAACAATTATAGTAAAATTATGTTGACTTTGTACCCACCTAAAGACGAACTGAGCTTTACTTTCTTTTGCCGTAGGTACAAAAACAAGGCATCAGCCCAGTCACCTTTCACTGTTCTTTGTCTGCTGCATCTTTTGGATAGCTTATCAGGTACTACAGCCCTTATAAAGTTTACTATATCATTCATTCACCATTAGTCTCCCATCAGACTCCAAAATTTGCTTAACAATTTCAGACTGTTATAAAATAGGTGCATTGATATTATTACCCCTACTTCTACCATTTTAAGTCAAAGTAGAAATTTTCTGCTACCCTTAGGGAATTCTATATATATCACTAAATAAGGCTGAGGAAGTTTCACTTTTTATGTTCAATTTATTCTGGCAGAGGACAGACTTGGCTGAAATTTGACCTGAAGGAGATAACAGCAATATTTACCACTTATGTCACAATCATTGCTAATATGGATTGAGGTGAATACCTTGTAGTTTCTAGCATTTCAATCTGTAACTTCATTTTTAACTGAATGCCGTTCAAGAAAGCATCTCTCTAACCACCCAATTCTACTGAAATCCCTGCAGTTTCTTTTCACTGTCACTGGCAGAGATGCTATGGTACTGGGGACCTTTATCCAATAAGCCAAAGAAGAATTGCTCCATATTCCTTTATATTTAACCTAAAAGTTTCACAGAGACTTGATGTTCATGCTGGAAGTTTCAGTTGGGAATTCCTGGACTAAATTATACTTCATAGATTAGATGAAATTCTGCAACATGTTTCAGCTCTCCCATTTAGTTCTTCTTTCAGTTTATCTATTTTAAATTCATCCAGAAAAGATAGATTTAATGTGTCAAAAATCCTTTAAGGGAGATGATTTGTAAAGTAGATGCTTTGTGGGCACCCATCTATTTTTTTCACTTTAATCACTCCCCGCCCTATTTAATATACAACAGAACAATCCCAAATGACTTAATCTTTTTTTCCCCAACATTGCCCTTAGGCTCAGAGTTTCCCTTTTTCTTTGTTGTTTTTCAAATTGCTCTAACTTTTTGTGCTTACTTAAACTCCATCAAAAATAATTGAGGATGCTATTCTGCTACTGAGTTATAATGTTCTTTTGTCCCCTGAAATGAAAGATTGAAGTTTCCTTGAATTATTGTTTCCATCATTGTTTGAAGAAGCAGCACATCATTGGAGATAGCTCTATTTTGATTATTGTATAACCAACCCAATGGGGTTGCTCCCTTTAGCACTTTAATTGTTCAATGGGCTTGTTCCATTTTAACATAAAAAGGGAAGAGGACAATTCTCATTTTCCCCCTGACTCTGGATTTTACCACCTTAAAGGGGGGCAGATGTGCTACATTTTTGCCATGAATGAATTGAATGCCAAAACCACAGCTAATTTTAACTAGGTACTCATTCCAAATGGATTTCTTTATTCTTTAACACCTAAGCATCAAACTAGTAGATTAACCTTAATTTTCTTTCAAATTCTTCCAAAGAGTACTGAAACATCAATATGAAAACCTTTTCAGCTTTATTGTAGTATAATTGACATAAAAATTGTATATATTCAAAAACGTATGCATTATGAAATTATTACCACAATTAAGCAATATATCCATCACCAGATGTTGGTAAAAATGAATCCTTTTTTTTCAAATAATCAAATTAATTACTCAGTCCCTAGTTAATGGTTTCAATTTTCCAATGCAGTCAACAGCAATCACTGTAGTTTTGGGGAGGGGGGATTTTCGCTATTTGTTTTCTACTCAATTGCAGTCAAACTTATATTATATAACTTGCATTAAAAAGACAAATCCCTGATCACATGTGGCAATATTTTCACCATCTCAGACCGCAGATGGATTGGCAATCACCTAGGGATCAAATACTTATCAGTTCCTTTCTCCCTATTTTGTCTCTCACCTCATAAATCTTTTGCTATATCGAGTAGAGGTCATTGTGTCAATTCCACTTCTGCCATTAATCTGCCTGCTACACAATCATTGATCCAACATTCACAAGAAATGTTATGTCTTCAACCTATTTTACTTCCATTGAATGACTCACAATAGGCAATACAGTACACTGACCTGCAGTTGCTTTGGGAGGTAAAGTTCCATCTCAAGCACAATTTGCTGGCTTCACTGCACAGGTCCATGTCACTATAAAAGACAAAGTTGACGATGGTTTTGTCCATTTTAATTCATTAAATGTATCCCTGCCATTTGTTTCCTGTCTTAAACTCTGCTTGTCAAGCAGCCTATCAAGCAATATATGTCAAGGCACATGCTTTCTATTGCAGCTGGAATCTACCAGTCAGAATTTCATAATAAATAATTCTGACAATGACATGCAGTTGCTCATCTTGGTAGAACATAAATGAGGCATCATTCCACATTTATCTTTGAAGTAGTCTTGGATCATATTTACAGGACTTTCTGAGTCTAGCTTAATAGTTTTGAGCATCCATTGTCTTTTTATTTGCGTGTAGTATCTGAATACGTCATTGTAAACCAAAAAGTCTCTGTGACGGGTCTCAGTGAACGTAGAGGTTTATCTGGCCAAGATTGAGGGTACACACAGGTAAAAGAAACACAAAACCACAGGAATATTTGTAATCTATGTTTTTTCCAAAGAGGGTTTGGGGACTTAAATATTTTCAATATTTAAGGGCAAAAGAGCAGGTAACAGAGGAAAGAGGAAAAAAAAAACCAGGGAGCGTAGATAAAAAGGGGCAAGTGTTTGCATTCTTCTGAAGCTTTGATCAGCGGTTACTGAATCCACATGTTTTACATGTGAAATGATGGGGTAGAAGAATAGTCTATTATGTATTTTTCTGGTTAGCTCAGTTAATCTACATTAATATACATTTGTCTCAGGTGGGTAGAGGGATGACTCCTGGGCCTGTCTTGTCTTGTACCTGTGAAGATAAGCTGTTGATTCACATTGTAAGTGTGAATTCAACAGAACTGTTTTATGGTAAAGATCTTGGGGCCTACAAGACATTTCCTCAGGAGCAAGTTGTGAGAGTGGATTCCTAGGGTAGTATGTGGCCTTTTATCTTTGTAGGAACAAAAATGAGAGGCTGTTTAGCCTGATTCACTTCCCAAATTTGACTTTTCCTTTTGGCTTAGTGAGTTTGGGGTCCAGATATTTTATTTTCCTCTACCATCATTATTATGGTTATTTATCTTAAGATATATTTGTCAAAGATATTTTGAAGTTAGGGAGTTCAGAAATAGACTCAATATTCAAGATGTGTCTGACTAGCAAAAAAACAGAAAGCTTATTAACCCCAGTTTCAGGGACAATTTTCTGCACATCAAGCCACTCCAAAACTTTCTACCTTCAAACAACCACCATTTATTTGTTCATATTTCTAACGGTTGTCAGTTTGGACTCTCAATTGGGTATTTCTTTTGCAGGTCTTGCCTGTAGTACCTTATGCAGCTATGTGAGACGGAATGATCCTAGATGACCTCAATTACATGTCTGGACCTTCGCTGGAGTGTCTGGACATTCTTTGTCTGTGCAGTGTCTCTCTCCATGTGATTTATCATCTTCAAGGAGGCTAAACTGTGCTTATTTGCAGAATAAGAGTGTTGGGATTCTAAAAGGGCATATTCTATTGGTTAAAGAATGCCATCCAAGATTCAAAAGGAAAGGGAATAGATTTATTGGATAGCATGGTGACTATAGTTAATGACAACATATTGTAATTTTGAAAAATGTTGAGTATACCTATTAAGTGTTCTCACCACAAAATGATAATGATGTGAAGGGATGCATTTGTTAATTAGCTAGATTTAACTTATCCACAGGTATATCCAATTTACAACATTATGTTGTTTGTGATAAATACATGCAATTCTATATGTTAATTTATAGTAAATAAATACATAAATAAATTTGAAAAAAAAGAAAGGGGAAGGAAATAGATGTCACCCACTGTGGCAGGGAGGCCAAAAAAAGTGACAAATCAATCCACCACAACCTCTTTGATCAGCACACTTTATAAAGCAGAATGACATCATACAGTAAAGGACAGAAGAGTGATTGAGAGTGAACACATGAAGATACTGGAGCCTGACAACTAACAAGAGAATAATATTTAAAGCTGTGGAGTGTTGTGGTCAAGACTGCAGAGTTTAGAATGAATCTGCCTAGGTGTGATTCTTGGTTTCTTCATTTAATAGTTGTATAGCTTGTTGGGTCGCTGTGAGGATTAAATGAGCTAATGTATAATATATGAAGTGCTTGGTCTAGCTCTTGAGGGATTGTAAGTGCTAACTAAATGTTATAAATCATTTTTGAGCATAACTTATATTGCAAATTGCTTATCACAGAAGTATTTACAACTTAAAGCTAGGAATTTAAACTTTATCATTTTTGTCTAATAAATTATTGATTTTATATGCTCACTTTAGCTTATAAATATGTTTTTGATTTCAGATTGTCATGCTATTAGAAATTCCTCCAATATGTCTCTCATAATTGATAAAGTGACATCCTTAAGGACTTGATAAAAATGTCACTCAGTTTTTATTCAGTTTCCAAAACAGCAAAACACTACCAATGACTTTTTTTCTTTTGCCTCCTCTTGGATTAAACATTGTTTTTTTCTCCTTTTATTTTTGCTGTGTTGGAAAGCTATGTACTCTAGGTATATTCTTTAAGTAAGTTTTCCTACAATTTTAACAAGCTTGCTTATTCTTTTATATATTTCTAACCCATCCAAGTTACTGAGGTAAACACGTTATGAAATTTGTCTAAATATTCTCCAACAATCTGCGAAGTTTTGATTTTGTAAAATTTCTACCTTGTTTTAAAACAAAAATAGCTTATTTTATAATCTTTTCATACGTGATGATTTATTGACATGTTTTACTTATGTTTTTGCTCATTATTGTTTTTTTCTCTTCACTTTTTGTGTTTACATATCTTGTTGTCCAAGTTTGTCATTCAATGTTTGTAGCAAACATCTGGAGCCGTAAACTATTGGTGAAACTGTTTCGGTTTTCTTTTCTTTTTTTCTCTTCTCTTTTCTTTCTTTTATTTTCTTTGTTTTTTCTTTCTTTTTTTTTTTAAACTCAGTAATGGTAGTTTAGCAAGATGTAGAAGAAAAGATGCATTTATTTTCTGTCACTATAGTGACTTATAGCACCTATTACTCCTGATAGGAAGTCTTATGTCAGATTATAATCTTTTCACTTTTGTACTTTTTAATATTTTTCCATTTTCCTTAATTTTTTAATAATTTATTTTTTCTAAGCATTTTTCAAAAATTGTATATATTTAAAGTATGCAATGTAATTTTTCTATTTTATATATATATATATATATATATATATATATATATATATATATATATATATATAGTCATCCCTCAGTCTCTGCAGGCGATTTGTTCTAGGACCTCATGTATACCAAAACTTGCAAATGTTCAAGTCCCTTATTTAAAATCATTTAGTATTTGCATGTATCCTACACACATTCTCCCTTAGACTTTAAATCATTTTGAGATTACTTATAACACTCAATTCAAATAAATCTTATGTAAATAGTTGCTATACTGTCTCATTTTTTATTTATATTATTTTTATTGTATAGTTATTTTTAATTATTTTCAAATATTTTCCATCTGAAGTTGGTTGAACCTGTGTACCTGGAAGCTATGGATATGGAGGGCTGACTGTACATAATGAAAAGGTTACTACAGTCAAGTAAATTAATGTATATACCATCTCACATAGTTACTTTTGTGTGTGGTAAGAGCACCTAAAGTTAACTCTCTTAGCAACTTCCAGTATACAATACTATATTATTAACTGTAATCCTCATGCTATACATTAGATCTCTAGACTTACTCAACCTATATAGCTGCAACTTTGTACTCTTTGATTTACATTACCTAATACTCCCTGGCCCATCCCCCAGCCAAATCACAGTTCTACTTTCAGTTTCTTTCACTTTTTTAAAAAAAAAGAGTTCAAATATAAGTGAGATTATGTAGTATTTTTCTTTCTATGTTTGGTTTACATCACTTAGCATAATCTTCCTGATTCATCAATGTCACAAAAGGTAGGATTTTTTTATTTTTCAAGGTTGAATAATATTTCAGTGTGTATATATATCACAATTTCTTTATTCAAATTTCTGTCAATAGACACTTAGGTTGTATTCATATCTGACTATTGTGATTAATACCGCAGTGAACATGGCGAGGCCAGATACCTTGAGGAACTGCAGATTTCATCTTTTTGGGGTATGTATGTACCTAGAAGAGGAATTGATGCATCATAGGAACTTCTATTTTTAATTTTTTAAGGAACCTCCATACTGTTTTCCATAATGGTTGCATCAATTTGGATTTCCACCAACAGCATATGAAAGTTTTCTTTTCTCCACACCCTCCTTAACAATTGTTATCTCCTGTCTTTTTCATAAGAGCCATACTACTAGATGTGAGGTAATATTTCATAGCGGTTTTGATTCACATTTTCATAATGAGTCATGATGATGAGCATTTTTTCATACACATGTTGGTCATTTTTATGTCTTCAAAGAAATGCTTGTTCACATTCTTTACACATTTTGAAATTGGGAGATATATATATGTGTGTGTGTGTATATATATATATATAATATAGCCATTGAGTTTTGTGTGTGTGTGTGTATATATAATGTATGGCTATTGAGTTGTATGTGTGTGTGTGTGTATATATATATATATATATATATATATATATATATATATATATAGCTATGTTTGTTTGTAGGTTGGTACCATTCAGCAATGGAATATACTTTCATTCTAATATATGGAATTTTTTTGGTTAATTACCAAAAATTTTGAATCATTTTCTATTTTAATTTTGATGCTTCCCCAATTATTTTATTATCTTCTTCAAGAACTTCCATTAAATATAATTTAGAATTACCCAATCTGCTTTTCAGATTTTTCATTTCATATGTACTTTCTCAATTATAACTTTTGATTCACTAATTATCTCTTTCTCTGTTTTCAGCGGACATTTGTTTTCATTTTACTAACTACATTTTTCCATTTCCACAATTTTTTTATTTTTGTCTCCATCTTCTTTTCTGATTTTTTTTTTTTTTTGACAGAGACTCACTCTGTCGCCCACCTTGGAGTGCAGTGGCGCGATTTCAGCTCACTGCAACCTCCACCTTTCGGGTTCAAGTCATTCTCCTGCCTCAGCCTCCCGAGTAGCTGGGACTACAGGTGCATCCTACCACGTCCGGCTAATTTTTTTGTATTTTTAGTAGAGACAGGGTTTCACTGTGTCAGCCAGGATGGTCTCGATCTCCTGACCTCGTGATCCACCGGCATTGGCCTCCCAAAGTCCTGGGAATATAAGCATGAGCCACCACGTCCAGCCTTAGTTTTGTTTTATAGATGCTTTTTTTTTTTCATATTCACTCTGAGCATTAAAAATACACTTATGTTAACATCTTTGGTGTACTCTGATATTTCCAGTTCAACATTATTAATTGATAACAAGTAAGTTTGTTTAGTTTTATTAGTTCTTCTCATAGCCTGTATTTCTTTCCATATATTGTCATTTTGTTCTGAGGGCCTACAATTCATATGATTTTTTTCTTATGCTTTCCTTTCTGTACACTCATTTCAACTCTCAGGCATTTTTACAGTTATCTCACACCTCAACTCCTTCTTAAGGATCATGACTCAGAGGCAGTATTGCTTGTGGACACCTACAAGAGGACTGCATAATAATCTTCAACAGTGCAGAACATGCACCAGGCTTCTGCACAATAAATTAGTTTTCTTCTCTTTCATTCCCAAAGGCAAATCCTGAATCATAGTCCCCCAAAATGAAGATATTCAGAAAATCTCTTGCCTGCTTTCACATGTGGCCAGAGATAGTACCAGTCCTAGACTTCCCCTAGGGGGCTTTTGCCTCCATTCTCTCACTATATGTGGGGCCTGTTTCATCCTGTTTTCCTGCCAGGATTGAAGTTCCAGCCCGTTTTATCTTCTTCTCATAGTATTCAGAGATTTCTGCCTTCAGCTCCCACTTACTTATGTGAGTTTGTCCTCTGACCCATAACAATCAGTTCTGTGAGATATAGAAGATGCTGGAACCCTTGAAAGTCACATGTTGCAGATGCCAGAGGCTATAGCAGTGAGAGTCTCTGAATTACTCTGTAAAGACTTGCCTCGTGGACCTGTTTATTGGCTCACTATTGTTAAATACACAAGAGGCAGACTGCTCTTAGGTTGAACCTTTACGTATTTGAGATATTGTTATCAGATGCTAGCTTATCTTGATAAATGAACTGTTTAACCTGAAAGTTGTGTGTCTTTTGGCAACTTCAACCTTTTATTAGGTACTAAATTTTTTGTTTGATTATGGTATTTAAAAGATGATTTTTAAAAATGTTTTTGAGGAGTTCTCAGTAGTCATTTCTCTGTTGAAGGCTACCCCAAACAAAATCCATCTGCATATGAAAATGTACAAATATCTCCTGTATAATACTGTTAAACAGCCCCCAAATTAATTTAAAGTTAGATCAGTATCATTAATGTTAATTAATTTTACTCTCCAAAAAGAATAAGCTTGTCTTTGCCCCCACACAATCTGAAAATATTTATCCACTGTAGGAACTGTGAAAGAACTTTTACTATTGTTGCCATCCACAGGGAGGTCATAAATTCTTGTCATTCATCTCTAAATAGAAGCATTCCTAAATTAGATGACATTTAGTAACATGTTATAAAAGCCTCAGAAGGTTTTTTTCTAGTACTATTCTAGGTGACCTTATATGTCTGTTTTGTTTTTGTTTTATGTTGCTCGTTTGCCTTACAAATAGTCTTTGAAGATTTTGTCTTAAAAGTTGGTGCCTTTATAGTGATATGGGTGTGTTATTTGAAGCATGTCATCCATGCCATATTTCACATTTATTTGTGAACATTTGTAATTTATTGCCGGAGATTAGTTTTTGTTTTTGTTTTCTTTAACACACCGTATTCCTTTTGAAACTTAAAAAATTCAGAACTTAAAACACAACTTCTTTTATCTGAACCTTTAGAAAACTCTATAACTCAATTACAAGGGATATTTTGTCTGTTGGACATTGTTCTTTTTTACTTTACTATTGTAACTTCTAAGATAATATGACTATTACTTGTTGCATTTATTTTACTTTATTACCACTAATTTTTTTTGTCTTTTTGTTCAGGATTAAGTCCAATTTATGATTGTTCATTTTTGCTTCTTCTAAATTTTGAGTTACCAACTACCATTTATTCAATTTTGTAGTGTTGGCAAACCTTGTTTTTAGCTTGTTGAAACTACCACAGAACATGTAGATATTTAAAACCTCTCATTTTGTTCAAAGAACATATAATTACATATATATTTTTTAACTGTGGCAGAAAAGCATGCACTTTGTCTAGCCAAGCAGTCAGTACACAATAATGTTCTATAGCTCACATCTTTTTCCTTTTGTCCTTTTTAATAACTTACAGAATGCTTTATGCTTGTGAATTTTCATATTAATACTCTTTGTGCAGGTTTGTGTGTGCTTATGCCCTTACCCAAATACTGGATGAATTATTCTTTAGAGAACATTCACGTGTCTGTATCTTTCTGTTATGAATTCCATATACTAGAACCATTTGCAAGACACCAGGGTGAATTGACCCATTAGCTTTGGCACCAACCCTTGACTAATTATGAGCATTAAATAAGTTACTGATCCTCTCTAAGCTACTATGTGGGTAAATATATATATATTACATATATATAAATAAGTATATATCATATATAAGTATATATGATATATACATATTCACATATTAAATAAATATATACACATACCCACATATATAGTGAATATGTTTATATCAATAAATTATAGAAATGTGTAAAGTGTGTAGGATGCCATATTACTTTTTATGACATAAAATATTAATATTTTTATTTTCTATGAAGCTGTTAAAATTTCTATACACAGAAATATAGACATCTGAACTACAGAATATTTTATTTTTTCTGTTATTTTCACCCAAAATCACTGAGCAAAATCATCATTTCTCCCCACTTGCATTTCTGATTTTATCTGGGTACACTTCTATCTGGATACACTTTTCTACCTTCCTCAGCTTAAAATACTGTTGATTAGAAACCAACTTGTAGCCAATAATTTCTCTTTCTGATTTTTTCATAAACGCTCCAGTTCTTACCTAGGGCCAATTGCTTTCAGAGTATTACACTCTATCTTTTTTATTCTCACCTAAATACTTTTGTGTACACTTTAACCTATTTTCTCCGTATTTTTCAGTACTAGAGATAGTGCATGAGTAGTAATAAAGTGATCTGTAATCTGTTTATATAGATTTATTCAACTTCTCCTGAGATTTTTTTCTTTGCACCACAAAAGTAAATAGGTAAATAAAATGACAACAAATTCATGCCCCTCGGTTTTTTTAAATATAGAACTTATAGTTTTTTATTACATTTCCAGCGTTTTAAAAATTCTTTAAAATTAAAAAAAAATTCTTTTGTAGTATGGACCCCAGGCCTGTATAATATACTCATAAATGTTGATCAATTTTAACCATAGATGGTAGATTACTTTATATTACTTATATTTTGCACTCTTCCTCACACAGTACAGAACCCGGTTTCTTCCTAACTATGAAGAAATCATTCATCAAAGTCAAAGCAAGAAGAATTTGTTATTGCACCCTCAATAAAATGTACAATGACAAGTTTTATAGTCACTGAAAGTGGTAATATCTTATGAATCATATATATTTAAATACAAGTAAAATATATTGTACAATTTAAAACTCTACAATAAATTGTGGTTGGGAATGACCATTCTCTCCCTAAGAAGCTTTACCTGCATCTACCCATTGTGAGCTAAGACAGGGAGGTAGACTCCAGCTTCATACTGGAGATATATTTTTTTTAATAAATAAAGTTTTCAAGTCAGGAAATTGGGATGCTTATGCAATATCAACACAGACTCAGAATCTATTAAGGACATATTACAGTGGATTTTTTATTGGTTAAGAGAAAGGTGTGTCAGAATCTCCAAAATATCTTTTCTCTTTAGCTTTATGGCAATTGTAGTATTCTAATCTGTATTCCTGTAGTTTTTGTACTTGTCTCATCATTTCTCCCATAGATGCATGTCTTTATGCAGAAAAAGGGTGAGGGGGTGGGAATCCAAATATCTTTAAATTTTTCCTGATATCTAACAGGATAGCTTACGGATATTGACCATCTAATATATTTTTCTCAAATGCCTTATCTATATAATTAAGAATAAGATAAGTTAAAAGCAGTATTTTAAAAATTTAAAATAATCTAATGAGAGTATAAAAAGATTGGAAAGTATAAAATAAAAATTGACTAAAGAATAATAAAACCAAACATATACACATATATATAAAATTAAAATAAGGCAAACATCAACTACACAGATAAAAGATTATTGGACAGATATTAGTCCCCAAGCATAGTGGCCAAACTTACTGGTATATTTCAGAATAAATTAAAATTGTGGATCATAATGCTTTGAAATTATTGAGAAATCTATGTTTACCTGTTTGCAGTGCTTTCTGACATTAAACATTTCATAAATTTTGGGTGCCGATACATTTCTCAGTTTTTCAGAGAATTATGTAGATTATTTTTTTCGAAATTTTAGATGTTTTTATGAAAGCAGGGCTGTCTACTGACCTTAAAAATGTTTTGACCTCTAAATACTGTCAGCAATGACATTTATAGAATAAAATATCTTACATAATAGAAAAAATATGATGTTTTGATTAATTTCTTCTATTATTCTACTTCAAAAACAATTACTTTTGCATGATTTTATATAATTTTTCCTCTCTAGTGAAATGTGAGTGTATGTGTTTTTTAAAGTTTTCTCCAGAAGCAATGTTTCTCCTCTACATGAAGAAAATTGAAATGTTTCAACTATTTCATCTCTTATGTTTCAAAATAGTAATTAATTTTAATATTCCAAAGAATTCAGACATTTCTAGTACTGTGCTATATACAGTTGTACAACATAGCATTTCTATTCTGCTTAACAGTTTGCAAAATGTCTTCACATATAGAATTTCTACAGAGGCATCATTTTCAAATACAGAAAATGTTCAGAGAATATCATTTTTGATGATGATATGGGGGTGACTATTCTGGTATCACTTGAAGAAGCAGTACTTTGCGAAAAAGGAAGTAACTGATTATAGGAGGTCAAAATGCCCTGATGCTCATATCTATGGAAAACATGATTTCTCCTCTGAATTTATGACAAAGTTTATGACGATTTTCCCCTTCCTTATAAGCCCTCAGATTGATCTTTGTAATTGCTTTTCAAAATTTAATTTACATTATTAAACTTCACTTCACTTATTTAAAAATAGATATTTAAATCTCTTATTTGTTTAAAAAGTCTGAAATATATTGTAAACAAAATATGTACAGAAAATATGCCACCATTGGGAGGCACAAGTGAGAGTTTGGGAAAATGTAAGGTTATTTTTCCACCTCTGGAGGTGTCCTTGACAATAGCAACAGTTGAATAGGGTAACCAAAGTTGATTGCAGGTGGCTGCAGACTCCAACAATATTAGCAGTAATTGGAGCAGCAGCAGCAGCAGCAGCAGCAGCAGCAGCAGCAGCAGCAGCAGGAAAACAGGATCCTGGATTCCCGCTCAGTAGCTGTGGTGTGAAACAACTGCAGCCATGACAGCCTTATATAATCTCCAGCAACTTAAGCAGGACTTGTGGCATGTTCGGGGTATATCACAGCTTCCTGAGTTTGATATAACTGCTTACTTTCCCTATTCCACCTTTGGTTTGTCCCTGCAGATAACACCAATATGGCCAATTATCTTCCTGCATGAAATATCCAAAGTGGTGTCTCATACTGACCTGAGCAAACATCAACTGATACGTGTGCTAATAGAAGTGGCACCAGGAAACAGACCTTTCAATTGTTAATCTGAGAATGGTTATTTGACCTGATTATAAATGTTGATCTCATCACATTTGGAAAATGAGACTCAGGTAATCCATGGCATGCAAAGGCAGATGGCTATTTAAACTACTACCTGTTGCCTAGGATGAAATTATTAGAAAGGGTACAGTTCACTTGACTGTTATGGCAGTAATGGCTATAAGGATTATGGAATGTGTTGACTACTGACCTATACCGGACAGTTCACTAAAAAATAATACCATGAGGTCAGGTTGTTACACTTTCAGATTAAAGCCTGATCAGAGAACAAATTAGTTAAATAAGACAAAAATGCAATCCTGCAACACAGATAGAATACAGAGCCTCATTTAGTGACTTATGTGAAATACTATTTGGTAAGAACTGGGATCTTGAATATGGCAGCTTCCTGAGTTTGATGTAACTGCCTCTTTTCTTTTTTCCACCTTTGGTTTAGTTATTTCCACCTGCAGATAACACTGTTATGGCCAATTATCTTTCTACTTGAAATACCAAATGTGGTGTCTCATATTGCCAAATTGAAGACACTTGGATAGATTTCAATGAGTCTAAGAACCTTTCAAACTTCAAGCCACTTTTTGTTTGTTTATCAAGAGAAGATCCTCTACCCTTCAGAACATACTAGCTATTTATTGCTTAAAATTTCTATAAAAATCTTATTTTAAGTAGTTGCCTTATAAGGTTTATTCATTCTCCATTTCCACATCCTACTTACCCTTATTCTTCAGAACCATAACTAGAGCAAATCTACAAATACTCTGGAGAACCAACACAAAGAATGAATGGAGAGAAAAGAACTTATGCACTAAAGGATTTACAAACCTTTGCTAGTTTCTGTGAAAAGAAATCTAGATATTATTTGTGGGGATGGATTTTTTTTAAGAGTGCGAGATCAACAAGGATAGAACATAATATTAGATCAAGCAAAATTTTTCTCTACAGGTGCATGGAACAATTTCTGATTCAATCAGTTTTTGATTCAAAATGTTAACTCAAGCAGCCTGGCTTTAACACTTTTCTGGGTTTGATGGCTGAAAGCTGGTCTCAACAGTGGCCTACATTAAATGGATTTGATTGACAAAATTCCCCTGCTATACTGCAGAAGAAGAAATCCGGATCTTTAGAGATAGCTGTTTGGTGTATTTTGAGTTATGAATGATATGTCCCATGTGAAGATTTAAAGAATGCTACCTTTAAATGTCTTTTTAAATGTCTATAAAATGTGCTGATAAGGAGGGCTTCAACATCCTTACAAAGTTCTTTGGTGTCTGTTCTTCATAGGCCTGGGAGGATGATGGCAGTGGCTGTCATTGACCTTCAGCTTTCTTATTTCAATGGGTTTAATTCTAATCCTGAGGTGGCAGATGCAGTGACTGAGTGGACATAGGATGAGACTGACAATTACAATATTTTTATCTGCAGGGATAATTATTAACAGGTAATTAACTATGGTGTTCTCAATGGAGAGTCTATTATTGTATTTTTTGCATATATAATCAGAAAAACTGTACATCTGGTAAGCAGAACACCCCTAAGTTACCACATTGGAAAATGAGCCAGAACTGAGCCAGTTAACATTTTAATGATGACCATATAATGAGGAGATCTTGTAATGATGTTAAAATATGGTATTTGATCTTTATAGCATATTAAAGCAGGACTACAATTATCACAGAAAAAGAAATTACTTCATTTGGAGAAGAATATAGTAACTGATATGACCTCATGTACCTCTTTTTGGGAAAATGTGTACATCTTCATTTTTAAGTGTGAAAATTGCATAGTTTGAGGTCTAAGCACGGTATTGTTGAGACAATTGTTGTAGGAAAGTTTCAACATAGATAGAAGGATTTACATGGCTATGGAGTAGCCAGAGGAAGGTTTCTACAGAAAGTTTCTATTGCCTTTCACCTCCATATTCACCCACCTATATTTTTTCTATATTGTTTATTAACACAAAGTTGAGTATGTGTGTGTGTGCATGTGTGTATGCATGCCTAATACTAGATAATTTAATAATGAAAATAAATCATCATAGCACCCACGCCAAAGAATGGAGTCGATAATTTTTTTGGACTCCCTGTTTATTTACTGATGAACACAGTTCCTACATTTTACTTTTAAAATATGAGCATTATATGAATATTCCTGAAAACTTCTTGTATTATTTAATACAATAATATTCAAAACAGCATTTAAATCTTCTTGGGAGCATCTGGAAATGTTTTGATAACAAATATTTAACTGGAAAGGATGATAAGCTGTTTAGGAGGTAGACATGTGGAGAGGGAACAGAGAAGGATTCACTACAGGCAAATGCAGAGAGACAATCTAAGTAACTAGGCATGAGGAAATCTCTGTATTCACATTATACTTAGCATTTGCACAATTGTATGACCAGTACACCTTTGTATCAGTGAGCACCCATGCCAAAGAATGGAGTCGATGTTTTTTTCTGCTTCCCTGTTCATTTACTGATGAACACAGTTTCTACATTTTATTTTTAAGACATATGCATCATTTGGACAATCCTGAAAACTTCTTATTGATGAAACAAGAACTAAGATGACTTTGGTATGCAATAATAAACCTTTCTAATAAGCTTTGTTTCCTTTCTGATTTCAGCTTTTGAAGTCCACCATTTCTCCGCATCTGAAAATCAAAGTACTTTTTCTGTTACATTTTAATCTGACATGAATGAGCAACTTCCTGCTGTTTTAGGACAGGTCCTCAATAGTACTTTTAAAGCCTTAGGAGCTTTCAATATCATCAGCCAATTAGGCATTCACAAGACTTTTGCTACATATGACAAGTTTAGAAATATTCCTTTTTTTTTTAAGTTTCTAGAGATGTAGAGAACTTTCTGACTTTCTAATTGCATGACCATAGATTATGACTCTTTCCATAATATGAAATGCATCCTGCAGTGCTTGTTCTAAACTATACCTCAATAGTTATTAGTGATGATAACCAGAAAGATTGACAGTTATTTATTGTTTCTTACCATTATACTCCCCACGGAAGGAGAGAGATTTCATACATACTATTTAGACATTATTTAATAAGAGACTTATAAGTCAAAGAAATTTAATTGCACATTGTCACTGTCAGTCTTCCTACAAATAAAATACTGTATTGAGTTCACTAATATACAAATGGTGGTGGTGGTGGTGGTGGTGGTGGTAGGATAATCTCAAGCAGCCTGATTTCTCATTTGCATTTCTACATAAGTAAAAAAATTCAGTTAATTTAAAAAATTAAAATGTAGCATGTGATATTTATTACCACTTTTTTGCATTCATAATCTATGTAAACATGTGAATGAAAATACCTATGTGTAATGGGAAAGAATCTTCAATTGTCAAATGCTTATCAAATACCCAGGAGCCAACGAACACTTCCTAAAGTCTAACTGAGGGTGTCCAAATGCAATTCCATTAAAGACTGCTCAGTCATCATTCTCCCAAGCCAAGTTCAAAAGGCCAAAGTCAGTTTTTTAAAAAAGAATTTTTAAATTATTGCATATGCCCTTTCAAGTCAGTGTAAAACAATCACCTTGTCCACTCATCGGGTAATTGCGTTCAATGTCTACGGAGGACACTAAGCACCAGTAGTTCCAACTGATACATAGACAAGTTTGCTGCTGTTGAATAATGTTCTTATTTTGTATGTGTCAAGGCCAAAATAGCATGCTTACTTTACACATCTAGCAAGGCTACAGTTTGTTTTCATTTTAAAGAAGAGTTACCAAATTGAAGTCCTTCTCTATAATAAAACTGTTAAAACAAATTGACAGTCAATATTCCCAAACTTTAACTTGATTAATCCTGCTCTTGGCAATTGCACTATTGCATTATGTGTTATATCTTTGATTATCCAATGAAGGAATAAGAGTAGAATATTTCCTTAAGTGAATTTCTGTTTCATATGGAATGTGGCAACATATTGGTGCTATTTAGAGATTACATATCCAACATACAATATATATTATTGTTATTTGTCATGCTTAAAAACAGAATAAATATAAACATCCTCATGTTTATATATCTCTAATTTTAGAAGGTATAAATAAATGACTTAATTGTCTCATGAAGGATTAGAAAATCTTTAATTTTAAAAATCACTAATGAAACTAATTACACTGCAGGTAATAGTAAGTAATTTTTAATTATAATAGCAAGAAGAATGACGTAAAAGATCCAATTGTCTTAAGTGATCAGAATAACTAATTTTTTTAATGACCATTTCATGAACAAAGTCATACTACAGTTAATTAATAATAATTTATGATGATAAGGAGGAGATAAAAATATAAGTAATCTCAAGATGCTTCTTTCTACAGTGACATACTTACATAACTGTGTTCATAAAAATTAACAATAATATATAATGCCTTGTGAATGAAGTACTCTGTTGTAACAATATATTATTAATTTTATATGCCATTTCCTGCTTTGATAAATATAGTATTTATTCAACTCAATAAATTACTACCAATACAGAAAAACCAAATGTTGCACAAAGCCTAAGGCTATTGTATCAATATAAATATATTCAACTTTAAGGCAATGATTCTGACAGATTAGAGGACTAAATTCATATAATAGAATGTCATGATTTAAACAAAATGTGATCCACCAGAGGTAAAATTATAACCTACCTATTATTCCTAGAAATTTAAAGCAATATTTTTGTGAGAGTTAAATAATTTTCAGGGTGATTTTTGTATACATATTTTTATTATAATATTGACCTAATGGGAAACAAAACTGCTTTTCACTAGCAGGGCCAGATGTGCAGGATGATTAGTTATACTTACACTCCATTTGCCTTCAAATTATGTATCTTTGAAAAATAGGACATGTACATAGGTTGATTTTCATTTATTTTTGTTATCCTTTATTTAATGATTTGTATTCTCCGTTGATATATGATTGTATTACTTAAATCCTCTGAAATGTTTTTAAACTAATCAGAGTATGTTCAAAAAGGAGAAGAAAATGAACTTTAAGTACTTGAATTAAGCAGCAGCATCGTGTCTATTTATTTTGTTATGTCACCCGGGCTCTTCCTTGTTGAACAAGGTAATACAATGGTGCATACAAAGATAGCCACAAAGTAGCTTACTTTAGATATGCTTCTTGATTGACTGTTAAGATATTCAAAGAAAGCAAAAACATCTTACAATTATATATCTATAAATGCATAAGTATGTGTATAGAGGACTAATATGTATCGTGCATATACATAATTGTATATCATTGTCAGTATGTGTTTGTACACTGACAATTCGTAGTACCTCAAATTATTTTTAGCATATTCTGTTGTATACAAATTTACACTTAATAAAGGGAGAATTTTAAGTTAAAGGGGAAAGATGAGGCTAAATCAAAAGGTAAACAAAGACTTAAAAATGCTAAGCCAGTGGTAGTCTATTCTGAAAATACGGACACGGTGATTGTGAAGGGTGCCAGGTCAAGGTGTTCATCCCAGTTTTTCACGGATAGAATTAAGCTGTGTATATGGGAAATGGAAATGAAGAATAGGATTTGTGTGCACAGCTCATTTTTCCTCCTAGTAGAGCGAACTAATGAATATTAAGAAAATATTAAGAAGTATTTTTCTTTTTAAAGTGTTTACCCTGTGTTTCTCTGTCTTTGGGAAGTCAGTCACACTAGGGGTGAGAGTTCACAGTGAATGTCTAATCCAGACTTTGGCTAATTATAAGATGATTCCATAGTTGTAATCATCTCCAAAAAGTTTAGACATGTTCTGGCCTTTGGGTTTCAATTATATAAGTATGTCCCATTCTGCGTCCATATGCACATCTAAATGTCAATTGCATGGTAACGGAGTTTAAAAAAAATCTCAAACCATGTTTCTGCTGGGTCTGGTTACAGCAGTTCCATAATGAGCACCTTTGAGCACTTTTATTCCACTTCACAGTGTGTAAATTCATAAATGCTTGGCCTTGTATCTTTTCTGTGTTGTCAGCATTCTCATCATTTTGGGAGACAAATTGATATCTCCCTTAGAAATGACCAAATTGAGTGCCATCTGTTACAATGAAGGGCTACTTCAAGGAGAACTTTTATTGAATGTGAGTTGGAATTTTCATTGTAGCAGCAAAATTGAGAAGCATTTCTAGTGGACCCGAGGGGTGGTGTTTTTCTTTCTAAAATCATTGTTCTCAATTTTTACAGGCTCTGCCCTCAAAAACCATCACTGACATGCAGCAGAATTTTTTTTTTTTTTGGCAAGTTATATAAGCAGAAAGTGATTGTAAATCAAACTAGAAGAAAGTATAACAGATATTCCTGGAAACCAAAGAATATTTTAATCATCAAATAATGAAACAGAGGCATCTAGAGTAAAGCCCTATTGGAAATAATTAATAGCACGTGGGCAATGATTTTTTAAATGCTTTTTTATTTATTTCATTGACATTAGTTCTTATATTTGACATCTTCTGTGTGACTAATTCTACAGTAGAT
Organism: Homo sapiens; assembly: GCF_000001405.40. NCBI lineage: Eukaryota > Metazoa > Chordata > Mammalia > Primates > Hominidae > Homo > Homo sapiens. The sequence continues at coordinate 67,663,694 of NC_000013.11, forward strand.
TATCATCCTTTAAAATGCAAATAATTTTTAAGTAAGCTAACAGTATAATAAGATGTACACTAACAATCCTTAATTAATAAACATAATCTTAAAAGTTTCATTTAAACTTGTTAAACATTTAAAATAAACACTGTCTAGCACCTTTTCCTGCTACATATGGAGAATCCTATATGTAACTTTACTTTTAAAAATTATTTATATCTGAAAGAGAAAAGTAGTATACTAATCAGTTTTTCTAGTAAGTATATATGAACTACTTTCAAAGAAATAAACAAGAACAGAGTTCTATAAGCACATTACAGATCCTGCTTCTTCAAAACTTACTCTGTAGGATCTTAATGTTAGTAGTATTTGACTAGCTATGACGTGTGGGTATATATCCAATGTTTTATATATATATATATATATATATATATATATATATATGGAAATAAATAAATGTTTATTGCAAATAAATAAGTAAATAAATATATATTTTCTAGGGTAACACTGGGCTTTCAGAGGGCGTAAGGAACAAGTATTCAGGGAGGGCCAGAAAAACTGAAGAAAATTGGAGGCAGTAATATGTTTGCTACAGAAAGTTTGAGGTTTTCCAGATGGAAGGCTGAGGTGCTCAAAGACAAAACATGTCAGAAGGAAACATTCCTGCTGGCCTATTCCTGCAAATCCCAGAAGGTGCATTAACATAGGAAGAAGGCAAGCCCCACATTATTAATAAGCTTACCAACAGATTTCAATTGATTTCCTTTAGGTTATCTGGCTTCTTTTGTATTCCATTCTCTCCCTTGTGTTTAGTTTCACTGGTTTTTAATCAGATTACTTTAAAATGTTCTGAACCCAGGTTAGAATTTAGCATGCAAACAATGGAAAAGAGAAAGAGAGTTTTCTGTGTAGGGTAAGTCAAATAACTCACCACAATTAAGATGATGAGGACTCCTGAAGGGCAGAGAGAAGAGGGGAGACTCATGCACTTGACACAAAAAAAGCTGAATAGCCAGAAGAGTTCGTCAGAGGGAGGCTCTGGGGATGAAAGGTTGGCAATGACTCCCTTAGGAATTGCACTCTGAAAACCCAAAGTTCAATACAAGCTACTTTCATTAGTATAAGTGTTTCTGCACAAATAACCTGTCGTTACATTTCAGTTCAATCTTAGAAATTGGAAGGGCAAAAGACCTCTTAGGTCATAGTGCTTGTCACTCCAGTGCAAAATATAAACAATGTCTCTCACAGATAAGAATGCATAACTTAACATAGATGTGGAAAATATGGAACTACTTTTTCTTTAAAAATCTTTAAAAAGTAAAATGTTCTGTTTTTATTTTTTAAAAAAATTGAGTTATTTGGGCACAGAACTCTTCCACAAAGTCTGTGACTGAACAAGTGTTTGAGTGCTTTAGGACCACATAGTAGGAATGGTAAATGGCAGGATAAGGCAAGGTCTCACAGAAAAGAGACTTACTTACTTTTTAACTTTGATAAAGATACGTAAGCTTTTTCTGCCAGGGTTGCCACTAAAAATAGCAGTAAGGGTCGGGGGCAGTGGTTCATCTCTGTCATGCCAGCACTTTGGGAGGCCGAGGGGAAGGATTGCTTGAGTGCATGAATTCAGGACCAGCCTAGGCAACATGGCAAGATCATGTGTCTACAAAAAATAAATTTTAAGAATTTAGCAGGGCATGGTGGCACAAACCCTGTCCAAGCTACTCGGAAGGCTGAGGCAGGAGGTTTACTTGAGCCCAGGAGACAGAGGTTGCAGTGAGCCATGTTTGCACTCTAACCTGGGCAACAAAATGAGACCCTGTCTCAACAACAACAACAAAATAGTAGGATGCTATTTCGGATCGTTGCCATGATCCATAATGAATAAAAGACAGATCATTAAACTATAAATTCAATTTTAAACTAACCTTTAAGTTCATACTGCTCAAAGATATCAAGGTGGTATAATTTCTTTTCCTTCATATACAGTGGGAAGTAATTGGTGTAACTGATAAGAAAACATGGTTGATTGATAGCCATATACTGATCTAAAATGCTCTAATCTTATGATAGCTTTTGTGTGTTGCTTTACAGATAAAAAAAAAAAGCAAGAGTTGTTAAATCATTAAAAACATCTACTCAGCTTCCAAACTGCATAACTATGACAGAAGAGCAAATACATAAATTATCTGAAAATTGTTTCTATGCTTTGGACTGTAAAACAATGTGGCACTCATAAATAATTTTACCTTCAGCATTACTCAGTCTTTCAAAATTTAAGTTGAAAAATCTCTTTTCTTCTTTAATTTCAGACCACATTTATTTCACTTACATATTCATTTATCTGACAGTGATAATATGCCTGTAAAATATTGCTTTTTGATCTCGTATCTTTGACAGACAGTTTTGTTTCTTTTCCTAATTCTCCAGGCTTGCTCTCTATCTAGTGATGTGCCCCTGCTGATGATGTCAGTCATCAGATGCTCCAGCAGTGATGGGAGATCAAAGGAAGCAAGGGATAGGTTAGGTTATCAATCAACTTTTTGTTGTTGTTGTGTTTTGGTTTTTTTTTTTTTGAGACAGGGTCTCACTTTGTCACACAGGCTGGAGTGGAATGGTGCCATCTCTGCTCTCTGCAGCCTTGATCTCCAGAGTTCAAGCAATCCTCCTGTTTCAGTCCCCCAAGTATCTGGACTACAAGTGCGTGCCACCATACCTGGCTAATTTTTGTATTCCTAGTAGAGATGGGGTTCCGCCATGTCATCCAGGCTGTTCTCGAACTCCTGAGCTCAAGTGATTCACCCGCCTTGGCTGCCCAAAGTGCTAGGATTACAGGAGTGAGCCACTGCACCCAGCCTCAACTTTATATAAACCTTTGTTGAGGCATGAGTCAAAATGTTCCAACCAGCTGTAGCATCCCTGGCCAGATGTGGATATATATATATATATATATATATACATTCCATATTTCTTAGTTAAGCTCATTAAATTATATGCGTATTGCATATGTAATGAGTTTAACTAAGAAATGTGATTTGATGACACATACTATTTTTTTCTTTTTATGGCAGTTTAATTAAACTACTACATTTCTGAGATTCCTTAAGATTGTCCCTTGGGAAATATAGTGATGGTCCCGCAATTTCCCCTTCATTGGGTCAATTGAAGAGAATAAGCAAACCCATAGTTTGTATTTGCCAATACAGAAAATGTTTCATGTTGACAATAATTTCTTTTTTAAATACAAGGCATGCAAACCTTGAAAGCATCACTGTTCCATTTTCTAACTGAATTATAAGAACTTAGGTAGCAAAACTACAGAGAAGACTGTACAAGACAGAACTGTTCACAAGCCCCTATGCTTTTTATTCGTAAGACAAGTGCACACATAGGAAATTTTGATTTGAGAGAAATAATGCCAATTGCTAAGATCAGTGAGGTAAGGCTTTACAATTACAAATGAAATAAGTGTTATTGAGCAAAGTCTTAAGATAATTGTGAGTTTAAGTGATCAGAGTCTGTGAAGAGCAGCTCCAGTTGCATATCAAAGAACAAGCATAAATTGTGTTCAGCTTGTGATGGGCAGTTAGTTAGTTATTCATTGGTCTTTTCATCCTCACAGAGATAATGATCCTCATTTTAAGTATCCTAGTTGTATTAGAATGACTGCGATGTACCAAATAGCTACGGACGTTTTAAATTATTTTGTTAAATCTGCTCAATTTAACTGACTTTTTTTTTGGTAAAGTTCAAGTTCCACTACTACACTACTAACATGTTTATCCAACAAAGATTATTTACATTTATTTATCATTTGATGAGGTTCTTGTGTGGAGTGTCTTACAGCCATACCCAGGTCTAGCTGCCTTTAATTGCCTTCTCCTCTTATGAATTCATGTGGATCAGAGCTCTCACAAAAGAAGCATATGTGGCAAAGCAGAGCCTGGGTGCTTGCCGTCTAATCTCCAGAACCTTCTGGATGTGGCTATGGGATCTTCTGCCTGATACAGCTGAGTGAGCATGGAGCACTGCTCTGTTAGGAATTTTCTTCTAGATACCATATTAATAATTAACCTGATCTGAAAAAAGACTGCTAGATTTCCCAAATTTCTCTCAAGTATGACAAGGGTTAGGCATCCTGTATTCTATGTGATAAATGTAAAAAAAAAAACAAAAACAAAAAACTACAAATGTAAAATAAGAGGCTTCATTCTCACTGGGAAAATAAAGAGGGAGGTTTCTGTCTTCCATTTTCTAGAGTATTTATCTTAGAAAACTTGTAAGTACTTTCCAATCTTTTTAAAATATATATAAATAGTTTTAAAGATGAGATAGGTCTTTTCCAGCTGGCCTTTTGTGACTTTTATGGCCCAGAAATGTCTTCCTAAAAACTTGGGAGTCACCTCTCTGGAATACAAACAACAGGAGAGAGAGCGGTGATAGCAATAGGAGGCAGACAGATTCTTTAGACAGACAGGGTCAGGTCCCCAGTGAAACTCAGTCTTCAAGCCAAGGACAGTCTAAAGCCTGGAAACCAAGCTACAAATTCTGGATAAAATCCACGGGCTGGATTGAGAACTCCCATTCCCATTTGGCATGCTGCCTCCCAATTGGTCCTTATCCTTCACCTATTTGACATATACCTACCCTCCCTGGGTTGGTCTTTTACACTATCATGCCTCTTTCTGAATGGTGCTTTTTCCCAGCCTACCCATAAACCAATCAGCATGCACTTCCCCATTCCAAGCCCATAAAAACCTCTGGTCTCAGCATCATGGCCAGCAACCCACTTTTGGGTCCCCTCTTACTGCCAAGAGGTTTTCTGTCACTCAGTAAATTCCACTCTGCCTTACTCTCCAGTGTCCACATACATCATTCTTCTCGGTGGTGGAACAAGAACTCAGAACTCACCAAACTACAGAAGTAAAAGAACAATAACAGCACACTTATCTCTCAGTTTCTGTGGGAGGGTAGGAGTCTAACTTTAGTGCACATTTTGCTCCAAGTTGCAAAGCGACCTTCTGGTATAAAGATATAATAATTTTTTTTATTTCTAGAAAAAGCCAATTAACTAATACAGATGGTCACCTCAATTACTAGGCGACTCTAGGATGAACTATGTGCTATAAATGGTATTATCAAGTCCTCTTATTTTAGGTCTAGTTATCATTTATCTTGAAAAAAATGCATATAATGGAATATTTTTGCTTGCCTACATGAAAGGGGGAGATTTCTTTCTGTCTTTGCAATCTGTTAACGGATGGCTGAAATGCACATCACATTCTGTTTTAATGCTTATTCAATAACTAAAGCTTCTTTTTTCTCTACTACCATTGTGGAGAGGCTTTTCTGGGTTAGAAAAAGATTCAGGTTTTAATTATACTTCCCCAACACAATCATACCTGAAATACTAAATTCAGATGAGTTTTCATTTTAGACTTTGAATATAATTATTGTATAGGTGAGATTGACTCTAATTGGAGGCTTATCATAATACAATACCACTAATTTTCTTGTACTTTTTTATTTATCATAATATTTATTATGTTGAATAAGGAACAGAATTTATGAATAAAAAGTTCCTCAATAAAGAGCTAATGATCAACTCAAAAGGGGTTTGATGCCTTTGTTCTCAAACTTCTTTAAGGGTCTTTTCACCTACTTAGAACTAATTTGACCTGAATATGGTTCTATAGCTAAAGAGGACATTTTTTAATTGTATAATGCAATCTCAAAAGAAGCCAGTTAAGTCAAAATCCCCTCCAAATTATCTGACCTACAATAGTAATTGCTTAGAAAATTTTACTTAAATTGGAACATTTCCTTCTATCCAGGATGAGCTAGTTTATATCTCAAGGACAGCAAAATCTAAAAACTATATATACAGTTGGCAAAATTTTAATTTTTTTTTTCGAGACAGAGTCTCACTCTGTCACCCAGGCTGGAGTGCAGTGGCGCGATTTCGGCTCACTGCAAGCTCCGCTTCCCGTATTCACGCCATTTTCCTGCCTCAGCCTCCCAAGTAGCTGGGACTACAGGCGCCCACCACCACCACACCTGGCTAATTTTTTTTGTTTTTGTTTTTGTTTTCATTTTTGAGATGGAGTCTCTCTGTCGCCCAGGCTGGAGTGCAGTGGCGCGATCTCGGCTCACTGCAGGCTCCGCCCCCGGGGGTCCACGCCATTCTCCTGCCTCAGCCTCCCGAGTAGCTGGGACTACAGGCGCCCGCCACCTTGCCCGGCTAATTTTTTGTATTTTTAGTAGAGACGGGGTTTCATCATGTTAGCCAGGATGGTCTCAATCTCCTGACCTTGTGATCTGCCCACCTCGGCCTCCCAAAATTTTAAATTTTTAATTGTAGAACAAACATGTCATAGTTTCAAAATATTACAGGCATACCTTCATTTTATGGTGATGCCTTCATTATGCTTCACAGATACTGCAATTTTTACAAATTGAAGGTTTGTGACAACCTTGCTTTGAATAATTCTATAGGTGCCATTTTCCCAACTGTATGTGCTCACTTCATGTCTCAGTGTCCCATTTTGTTCATTCTCAAAGTATTTCAACTTTTTAAATTATTATTATTTCTGTTATGGTGATCTGTGATTGGTGATCTTTAATATTACTATTGCAATTATTTTCAGCCCTATGAATGGCAAAGTTAATCAATAAGTGTTTTGCAAGCTTTACCTGCTCCACCAGCAAGCTAATTCCTTATCTCTTTCCCTCTCCTTGGGCCTCCCATTAAAATAAAATAACATTCAGCCATTTAATAACTCAACACACACCACTAATTGTTCAATTGCAAGGAAGAGTTGCATGTCTCTCACGTTAAATAAAAAAGTAACAATGATTAAATTGAGGAAGGCATGTTGAAACCTTAGACAGGCTAACAGCTAGGCCTCTTGTGCCAAACAGTTAGCCAAGTTGTGACTGCAAATAAAAACTTCTTGAAAGAAATTAAAAATGCTACACCAGTGAACACACAAATGATAAAGAAGCAAATCAGCCTCATTGCTGACATGAAGAAAGTTTTAGTTGCCTGGATAGAAGATCAAACCAACCACAACATTCCCTTAACCCAAAGCCTAATACAGAGCAAGGACCTAACACTCTTCAATTCTATGAAGGCTGAGAAAGGCGAAGAAGTTGCAGAATAAAAGTTTGAAGCTAGCAGAGTTTGATTCATGAGGTTTAAGGAAAGAAACCATCTCCATAACATAAAAGTGCAAATTTAAGTACCAAGTGCTGGTATAGAAGTGCAGCAAGTTATGCAGAAAATCTAGTCAACATAATTGTTATAGGTGCCTATCCTAAACAAGAGAATGTAGACAAAACAGCCATTTTTTTGGACAAAGATGCCATCTAAGACTTTCATAGCTAGAAAAGAAAAGTCAATGCCTGGCTTCAAAGCTTCAAAGGACAGACTGACTCTTCTGTTAGGAGCTAACACAGCTAGTTACTAAGCTGAAGCTTAGTCAAATTAGAATGGTCAAAATTAGACCATTCTGAAAATCCCAGGACCCTTAAGAATTATGCTGAATCTACTCTCTGCTCTATCAATGGAACAACAAAACCTGGATGACAACACATCTGTTTACAGCATGGTTTACTGGGTATTTTAAGCCCAATATTGTGACTTAATGCTTAGATAAAGATTCCTTTCAAAATATTGCTGTCCAATGGCAATGCGCCTGGTCAGCTACAAGCACTGATAGAGATGTGCAAGGAGATTAATGTTTCCCTGCCTGCTAACACAACATCAATTCTGCAGCCCGAAGGTTATGGAGTAATTTTGACTTTCAAGTCTTATTATTTAAAAAGTACATTTCATAAGGCTGTGGCTGCCATAAATAATGATTCCACTGATAAATCTGGGCAAAGAAAATTGAAAACCTTTTGGAAGGTTTCACTATTGTAGATGTCATTAAGAGCATTCATGATTCATGGGAGGAGGTCAACCTATCAACATTAACAGGAGTTGGAAGAAGTTAATCCTGATCCTCATGGATGACTTTAGAGCTTTCAAGACTTAAGATTTAAATGAAGGAAGTAACTGCAGATGTGGTAGAAATAGCAAGAGATCTAGAATTCTCTTGTTCTAGAGCCTGAAGATTTGACTAAATTACTGCACTCTCATGATAAAACTTGAAGGGATGAGAAGCTGCTTCTTGGATGAGCAAAGAAAGTAGTTTATTGAGATGGAATATACTTCTGGTGAAGATACTGTGAACACTCTTGGAATAACAGCAAAAGATTTAGAATATTAGATAAACATAGCTAATAAAGAAGTGGTGGAGTTTGACAGAATTGACTCCAATTTTTAAAGCTTTGCTGTGGCTAAAATGTTATTAAACAGCATTGCATGCTACATAGAAGTCTTTCATGAAAGGCAGAGTCTGTAAATGGGGCCAACTTCATTATCTTTTTATAAGAAATTGGCGTAGCAAACTCACCCTTCAGTAACCACCACCCTGATCAGTAATCAGCTGTCAACATGGAGATCCAACTGTCTACCAGCAAAAAGAATATGATACTGCAGGCTAAGATTATCATTAGTATTTTTAGCAATAAAGTATTTTTAATTAAAGTATGTGCACTTGTTTTTAGACATAATGCTATTCCACAATGAATAGACTGCAATATAGAGTAAATATAACTTCATATGCACTGGGAAACCAAAAAAGTCATGTGACTTGCTTTATTGCAATATTTACTATAGTGTGGTGGTCAAATCTAGCACTGAATTTGGTACTACACATTCTCTTTTTAAAAAAAATTATAGATTTACTCCATGTATGTGTATCTCTAATATTATATTGCCTGGTTCTATTCATTTTTGCATTTTGTATAAATGACTTGTATGTATACAGTTATATATCTATTAAGGGAGATATCATGTCAACACATAATCTGGAAAAAGGACTGCCAGATTTACCAAATTCGTCTGAAATATAGCATAAAATATACTTACGTTAAAAATTGTATATATATATATATATATTCCCTCAGGAATTGTTTTTATTTCTCAATATCATTTTTTTGAGATTAACCTGTGCTTAGGAATGTGACTGTAGTTTTTTTTTCTTTTTTTCACTCCTATATGGAGTTTCTTAGTCTAGATTAGCCTTATTTTTTAATACCCTCTATTTGTGATAGAGAGTCTAACGTGAATTAATTTATCTATGGTTTGAATATTTTATATTAAATAAAACATTAAAAGCTTAAAGATACATGATGCTTACATGTATAATTACTGGATATTATAAGGCATCAATTCTACAAAATTTGATTCATAAGTTTAATTCAATTTCAGTACAATTCCAAAAAGTTTATTCATGATACTTGACCAACTGATTCTAAGCTTCTTTTAGAAGTCCAAATGGTCAAAAATAATCCAGAGAATCCTAAAGGAAAAGAAGCAGAGCAATTTTCCTGGCACACAACATGATTTGTCAAAAATGTTATAACATGCTACAGTATTAATGTGAATAACATGAAATTAAGATATTAATATAAAACAGAAATAAAGCATTTAAAGAGAACTGGGAACCATGACTATATGAAAATATGTTACACAACCAAGTTGCTTTGCAGTTCATTGGGGAGAGGATATCTATTCACTAAATGATATTGAGAAAAATTACTTTTAGGAAACAATGCTCTGTGATTATTTTCACATTTATGCACAGTTCAGACTTTATTATTGAATGGGACACATGCCTTAGAATTTAGAGACAATGCATTGCTCAGGAGAGGTTTAAAGGCTCATCTCCTCCATTTGTTCAAGTTCCAAAGGTAATAGACTTACAAGTAGAATAATATGTCACACTTTCCACAGTTTCAGGCTTAATTGTTATCCTTTAATAAATGAAAGAGTGGAACTCTACCTCATTGTTTATACAAAAAATCACTTCAAGTAAATTGCAACTTAAATGTAAAAATCAAATCTCTAGAACTTTAAAATATATGGATTTCATCATGTCAGATAATGAAGGAATTTTCTTAATTTGGGTTGTCATGGAGTCTAACAGAATTCCTGAAAGTAATAGTGTCATTAAGACATAGCACATGGTGTTTTGCTTGGGGAATTCCTTGTAGTTTCAAGTATTTTTGACTTTATGGTTTGTACATGAGAATGCTGGTAGATTAAATTAGGAAAATATTTTAGGCATACATGACTAAAAGCCCATAGAGTAATTGGCAAAGTTGATGTGACAAACTGATAGCAGTGTATAGAATATATAAAATAGTAGGCTGTTGCATTAGTATAGGCAAAATATAATGACAGCCTCAATTAATGTGTTTGCCAGAGTAATAAAGAAAGGAAAATAGAGGGACATATTTCTAAATAAAGTAGCCAGTCTAAAAGATCATCTTAACAAATACTCTAACCTATGAAACCTCATCTGTAAATATTACACTAAAACACTTGTATTTACTTATAGATAGCCCAGTGGAATAATCAATGAGGCAGTTGAGTATGGCAGTGTGTATCTCATAGGTCATGTTTTAAATAAGGATATAAATTTGGAAGCCATCAAAATGAAGAGTATGAATATGAATGAAATTGTAGAGGAAATATCTATGAGTAGTGAGAAGGTAACAGAAAAAAATTGAAGGATTTAATCATTAGAAGACCAGAAGTTTTCTCATTCAAGAAGTAAGGCACTTAGTTTAGATAGATTATATGAATTGAAAATGTAAACATAAGAAAAATAAAATAGTGCTTTTGCTATCAAAAATTGGAGGATGGAGTATATAGGGATTGATCTGTGAGTAATTTTGATCTGGTTTCTTGTTACTTATTAACTCAACAAATATTGAGCTAGGAGAATTATGTATTTCCAGGAATTTTTACCCATCTCCTATAGGTTTTCTAGTTTATGCACATAGTAACTTTGAATGATCTTTTCTATTTTTGTGGTGTTGGTTGTAATACCTCCCATTTCATTTCTAGTTGATCTTATCTGGATCTTCTGTCTTTTTTTCTTGGTTAATCTTGCTAATGGTCTATCACGTTCTTGAAAACATTTTATGTTTTCAAAAAACCAGCTTACTGTTTCATTTATCTTTTGTACTTTTTTTATTTCAATTTCATTTAGTTCTGTTCTGATCTTGGTTATTTCTTTTCTTCTGCTGGGTTTGAGTGCGGTTTATCCTTGATTCTCTAATTCCTTGAGGTGCAGCCTTAGATTGTCTAATTGTGCTCTTTCAGATTTTTTGATGTAGGCCTTTAAGGCTGTGAACTTTCCTCCTGGCATCACCTTTGCTGTATCCCAGAGGTTTTGATAGGTTGTGTCACTATTATCATTCAGTTCAAAGAATTTCTAATCTCCATCTTGATTTCATTGTTGACCCAATGATCATTCATGAGCAAGTTATTAATTTCCATTATTTGCATGGTTTTGAGGGTTGCTTTTGGAGTTGACTTCCAATTTTTTTCCACTGTGGTCTGAGAGAGTACTTAATATGATTTCAGTTTTCTTAAATGTATTGAGACTTGTTTGTGGCCTATCATATGGTCTATCTTGGAAAAAGTTCCATGCTCTGAGGAATAGAATGTATATTCTGTGGTTGTGGGGTAGAATGGTCTGTAAATACCTGTTAAGTCCCTTGTTCTAGGATATAGTTTAGGTACATTGTTCCTTTGTTGACTTTCTGTCTTGATGACGTGTCCAGTGCTGTCAGTAGAGGATTGAAGTCCCCCACTAGTGTTGTGTCTATCTCATTTCTTAGGTCTGGTAGTAATTGTTTTATATATTTGGGAGTTCAAATGCTAGATGCATATATATGTAGTATTGTGATATTTTCCTGTTGGACAAGACCTTTTTATCATTATATAATGTCCCTCTTGGTCTTTTTTTAACTGCTGTTGTTTTAAAGTTTGTTTTTTCTGATATGAGAGTAGCTACTCCTGCTCGCTGCTAGTGTCCATTTGCATGGAATGTCTTTTTCCACCCCTTTACCTTAAGTTCATGAGAGTCCTTTTGTGTTAGGTGAGTATCTTGAAGTCAGCAGATAGTTGGTTGGTGAATTCTTATCCTTTCTGCAATTCTGTATCTTTTAAATGGAGCATTTAGACCATTTACATTCAATGTTAGTATTGAGATATGAGGTACTATTCCATTCTTCATGCTATTTGTTGCCTGAATACTTTGTTGTTTCTGTTGTTGTTGTTGCTGTATTTTTGTTTTATAGGTCCTGTGAGATTCATGGTTTAAAGAGGTTCCGTTTTGATGTGTTTTCAGTATTTGTTTTAAGATTTAGAGCTCCTTTTAGCAGTTACTGTAGTCCTTGCTTGGTAGTGGTGAATTCTCTCAGCATTTGTTTCTCTGAAAAAGACTGTATCTTTCCTTCATTCATTAAGTTTAGCTTCCCTAGATACAAAATAGGAGGTTAAAGACAGTGCCCCAATCCCTTCTAGCTTGCAGGGTTTCTGCTGAGAAAGCTGCTGTTAATTTGATGCGTTTTCCTTTATAGGTTACCTGGTGCTTTTGCCTCACAGTTCTTAAGATTCTTTCCTTCATCTTGACTTTTGATAACCTGTTGACTATGTGCCTAGGCAATGATCTTTTTGTGATGAATTTCCCAGGAACTCAAATAAATTAACCAGAAAAGAACAAACAATCCCATCAAAAAGTGGGCTAGGACATGAATAGACAATTCTCAAAAGAAGATACACAAGTGGCAAACAAACACATGAAAAAAGACTCAACATTAGTAATGACCATGGAAATGCAAATCAAAACCACAATGTGATACCACCTTACTCCTGCAAGAATGGCCATAATAAAAAAATTAAAAAATTATAGATTTTGGCATGGATGTGGTGAAAAGGGAACACTTCTACACTGCTGTGGGAACGTAAACTAGTACAACCACTATGGAAAACAGTGTGAGATTCCTTAAAGAACTGAAAGTAGAACTAACATTTGATCTAACAATCCCATTACTAGGTATCTAACCAGAGGAAGAGAAGTCATCATACAAAAAAGATACTTGCACATGCATGTCTATGGCAGCACAATTCACAATTGCAAAAATATGGAACCAGCCCAAATGCTCATCAATCAATGAGTGGATAAAGAAATTGAGGTATATACATATATATATATATATATATACACACACACACACACACATATACACATATACATATATACGTATATATATGTATACATACATATACATATATATGTATATGTGTATATGTGTATATATATATGTAATGGAATACTAGTCACCCATAAAAGCAAAACAAATTAATGACATTTGCAGCAACTTGGATGGAACAGGAGACTATTATTCCAAGTGAAGTAACTCAGGAATGGAAAACCAAACATTGCATGTTCTCAGTCATAAGTGGGAGCTAAGCTATGAGGATGCAAAAGCATATGAATGATACAATGGACTTTGGGGACTTGAGAGAAAAGATGGGAAGAGGGTGAGGGATAAAAGGCTACAAATTGGGTTCAGTGTATACTGGTCAGTTGATGGGTGCACCAAAATCTCACAAATCACCATTAAAAAACTTCCTCATGTAACCAAATACCACTTGTTCCCCCCAAAACCTACAGAAATAAAAAATTAAAAAACAAACAACTTAGGCTAAGTTCTTTTGAAGCCCCAATTCTTCTACCTTCATAGATAAAATTATTAAATATCTCATTCATTCCTTTATTACAAGGTTTTGAGTGATACATTAAAGCGTATGTGAATAATTTATTAATTCAAACAAATGTAATATAGCAATTGAATATCACAGAAGACTATGTTATAAAATGAAAATTTACTTTATTTGGCCATAAATGTAATTCTGCAGCTTTTAAATGTTATATTGAAGACACTGATATAAATAACAATAGATCTCATTTATTGAGAGCTTACTATGTGCTGGGGCTGATATAAAACATTTACACACGTAGAATTTCATTCTATAACCCTATAAATTGGGCAGTATCTTTATACCCACTTTACTGATAGGGAAATTAAAGTACAAAATGGTTATTTTACTTGGAGAAGTCTATTACTTCTCCAAGTAATAGACTAATAGAATACTATTCAATGTTGGAACTAGGTTTTAAACCAGTCATCAGGCTTCAAAGTCCTCACAACTGACTGCTACATAAATTTCCCCCCAAAAGAAGATTTACCCTCCAGTCTAGTTTCTACCTAAAGATGGATACTACAGAGAGTACTTCACAAACTTAATATCCATATGAATTATCTTTGGATCTCGATAAAATCCCAATCCTAACTCAGTAAGTGTGAGGTAGATCCTGAGAATTTACATTTCTGACAAGCTCCCAAATGTTACTGATGTTGCTGATCCAGCTCTAGCCTTTCTGAATCAAGTTTCCTCAAGAAAATTGAAAACTGCTGAGAATGATTTTATTATCTTCCAAATGCAAGTAAGATAAGTTAATTCATAACATACTATGGAAAATTAGGGGGACCATGATTGAGGGAGATTGCATGACTAAAACGGTTGTTACAGAATCCTGACAGTGCTCCATTCTAACTTTGTTAGAATGGTAAAATAAGAAAGGGGACACAGAAAAAGATAAGTGGCCTAAGATTTTGATGACATGATGTATATGTTGATTTGGGTGGAGTAGAAGTATCAAACTTAATGACCTATGAGTAGGTCATTGTTAAGCTAAAATTCAGCTCTCTTTCCTGATTAGGAGAAGAGAAAATTATTTTATACTTGGTTTTCTAAAAATCACAGAAATAAATATTTTTATAAAAGCAAACACTATTTTAGCATTTAATTATGTGCCAGAAACTGTTCTAAGAGTGTTAAATACATTAGTTTATATAATCCTGCCAAACGTAAGTGAAAAACATTATCGGAAAGTAAAAATACACAAAAGATCACTGGATGGTCTTTCAGTGCAGTGCTTTACTAGACTTTCTATGTACTGGCCTATTTTACAAATTTTTAGTGACAGAGTTCATCGTGACCATTTTGTTCTGGTAGAGGCCCAAGTGTTATGGTTTCTATTCTTATTGAATATTAACTAGTTTTGTATCCAGCCCAGTAATCTTATTCCTTTATAAATAATGTAGCTTCTCAAATGCTCTTTGAAGGAGTCACATTAATATACCTATTAACTCATTAATTCATGAATCAAATATAATATTTCACGCATGTTCATTTTATACGGGTAGCAGAGGTATGTTTTTAAATTTTTGAAACTTATGCTTTAACAGTTTTGGAGATCATACATGAACATGCCCAAGTAGTCATACCTAAAAGACATAAGGAAATTATATGGTTAAAGAAGTGTACTGGCAGGAACTGTGAAGGGTGTGAGATTTTACCGTACAAGTTAACTTGTTAGCTGGTCACATTTCATTGATGCTAGCAGAACATAGGAGATTTCTGGGTCAGAGCAAAGGACTTCATTGCAGCATAGCAGGCAGAGTAAATGTCAGGTTTGCATGGGTTGTCCTTGCATCTTCCAAGTCCATGGAACAATGCAGAGAGAAGCCTGGGTGAATTTTGCACATACAGCAAGTGTGTGTCACAGATGAGGAGCTATGATTTTAGGTAATTCTAATCTTTTAACTAGGCTCCTAGCAAAGCTGTTCAAACTTTGCACTAAAGAGAGGCATTATCTTCATTATCCTCCACAACAAATAAGTCTGTTTCCTGGCTGTGAGTGAGGGAGACACTGTATGTGCCAAAGCTATTGACTATACAAATACTCTAAAGCATTAGTCTAGACAAAAAGCTGTTGCCTTTGCTGAAGGACTTTGGGATATCCATGGAGAATTTTTTCCCAACATACTCCTAATAGACTGTTTAGCACAAGCAGATTTTCATCTCCAGAAGTAATAGCACTTGAACTTTGTCTCTCTGCCCACCCTCTTTTCCCCTCCCCAGTCCTTTTCTGCTTTGCTTTTCTTTTGGACTTACATGCTCTTGGTAACTTATTCCATATTGATAAGAGCAATAATTGGGGTTTGGTTTTATGATCTGAATATCAGTCCTCTCTGTAGGACAAATGATTGAGAACAATTCTGTTAGGTAAAAGATGACAGAGAACCTGTTTTGTGAGTCTTTGTGGGTTTTTTGTCTATTTATCAGCTCAAATCAATTAGCAGTTTCTTGTTCACTGGGGCAGGAGAGGAGGACAACCCTTGAGATATGGAGGGAGCAGTTATTATGTTTCTATGTTTACTCTTCACCTCTGGATAATGTTGTATAACTGTTGTATAAATGTATATATTTAGTGCAAATATAAATTTCTGCATGTCTATGGGTCTGCGTATTTGTACGTGAGAAGGACTTTCCTTTTAATATTAGTGTAACATGCGTTTCTACTTCTGAAAAATATTACTAAATTAACTGTAACATCCCTTAAACCAGCTCTGTTGTCAATGATTTATAAAGATAACATGATGCTTAAGTAAATAAAATATTCTCATAGTTTCCAGAAAATAAAGAAACTAAATTTTAATACATTAAATGCACAGGATTTAAAAAAAATTCTATTGTGAGGAACTCCTGGCTCAGGAAAATTTTCAGAATGTATGTTTGCATAATGAAGGTAAATCTTTTTTTTTTTTTTTTATTATACTTTAAGTTTTAGGGTACATGTGCACATTGTGCGGGTTAGTTACATATGTATACATGTGCCATGCTGGTGCACTGCACCCACTAACTCGTCATCTAGCATTAGGTATAACTCCCGATGCTGTCCCTCCCCCCTCCCCCCACCCAACAACAGGCCCCAGAGTGTGATATTCCCCTTCCTGTGTCCATGTGATCTCATTGTTCAATTCCCACCTATGAGTGAGAACATGCAGTGTTTGGTTTTTTGTTCTTGCGATAGTTTACTGAGAATGATGTTTTCCAATTTCATCCATGTCCCTACAAAGGACATGAACTCATCATTTTTTATGGCTGCATAGTATTCCATGTGTATATGTGCCACATTTTCTTAATCCAGTCTATCATTGTTGGACATTTGGGTTGGTTCCAAGTCTTGGCTGTTGTGAATAATGCCACAATAAACATACGTGTGCATGTGTCTTTATAGCAGCATGATTTATAGTCATTTGGGTATATACCCAGTAATGGGATGGCTGGGTCAAATGGTATTTCCAGTTCTAGATCCCTGAGGAATCGCCACACTGACTTCCACAATGGTTGAACTAGTTTACAGTCCCACCAACAATGTAAAAGTGTTCCTATTTCTCCACATCCTCTCCAGCACCTGTAGTTTCCTGACTTTTTAATGATTGCCATTCTAACTGGTGTGAGATGGTATCTCATTGTGGTTTTGATTTGCATTTCTCTGATGACCAGTGATGATGAGCATTTTTTCATGTGTTTTTTGGCTGCATAAATGTCTTCTTTTCAGAAGTGTCTGTTCATGTCCTTCACCCACTTTTTGATGGGGTTGTTTGTTTGTTTCTTGTAAATTTGTTTGAGTTCATTGTAGATTCTGGATATTAGCCCTTTGTCAGATGAGTAGGTTGCGAAAATTGTCTCCCATTTTGTAGGTTGCCTGTTCACTCTGATGGTAGTTTCTTTTGCTGTGCAGAAGCTCTTTAGTTTAATTAGATCCCATTTGTCAATTTTGGCTTTTGTTGCCATTGCTTTTGGTGTTTTAGACATGAAGTCCTTGCCCATGCCTATGTCCTGAATGGTATTGCCTAGGTTTTCTTCTAGGGTTTTTATGGTTTTAGGTCTAACGTTTAAGTCTTTAATCCATCTTGAATTGATTTTTGTATAAGGTGTAAGGAAGGGATCCAGTTTCAGCTTTCTACATATGGCTAGCCAGTTTTCCCAGCACCATTTATTAAATAGGGAATCTTTCCCCATTGCTCGTTTTTCTCAGGTTTGTCAAAGATCAGATAGTTGTAGATATGCAGCATTATTTCTGAGGGCTCTGTTCTGTTCCATTGATCTATATCTCTGTTTTGGTACCAGTACCATGCTGTTTTGGTTACTGTAGCCTTGTAGTATAGTTTGAAGTAAGGTAGTGTGATGCCTCCAGCTTTGTTCTTTTGGCTTAGGATTGGCTTGGCGATGCGGGCTCTTTTTTAGTTCCATATGAACTTTAAAGTAGTTTTTTCCAATTCTGTGAAGAAAGGCATTGGTAGCTTGATGGGGATGGCATTGAATCTGTAAATTACCTTGGGCAGTATGGCCATTTTCACGATATTGATTCTTCCTACCCATGAGCATGGAATGTTCTTCCATTTCTTTGTATCCTCTTTTATTTCCTTGAGCAGTGGTTTGTAGTTCTCCTTGAAGAGGTCTTTCACATCCCTTGTAAGTTGGATTCCTAGGTATTTTATTCTCTTTGAAGCAATTGTGAATGGGAGTTCACTCATGATTTGGCTCTCTGTTTATCTGTTGTTGGTGTATAAGAATGCTTGTGATTTTTGTACATTGATTTTGTATCCTGAGACTTTGCTGAAGTTGCTTATCAGCTTAAGGAGATTTTGGGCTGAGACAATGGGGTTTTCTAGATATACAATCATGTCGTCTGCAAACAGGGACAATTTGACTTCCTCTTTTCCTAATTGAATACCCTTTATTTCCTTCTCCTGCCTAATTGCCCTGGCCAGAACTTCCAACACTATGTTGAATAGGAGTGGTGAGAGAGGGCATCCCTGTCTTGTGCCAGTTTTCAAAGGGAATGCTTCCAGTTTTTGCCCATTCAGTATGATATTGGCTGTGGGTTTGTCATAGATAGCTCTTATTATTTTGAAATACATCCCATCAATACCTAATTTATTGAGAGTTTTTAGCATGAAGGGTTGTTGAATTTTGTCAAAGGCTTTTTCTGCATCTATTGAGATAATCATGTGGTTTTTGTCTTTGGCTCTGTTTATATGCTGGATTACATTTATTGATTTGTGTATATTGAACCAGCCTTGAATCCCAGGGATGAAGCCCACTTGATCATAGTGGATAAGCTTTTTGATGTGCTGCTGGATTCGTTTTGCCAGTATTTTATTGAGGATTTTTGCATCAATGTTCATCAAGGATATTGGTCTAAAATTCTCTTTTTTTGTTGTGTCTCTGCCTGGCTTTGGTATCAGAATGATGCTGGCCTCATAAAATGAGTTAGGGAGGATTCCCTCTTTTTCTATTGACTGGAATAGTTTCAGAAGGAATGGTCCCAGTTCCTCCTTGTACCTGTGGTAGAATTCGGCTGTGAATCCATCTGGTCCTGGATGCTTTTTGGTTGGTAAGCTATTGATTATTGCCACAATTTCAGATCCTGTTATTGGTCTATTCAGAGATTCAACTTCTTCCTGGTTTAGTCTTGGGAGAGTGTATGTGTCGAGGAATTTATCCATTTCTTCTAGATTTTCTAGTTTATTTGCGTAGAGGTGTTTGTAGTATTCTCTGATGGTAGTTTGTATTTCTGTGGGATCGGTGGTGATATCCCCTTTATCATTTTTTATTGCATCTATTAGATTCTTCTCTCTTTTTTTCTTTATTAGTCTTGCTAGCGGTCTATCAATTTTGTTGATCCTTTCAAAAAACCAGCTCCTGGATTCATTAATTTTTTGAAGGGTTTTTTGTGTGTCTATTTCCTTCAGTTCTGCTCTGATTTTAGTTATTTCTTGCCTTCTGCTAGCTTTTGAATGTGTTTGCTCTTGCTTTTCTAGTTCTTTTAATTGTGATGTTAGGGTGTCAATTTTGGATCTTTCCTGCTTTCTCTTGAGGGCATTTAGTGCTATAAATTTCCCTCTACACACTGCTTTGAATGCGTCCCAGAGATTCTGGTATGTTGTGTCTTTGTTCTCGTTGGTTTCAAAGAACATCTTTATTTCTGCCTTCATTTCGTTATGTACCCAGTAGTCATTCAGGAGCAGGTTGTTCAGTTTCCATGTAGTTGAGCAGTTTTGAGTGAGATTCTTAATCCTGAGTTCTAGTTTGATTGCACTGTGGTCTGAGAGATAGTTTGTTATAATTTCTGTTCTTTTACATTTGCTGAGGAGAGCTTTACTTCCAAGTATGTGGTCAATTTTGGAATAGGTGTGGTGTGGTGCTGAAAAAAACGTATATTCTGTTGATTTGGGGTGGAGAGTTCTGTAGATGTCTATTAGGTCAGCTTGGTGCAGAGCTGAGTTCAATTTCTGGGTATCCTTGTTGACTTTCTGTCTCGTTGATCTGTCTAATGTTGACAGTGGGGTGTTAAAGTCTCCCATTATTAATGTGTGGGAGTCTAAGTCTCTTTGTAGGTCACTCAGGACTTGCTTTATGAATCTTGGTGCTCCTGTATTGGGTACATAGATATTTAGGATAGTTAGCTCTTCTTGTTGAATTGATCCCTTTACCATTATGTAATGGCCTTCTTTGTCTCTTTTGATCTTTGTTGGTTTAAAGTCTGTTTTATCAGAGACTAGGATTGCAAACCCTGCCTTTTTTTGTTTTCCATTTGCTTGGTAGATCTTCCTCCATCCTTTTATTTTGAGCCTATGTGTGTCTCTGCACGTGAGATGGGTTTCCTGAATACAGCACACTGATGGGTCTTGACTCTTTATCCAATTTGCCAGTCTGTGTCTTTTAATTGGAGCATTTAGTCCATTTACATTTAAAGTTAATATTGTTATGTGTGAATTTGATCCTGTCATTATGATGTTAGCTGGTTATTTTGCTCATTAGTTGATGCAGTTTCTTCCTAGTCTTGATGGTCTTTACATTTTGGCATGATTTTGCAGCGGCTGGTACCGGTTGTTCCTTTCCATGTTTAGCGCTTCCTTCAGGAGCTCTTTTAGGGCAGGCCTGATGGTGACAAAATCTCTCAGCATTTGCTTGTCTGTAACGTATTTTATTTCTCCTTCGCTTATGAAGCTTAGTTTGGCTGGATATGAAATTCTGGGTTGAAAATTCTTTTCTTTAAGAATGTTGAATATTGGTCCCCACTCTCTTCTGGCTTGTAGGGTTTCTGCTGAGAGATCCGCTGTTAGTCTGATGGGCTTCCCTTTGAGGGTAACCCGACCTTTCTCTCTGGCTGCCCTTAACATTTTTTCCTTCATTTCAACTTTGGTGAATCTGACAATTATGTGTCTTGGAGTTGCTCTTCTTGAGGAGTATCTTTGCGGCATTCTCTGTATTTCCTGAATCTGAACGTTGGCCTGCCTTGCTAGATTGGGGAAGTTCTCCTGGATAATATCCTGCAGAGTGTTTTCCAACTTGGTTCCATTCTCCCCATCACTTTCATGTACACCAATCAGACGTAGATTTGGTCTTTTCACATAGTCCCATATTTCTTGGAGGCTTTGCTCATTTCTTTTTATTCTTTTTTCTCTAAACTTCCCTTCTCACTTCATTTCATTCATTTCATCTTCCATCGCTGATACCCTTTCTTCCAGTTGATCGCATCGGCTCCTGAGGCTTCTGCATTCTTCATGTAGTTCTCGAGCCTTGGTTTTCAGCTCCATCAGCTCCTTTAAGCACTTCTCTGTATTGGTTCTTCTAGTTATACATTCTTCTAAATTTTTTTCAAAGTTTTCAACTTCTTTGCCTTTGGTTTGAATGTCCTCCCGTAGCTCAGAGTAATTTGATCGTCTGAAGCCTTCTTCTCTCAGCTCGTCAAAGTCATTCTCCATCCAGCTTTGTTCCGTTGCTGGTGAGGAACTGCGTTCCTTTGGAGGAGGAGAGGCACTCTGATTTTTAGAGTTTCCAGTTTTTCTGTTCTGTTTTTTCCCCATCTTTGTGCTTTTATCTACTTTTGGTGTTTGATGATGGTGATGTACAGATGGGTTTTTGGTGTGGATGTCCTTTCTGTTTGTTAGTTTTCCTTCTAACACACAGGACCCTCAGCTGCAGGTCTGTTGGAATACCCTGCCGTGTGAGGTGTCAGTGTGCCCCTGCTGGGGGGTGCCTCCCAGTTAGGCTGCTCGGGGGTCAGGGGTCAGGGGTCAGGGGTCAGGGACCCACTTGAGGAGGCAGTCTGCCAGTTCTCAGATCTCCAGCTGCATGCTGGGAGAACCACTGCTCTCTTCAAAGCTGTCAGACAGGGACATTTAAGTCTGCAGAGGTTACTGCTGTCTTTTTGTTTGTCTGTGCCCTGCCCCCAGAGGTGGAGCCTACAAAGGCAGGCAGGCCTCCTTGAGGTGTGGTGGGCTCCACCCAGTTGGAGCTTCCAGGCTGCTTTGTTTAACTCAGCAAGCCTGGGCAATGGTGGGCACCCCTCCCCCAGCCTCGCTGCCGCCTTGCAGTTTGATCTCAGACTGCTGTGCTAGCAATCAGCGAGACTCCGTGGGTATAGGACCCTCCGAGCCAGGTGCGGGACACAATCTCGTGGTGCGCCGTTTTTTAAGCCCGTCGGAAAAGCGCAGTATTCAGGTGGGAGTGACCAGATTTTCCAGGTGCCGGCCGTCACCCCTTTCTTTGACTCGGAAAGGGAACTCCCTGACCCCTTGCGCTTCCCAAGTGAGGCAATGCCTCGCCCTGCTTCCGCTCGCGCACGGTGCGCACACCCACTGACCTGCGCCCACTGTCTGGCACTTCCTAGTGAGATGAACCCGGTACCTCAGATGGAAATGCAGAAATCACCGTCTTCTGCATCGCTCACGCTGGGAGCTGTAGACTGGAGCTGTTCCTATTCGGCCATCTTGGCTCCCCCATAATGAAGGTAAATCTTACATCTTAGGGCAGTGTAATAATTGGATGTGTGTTTAAATTAAATGGTTATGTGCCTTTTCCCGGAGCTTATCATTTGGGAAGATAATACAAGTGTACATTTTATTTATTTATCTTTAACAAATTTGTGCTTGTTACCAGTGAAGAAACCAGTTAATATTAACTTTCTAATCCTATACTGGTTATCTGATCTAGTAAGCTACATAAATCATCACATAACATGGAAGATTATGACAGACATTCTAAATCTATACTGGTTATCTGATCAAGTGGACTACATAAGCTATCACATACTATCAAATGTTATGACAAAGTTAAATTTATTATGTTTATTAGAATAATAATTACAACAAAAATTTTTATAGTGATAGATTGTTTTTCTCTATTAGCTTAGATTGTTCTTGTCTTTGTAAATTTAAACAATTTCCAAGAGCTTTAGGTAACTTAAAAATTTTGCATTATTAAATTGAGTTAATTAATAAATAATGTTGCATATCTGCATACATTCTTAGTAAGACTGAATAATGAAAATTTATTGTAATGCATAGATTTAAATTTTTATACTTTTGCTTCATTTTATATGGTGCAGAATGGTGGTTTTATCTTTGAGTCACATTAATGAATCACTTAAAAAAAGGTGTAAAAGATGTGTGGCTATAGACAGTTGTGTTAAGTGTATTTTTATATTTTGCTAATCTTCTAAAATATTTGATTAAGACACACTTCACAGCTTTCTCTCTCCCATTTTTTCCTGGGAAATAAAAGTTAGTGACTTTGATGGAAAGTTATTTATTTGAGTGGTTTAGAGTATACCCAGAGTACTAGTGACAAGAAATAGAACCATGCATGACAGATAATAAAAAAAATTACTGTTTTTCAAGCGTAGAGTAAATAATTTTGTGGAAAAGTGTATATTTAGGTTGTCTCAGAATATATGAGTATAAAGAAAGACAAAACTTGAGGAAGAATAACAGATTATAAAAGATTTTAGAAGAGTGGATATTATTTGCCTTAATTTATATGATTTGTATTAGTTTTCTATTGGTGCTGTAACAAATTACCACAAAATTTGTGACTTAAAGAATCCCAAATTTATTATCTTACAATTCTGTAATCAGAGCTCCAAATTGGGTCTCACTGGGCTAAAACAAAGGAGCCAGCAGGGAAGCATGCCTTCAGAAGGTTCTAGGAATAACCTCATTCATTTAACTTGTATTTCTCAGCTTACAGAAGCTACCCCCGATCCCTTCACTCATGCGCCCATTGCAGCCAGCAACCACCTCACTCTGACCTCTGCTTCCATATTCACATCTTCTTCTCTGACTTGCTTTTTTCCTCGTAAAGACCCTTGGGATTGCATTGGGCCTAACTGGATAATCCAGGATGCTCTCCGCATCTGAAATTTCATAATTAAACCGAAAAGTCTTTATTACCATGTGTTGTAACATATTCACAGGTTTAGGGATTAGAACGTGGAAATTCTTCTATTACAAGACCTAGGTCTGAAAATAAACTATGAAATGTGTTACAATTGTGCAAATTTGTAATTATATCAAGTTTCTAGTTATGTTAGTTACCATTGATGCATAAGAAATTACCACAAGCTAGCAGTTAAAAATAAGCTACGTTTGGCCAAGCTGTGGCTCACGCCTGTAATCCCAACACTTTGGGAGGCCGAGGCGGGCGGATCCCGAGGTCAGGAGATCGAGACCAGCCTGGCTAACACGGTGAAACCCCGTCTCTACTAAAAATACAAAAAATTAGCCAGACGTGGTGGCGGGCGCCTGTAGTCCCAGCTACTCCGGAGGCTGAGGCAGGAAAATAGTGTGAACCTGGGAGGCAGAGCTAGTAGTGAGCCCAGATCCTGCCACTGCACTCCAGCCTGGGGACAGAGCGAGACTCCGTCTCAAAAAAAAAAAAAAAATACATTTATTATTTCATATGTTCTGTGGCTAGGAGCCATGGGCATGGAATAAATGAGTCTGTTGCTTTATGGTCTCTCCCAAGCCTGAAATCAAGATGTTGACAAGGTCAGTGGTCTCACATGAAGGCTTAATGTGGGAAGGGTCTACTTTCAATCTTACATAGTTGTGGGTGGAGTTAAATTCCTAGAGGTCTGTTTGTCATCGGCCTCAGTCTCTAACTGGCTGTTCACTAGAGGCTGCACTCAGTTTCTTGCCATGTGGGCCTGTGCACCACAATTGCTTGCTTTATCAATGCATGGAAGCTGAGAAGGCAATGGTGAATAATCTAGCTTGAATGAAGTCACGATCTTCTAACACATAAATGATAGCCTCTCAACATTGCTGTATCTTGTCTTAAAAGTAAGCTACTTAAGGATAAGACTTTCCACATTGTTATGAATGCCAAGAGGCAGGAATTAATGATAATAATTTTAAAACCTGCCTGCAACAATAACATTTTCTTCTACTGTTAGCCCCTTCAGTGTATTTTTCATCTCAGATCTTGTATTTTTAATTTCTATGAGTTCAATTTGGGTATTTTTCTATGTTCCCATATCTTTCTGAACATGCTCATGCTTCCTGCTAACTTATTGAACATATGAAGTATACATGTATTAGCTAATCAATACCTATGTCTATTAACTGTATCATAAGTATCATATCTGAGTCTCTTTCTTTTGACTAATTTTTTTTTTTTATCATGGGTCATGTTTTTCCATTTCTTTTCATACCTGGGCAGTAGATGATGAGCATTCTGAACTCTCTATTGTTGAGTGCAGATTTGTGATATTGTATTTCTTCAAATGATTTTGAACTTTGTGCTTAGATGCAGTTATTTGTCTTGGAAATAGTTTCATACTTTCAAGGGAAGCTTTTAAGCTTTAAAGTGGAACCAGAGCAAACTTTAAATTAGGGCTAATTTGTCCCTACTATTGAGTATTCTTCTCAAGTGCTGTATATTATGAAGTTTAACAATAGAGCAGTTGGGAAACTGGATGTCTATCCCTACCTCTTTATGAACTCCAGAAATTGTTTTGTCTTCTCCCTTTCTGTGTGTTTTTCCCATCCTTATACTCATAGTCTAATAATCACTGAGAAGACTTCAGGGACATCCTCTGCATGTCTTCAGAGCTCTCTGTGCAGCTCTCCTCTCTTCAATACTTGGCATTGCGATACTGGTTGGCTTCATCCTTTTGAATACTCAACTTCATCTCTCCAAGACAGGGAGACCACAGGGCTCAACCTGAATTGTACTTTGCTGAGCCTGGAAACTCATTGGTGGAACATGCAGGAGTTACCTTGTTTTTCTTTTACTCAGAGATCAATGTCCTTAGCTGCCAATTGTTTATATCCTAAAAGCTTTTTTGAAACTTTTTGTCTGGACTTACAATTGTTTAATATGGGAAGGTAAGTTCTGTACTTTAATTTATAAGACTTATATTAGTTTTCTATTGTTGATGTAACAAATTACCACAAATATTTTCTATCTTGGCTAGAGGTGAAATTTTGGAATATTGTTTTCATTATTTTTAATGTTTTATTTTAAGTTAGTATACAAAGCTCTTTCTGTCTTTTCAACCACTTTCTAACACACAGTTTAGCAGATTATTCTTTTTTAAGCTGAAATAAATTATTTAAAATTAATATGTAATTTTTACTATCTCCTTAAAGATAAAAACATAATTTTGCTGAGGTTTTTTATTGGTAATCCCTTATTTGCATAGATGAAATATGACTGTTTCTTTCATCTTATTAGGATATAATTGATCAAATCAATAGTTCATCCAAGGCCATAATTGGAGTGTTAAATTTGAGAAAAATATTGTTTAATCAGGTATTCAAGCTCATATTAAGAGATAGATATCAATTTTATATATTTGGAGACAAACTCCATAAATCTAAAATTAACTTGTTACCTGGATTACAAAGTGAGTCTCACAGGTGATAAGAAATTCACTGTCTAGCAAGTTGAGGACCTTAAAAAAACTTGAAGAATCTCAATTTGAGACAAATTTATACAAATATATAATTTGGAAATCTGAAAGAGTGTCATGGGCTTGCTTCCCAGCCCCAGAAGTCTTAGAATAAGTCAGTGTTTGGGAGCCAATCTGTGATTTCCTTTGAACTTATACACAGAGAGTAAACATTTGGCAGTATTAGTTGTCAAAACTGTTTGAGTCTAATTTGCAGAACAAATTCAAGAAGGCATATTAAGTTCAGTAACACTGTTGCTTTATCTATGATAATAATCAAGCCAAATCTAATAAGACCAGCTTTTTATGTGATCAAGAATAATCTTTGGAGATTGTGACCATAAGAGAGAAAACTGTCAAAACAAAAATGTTCACAGCTTGGATACAGGTAAACGAGTTTACTGTGTATTTTTCAGTGCAGTACTGGCCTTATTTTCTGAGTGATTTTCAACCTTCCACAGGTAGTGCTTAACCTGTAGAATTCTGTCTGGTTGAGATGTAATATCTGTCTGTCCAGTAAAAGAGATAACCAAAGTATTATTTTTTTTAAAAAATTTTTATTTATTTTTTAACTCTTTATTTCCATAGGTTTTAGGGGAACAGGTGGTATCTGTTTACATGAATAAGTTCTTTAGTGGTGATTTGTGAGATTTTGGTGCACCCATCTCCTGAGCAGTATATTATGGTTTATAGCCTCATTGACATTAGCCAGTTTCACATTTAATTCAGCAACCTATCAAATGCTGTGTTTACCTCTAGCTTTATTTTTATATATACTCTCAAATGTTCTTTAAACTATTCATAACATGCTACTGGTTCCATCATTAAGTAGTGAGTCACATATAAACTTTGACAAATGTTAATTTTATATTTGAATGAGAGTCATAATTTCTAACCTTTTGAAAATCACACTTTAAGAAATCCTGTTAGAAAAATTTTATTATTATCCTGGTTTCAAAGTTAAATACATTGATGTATTGTCAGGCTTTGCAACTAGCTCAGGCTCACATATTTCTGATTAGATTGGGTAGGGTTCTAATAAAGATATCTGGTTCTATAGGATGTACCCTTAGCATTCTATATGTCTATTTTTCTGTTTTTATGCTGCTGATAAAGACATACCTGAGACCAGGAAGAAAAAGAGGTTTAATTATGCTTACAGTACTACATGGCTGAGGAGGCTTCAGAATCATGGTGTGAGGCAAAAGGCACTTCTTACATGGTTGTGGCAAGAGAAAATGAGGAAGAAGCAAAAGCAGGAACCCCTGATAAACCCATCAGATCTTGTGAGACTTATTTATTATCATGAGAATGGCACAGGAAAGACCAGATACCATGATTCAATTACCTCCTCCTGGGTCTCTCCCACAACACGTGGGAATTCTGGAAGATACAATTCAAGTTGAGATTTGGGTGGGGACACAACCCAATCAAATAATTCTGCCCCGGCCCTTCCAAATTTCACATCCTCACATTTCAAAACCAATTGTGTTTCCTCAACATTCCCCCAAACTCTTAACTCATTTCAGCATTAACCCAAAAGTCCATAGTCCAAAGTCTCATCTGAGACAAGGCAAGTCCCTTCCACCTATGAAGCCTGTAAAATGAAAAGCAAGCTAGTTACCTCCTAGATACAATGGGGATACAGGTATTGGGTAAATACAGCCATTCCGAATGGAAGAAATTGGCCAAAACAAAGGGGTTACAGGACCATGCAAGTCTGAAATCTATCAGGACAGTTAAATTTTAAAGCTCCAAAATGATCTCCTTTGACACCAGGTCTTACATCTGGTCATGCTAAAGCAAGAGGTGGGTTCCCATGGTCTTGGGCAACTCTGCCTCTCTGGCTTTGCAGGGTACAGCCTCCCTCTTGGCTGCTTTTATGGGCTAGCATTGAGTGTCTGCAGCTTTTTCAGGAGCACAGTGCAAGCTGTCAGGAGATCTACCATTCTGGGGTCTGGAGGCTGGTGGCCCTCTTCTCGCAGCTCCACTAGGCAGTGCCCCAGTAGAAACTCTCTCTGGGGGCTCTGACCCCACATTTCTCTTCCACACTGCCCCAGCAGAGGTTCTCCATGAGGGCCTTGTCCCTGCAGCCAACCTTTGCCTGGGATTCCAGGTATTTCTATACATCTTCTGAAATCTAGGCTGAGGTTCCCAAGCTTCAATTCTTGACCTCTGTGCACCACAGGCTCAACACCACATGGAAGCTGCCAAGGCTTGGGGCTTTCACCCTCTAAATCCACAGCCTGAGCTGTATGTTTGCCCCTTTCAGCCATGGCTGGAGCAGCTATGACACAGGGCACCAAGTCCCTAGGCTACACACAGCATGGGGACCCTGGGCCCAGCCCACAAAACCACTTTTTCCCCCCTGGGCCTCTGGACCTGCGGTGGGAGGGGCTGCCATGAAGGTCTCTGACATTTCCTGGCGATATTTCTCCTATGGTCTTGAGGATTCACATTAGACTCCTTGCTACTTATAAAATTTCTGCAGCCAGCTTGAATTTCTCCCCAGAAAAAGGGTTTTTCTTTTCTATCATGTAGTCAGGCTGCAAATTTTTCAAACTTTTATGCTCTTCCTCCCTTATAAAATGGAATGACTTTAACAGTACCCAAGTCACCTCATGAATGCTTTACTGCTTAGAAATTTCTTCAGTCAGATATCCTAAATCATCTTTCTCAAGTTCAAAGTTCCATAAATCTCTAGGGCAGAGGCAAAATGCTGCCAGTCTGTTTGCTAAAACATAACAAGGGTCACCTTTCCTCCAGTTCACAACAAGTTTCTCACCTCCAACTGACACCACCTTAACCTGGACCCTATTGTCCATATCACTGTCAGCATTTTGGGCAAAGCCATTCATCAAGTCTCTAGGAAGTTCCAAACTTTTCCACATTTTCCTGGGTTCTTCTGAGCCCTCCAAATTGTTTCAACCTCTGCCTATTACCCAATTCCAAAGTCGCTTCCACATTTTTGGGTATCTCTTCATGAATGCCTCACTCTACTGGTACCAATTTACTGTATTAGTGCATTTTCATGCTGCTGATGAAGACATACCTGAGACTGGGAAGAAAAAGAGGTTTAATTGGACTTACATTTCCACATGGCTGAGGAGCCCTCAGAATCATGGCGGGAGGTAAAAGGCACTTCTTATGTGGTGGCAGCAAGAGAAAATGAGGAAGAAGCAAGAGCAGAAACCCCTGATAAAACCGTCAGATCTTGTGAGACTTATTCACTATCATGCGAATAGCACAGGAAAGACTGGCCCTCATGATTCAATTACCTCCCACGGGGTCTCTCCCACAACACGTGGGAATTCTGGGAGATACAATTCAAGTTGAGATTTGAGTGGGGACACAGCCAAACCATATCAATATGAATCAACAGTCACTTCAGAACACAGAACACATTTCATAATACTATCCTAATGAAAAAAATTGGGATTAAAAAACTGGCATGTTTGCCAAATTTTCACCCTGCACATGGTTATAATATGCTAGACTGTCAAGGACATTTTTAAGCTTAGTTTCTAATGTGATTCTGAGAGTATTTTGCAAGAGAAATTATAAAAGCACAGGTCACATTTGATGATTGAGTTTGGTACTTGACCTTACACCAGATTCTTTAAATATTTTTTACTACGAAGTCCTCTTCAAATCAAACATATTGTTTTTTTAAATAACTTAATAAAATTTATCAGTTGGCTTGAACATGTCTTTCTGCTACAACCAACAGGATTTGAGCATTTTTGCTATCTGAATAAGCATGAATCTTATACAGACAATATTAATTATATCAAACAAAAAAGTCACAATTGGCATGACTTTGAACGCAGAACCATTTTAATTATCAAACAAAATATTCACAGAAGACACAGAAAGAAAAAACTATCATGGTGGTTCCACAGAAATATAAAGGTAATATATTTAAAATCAAACATTGTAAGTTTCTTCAGAGGAATACTTCACTAAGTAATAATACATTTCTTTTAACAAAATTAATATTGTTAAACTACTTAAATGAGTTATTTTCCATTAGGAGGGCATATAACACTAGTATTTAAAACTAAATTTTGTAACAAGAGGTATAAAAATTTGAATAAAATTGTCTTTTTATTTTATTTAAGTATACTCCTCTGTTTAGTATCCTATAGATGAGGCCACAATTATGAGTCCCCAATTTTACATTTTTTTAAATCAAATTGCTTTTTCCAAAAATACTGATGGAGTTTTACAACTCTGACAGCACCCATACAACCGTTATTGCAAAAAAAAAAAAAAATAGTGAATGCATATAACGTTGACTTGCTGAATGCACTCTGAAGTAATAGTAACTTCTGAATGGCCTCTGCAGTATATTTCTTATGTGAAGTGAATGGGATATAGACTGTTCTTGTACTACATCACAGGAATTAGTTTCTTGGGATTAGCATAATGCAATTTTCTCAATTCTCCTTTCCACTTTAATGTTTCTATGTGCCTGTTTGTTTATAAGAAAGTACCATCATTCACTCCAATTCATTAAGGAAATGCCTAAGCAGCATAGTTCTGTATAATTTTGAGCATCGTTTTAAAAATTGTGCATGAGAAAACTGGATCTGTGCAGTTTTTTATTCAGCTTTAACATTTTCCATTGAGACGTACACTAGATTTACTTCAATGCTGATTATGCCAAAATATGATCAAACTGCTATAAAAGTGTGTAAAAGCAGCTACACTTTTCATTAAATGGGTTCATTTTGATATGAATATTGTTTGTTATGGGATAATAGGGAAGATGTTTTGCTATTTCTATTATGGAAAAATTATATCCAACTGCTATCTAGCATTTCATTGCAAAATATAGCTAAAAGTGAGAATATACTTCACCAACTGGAGTGCAAACTAAGCCTGGATATTTTTATCAATTGTAGATCATAAAGCACCAAAGTGCAATGCATTCTTTTGACTTTTCAGAATATCACTCTGCATTAATCACTTATCTGGACCACTTCTGAACATTCACTTTTTACACAGCACTTATCTTTGATTCTGTATGTGTCATTTAATTAGCTTTATTTTCTATTGGGTTTTATATAGCCAATCTAATCTTGCATAAAACTATCTCAGTTAGATCTTAAGACAGTCCAAATATCTGTACATTCTGTGTCTGAGACTACACACATTTTCAGAGAAATGATCATTTAAATTCAGCTATTGGATTGTCAGTAGATTCATGCTAACTACTCCAAAAAGTGGTGGAAAATCTGAAAAAAAAATTTTTCAATTAAGTTCAAATTATATTGTTAACACTACTTGCTATACTTTTACTCTGATATTTCTGATGATTGCTAATCAATATCCAACTATAAATTCAGCTTTAAACAAATTAAAGAACAACTTGTTTTTTTGTCTCTCCTTGCCTCTGGTTTTAAATATTCTATCGGAATTTGCTGTCTCTTTAATGATCTTCTGCTAACCTTGAATAACCAACTCCACATTAGCTCATCCATGTTACCAGTTGATTGTACATGTTTCTGTGTATATGCATGTTGCATGCGCTGAAGCCATTTATTCAAAAACGTTTATTACATACATTCTATGAAAAATACCTGGTCTTTATCTCTAATGAATGAACCATCAAGAATAAAAAGAGTTTGTGTATATGTGATATGAATGTACACATAAAAATACAAAGAACACAACTATAGAAGATGATATTATGCATGATATAAATTCATTTACTTAAAAAATTTTTAGCATCTATTTTTTAAGAGACTTCTAAACTTGGGGGTTAGAAAGACAAACAATTCTCAAAGCACACAGGAGTCATTTACTCTTGATTGAAAAAACTTATAGAGATGTTAATGGCATTTGAATTAATTCCAGAAGATAAAGTAAGATTTTTCCAGAAAATAAAATGATAAGACAAAAATTCAGGCAAATGGAAAGATATAAGCAGTACAAAAAAATGGAAAAGGCATAGTAACCTGAATTTTGATAGGTTACAGAAATAATAATACGTAAAAGAGTTGCAAAAGAATTGTGTGGGATTCACAGTCAAATCATTATTGCCAGAATAACATTTTCAAAGGAGCACAAGAAAGCAAGGACATTTTAAATTATTAGTGCATGAATCACAGAATGGAGGTGGAGAAAAGAGAAAGTTAGATTTTGCTAAAGAGTAAAGACAGCAGGCTTATTCCAAGGAGTATAAATGGGTGTAGGAAGGGCTAAGTATCGAAAAAGAAATAGAACTAAATAGTGAAACAAGTTGTGGAAAGCTCATGTAATTTATAAGATATATGGTCATATTTCTTACATAAAAGGAGGCCCAACAATTCAAAGAGAAAGAAAAAACAAATGTTGAAACATAATCAGTAAATAAAAATAAATAATAAAATATGACTATGTTCAATATTATCAGTAAATGCAAGTTAAATTATAAAATATGAAGAACGGCAAAGCAAAAGAGTTGAATACAAAGCCGCACCATTCGTCCCCGGTAGGAACACCATATTTAACAACTATCTACACACAAATAAAGCACCTTCACGAGAACCAAAAATCAGGTGAGCACTTACATTACCTGGTTTTAACTGCATATTGTCGAAAGAGGCACTAATGAAGGTAGAAAAGACAGTCTTAAATTGCTGATGTCATCCACCTCCCATTGCCTGGCAGCAGCCCGAGAAAGAATCTATGCACTTGGAAGAGGGAAAGCACAGCAATTGTGAGACATTGTATTGAACTCAGTGATTCCCTGTCACAACAGAAAGCAAAACTGTGCTGAACTCCGTTAAAGCCAGTCCATGGAGTATTTAAATCAGCCATAGCCAGAGGGGAACTGTCCATCCCAGCAGTTGTAATTTGAGTTCTGATAAGCCTCACCACCACAGTCTAGAGTGATTGGGGGCCCCAAATAAACTTGAAAGGCAGTTTAGGCCATAAGGATAGCAGCTTGTAGGTGAGTCCTCG
Source organism: Homo sapiens (assembly GCF_000001405.40). Lineage (NCBI taxonomy): Eukaryota > Metazoa > Chordata > Mammalia > Primates > Hominidae > Homo > Homo sapiens. The sequence continues at coordinate 67,697,194 of NC_000013.11, forward strand.
TGCTGAATTGGCCTCAGAGCCAGTGGACTTGAAGGGCATGGGACCTACTGAGACACCAGCTGAGGTAGCTAAGGCAGTGCTTGTGTCACCCCTTTCCCAAACCCAGGCTCCAATAAAATACCCTTTCCTTCCACATGATAAGAGAAAAGGGAGAGCACATTGTCTTGTGACTTGGATACCAGCTCACCCAAAGTAGGTCAGGGCACCAGTCAAAGTCATGAGGCCCCTTTCCCAGGCCCAAGCTCCTGGAAGACATTTCTAGAAACACCCTGGGCTGGAAGGGAATCCGCTGCCTTGATGGGAAGGATAAAGTCCTGAAAGGATCTATCACATGCTGACAAAGGAGACCTTGGCCTCTGAATAACCAGCAGCAACAAATAGAAGAAAGAACTTCAGAGCTTGAAGACAAGGTTTTCAAATTAATCAAATTCAATAAACACAAAGAAAAAAGAATTTAAAAAAAATAAACAAAGCCTCCAAGAAGTTTGGGATTATGTTAAACAACCAAATATAAAAATAACTGAGCTGTGTGGGGTGGCTCATGCCTGTAATCCCAGCACTTTGGGAGGCTGAGGCAGGTGGATCACGAGGTCAGGAGATCAAGACCATCCTGGCTAACACAGTGAAACCCCGTCTCTACTAAAAATACAAAAAAATTAGCCAGGCGTGGTGGCGGGTGCCTGTAGTCCCAGCTGCTTGGGAGGCTGAGGCAGGAGAATGGCATGAACCTGGGAGGCAGAGCTCTCAGTGAGCCGAGATCATGCCACTGCGCTCCAGCCTGGGCAACAGAGCGAGACTCTGTCTCAAAAAAAAAAAAAAAATTGGGGTTCCCAAGGAAGAAGAGAAATCTAAACATTTGGAAAACATATTTGAGGGAATAATTGAGGAAAGCTTCCCTGGCCTTGCTAGAGATCTAGACATCCACATACAAGAACTCAAAGAACACCTGGGAAATGTATTGCAAAAAGATCATCACCTAGGCACATAGACATCAGGTTATCTAAAGTCAAGACAAAAGAAAGAATTTTAGGAGCTATGAGGCAAAAGCATCAGGTAACCTAGAAAGGAAAACAGCAGATTTCTTAGCAGAAACCCTACAAGCTCTATGGGATTGGGGTCCTAGCTGTAGCATCCTTAAACGAAACAATTATCTGCCAAGAATTTTCTATCCAGTAAAACTAAGCTTCATAAATGAAGAAAAGATACAGTGTTTTTCATACAAACAAATGCTTAGAGAATTTGCCCCTACCAAGCCAGCACTACAAGAACTGCTAAAAGGAGCTCTAAATATTTAAACAAATCCTCAAAATACACCAAAATAGAACCTCCTTAAAGCATAAATCTCACAGGACCTATAAAACAATAACATGATGAAAAAAAAACAAAAAAAAAAAAACATAGCCTGATGAATAGAATATTACTTCACATCACTGAATGTAAATGGCCTAAATGCTCCACTTAAAAGATACAGAATGGAAGAATGGACAAAAATTCACCAAGCAAGTATCTGCTGTCTTCAAGACATGCACCTAAAACATAAGGACTCTCATAAACTTAAGGTAAAGGGGTGGAAAAAGATGTTTTATGCAAATGAATACCAAAATCGAGCAGAAGTAGCTATTCTTATATCAGACAAAACAAACTTTAAAGAAACAGCAGTTAAAAAAGACTAAGAGGGACATTATGTAATGATAAAAAGACTTGTCCAACAGGAAAATACCAAAATCCTAAATATATATGCATCTAACACTGGAACTCCCAAATATATAAAACAATTATTACTAGACCTAAGAAATGAGACAGACAGCAACACAATGGACTTCAATACTCCACTGACAGCACTAGACAGGTCATCAAGACAGAAAATCAACAAAGAAACAATGGACTTAAACTATACCATAAAACAATTGGACTTAACATATATTTACAGAACATTCTACCAAACAGCAGCAGAATATACGTTCTATTCATGAACACATAGAACATTCTCCAAGATAGACTATATGATAGGCCACAAAACAAGTCTCAATACATTTTTTAAAAATGGAAATTATATCAAGTACCCTCTCAGGCTACAGTGGGATAAAATTGGAAATCAGCTCTAAAAAGAACCCCCCAAATCATGCAAATACCTGAAAATTAAATAACCTGCTCATGAACAATTATTGAGTCAACAATGAAATCAAGATGGAAATTAAATCTTCTTTGAACTGAACAATAATAGTGACACAACCTATCGAAACCTCTGGGACACAGCAAAGACAATGTTAAGAGGAAAGTTCACAGCATTAAATATCTACATCAAAAAGCCTGAAAGGGCACAGAAAGAAAATCTAAGGTCACATTTCATGGAACTAGAGAAATAAGAACAAACTAAACCCAAACCCAGCAGAAGAAAATAAATAACAAAGATCAGAGCAGAACTAAATGAAATTGAAACAAAAAAAAAATACAAAAGATAAATTAAACAAAGAGGTGGCTTTTTGAAAAGATAAACAAAATCAATAACCATTAGTGAGATTAATCAAGAAAAGAAGAGAGAAGATTCAAATAATCTCAACTAGAAACAAAACAGGAGATATTACAACCGATACCATAAAAAAGTCAAAGATCATTCAAGCCTACTACGAACACCTTTATACACATAAATAAGAAAACCTAGAGAAGATGCATAAATGTTTGCAAATATACAACCCTCCTAGATAAAACCAGGAATAAATAGAAACTCTGAACAGACCAATAGCAAGTAGAAAGATTGAGATGGTAATACAAAAAATGCCAACAACAAAAAATAGTTCAGGACCAGATGGATTCACAGCTGAATTCTATCAGACATTCAAAGAATAAGTCATATCAATCCTACTGACACTAATCCAAAAGAGAGAAAAAGAGGGAATCTCCCTAAGTCATTCTATGAAGCCAGTATCACCCTAATACCCAAACCAGGAAAGGACATAACAACAACAACAACAACAAAAACTACAAACTAATATCCCTGATGAACATAGGTGCAAAAATCCTCAACAAAATACTAGCGAACTTAATTCAACAACATCTCACAAAGATAATCTACCATGATCAAGTCAATTTCATACCAGGGATGCAGGGATGGCTTAATGTACATAAGTCAATAAATGTGATACACCACATAAACAAAATTATAAACAAAAATCGCATGATCATCTCAATAGATTCAGAGAAAGCATTAGACACAATCCAGCAAAAATTTGTGATTAAAATCCTCAGCAAAATCAGCATAGAAGGGACATACCTTAAGGTAATAAAAGCCATCTATGACAAACCCACGGTCAACATTGTACTGAATGGGGAAATTTTGAAAGCATTTCCCCTGATAATTGGATCAAGAAAAGGATGCCCACTTTCACTACTTCTGCTCAACATAATACTGGAAGTCATAGCCAGAGCAGTCAGACAAGAGAAAGAAATAAATGGCATCCAAATCGGTAAAGAGAAAGCCAAACTGTCGCTGTTTGCTGACAATATGGTCATATATCTAGAAACCATAAAGACTCTTCCAAAAAGCGCCTTGAACTGATAAATGAATTCAGCAAAGTTTTAGAATACAAAATTAATGTACACAAATCAACAACACTGCTATACGCCAAGAATGGCCAAACTGAGAATCAAATCAAGAATGCAACCCCTTTTATGATAGCTGCAAAAATAAAATAAAATAAAATAAAATACTTAGAAATATACCTAACCAAGAAGGTGAAAGAATTCTAGAATTAAAACTACAAAACACTGTTGAAAGAAATTATAGATGACACAAACAAATGGCAACACATCCATATTCATGGATCGGTAGAAACTATTGTGAACATAACCATCCTGCCAAAAGCAATCTACAAATTAAATGTAATTTCCATCAAAATACTATCATCATTATTGACAGGACTAGCAAAAACAATCCTAAAATTTTGACAGGACTAGCAAAAAAGAACCTGCATAGCCAAAGCAAGACTAAACAAAATGAACAAACCTGGAGGCATTACATTACAGACTTCAAACTACACTATAAGGCCATAGTCACCAAAATAACATGGTTCTGGCATAAAAATAGAGCACATAGACCAATTAAAGAGAATAGAGAAGCCAGAAATAAAGCCAAATACTTAGAGCCAACTGATCTTTAACAAAGAAAGCCCAGCAATCCCATTACTGTGTATATACCCAAAGGATTATAAATCATTCTACTATAAAGACACATGCACACGTGTGTTTATTGCAGCACTGTTCACAATAGTAAAGACTTGGAACCAACCCAAATGCCTACCAATGATAGACTGGATAAAGAAAATGTGGCACATATACACCATGGAATACTATGCAGCCATAAAACAAAGCAAACTAAAACATAATGTGGGGAAAGGACACTCTACTCAACAAATGGTGCTGGGATAATTGGCAAGCCACATGTAGAAGAAGGAAACTGGACTCTCACCTTATACAAAAATCAACTTGAGATGAATCAAATACTTAAATCTAAGACCTGAAACTATAAAAATTCTAGAAGATAACATCAGAAAAACCCTTGTAGATATTGGCTTAGGCAAAGACTTCATTACCAAGAACCCAAAAGCAAATGCAACAAAAACAAAGATAAATAGATGGGACTTAATTAAACTAAAAATCTTCTGCAACCCAAAGAGTGAGAGAAAATCTTCCTAATCTATACACCTGACAAAGAACTAATATCCAGAATCTACAACGAACTCAAACAAATCAGCAAAAAAAAAAAAAAATCCAATCTCATCAAAAAGTGGACTAACGACATGAAGAGACAATTCTCATAAGAAGATAATAAATGGCCGTAAAACATATGGAAAAATGCTCAGCATCACTAATGATCAGAAAAATGCAAGTCAAAACCGCAATTCAATACCACCTTACCACCTTACTCCTGCAAGAATGGCCATAATCAGAAAATAGTGGATGTTGGCATGGATCTGGTGAAAAGGAAACATCTTTACACTGCTGGTGTGAATGTAAGCTAATACAACCACTATGACAAACAGTGTGGAGATTCCTTAAATGACTAAAAGCAGATCTGCCATTTGATCTGGCAATCCTACTACTGGGTGTCTATTCAGAGGAAAATAAGTCATTACATGAAAAAGATACTTTTACATGCATGTTTATAGCAGCACAATTTGAAACTGCAAAAATATGGGACAAGCCCAAATGCGCATCAACCTACAAGTGGATAAAGAAAATGTGGTCTATATATATCATGGAATACTACTCAGACACACACACACACACACACACACACACACACACAAACACATACACACAGAGTAATGGCATTTGCAGAAACCTGGATGGATTTGGAGACCATTATTCTAAGTAAAGTAACTTGGAAATGGAAAACCAAACATCATATATTTTCTCTCATAGCAGAAGCTAAACTATGCAGATGAAAAGGCATAAGAATAATACAATGGACTTTGGGGACTCAGGGGAAAGGGTGGGAGAGGGATGACGGATAAAAGACTATACACTGGGTACAGTGTACACTGCTCAGGTGATGGGTGCAACAAAATCCCAGAAATCACCACTAAAGTAGTTATTCATGTAACCAAACACCAACTGTTCCCCCAAAACCTATTAAAATAAAAAAAAATTAAAAAATAAAGAAAGACCAAAAAACAAAGAGAAAGAAATAGAAGTGATGTTGAATTCTGTCTCATTCTAATAGTAAGTGATATTTATTTAAAAATACATAACCTAATCGGAACCAAAGCCTACTCATTTTAGTAATAAATACATTTGCCACAATATTTTAAAATTAATAAATATAATTATTTGGAATTTACAAACAAAAAATGTCTCCCAGAAACAAGCCTGGGACCCAATGGCTTCACTGCTGAATTCCACCAAATGTTTAAAAACAAACTAATAATGGCTACTCAAGCCATTCTGAAAAATAAAGGACACACTTTCAAACACGGTCTACAAAGTAAGTATTATCCTGATACCAAAACCAGAGTAAGACATAAAAAAATTATAGGTCAATATTACTGATAAATATTGATACAAAATTCCTAAACAAAACATTAGCAAACTTAATTCAACAATACATTAAAAAGATAATTTATCATGACCAAGTACCATTTATCTCAGGGATGCTAAGATGGTTCAAATCAATCAATGTGATGCCTCACATCAACAGTATGAAAGATAAAAACCATATGATCATGTCAATTCATGCTGAAAAGGCATTTGGTAAAATTCTACATCTCTTCATGATAAAAACCCTCAAAAACTGAGTATAGAAGGAACATACCACAACAAAATAAAAGCTATACATGACAGACTCATAGCTAGCTTTACACACAGTGGGGAAATATGGAAGGGCTTTCCTCTAAGATCTGGAGTATGACAAGGATGCCCACTGTCACCACTGTTATTCAACATAGTAGTGGAAGTCCTAGAAAGAGCATTCACACTAAAGAAAAAAATAAAAGGCATCCTAACTGAAAAGAAGAAAGTCAAATTATTTTTGTTTGCAGATAATATTATCTTATATTTGGAGAAACCTAAAGATTCCACCAAAAAATGATGAGAATTGATAAACAAAGTCAGTAAAGTTGTAGGATACAAAAATCAACATATGAAAGTCAGTAGCATTTCTATATGCTAGCAGAAAACAATCTGAAAAAGAAATCAAGAAAGTAATTCCATTTACAATAGGCAATAGGAACAAATAAACAAAATACATAGGAATTAAGGAAAGAAGCGAATGATCTCTACAATGAAAACTAAAACATCAGTACGAAAAGTTGAAGTGGTCAACAAAAAAAGAAAACAAAATGTATTCCATGTTCATGAATTCAAAGAATCAATATTGTTAAAATATCCATACTACCCAAAACAATCTACAGATTTAATGTTATTTCTATCAAAATACCGGGAGCATTGCTTACTTAACTAGAAAAAACAATTCTAAAGTTTATATGGAATCAGAAAAGGCCCAGAATAACCAAAGCTATCCTAAGCAAAAAGCACAAAACTGGAAGTTTCACATTACCTGACTTTATACTACAGAGCTATAGTAACCAAAAGAGCATGGTACTGGCATAAAAACAGTCACATAGATAGTGGAATAGCATACAGAACAAAAAGATAAATCCATACATGCCCAGTGACCTAGTGATCTCATTTTGACAAAGGTGCTAAGAACATACACTGGGGAGAGACAGACTGTTCAAGAAATATTTCTGGGAAAACTGGATATCCATAAGCCAATGAATAAAACTGGACTCCTATTTCTTGCCATATAGAAAAATCATATTCACATGTATTAAAGACTTAAATTGAAGACCTCAAACTATAAAACTACTACAAGAAAACATTGGGAAAATGCTCCAGGACATCAGTCTGGGCAAATATTTTATTCAGCAATACCCCACAAGCATAGGCAACCAAAGCATAAATGAACAAATGGAATCACATCAAATTAAAAAGCTTCTGCACAGCAGAGGAAACAATCAACAAAGTCAAGAGACAACTCATAGAATGAGAGAGAAATATTGTCAAACTACCCATCTGAGAAGGGATTAATATCCAGAATATATAAGGAGTTCAAACAACTCTATAAGAAAACATCTAATAATCTGATAAAAAATGGGCCAAATATCTGAATAGTCATTTCTCAAAAGAAGATATTTCAAATGGCAAACACACATAAGAAAAGTTGCTCAATATCATTGATCATCAGAGAAATGAAAATCAAATCAAAACTACAATGAGATATTATCTCACCCCAGTTACAATGGCTTATACTCAAAAGACAGGAAATAACAAATGTTGGCAAGGATATGGAGAAAAGGCAACCTCTGTATGCTGTTGGTGGGAATGTAAATTAGTACAACTACTCTGGAGAGCAGTTTGAAGATTCCTCAAAAACTAAAAATAGAGCTATGATATCATCCAGCAAATCCCACTGCTGGGTATATACCCAAAATAAAGAAAATCAGTATATTAAAGAGATATTTGCACTCCCATGTTTGTTGCAGCACAATTCATAATAAGGGAGATTTGGAAGCAATCTAAATGTGCATCAACAGATGAATGGATAAAGAAAAATCTGGTACACATATGCAATGGAGTACTATTCAGCCATAAGAAAGAATGAGTTCTAGTCATTTGCAACAACGTGAGTGGAATTGGTGATCATTATGTTAAGTGCAGTAAGCCAGAAACAGAAAGACAAACTTTGCATGCTCTCACTTATTTTGGGGAGCTAAAAGTCAAAACAATTGAATTCATAGGGATAGAGAGTAGAAGGATGGTTACCAGAGGCTGGGAAGCGTGGTGGAGGTTGGGGGAAAAGTGGGGATGGTGAAGGAGTACAAAAAATATTAGGAAATAATAAATAAGACCTAGTATTTACTAGCACAAGAGGCTGACTGTAGTCAAAAATAATTTAATTATATATTACAATTAAAAGGGTATAATAGGATTGTTTGTAACACAAAGAATACATGCTTGAAGTGAATACCCCATTTACCTTGTTGTGATTATTTCACATTGCATGCCTGTATCGAAATATCTCATGTAAGCCATAAACATATACATCTAATATGCTACCAGAAATTTTAAAAAAACTTAAAAAAAATCTTTATCATTAAATGTTTATATATTTGAGAATATTTGAATATACATATAACTATATCTGCTAAAAATATGGTACAATAATACATTTTAATGGCTTTTTCGGAAGGCAACTCAGAATTAAATATTTTTGACCTTAAAATGTTCCTACCCTTTATGTAAGTAATTATGGTTACATGACAATAACTTTAATAAGCAATCAGATTTACCTATACACTTAAGTCAAGTACTTATACACTATGATATTTATTAAGCATCATTCATTTTTACAGGGAAACTGGAAAATAAAAATAAATATCTTAAGGACATGATAATAGTTAAATATGGTATACCTATTTATGGGACTATTATATAGAATAAACTATTGTATCATATTTTAAATATTTTATAACTTTTTTATTTGCATGACCACATGTGAAATATAAGAAAAGCAGGATACAAAAATGTAAACACAGCATTATTTTAAACTAAGTATATATGTATTATATTAGTTTATACCACATTATATATTTATTCCAAGTTGCCCCTGCTGAGGACAATGGTTTATAGAAGCCACGATCCAACATAAACCCAGCTCTTGCAGACACCACAGTCCTATGCTATACACTTATGTTAAAAGTGGTTATTTATAATTTAGAACATGCCATGTTTGGTGTTCTGTTCCTGTGTTAATTTACTGAGGATAATGATTTTCAGCTCTATCCATGTCCTTGCAAAGGACATGATCTTGTTCCTTTTTACAGCTGCATAGTATTCTGTGGGGAGCTGAACCATATGAACCCATAGACAGGGAGTGAAACAACACACTGGGACCTGTCAGAAGTGGGTGAGGGGAGGGAAAGCATCAGGAAAAATAGCTAGTGCATGCTGGGCTTAATACCTAGGTAATGGGTTGAGTTGATAGGTGCAGCAAATCACCATGGCACATGTTTACCTATGTAACAAACTTGCACATCCTACACATGTACTCTGGAACTTAATTTTTTTAAAAAATAAATAAAAAATTAAAAATAGATAAAATTGAATTTTAAAAAGAGGTTATTCATTGGTGATAGGATTATGTGTAATATTCACTTCTTCTATATTGATGGACTTTCTTAATTTTATAAATGTAGTATATACTATTTCTAAAGAAACAATCATTTTTAAGGTAAACATAGAAAACATGTCAGAGAGCACTGTTGCAGTTGGATTTTTGCTTCAGTAATAAGTAATGCAGGATACTGGAAAACAGACAGGGAGAAACTAATGGAAATAGCCTTGGATTTGTTGATGAAACTTCACCATGGAACACCATTTCATGTTACCTCTCTAAAGTTGTCCTTCCAATTGACTAGTAACTTGTAGCTTGGGCTATTTTGTATGAGAAAGCTGGGTTTATGATGGACTCTAGCTTCTTTAAATCATCATCCCCAGTCAGGGCAGGTAGGAATTAATACATAAAAAAGCATAAACTGATATAAAAGAATACTGGCAATGTAGAATTTTACTTGAGCCTTGTGATTCTGGAAAACAGCAAAGGTTAATAACGTTCTCCCTATTTCACTACTCCTCATCCCTCTATTGAAATAGATTTTTCCCCACTCTTGGAATAATCCTTTCAAATAATGTCTTTTACTAAGTTTTGGTTGGGTTTGTTTTCTGTGTGATGACAAGATTGAAAAATAGTTGTTACTCAAGGAGTTAGCTACAAATTGTTATATTTATTCTTTTCAGCTATCTAATTTCAACATTTGTCACAAAACATTAATTTATCCTTAAATATGCTTTACTTAAAGCTTTTGAAATTTGGTTAAAACAATAACTGACAAACAATCACTACTTTATGTTTTCAAATTTATTCTAATACATACATTGTTTTAAAAATTAACTAGAGAAAGTAAAAAAATTAGCAAATTGATTTACCACTTAAATTTCCATCATAAAGTTAAAATACAAGTTAGTATTTGACATAGTTTGGCTGTGTCCCCACCCAAATCTCATACTGAATTTTAGTCACCATAATCCCCACACATCAGCGGAGGGACCCGGTGGAGATAATTGAATCATGGGGGCGATTTCCCCCATCCTGTTCTCATGATAGTGAGTTAGTTCTCACTAGATCTGATAATTCTATAAAGGGCAGTTCCTCTGCACACACTCTCTTGCTTGCCGCCATATAAGCTGTGCCTTTGCTTCTCCTTTACCTTCTGCCATGATTGTGAGGCCTCCCTGGCCATGTGGAACTGTGAGTCCATTAAACTTCTTTTACTTTATAAATTACCTAGTATCAGGCATGTCTTTATTAGCAGCATGAGAATGAACTAATACAGTATTTTATAAAGTTTGCTTTATATTCCATGGATATATGAGAAAGTAAGGAAAAACTTTAACTCTATATTGGCAAATGTTTTGATGTAAATTTTTTATTTCTTAAGATATTTTGGAATATTTAAAATTTAGAAGTTGTGTCACATTCATTTGACTTTTGCCCAGATTATATACATATATATACACACACCACATATATATATATACACACACACATATACACACATACACACACACACATATATATATGGATATATATATATATCCATATATATATATATATGGAAGGGAATGTGCTATAGGGAATTTTAAAAATGAATTACACATGACGCCTGTCTTGGAGGAGCTGATACAATGTTGGGAGACATAAACTTACTTAAACCTCTCATTATAATGGAAAGAGGAACAAGTAAATATACTACTAAATAATAGGTGTTTTGAGGCCAGTAAGAACAAATTTACTTATGAGAAAACTAAATGTTAAAGCTAGCTCACAAAATGTTATCTCTCTAAGACTAAGTCTCCTCATCTGTACAATGGGTAAAATAAGACAGTGAAAGTGAGGTATGAGGCACCTAATAGAGTGTGGCCCCACATTGTTACAATGTGATAGGTATACTATTGGAATACTAAAATAAAATGCTATAGGGCACAGTGGAAAATGCAATTAATTTTGTCTGAGAAAGCTTAATAAAGAGATTATATTAAATCTGAACCATGAAGGTTCAGATGAATATAAAATCACCAGACAAGAAAAGGGAGGAAGAGCAACACATAAATAGTGCTGTTAAAGCACTTGTCAGACTTAAGAATACAGATATGGCAGAGAAAGGTGGAAGGCTATGGGAAGGTGAAGCCAGTGGAAAGGTGTGCTGAACCAGGAGGTGAAGTGTCTATTATGACATAGCTGGGCCTTCTTGTGTGTTGAAAATGGGAATTCACCTTATGTTAGAAGGCACATTCTGTACTTTAGAAATGTAACCTTACTAACTTGGGAGTAGGTAGACTGAAGGAGAGAAAGGATAGAATAGATATTAGGGGTGTATTACAATTGCCTGGGCAAGAGATATTTAAAGCATAGAGCAAGTCAATACTAGTAAAACACAAGGAAAAAGGAGATCAGTAGGTATTTAGCAATTAAATGTAAGTAAAAAATGCTTTCTAGGTACAGGTGAAAAGACTTTAGCTGTTTTGTTTTGAGATGCTTTTGAAACATCCAGATGGAGGTATCTTATTTGTAGTTTGTGATAAGTGAAAATATGACCTTCTGACTGCTTAGCTGTTAGGGGATAACTGAAAATTGAAAAATAAACCATGACCTGTACAACGCACCCTGACTTTCAAAGTAAATTAACCAAATAAAACAAAAACATAATAGCTTTCATAAAATATCTAAACTGCTTCTTAAAAAATACCAATTCATTCAGAGCCAGATGGTCCAAAATATTCACAGACAAATTAGTCTAAAATTCACTATGTACAAATGCATGGATTCTGACAAACTGAATATGAAAATGGACAGTGGTCAAGTCATGAATGACTATAGAATGTTAACTCACAAATTCTGCAGCAATCAGCCAAAAATGGTCACTGACTGCCAGCTTCCACAATTTTTGTCCGTACCTCCAAGCAGAGAAAGACAAATATGTTTCCCAAACCAATCATAAAGAATGTCTCACTTCCAGTTACTCTGCCTCTAGCGTTCCCCTGAAAACAATCTCCAATCACAGAACATCTTAAGCCTCCCCCTTCCTATTTTCAAAAGTTTAAAGAAACGCCTTCCCATTTCCCTGCCTATCTCTGAGTCTCCGCAAAACTCAAGTGATGGTGACTGACTCCCTTGTTATAACAAGTTTTGAAAAAACAATCTTTGTTGTTCTCATTTGAGTGGTCTTTATGACTACAGGTTTAAAGGAAAGAACACTGACTTCTGTGATTGGAAATTCTAAACCATACATTTCAATACTCTCCTATAACCCTCTAGCACAAAAACAAAGTATCCTTTCCTAACTTTCCTCCTAGTAAGAGGCCCCACGGGTACTACATTACGGGTTTTTGCTTGTTAAAGCAATGAATATATCTAACTTTGTTGACAATACCTGTGTTCCTGATAGTATTTGTCCGATGGGCATCAACAGTCGAATTAGTTCTATGGAAGAAAATAGAGATATTGGGTGAGAAGGTAAATAGCATAAAGAAGTCAAATGTAGGGATTATTTTAGAAAGTTTAGTTAACATTTCTTGAGTGTTTAGTATGTGTCAGGTGGTATAAAATATCCTTTCTATATATTATCTCATTTAATCACCAAAACCACCCAATGACTGTGGCTCACTACTCTCATTTACATATATGGAAAATGAGAATCCAAAAAGTTTAAGGTACCTAGAAGTTATGAACAAATAGTAATACAGGTGGCTTTTGCACAAGGATTATCAGACTCCATAGAATCTATCCTAAAGACCAAAATGCTTCAGAAAGTCAAAATAAAATGAAATCTGAAAAAAGAACACCTTCTAGTCAGCTGTAGGTCATCAATAAATTTGGTGAGAGTAGTATCAGAAGTATGGTGGTGGCTGAGACCCGGCTGCTGTGGGGGACCCAAGGGAAATGAGAAAGTGAAAGTTACGGATACTAATTAACCTCTCAAGATATCTGGTCAGACAGTAAAAGAAAATGGTGTCTTGATAAGAGACATGACTATAGTTAGTAATTACTGGGTGAGAGGTAACTGAAGATGATTATAAGTAGAAAAATAATGGAACCAGTCAAAATGGAGTAACTGAAGATACTCCTTAACAAAATGAAAGTGTTACATTATTAGAGAGATGGTTTGAAAAAGCCTGTGGAGCAAGGAGGAGTCAACAATTAATAACAGAGTTTTAGTATTTACTCTTGTTAAATAGGAACAAAGCTTAGTCCTTTGTGTGGAAATTTAATTTTTGGAAATACCAAAATACCAGTAGTCAATTTTGGTAAATACGTTTGATGATTTTTATGAATATTATCATTCGAAGTTCAAATCAGATATGATAATAATATTATGATATATGTTACCTTAAGTGATTTTTAATCTTCAGAAGTCCCAGATATTTTTAGTATTTTTACCATTATAGGAGCACTATATACAGTTTCCTAACAAGTGAACAATTAATGTTGATATATAAATTCAAATATATCCACATGCATATATTTAGCAGAAGACTTCAGGAATATTCATGTCACAAGATGCTAAGTAATATAAAATTATATTTATTAATATAAATATATACTGTATATGTAAAATGTATCTTATTTATATGTATCCTGTGTGTGTGTGTGTGTGTGTGTGTGTGTGTATCTCCCAAGACAAAGAACGTTGCATTTATCTTCGTGTAAAGTTGTAACCATTGCAAAGCCATATCTTGAGCCTTGAAATCTTGATATTTAACTTACTTGTGTTTTTTAAAATGAGCAAATACAAATTCTAACATTATTAATATCACTATTTCAACCTACAAATCTATACTGTATAAAGGCTGATGGGGTATGACAAACTGAGATCCAACCTTTTTCTATAAGATCTAGGTGATTATTTTCTTTTTGAAATAGAGACATCAGCATAATGACGTCTGCTTCAAGTTTTCTCGGTTAGGGGGGAATTTGAGTTTCAATCTTTTTGACATTCTTTACAAAATCTCTTGTGCTCATCAAATAGCAGCATTTGTAGGATGTCTAGAATGTGTAAAATTTGAGCAATGATAATTAGAATCTGAAAGGGAAAGTCACCTTTAAAAAAAACAAAAATAATGAGAAAACGTTTTCCTTTTTCATGGCCCAGACCTGATTCTGTTTATACATTCATTGTGAGTATTTATTGTTATTGAACTAAAAAAGCTTACTGCTGATTGAGTTTTTCCTCTCATCTTATTGATTGTAAGGAAAACTTAAAATGACTACTAGGCTGCCAAAAAGTCTTTATTGTTAACTATAATTTGTTAGCATAATAAACTATGAATATTGCAAGCTCCAATTTCCAAAATAAGCATAAAAGATGACTGAATACAAAAAGGCAACTAAATAGAATGATACACTGCACTGATAATTGGAGAAAACACTCTGTTTGAAATGTATTCACTTCAGAATGAGAATAAAATCTTACAAAAGTAGACTGCTTCAGTTTCAAAGGAAATGATTTCAATGGAGCACTTCATATCATAAAACCACCTTGGAATGTACCCCTTATGTCATTCTAAAGTGTCTGATGCATGCTCCAGTCAAAATAACAACTATTTACAGATACTGCCATAGGCCATTTACCCTGCTAAAGAGTTTGATCTCCTTCAAGAGTTTTACATGTCACTCTTATTAACACTTATTTTTTAAATCAATCTCTTTGTACCTATTAGTCAGAGGTATGATGTGGTGAAAAAAAAACGCAGCCATAAGCAGCAACAATAAAACTTGTTTTGTGTGTTAGCATGCTGAAACAACCAAAATAAATCCACTATAAATGTTTTTGCCAAGATAAAAAAAAACCCAATTGTTACAAAATTTATTTTGTGTTTGCAAAATATATTCCTTACTTTGTTGAATCTTATTTTTCAAATGCTATCGTGTGATTTTCAAATAATTTCAGATTTGTAGATGATGATGATGATGATGCTGCTGCTGATGCTGATGCTGATTTGAGATTTAGTATCATACATAGAGGAGGAATAAAAACTGCATTGGCTTTGGTGACAGCTCCCATATGTGAGCTCTAAAAATCCTTGGAGAGCTAACAAACTTTTTTTTGAATGTTAAATATGAGGATCTCAGGGTGCCACCATTCTCTACAGCCCAGTCTTTTAGTGGTAACGTACCACGACGGTAGGAAATAATGTATCCAGAGATGATTATCCCTGGACCTCAAACTTTTCTATGATGATAGAAAACATTTTTTGTTTTAATGCATATTATATCTCTAGTAAATAATGCACCATGCTTACTAGAAGAGAATGTCCCTAAATTATGAAAATCACAGTTAGTGAATTCCTTTAATTATATATTTCCACATAGTTGATTTTATTAAAATTTTCATTTATGAAGGGAAGATTTACAGCAGAAGATGCAGATATAAAAACTTTAGGCAAGTACATCAAGATGCATTAATAATTTTAAAAATAATCAATGTAGTAATAATAAACCTATTTTTATAAATCAGACCAGAAAAATTTGGCTAATTTTCTCAAACTCACACAGCTAACAGGTAAAAGGATTTAAGACAAGGACAAATGTAGGAAATTTTAAAATTTATCTTTGGCTATTTTCTTTCCTTCACTTTTTACCTCCCTTCCCAAATTATTCTGGTCACAGTAACGAAAATGTGGGTTAATACAATTGCATTATTATTTTTGCCACTTTATAGCTCAAATATGATTTTGTGCACCCCAAATCCTGAAACCAAAGTACCGTTTCATGAGAAAATGTGTCTTGAATTCTGAACAATCAATATGCAAACACTTATTGGTCACAGTTCATAGATATGACATGCTATATGCTCTGATTAAAAGATAGACCCAATATAAAATGTTCAATAAGGGAAATGAAATAACCCTGAAAATTACATCATTTAAGAGTGAGTCATCAGCAGGTGTGTTTCACAGGGAATGGATTTTAAGGCTTTCAGCTATAACTTGTTTTATGGCAAGTTGTTAATACTATAAGCATATCAGAGACAATATGATGTTGTCATGAATAAAATCTTAGCAGAATCTTAGCATTCAAATTTCCTGTTCTAAAGCCAGTAAGGAAGATATTTTTCTTTAAAGTATACTAAAGAAAAAGGAGACAGTAAAACTACTTAAGCAGAGAGTAAAAGAATGTTGAAATAAAAGAATACAGATAATGCTTTTGACATAGGGCAGGTATAATCTATTCTAATTTCAAACAATACTCTTTAACTACAATTTATAATTTCACCTAAGATGATTGAATTTATTCTTACATATATTTAGTTTGGCTACAGAATTATGTCTGGAGTCACTCAAATCTCACACAAAAAAACACACATTAAGTCTGATGCAAATAATTAAGTTTTTAAACATATAATATTTGATAAGTTTTCTGAGAATAAATTGTGTCACATGTAAATTTCTTCAAGTTAAACTATTTCAGATTTTATTTGGATAAGTTTCTCCAAATGTTTCTGTAAGTATATCTGCTAATTTCTGGAAACAAAATAAAAAATAAAGAAACATGATTTACTATGAGTTGATAATACAATATAAATTATAATTTGGATTATATAAAGCTATCGATTATCAAAATGACTAACATTTGAAAATAATATACTCTTTCATTTATAGATACCCACGGACTATGCTCTCATATATTTACACTCTTGACATATTATTTTAATAAAATAATAATTAATAATTGTATTTACTATGTGTATTTAAGGTATACAACATGATGTTATGAGATACATATATATAGTAAAATGGTTAACTATAGTAAACAAATTTACATATTTATCATCTCACGTAGCTACCCATTTCCCCTGTGGCAAGAGCAGCTACAATTAACTCATTTAGCAAAAATCCTGAATACAATACACTGTTATTAAATATAGTCCTTATGTTTTGGATTACATCTCTTGGGTATAATACTCAGAAGGAATAAAATCACCACCTCATGAATATAACTGTATACCCATGTTCATTGCAGCATTATTCACAATAGCAAGATATGGAATCAACCTAGATGTCCATCAATGGATAAATGGATAAAGAAACTTCTGTACATTAGGAAATATTATGCACATACATATATATGTGTGTCAATATGACAATATATAATGCATATATATGTATGTCAATGTAATATTATTCAGACTTAAAAAAGAAGAAAAGAAGATTCTGCTACAGGCCACAATATGAATAGACCTGGAAGACATTATGCTAAGAGAAATAAGTGAGACTCAGAAAATATTACAAAAGCCCACATATATGCAGAATCTAAAGGAAAAATTAAGTTAAATACATAGAAATAGAGAACACAGTGGTTGTGTACCACGGTTGGGGTGGTGGAGACGAAGGCAATGGAATGGAGGTCAAAGATTACAAAGTAGCAGATATGAAGAATGAACAATTCTAAATATCTAATGTATGACATTTATTTTATACTTTTATCCCTTAAAATTAGGGACTCTCATAACAGATTTAATTAATATCAAAACAATAAAGTAATCATATACATATTTAAGTAATAGATTGACAAATTATTGACAAAATGATTGCTAACTGTTTAAATATCAGAGTCAATTTTTCAAATTACATATTGAACAACAGGTAGGTTTTAATAACAAAAGCAGTCAGGAGTCAAATGAAATAGAACTGTGGAACTGGTAATTGCAATTTTACCTAAAATAAATAAAGTTAATGTTACATAAAGAAGGAACTGTTTTTTAAACTGCTATGAAGAGATTCCATCCCCTACTTTTTTCTAATGACTTGTTGAATATATTCTCATTAATGCTATCTGTAGCCTAGATGTTGTAAATATTTAGGCTTTAGCCAGAAGTATTCCATTCAGTAGGCCTCCAAAATTCAGCAAGAATATGATATTGATAAATTTAAAATGTAGTAGTTTTCTTATATGTAAAAACTTGACATATATTTTAATTTCACTATTCAAAAGTATTTATAATTGTAATTATCATATATTGATCCATGACTAGAATGCTTGTGAAAGTCACATATATGGAGAATGGCAGGACATCATTGCAGTTTCAAAGAAAAGTTTCAACTAACTATTTCTGGAAGACTCAAGAGAATGCCCCAGAAAACAGCCTATTTATCTACAATGTGATACGTAGTGTTTTTCTCCTGTCTGGTTCTATCTTTTTGTTTTGATATCTGATTCTGAAACTTTAGATACATACAAAGTCAGGTTATTATGTCAAGTTTATGAATTGTCTGCAGTTTTGTCTCCTGATAATACTACCAAAATGTCACTGTGTTGAAGTGTAGAAATAGGACAACTCTGTGATCAGGCTTCTGAGCTCTGCCAACTAGTATCATTCAAGCAGCTAGTCAGTTGACATCCTCACTGGGGTCATGCTATTTTTTTCCATGCAAGTACAGAGGCATTTTTGCCTTACTTCTAATTCACATCTTTGACTCTGAAGGATGTTTTAGAATCTTGCAGAATCGTTGGTGAAACAGTTCTTTCAATTTCATTTGCAGTTCCTTCTCTTTAGGACTCAAACAAGAGGCGGCAGGGCCTGAGTCTGAGGTCAGTCCACAAGGAACCATCATGGATTCCAAATGGTCCCAGCCCCCCAACAATACAAATGAAGCGGTGTCATTGTCTGGGGTAATACCCAAGGTTCATTGTCTCATGCCAAGGAAATCAAGAATGGGGACACGCAGGTAGTGAGTTTAAGAGTGAAGGTTTAGTAGGCAAAAGAAAAAGAATAGAGAATAACTGTCCTGCAGAGAGAGAGAAGCACCAGAGTGGGTCTTCCAGTTTCATGATGAAATGCACAAGGTTTTATAGACAAGCTTGAGGAGGTTGTGTCTGATTTACACAGGGCCTGAGAGATGGATCAGACCAGGTATGAAGTTCGCATAACGTGTAAAGAAGCCAGCCATCTGCCCTAATCTTTTATTATGCGGATGGGGTCTCTACCCAGCCGGTGCCATGTTGTCTTTTCTTACTGTACATGTGGTTGATAAAGAAAAGAGAAGATGGAGCTGCCATGTTGAACATCCCTGGCCTCCAGGTATCTGTCTCCTATTGCCACAGCTGTCAGCATTTACCTATGCAAGTTTTTAGCTTGCTTATCTATGTTTGCAACTCAACTTTATAGGCTGCTCTTTGTTAGAAAAGAAATGATTTGGGGGCTTCTTTTCAATAAAAGGAAAACCTTACCAAGGACTTCCTTACCCTCACTACCTGCCTAAATAATTTCTTTTTAACTCCTATAGCACTGAGGCGTTGCTGTGACATTCAGCTTCTGAGCCTTTCCTCCCTCTTCACTTAGTAAAGCCTTTCCCAAGAAGCAGCTTAGTCTATGATGCAAATAGTTTCCAAATAGACATACCCAACCAGTCTTTTAGACATCTCCAGGCGTGTTGGAACCCTAGGAAAAGCCCTAGTTATGCTCAAATTTGAACTCTACATTAATGGTTTTATTCAGAGAACACGATTTTATTTGTGAGCTGTTAAAGAAAATTTGCATTAAACCATGTTAAATAGTCAAGAAACACTTTAATCAAGATTATTGGTACAAGGGAGAAAGATTGAACTCAACTCTGCTGAAACAATAGTAGGAGAGTTTTTAAGTGTTGGGGTGAACAAGTGGAAATGTACTGGGGAGTATTACAAAAAAGTTGGTCAATGTGATTACATCATCTGTGTTTGCTAATTGTCCCTTATAGAAGTTAGGCTCCTACATTCCTACAGAGACTGAGAGGGCACTATCTTTATTGATAGTTGCATCTCAAAAACATGGCATCAAGGCCCTTGACAAAGACATTCCTGAGTTAAAAAACTGATGAGTTTGGGAAAAGTTTTACATCTCAAAGAGACAGAAAAATATTTACAATTGTAAGTTTTCTATAGTAAATGCTCTAAGAAAATAGAAATCTGGGTCTGTAGTCAGGAAGAAACCTGTCTAATGTTTAGTGAAGCTGAGAATTATTGAGGCCGTACTGATCAAAGCTAGTATCTGGTCTCTCCAAATTTGTTCACCACAGCAACCTAAAGAGAAGTCTTAAGATTAAAGCAAAAGTAATAGCAATGATAGTGATAATGGAAAGGCTGATTTATTGATTTCTTTGTATTAAGCATTGCACTAAGCTGTTTACATGGATTCTTTAATGTATTATTTAAAATAAATCATTGAGGTAGTGAGTATTTTAATTCCCATTTTCCAATAGAAATACTGAATTTAAAAAATTCATCCACATTCACTAAAACGTAGGTGTCAGAGCCAAGGTTCAAACCCAGGTATTTGATACCAGAGCTAATGGAACATGTATTATCAGTTGTACATTCGCCACATACACCTAGTTCTGGTAAACCAGTCTAGGTCAAATGAAGCTGGAAAGAGTCAATTAAAGTTTACTTAATATAAGACATTTCTATTCTGCCTTCACATTTTTTTCCATATCAATTTTTCAGTTGGTAGTTATATTATTATTAACTTATTTGGACAATCTATTCACTTCTTTCTCTCTGTCAACTTACTCTCAGGATTCTATTCATCAAAGAAGAGTATTTTTGCCTAATTTGTTTCCTGTTTGAAATGTTAATATTATAGGTACCTAAATAAACATAAAATAGGATCAGCGAATGACCTACTAGAGGTAAGTGTACAAGACTTAAAGAAATAATGGTCTGGGATATGTCTACCTGATTCTTATAACTCTAAAAATAGATCTAACAGCATTCCGTGTCAGTCTTCTCAGATCCTCATCCTATACTTAAATGTCTTGATCTCAATAATTTGAAACTGAGAAAATATAAAACTGTAGAAAAGAACATAAGTGAAAAAGACTGTTGTCTATAGCAACTAACAGTAATAATATTATTAAACCATAAGCTAAATGTAGGTGTAATTCAGTGCCAAAAATCTTTCTAAAATTTAGGTTGTGTACAGTGTAGTATTTAGAATAAGAAAAAAATAAATGCAGACTTGAAAGATGGGAGTGGAAGACAATTTATAACTATCTTTAAATGTTTAACTATTTGTTACGTGAAAGCAATTACATTAATAATATAGATCTAAACATATCAGAAGAAAAAATAAATATGCTAACTACAGAATATTTGATTTCTACTAAAACCAAAGGCTTAAAAATTGATTCATTGTCTAAAAATACAAATAGTTATCTTTGGGAGATAGACATGTCTCTATTATTAGAGGTATTCATACTTAATTTTGACCACAGATTATAGGATAGAATGGAAAATAGACTAGAGAAGTACCTAAATGTGTTCTTTTAGGTTTATAATTTGTTCGTTCTGTGATTCACACTGTCTTGCTCAACTATTCAAGTTACTTCTATTATATTTTGTTCTTTTCAGGAAGGTATCAACCAAATAAACTTTGAGCAATTCTATGGGACAAGAATTGGAATAACATTGGGATTGGGAATAGGGGCAAAAAGTAAAGTATTATAGAATCTAGAATGATTTATATTGAATTAGAAGAGATTAGAGTATGATATCCACCATCAAAGCAAAAAAAAAAGGACTGCTCTGTGGAACAGGAGGCTTATCCATCACTCTAGGAGTAAGAACTAGAAGGGACATTTAATTCAACTTGTAATAATGTTTCATTATTGGAGGTGTTTTTGTTATGTTTCATTTTGTTTTTAAAGAATGAGATGACATGTGAAAGACCACATTACTTATTATTAGAAGGTTTTAAGGAAAGGATGAGTGAGATACTTTATGAATTTTGTGTCAGAATTTTGCCATTTGGTGGAATATTGAACTGGATGATGTCTAAGTTTCCTCCAATATCAGAATTCAAATTTCATGATCTTTTAGTTTATAGAAATGGATATGTTGCAGATATTACATATACCACCTGATGAGAGACTTTCCGTATGTCATCATTTTTCAAAACACCATCTGCCATAAGATTCTATTACTATGTAGCCAATGATATACCAACATGAAAATTAGTATACCACCTGGCTTACATAGTTTTTGAATGAACGTTTCAATACTTCGTCATGAGGCAAACGCAATGACTCAGTTGTGCTAGACAGCCACAGTCCATTATGTAAGTAACTGTGTTAAGCTTAACTACTGCTTTTATTAAACATAAAAACAACCAGGTATGATTCTCATTAGTTCCCTGACCAATAAAGTGTAAAGACCACCTGAAAGCCCAAGTATTATTACTCTGTTATTTGTTTACCACCACTTTAAATATATTAAGTAATACAGTTATTATGTGAATTGGCTCTAATATTCCTTTTGAATTTGTATAGTTTCAGTTAATGACTATAAAGTCCTACTGTTAGGTTTAGTCATTATAATTCATTAGGTAACATTTGTTTATATTATTAAATCAAAATTTTAAAAGTATTTAAAATAGTCAAATTTTTAATATGAGTTGGATGGTAGTGACGTACTATAAATAAATTTTAAGAATAAATCATATTTCAGTGTTCTTATACATAATTTCTTGAGATTACATAGTCAAATAGCTTCATAATGGCAAGAAAACGTAAGTAAACACATTGTAAAGTTGAATGCAATTTGGCTTGAAATGTTATATTTTAATAGAAATATCATGTTTGTCACATTTTCAACTTAAGCTTTTGACACTTTGTCACTATGAAGCAGACACGCAAATATAATAAAGTTGAGAAAATTTTAATGTAGGGTGCTAACAATGACAAAATTGTGCTTTTTGAGGTGATAAACTCTTTGAAAGTTACAATCGCCAGATTAGTTGTGTAAATTTTATCTCTAACAGCATTTCACAGGAATGAAGTAGTGACAATAATCACAGCTAGCTCTTACTGAGTGTTTATTATGTGATAGTCACTATATATAGCACTATACACATATTATCACATTCCCCAAGATAATTTATAAAGAAATTATTTCTTTCAATTTTTGCTACCTCCCCCAACTGCTTTATGTATGAGAATATTGAGGTTAACACAGGTAAACAGAATTATTGTGTTATGGGGCAAGCAGGGAAGTTGATTTTGAATAATTGTATTATAAAGTGAAAGAGTTTGAGATAAGGAAGAATGGCGATTAACTAAAGTTAGACAGAAAGGTAGGTAGGGCCAGATAATAATGGGCTCATATACCGTGGTAAAAATGTCAGCTATCATTCTGCAGATGATGAAAAGCTATTTTAGGGATGTGAAAAAATGGAGTTGTAGGATTAGATTTTAATGAACAAGACAAATCGAGTCCATAATATTAAAAAATGATAAGTTCCATGAAGAAAATAAAGCAGGCAATAGTAGAGAGAGTGACAAATGGTGATGACATCAGGGAACATAATTTGGATATTGTAGTGAAGAAGGAATCTTTGAAGAGGTGACATTTTAGCAGAGACTTTAATGATGAGAGACATTTGAGCTGAGAACTGAATATTGGGAAGGAATAAGTCACCTAAAAATTTCGTTCAATAAAGTTGTAAGTAGAGGTCAAGGTCAAGGGCAAGATCAAATATGCTGAAACTAAGAAAAGGTTAGTGTACTTTAAGAACAAGCAGATGCCCAGTACACACAAAAGACAATGAAAGAGAGGAAATATAATATGATGTGATGTCTGAGAGGAAGGAGAAGGTAGGTCATGTATATGTTCTTGTAGACACCCTAGCAGCATGGAGTTTGGAGTGAAAAACACTGGCGATGATGGTTTCTCAATGGCTCCACTTTCCTCAGCCACTAGGTATTATGATAAAACTCATCAATCAGAAGTAACACAGGGAGAAGAGCAGATTAGATCCATGATGATATTTGTAGGTTAACAACAAAGAAAATGAGTTGTTTTGAATATATTGAATTTTAAGTGCAACTGAGGCAATTAGCTGGAGATCTTCTAAGGAGAAATTACATACTTTGTAGGTCTGTATCACAAGGAATGAAGTATGAAATTTTGGAATTGTAAGCAAATACCCAAGGAATGAGGTCTGAGGGTGACACTTTCAGGGATCCAATTGTAAGGAATATCAAAAGAAATGAAGTGTTAACTGTCGAAGGAGGTAAAAAAAAATAACTAGAGTGTGCAGAGTGAAGAAATACTGAAAACAAATACATTTTAAAAAATATAAAAGGTGTTAAAAGCTAAAGAAATTTTAAATTAGATAAGGCAAATATTATTTGCCAATTTTGGTAATGGAAAGAGGATCAGGAGTGAGTTTAGGTATTTTATGAAGGTACAGTCATTAATAATAATCTAAAATATCACTTCTTCAGAAAATTTTCAGAACTTTTTAAAATTCATAGGGAAATCCAGAAGATTTCTGTGTCTGTTTCATCTAAGACAGAGAACATGGGATAGATATGGAGAGAGCTGCTTCCTGGCCTTCGGAATGTAGCAAGCCTGCTTCTGCATGATGGTATAGAGATTATGAAAACTAAAAGGATGTCAATATATGTCTTAAGTATAATTAGTAGTCTCACTCTGCTTGCTTGCTTAAACCATGTATATATATACACACACATACACACATGTGAGTGCGCACACACACACACACAAACACACATATATATATTTTTTCCACTCTCCCTTCTACTCCCACTTCTTCTATTTCAGTAATTCTCTAGCTTTATATTTTGTTGTCAATCTAAATACCTGTTATGGGCTGAATTTTTCCCTTCAAAATTCATATATTAAAGCCTTAAACCCTGATACTGCACAATGTTACCCAATTTTGAGCTAGGGCCTTTAAAGATGTGATTATGTTAAAATAAAGCCATTAGGGTGGGACCTAAACCTCTCTCTCTGATATCCTAATAAGAAGAGACAACGGAGAGACACCAGGGATGCATGCACAGGGGACAGGCCACTTGAAGAGGCAGCACAAGAGGGTGGCCATCTGCAAGCCAAAGAGAGAGGCCTCAGAGGAAATCGACTTTGCTGGCTCCTTGGAATTCAAGGCTCCAGAACTGTAAGAAAATAAATTTTTCTTGTTTCAGTCACTCAGCCTATAGCATTCTGTTATGGCAGCCCTGGAAAACTAGTACAGTGTCCTTCCTTGTTTGTGTGATTTTTTGTATTATTGTCTCTGGTTTCAGCCCATATTTTTCCCCACTTGCCTCCCTCTTCTGTGTTTTCTATTCTGCATGTTAGTTAATTCTGATAATCCTAAATATTTGCAGTAATTTTTATATATTTTCTAAATTTTTCATTTATATTTGTGGTTACATAGTAGGTATATATATTTATAGGGTACATGAGACATTTTGATAAAGGCAGGCAATGTGAAATAAGCACATCCTGAAGAATGGGGTATCCATCCCCTTAATCATTTTGTGCCCATTAACCATCCCCACCTTCTTATCCAGTCCCCTACTACCCTTCCCAGGTTTTGGTAACCATCCTTCTACTCTATATCCATGAGTTCAATTGTTTTGGTTTTTAGACCCCACATGTAAGTGAAAATGTGTGACGTTTGTCTTTCTATGCCTGGTTTATTTCACTTAACATAATAATCTCCTGTTCCATTCATGTTGTTGCAAATGACTAGAACTCATTCTTTTTTATGGCTGAATAGTACTCCATTCTGTATATGTACCCCATTTTCTTTATCCATTCATCTGTTGATGGAAACTTCAGTTGCTTCCAAATCTTGGCTATTGTGAATAGTGCTGCCACAAACATGGGAGTGCAGATCTGTCTTCAATATGCTGATTTTCTCTTTCTTTCTTTCTTTTTCTTTTCCTTCCTTCCTTTCTTCCTTCCTTCCTTCCTTCTTTTCTATCCTTTCCTTTCCTTTCCTTTTCCTTTACTTTTCTTTCTTTTTCTTTTTCTTTTTTGTAGAGATTGGGTTTTGACAAGTTGGCCAGGCTGGTCTTCAACTCCTGGCCTCAAGTGATCCACCCACTTGGGCCTCCCAAAGTGCTAGGATTACAGGTGTGAGCCACCACACCTGGTGATTTTATTTCTTTTAGTTATATACCCAGCAATTGGGATTGCTGGATCACATGGTAGCTCTATTTTCAGTTTTTTGAGATACCCCCAAACTGTTCTCCATAGTGGTTGTACTAATTTACATTCCCTTCAATAGCATACCAGAGCTCCCCTTTCTCCACATCCTTGCCAGGATTTATTATTGCCAATCTTTTGGATATAAGCCATTTTATCTGGAGTGAGAAGATATCTCATTGTAGTCCTAATTTTCATTTTTCTGGTGATCAATGATAGTGATCACCTTTACATATGCCTGTTTGCTACTTGTCTTCTTTTGATAAATGTATATTCAAATCTTTTGACTGTCTTTTGACCAGATTATTAGTTTTTGGTTTTTTTTTTCTATAGAGTAGTTTGAGCTCCTTATATATTCTGGTTATTAATCTCTTGTCAGATGGGTAGTTTGCAAATATTTTCTCCCATTCTGTGGTTTGTCTCTTGACTTTGTTGATTGTTTCCTTTGCTGCGCAGAAGTTTTTTAACTTGATGTGATCCCATTTGTCAATGTTTGCTTTGGTTGCCTATGCTTGTGGGGTATTGTTCAAGAAATGTTTGCACAGAACAATGTCTGGAGACTTTCCCCAATGTTTTGTAGTGTGTTCATGGTTTAAGTTCTTAGATTTAAGTCTTTAATCCATTTCTATTTTATTTTTGTATATGGTGAGAAATAGGGGTCTAGTTTTATTCTTCTGCACATGGATATCCAATTTTCCCAGAAACATTTCTTGAATAGACTATCTTTCCCCAATGTATGCTCTTGGAACCTTTGTCAAAAATGAGTTCACCTTAGGTGTATGGATTTGTCTCTGACTTCTCTGTTCTGTTCCATTGTCTGTCTGTTTTTATGCCAGTACCACACTGTTTTGATTACTATAACTCTGTAGTATAATTTAAAGTTAGGCAATGTGATTCTTCCAGTTTTGTTCCTCTTTACTTAGAATAGCTCTGGCTATTCTGAGTCTTTTGCACTTTCATATAAATTTTATGGGGTTTTTTTCCATTTCTGTGACGAATGTCATGGTATTTTGATAGAGATTGCATTGAATCTGTAGATTGCTGTGGGTAGATGGACATTTTAACAATATCTATTTTTCAATCCATGAACCTGGAATATTTTTCCTTTTCTTATCTTCTTAAATTTCTTTCATCAGTGTTTTATAGCTTAAGTCATGAAGATCTCTCACTTACTTGGTTAAGTTAATTTCTAGATATTTAATTTTATGTATGCCTATTGTAAATGGGATTTTTAAATTTCCTTTTCACATTGTTCACCGTTGGCATATAGAAATGCTATTGATTTTTGTATTTTGGTTTTGTATCCTGCAACTTTACTGAATTTGTTTAGCAGTTCTAATAGCTTTCTTGTGGAGTCTTCAGGATTTTTCAAATATAAGACCATATCACCTGCAAACAAGGATGAGAAACTATAAGAAAAGACAAAGAAAAACTGAAAGTCTTTCCTCTAATATCTTTCAGTTTTTCTTCATTTAGTATAATACTAGATGTGTATCTGTCATATATGGCTTTATTATTTTAAAATATGTTTCCTGTATGCCAAGTTTTCTGAGGGTTTTTAACATTAAGGGATGTTGAATTTTATCAAATTCTTTTTCAGCATCAATTAAAATGATTATATGGTTTTTATTCTTTATTCTGATAATGTATCACATGTATTGATTTGCATACATTGAACCATCCTTGCATCTCAGGGATAAACCCCACTTGGCCATGATAAATGATCTTTCTAATGTATTGTTGAATTCAGTTTGCTAGAATTTTGTTGAGGATTTTTGCATCAGTATTCATCAGCAACATTGGCCTGTAGTATTCTTTTTTTTTGATGTGTCTTTGGTTTCGTTATCAGGGTAATACTTGCCTCATAGAATGTGTTTGGGAATATGCCCTTTTCCTCTGTTTTGTGGAATAGTTTGAGTAGGATTGGTATTATTAGTTCTTCTTTAAATGTTTGGTAGAATTCAGCAGTGAAGCCATTGGGTCTGAGGGTTTTTTTGTTTTGTTTTGTTTTGAGACAGAGTCTTGCCTGTTACCCAGGCTGGAGTGCAATGGGGTGATCTCAGCTCACTGCAATCTCCACCTCCCAGGTTCAAGCAATTCTCTCTTTGGCTGGCTGTAATAATATTTCATTTATATTATGCTCCAGTTTGCGGTACATATATATATTTAAAATTTTTGTATCCTCTTGCTGAATTGACCCTTTCATCATTCTATGGTAATCTTCTTTGTCTTTTCTTATAGTTTCTGTCTTGGAATTTATCTTGTCAAAGTATAGTGACTCCTGCTCTTTTTTGATTTCCGGTGGTATGGTATATCTTATGCCATCTCTTTATTTTCAGTCTATTTGTGTCTTTATAGATGAAGTCTGTTCCTTGTAGACAACAGATCAATGGGTCTGGTATTTTCATCCATTCAGCCAGTCTATGTCTTTTTATTAATCAGTTTAATCCATTTCCAATCAATGTTATTATTGATAAGTAATGACTTAAACCTGACCTTTTTTGTTATTTGTTTTCGGGTTATTTTGTAGTTTTCTCTTCCTTCTTTCTTTCATTCTTCTCTTCCTTCAGTGAAGGTGATTTTCTCTGATATGATTTAGTTTCTTGCTTTTAATTTTTTGTGTATTCATTGTATGTTTTTTGGTTTGAGGTTACCATAAAGCTTGCAAATACTATCTTTTAAACTATTATTTTAACCTGATAATAACAACACTATTTGCCTAAACAAATAAGCCAAAGGAAAACTAATAAAAGCTTGCCTTAACTTTGTCCCTCTGCTTCTTAACTTTATGTTGTTTCTATTTATATCTTATTATACTATGTCTTGAAACGTTGCTTTAGTTATTATTTTTGATTGGATCATCGTTTCACCTTTCTACTTAGGATGAAAGTTATCCTAAGTAGAAAGTAATACCACAGTTACAGGGTTATAATGTTATGTGTTTTTCTGTGTACTATTACCAGTAAGTTTTATACCTTCAGGGTATTATTTATTGCTCATTAATATCTTTTTCTTTCTCATCGAAGTAGTCCATTTAGCATTTCTTTAGGATGAGTCTGGTATTCATAAAATCCTTCAGCTTTTGTTTGTCTGGGAAAGTCTTTATTTCTTCTTCATGTTTAAAGGATATTTTTGCCAAATATGGTACTCTAGGGTAATTTTTTTCCTTCAGTACTTTAAATATGTTACATTATTCTCTCCTGACCTGTAAGGTTTTCATTAAAAAGTCTGCTGCCAGACATATTGAAGCTCCTTTTCACCACTATGACTGTGCTGGATCAGACCTGAAGCCAGCACAGTTCTGGGTCTTGCCCAAGGCCTGCTGTAACCACTCCCTGGCTACTGCCTATGTTTGTTCAAGGCCATAGCGTTATGCAATCAGCAGGTGGCAAAGCGAGCCAGGCCTGTGTCTTTCCCTTGAGGGCAGCAAGGTTGTCAAGGCCCCAGGTGGGTCCAGAGTGCCTTCCAGGAGTCAGGGAATAGAGCCATAAACCTTACACGTCTACCTGATTGTGTTAGGCCATTTTCACACTGCTATAAAGAACTATTTGAGACTGAGTCATTTATAAAGAAAAGAGCATTAAATGACTCACAGTTCTGCATGGCTGGGGAGGCTTCAGGAAACTTACAATCATGGTGGAAGGTGAAGAGGAAACAAGGCACATCTTACATGGTGGCAAGGGAGAGAGTGAGAGCAAGGGGATAACTTCCAAACACTTTTAAACCATCAGATCTCGTGAGAACTCACTCACATCATGAGAAAAGCATGAGGGAAACCATCCCCATAAACCAATCACCTCCTAACAGGCTCCTCCCTCAACATATGGGGAATATAATTTGAGATGACATTTAGGTGGGGACACAGAGCCAAACCATTTCACTGGTATTCTGTTGTATTGTGACTGAGCTGCACTCAAACCACAAAAACAAACAAACAAACAAACAAAAAAACCACTCTTCCCTCCCTTTTCCAAAGGCATGGGAGCATCACGCCATAGCCACTGACACTCATGGCCATGAGGACTATGGCCAGACTACCACCACTGTTTCTTTAAGGCCCAAGGTCTCTTATGTCAGCTGGTGGTAAATGCTGCCTGGCCTGGGACTCACCCTTCAGGCCTGTGGGTTTTCCTCTGGCCCAGGGCAGGTCCAGAAATGCCGTCTAAGAGTTGAGTCCTGGAGTCGGGTACCCCAAGAGCCTGGTGAGTGCTCTACCTTCCTGTGATTGTGTTGGTACCTAAGGTACAAGACAAAGTCTCCTTTACTTTTCCCTCTGCTTTTCTCAAGCAGAAGGAGTTTTGTCCCATAGCAAGCACAGCTGGGAATGTGCTGAGTCTCACTTGAAGCGAGCAAGTCTTAGAGGCTTACCAAGGTCCTTGTGGTACCTGGGTATTACTGCTGGTTATTCAGGGCCCAAGGGCTCTTCTATTAGCAGGTGATGAATGTTTCCAGGACTGGATCTTTTCTTTCAAGGCAGTGGATTCCCTTCTCACCCAGGGTGTGTTTGGAAATGTCATCTGGCAGCTAGGGCCTATAACAGGGGCCTCATGACTGATCAGTGCCCTGTTTGCTGTGGGTTAGCTGGTATCCAAGATGCAAGACAAAGTTCTCTCCAGTCTTCCCTCTCCTCTCTTTAAGTGTAAAGAAAGGGTCAATTTTGGAGCCATAGACTCTGCAGTCTGGGGTTAGGGGAAGGGTGATGCCAGCACTTCCTTGGCTGCCCCAGCTGGTGTCTCAGTATGTCATGTGTCCCCCGAGTCCACTGTTTCTGGGTCTAGACTTACCTAAGAATTGTTGCAAGTTTCAAGTTTACTTAGAGACTAGAAGCACTTTGGCTCTGGGTTTGCAGGCACTCAAATTCAGACCAATGGGATTAGCAAAGTCTCTCTGACTAGGGCTGTTTTAAATGTTTCCTGTGCGTGCGGACATCAGCTATGTTTGGTCTGGTTTTTCTTTCTGCTCTAACAGGACAGCGGTAAGTTCAATGCCTCACAATTGTTTTGCTCTCCCTCTCCCAGTGCCAGAAATGCTCTCCACACCATGTCCCACCTGCAGAGGAAGAGGTGAGAGAGGAGTGGTGCTGAGAATTCAAAACTGTTTTTTTTTTTAATCTCTTCAGTGTTTCAGCAATATGTAGTTAAAACCAAGAACTACGAATGCTCACCTGATTTTCGTTCTTATGAAGCTGTTTTTCTGTGTAGGTAGTCGTTAACTTGATGTCCTTATTGGAGGGACAATTATTCTGCCATCTTGCTCCACCTTCTTCTCTGAATCTGCACTGGTGTTTTGAGAAATACAGATTTTAAGTCCCTGATGTCATCTGAAGGTAACCATCCATAAATATTTTAGATATTGACTATATTGACTATATTATGGTAATAATTCCATGCTGATAAAATCTACTGATTTATGTATTTAGATATGGCAATGTAGGGAATAGGCTACGTGACTGAAGAGGTATCCAACCTGGGAAGAAGCCAAATGCAATAAAGTAATATTAAATAAGAATGAATGTAAAACCTTACATTTAAGTCTCAAAACTGAATTTCTAATATAAAGGAGAGAGGATACAACCAAAACACCACATGTGATGCAAAAAAAAAAAACAAAACAAAAAACTAAAACAGACTTGGACATTTTAATTAACTGTCATTGAAATATTTATCAATGCTGTTAAGTTTGCAATAAAGGTTGATATAAACTTAGATGCAAGAAAAGTAATTTTCTCAGCATTTTCTAGGCTGCTCATGCTGTACTTAAATAATTCTAGCTTTCAGACTTTAAGAGAGATATTAACTAACCTGATGAGGTCGAGATGACAGGCCTACTGGTACTAGGAGGTACGGCTTTAACATGAATTTTGGATGGACAAAATTCAGCCCGTAATAAGTCCTAAGGTGGACAACAGAATGTGAAGCTAGAGAATTACAGAAATAAAATAAGGTAGAGAAGAAGAATAAAAAGAGAGGGAGAGATTAATGGCTTGAGCAAGCAAGCAGTCAGAAGACTAATTGAGTAGACTCAATACCATTGTATGCAAGGAAAGATCTAGGGTAATTTTGTATTAAAGATGAAAAAAATAAAGTATCTCCATAACAGGTATCTTGAAATATTTAAGGGTCTTTATTCAAGAAAGAAATCCAATTTTTTTTTCTAAGCAGTCATAAAACAAATCTTTAGACCTATAGGGAAATCTTATTATAGTAGAATGGTATATTTAAGAGTTTATTAAGAAATATTTCCAGCACTTTGGGAGGCTGAGGTGGGCGGATCACTTGAGGCCAGGAGTTCAAGACAAGCCTGGCCAACATGGTGAAACCCTGCCTCTACTAAAAATACAAAATTAGCTGGAAATGGTGGCGCACACCTGTAATTCCAGCTACTCAATCACTTGAGCCTGGGAGGCAGAGGCTGCAGTGAGCGAACTGAGATCACACCACTGCAGAGTCTAGCCTGGGTGACAGAGGGAGACCCTGTCTCAAAAAAAAAAGACATTTGCTTAAAGAATAAAATGGTCGAAGGAGTTAAGAAGTAAGAATTTTTTCCACTGGCAGGACTCAAATTGTCATTGGACAACATTGTTGCTCAGTTTCAAAGGTACATTGAAACATCCACTGAGGATTTTAAATTATGCAGCACGACACGAGTGATTTTGTGGAGTTGCTTAACAAACTATACACTACCACAGAAGCAATACGAAATGGGCAAGTAATTTGAGTTCTTATTTCTCAAATTTGTCTTATTTAAAACATAACAGGCTAGATTTTATATGCATTGCATATCAGGCTTCTGAATATGACTATATCACACTTGCTTCTCTTCCTCAGACTTCATACATTATTGTATCTCTCAGGATTTGGGTGACAAAACAGAAGCTACCACTCTCAAGTATTTCGGGCAGAAGGGATTTTTTTTTTTTTTTTTTTTTTTTTTTTGTGAGGGACTAGGTTACAACATTGTAGGAAGAACTGAAATACTTAAAAAGGGAGGGTAGTCAATGGGAAACTGCTATACTCCTGAAGGAGCAGAAATTTGTCTGGTGCAGTTGCCAAAGGAACCCAAGCTTATATTTTGTGCCTTCAAAAGCTCTACTTCTTTTCTACTGCTGCCTGCTCTTGTCACCAGTATTGGGGATCTCCCACTGCCAAAACATACCAAAACTGTGATGGCAAAGATGCTGGAAAATGACATTTCTGGGGTTATAACACCTGCAATACAGAAAAGAGCATTGAGAAAGGGAAGAATTGTGCTGAAAGGCCAGGAAATAATATGGTTTCAATCCTACCTCCTAATCTCAATTGACACAATTTTATCTATCATGGTGAAAACAAAAGTAATCAGATATGAACTACTTTATATGCCTACCAAAAATGCATCAACCTATGACCATCCTTATTCATGATCTTCCATTCCTTCTTTTTACAGTGTAAGAACCATCCTAGATATAATTTTAGCTCAATTCCTTCTCTGCTGCCATACAGCACAGCCTCCTTCAATTATCCCCATTATCAATATTTTAATTCCTCTTTACTGAGTTATTCTCATATGGAATACAACATACGGTAAAATTTCCTATATGAACAATGTCCTTTCATACTAGATCCCTTCTTTGCCTACCACTATATACCTTTGTACTCCTGTATTTAAAAAAAAAAGTTCATAAAAAAGTTAACTATAGAAATTATATCCATGTCCTCATTTCACATCCTCTTCTTAATCTTCTATAATCACCCTTCCATTCTATCAAAATCAAAGAACTCTATGTTTCCAAATTCAAAAGTTAATTCTTGGTTTTTATTCTTAATCTACCATGAGCATTAGAAACAGCTAACTCTTTTCTTTTTAAAAAATCTTTATTCTCCTGGCTTTCTTCACACCAAATTCACAATTTAAACTGTTATATTTCTTGCACTTTGACCCCAATTTTTGTACTGAGTTTTTTTCTTTTGATCCTTAAATGTTGTATGTGTCATTCTGGTGCTCCTTCTATTTTCCATCCTAGTATAAATTTGATTTTATCTCATCTAGCCCCACATCTTCCAATACAATCACAATCTATGTCTCTGACACAGATCTCTTTGGAACTGCAGATGGATAACAAATATCTTATGCAACTCCCCTACTATGATATAAAGCAGGCTTTTCTGGCTCAATATTATTAACAGAAAACCCCTGATTTCTAAATTGCTCATGTCAAAACCATATGTTATTATTTGTGTATAGTTCTCATCCCTACTTCATTTCATCAGGAAATCCTATTACCGCTATGTCTTAAAAACAAATCTCGAAGTGGTTCAATTTTCTCCATCTCTACAAAACACTTATTCTGCACCAAACTCAACTATAGCCTCAGAAATTGTAATAGCTTTCTAACTTCTCTCTGCTTCTCCTCTTGGCACCAGCAGTCTGTTCTCCACCTAACCCCCTACAACTCTACATAGCAGCCCCAGCAAATAACCTCAAATTCAATCAGACCACTTTGCTTGCTTACTTTAATCCAGTGGCTTTCCATTTTAACTGAATTAAAATTCTGTCGGCTATCCTGATATACTAATTACTACATGAATTAACTTTTATCTATCTGACTAAACTCCTCTACAGCTACTCTCGCATTTGTCTGGTAATTCCAAGGAACAGATCTGCTTTCTGTTTCTTGAATCTACGAAGCTTGTTTTAGCTTCAGGGCCTTTGCTCTAGCTGGCCCCTCTGCCTGGAAGGTGCTCCCAGCCCACTGAGCTCCTTGTCTGGTAATTCCAAGGAACAGATCTGCTTTCTGTTTCTTGAATCTACCAAGCTTGTTTTAGTTTCAGGGCCTTTGCTCTAGCTGGCCCCTCTGCCTGGAAGGTGCTCCCAGCCCACTGAGCCCCTGAACTTTCATCTCCTCTGCTGGGGAGGTCTCCCTGAAACCCAAACTAAAGTAACTAACCGGTCACTTCTCTCTGTTATTAGTTTTTAATTTTCTGTTTAGCATGTATTCATGGCTAATTATCTGGTATATTTACTGAGTTTTCCTCTTTCTACCAAAATGTAAACTTGTTAAGTACAGACACTTTGCCTGTCCTGTTCACTGTTAACTATTCAGTGTCTGAAAAAGTGCCTGACACTTCAATTTGGCTTAAAAATATATGCTGAATGAATGAATTACAAGAGTTTATGTGAAGAATTAATTACGTATCTAAAATATTCTATAAATTTATTATTCTCACTGTTTTAATTTAGACAGTTTATCAGAAAACGTTTTGTCTCTATTTCCAGATAGTAAATATTTTAGGCTCTGTGGCCCATATAATTTTTGTTGTAATTGTTCAGTTTCAGCATTGTATTGCAAAAGTTGCCATGGACAATATGTGAATGAATAGACATGGATGTGTTCCAGTAAAACCTTATTTACAAATGTTGCTGACAGGCCAGATTTAGCCCATGAGCTCTAGTTTGCTGATAACTGATCTGGATTTGTAAATCATATGTAAAATTATGTCAGGTGGGCCGATGATTTAAGTGAGTCTGAGAAAATTCTACTTTTTAATGTTTTCCCAATAATGTTTATTTTCATTTTTAAAATTTTATCTATCCTTTAGAGCTACTGCTCCAGTTTTAGATATTCACTTCAATGTTTCTGTGCATTTGATTTTTAAAGTTGGGAAAGATTACACCTTCTTCTCTGAGCATTTGGGTGTATAGTAGTGAATGGTGATTAATATTTATCGGGCTTTCATTATTTGCAATCAATTTTACTCTTTCTCTTGACAGCTTTTTCTTCCACTCCCCTGAAAAACAATACAAAAACATTTTCACCCTTCTCATATATCTCACGTCTCTTCCCACTCTCTTGTCAGAAGAGTTTTGTTTTCATCGTAGACAAAAATGGAAGTCATCAAATGACCATTTCTTAGTCTCCTTGATGCCAATTTAGAATCATTTTTCATCTGTGATTATCCTTCTATCCTGATACAATTAGACAAAAGTGTTCCTTCAAAGTCTTGTGCATTACCTTTGTTTCACTTCTTTTCCTTCTCACATATTAAAACCTTGTACTGTTGGTTATTCTCTAACTCTCATCCATGTTCAACATTTTCCCCTCTACTGTATCTTTTCATTGACACACATTCTGATTTATCACATCAGTCAATAGATAAATAAAATTAATAAATAACAAATTAATTACACATTAAAATTAATACTATTAGTAATAAATTAACAAAAACAAGTAAAACAGAAATCATTCATCCATATACAGTCGTCCATCTATTCCACACACAGCTCTACTTTTCCCTTCCTCTTGCCTTTTATTTAGTATTAACTTTCTCAGAAGAACTTTCCAAAGTCCTAATAAAAGTTTATCTTCTGTAATTAACTTCTGAACATATTGCAATTTATATATCTCTGTTAAAGTCATCAATGACACCCATGTTGATATATTTAATAAGTGTATTTTAGCTTAAAACCTGTATTTTCCTCAACTTACTTGACTCTTTCCATGTTTAGAACATTTTTGCAGGCCCCATTTATCCCAGATGGAAAATTCCAGTCCACTCTAAGTAAAAGCAAAATTACCAGAAGTAACAACTTGTGCCTTTCTCAAGGAAACTGAAGAGGTGCTTTCGTTTTGCTCAAATCAACAACTGTTCTATTTTGCTGAAAACTTGAATGTCAGGATACTGAAAACCTGGCAGTTTCTTTTCCCGGAATCACTACCACTTGTCCCAAGCATGGCTTCATCAGCAAAATCCCTATAAATCCCCTATCCAGTTTAATCTCTTTGAAACTGTTTCTTCAGAGGCTGTTATCCCTGCTGTGCATCAATTTATAAAGGGGAAACTTTATTCTTTCAGATCTCCTTGTTTATTTAAACACAGGATTAATTATTTTTTTATTTCACTTTACTTTTTGTTAGGTTATTTGAATTATTGGACAATACAAGACACTCTTTCATTAAAGCATTTCTTTATGGAATAAACAATATCACACTTTTCTTGTTTCCACCTTTTGGCTACTGTTTTGGTTTCTACTTTTTGGTTTTATCTTTTTTATATGATTCTTATATTTTGACTTCTTCTAGACTTGCCTTTATCATGGCTATATTGTCATTTTAATCATTCTTTCTAAGATGCCTTACTCATTTTCATAATTTCCAGTATAAAATAAATCTCAGTGGTTCTGGTATAATATAAATCTCAATGGATCACAAAAAATGTATATCCAGAGCAGTCCTTCACATTGACCCCCAAAATCATGTGTCGTGTGTGTGTGTGTGTGTGTGTGTGTGTGTGTGTGTGTGTGTGTTTGAGACGGAGTCTTGCTTTGTCACCAGGCTGGAGTGCAGTGGTGCAATCTAGGCTCAGTGCAACCTCTGCCTCCAGGGTTCAAGTGATTCTCCTTCCTCAGCCTCCCGAATAGCAGGGACTACAGGCATGCACCACCAAGCCCAGCTAATTTTTGTGTTTTTAGTAGAGACAGGGTTTCACCATGTTGGCCAGGATGGTCTCAATCTCTTGACCTCAAGTGATCCGCTGGCCTCAGCCTCCCAAAGTGCTGGGATTATAGGTGTGAGCCACCGTGCCCAGCCTAGTGTGTGCTTTTTTAAACGGATTTTTTTTCTTTTGCCAAAGAAATAACAAAATCTTGACATGTTCAGAATTGAAGACGTAGTTCCCCACAAATTTTTTCTCCAGTTAACCTATCTTAGTAAATAAACTGCCCCCCGGAGATCTTGGTAGCAAGAAATATGACATCTCCTTCTCTCTCTATCCAGTTGTGTCCTTTCCCTCTGACCATTCACTAGACTTTACCTCCACTGCCACTAGTCTAAGCAAAACCATCACATCTACCCTAATGGGGAGAAAGTGCTTTTCTCTGGTTTTGAAGCCTCTGTATTTGTTTCACACCCATCTTCATAGAGTAGGCCAACCATCTTTTAAAATGCCAACTGAATCCTCTCTTAAAAATACTAACACATCCTCTTGTAAAATCCCCACAATGTTTCAGTATCTGCCTTATTTATGCTGAATTTCCCACACTGAATGCAGTATTTGGCACATAGCAGGAACTCAACAAGTTGTTAAACTCATCATTAAAGTCAATGAGTAACTGACTGAGTGGATTATAGTTCTTGACAATTTAGAGAAAATTTAAATATCTGTATGCTAATGAGGAGATACAGTCAGTGAACCAAGGGGCAAAGTTACCAGTGATCAGAATGCGTACCCTTTACAAGGAACACTTATATGTTCATTTAGGGGAAAATTCTGTAAGAGTAGAAAACTATATCTATGATTTAAAAAAAAAAGATTTTGCAAAAGATGTCATCTGTTACCTGTGTGACTTTGATATTAAATGAAAATATTGAGGATTATAAGACTTACTAAAGACTTATTTATAGACTTCATTATAAAATATAAAATTATTTCATATATTAAATATATTAATATATTTAGTATTAAACATGAATGCATTAATATAGAGTATAAAATATAAAAGACTTTATACGAAAAAAATTCTAATGGTTCTACAATCTATGTAATTTCAAGATTTATGTATAAGAGGATAGTGCATTATATGCTCATGCCATTAGGTTCATATTTAAATTTTTGCAAACCCTTAAGTGAAAATAAAGGTAGAGTTTTTCCTTACAAAGCTGACTCAAGTGCATTGTGGCTTCATGCTCAAGCCATTTGTTTTCCATTGAATTGACCCCACTTTTCTTTGGCCAAGAAAGGTAATGTCAGACTCATGATTAGCGAGTAGCAGAAGAGTAGTGCCCTGAATTTAATGCTGATCAAAACATATTTTCTTTTTTTCAAAACTCTACATTTCTTCAGCAGCTCCTGTTGAAAAGCAAAACTGTCTCTAAGCAGAGAAGGGGCTCAAAGTCTTTCAATTCAGATCAGACTGTATAAAACCTTATCCTGCCACAAGGGAGCGCTTTGCTTTTTTCTGTGGATGACCTTGTCCCACTTTTCCTCTGCATTACCCATTAATGAATTCCCTGTGCTGTAAGTGAGATTATGCATTATTTGAATACCAAGTTGTTCTCATGCATAAAACCAGGGTATGGGGAGAAGGCAAAATAGTTTTTACTGTGAATGCACTGAGCCACTTAAGTGGCTGTCAGGTGTCCCTCAGTTCAACAAAATCTTTTCTCAGTGTCCCCTGTCCCCTGGGAAGTTCAGAACATTTCTTTGGAAATGCAAATGTTTTTCTTCCCACTCCTACTGCATTTCTTTGAAGCCCACATACAAGCCATTATTCAAAGAATGAGTAATCCTGAAAAGTCCCCTGGGAGATCATCATGATGCATACTGAATATAATGTAAGACAGAACACAGAATGAAGTATTTTTTTTTTGGTAAATAGCTTGTGTAGTTAAAAAAAAAGTTAAAACAAAAAAGTTTTTGCCTCAAATTGTGTGCGTGTTTATTTCAGCAGCAGACTGCCATTTTTTAAAAAGACATTTGAGGCTGCCAGATTAATCTTTAACTGTATTTTATAAACATCATAACCCATATCACATTTCAACCTCACATTTTTACCGTCCTGGGCCATTAAGATGTTTTACGAGGTTTCATAAAGTATATATAAAATACTTGAAAATGACTGGATGGAGAGTGACTGAGACTGTGTTTGGAGGAAAGAAAAGGATGCTATCAAAACAAATCTAAAACATGCTACACAATATATTTTTAAAAAGTGATTCTTGACAATGCAAACTTCAAATGAATTAGAATAAAAGGGGAAATTTACCAGTGTTTAATCATTAACTTGATGAAC
Organism: Homo sapiens; assembly: GCF_000001405.40. Lineage (NCBI taxonomy): Eukaryota > Metazoa > Chordata > Mammalia > Primates > Hominidae > Homo > Homo sapiens. The sequence continues at coordinate 67,737,572 of NC_000013.11, forward strand.
ATAGATCTTCCTGAATTTAACAGTATGCTTTTTATAGTAAAATATGAGAAAAGTCTTTAGAATATTTTTAAATGATAAAGGTTATACTCCATGGTAGTAATAACAACCAATATTAAATTTATTCTTTTATTTAAAATAACTGAAAACATCAAAAACTTCTTTTTTCACGAACAACTCTTTGAGGCTTTTGCTTATGGCCATGTACTCCATTCTCAGGTACTTTCTATCCCCCTTTCTTGCTTTTAATTTTAACCATAAAAATGATCTTAATGTGACATACTATTTTTACTTTTTTTTATTTTTTAATCAGAATATCTTCAGGCTTTCAAAAAACAGACAGGTTCTGATTCAGAGAAAGATTACTGTGAGAATTACAAGAATGAGGAGTATACAGATGTTTCGGGATTTAATGCGGATTCCAAGGCAGGTTAATTTTTGAAAACATAATTAATTAATTTAGAATTAGTTTTTTTAATCTTTTTATGTCAATTGTGTAATATACTTGTTAGACTTTTGTGGTTCCATCACAATATTTATGATTTTGGGAGACAGCGTTGGCTAATAGAAATGATAATAACCTGAGTGCCAACACCAGAATTGTAAACACATGTAGAATATGAACTACTTTTGTTGTTTGGGGCATATCATTTTATTGCCCCATCTCTTGAAACAGAGATTTGGACTTGTTGATCCTTAATATATTTCTAACTTTTCTTGATTCTTGACTTTTTATACTCATTCGTTCATCTACTTTCACTTTCAACAAATATTTAGTAAGAATCTGCTATTTGTTGATGACCTAAAAATAGTGAATAAGCTAGAAATAAATCTAACCTATAGTCAAGGGAAATAATATTAAAAACATAAACAAATATATAAAAGAGTAGTGATGAAAATAAATCAGAATAAGGGCGTAATGTGTGTAGAGATTAGTTTAGTGTGGATAATGTCAGAAGGCATATGAAGAGGTAACATTTGATATGAGCCTGGAATGATGAGGTTGTGTGAAGATTTTAGGGAAAATAATATTTCAGGTTGAAGAAACAACAAATTCTAAAGGCCTGGAATAGGAATAAGCTCAGAGTATTCGAAGAAAAGAAAAAGTCAGTACAGTTGATGCAGAGTATAGTAGTGGTAATTGTGAAAGGTAGGCAGGGTCAGGCCATCTTGGGCTTTCTACTCTAGAAATGGAAGTTACAGGTTTATTTTAAATGTGAACATAAGCCATTGGGCATGTTTTAATAGGTGGAGAGTCACTTTTGGTAGCTAAGTAGAATCGATTATAGGTAGGCAAGAAGAGAAACAGAGAGACTAGTTAGGAGGTTATTGCAATAGAGTATAAGCGAGGGAGATAGCAGTGAAGATGGTGAGAGGTGATCTATTTAGAATATATTTTATAAGGCCAGTGCAGTGGCTCACATCTGTAATCCCAGCACTTTGGGAGGCCAAGGCTGGCAGATCACTTGAGGTCAGGAGTTTGAGACCAACCTGGTCAACATGGTGAAACCCAATCTCTACTAAAAATACAAAAATTAGCCAGGCATGGTGGCATTTGCCTGTAGTCTCAGCTACTAGGGAGGCTGAGGCAGGAGAATTGCTTGAGCCCAGAAGGCGGAGGATGCAGTGAGCCGAGATTGTGCCACTGCACTCCAGCCTGGGTGACAGATTGAGACTCCATCTCAAGAGAAAAAAAAAAAGAATATATTTTATAGGTAGAGTTTATGGAATTATCTCTTGGATTCCCTGCGAAGGGTAGTGGAAATAGAAGATTCCAGAACAACTATGAGTATGTATTTCTGGATAACAGCTTTAGTTTCGGGATTAGGAAAAAATTCTTGGTAGGGAGATTGTGAGGGTATTGGGCAGTCATCAATTTTTATCATGAGAAGGTGTTTTATTACCAGCTAGCAAAGTACAGGTGAGGATTTAGAATAAATCTGAATGACAATTCCTATTGTACTTTCATCATTATGAGACAGGTAAATATGTCATTTCCCTGCTATAGTCACTTTAGTTAGTCTTCATTTCCTTGCATTTCCTTGCCTTCCCTTTCATTTCTTTCATTTTGTTTAGCTTTTCCTTTGTGGTATGTGTTACAAATACAGATATTGATGATTTTTAAAGTCTGAAATATTGCACCTGCCCTGACATTTCTTCTGATCCCATGGCTCTAATCCTGTGAGCTGGTTGGGAGGTCCAAAGCCAGAGGCTTCTCTGGGCAACCAATTTAGTCTGATGTTGCAAGAAAAAATAAATCATTAAGCATGTAAATGCCTCTTTCTGGGAGACATTTGTAAACTATATGAGTTCTAGACTGAAGTCTTTTCCATGACCCAATAGCAACAGCCATAACCAAGAAGATATATGCAAGTGCTGATGAGTACACATTCTGAAGGTTACTTTGATATATGTGTTTGCTGAGAATCTTAGTTGATGTATTCTCTAGCTCAGGCCTAATTTTTCTTTTCAAATAAGCAATGATCTAAATTCTCAGGAAATCATAAGATCTAGTGACTTTGCACAGAGATATTTTGCATAAGATCCAGATTTTACTCATGATTTATGATTTACAATATTAGGCTATTTTGTATGCATTGTGAAATTTGTTGCTTGCTGTTATTGGTTAGGGGGAGAGGAGAGACCAGAAGCTTTAAAGGAGAGAGGATCACAAGTTCCCTTCATACCTGTTATGGAGACAAAAATTGTTAGCAATGGTGAGATCTAATTCCAACTTGATAACATCATTTGAAGTAGCATGTCAACAGAAGATTTCAATTATTAATTAATAATAGTCAACACTTACATAGGATTTAATATTTTTCAAGGATTCTTATGTGATTTCCATATATGTTAACTCACTTAATCCTTATAATAACTGTAGGAGATAGGCATTATTATTCCAATTTTAGACAAGAAGAAATGGAAGCACAGACAAGGTCAAATAACCTGTGCAAGTTACACGGCTATTAAGTTTTAGAACTGTGAATAAAACCCAGCACTCTTAACCACTATGACACCTAGAAACATTAAACAGCAAGCTAGCACAAGTTTGAAGACACCTTTCTTAAAAAAAAAACCTCATAAACATGACATATTTCAGTTGTAAAAATATAAAATATCATTCTGTAATATGTGCACATAGATATTAGTATGATTTTGTTTTTAACAATTGATTCTTTTCTTTTTATTTATTCAGTTTACAAATGTTTACTGAAATGCTTGTTGTAGGATTTTGTAATTCAACAGTGAACAGAAAGACATCAAATCTCACCTTCACTGAGTTTACTTTCTAAAGGCAGAAATTTTTGAGACAATATTTTGCTTATTTTTTATCTTTTGCCTAACAGACAAGGAATAAACATCGTTGACCTAACAGTGAGTGTGAAGAGGATCCTAGCCCAAGAGTGATATGACCATATATGTCTCAGAACGTTTAGGCATAATTTATTTTTTTGGCTATACTGTCAGAGGCCTTTGAGCCACAGCAACTCCATCTTGAATAGGGGCTGGGGAAAACAAAGCTGAGACCTACTGGGGTCCATTCCCAGGGGGTTAAGTCATTCTAAGTCACGGGATGAGATCAGAGGTTGGCACAAGATACAGATCATAAAGACCTGGCTGATAAAATAGGATGCAGTAAAGAAAACGAACCAAAACCAAGATAGCAACAAGAGTGACCTCTGTTTGCCTTCACTGCTCATTATACATTAATTATAATGCATTAGCATGCTAAGAGACACTCCCACCAGTGCTATGACAGTTTACAGATGCCATGGCAATGACTGGAAGTTACCCTATATGGTCTAAAAAGGAGAGGAACCCTCAGTTCTGGGAATTACCCACCCATTTCCTCATGAATAATTTCCCACCATTCCTCATGAATAATCTACTCCTTGTTTAACATATAATCAAGAAATAACCATGAAAATAGCAACCAACAGCCCCCTGGGGCTGCTCTACCTATGGAGTAGCTATTCTTTATATCTTTACTTTGTTAATAAACTTGCTTTCAATTTACTTTATGGATTCTTCTCAAATTATTTTTTGCATGAGATCCAAGAAGCGTCTCTTGGTGTCTGGATCCAGACCCCTTTCTGGTAACAATACCACACCTTTACAAGCTGGTGATGATTGATTTTTAGTGCCTGCAAAAGTAAACTGAAGTTTTAACCCACTGGAAATCTAAGAGAACTGCACTGAAGGAGGCAATTCACTAATTAAATCCCAGTATCATTTCATGGGAAAGGATTTTTGTTTTTGTTTCTCTTTCACTAACACTTCACAGCATCTACAGAACATTAAGTCAGCTAAGAATTCTATAGCACTTGCTTGGTTATGCTTCAGAGGAAAAATCATTAATGACAATAATCTTTGAAGGCTTACGTGGAATGAAGAAAGCTACATTTTGGCACTTCTCTGAATTTCTCCCATTTTGAATTAAGCAGGACAAATGGGCTCCTGAATGTTGTTATTGCATCTTCAGCCAGCAAGAAAATGGTATTCTGTGCTGCTCACTTACATAGAATATTGGGATATGAAATAATCAGACAACCTTTGCGTCTGGAATATCTTCCTTCAGGTTTTACACAATCAGCGATTTATTTTGCCCATTAGACAGTGGTTTCACATAATGTTTTGCTGTTGTTTTGAAGTGATAACATTTTAAGTGCTGGTTGTCTTGTTTGGATGAGGGTGCTTATTTATGAATGTTTTCTGAAGACCAGATAGAGGCGTTTGTGTGTCTTAGACAAATCAATTAAAAAACACACACATAAATAAATGAAGCACATCTGTAAAACACTTTTACTGTGACCTAGTTAAGGGCTTTTGTTTTATCACTGGTAAAGTGTTTTCAAAACATTTACGATCATTAGAATTTGATATCTGAAGTTTGCAGGGTTTTATGCTGTTGGTTGTTGGAGAAGGATAGCATGTGTTGTTAGCAGTGCAAACTCAGACATCTCAGAAAGCCATTTTTAGACTTCTTTTCTTCTCTATTTTTATTAGTAACCTTGCAGCTCAGTATGAGAGCTTCTCTGTGTGAATTCACAAGGTGCCAATGCTGTGGTGTGAAATTGAAGTATGCAACTCTGCCCCCAGGAATTTAGCAGCCTGGAGTTGAACTTTGATAAAAATGAATGGATTACTTCTCCCCAATGGGAAAAGCTGAACGACCTGGTGTGCAAGGCATTAGATGGTGAATCAGAAGTCATAGCCTTGTCACTTTCTTGCTGTGTGACCTTGGGCAAATCAATTAACTTCTCTGTGCCTCGGGTTCTCCATCTGTATAATGAGGACTGTGATACCTACCTTAAAAGTAAGGGAAAAGGATTAATGAGCAATGTCTGCAAAACACATTAAGCTCCACGGAAGAGAGGTGCTCTATAATTACAAGCCATTATTACTGAATGTAAAAGACAGTAAAAGGAAACCATTATTTTATCTTCTTCAGTAGGAGTTATTTCAACTAACGCAGGATTTGGTAGAATCTTAAAGCCAAGTGGCTTATTTAAAATGCTTTAATTTTTCAAGAATTTCTCTTAATTATATAAAATATCAGATTTTCAATATAATAGATCTGAGGAGTAAGCCAATTTGGTACTTTGGCAGAATGCAAATTACTAAATATTGAGCGTCAGATGGCCTCAAATTTATTCTACTGCCTATGTAGCACTAAGCCTAATTCATCTTGGGAAGATAGTTATCTATTATATTCTTAGAGCCCTAAAAGACTACTTCTAATACCTCTTCTACTAACCTGCTCTATTTTTAGCAAAACAGGCTTTCACATTAAGTAAATAGTTCATGCTGAATTTAACGGCAATATTTTTTATTCTCAATGGAAAAGAGAATAGTGATTTTACATATCATATTAAACTTCTGTATGTTTAAGGAGAGTTACTAAGTGATATTTTTCTCTCAATGCTAAATAGCCCTATCACTTTCCATTATTCTTCAGAGGTCCACCTTTAGTGATATTGCTGTTTCTTTTCTCTCTGAATCTCATTCTGTATTTTGCAATATGTTTAGTATTGCAAGGTCCAAGCTGTGAAGAAATATCGCTTTTTTAAACTTTTTTTTTTTTTTTGAGACAGAGTTTCACTCTTGTTGCCCAGGCTGTAGGGCAATGCTGCGATCTCTGCTCACTGCAACCTTCACCTCCTGGGTTCAAACAATTCTCCTGCCTCAGCCTCCTGAGTAGCTGGGATTACAGGTGCGCGCCACCACGCCTGGCTAATTTTTGTATTTTTAGTAGAGACATGGTTTCGCCATGTTGACCAGGCTGGTCTTGAACTCCTGATCTCAGGTGATCCACCTTCCTCGGCCTCCCAAAGTGTTGGGATTACAGATGTGAGCCACCATGCCTGGCCACTTTTTTTTTTTTTTTTTTTTTTTTTTTTTTAAGAAATGGAGCCTCACTCTGTTACCCTGGCTGGAGTGCAGTGGTGCAATCATAGCTCACTGCAGCCTCTACCTGGACTCAAGTGATCTTTCCATCTCAACCTCTTGAGTAGCTGGGACTAGAGTGCGTGTCACTCGCCCAGCTAACTATTTAAATTTTTTTTGTAGAGACGGGGTCTCCCTATGTTGCTCAGGCTGGTCTCGAAGTCCTGTCCTCAAGCAATCCTCCAGCTTTGGCCTCCCAATGTGATAAGATTACAGGAATGAGCCACTGCACCTAACCCCAATACAGCTTCTATTAGGTGTACCACCTAATTGTTTGAATTCTTTGGAAGTCACTGAACTTTCCAATTGCTTAGTTAATTTATTGGCAACCTAAAAAGGTAGGACAAATCATAAGGGTTGATTCTGACACTCACATCTTACATTGCTATATAATTTTGTTTTTTATTTTTCATTAGTTTATTGAATGTCAACCTGGTGTTCCAAATCTTTCATATGATTTTATATATTCGATTTTCTTAACAGTCTTCTTTAAATGTAATTACCTCTTTTTATTGATAAAGGAAATGAATTCAAACAGGAAGCACCATGTTGCTTGTACTTAAGGGTCCAGCCACTGGAGTCAGACATGGGATTGAATTCAATTAATTCATTTCCCTAGACCTCAATTGTCTATGTGTTTCTAATAATATTTATTTCAATGATTTAATGAAGATTAAACTAGATAATATGTTGTAGGTGCTTAATGTAATATCTGGCATGTTAAACATTTGGTAATCCGTAGCTTTTTGGTGATGATTGTGATTGAGGACATAGTTAATTTGCTGGTTTATTTTCCTAGGTAATATGTGTAGTAGGTAGAGGCACAATTTTGAGGCAAGTTTGTCCAAAGCCCAAATTTCAGCTGCTTCAAAGTCTTTAGCTAAGTTTTAAGGTGTCAACAAAGAAGTTATTGTTAGGAAGAACAGGCAATTCATCATTTTCTTTTTATCTTCCTTTGAGGTAGCTAAGATTACTGGGTAAAGTTCTTGTTGAGAAATTTGCTTTATTTGTCAATATACATGCATAGATATGTATGCATATTTATTACAAACTACTTACAATGCTCTGACTTACAATTTTTTGACTTTATGATGGTTTGGAAGCAGTACACACTTAACAGAGACTGTATTTCAAATTATGAATCTTGATCCTTTTTCAGGCTAACGATATGTAGTAAAATACTCTCTCATGCTGCTGGGCAGCAACAGTGAGCTGCAGCTCCCAGTCAGCCTCATGGTCACAAGCATAAACAACTTGAAACTATACAGAGGACTGTGTTGCTAGCATTTTTTTGGGATAATAATAAAAAGAAGAAACAAGCTATACAGTCAAAACTTGATGCCTTCCTAAAGAATAATATGCCTGCTAAGCCATCAACAAGTGATCCTCAGTGGCTTCTACCGGCTATTCTCGAGACTCATCTGAAGAGTGAGAAATTGATGACCCTGTGGCTGTAGCATCCCCGTCATCTAGCAATTAATTTTAGTTAAACACTACGAAGATTCCTCAGGCCCAGTGTGCCCTCAGCTGTGTACAATAATGGTGAATACCCGTACAACCATTCTGGTTTTCACTTCCAGTACAGTATTGAATAAATGACATTAGAGTTCAATACTTCATTATAAAAGAGGCTTTGTGTTAGATGGCTTTGCCCAATTGTAGGCTAATGTATGTGTTCTGAGCATATTCAAGGTGGGCTAGGCTAAGTTACAATATTCAGTAGATTAGGTGTATTACGTTCATTTCCAACTTATAATGTTTTCAATTTATGATGGTTTATTGGTATGTAACTTCATTATGTCAAGAATCGTCTGTATTTATAACATATTTACACATACATTTCCAAATATATTTGTAAAAACTTAATTACTTAACAATTAGCTGGTTGATAAAGAGTGTAAAATTCCTGGCAATAAATAAGCCAAATAACCAACTAATTCATTTCTTTGTTCATCCACAGGGGAGTATTTCAGTAATGTGTTACTACTAACATCTTGCTGGGAGTATGAAGGCTATAAAGCTGGCTCAATCTTACCAGACTGTAAGACATTTTATAGCATGGATTCTGCCTTTTTTCTCTGAATATCTAATGACTTAATAAGTAGTGACTCTTAAGAAGTACCTCATGAATTTTGAACAAAACTAAGTTTTCCTGAGGAGCCAATAGCCAAGTAGGAGGTTAAGAAATGTATCAATCTGATTCTGATACAAAGTAAAAATATGGTCACCATAAAGGTACGGCGAAAAGGCTTTCAGAATTCAGCAGTGGGTAAGATCTCTCCTAGGGCATAAAACAACATTTTCTGAAGGAAGAAGGAATATAAGTGGAGTATTAAAGCATAAGTAAAAACAGAAATAGAGAAACAGGAATAGAGGCTAGTGAAAGCAAAGGGAATATGCAGGAAAGCAAGATTTGTACTCATTTTTTTCCTCCGTGTGGGGCACTGTCCTGTTTGCACATGTCTACATTCTTCCATTTCTATAAAGTAAGTATCATTTTAGAAAGGAGGAAAATGAAATTAAAAGAAGATAAGACACTTGGTTTAGTAATGAGAAAACTGGATGTGCCAGGGTAAGTATTACTGTCCAGCCTTGTCTTTTAGGTCCTGAGGGTCTAGGGATTGGGTGGGAAGTCAACAAGAATCAGAGAACAGTTGAATTTTCCTGGAGAAAGGGGTTCTGGATCTCTTTGATCTTAACTCCATTCATAAAGGGCTAGGCTAGAACGGACTTTGCCTTCAGATAATATAGACCCAGATGACCGTGGTTAGCATTCTTTGAATCACTGTGTGACTTTGGGTCTCTCTCTACATCTTGTCTCATTTTTCTATCTGCACAAATTTGATAATCATATTTTAGTTGTAAAGTCAGGGAGATCTTGGTTTAATTCCTGATGACAGTTAGAGATGTGTGGCCCTGGGCAATTTTTAAAACTTTCTGAACTTCATTTTCTGTGTCTATATAGTTTTGATAATGTTATTTTTCATTTATTATTTTATGAAGATTAGAAATAATACATGATAAAATTTAATGAACATTCTGTCAAGCAGTGATAATATCATTTTCTCCTTAAGATTATTTTGGGGATTAAAATAGATAAGGCAAATGATGACAGTGTTTTGTAACATAGGCATTTAGATATTGAGATAAAAGTACCACTATTACAAAAAGTTTTATATATACACATAAATATGTATATAATTTTATACCCACATGCACCCACTCACTTCTACCACATACCCACATATTTATATAAAGTTACCACACATTGCCTAATGCAGAGCAACTACTTGATAAATATTAACTCAAGGGCCATGCAGCTCTATATTAATGCTAGCAATAAGAATATTTTATCAGTTTGGACATCCTGTTTTAAATTATATTTATATATATAAATTCATGATTTCTGTATGGAGTTAATTGAAAGAAAATGAATTTCAACACAGGGATAGTCTAATATAGATGACACACATATATACAATTGTTATATCATATTATTGATTCAAATGAATTTTTTACTTAACAATTTAACAGTATTTATTTCTCATGACATTAAATTGTTATATACAACATACTAGTTTAATTAAGTTATCATTTATTCTTAAGCATTTGAATTATTTGAATATTTTAAAATGAGAAATAATGGAATCAAGAGGAAATATTGGGCCCTTCTTCCTGACTGTATACCTTTTTCCCTTTTCTTCTTTAAAAAATTTTTTTTTATGTTTATGGATTTAGGGATATAAATGCAGTTGTGCTACATGGATATACTGCATAGTGGTGAAGCCTGGGCATTTCATATTCCCATCACCCGAATCGTGTACACTGGACACCATAGGTAATATTTCATCCCTCACTGCCCTGCCACGCTTCCCCCTTTTAAAGTCTTTAATGTCTATTATTCCACTCTGTATGTCCACGTGTACCCACTGTTTAGCTCCCACTTATAAGTGAGAACATGCAGTTTTTTACTTTCTGTCTGAGTCATTTCACTAAAAACAATGACCTCCTGTTCCATACATGTTGCTGCAAAATACATGATTTCATTCTTTTTTTGTGGCTAAGTAGTAGTCCATGATATATACTACATTTTTAAATCCAATCATCTGTTGATGGGCACTTAGGTTGATTTCATGACTTCGCTATTGTAAATAGTTCTACAATAAACATGACGACAGGTGTCTTTTAGATTTAATGGTTTCTTTTCCTTTGGTAGAGAGACCTAGTAGTGGGATTACTGGATGGAATGGTAGTTCTATTTTTAGTTCTTTCAGAAATCTTCATACCATTTTCCGTAGAGGTTGTACTAATTTATATTCCCACCAACAGTGTATAGGCATTCCATTTTCTCTGCATTCTCACCAACATCTGTTGTTTTTGACTTTTTAATAATAGGCATTCTGACTGGTGTAGGATGATATTCCATCACAGTTTTAGTTTGCATTGCGTTGATGATTAGTGCTGTTGAACATTTTTTATACATTTGTTGGTCACTTCTATTTCTTCTTTGAGAAATGGTTGTTAGTGTTCCTTGCTCACTTTTTAATGGAGTTATTTATGCATTTTTCTTGTTGATTTGTTTGAGTTCCTTCTATATTCTGGATATTAGCCCTTTGTTGGATGCATTGTTTGCAAATATTTCCTCTCATTCTGTAGGGTGTCTGTTTACTCTGTTGATTATTTCTTTTGCTGTGCAGAAGCTTTTTAGTTTAGTGCTAGTTGTCTATTTTTGGTTTCGTTGCATTTCTTTTTGAGAACGTAGTCATAAATGATTTGCCTTCTAGGATTTTTATAGTTACAGGTCTTAAATGTAAGTCTTTAATCCATCTTGAATTAATTTTTGTATATGGTAGGGATAGGGGTCCAGTTTAATTCTTGTTCTTATGGCTCCCCAATTTTCCTAAAACCATTAAGATTGAATATGGTGTCCTTTCCCTGGAGTACATGTTGTTGAACTTTATCAAACATCAGTTAGTTGTAGATATGTGTCCTTAATTCTGAGTTCTCTGTTTTATTCTGTGGATCTGAGTGTCTATTTTTTACCAGTACCATGCTGTTTTGGTTACTATTGCCTTATAGTATAATTTGAGGTCAGGTAATGTGATACCTCCAGCTTTATTCTTTTTGCTTAGAATTGCTTTGGCTGTTTGTACTATTTTTTTTTTTTGGTTCCATATACATTTTAGGGTTGCTTTTTCTAATTCTGATTATATACTTCTTAGAAAAAGATGTATCTCATTTCCGAAAGTTAAATTCCTAGACTAGTGGATATGTACATTTTCAAAAATTTTTATACATGATATCAAACTGCCTTTCAGGAATATTGTCCTGTCTCTTTAGTTAACATTCTCGACCTGATTTTTGCCATTTAGAACAGACCGTCATTTGTCTTTCTTTTGTTCTTTTCCTTTCTGGCAGCTACTCTGGACTCATGTAAATTATTCTACCGAATGTCAAAGCTGTGAAGATCATTCACATAATTTTCTATGTATTATGCAAGTCTTGTCATTTATTAGAGCAGGAAAGAATGTTTTTTTTTTATTTACTTGTATCTTAGTATTTATTTTCATGGAATTATAAATTTAAAGCCACAAGGAAAGTTTTCCTGAAATTGAGAGATTTAAATTCATCTTTTAAAATCCCAAAGTGATTTAATATGCCAAATTTAGCAAACTATGCACACTTATTTATATCCACTTTTATCAAGCTTAGATTTAAAATATTTCTATCACTAAAATGACTATCAAGTTAGTGCCAAAAGACTAAACTTGCCATATGAAAAGTATTTTGGAAGTTGGAAAACCTGAAACCTTGAAATCTATTTGAGCAATAACTTTAGTCTTTTGGGATACAATTATTTTGTGTGCTTATGTCACTATTCTGAAACTACTTTCATCTATTGCTCTCCAAAATTAACTTTCCATTAGGAGCTAAAAAAAAAGTTTATGTACCAATTCATTGAAAATAAAATTATAAAAAGTGGCAAAGCCAATATGTATTAATACTTTTCCAAAAATGGATATCTGTTTATCATTTTAGGAACTAATTACTTATGAATTGTATGCACCAAATTAATCAAAGATACCACTAAGCCATGTAATGATAATTTCACATTTGTGGGGCAAGATTAGCTTTTATGTAATTTAGTATGTTCTGGAAAGTAGAACTGGAAACTAAATTGAGATAAGCCCTCTAGCATATTCTTGGGAATTTCTAGTTTGTAGCAATGATGTTGAGTTAATATTTCTGTGAAAGTCATATACATTCAGTGTTAAGTAATTTGGGGACCACCTACATTTTTTAAATGAAATTCACTTTTTAAAAATATCTTTCTTATAACTCTATTTGACTCCATCATTAACTTCTCCTTTAAGAGGTAAGTATTGCATGACAAAACTCATCATTCCTGAAGTCAGGTTCCTAATTCTTCTAGACAAGTGGACTATCTCTTAAAAATAGAATAACCTGATGGGATGTATGACCATGAAAAGTTAGGACATTAGGCAGGTTCACAGGGGAGCGGGCTTATTCAGTACAGCCTCAGTCAAACGACTGAACAATGGCGTGAAATTGTGCAAGATTTATCATCATTATTACGTTTTACAGCAGGATAAGTCTATCTGTGGCTCAAAAAAATTAAAGACGCTTGCAGGAGAAGAGGTAGGTAGAACCCAGAGAGAGACAGAAGGTTGGCGCAAAATGAGAAAAGCACAATTCAGTTGTTTTTAATGCAAAGTTGATGTAAGTGAGAATGTTTCAATATAAAGGCATCCATGTTATCTGCCACACAAACTCATTTAAGTAAAAGTCAGCTAACCATGCTTACTGACAGTTTTATTTTTAAAGAAAATGATTTGTAAGGAATTCTATGTGGAAATAAAACTAAAAGGAAAGGAAATATCATATGCAAAAGAAAACTAACTACGAAAGTGGAAATTGAGAATTCAGGAACAGCTTGAACATAAAAACAGGTGGTGAGGGTAAATGTCAATCATTCTAGAATTCCCGTATTTATTTGTAAGGATAGCAAATTTCCTTTCAATGTACTGGATGGAGCTGATGTAATTGTACTTTAATCTTAAAAGACAAGGTGACCCCAATCATATTGAAGAACTTTGGGCTGATATTTGAATTTTTTTCATAAAATGATAACTTTTCCCAAATCCAGTTCTGCAGAAAATCATTATACCTGTTTCTAGCATATATGATTTTTCTGCTTACAGTGTTAAAAATATTATTTTTTTCATAAAATATTAGTACTTGCTAGTTGAATGTCTGGTTGGATAATATGAGAATAAAATTTGGCATCTGTTAATCTATTCACTTTCTTATTTTGTCATTTATTAAAAATAAAAATAAGTGCATATTTTATATTAAAGTATTGAAGAAATAATACAACAAATATTAAGGACTTACTAAACACAAAGAACTGCTGATAAAATTTTGAAGAAAATAGGCATCATTTTTGGTTTCATAGAGATCTTATTTGCTGAAAGAAACATTAGCCATATAGTAGAGAATAAACTAGAAAAATGCAACCTCGCTGAAAGCCACAAAGAAAATACTTATGTGATATGAAAGAATCCAATTTACAAAGTCAGAGAAAGCGTCTTCAAGTAAATTTTGCCTGAATTTCAATCTGACTGTTACATGAGAGGTAACTTATAAAGAAGAAAAAGAAGCACATTTGCAAAGGAAGGGACTGATAAGCATAAAGTTTTTGCTACAAGAAGGAACAGGTAGAATTTTCAGGACTATAAGACACACTGTATCGCTAGAATAGACACTGAAATAGGGCATGCGGTATGATGTATGACTATTGCTGCAGGGTAGTGGTAGAGAGCTCCATGCTGGGTCTTTCTGATCTTTTAAAATAATTTTGGCTTTATTTTAGGAGCAACTATGTATCATTAAAAGATAGATGTAGGAAAAAGATGTAAGGAAATGAATATGACTATATTTTTATTTTAAAAAAGCAATGACTATTTCCTACAGAATGCAAACTGGAAGTGTGAAACAGTGAAATCATCTAAGTGTCTATGACAGAAATCCAAATGAGTAAAAATAGTAACTTGATTATGATGCCTATTTACGCAAATAGCCATGGTAAATACACTCGAGGTAAATAGTTCAACTTCAAAACACAAAAGTAGATATTTGGAGGATTGGGTAAAAGAATGGGACTAGTGTAGAAAGACTTCATCTCTTCTTTCATAGGGTAGTCCATAGGTGTTAAAATCATTCAAATAACACAGGCATCTCTGCAAAAAGACAGACTGGGAAGGAAAGAACATAAATTTAGTTGGCACAGGTAGAATAACTGGTGGCTTTCAGCTATTTAAGAAGAGTTATTAGTTGGCAGTTGAACCTAATTATTTTATATGGAAGAAAGAGTCTTAGCTACCTGCCATGACTTCTGATGCCAACTACACGGATTTAGGCCAAACTTCACAGTTTAAGGGCACAGTCCTCCACAAGACTACTGTTCATCCAGTTGCTAGTTCAGTGGTCCACACTCCACTCTCACTTTGGACCAGCTGGCTACTAACTTGGGGTAAACCATGTCTCCTCAGGTCCAATAATTTAGTATCAGAGTTCACAGAACTCAGGAAAGTTCTAAATTTATAATTACAGTTTTGTTACAGGAAAACTATTCAAATCAGAATGTGCCAAGGGGAAAGGCACACAGAGCAAGGTCTTGGAAGTTTCCAAATATGAAGTTTCTGTTGTCTCTCCTCATGGGATCAGGACACATTAACCTCCCAGCACACTGATGTGTGACAATACAGAGTACTGCCAACCAGGGAAACTCTTCCAAGCTTCAGGATCCGGAGTTGTTATTGCAGTTTTATTACATAGGTAATGTTGATTGAATCATTTGTCACAGGGCTCAAACTCCAGCTCTCCTCTCCTCTCCAGAGGTGAGACTGATGACTCTTGTCTCAATGTCTCAATCCTCTAATCACATGGCTGGTCTTTCTGGTATGGCCAGGTCTCATCCTGAGTTATCTAATTTGCATAAACTATTTAAGGATCCACCCTGATTTGCATTAACCATCAAGTGTCTTCCAAACAGCTCATAATGAATAATAAAGTCACAACTATCAGTCAGGAAATTTCAAAGATTTTGAGGATGCCATCCAGGAACCAGGCACAATGGTCAGCCAGATATTTTATTACACACTAGCAACATGTCTGTGAAAAATCTACATCTAGGCAGTTGTTGCAGCTGTGGGTATAAATTTTCTTAAGTATTTGCATGCTGAGCTTGGGAATGGTGTTAAAACATATACTTGGAGACATCCAAAATTTAATGTTTAGGTTGAGGAAGGTGAGTAAATAAGAAAATGGGTTAGAGAAATAATGAGAACCCAGGGTGGATATCTCCAAATTGGAAGAGATCAGACACGGAACATTGCTGAGAGGTCTTATAAGAGAAGGCCTATTTTTTTTTTTAACTGACAGGTGTAATAATTATTTTAGCAATGTTGTTTTTATAGCTAGATGGGAACTGGATATTCAATGAGCAGATGGCTAAGTGGGATTCAGCAAATGCAGGCAGCTCCCTACAGGTATGTGGCTGTGAAAGAAAAGAACAGTGCTGGACAAGTGTAAAGAATCTGGGGTTTAGATTTAGTTGAGCTTGGTTTGGTTTTACTGAGGGCCAACTGAAAAGATTTAAAAGTTAATAGGAAAGAGTTAGTAAAGGAAAAGAGATTATTTTTAAAAGAAAAATTGTGTAGTTCCCAAGGATTTGGAAGAAAAAGAAGCAAAGCGCAGATGGAAGAAAAGCTTTACATAAGAGGGGAATGGAGTAGGATAGGCAAAGATAGAATCACTACATGCCAAGGCTTCATCTGAGCATTGGCACAGAGCAATAAACAAATCAGAATAACTATACCTTAATGGAGCCTATGGTCTAGTGAGGCAACTAACATTAGTTAAATTCACACATAATTACCAATGAGAACAGTGTTATTGAGGAGATAACGGTATCTGGATTTAGAAAACCAACAAATAAACTAAATCAATAAATGATTCACCTTACATAGAATATTTTGAGAAATGCTGAAAATTGATATTTAGATCAAAAGTTGGAAATGCTGTTACCATACCTAATGGGTTCACTCACCCAGCACAGTAAAGCCAGGCACTGACTGGAAGATTTGCAGTGAGAACAAAGGTCACTTATTCCAGTGTACTGAGCAAGAAGAATGGACAGCTAAGGCTTAAGACCCAAACTCCCCAGTGTTTACAAGCAAGAGATTTTAAAGGCAGGGATACATCTCAGGAAAGCCAAAGTTGTAGGCAAAGTATTAAACCAATACACAGGATACATAGGTTGAACATTGGTTTGGTCTATGGGTGTGACCCTCTTTAGGGCCCTTAGAAAGAAATGTAGAACAAAGAACTGCAATCAGAGTTGAGTAGTCAGTTCTCAGTTATCTGTGGTCTATGATATGGCAGTCAGCATTTTCCATCTGGTGAAAGTTTCTGAAAAACAGCTCAAGAAAACATGTTAAGAAAAAATTTTTTATTGCTGTGTTTTGCTTGGGAGACTATTGTTATGTGAACTCCCAAAATCTTAAATTTGAGATCAGTCTCAGTTAATTTAGAAAGTTTATTTTGCCAAGGTTTAGGACGTGCATGTGCCACAGCCTCAGGAAGTCCTGAGGACATGTGCCCAAGGTTGTTGGGCCACAGCTTAGTTTTTATACATTTTAGGGAGACATGAGACATCAATCAATATAGGTAGGAAGTACATTGGTTCAGTTTGGAAAGGCAAGGCAACTTGAAGCAAAGGCAGGAAGACTCCAAGCAGGGAGGGGGCTTCCAGGTCACAGATAGGTGAGAGATGAAGCGTTGTGTTCCTTTGAGTTTCTGATTAGCCTTTCCAAAGGAAGCAATCAGATATGCATCTATTTCAGTGAACAGAGGGGTGACTGAGTACAATGGGAGGCAGGTTTGCCCTAAGCAGTTCCCAACTTGACTTTTTTGTTTAGCTCAGTGATTTGGGGGCCCCAAGATTTATTTTCTTTTCCCAGTTACTATCTTCATTCTTATCAGATTGCTCATTTACTTTTCAAGACTAGTTAGGGGCCTGAAATTTCCCTGGAAGGGACTCAAGATCTTTCCTTTATTCGATGACTGGGGGACCTGGAAGCCCTTAATAGGAGTCTCTGCTCCATCTCAAGGCCTGGTTTGCAGAGGGATAGGAGTGGACAAAAGAGAAGGAAGAGTTCCTCACACAGTATTTACACCTTGTGCAAAAGCCCTACCCAGGGTACGAATGAGGTTGACATAGTTAAGAAAGGAAAGAGAACCAAGGATACTAAATTATAGTGAACAGAGGTGAGGTGGAGCAGTAGAGTGAGGTTATTTAAAATGCAGAAAGAAAAAAACAGTCTGTTTTATATACCCATGTATCTGTTCTTTTTATAATTTCTCCTTTCTTCCTGATGCTCCAAAATTATCATTTCCTGCCTGTTTGATATGGTTTGGTTCTGTCTCCACCCAAATCTTATCTTGAATTGTAGCTCCCATAATTCCCACACGTCATGGGAAGGACCCAGTGGGAGACAACTGAATCATGGGAGTGGGTCTTTCCCATGCTGTTCTCCTGATAGTGAATAAATTTCATGAGATCTGATGGTTTTATAAATGGGAGTTCCCCTGCACACACACTCTGTTTCCTGCCACCATGTAAAACGTGACTTTGCTCCTCATTCGCCTTCCACCATGGTTGTGAAGCCTCCCCAGCCATGTGGAACTGTAAATCAATTAAACCTCTTTCCTTTGTAAATTACCCAGTCTCAGGTATGTCTTTATGAGCAGCATAAAAACAGACTAATACACTGCTCAAACAACTTCCTTTAGCCACTCTATAAGAGTAGATCTGCTGGCAACAAAGTTTTAAAAATTTCCTTAAGTTGAGATATATTTATTTCCCCTTCATTCCTGAAGGTTAAACTAATATAAAATTTGTGGTTGACAGGGCTGGTTTTTCCTGTTTGTTTGTTTGGTTTGTTTTCTTTTTATTCCAGCACTTGAAAAATGTGGACTTCTTCTGGACTCCATGGTTTCAGATGAGAAATCTGCTGACATTACATTCTATATTCCTCTTTGAGTTGTTTCTCTCTGGCTGCTTTCAAGATTTATTTCTTTGTCTTTCAAAATGTTCAGAAGTTTGACTATGTTATCTCTTGGTATAAATTTCTTTGCCTGTAATGCCTTTGAATTTCACTAAGTTTCTTGTAGCTGTAACTCTGTGTGTGTGTGTGTGTGTGTGTGTGTGTGTATGTGTGTGTTGTAACCAAACTTGAAAAGTTTCCAAGCCATTATTTCTTCCAGTATTCTTTTGTCTCACACTCTTTCCATGTTCTTCAGGAAGCTGATGAAACAAATGTTATATCTTTTGTTGTCCCACATGTTTGTGCAGTTTTGTTCATCTTTTTCCTGATCTATTTCCTTCCTTTTGTTCAGGTTGGGTAAATTCTGAACTGGGTATATTCGATCAAGTTCACTGATTCTATTCTCTGTCTTTTCTAATCTATTCCTGAGTTGATCCAGCAAATTTTAAAAATTTGGTTAATGTATCATTCAGTTCCATAATTTCCACTTGGCTCTAAAAATTAACTTCTATTTCTTTGCTGAGATTCTCTATTTTTTCATTTATTTCAAGAAAATGTGCAATTGATTGTTGGATCATTTTATAATGGCATATAATTCCAAACATCTAATCTATCACAGTGTTCATGACAGTTTATCTTTTCTTATTTAAAGGATAATTTTCTTTGTTCTTGGTATGACAGGAGATTTAATTGCATATGGCGCATTTTGTCTATTATGTTAGGAGACTCTACGTCCTATTTCTTTCCTTTTAGAAGGCAGTTATTCTGTTAGGTTTAGCATTTAGATCCTGGCTTACTTTTGTGGATTCTGGTTCAAATGGCAGTTTAGTTTTCCAGTCTTTGTGGTATTATTTTGTGTGGCTTGGTTTATCTGATGCCTTTAGGGCATCTATTGTTCCCTGTTTGCTCCCTGACAGAGCAGAAGGAGTTTTTCTGAGCTGGACTTCTGGGTGTTTCTCTGTTGGGGAAGAGAGTCTCAGGTCCTGGGAGATGAAGATATTTCTTTAGTCAGAGGCTTGCTGTGTGGAATTTTCATACAAATGGCCCACTGTTGCCCCAGGTGTCTAGACAGAGGAGAGGATTCTCAGACTCAAAGAAACAAGGGGACTCTCTGGCCCAGCCTACCAGCTATGCCAGTTCCTCATACTCATGCCATTGACTCCCCATTAGAGGAGGGAGTATCAGGCCTAAGAAGACTCTCTCCAGGTATTTATTATAGGATTCCCTCTGCTTAGGAGGGATGAGAGCTAGGCTACTTGTTCCAACTGGTTCCTTCCCAGGCTTCATCCTGCTCACCCCAATATCACTAGTGAAGGGTGGGAAGGGAGGCTCAGGGGGCCACTGAGGCTTCTCAGCAAGGCTGTTGTTGTGGCCTCTCTTGGCAGTCCCATCTGCCTTGGTATTTGTTCCCGTACCATAGAGTCTCAGGCTTTGTAGTGAAGAAGAACGCTTCCCCTGGCCCCTTATAGTTACAAAGTTTCCCGATGTGTTTACAAACAAGTCTAGTGTTTTTGGAAGGGCTCCCATTCTCTCTGGGAAAAATAATGGACCTACATGGACTGCCTTCTATTTCAAAGTTGGGGTAGAGAAACACTGGCTCTGGTTAGCCTTCTTCTGGTGGATGAATGTATATGTATATAATACCTCCAGTCACTCCGTCGTTCCTCTAGTTTTGGGATGCAAAACCAGTTAATCCTCTTCCTATTAGCATTCCAACTTTTTTCTTTTCTTTCTTTCTTTTCTTTTTTTTTTTTTTTTTTTGGCTTGCCTGTAGTATTATTTCAAAGGTTTATAATTGTAGTTAGTTGGAAGAAAGGGCAAGTAAAAAAACAGAGGGCAAGTACCATCTTCTCTCTACTGAAAATTCCAACAAGGTTATTTACTATTTCTTGCTAGCAATATGAATCATAAATTGATTCATAAACATTCATAAAATTGATAAACATTTTACTCTCAAACTATGCCTGCCTGGACTATTTCAAGTTTTCATGTGGTCGCTTCTTTATCTATAAGAGTACAATGAAAGAATATAAACATTTTTTTCATATAGGTAAGAAAATTAATGACAGTATCAACAAGGTACTTTTAGCATTTGGAAGAGACTCATTTAAACTATGGTTCAAACCACATGAATACAGATGCTATTCAAATGTATTCACGATCTAAGGCATCTAAATCTGTTTGAAAATTTTTTTACATTAAATGAGTTAAGTAATTAGAGAAATACTTTAGAGCCTAACATGTGCTGGTCTCTAGTCTATAATAGAGATAAAACAATGAATTAAACAAATAAAACTCTTTCCCTCATTGAGGGTGTATTTTTGATAGAGGTACAGTTTTCAATCTCTGTTCATATTAATACAATTTTTGAACCTTCAGTCACATTTTAAAGTTATTTTAAACCAATAGAGCAAACTAGTCAAGTTTATATAAAAAATTTATTTAGATTATTTCATATTTTTTATGTTAGCTGCCTATTTATCAATCTCTAATTTAAAATTCTATTGTATACACACACAGATCTTAACTTTATCTTGAATAAACTTATTTTAAGTTTCCTGGTGGGATTACTCAACCAAAGGCATTTTAGGATGATTTCCTACTAAATTTGAAAATAATGAACTAGTCACTTGAGGTATCGTTGGTGCCACATTTATGCTTAAATAAGTAGAAGAGACAATTTTGCAGAATTTTTTTCATAGATATTCCAAATTCTTCTGTACTTTATCTTCAGATAAAATTGTTTGTGTTTTTCATTGGTAATAAAGCATATGTGAGTCTTCCTTATAAATAATATAATTTATAGAGGATGTATAAGCAATTAATAGTAGTTGAATTATCAAGACAAACTTAATTTTGCCCTTGGGCACTAAACGTTATTAGCAAAGATGCAAATGTGACATTTTTAAATTAAAAAAAAGTTCTAAGGAATTTGATTTTGTATTGGCACATCTACTTGCTGCCTCATAGGTTATGACACGCTCTAGCTACCGCCTTCTACACCATAATTTAACACTGGGAACTCACTCTTTCCTAATGACACCATCCTTTGAGCAATACACTAATAGATCATGGGCCGATGATGTTCATTAATGATGAATCACACTAATATATCATTTTCTCTGTCACACAGGTGTTTTATCAGATTAATTTCATCGGTGCAATGACCTGTGATGATGATGCATTGCTTAAGGATAGTGCAATTTAGAAAGAAATGAAATTTGGAATTAAACCTGTATTCAGCAGCTTTGAGGCCGTGTTGGAAAACTTGATAGAAACAATAGATGTGAATGAAATATGCATTCAAATGTTGAGCAGATATTCTAGTACTTATAATGCACAGAGCAAAGCCACTCATATATTTTGCCTTATAAATTTTAAAAATAAAAAACAACACATTAAAATTCTAATACCATATTTTCTAACTTCTTGACTGGTAGTTTCTATTTGAGTATGAAACCATCAAACTCATATCAAATAGCTTTTGTGTACTATTAAAATACTATGGCTTTCTCTTTTTCTATACTTAAGCAAAATTACTAAAGTCAGAAATTTATTTATTTTATTTTCCTCAATTGGGACATTTAGCAAAGTATGTACATTGTGCTTTACATATTAAATAAATAACAAAATATTCTACATAATAGATTTAGGTCAATGTGAAGAGGCCTTTGAAAATTCATTATAAATATCTAGTTTAAAAAATATATTCAAATGGTATTTTCTTTTCTTACTCTTTTCTATTCTACATGAATAAAAGTTTAAAAAATCATCAAGAGAGAATTTTAATTAGACATCTCATGGTGATAATGAAAAAAGTGTTAACTATATTCTTAATATTACATTTTTATTTTCAATTATAAAATTGAATCTCAATTAGTATCCTATTAAATTACTTTTATATGATTATTACCTACATGGTATTGAAGACATTTTTAGGATCTATTTAATCATGTATTTTAAAATTTTCTTTTACAGAACAACTGTTTTTCTTTTCTTCCAATTAAACTCTAGTACTCAAAGTATCATTTAAATGTATCTTTGTACATTACCATTCCTGAATTCAATTTTAACCCTTCAGTATTTGTCATAATGATCCAACTGATGTAGATTTATGCCTGATATCCATGACTTCTCTAACATCAGTTTACAAGAAAAGCCATCCATTTGTCCTATGCCTATTTAACATAAAAGATCCCTGCATAGTTAAATTATGAAAATGGAAAGGGAAAAAAGAAAACAATAACATTGATGATGTGTTAAGCCATCTGGTTGCGTTCTTAATTCATTTATTTCTTAATTAAAGAAATTGTTTGGGCTCCCTACAATGGGGTCAATATTCTTAAGAGGAAAGGGGACATCCCTGGCAGTAATAGTCTTCCCATCTGTATGTTCCTTCATTTGCTGTATCCTATAACTCGCTTTCAGATCACGTACCCACAGTACATTTTCACAACAATACTTTTGTTAACCAAATGGTTGCAAATGTTTGATCAATTGGCATGGTAGATCATACAATGATTCAGAGTAAGGGGTTCATTTTGCTGCAAAGAAGATGTGACTATGACCACATGATCATGGTTTCCACTGATCCTACCACAGTTCCCACACATCTGAAGGAACTAGCATAATATAATAGTGAAACAGCCTTTTAAAGGCTCAAATGAGACACCAGCTTAGGAATATCAATTTATGGATGTGTGGTATTTTGTCAATTGCTCATAAATGGTGATGGGTCCCTAAGGGCTAGAATACAAGAGTCTTAGAAATGGTATGTTCATTTGCATTACTGTAAAGGAATACTGCGACTGGGAAATTTATAAAGAAAAGAGGTCTATTTTGGTTCATGGTTCTGCAGGTTGTACAAGCATGGTACCAATATCTGCCTGGCTTCTGGTGAGGCATCAGGAATCTTACAACCATGGCAGGAGGTGAAGGAGGAAGCAGACATATCACATAATGACAAAAGGAGCAAGAGACAGAGGGGGAAGTTCCAGGCTTTTTTAAACAACCAGATCTTAGGTAAACTCAAAGAGGGAGAATCCACTCATTACCATGAGAACAGCACCAAGCCATTCATGAGGGATCTGCCCCCATGATACAAACACCTCCCAGCAGTTCCCACCTCCAGCATCGGGGATTACATTTCAACATGAGATTTGGAGGGGAAAAATATTCAAACTCTATCAACTGGATTATGGAAACATTATTGGCCCCTCTCACAATAACTTTTAATAACTAACTTAGGAAATGCTTTCTTCCCGCATTACATTAGGCTCTGCTAATTAGATAAAGGTCCTTGCTACTACTGGCAAGGACCAGTAAGAGTTCCACAGAAATTGAAGTTACATTATACTTGGCCACTTTGTGTTTCTCCTTCCAGTTAACTATTAGATAAAAAAAAGAGTTGCTACATAGAGGAAGATAATGGCCATTTACCAGAGGATCCATAAACTATATTGTTTGGGAGGGTAACAGCGAATGGGCAGTTGCAACAACCACAGAAAGACAAGGACAAGGCAAACAAAAGTCCATAAATTTTGGGGGAGAAGATCTAGGTCAACTCACCTAGTAAGCAACCTAGATCAGCCAAAATACAAGCCAAGAATGAAGAAAATCTATTATGAGTGATGAAAGAAGAGGACGATGACTATTAATTACATCCTTGGGGTTGTTTGCGGCTGCTGGAGAAGAAATTGTTGTTTTTTCCTATTAGTTGACTTGTATTATGCCCTTTAACAGATTGAGCTACAACCAAGAAGAGGCTCCATTGCTGACTGGCTTTAATGTAAGTATCTGAGTGGTGGACTAGATGACTTCATTGGACAGCTTTTGTCACTACTGTAAAGTCTGAGGGCCTTTTCTTGCCCCAGGCATTGATGAAGCCACAATTTCCAAGTAGTCTCCCGAAAAGTTTTGCAGATAAAATAGTTTCTCAACCTGAGATTCCTCCTGCCTTTTGCTTTAAGCCCTATAAATTCTCACTTCTCTGATGTATCTGTGTGGAATGTCTGTGGGAATCCACTTAGCACCTGTACATATGCAATCTTAGAGGTTAGGGGCTTAAAATGTGTAGGGTTTTCATTAACCGATAACGGAATAAAGGTAGAAGATAAAATATTTCCCCTCATGTCCTCACCTGGGATAATTATGAAGTGAATTTCAAAGATCCTAAAAAGGTCAAGCCTCTGTCACCCATTGCAATGGACAATAATAAGATATTTCTAAATGGTTTGTTTCTCTTTCCCAGTTCCTATCATCCAAATCCTCCTTGCAGCTCCCTGGGACTATGTACTAAATTATTTACTAAACTGGGGGCCTTTGTCTCAGGTTCTCCTGCAGGGGGTAATCCAGGATGAGAACATTATGAACAAGGTAATTCACTACTTTCTCCTTTGAAGAATATTCGGTTAGATGGTGTAAATAGGTTAAGGGTTTTTAACTGAATGATGGAAACACAAAGTCAGGGAGAAGATGTTTCCGCACTCACCTTAAATTTTTAACACAAACTAGGAGCAACTCAAATACAATACAATGTAACAAAACAAAACTAGGAATGAAGTGTTGGTTTAATATTAAATATCTTTTAAAACACTATTAAGTTACTGAATTTTTAAAAAGTCATTTAATTATCATGCCAGAAAGACATTTGGTAATATTCAGTATAATTCTTTATAAAGTATATTCCAGAGGTATAAAAGATTAAACCAAAAGCGTATCAAGAATGTACTAAGAAAGAATGTTTTTAATTGGGCATAAGCCTAGAAATGTTTTTCTAAGAGTGACCCAATTCAAGATGAAAAGCAACATAAATATTGATAAATTCAACTACATTTTAAAAATTACACATGAAAAAGGATACCGTGTACAAATAAAAAAAGACAATAATAATGTAGTGTATCTTATGACAAGATGCTAATTTGTATATGTGCACGTATATATACAAGTGTGCATATATATATATATACACACACACACACATGCAGTATAAATCAATTAAGACTAGAATAAAAATCCCTAGGAGAAATAGGCAATGAACAAGAATTAAATGGTTAAAGAAAAGAATATAGAAAATTAAAAAAATGGTTCAGATGAAAATACATGCACATTCTTACTAATTATAAGTTATATAAAAAAGAAAAGAACAATGAAATGCCATTTTGAAATATTAGGTTGGTCCCAGTGTTAGAGTACTATGGTATAATAAAAAATAAATCTGGTCTTTAACCCCATTCCTTGGCTCAGAAAGTCAAAAAAAAATTGGGAATTTCCTGAATGATTGAAGTTTATTTGTTAGGCTAATGAGGTGACTCATAGTGGACCCCTAAATAGTTTCAGAATAGGGACTGGTCTCCAGAAAGACAGCCTGTGATTAGAGGATTGAAACTTTCAGCTGCCTGACCTCAAGGTAGAGAAAGTGGTGTGCAGATGGAGTTCAATCACATGGACAGTGATTTAATCATTCATGCCTACGTAATAAAAGTCCATTAAAAATTATGGACCCAGAGCTCAGTGTAGCTTCCTGGTTTGTGAACACATTGATGGCTTGTGAACACTCCAACTCCAAGGGAGACAACACGGAAGCTCTGCAATATGGACCTTTTTAGCCCTTGCCTACGTGTATCTTTTACAATAAAACTGTAAAGTATTT
This sequence comes from Homo sapiens, assembly GCF_000001405.40. NCBI lineage: Eukaryota > Metazoa > Chordata > Mammalia > Primates > Hominidae > Homo > Homo sapiens. The sequence continues at coordinate 67,763,801 of NC_000013.11, forward strand.
CTAAGTATAGGGCTTTCCTGGGCTCTCTGAGTTGTTCTAGCAAATTATTGAAATTTCTGGATTTATGGCCACTCAGGACTCCATATTTTTATTTAACATTTTTAATAATAATTTTTCTGTGATACTTAACTAAATTCATTGCATTTAATTGGCTAAAATATCATACACTTATATTTAAATTTTATTCTATCTGTCATACAAAAGAAATTACACATATTATTTACTTTTTAAATATCTGTGACTTATACTTTGAGTTACTGTGCATATTTTTATATCATTTATATAGCCTGCAAGAATAATACCTATGGGAATAATTGTTAACTGTCAGATCATGGTGTATTGCTAATCATATTCCATCAGTGACACGTGTTTTACATTGTTAAGACATCCTGCCTGAAAAACAAAACTCTAAAATGGAATGTAAAAAGCCCATTCTTTTAGGTGATTTGAATTATTCATGAACACAGTACCTTGTCGGCACTTAGAAAGTAATCAAAATATAAATGATGCATGTGCATGTCACGTCCAAACTCCATACTGGGTGTTTCTAGGTTAAACACAAGTGTCACTATCTTTTAAAATAGCAAAGTAAACTTGCAACCATGTAAAATAGTTCTGTCAAATCCAATTAATTAAAATATTTTTTAGATTTAAATCCATCTATCATCTTAACTATGAACTATTCCCAGTGTCTCCACTAAAATGCAAATACGTTACCTAGTACTTAGTGAACTATTTAATATTCTTGTTTTATATCCTTTTTTAAAAAGTTTACAACACTTACAAAATAAAACTCGTGTCATTTAGAGGAAGAAAAATTGAGATACCTAAGCTGATTTCGTGAAATACCAAGGTATTGTAAACTGTAAACATATATGACTTCTTAAGTCATCCAGACATGAGTACCATAAAAAGCAATTATTGAGCTATCCGATGACTTAAATATCTGTGTAGGATAAATATAAGTTTTGATGTGCTGTCTTTTTATTTCTTTGGGGAGCTCTCATGAGGTTTTCTTCAATTTCACTTTATAACAATTGATTATCCAAAAGAAAATGCTATTCTATTTTACTATGTCTAGGAAATTTAAACAAAGAAACCCAACATTTAGATTGTAAAATATGAAGGCATAATTTCATATTAATTTATTCTATAAGTAATACATAGGATATGCTATATAGGTATAATGTATAGTAAAATTAGTAACTATATTTTATGAATATATGAACCTAAACTTTACATCCTCATTCTGGTATTAATTTTGGAACTAGATAGGGGTCTGTAATAGAAAATGTGATATGCACATATTCCAGTACATGGATATATATGTGTGTGTAATATGTATATGTGCAGATAGATAGAGAGATACAGAGATAGAATTGAGCTAAATGTTATATAGGAAAGAGAAGAATTCTGTGGCAAAATGGTTGTCATTAGGTAGTTTAGGACACATGCAGAGAACTGATTATCATCCTGGGAGGAAAAAAAAAGAAATACTGTAACAAGGAAAGTGATAATTGATGCTAAGATAACTGAAATAGGAGTTCATTATTTATTTACCTATTAATTGAATGTCTTTTATTAGCATTTCTTATATGCCAAATATACTGCTAGACAACTGGGTATGTCATGAAGAAGACAGAGAAAATCTCTGACCTTATAAAGATACTTCATGGCTAATGTTGTACTGGGTTACATAATAAATAGGTTGAATACAAGACACATGCATTAAACATAAGTACACAGGAATGTGAAAAGTATAATGCTAGAAAAAAGCAATAAATAAATAAATCTAAATTTGTATGTAGCCAATGTGACACTTTTACAATATTAATATATCAGGCAAAAAGAGCAATAACTGAAATATAGAGAAATACACAATCATTGTGAGATGTTTTTAGCACTATTCTAAAAACTGATAGAATAAGCAGACATAAAATTATTAGACATAGATGAGTTGAATAACATGATTAGCAAACTGTACCCTAATTGACACGTATAGAGCAATCCATCCAACAATTGGGGAATACATATTTTTTCAAGTACACATGAACTGTTACCAAAATTGACCATACACTGAGTCATAAAACAGCATTTCAACACCTTTCTAAGGATTTATATTATGTAGAGTTAGATCTCTAATTACAGTGAACCTAAGTAGGAAATTTATTACAAAACATATAATGAGAAATGTTTGAAAATTAGGTAAAATGTTTCTAATCTAACGATGGTTTAAAAAACAAATTTGAATGGAAATTATTTTAAGTTTAGCGATACTACAAACTTATTAATGATGAAATTATTAACAATAAAATACAACATGGAGTCAGCTGTGCCGGAATTCACCATTTTTACCATGCTCTCTCATTCCTCAACTGATAGCCCAGTTATGTACAGTTTCCCTCTTTTTGAGTCTCTTTCATCTGCTCCATTGTTTCCAAGGTCACTACCAACAAATCAGCTCAAGCTCTAATTATTTCTGGCATAGAAGATTTCAACTATTACTCAAAAGAATTTTTCCTTACGCTTATCTATCCTTAAAATCACTGCCAATAAAACCTTTCTAAAGCTGTGTTTGCATGTGGCTTTTCCATTTGCCTATACAAGTCCATTTAAACTGCTCTTGATTGATGTGTAACAAAGGTGTCAAACATACTGTGCAAGTATTCTGTGTTTATTTCTTTCAAATGTTTTGACTTATCCCAATACCCAATTGCCACTGTTTTCTTCCCAGCATTCTTCCTGGCCTCCTCTGAATGCCTCCTCTTCTCTCTGTTAACATCCTATCTGTATCATAGTTCTATTTCATATGTTACTTTCTCAAGAAACCCTGATTATTCACCTGAAAACATCTGTGATCTACCAATTTTTTGACCTCCTTCTACAGAGTGTATTTTATACTTCTCTGACAACACTTGTATGCTACCACAAAGTGAATTGATCATTCCTCTCATATATTTACTTCACTGTTCTTTGACATGAATAAATGATGTCTTACTTATCTTTGTGTCAATATAGTATAATACATAAGAAATAGATGAAAATATCTAAGTAAAAAACAGTGCACTAAGATTTATCCTCTATTGGCTTGACATATTGAAGGTCTTTTTTTGTTTTTTATGTCATGTAGGTTTTTAAATTGAAGCTGAACTTAGCACTGACTAATGTATGTATAAAGAAGAAAATATTATGTAATAAGTGAATTATTATTATTTGGAAATACAATAAATTAGTTTTAATTTTGATTCATTAGACACAAATGTTACATTATTTTTTCTTAAACTTTTTGATTATATAATTATAATTTTTATTTTCTTACCAAAAGTGTTTTGAAATTTATATTCTTAGGTTATGTTTGATCAAGCAAGCAAATTTCTTGCATAAAGTCTAAGTTAATGAAATTAAAGCTTCCACGAGAATACTGTTTTTTCAGTGAATTTCCGGTGAATTTGATAAACTGCCCATGTAACAATCATACTGTCCTGATTTAACTTCATGACAACTTAATGGAGTGTAGGTGGATACCAGAAGTTTGAAATAGGTTGGAAATTGCACATTTCCCAGGGATTCAAAATATATCTAAATGACTTAAATGAATTATAATTTCATTGTAGAACAATAAAATTCAAGTATTGAACATTTTCCCAGTTTGTACTTAATAAAAGTGGCTATAAATTTTAGCCTTTAATTTTAAGGCACTGCAAGTGTAATTTATGTAGCATATATTTACAAAAAATCAGTTTTAATAACGCACTTGCACATATTCATTAGTTTCCTCAAAAGGCTGGTAGGAATATTTTCTTATTAATTCTTGAATTGTCAACCTGAAAATATTATTACAAAAAAATTCACCATAAAAAATAAAATACAGGGTTTTAATGACAAAAATTATAGAATACCACAGTGACAGAATTTAGAATCAAAAGGACCTAAGTCAATACATTTGTTTAATTTTTATTTTTAAGTGACTAAAAGTAATTCTTGCTATTATTGTAGAAACACTGAAAATTTATTCTTAAGTAAATTTTTGTCAGTTATAATAAAATGACTGTTCTGTTTTTCTGCTAAGTAATCTACTTTAATTAATCTTATTTATTCCATTTAGGGGTGGTCCTCCATGAAACTATTAAAATGTTATTTATAAAGCAAAATAACCAATATCAGGCATTAGAATATTTTAATGGAGGTGATTCATTAAAAATATGTCTAAATAATTTTGTTTTTTTAAATTCACTTTTAATGCCATCAAAATACCTTGAGATTTCAACTTTGTTTTAATTCTATCAGAAAAAAAGTTGGGAATTTTCCCCCAGAATAAATTTTAATTACATTGAAAAAAATCAATTAAATTGAAAGCACACATTTGGTTCAAACTCTATTCTACTTCACAAGGGGATAGTACATCATCATGGAACATGAGACAAGAATAAAAGAAAAGAAAACACGAAGAGCATTAAACTAATGTCTCCCAATTTAGGTAGATAAGGTCTGTTTCCATGGGAAATGAGAGCTACAATACATAGCTGTAACAAATCTGGAAGAGAATTGACTTTTCAAAATCTTTCTACTGTGTTTTCTTATCAGATTTCTCTAGAGTTGCATACACTCAATTGAGTGATAAAGAAAAAAATGTCCCATGATCAAGAGAGACAAGGTGTAGATCTGAACATAGATGATGAGAAACATTACCAGTAATCTCCAAGTTGCCCTTCTTAAGTGTGGTAAAGAAGAAGAAACCCAAGTTAAACATACATGAAAAAATTATGAATGTGCTTGCCAAGTATAGCCAGGATCTGCTAGGATTTCCCGCAGTTACCAGTTCCTTTACTTAAGTGACTTGTTCATCCTTCCTACACCATGGAACAAACTGAAACTTGAGCAGTATCCCTCAAGAGGACAGTTTACTTCCCATGCCTTTAACTGGAAACTGTTTACTCATGCAGGTAACACCTAGAGGTAAAGTAGGTGTCCAAGGTCCTTGTGCTCTTTCAGATAACTGAAGGCCTAAACTTATAAAATAAAGAGAGAATTTAAATGTTGCCTAAACAAGAGTTTCCAGTGCACTCAGACAATTATAAGCATGCTAAAGCAGTAGGAAAACTATAACATCAATCAAAAATACCAAAGTGCCACTAAAAGGAAGATTAATACACAATAATTGAAAACTGGATGAAATTTTCTACCTCATAAGGGTTTATATAATGACATTATTATAATCTGAATAAACTTAAAGCATTTATTCTGAATTTCATAAAATGAAACAAACAATTACTAATAAAATTAATTTAACAGAAAATGAAGCTGGGTGCAGTGGCTCACATCTGTAATTCCAACAATTTTGGAGATTGAGGCAGGAGAATCTCTTGAGGCCAGGAGTTCAAGAGCAGCCTGGGCAATAAAGCAAGACCCCCTGTCTAAATGAAATGAAATGAAGTAAAATAAAATAAAATTAAATTAAAATAAAATAAAATTAAATAAAATTAAATTAAAATAAAATAAAATAGCTAGGTGTGGTGACACATGCCTGTGATCCTAGCTGCTTAGGAAGCTGAGGCGAGAGAATTGCTTGAGCCCAGAAGTTCCAGAATGCAGTAAGCTAAGACTGCACCACTGTACAAGCTGAGATTGTCCCTGGATGACAAAGTGTTATAGGATTCCTTCGGTGCCCCTTCGCCAGCTGAAAATCTCTGTGGCTGCCATTACCTCTGCCTGGGTTCTCACGCTGACCGACCAGGGTTGCTCTCCTCGCTCGGCCCTGCAGGCTGCACTCGACTCGTGCCACCAACCCAGATCCTGTGCCTGCTGTGGCTCTGCACTCAGCCCACGGGCTGGACCAGGCGTGCCGCCAGCGGCTTCCACCTTGGGCACCCGCATCTAGATGAGCGGAAGTTGGTGGTGCCTGAAAACAGGGATGCCAGCAACCGTGAAGCCTGGGGAGTCCTGAGAGCTGAGCCCCTAAGAAATGTTATGGCTGCTGTAGTTCAGCGAGCAGCAGGGAATGGCGCCCAGTGGCTTTTTCTCTCCTACTGCTTGGCGAGCGGGAGGGCGTGGTACCCGCAGCTTGGCGAATGGGCGCGTGTTACAGCTTTCCTGCTCCCGCTGCCCCACAGCTCGGTGAGTTCCAGGTTCTTGCCGCGTGACTAAGAAATATAAGATGAGCAGAGACCGGAGAGTAAGTAAGGCAAAGAATTTTACTGAGCGACAGAAGGAAAGCTCTGAACTGTGAGAGGGGACCCTGAAAGCAGATTGTCCTTGGCAGTGAGAGGGGGACCGAAAGTGGGTAGCCTCCTGTGAGGCTAATTCCAAGTTTTTTATGGGCTCTGAATGGTGGCGTGCATGCTCATTGGTCCATAGGTGGTCTTTGGAAAAGCAGCATTCTATTGGTTAAAAGGCGTCATCCAGAATAAACCAATAGGGAGAGAGAGGGTAAGATCGGGATAGAAGTTCTCATTCCGGTCATGGGCTCTATCTGGACCTGGCCCCTCTGTTTTCAGGCTGTAAACTGTCTTTGGCTTGAAGGTCGGGTTTCACCAGGGACCTGCCTTTGTCTGCCTAGGAATTTGTCTGTCTCCTGTTGCTATCAAAAGCATGCCCCTATCTCCTAATAATATAAAAAATAAAAATTTGAAAATAAAGCGGATGGTAATTTAAAAAGGGGAAAATGAACCCTCAAAGCTTCATCTAAAGAGAAAAATAGGAAACAAGTCCCCAGAATACACACGAAAGTAGCGAACAGATGAATAGGTAGATGATATATAGACATATACTAATTAAAATGTTTTTAAAAGGAATAGAATACATGGAAGAGAAACCACATTCAAAGGTGTTTTTAGAAGAAAATAACACTCTAAACTGAAAAAAAGCCAAGCTGTGAGAAACCCTTGAAAAACTGAAAAGTCTCATCATTAACTATGCTAATTAATAAAATCCAGTAAAGCTTAAGTATAGATTTTCAAAAGTCTCTTTACTATTAAGAATTAGCAATGAATCCTAATTGGCATATCTGAAAAAATGGGACAAAGTAAAAATTAGAATAAGTGAATACCAAATTAATAAAAGAAAAATATTCTTAAACTGAAGAAAGATATAAACAATAAATAAAATACCTAGCAGATTGCAAGCCAAAACTAATTTAAAGAAACAAATCATTGAAACATTTACATGAAAGGTATTGGTTAATTTGGATGCTTTTTCCTCCTGCTACAAACCTATACAAATATCTTATTAAAGGGAAAATCTAATATATAGCTGAACTCTGAAGAAAGGGAAATTCACAAGTGCCATTTTTACACATGAAGATGCAAATTAAAGCCTTACCAGTTGTCAGCTGATGAGGAGATGCCACAGCAGCCTAAGTAAATTTGGTATCTTGATATAGGCTTTATTAAATATACTTGAGGCACATATTAGTGAAACTGTAGACTCTCTGGCAGTATGTACAGATTTGCTCACTTAACCTTACTCTAACCCCTTTTGAATGACTTAATTCAGAGCAGAAGCAGGCATGCTAAAGTCTACTCTTTCCATTTTATCAGCTCAGGTTTGCAAGTGTTCTGGCTTTTACCAAACATTAGATCCACATGATATTTGGAAAGCAGGAATGAGTAAGAAATGTGCTTTTTCTCTTCCAGTTGTTTTTTTCTGGCAAGCACAGCCATGGATGAATTTGAGTTATCTGCAGCAGCAATGCATAGGACTCAATGTTTAGTTCTTACCTTGAGGTGGAGGGCATAAAGCAACTATTTTAATAGCATGGATTGTGTCTGTGATAGTGTGGCCCTGGAGCCAACAGTTAAAGTGGCCTCTTCCTCATCTCTAGCTCAGAGGGTTGCCATCTGTAAGTCAGAATATTAGAAAACAGATCTTCTGGTTTTCCACCTTTCCAAAATTCAATAGAAGTCTACAGTGAAAGAGGCTGAAGTACTGAACATTCTTGTGTTAAAAATATGATAAACAGATGTAATAAATCATGATGAGTGATCACGTTATAAGATCTTCACCCCACAGTTTACAGGTCATACTCCCCTATCAAGGCCCTGAAAATTACATGGGCAAAGGGATTGGTAAAAATAGTCAATAGGGTAAGTGCTATAATCAGAACAAATAAACACAGCAGCATTCCAACATCACATAGAAGTGGCGTACAGTCAAGTAGATGTTGAAGACACAATGTGTCCGGAATTGGTGGGTTCTTGGTCTGACTGACTTCAAGAATGAAGCCGCAGACCCTCGTGGTGAGTGTTACAGTTCTTAAACATGGTGTGTCCAGAGTTTGTTCCTTCTGATGTTTGGACGTGTTCAGAGTTTCTTTCTTCTGGTGGATTTGTGGTCTCTGGCTTCAGGAGTGAAGCTGCAGACCTTCGCAGTGAGTGTTACATCTCATAAAAGCAGTGTGGACCCAAAGAGTGAGCAGCAGCAAGATTTATTGCAAAGAGCAAAAGAACAAAGCTTCCACAGTATGGAAGGGGACCCCAGTGGGTTACCGCTTCTGGCTCCAGCAGCCTTCTTTTATTCCCTTATCTGGCTGCACCCACATCCTGCTGATTGGTCCATTTTACAGAGAGCTGATTGGTCCGTTTCAACAGGGTGCTGATTGGTGTGTTTACAATCCCTGAGCTGGACACAGAGTGCTGATTGGTGTATTTACAATCCTCTAGCTAGAGGTAAAAGTTTTCCAAGTCCCTGTTAGATTAACTAGACACATAGCACTGATTGATGCATTTACAAACCTTGAACTAGACGCAGGGTGCTGATTGGTGTATTTACAATCCCTGAGCTAGACACAGAGTGCTGACTGGTGCGTTTACAATCCTTTAGCTAGACACAAAAGTTCTCCAAGTCCCCACTAGATTAGCTAGACACAGAGCACTGATTGGTGTGTTTACAAACCTTGAGCTAGACACAGGGTGCTGATTGGTGCATTTATAAACCTTGAGCTAGACACAGAGTGCTTATTGGTGCATTTACAATCCCTGAGCTAGACACAGCTGTGCTGACTGGTAAATATACAATCTTCCAGCTAGATATAAAAGTTCTCCAAGTCTCCACCAGACTGAGGAGCCCAGCTGGGTTCACCTAGTGGATCCAGCACCAGGTCCGCGGGTGGAGCTACCCGCCAGTCCCGCGCTGTGCCACCGCACTCCTCAGCCCTTGGGTGGTTGATAGGACCGGGCTCTGCAGAGCAGGGGGTGGCACCTGTAGGGGATGCTCGGGCAGTGCGCGGGAGCCCACCGCGGGGCGGGGGCTCAGGCATGGCTGGCTGCAGGTCCTCAGCCCTGTGCTGCCGGGAGGCGGCTGAGGCCCGGCGAGAATTTGAGCGTGGCACGGGTGGCTGGCAGTGCTGGGGCACCCAGCGCCCCCTCCGCAGCTGCTGGCCGGGGTGCTAAGCCCCTCACTGCCTGGGCGGCCGGTCTAAGTGCAGGGGCTGCCAAGCTCACACCCACCCGGAACTCGAGCTGGCCTGCAAGCGCTGCACGCAGCCCCGGTTCCCGTGCCTCTCCCTCCTCACTTCCCTGCAAGCAGAGGGAGCCAGCTCCGGCCTCGGCCAGCCCAGAGAAGGGCTCCCACAGTGCAGTGGCGGGCTGAAGGGCTCCCCAAGCGTGGCCAGAGCAGATGCCGAGGCCCAGGAGGTGCTGAGAGCAAGCGAGGGCCGCCAGTACGTTGTCACCTCTCAACAAGAAAGTTGGGTGAGCTGGTGACTTAATTCTCAGCATGCCTTCTCTTGCTACATCATCATCCTGCTGAAACCACCATGCCTGCAAACCTATGGGAAGCCTCTGTGACAAGCTGACTGAAGCAAAAACATTGAATGAGGTTAAAAAACAAATAGTTCTGCGTGACATATTGGGACCAGCCAGAAGTAGACTACAATCACGCTCAGAAGTGATCCTGTAGAAAAGCAGGGGAAGAAATTTTTTGCTAGAGGACAAAAATGTTGAGAAATAATTTCATAGCTTACTTTACTTGATAATGGTGATTGCCTGAAGTCATATACATACTGCTCTTTCAACATGATTATGACTCTCTAAGTGGTCAAAAACTTGGGAAAAGCAAAAGTGGAAGATTTAGGAGAGCTAAATGAAGGTATGTGGATGGGCCTTTCAGATTAATGGATTTTGCTGCTCCTGTACCCACTGAAAAGGCTGTCAACAATAAGGTAGGCATTATGACCCACCCAGAGGATTTTGGTCAGCCTCTTTTCTCAGACACATTTGTGTTTGCTCAATAGGCTGATGAACCAAGTGGTTATGCATGGATGCAACAGCATACCTACCTCTTCTCAAGGCTATGGCTAAAACTGAGTGCCAAACTGGTTGTTAGCAGTGAACTATCTTTTGTACCTTGCAGATATTATTTTACAGGGTACAAATCTGCCACTAAATCATCTATTGGAGACAACAGTTTTTCTTCAGTACTAGAGATACAAATTTTGGAAATACATTTATCTTCTTCATAAGCCATTCTTTTCCAGCAAAATCATTCTTTGACTTACCTAATACCTCATTCTTCACTTTGGTATGCCAAACAATTTTGCTTCTAACTCTACAGCGAATGAAGTAAGGCAATATATACTAACACACACTGTATTCCCTGATTGTATCATGTTCCATATTGCCCAGAAATACTTGGACTTACTGAGTGTGAAATGGCTTTTTGAAAACTGAGTTAAGAGCCAGATTGGACATAAATCTTATGGTGCTTTCTTATAGGATGGTATATGCATTGAACCAGAATCCCATATGTGCTGCTGTTTCTTTTAACAGCCAAAATGTATTGTTAAGAGAATAAAAAAGTAAAAGATGCATTCCCAAATGTTTTCGTTGATTCCTGTAACATACATTACTTATATTCTTTGTTGAACATGCCTCAGGGATGCAATGGCTATCTTTAAATTTAGATAAAAAGAAAACATGTATGTACTTACATAAAATTTTAGTATGACAATTTTAAATGTGTGACAATAGAACTGAGACTTTATGTATAATTATAATGGTTGTCAGCTCTTTATATAAATGTGACATGTATAGAGTATAGGTCTATGATTCATCTAATTTGGATTAACTAATGAGGTAATATAAGTAATATTTACATTTCAATAACATAGAAAACAGTTACAATTTTGGCCTTGGGCTTACTGAATCATTTTATTTCTTCCTATTTATTTTTATTAATATAAAGTGCCTTTTTTTCTATAAAAATAATGTGGTTGGGAATACATAACTTTTTTGTGTAAATATTTTCCCACATCATGATGGACCTACCTTGTAGATTTATAAATCATTGCTTAGTGAAGTCTAATCTAAAGATGTTTACCTCCAACTTTCATAAATTTTGTGATCATTTCTTCAGCATTGATGCATGAGATCACAAAAGATCCTAGCTCTTTCATTCGATTACAGGACTTATCATAGTCTTTAGAATATTGGAAATAAAATTATATTTGCTTTAGTCTCTTCCTTCCCATAATCAATTGGTTTTCCTTTCTAAATATCATTGCAGTGTCCAAGGATTTTCTACTAAAGCTAATCTTTTTAATTCTGAAAGTAAGAGTACAAAGGACCTGTAGTATATAGCATTTTTCTTACATAATAAATTATATAATAAATGTATATATTACAGTCATTCTCTATACACATATCACACACACATATAAAGAATTAAAAACAAAGTGCAGCTGTTTCTTTTTTTGTTCAGATATTTTATAGCATTTTGATTATGTCCTTCAGAGAGGTTGCTAGATCTGTGTGTTGTTTTGCTTAATCATCACATTTTTTTGAAAGAGGCTCAGTTGCCATCACTGAGATAACTTAGATTTAGAAATTTTTGTTGAATGCCTTAGTGACAACCATTACAGGCTGCCCATGAATTTAGCATCTAGTACATTTTCTTGCTGGAAAAAAATTCATGAAGAAGAGGGATAGAATTGGACACCAATTGAAAATAGGAAAAGAGGAAGGTACTATGCCCGGCTAAGTGAACAGCCTTAGCAAATTCATGAATTGACATGAAATTTGCATGAGCACAGTACAATCCGGGGAAAATAAAACAATTTCCAATGGTGCATTTTTTTTTTCTAATTTCAGGGAAAGAGTATTTTTGGTCCTGTTTTTGAGGTTTGGGACAGTAACAAGAAAAGAAGCAATTTTTACATTTAAATGGGATGAGAAGTTCAACACAAATATCTGTAGCAACAAGGAAACATCTCGAAAAATTCTTATTAAAATTTATACTTACCGTTGAAACTACAGACATATGACAACTCAAAAATAAACCCAATTTGGACGTGGAATGTTTCTTTCAAGTAAGATAGAATGCAATTATATGAAAATTTTTTCCACCCTTGACCCTGTATCAAAGATCAGCCCAAATAATTTGTGAAGCATCCCAGAAGTGTAAATGAAGCCGGAGTTTCAGTGTTACAATCACAGAATAGGGTCTTTCATCTATAATTAAATTATGGATTATGATAACTTTATTACCCATCAACTTGGCATTAAACAGCGTGAATCACAGCATGGGGTCTCTCTTAGCTAAAACTCCTGGGATGCAGATTCAGATGAGACCATTAGAGCTGAAAATAAATGCTAGCTTCCAGATCTCTGCCAAGGAGATAATGTCCTTCTGCATTGTTTAAAGAAGATGAGAAGACCCAGAATACAGGAAATAATTTTCCCAGGGGAACAAACGTATTTGAAAACATCTATCAACTTCCTTAGATGCTAAAAAGAAAAAGTTTAATTATTAGATGTTAAATGTCTCATATTATTAGATATATTCAACATGAAACTTTCCCCTAAAGAGGAGGGTAATAAATGATGAACAAGAAGAGAACTTTCCTCAGGTTTTATGTCTGATATATTTGTAAAATAAATTAAATAACATAAATACAACAAACATGTCTCTGAAAGCCAACCACCAGAATTTTTTTCTATTAAATGCCATCCTCATTGGTTGTTAGTGAAACTCACCAATTTACTAAGTTATTAAAATAAAAACATTAAATGCTAATGATATCTTGAGACTTCTGCCTAAGCATGGATTTACTATTAATGACTTTTGAATAGTTTATGCCATAATTTATTAATGTTAAATAAGACTTCCTGAGAAATACTTTTTTTCAATAGATTAATATAGCTATAGGCTTTATGATTTACTTAGCGGTTTTGACTGAAGGGGGGAGAAGTGTTGCCATTTTACAGATAGGGAACTTAGAAGAGGAAATTGAGAATTTGAACACACAAAAGACATAAAAATAGTAGGCATTGAGAATGGAGCTCATCTGGCAATCCCGCAGCTGGGTATATATTCAAAAGAAAGGAAATCAGTATATGGAAGATATATCTGCACTTCCATGTTTATTGTGGCACTTTTTGCAACAGCCAAGGTATGGAATCAACCTAAGTGTTCATCAACAGATGAATGAATACAAAAATGTGCTATATATACACAGTGGAATATTACTCAGCCATAAAAAGAATGAAATTTTGTCATTTGCAGCAATATGGATGGTACTGGAGGTCATTAGATTAAGTGAAATTGGCCAGAAATAGAAAAACAAATATTGCATGTTCTTACTCATCTATGGGAGCTACAAAGGTAGATTTCATGGAGATAGAGTAGAATGGTGGTTACCAGAGGCTAGACAGGAAATGGGGAATGGTGGGCATGAACATAAGTTGATTAAGGGATACAAAAATAAAGTTAGATACAAAGAGTTTATTCTAGTATTTGATAGTACAGTAGGGAAATACAGTGATTTCTGTAAATAATCATTTATTTTGTATTTCAAAATAGTTGGAAGAATTGTAATGTTCCCAATACAAAGAAAAGAAAAATTTTTGAGATAGTGGATATTACAATTACCCTGATTTGATCAGTACACATTCTATGCATATATCAAAATATCAATGTACCCCCAAAATATATATGATTAGTATATATCAATGAAAATATACCAAAAATGGAGCTCAAACTAAAGTCTACAGATTAGTATCTGTGTAGTATTTTCTCTGTAATGCTGTTCATTTCTTCACTGATCAGTTTTTCTTGATTTGTAATAATCATGGGTAAATAATGATGCAAATAATTCAAAAGCCTAGGTTTCCTTTTTGTTGTTGTTGCTATTTTGTTTTTGACAAGAAAATGTTCACTGTGCATTTATTTTAAATATCTGTGTATGTGAGAGAGGCAAATGTTTGAGAAAGGAAAAAATCATAGTGTTTGATCTTTCTCAGGTAAGAACAGCATCAAAATTACTTTATCTTTTGACAAGCACAATTTTAAAATAATAATCACACAATATGCAAAACTTGAGGAAAATGTCAGTGGATAAGGAATGTAAGCTATAGTCAGTGCTGCTTCTGTATTTCTACATGTTTCATTTGCACAGGATTCAGATCCTTCACATGTGATCCAAGGTGATTAAGGCATCCTAATATCCCCACAGTGACTGGCGCCACAAAGGGAAGTTGCAGAAGGTCAAGTGAGAATTAGAACTTGTTAAGATTTATTACAATCCAGAGTTATCTGCATGCAAACAAATTACTTCCTATCCAGCACTTTCACCGATGTGCTTTGCCACAGCAAGAAACTAAAGAGCTCTAATAGCCAATTGGTATTAATAATTAATCCAAACATTTCTATATGCCTTACCTTTATCCTGTGATTGACATGTGACCCTGCAGTTTATGAAAATATACCACAGGCAATTAGGAGATGTCACTTTGATGCACCTTCAATTGCCCAGACACCACTTAATAAAGCCCTTTTAATACCTTTAATACCTTAAGTCTATGTAAGTTACACAAAACCCCACACCTTACTCTAAAAGGGTGGGGGAGAGTAATGTATCTAGAGTAGTTCAGTGTCCTTTAACTGCAAATGCCCTAACCACTTAACAAGAGCTGTAAAATGGAGGGAGGACAGTGAAGGATAAGTCCATTTCTGGTGCACAACTCATTAAGATTTAAAGACCCTGGGAACAGGAGTGGTGCATTTGTCTTCTACTCCTAGAGACTCAAGTTTTAAATTTACCTCAAGCAAAATGATTTTGCTAACCTCAGGCTTTCACAAAATCTGACGAGATCTGCTTCATATGAGGTAGAAGGAAATCTCAAGGAAGTGAATGAGTCATAGGAAAAATGAACTCTACAAATGCAAAAAACTCTGTGAAAAAATATGATTAATATTTAAGTTAAAAATAATAAATCACTTTATTATCAAGGTTAATGCATTGTTATATTGACTAGAACAGGATATACACATATATGTATATAGCTTTTCCCTATTTCACTGAGATTAATCATTTTATATTAAATAATATAAGCAATTGTTAGAATAATCTCTTTTGTCTTAATTGTCAAAGTAAGTTTTGCATTGTGATGGCTTATTCAGGATTAATTTATATCATAGAGATCTCATAACTGCTTACATAATCCTATGTAAAAAAGAAATGTCAAAAAGAAAAATTCATTTTTGAAAGGTACGTTATCTGACAGAAATAGCATGAGACAGTTTTTAATGCTTTTAATTTAATGATTTCATGGCACTAAAATTGCAGCTTCACTCAAACATATTTAATTTATTCCATAATTCCACACAATTATTGCTATTGCTTTTGATTAGGTAATGAAAACTGCAAAATTACTTGCATTATTAAACATTACAATTACAAACTAGTTAAACTGTTTATTGATGTCAAATCATACCTATTTAGAGATTTGGGTTCAAAATATATTTCAATTAGTTATTTTACTCCATATTTTCTGTGCAATTTATACTCAACACAGACTTTTCCAATTGTCCTTCAGGGGTCAAGCATCCTGTTCTGGTTCATTTTGATGAAGGTGAGTTACTCTACATCATCTGGAAGGAAACTTGTGCTATTCTTTGGTGCTATAACCAGCTGCATTACTGAAAGCAGGCTCTGTCCTTACACATTATAGATGGATAGCTTCAGATAAGAAAAAGCTATCTTAGTGAATGTTGGCCGGAATTTTGATGTTTCTGTCTAGTAGGTGATAGGGTTATCATTCACATCTCTAGGTGATTTGAGAAGATGGCTGTCTGGAGCAATAGATAAAGACTCATTGGACTGTTGCAGAGGAAAAGAAATTCAAGAGAAGCGTGTGAATTTATTACTAAGAAACAAGTGCCATAGTTTACAGGCTAAGGAAAAAAAGGATAGAACATGTGTGAAAAATCAGCTGCATTTTCTTTTTGATAGCATGATCTGTGCTATTGGATTATATAAAAGAAGTTAGCAGGTGAGGGATATATCCAGTTTATTGGTTATTTTCTTTTAATCAAGCAACATGATGACAAATTTGGAGTAAAGTTGTAAAATAGCTCAGGTCAAATGGCAAGATTATAGAGCATATACAATTATATGAATTATATAATATATACAACATGCCTTACAGTAAGTAGAATGAAAGAGGTTGCAGGTGCTAGGACCAGTTTTATGCTGAGAGAATTCTTTTCTCTTTCAATATATATTTAATTTTTAGTAGAATTATCTTAAAGAAATTATTTAATGGCTTTGGGAGATATGAATATTACATATATAACAGATAAGTGTAAGTTTTATTTATTTAGCACATATTTACTAAAATATAGAGAGGAGTTTATTAAATAAGAATACAAAATCTAATCTATATTGTGAATTCTAACAAGAAAACTTCTATGAATGTAATTGAGTTAAAAGGATATGAACTTTGAATTGGAAAAACATGGACTTTTCTGAGGACTCTTACTGGGTGTTTATGTTGGAAAATATACTTAATCTGCAACTCTTAGACTGTTTAGCAATATATGTATATTATACATATTATATATATATATATAAAATCTCTCCTTGACTCAATGTACTCATTTTCAAAAGGGGATTACACTACCTACCGCATAAGATTACAGAAAGGAATAAGGTGAATGAAAACCATCTATTGCAATATCCAAAGTAGCAGGCATTCAGTAACTGCCGGTTATATTCTTTTTTCTTTCTGGAAATTTTGTAATAATTTCTCCTCACATGTTTACTTACTATAGCAGGGAGAAGTTCCTAAAGTAAGCTTTGGGGGCATGTCAGATTCCAGTTAATTATCACTTCAAAGAATCAAAAAGTAGGTAATTGTAACCTCCTTGTTTTCTTAAAATCCTACTTCTGAAAATCTTGGTGACGTTTATATACAGTGAATTAGCTAATCTGTTCTTATGGTTAAATAAGCCTCAGGTTTTTCTTTTGGGGAGACCATTGCTTAAATTGTCTCTAATATTTATCCCCATTTTGGCTAATTCACAGTTTATCGATTATGGCTTTCTGGCATTTTTCTTGAATACTTACGCAATGCCAACCCTTCTCTACAGCAGTGGTCCCCAATCTTTTTGGAGACCAGAGACCAGTTTCATGGAGGAGACTTTTTTTACGGATGAGAAGGATAGTTTCAGGATGAAACCATTCCACCTCAGATCATCATAAGGAGGGTGCAGTGTAGATCCTTCACACGTGTAGTTCACGATAGGGTTCTTGCTCCCATGAGAATTTAATGCTGCCACTGATCTGACAGAGATGGAGCTCAGGTGGTAATGTTAGCACAAGCATTTCTCTCCACCTGCCTTGCAGTCCAGTTCCTAACAGGCCACGGACTGGCCCACGACATAGGGATTGGATACCCCTGCCTATAGTATTGTCTTCAATAGGATGACTTTACATTTGCCATTAATCATCTTCATTCTCTTTTTTCTTTCTGACTCTACTCTTGTAAGGTTGATTTAGAATTCTGTTCCTGTTCCCTTAGATTAATGAATGACTGGAGGATTATCATTATCACAGTCATTTCAAGGTGAAGATTAGGAGATTGTTAAAAATGTATGTTTTCACCTAGGCCTACTGAATTAATACCTCTAGGGACAGGTCCAAGTAATTTATATCTGTTTGTCTCTCAGGTGATTGGTGACCATTCAGTTTGAGAATTCTGTTCTAAGTGAAAATTTTCTGGGGTGTTTTCCCTACCATCAGCCAATTTTCCTATTCTCTAGATACCAACTGTGTCTTCAATAATTTAATTCAATTCTGATACTAACTACCTAGAGTTAGAGTCAGACTCCACAGGTTTAAAGGCTCAGTTCCATAAGACTGTCCTCACTCCAGAGGCCAGTCTAAAGTATCAGGCCCCCAGCTTACACACATTTCTGTTCAACTTGGCTACAAATCTGTAGGTTCTCAACTACCTCAAGTTTGCTAGAAACATTTTACTTAATGTTTACTGGTTGATTATAAAAGACACAAATGCAGGCCTGCCACTCTCCCAGCGTCTCATTGTGGTCATCTTAAGTATGAGTTAACACATAACTATTAGAGCATTGTGTATTGTTATTAAAAAGTCCTGTGCTTTCAAATACATTTTAATAATTTTTCTGTTTGTCCTAATGTGATAAGTGAAGAATTCTAAATGGATGAAGATTTATAACTACATACATTTAAAATTAGGAAGCATATTTCCCTTCTCATTTCTAGAGATTTGCTATATCCTCCCTTTTACTGGCGAGTTTCTTCAGGGCAGGAAAAATTGTGTATAATTGAATTAGCTAAAACCTCCATATTTACTTATATAGGCTGTAGTCTAAGAAAATGTGACTTCCCCCCCCAAATCAACTCATCATTTGTAATATGTAATTACTAGTGAGTTATCATTAAAAGACAGACACTTAATTGAACAGCATGTTAAAATAATGAAACTATATTCCCAAATTGGACTAAAAAGTAATATACTTTCCAGACATTCTCTGGAATCTTATAATCCCTCAGAATACCATTATAATCCATTCTATCTACTTTGAATTTTTGTTTTTTGTTTTTGTTTTTGTTTTGAGACCGAGTCTTGCTCTGTTGCCCAGGCTAGAATGCACTGGTGCGATCTTGGCTCACTGCAACCTTGGCCTCCAGGGTTCAAGCAATTCTCATGCCTCAGCTTCCTGAGTAGCTGAGACTACAGGTGCCCACCACCACGCCCGGCTAATTTTTGTATTTTTAGTAGAGACGGGGTTTCACCACATTGCCCAAGCTGGCCTCCAACTCCTGGCCTCAAGTCACCTGCCCGCCTCAGCCTTCCAGAATGCTTGGATTACAGATGTGAGCCACCACAACTGGCCATTCTATCTACTTTGTAGGTCACTTGCAGAACAAATGTCAGCTTTCTATAATGGATTCCCTGGAATGTGACTTAAAGTTAGTGGTATAATGTTCTAAGCTGTTAAATATTTGGAAATGAACTGGGAAAAATAGCACATACATTCTATCTACAATTTCTCTTTCCCGTACAGCTGATCTATTGAGTTTATCTCTATGAGAATTTTGAACAAGTCACACTACTTTTCTACTACGGCAATTCTTGCCAGATTTGAAATAAGGCTACAATGTTTACAATGTGTACTATATTATAAAAACAATATATATTCTCTATAAAAATGTAAAATGAATGTCTTACCATAAAGATATATCTACTCCAACCAAGCAAATCAGTTTTAATTTATATATTTGTGATTATTCTAGACCTAGTAATTTTGAAGTTAATTTTATAATACAAATACTTCCAGCCAATAAATTATTTTAGCCTCATATTTAAAGGTGCATAATATTTAAGGTGACCTTATGTTTTAGTTTGCCTGTCAGTTCCGGTTTATACCTGTTGCATAGGCTCTCTTGAAATTATCCTCATTAAAATTGTCTCCAATTGAACAAAAATTTTATATGGTCATTTAAAAAATATTCTTTAGAAAGAACCCCTATAGTATTTTAATTTTGTTCTATATTATCCATTTAGATTGTTTTCTAAAATACCAATTGTAAAAAAAATGCTAATATTTTAACATAGAATTTATTTTTCTTATCTACAATTATTATTTGATAAAATTTCTAATTATTATTTGGTAAAAGTTCTAAGTTAGTAGAATACAATATGCTATTTTCACACTTTTGTTGCATATTGCTGGTTACTGGTGCAATTTATTTTCCCAAGATGGAAGTGAGATCTTTTTCAACCAGTTTACTGCTGCATGTACTCTGTGTTCTCATGGCATCATCCTCTCAGCAAACACAAAACTCAGCACAAATACTTAACCATAAAAAAATTGAAGAGTATCTAAATTGCTTTCTCTTTTGTAGATGACAAGAACAATGTGGTTCTTCATCAAACCTCTGCAGCTCAGACATGAGTTAGAGATGTTCTTTAAAAAATGGAGATCAAAATAAATTTTAATATTTGTGTATGTGTAATGTGTTACACACACACATACTAACATGCATACACACACTTATGCCCGTGCACACACTCACCATCACCCACCCATATGTGTGTGTGTGTGTATAAATTGTAAGCTTTCCAAAGTGGCATAAGTAACTTTAGAGCAGAGATTACATTGTATTGTATCCAGTGTCAGATAACTAGAATAAATACAATTTAATTGTACGCTTTTGCCATAGTTCTGAGAAGGATCAGACAATACGTATGAATAGTTCCCCTTTTAAAGTAAATAATGTATAGATTTTTTATATTTTGATCAATGAGTTAAATACTATAAATAAATCAGCATGTGCTTAAAACTTTTCTTGGTGCTGAAAAGCTTGCTTTTCTTTATTAAAATAACAATTTTGTTTTTAAAAATTATTATGCTGAGCACGGTGGCTTGAACCTGTAATCCTAGCACTTTGGGAGGCCGAGGTGGGCAGATCACAAGGTCAGGAGTTCAAGACCAGCTTGGCCAACATGGGGAAACCCCATCTCCACTAAAAATACAGAAAATTAGCCAGGCATGATGGTGTTTGTCTGTAATCCCAGCTACTCAGGAGGCTGAGGCAAGAGAATCACTTGAACCTGAGAGGCGGAGGTTGCAGTGAGCCAAGATTACAACATTGCACTCCAGACTTGGTGACAGATCGAGACTCTCTCTATATCTATATCTATATCTATATCTATATCTATATCTATATCTATATCTATATCTATATCTATCTATATCTTTTTCTGTTCATTCTGAATTCTATGAATATCCAAAGCTCAATGTTAGTGACCTGATTCCTGATTAAAATTTTGATGATAGGTCATGTAGACATATTACTTTATTCCTTTGAATGTTTCTAAATTTTGTTTGTCTTCTATTATGATCTTACATATTTTATTTTGAAGTACAGCTATCTCTAAAAAGCCTCATTTTTTTGTTTACAAAATTCAATTCCTTCCATATCCCACTCATGTTCATTTACTTTGTATCATCTCATTTAGCTCTTTATGTAGTAGAGCCAATAGTGGCTTCTTGCACAAATAAATGGAACTAATAAAGTGATTATCAGTATTTACTGAGTGATAAGCATGCATTTAACAGATAATCCTTGATGAAAAGGAGACAAGAAGGTTCGAATGTGTAAGTAGAGAGACAGGACAAATAGGCAAAAAGAGCAATAGTCCAAATACCAGATGACTGAGACTTACTGCTTTTTCTACAATAGCCTATCTACATAAAATTGGAAGAGGCTTGAAGATCTTTTGGTGTCAGTTTCCTCATGTTTACAGTAGTAGGAGGCTACAGATATCTCTAAAATACTTCTGTTCTAAAAGACTCTGCAATTTTAAATGTGGATATATTTTATCACAAACATGTTAATGCATTTGCAATTTGGAGTAAAAAAAAAAAAAATCCTGAATGCTTTAGTCCCTAATAGTTAAGTAACTTTTCACGGAGCTTTGTCTATACATTTTTTTCGATATAATGTCTTCGGAAGATATATTTTATCTACTAAATAAACTAGATTCCATAAAATGTTTCTTATTAGAATTTGGTGTCACAGTATTTTTATCAATTATGTGTACTACTAAATAAAACAACAATAATCTTTGATGGAATTATTTTCAGTTTATCCACTAATTTGAGAAAGCCAGGTCCAAGAGAGTTATTTTATTTTGAAAAACTCTGATAGGAAAGAAGAATCTGTTCTTTTTCTGAGTATTAGAGAAGTCTGCAAAGACTGCAAAGTTAATCACAGATTGAAATCAGTAGTGATGACTTAAGGTTTTTCCTTTGTGTAAAAATACATAATTTCGGCCGGGCGCAGTGGCTCACGCCTGTAATCCCAGCACTTTGGGAGGCTGAGGTGGGTGGATCATGAGATCAGGAGATCGAGACCATCCTGGCTAACACAGTGAAACCCCATCTCTACTAAAAACACAAAAATTAGCCGGGCCAGGCATGGTGGCAGGCGCCTGTAGTCCCAGCTACTCGAGAGACTGAGGCAGGAGAATGGTGTGAACCTGGGAGGCAGAGCTTGCAGTAAGCTGAGATCATGCCACTGCACTCCAGCCTGGGCAACAGAGCGAGACTCTGTCTCAAAAAAAAAAAAAACATATATATATATATATATATATATACACACACCACACATATATATATATATATATATATATATATATATATATATATATATATATATAATTTCTACAAGAGTGAGTAGAGGAGGAAGGCATTTCAGAATGAGTTGCTTTACTAGGTTTCCTTCAATGTCAATAGAATGAAACCCATAGCAAACTTATTTCAGAAAATGTTGCATTTGTTCTGAGTGTATAACTTAGGTCAGAGAGCAAAACATGATATTAAGACAAAGTTATTACATTTTTAAAATACTATATAAGAATTGTTTTTAAATATTTATATTAAACACTATAAATGTTTAAACCAAATTGTATATATTATATAGACATCAAATTCTACACTAGGCATGTGAATCCCTCTGTTTAACTGTGTGTAAAAATTTACCTGCAAAATAATATTAAGTTCTGCACTTCTTCGTGTTAAAGCGTTTACAAATGAATTTTGTATTATAACCATCAGTACACTAGGGTTATAATGATCTATTTTTCAAATTTAAAATGCTAGTGTATGTATCTATGTATCACTATACATTTTAATGGAACAATTTGGCCACATTGATTTTACTCTGTTCACATTGGAAAAGTTGATTTTTTTATGTGTTGACTACTCTAGGAAACCTCTCTATTTAATTTTATATCCTTATCATGGATTTTGTATTTAAAAATTCCAAAGATTTGCAAGTCATGATGTATATTTCATAAGAGACCATTTCTGTCATGGTTTTGTTACACAAAGTTCTTTAGAAATCTTGTCAAAGTTAAGTTATAATTATGTTTTGTGTCTTTATCAATTGCATGGGTCTATAACTCTATTTGTGATAGGTTAAACAGATGAAAAATATTGGCTTGCAACAAAGCTTCGTTTTATCTTTTGACATATTCCCATAATTAATTAGTGGCTTTTGGGGAGCTAAAAAGATGATCCCAACTTGTTACAGTGTTATAATTTACTGAATATTATGATTGCCACCTTTAATGACACAACGTACAAAGGCTAATGATACATTAGACAGTATAAGAGTGCCAATTAAAGGGTAATGGTCATTCCAAAGGTTAATGCTTGTAACTCTTGAAAGAGAATAAATTGATCTAATACAATTTATTTTAAGAGAAAACTTCCCTTCTATGATGCTGTGACTAATTATCCTATTGGCAATTCAGTAGACATACATAATCATTCAATCCACTACTATCAATGTCTTAATAAAAGCTTTGGAATGTGGAAAGTGTGAAGCTTTTCACACGCAAAAAGGAACTTTACATAGATGATGATTATTTGACTGAGAGAAAAGGCAAGCTGTTTGAAAGTTTGAGAGAATTTAGAACATACCCCGTAAAAATGCCACAACCATATGATGATATTAAAATGTTAAGCAAATGCTATCACTATACGTGCTGTTCACATACATGCACATATTTATATATGAACACCAGTCAGAATTTAGTTTCCTTTTGAAAAGCTCAAGAGTTTGTAGAGTGACACAGAACAAAATTAATAGCTCTCTAAATAATAGGCTAGAAGAAAGAACTATCGTATCTGAGCATTATGAACCTTACCTCGTTCTGAAAAGGAGCTGAAGTAAAGTGAGAGAAATGGTCTGCTGGCTCCTAATTCGTGAAGTGACAATGATGAATGAATGGGAGTTAGCTCCAGCTGTAGCTGCATTTTAGCTCTTGCATACTTTCAGCTGCTAGAGACACTGAAAACACACACACACACACACACACACACACACACACACACACACACAATTTCCTAGTAGCAACACCAAAAAAAATGCCTTTTCTAAAGTAGTGTCTAAACAGTCTCCATGAAGAAGTCCGTTCATTCATCTGTGAGGGAACCCTTTTTTGTTAGCAGCTACAAAAACATCCAATGGCATGTAGCTCTTTCAAATATATATCACATAGATTGGAAACATTCTAATTAGTCATTTCAGTTTTTCCAAAGTTAAACAAGTTAGCCATTCTGTGGAGAGATAGAATACAAAAAATTGTTAGTTTATCTCTGCTCAAGATTGTTTGAAACAGAAAACATGCAAAACACAAGGCTAAATTTAAGGAGAAGAAAATAAACTCGTGATTTTTACCTGTTACCTTACTTTTCTCAGGTCCAACTTTAGCCCCAATTTTATATAAAAATCATTCCTTAAAAATAAGTCACCAAAATCTTACTGGAAAACCAAAAGTCTTTTCTCCATTTCTCCTCATTCATTTACTCAAGATTAAAGTTAAACTGTTTCCATATCCAGGAATCAATGTGCCCACAGTCACTCCGCTAGATCCATCACACCTGTGCAGTAGATAATCATAGAGACATGCAGAAGGGCAGAACAGGAGAACATTGCTTAATTTCTCTGAATTCAAATTATGCATCTAAAACATGGAAATTAAAATAACTACCACAAATTTAATTATGACTATTAAGTGAAAACATTTGAGAGTTGATAAACCTTAGCTACTCTTAATCTATATATAAATTTTTATCTGGCTTATTTCTTTAACTTTTTCTTCTCCTGGATATTAATTAATTTTGAATGCTTGTAATAATTCTGATACAGTCATGCACTGCATAACAACATTTTGGTCAATGACAGACCACATATATGAAAGTAGTCTCATAAAATTTTAATGGAGCTGAAAAATTCCTATCACCTAGTGACATTGTAACCACAATAATGTCCTAAAAAATGCGTCACGATGTATTCGTGATGATGCTGGTGTAAACAAACATATTTGGATACCAATCATATAGAAATATAAGCCCATATAATTATGCACAGTACCGAATACTTGATAATAATAATAAATGACTGTTACTGATTTATGTATTTATTATACTATACTTTTTATCATTATTTTAGAATGGAATTCTTCTATTTATGAAAAAAACAGCCTCAGGCAAGTCCTTCAGGAGGTCTTCCGGAAGAAGGCATTGTTATCATAAGAGGTGACAGCTCCACGCATGTTACCGCCCTTAAAGACCTTCCAGTAGGACAAGATGTGAAAGTAGGAGACAGAGACACTGATGAACCTGAGCTTGTGTAGGCCTAGGCTAATGTGTGTGTCTGTGTGTTAATTTTTAACAAAAAGCTTTAAAAGGAAAAATATAATTAAATATAAAACAGCCTTATAGAATAATGATATAAAGAAGAAAAATATTTTTGTACAGCTGTACAATGTGTCTGCCTTTTCAGCTACATGTTATTACAGAGTCAAAAAGTTAGAAAAAAATAAAAATTTATAAAATAGAGAAATTACAGTAAGTTAAGGTTAACTTATTGAAAAAAATTCTTATAAATTTATTGTAGCCTAAATGTACAGTGCTTATAAAGTCTATGGTAATGTACAATAATGTCCTAAGCCTTCACATTAACTCACCACTCACTCACTGAATCATGGAGAGCAACTGTCAAACTGGAAAGCTTCATTCATGATAAATGCCTTATATAGGTACACCATTTATTATCTTTTATATTGTATTTTTGCTGTACCTTTTGTATGTTTAGATTCACAAATACATACCATTGCATTACAATTGCCTACAGTATTTAGTAAAGTAACATATGGTACAGGTTTGTAGCCTCAAAGCAATAGGCTAGAACAGATAGCCTAGGTGTGTCGTGGGCTATCACATCTAGGTTTGTGTAAGTACACTCTATGATATTTACACAAGAACAGAATTAACTGACACATTTCTTAGAATTTATCCTCCATCATGGCTGGGCGCATTGGCTCATGCCTGTAATCCCAGCACTTTGGGAGGCAAAGGCAGACGGATCACTGGAGGTCAGGAGTTCGAGACCAGCATGACCAACATGGTGACACCCCGTCTCTACTAAAAATACAAAAATTAGCCAGGTGTGGTGGTGGGTGTCTGTAATCCCGGCTACTTGGGAGGCTGAGGCATGAGAATTGCTTGAACCCAGGAAGCGGAGGTTGCAGTGAGCCAAGATTGCACCACACCATTGCACTCCAGCCTGGGCAACAAGAATCAGACTCAGTCTCAAAAAAAAAAAAAAAAAGGAAAGAAAAGAAAGAACTTATCCCCCATATCATTAAGCAACATATGACTGCAGTTATAAATTAAATTATGCATATGTACGTTTTAATAACCTCTTTTTAAATATCTACCTATTTATAACCTTTTCAAATACATCTTGCTTTCCCTCTCTCTCTTGAACATAGACAATGGCAGCAAGGCCATTGAGAGTCTAAAGAAGAATATCTCCAAGCAGGAGTCGCTCCTCAGGGCACATAACCTCAACGACAAGAGTTACACATTCCTGATTTCCTCTGACTATGAATATGTCTAACAGAGGGAGAACTTGTGGAAGCAGCAGCAGAAGTATTTCAAAAGCTTTTCTCTGATGTTTGTGGAGCTACAGATGTTGATCAACATGTCTGTCAAACTTCAGACTGCTCACAACATTCTAATGACTGTCAACAAAGAAGATGGTGAATCTCCTGAGTATTACAGGTTTCTGAATATTGTAGTCCACTCCACCACCAGACTAAAGCAGAGCTTATGTCTGTACTGAACCCTGGAGATAGATTTCTATTGGTGTTTTGTCAATTATATATACTTAAAAATTTGAGAAAGGTAATATTTCAAATAAACAACAAATATATTGCCTATTGAAGATGCAACATGCATGCATATACATTACTTAATATAAGAAATAAAATATATTGTGATCTTTCTACTCCTTAGCTCAGCTGGGTCCAAGTTTTTGTCTCATGACCCGGAAGAATTAGGCACATGGACACTGGAGTGAGTGGAGTAGAATTTTTTAAGCAAAAGGAAAGCTCTCAGCAGAGAGAGTGGTCCTGAAAGCAGGTTGCCAGTTACCCCCTTCACGGTTGAATACAGGGAATTTTTTTTATAAGCTGATGAGGCTGGGTTCGTTGTTTGTAACAAGGTGCAAATTCCTGGCAGCTCCACCCCATCCTTCCAGTGCACATGCGGGCTCTTAGTCTGAGCCTGTCCATATTTATTTATTTCCCTTACTGCTCATGTGCTAAGGAATGAAATTTTCCACTGTAGGCCTGTTTAGGCAAGCCTCTTGTGCAAGTTCCCTTAGCTGCATAAAGCATCTGGTATAGGCTAGGCATGGTGGCTCACATCTGTAATCCCAGAACTTTGGGAGGAGGAGGCCAGTGGATCATGAGGTCAGGAGATCGAGACCATACTGGCTAACATGGTGAAACCCTGTCTCTATTAAAAATACAAAAAATTAGCCAGGCATGGTGGCACGTGCCTGTAGTTCCACGTACTTGGGAAGCTGAGGCCAGAGAATTGCTTGAACCCGGGAGAGGGAGACTACAGTGAGCCTAGATCACACCACAGAACTCCAGCCTGGGCGACAGGGTGAGACTCCATCCCCCAAAAAAAAAAAAAAATATCTGGTGTAAGACTTGTGGGGTGCATCAGAGGTTCTCCAGGGACCCTTCTTTTACTTTCTGCATAAAACAAGTTATTTAACTCTCCACAATACTTTATCAATAAAATTGTCTTCTGTACATGCCTCTCAATTCCATTACTTTCTTCCTCCACCTTAGCTCCAAAAGAAATTGCTAATCTTAGTTTAAAAATAATTTCCTTTTTAAATTTTTTTCATCCACGATATATATTCATAACACATATCCATAATATTTTATTATTTGTTTTAAACTTAAATAGTATTATAACATAGACATTTGTCTAGGGATTTTGTTTTCACTTGGTATTATGTTGCTGAGATTCATTCATATTGCCATATGACATTACACATCTTCCAATTATCTCTGAAATTTCTCTCTTCCTTCCTTAAACCTACTTAAGCCATGTTTATCACCAAATACTCTTTAGCTAAATCTCTTGTACAATGTACAATACATATAACTACTTATATGTACACTAATATATGCATTTCCAAGAACACGGGAAAGCTATACTCATTTTACAAATTCTGTAAATAAAAATAATACTAGCAACTTCTCTGTCTAGTGTGTTCTCTATTCTTTTGTTAATTGACCATAAAATAGTAGTGAAGATGGAGTAATGGAATATGATAATTTGTGGTGGTATTTAATATGAGAACATATTTTCTTATTGTTATATAAATAAGTTTGAGACATAAAATGTTATTTACATATTCAATGAGAAAACTAATTCTAAGCCTTTGGCTTTTAAATGTTTTCTGTGACCTTTGTTGCATTGTGACAGTTGTAGCAGATATTTCACACATCATACAATGTAATTGGCATTCTGCCACAATCACTAAGCTCAGCAACAATTGTTAGCTCTAGGGAACTGCCAGGATGGAGTAAAGCTTTTTTAAACTCCATGTAATTAACAGAAATGTTTACACAGGAGAAAAAGTGGCATACTGTATCAAACTTTCCTTTTAAACATTAGTAGTTAGATTTTGAACTTGCTCTACATTTTAATATCTTAACAGTTGTAAAAAGATTCTATGTTAAAAGTATGTTCTTGTTTTATAAACCCTGTCAGCACTTAATCATTTAGCAAGATCATGTAAGTTATATCTATACACAGAATGACATTTAAGAAAATATTATTATACCCTGCATAAGTGTATATGGAGATGTGAAGGGCCAGAATGATTGAATTAAGTATAACTGGGTCAATTTAGAAGTTTAAAGTCATGTATGGAAGAAATTGTTGGTGACAAGACTGACTTTTTCAAATCTGGGTTTGGATTACTGCCTAAGATAAAATGGGCAAAAGCACATTGTAACTGTTCAATTGGGTAGAGGTTTCAGGGCACAAAGATTATGCCTGATCTCTTCAACCTCATATATCATTTCTATCTTCCTCAATTCCTAGAAAAATAAAAGATACCTGACAGTTCTGATTGCTATCTGATGTAGGTTGACTACAATTAGACTCAATAAAGAAACTCTGCTCAAAATTTAATAGATGCAACCTACTAAGTAAAAAAAGTGCTTCATTATTTAAAAATTCTTCAATTTTGTATAAATTAAAATCTATAGAAGTTTGAAAGTATTCACTAAGATTCCAAAGTATTTGAAATGCCTATGAACTTTCCAGTGAACTAAATGTGTCTTCTTTGTTTAAAGAAACATTTCTTATAAAAAGCTTAAATCTGTTTGAGTCTACATAGGTAAAGTATAAAAGAATACTTTGTTCATTAAATAGAACTACTTTATAAATGAGCATGTAATTAATAAGGAAACTTTATTTTTCTTTTTGCTTAAAATAGATGAATATAGTGAGCATTTCTGAATTTAGTTTCTAGTTGAGAATTCTATTTTATATATTTATATATCCGTATCTATCTCTCTATTAATTAATTGATATAGAGACACATGTGCTATTGTACCAAAATATTTATATGTGGAGATAAAGTGAATCCTTATTCATCTACTAAGATTTCTTTCTCTAGTTAATGTTTCTCTCAAGTATAGACTAAAAACTTGATCAAAATTGATTGCCTGGTCATAGTTTCCCACATAAATAACACACTTGTTTGTCTTCAGCATATTTTAGAAGGCACTTCTTTGGTTTAGACTCTTAAAGGACATTGAATATAAAATTACATACCACTGAAAAAAGATTGCCGAAAATGTTGAGTTCTCTGTGCTCCCAGTATAAAGAATACCATTATAGAGAGGATGTCATATTTTTACAGGGCAAATTACCAAGGCAGACACTAAACATTCAAATCATTATGTTTAAAATGCCTATCTTTTATCAGAGAAGCAGTAAAGAAATATTAGAGGCCAGTTCTCTTATTTATTTATATATTTTATCATAAATTAATCAATTATCAATTGTCAGGAACTGTTCTGGCCTGTCCTCCTTCCAGGAACATTAACAAAAATTAATTTTTCTGAGTCTATTATCATTTTGGTAATTTGGAAGCACCAATAATAATATAGTACAATGCAATATAATACAATATAATATGGCATAAGGCAACAGAATAATTTAAAGGAAAGTTTACATTCCAGGGGAACAAAGAACTTGGATGTGCAGAGGACATTAAGGAATGTAGGGTCAAGTAGAATCAGTTTTGTTGATAGCTGACAGAGGTGAGCGACCAAGAGTAACGGTAATCTGTAAGTTGATATAGGCATTGCATTGTATGTTTGGAATAGACAGATAGAGGACAGCTCCGTTATTGTTGCTTTCACTGTCTTATATCTGATTCCAGCATTCTTTGCTATCTTCAGAGAAAGACTATTTATCAGAGGAAGCCTAGAACTTCACTGGGCATTGTCATTTTGTCAAGAACTAAGGCAAATTCTACTAGGCTCCTGGAACAGAATGTTAAATCATTAGGAAAAATTTATTTGACACACAGAATAAACTACAACTGTATAGCAAAAGTCTGGTACACAATATGAGACTATTTTGAGAATGTTTATCCAAGGAAAATAAGACACATTTTTAGATGAGGCTTAATTTTTTCACATTGAATCACTTAAAAATATTCTTAATTCAATGTACTATATTAGCTGCAATTTGTGGACTGCTTAATTTAAAGGGAGTGGTCCAGGTTAGGGAAGTTGAGATAGCAGAAATTTTCTATGTAAGAGAAAACAAAATTATTGGGATGCAGGAATGCTACCTTGAAGTTAGAATGCTTGAGTTAAGTTCCTTTTTGGCTCTGCCAAGTACAAACTTGATAATATAGTTAGCTATGATTGGAAATCATGTGAAATGGTGCTTGATAAACTTTAGTGTGATTAAAAATGTCCTGGAAAAGATTGTCAAATGTGTTAATCATTGGTCTGTATCACCACACCTTGCTTCGCTAGGTCAAGATGATTGTGATGCAGTGGAGAGCCATATCAAAATTTGAAGATTAGTTTTTTTATGCTATACTTATTTTTTTTCTCTTTTGAGGAAGCAGATCCATTTTGAATTATTTAAATATCTACTAAGTCAGCTGCTGAAGGAATTGCTCTTGGGAAAAGTAGATTTATACTAAAAATATAGTAATGCTTCCATCAGCAAATAGTAATAAAGCAAAAAAATTATCTTGGACGATTTGTATTGTATGAGTTCTGCATACAAGAAACTCAAAATCTATGGTTTGGGAGTATACCTTAGCCTTTTTAGATTAAATTTTCAATCAGTATTTAATAGAATATTCTCTATGTGGAATGCACATTATTAGGCATGATGGGAGATATAACAGTGAGGCAAACTCATTATTCTTGAGGGGTTTTACAATTATGTTATTTTTATTAAGAGCTCAGAAATATGTTCTAGGTTTGGGATTTTGAAGTGGTACCTTTATTCAGTAGCCTAGAGCAGTAAACTACGAATTAGATTCTTGTATCCCCAAGGTAGAGCAGGAAACTATACATTGTGATACCAAAACAAAATCTCTCTCTCTCACACACACACACACACATACATTTAATAACATGAGGATATTAAGATTTACTAACATTTTGCTCATAGATTTATATTGGTACCCTCTCATATCCTATCAATAGAATATGATATATCACTTACGGTAAGCATAAAAGGGAAAAATTTTCACATTGTCGAGGCGTTTATTCATTGGCTTTCAAAATTTTAGACTTGTTATGTTTCTGAGAATTTACAGATATAACATGTAATTAATCTAATTTATAAAATCGGCAAAAGATTTATAGAACTTTTCCAATAAAACCATCTTTGAAGATAAGCACGAAAAATAGCAAAGCCTGACAATCTTGAAATTTTCATGACTGTATCATTGGCAAAATTATAGGATAAAAGTACTGAAAATTTATACTGTGCTACTCAATAAATGTTTTTAAAATGTTTTATCTTCATAAGATTTAGATAGTATTTCAAAATATGAATAACGTAATAACAAGATTTTTAAGGAAAAAATACATTTTATGAAGAGAGAGAACTTCGAATAGAGTTGCTTAGACTTTTTTTTTGCTATTTCACTTTGTTTTCTACAATGATATTTGTGTCACTTATAATGGCTCTCTGATATTCACATATTTAACAATTATCAACAAAAGATTTTCCATTTATTTAAAAATCTTCCAAAGAATGGTGTACTCTAAATGTAAAAACAAAAAAGCATTGTATTTTAATTAGTTTAAAAGAATAATTGAATGGCATTAGGGAGAATAAAAATTTACAAGCTGAACTTTAACCAAAGCCTTGGCATAATGGGTGGATTGATTTGGAATGTGATCATCGCAATTCAGGAAGAACAGCTAATCATGTACTTTCATTTGGATATATTATCTTTGAAATATGTTTTTCAAGTATGGTAGTCATCAAATAGAATTATCCAAACAAACCTCTGAAGTGTAAAGTTTTATACCCAAACTTTAAAAAATAGTAAAGTATATTTAATCATATTTTCATTATTTATTTATAAAATCCACATACATTTGGAGATAAATTGGAATATATGTACAGAATGATATGTGGAGTATAATAAATCACATCTTAATCCAAAGCTTTAAAATTCAATAAAATTTTTATGATTGGAAAACAAGCAACTTATATAATAGAAAATATTTAAAAGTTCTATTACTTTTATCTCATCCACCTTAATTTCTATTTTTGATTATCTTTAATAACGTAAAAAATACTTTAGCATAGCATTCAAAGTATAGGGTAAAAAAATTTGAAAAATAAGCAAATGAGTAGGCATATTTTACTGTTGTAGCTTAAGAAATTTTATGGATTAAAGATAAAAGTTTGAAGTCCATTGATTTTTGGTATGAACTTCTTTAGTTTGTGACAATGATTCAATAATCAAAAGTTATTTTCTAGGTTTTCAACTAACAGACATGACTATATAAAAACACACAAATTATCAGTATACAGGATTTGGTTTGCTTTTGTGATCATAAACCCTGAAGGTACACACAATATAAAATAAATGTTCAAAAGTGAAATAGACATGCTTCTGAACTAAATTAGCCTGTTTAAGTACGAGCATTAAGAACATAATTGAGAAACTGTTTTCATGCATTGGTACCTATTTTGAATATTGGTAGACAATGATTAAAAGGCACTGGAGCATTCAGTGTGAAATATCACTGTTAAAATAAAGTGATTCTAATATTTGGCTATTTCCTACAGCATACTGAAACATAAAGAGACTTTGGCTAAATTTCTTTATCTTAATGCCACCATAAACTAATTAATATGAATACAAATAGATACAGCAATATGCAGAGTATCTGTGAATGTGTAATCTGTGTTTTACATGTAAGATATTTTGACTGATTTACTTTTCTACATATCTGTATTCCTATATGAAATCTACTGATTTCTTTACGTCAGCTCAAACCTTTAAGATAAGCTAAAGGACAAACAATATATTCTGTTGACTGCATTTATTTCATGAACATTAGTTTGTGTTTTCATGTGAAGCCTCTTAAATTACTCATTGATGACATTTTTCTTTTTGTGGAAAAGTAGCAGAAGTTTTTACATCATTTGCAACAAACTTTTTCTCCAAAGTAAAGGCTGAATAGCTGCTTAGGCAATGGGGGTATCATACAGGGACATTCCCCTGTTATTGGTCAAGTGGGGTGAAATAAAGAGTGAAGGAGGGAAAGTTTTCCCAGGTAGCTCAGAAAAATCCCAAGAAGAGAAACTTGCTGCAAGTGTGGTTGTCAAGTTATAAATATGGTAAAGGCCTATTTCAACTCTACCTAGGTGTGTAGTTATAATATCCTTACAATTTATTTCTTTCACTTTAACACTTTTCCAAATCCATGAGAAAGTGACTCTTAATTAGTACAGAAAGGATATAGGATGAGGTGAAAAAAGTATCCACTCTGAAGATGTATACCCTTAAGTTTGAATGCCATTTATTAGCTACAGGGCCTTAAATAACACATTAAACCTCAATAAGTTCCTATTTTATTACCACACCTACTTTTCAGGTTGTATTGTTATGATAATGATGTGAAGTCTCTGCACCCCTCAGTGTTGATAAGGATCCTTGATGAATACTTGTCTTCTCCCAAAGAGGAAGGCTTATTTAGATGCCTATAAAAACTCAGATTTTAAAACAATGCACATTTAAATACTATTAGGACATATATACAAATATAGATATTGGGAACAAATAGTCAAATTTTCTATGTGACCAAGATAGAAATGTAAATGATGAGAACATACTCTGTTTACTTACTCTCATTCATTGTTCCCGTGAATGTAGAATCCTACAGCCACTGTTGAAGACAGTTTGTCAGTTTCTTAAAAAAGTAGACATAATCTTACCATAATGATGCAGTATTATGCTCTTAGATTTTACCCAACTGAATTGCAAGTTTATGTCCACAAAAAAACTTGCAAACATATGTTTATAGTAGTTTTATTTATAATATCCCCAAATTGGAAGCAACCAAGATATTATTCAATAGGTGAATGAATAAATAAAGTGTAGTGCATTCATACAAGTGTACTATTCAGTAATAAAAAAAAAAATGAGCTCTCAGCCCATGAAAAGACATGGAGGAAACTTAACTATATGTTACTAAGTGAAGGAAGCCTATCTGAAAAGTCTACGTACTGTAACGTTTTAACAATATGCCGTTTTGGAAGAGGCAAAACTCTACAGACAGTAAATTTTTCATTGATTGCCAGGTGGAAGGGAGCGGGAAAGAGAATTGAATAGGTGAATTCATAAAGTGTATAATGCCATTTTGGGATGTTTTACTGCTGACAGTATTTAGGCTTCACCCCACCTTCTTCCCCTTCTGCCCCACATCTGGGTACACTGATAAGAAAATGCAGATGTTTTCTCTTTGACATCAGGGAGAATTTCATACAACGAAATCCTTGCTTTTGGGAAATACTCATTCCTGCCCCATCGTCTAACCACCATAAAAACCTCAATGCGGGCCGGGCGCGGTGGCTCACGCCTGTAATCCCAGCACTTTGGGAGGCCGAGGCGGGTGGATCATGAGGTCAGGAGATCGAGACCATCCTGGCTAACAAGGTGAAACCCCGTCTCTACTAAAAATACAAAAAAAATTAGCCGGGCGCGGTGGCGGGCGCCTGTAGTCCCAGCTACTCGGGAGGCTGAGGCAGGAGAATGGCGTGAACCCGGGAAGCGGAGCTTGCAGTGAGCCGAGATTGCGCCACTGCAGTCCGCAGTCTGGCCTGGGCGACAGAGCGAGACTCCGTCTCAAAAAAAAAAAAAAAAAAAAACCTCAATGCATTTTCCTTATCCCTCTCTCTCAAGCCATTTTTTGGCCTGCTTGGGAGCCTACCTTCTCTCCCTAGAAAGCCTCATCATGTGAGTAATGAACCTTTTTATAATCTATTGTTATGTGTATGGCATCATCAGTCTCAACATCCAAACCAAATTTTGGGTGGCAGTGAATTCTATATTTGAGAAATGTTCACAATAATTGTTGCTACAAGCAAGATGTATAGACAATGACCACCACTATTTACAAAAAGTCTTTCTTATTTGTTTGTCTTGTTAAATGGTCTGCTGCCTGATGGCAAACATGCTTTCTGAGCTACCGCTTGATAGCTATCTTGTCTTTTGGGCTGTGCTGCTTTATTCTGCATTTTCTAAGTTTTGTCTAGATTCTGTTTTAACTGAAATAAGTTGAAAGTTCAAAAATTGGCATTTAGCAACAGTTGTATAGAGTTTTGGTCCTCCTTAAAGCGGTCTAGCATTGTGTGTCTTGCCCAAGACCTATCTGTGTCTTAGATTGAACCAGGTCTGCTGGTTCATGGATAAACCATGACTGAGGCTGGGTTCAAGAAAATAAGTCTCACCTTTACCTTGTGACTGCTGGTGAGCAAGTCGACCATTGTCATAGGGTTGTCCTAAGCCCTGATAATACTTAGTTGAGTTTTTCTGGAAGAAAAAAAAAAAAAACCCTGTAAATATGAGGAAGGTGGAGAAGAATCCCCAAAGTCTATTTAGTAAATGCCAAAAATAAAAAGAAAAAAGTAAAGAAAACTGAATATGAAAATTCAGGTTAAAAAACTACCTTAGCAGAAATCCATAATTTTACCCAATAGATTATCCAAAATTTGCTAAAATAATTTATGTAGCAAAAAGAAAATGGGGCACAACAGAATATTGGTAAAATAGACACTATGTGGTATAGCAGACCTCTAGATCTTGCCATTTCATTTAACTGAAACTTTATACTGTACTCACTGAACAACTCCTCATTTCCCCCTCCCTCAACCCCTTACTTTGTGTTTCTGTGGGTTTGACTATTTTAGACACCTCAAATAAGTGGAGTCATGCAGTAATAATCCTTCTGTGACTGGCTTATTTCACTGTATAATGTCTCCTAGCTTCAGGATAAATCTCATGTTGTGTTCTTACAAAAAAAAAAGTGTGGCACAAGGAAACTTTTGGAAGCTATGAATATTTTTATTACCTTGATTGTGGTTATGATTTCATGGGTTTGTTTATATGTTCAAATTCATCAAATTGTATACATTAAATGTATGCAGGTCTTTATATGTCAGTATCTCAATAAAACTTTAAAAAAGGATGAAAGAGTGCTCATTGGTTTTTTCCTCCTCTACAACCCAGGTTCTGAATTAATTTTAAATCTGTTAACGTTTACCAAATTGCAAACTTTCATTGCCTTATTTAAAACTGAAGCTCCAGTCACTGTTATGTCTGGGGATCTCACAAAATGTAACCAAAGTAACTTCCATAGTATTAAGAGATTTAGTGAACCAAAATAGAGGATAAAATGGTCTGCCTCAATTTAACCATGCAAACAATTTCCTTGTTTAAATTTTCCCATGGTCATAGCACCCATTACCTTAAAAAAATGGGCAGGAACCTTCTGATCCAATGAATAATACGTTAAAACAAAATTATATCTTTGATGTTTATATAATGGATTTTTTTTTTAAAAAGTGACCAATAGACATTATTTTCTTCTGCCTCCACAGTTAAAATAGGAGTTTTTATGAGTTAATGCAGTCATATATAATTTAAAACGGGTCTTCAAAGACTGAAATCTATATACAAGACCTATTTAATAGAAGCAGTGATAATCTCCACTGCTTTAGCCTGTTCTTAAACTGGGAAAGAATGAAGGGTGCTTTACTGTGGTTTATCACACCTTAATGCTATTATTTCAATCATTCAGGCCTATACACACAGTGTTTTTAAATGAATGTCTTCATGCAATCATCCCCTGACTAATATTTTGAGATTATAGAGTTGGCTAACATGCTATGACCAGTGCCTATTTTAACAACCTCTTAGCTGCAGTTTTGCCTTTACGTTCAAAGAGCACAATACACCTTTTTTAGACACCCTAACTGCCATACCATCACACACGAACTTTTCAGGCAAAATCTTATTCTGACTCAACTCTTTACAGAGGTATAGATGTGACATCACACTGATAGTATCTTCCTCAGAAGAGACACATTTGACATTTATTCAAGACATGCAAATACTTACAAAGGACCTTACTAAAAGTGACCCTTTATGTCCTAAAACTTAAGAGGAGCACCGATGGTCTGTATACAGCATGACCTATTTTCCAATAAAGAGTTCCAGTCAAAGTGATGCTCTACATATTTAATGAACAGAAGGCAGGATATATTTTCAGTGTATGTAGCTGTGGAAGCACCTTGGTTAGTGGTGCAACTTTCTTAAAAAGAGGAGTGTCTTGGCAACATAGTTACTGGCACTAACTTCTTTTTTTGTTAAGCAAATTCAGACCTGCTCAGCTACTAAAAGAAAAAGGATATGGATCTCCAACTATAGCATTACTCAGTTCACCCTATAGCTTTTGAGAACTCTGTGTATATAAACATCTGATTTAATTGATCATCAGGTTGTAAAATGGTTTTTGTGTCCTAATAGAGAAGGCTGTGCAGACTTTCTGAGAGTTAAACATCAATAAGATCCTCAAAATGCTAGAGTTAACATTATGAATCAATGTTGAAACAGTTGTGGGAGGCTGTTTTTGGTAGCTCCTCCACACCTGTGAAATAGGGAAAGTGGGACTTATTTGCTCCTTCAATCTCACCCTCCCTCATGGTCTGTCATGTTTATGTTTAACCTGTTGAAGTCTGTTATCCTCCCTAGTGGAGGATATCCCTCTCAAGGATAAGCCAGGCCTTGCTTTTCCATTAATTTTTTTTTCTAGAGTGTAGAGCCTCACAGGGAGCCGGGAGTCTCAAATTCATCATCATAAACAACTTCTGGGTGCAGAAGAAGGGCCTCTAGCACCATCAGAAGAAAAGTCAGTGTCCAAACTCGTATTTTTCCAGGACTTCCTGATCTGAGCAATGTGAGCTACCCAATATTCCATAAGGTTATATGAATGACAATCCATATGCTCAGGTCAATGCAATGAAGGTCAGGTGGGGGTGGTGGAAAGAAAGAGAGAGAAAGAGAGACAGAGAGACTTTCAGTTACCTGAAAGTTCATCCAAGGCAAGAAGGCAGGGTCATATCCAGTACAAAAATAAATACTGTTAAAATTGGGGTTCCGATGAAGGTCATTGCTAGAGAAGCTTGTATGGTTGTCAAAAAGTGCAGTCTGTGGGATAACATGGCTCCCACACACGTAAAAATAATTTTCCACTGGGCATTAGAGTCCCTTAATATAGTTGGTTTTATTATTAATCCAGTGGGCTATAGAGATAATGGTCACAAATATTTGATTTAGCTTTGTCAATCCAAATATTTTTCTTTAAGTGTGCTCAAGTTATAAGAGAATGTACGGCCCAGCGTGGTGGCTCAAGCCTGTAATCCTAGCACTTTGGGAGCCGAGGCGAATGGATCACTTGAGGTCAGGAGTTCAAAACCAGTCTGGCCAATATGGTGAAATCCTGTCTCTACTAAAAAAAAAAAAAAAAAAATAGCCAGGTGTGGTGGTCACCTGTAAACCAGGTGTGGTGGTCACCTGTAATCCCAGCTACTTGGGAGGCTGAGGAAGGTGAATCACTTGAACCCAGGAGGCAGAGGTTGCAGCGGAGATTCGGCATATGAATAGGCTGTTTATCTGTTTTCATAGGGAGAAACCTCATGTGGGTGTGTCTTGGTAATTCAATGCCTGTAGATCCATTGGCCTTTTTGTGCAGTTAAGCTACTTGTCAATCTGTCTTGGGTCATGTGTTCCAAAGATAAGAAGAACAGGTGATATTCAGCCGACTAAAGAATTCAGTGTTTGCTCTCAGCAATTATTATGACGGATGGCTGCAGCACGCCATTGTTTTGTCTGCCTCGGAGGTGGTCGTGGCAAGACTGTCTCTGCTCCGGAGGGGTGTTTAGCTACATGTTTACAAAAGTGGCTAAGGCCTTAGGGATTAGATTTATCTCACAGTTAAAGGCAGCTTTTTCTTTACAAAGTAGAAACTTTAGGGATTTGTCCTAGACTATGCGATTTTAAACAAGAGAAGCCTAATTTCAGGATAAGATAGTTAGGTTGAAAAAATTATGATTTTTTTTTTTAAAGGAGGCACCAGGTCTCCATTGAAATCATCTAACATCCCAGTTAGTAACTACTTAGCAAAGTTAGGAAGGCCTGGATTCCACAGACACAAAGGCTGGACAAATACCAGTTGGGTCTTAGTGGCAAAAGTTCTAGTCAACTGTGGGGTTGGCAACTAATAATATCTGCAATTCCACAGAGACTAAAACAAGTTAATATACTGCAAAAAAAGAGCTTAATTTACGTTGTCTGGACTGTATTTAAAGGTTCTTGGTCTCAAGATTTCATTCGATTTGGACATGTGTCTGTTTATTTGATATAATGTTTGTAGTGCATTCCCAGATGTACAATATGCTATCTTCAGTTTTCAAAGAGGCTAATTGGTCTTGGGCCAGTTTATCCGTAGTTGGTTCTGAAGGTTCAGCAGTTTATCTTCAATAGAATATCCTTACTTCTACCAGTAGTTTATGTGGTACTAGGGTTTGCACAACCCACTGATGACAATTGTTGGCATGCTAAACCAAATACAGGGAATCTTCTTTTTGCTTCCTTTTTTCAGGAGGGTTATAAAAAATAAAGCATTGGAAATACCCCTCCCCCAAACTAAATGCTAATTGCAGCAGTGATAGCATACTCACAAGTCACAAGGGTCAATACTGTCTAATCCTCTACAGTCTACAGAATGTGCCAACAACCACTGGCCTTCAAGGGCCAGCCAGTTATTACACTTGGATAATATATTGAATAGCATTATAGCTTTAATACATATTTTATGTGAAGATCAAGGTCTTTATCTTCTGTCTATGGTACTGTTTCAATCGTGCAGTTTTGGGAGGTTTTATGGATACCAAACATTCTTGGCTGAGGATAAGATTGACTTTTGTGGAAGCCAAAGATATGGGTAACAATGCATGTATTCAATCAGCATGTCCAGATGGATGGCCTGGAAGGTTCTCTCTCCTTTTTCTGTGGCTTCACAGAGAGCTGGTTCAGCAGGTCTAAGTTAGTTCAACAAACAAATAGGTTAGTTTAAAATACTGAGCTCCTGAGTCTTCCCAGTTTTAACAAGGCCAATTCTCTGACTAGGCAATTTCCATTCTTACATGGTTACATGGATAGTCTCTGCTCCCAACACTAAAAATATATACTGCATTATGTGTATGGAAAGCCTAGGTACTGAAACTTGGCCATGACTTTTTATAGACCATCTGTGCTCAGCCTAAACAGAGGATAATGAGAATTTGGAAGATTAGGTGAGCTTTGCTTGGACTTTTTTCTTATAAAGTCCTATATTTTTATATCTGCACTACTTGGTACTAGAGGAATGTGCCCATGAACGTTTTACATGAAAGTATGGCAAGCTCTGATAACCTGAGGCAACATTTAAGTCAGGTGTATACTAGGAAATTTTTCTCAGTATGGGAATAACTGCTTGCCACTGTTTTGTTTGTTTGTTTGTTTGTTTTTTGTATTTTGTTTTGTTTGTTTTTCCAGAAGTAAACTCCATGGTTCTCTTATGTAGTCTTTTTCTCTAGTATTTCACACATGGATCAACTGTTTTAAAAGATGAGTCCACATGTTAAGGACTTTTAGTAGCCCATATTTGAATGTTAGTTTTATAGGCTTTATCCTCTTATTCACTGCCAATCCCTGCTATTTGTTTTCTGTATTGTCTAGAGTAGCGCTTCTCTAAAATCTTGGTAGGAGCTAATTTTGCATGTTATAAAAGAAACATTTGCAATGTGTAAAGCCTTGATCTAGTTAACATATGCTGATTTATAGCTAACATACACTGAGAACTTTTTTACCAGTTGTATTAAACTCATTACAAGGAACAATTCAGTAAGTCATTCAATAGCTCTATGAGATTTAATATATAAATGATATGCCTATAGTACACAAAAATCTAGCTAAATGAATTTAAAAGTTTGATGGAAAAAGTTAATATATGATGATAAAAATATTAATGTATATGTATTTAATCTTTGAAACAGTCCTTTCTAAGTATAAGAATTTTAAAAGTATATACATTAAAAGAATAGCATATTTGGACAAATATTTAAAAATTCTATGTATAATAATACTGTGAAGAAGGTAAATGTTGAACAGGAAGAATCATTGTTATACATATGACAAAGAAATTATAAGCTTATCATAAAAATCTCTATTATGTTGAGAAGAAAATTAGAAACATCATAACAGAAAGATATTTAAAATACTTGAATATCTAACTCATGAGAGATAAAACAAATAAATGTATTATTAATGATATTAAATAAAAATATCAAACACTTTTTGAGCATTTGCTTTGAGCCTGACAACACACTCAGCATTTTACAAATCTCACTGCACTTAATCCTCACTAAAACTTTCTAGGAATTAGAGTCACACAAACTTTAAAGATGAGTTAACTGAAGCAGAGAAAGGCAGAATGATTTGACAAAAGATATACAACTAGTAACAATTGTATTCCATGGCAATAAAAAAAGAAAAAAATTGACTTTTGTTTTGGCGAATTTAATTACCATGTTTTTTTTGGGAGTGAAGGGTCTGTATTTTCTGACACTGGTGATGGAAGAGTAAATTGTAAAGCATTTTAAAGGGCAGTATGAGATCAAATGTTAAGGGCTTTATCAGCATTTATAGTTTTGATCCAATAATCCATTTGAATTAATGTATTGAATTAAAGAAGGGTTTCAAT
Source organism: Homo sapiens (assembly GCF_000001405.40). Taxonomy (NCBI): domain Eukaryota; kingdom Metazoa; phylum Chordata; class Mammalia; order Primates; family Hominidae; genus Homo; species Homo sapiens. Next base: position 67,806,322 of record NC_000013.11, read on the forward strand.
AATTTTTAACTATATGGGAAAATGTCTGTAAAAAGACAATAGATACATATGCATTTATATATATATGCTTGTGTGTGTATGTTCACACATATTTATATAACATATAACATTAAATATGTATATATATGAATTATATACATATAAATGCAGCATAACCATGATCTTTATATAAAATGTATTTCCAATTTTGTTTATAAAATGTAATCACACACCCATACATAATTAAAGAAATTTCTAAAATATTTTAAGGTTTGCAACATTGTGAATGTGGATTTATTTAAAAAAATTTACATTCTTAATTTTTTAAAAATAAGTAATTATTAATATGAGAAAATATAAAGTGACTATAATGACTTTATCCTCTTGCATTGGATACTAATTTAAAATAATTAAGCTTGTCAAAGCACATGTAACTCTGAAAATTCATATAATTCAAAATGAACTTTCAGGATTTTTTTTACAGTTTGGCATTAATGATGCCAATTAATGGCCTCCCTGACTGTAACTCTGCAGTGCCCTTTTATTCTATGGGCTCATGAACATGACTTGTTTTGGCCAACCACATATTATCAGCAAGCATGACACAGCAGAGGCTTAAGAAGTATGTGTATGTGTTCTCTTGATCCCTACTGCATGACTTGGCTTGCTTCCTCTTGGGTCCCTGCCACAAGGATGAGAATATGGCAAGAGTGCTATAGGAATATGAGGAATACATGGAAGAGGGCCCAGTTGTCCCAGCTGAGACCATTCTAGAGCAGCCAGCCATATCCAAGTGCCAACCAACCTAAAATGCATGAACAAGCCCAGCTGAGTTCTATCAAAAATGACCCAAATCATCACAACTACTCTTCTCTCCTATTGTCTCCAAAAATATAATAAATTACTTTTTTAAAGTCATTATGTTTGGGTGGTTTTCTATGCAGCATTATTTTAGTAATAGATAACTGATCTTCCTTGTATGGGAAGTTTACATTGGTCAATACAGCTGATACATTGGATTTTTCTGTTTACAGAAATCAGGCAGAGAAACTAAAAATCTTGAACACTGAAGTTACATAAATGGGAATATTAACATCTAGAATAGATACGTCATCTCATTTTCAAATAGCTAGATAGTGTTCATGTTTTTAATTTCCAACACAGTTTTCCATAGCTTATTATATACGTGTGTATATATATATCCCTTTCATGAGAAATGTAAATATTATATATATTATTTGAATATTTTGATATGTTGCATCGTTATTTTAGATTCTGACATAATACTTGGTAGGAGCAAACTTTTTAGTATTTAAGGTAGATAATTGGCTCAAAAAACTATACATAGCTTTCACAAATTTATGTTGACAAAAGATTGTTACATAATCTCCTAAGATAAAAACCTGTGAAATCATTTTAAGTCATTGCTAAAACACAACATCATGGTGAAAACTCAGGATAACGTTTAATGTAAGATGCAGGAAAAAAAAAACAACTTTAAAAACAACACATGACTGAACGTAAAAGCTTTTAACTTACGTCTATACGTTTCAGGACTTATATTATTTGTCTGATAACAAAAGCACACAGTCGGGTTAATAATATACCATGTACTTTTTGAAGCAGTAATAAAAATTATATTTTACTTCACTAACAAGAATCCATAGGCAATAGGAATAGCATTGCTAATTCATCAAAAATATTGAATCCTGAAACACCTGGAGATATTTAATTCAATCTGTTTTACATTTGATGTAATATGCCTGATGTCACACTGCTGGTTTTTGGCAGAGCTTGGATTACTCCTCGGGTCTCTTGGTTACTTATTTAGTGATCCTTGTGCTAATCTCTGTTTAGTGATATATAAGAGCTAAACCTAAGGCAATGAAGTAAAATTATGAATACCCCCTTAACAATGGGCTATGGCCACATCTATATGTTAATGTACCACCAATCAAACAGGAAAATAAATTCTATATGCAGACAGGTATAATTGGTGCATATAGCTATGCTCATTTTACTAAGATCTGCCTAAAAATCACTTTTTTCCCAAAATGACCACTGTGAGGGGCTATCTCTTCATATTATTTAACTGGTGAAGAGGGTGTACCTCTAATATTACTTCCCTACTCCTACCTTAGTTGTCTGTTTATAATAAATGTTTGAATCCATTTGCCCAACATCATTTTCTGTAAGGGATAAAATGTTCAGTTCATTGAAATGTTTGGATACTGGATGGTGATTCACGTACCATGTGTTTTCAGGGCATGTGTTTTCAGGTGATAGTGAAATGCATGTTTGAATCAATGGATGAATAAATGATTACAGCAGTAAATAGCTACTAAGTTCCCTAGTGGTATAAAATTCATCTAGAGGGCCATGTGTTATGATTTCTCAATGGCAGCTGTTTTCAAAGGTATAATTATGACATTAAATTTACTTTTAATAGGACTTGCGGAGTTGACAAATTCCTAGTGTGTTTCTTTTGAAAAGACACTGCTGTTTTTCCTTTTATTATTGTCTGAGAGAACACTGAATTCTGCCTCTACCAACTCCCTGCTATTGATCTCTCTTCCCCTACTTTTCCTCAGAGCTTAAAGAGCATCTTAATTACTCACAGCTGCTAATTAACTTACTAGTTTAGTTTGAGATCCAATTTTCTAAAACTACAAAGGGCAAATGGAATTATTTATATAATTGTGCATTTGATGAAATGTTGCATTTAATTTTTTTTTAAAAACCATGTAACAAATACTTACACAGTACTTACTATGTGCCAGCTCCTGTTCACGTGCTTAAAAACTGTTAACTCATTTAATTCTTACAACAACCATATGAAGGAGGTACTGCTTTTATCCTAATTTGACTTATGTGAAAATTGAGGCATAAAGAGATTAAATAATTTGCCCAAGATCATGCAACTAATAAATAGCAGAGCTTGGAGAAATCCAGGCTGTCTATCTCCAGAGACTGAGCTTTTATGTTTCTTCTCAGCGACCTCTGAAATCTTACTCATCTTACCCAACTTTTGGCCTGTTCATATTTCTCTAGAGCATCACTTTGAATTGTACTTCAAGGGCTTCAGAATTTAAGATTATTTTTCAAAATTGTTTGGCCAGGTAAATATTTTCATTCGAAGTCAAGTTTGAAATGGTTATATAATGCATGTTCTTAATTTTCTGTTATGGTTCTTTTTAATGAATGGGCATTTTAATAATTTGCTGCAGATTTTATTTTCGTCTCTACTTACCATTACATTGCAATTTATTAATTAGTTACGTTAGAACATTTGTAGAAGTTCAAAGGTTAATAAAGCGTAACAGCTGTTTAGAATATTAGAATAATATACTGGTATCACTGTGCAGATTATTAGTAACATTTGTTGCAACTTAACAGACAAAAAAAAATCTTTCTGAAACTTTGACCACTATGGTAAACTCTAAAATTGTCATTGTCACCATCTTAGATCAAACCCATTCTGAAGATGACACTGCCTCTGGAGTCTATTAATGTTTCTGTACAATAAAAGGTGAATAGAAACTTACTCATCACTCTTGGGAAGTTATGTGTTTTTCAAATAATCTTACATTTATAGGAAGAGAGAAGAGCAAGAGTAAGACAGAGAGAGGAGAGAAATAAAGCAGATATACTCTTTCATATTTATAAAGCAACTATGGTAAGATGAAAACAGTGAATTGATAAAACATCTCACTTTGGTTTTATAGAGTATCTGTCTTAGGCTGGCACCAAGGTTATTTAGAAAAGAAGCTTTCCATTTCTTAGCAGAAATAACTTGTATTTTTTTGTGGATGCTTCTTTAGGGTTTATGGTAATAGAGACTATAAGTGCTACCACAGGTTACTAGAAGTTATAGCTGTATTGGAAGTATGTTATGGCAAGAATATCATAAATATGATAAGAACAATGAAATGTTCTTGATTTACATTTACATAGTATATTGCAAATGCATTCAAATGCATTTTACTGAATTTAATGTTGGTTGGGGAAAGACTGGAAAAATGCAGAAGTCATTTGGAAATTTAAATGACTATAAATTCTTCCCAATAGGAAGTTGGCATTCTATTTAGGTTTACCTAGTGAAAAATTTCTATCTGTTAAAGTAGAAAGGAAGGAATGAGCAGAAACAGAATTAAATGAAATAATCATTGAGACAGCCAACTTTACCTTGTCTGGAAACATAATGCATTATTTTTCAATAAAATAAACATAATATCTGTCAAATTTATAAAACCATAGCTATTGAGCATATAAATACAACTTACATTAGTTGCTTTTATTTAAAAAACATTTTTACCTACTTTTTATACTCAAAAATTGTGTTAGTACTCTGGTACTAAATCTGGATGCTTTAGTGTTAGGTGAGAAAAGGGTACTCTTACATTTCTGTGTTGGTACTCAGGGTTATATTAAAAATAGCTTATGAGATTTAATTTGGAGTCAATTGCAATTATATATCATATATTGTTACATCGTATTCCAATAATTGTCTTACAAATCTTTGTATTGACAACTTTGGCATAACATATTTACAGAGCTCCAACTACTTCAAGACAATGGTAATTTATAATGAACAATATCTTTCAAAAGATAAAACAAAACCCTTTTGCTCTATTATTTTAATTGTCATAAAGAACATATAATATTAGAAGACCAAGAAAAGTGTATGAAACTCTGCTTTAATATGTTTAGATTTTTTTGAGAAAAAATTTAAAAAAATTTAGAAATTGGGTTATTTCTTTGATTTTTGTATACTTTTTTTATTAGGTTTTTTTTACTGTGGCTTTAAATTTAATCTTTTGTTTTAGGGATTTCTTTTGTTTGGTCTTTTGATAGATGCTGTAAGGATCACATGCTGTAAGCCTACCATATAGAGTTAATAGAAGCCTACTTTACTCAAAGTATAAGGTATTTGAAATGGTATAACCCATTTGCCTCACATCCTTGTGCTCTTATTTCCATATACATTATATCTATCTACTAACTTTAAACCACAATGTAGTTATTGATTCAATTAGTCTTATGCTTTTAAAGAGGAAAGTGACAGTATTTTATAGTTTAAACACAAACTATATCATTTCTTGTGCTTGATATTTCTTCCTTTATATTTGACATTCAATTTGCCTTCAATTCCCTTCAACTTGAAGAAATTACTTTAATATTTTGTATCATATATTTGCTGCTGATAAATTTCTCCAAGACTTAATTTTTTCTGAAAATATCAGAATTTCATTCTTGTATTAGTCTGTTCCCATACTGCTAATAAAGACATACCTGAGACTAACTAATTTATAAAGGAAAGAGGTTTAATTGACTCACAGTTCTACATGGCTGGGAAAGCCTCACAATCATGGCAGAAGGTGAATGAGGAGCAAAGTCATGTCTCATATGGTAGCAGGCAAGAGAGTTTCTGCAGGGGAATTCCTATTTATAAAACCATCAGCTCTCATGAGACTTATTCACTACCACAAGAACAGTATGGAGAAAATGGCCACCATAATTTAATTATCTCCACCTGGCCCCACTTTTGACATGTGGGGATTATTACAATTCAAGGTAATATTTGGATGAGGACACAGCCAAACCATATCATTCTGCCCCTGCCCCCTCCCAAATCTCATGTCCTCACGTTTAAAAACCAATCATACCTACCCAACAGTCCCCCAAAGTCTTAACTCATTTCAGCATTAACTCAAAAGTCCATAGTCCAAAGTCTCATCTGAGACAAGGCAAGTCCCTTCTGCCTATGAGCCTGTAAAATCAAAAGCAAGTTAGTTACTTCCTAGATAGAATGGGGGTACAGGCAGTTGGTATATACACCCATTCCAAATGGGAGAAATTGGCCAAAATGAAGGTGTTGCAGTCCCCATGCAAGTCTGAAATCCAGTGGAACAGTCAAATCTTAAAGCTCAAAAATGATCTCTTTTGATTCTTTGTCTCACATTCAGGTCACACTGATGTAAGAGGTGGGTTCCTATGGCCTTGGACAGCTCTGCCACTGGTCTTGTGATGGGAAGGGCTGCCATGAAGCTTTCTGACATGCTCTGGAGACATTTCCTCATTGTCTTGATGATTAACCTTCAGCTCCTTGCTACTCATGCAAATTTCTACAGCAAGTTTGAATTTCTTCCCAGAAAATGGGTTTTTCTTTTCTATTGTATCATCAGGCTGCAAATTTTTCAAATTTTATGTTCTTCTTCCCTTTTAAACATAAGTTCCAATTCCAAACCATATATTTGTGAATCTATAAAACTGAATGCTTTTAACAGCACCCAAGTCACATCTTGAATGCTTTGCTGCTTAGAAATTTCTTCTGCCAGATACCTTAAATCACCTCTCTCAAGTTCAAATTTCCACAAATGTCTAGGGCAGGGGCAAAATGCTACCAATCTCTTTGCTAAAGTACAACAAAAGCCATTTTTGCTCCAGTTCCCAATAAGTTTCTCATCACCATCTGAGACCACTCAGCTTGGACTTTATTGTCCATATCACTATCAGCATTTTGGTCAAAACCATTCAACAAGTCTCTAGGAAGTTCCAGACTTTCCCGTATTTTCCTGTCTTCTTCTGAGCCCTACAAACTGTTCCAACCTCTGCCTATTACCCAGTTCCAAAGTTGCTCCCACATTTTCAGGTATCTTTACACCAACACCTCACTCTTGGTACCAATTTACTGTATTAGTTTGTTCCCACGCTACTAATACAGACATACCCCATACTGGGTAATTTATAAAGAAAAAAGGTTTACTTGATTCAGTTTTATGTGGCTGGGGAAACCTCACAACCATGGTGGAAGGCAAATAGGAGCAAAGTCACATCTTACATGGCAGCAGGCAAGAGAGCTTGTGAAGGGGAACTTCGATTTATAAAACCATCACATCTTGTGAGACTTATTCACTATGAGGAGAAAAGTATGGGGAAACGGCCCCCATGATTCAATTATCTCTACCAGGCCCCACGCTTGACATGTGGAGTTTATTGCAATTCAAGGTGAGATTTGGGTGGAGACACAGCCAAACCATATCAAGTCTTATTTTTAAAACATTTTTAGTTGGGCACAGAATTTGGCATTAACCGTTTATTTCAGCATTTTTTATTGTCATTTGATCCCATGTCCCTAGTGAAAATTCGACCATCTTTCTTACCATTTTTCCCATTTGTGTAATGTTGCATTTTTTTTTTGGTTCCTTTCAATATCTTCTCCTTTTCATCTGTGGTTATCAGTAATTTGGTTATTATGCCTAGATGGGACTTTCTTTTCTTTTTTTTTTTTTTTTTCTTAATTCGGCTTGGGGTTAACTGAGCTTATTGAGTTTGTAAATTGATTTTTTTTTTTTAACCATACGTGAAGAAATTTTCATCATTATTTTTTCAGATATATTTCTATCTCAGTTTAACTCTCTTTCTGATAATCAAATTACATATAAGTTAGATACATTTATATTGTCTTATAGGAGCTTGAGTCTCTACTTAAAATTATTTTCCTCTTTGTTCTTCAGATCCAGTAACAACTATATGTCTATTCAAACTCACTAAAAATGTCTTCTGTCTTTCTGTACAGTTACAGCTGTTTATTGATTTTAGGTTTATTTCAGCTACTATAATTTTTATTTATAAAATTTTTATTATATATATACTTTTTTTTGAGACGGAGTCTCGGTCTGTCACTAGGCAGGCGTGCAGTGGCACAATCTTGGCTCACTGCAACCTCCACTTCCCAGGTTCAGGCAATTCTCCTGACTCAGCCTCCTGAGTAGCTGGAACTACAGGCTTCTGCCACCAAGACCAGCTATTTTTTGTATTTTTAGTAGAGACAGGGTTTCACCATGTTGGCCAAGATGGTCTCAATCTCTTGACCTCGTGATCCACCTGCCTTGGCCTCCCAAAGTGCTGGGATTACAGGCATGAGCCACCGGACCTGGCCATTTTTATATCTTATTTTGCTCACAGAAACATGCACATGATTTTTTATAGTGGTTTTATTCATAGTTGCTCAAAACTGGAGGCAACCAAAATATCCCTCATATATAGACGAATGAATAAGCACACTGTGGTACATTCACAAAATAGAAATGAGCTATCAATGATAAAAGGATAAAAAGATGATAAAAAGAAATGAACTATCAATGTACAAGAAGATGTGGAGGAACCAAAAATGCATATTGCTAAGTTAAAAGAAAAGGTCTGAAAAGGCTATATAATGTATGATTTTATCTATATGACATCCTGGAAAAGGAAAAATACATATGGATCAACAAAAAGATTAGTGGTTGCTAGGAGTTGTAGGGAGAAAAAGGAAGGGATAAATAGGTAAAATTCAAGAAATTTGGGGACACTGAAACTATTCTGTGTGAGACTTTAGTGGTGAATATATGAAATTATGCATTTGTCAAAACCAATAGACCTGTACAACAGAGCGAACCCTAGTGTAAGCTACGTACTTTAGTTAATAATAGTGTATCAATATGGGTTCATCAATTTTAACAAATGTACTACAATAACACAAGATGTTAAGAAAATGGGGGGTATTGTGAGAGGGGTAAGGTGGTATGTGGGAAATCTCTGTACTATATTCTCAATTTTCCTATAAATGTAATACTGCTTTAAAAGTTGAAGTCTATTAAAGTGAGAGGATCATTTTCTTTTTTTGTTTGCATTTTTCTGCAGAGATTCCAAATATGTTTATTCAAATAAACATTTTTCAAGTCCTTGAGTATAATAGTTATTTTTAATTTATGCTAATCTCTATGAATGATTATATTCCATATTTTTAAACTCTTTTTCTTTGAAAAGGACACATCATAGAGATTCTGGATTTGTTCCTTCTCTGAGGAGTGCTGATTTCTTTTCTAGCTAGTAGTTTACTTGACCTAATTTCTCCACTCCAAATTGTCTTGCTTAATATGGGCAGCAGTTGAAACTATTCAATTCTTTTAAATTCTGGCTGTAGCTGTTTTGCCTGGACGATTGGAGTCTCTCCCATGCTTGCACACTTCTGATGTTAACAAAGGACTAGAGAAATGTTTGAAGGCAGAACATGGGGTTTCTTCCTCTTGTTTCAATTTCTTCCTTAGTTTTTTCTCTTACTTTTTAGATTCCCTGGGAATCTTAAATTTCATCCTTTGGATCTTTAAACAAGTAATAATGTTGTACTTTCTTCATCTATACATCTTGTATTGCTTGGTTTGGAGAGCGCCTTCAAGCAAAGTGCTGTGTAAAAATTTTACCCCGTGCAGTTTTCTTTCTGTCACGGTGGAGTCCTTTCTGGTTTCTCCTGCATTAATTTACTCTTAGTCACTTCAAATAGTTGTTTCTATCCAGAATTTGCAATTGTGTTTGGCAAAACACAATTGGTCTGATATAAAATGTACCCTCATTATTGGGAGTAGAAATTTTTATTTTTTCTACTTTTATTTTTTCTGGATTTATTAGAGGAGTTTATTATTTGATGACTTTTATTAGTAGTATGTTATTATTTTATTATTACTAGTATTAATACAACTTTATTGGCAATCCTTAAAATTTGGCTTTCTGAGACCAGACAAAAATATCAATCTATAAATAATTTTGGAACTAAAAATCACAAGCAAGATAAAAAATGTGGTGTATCAAATCTGCCTCACAGTTATACATTTTGACCATGATATATTTAGGTCATAGTAACTTCCCTCTACCAATAATTTTTTTAATGAACTCCCAATTTCAACCCACAAGGTCATGTCTGCGCACAGGTTAAAACAGGAGAAATGGTGTTGATTGAGCCATTAGAAGAGACAGAAACAATCAGCATATAATTGCAGGCACTAACTTTTGCTCTGAGGGTTTCCTTCCTGCTTCAAAAGTAAGCTCCTGGCATTTGGTCCTTGCAACTCCACAATGAAAAGTTTTAAAAATATATAACTGGGTTGAGTAATTATTCTTCTATTTATTAGCTATGTAAACTTTGAAATATTGACTCCTGTTAGTCTCAATTTCTTCTGACCTGGGATTTTGTGAGAAGAAAATACTATAATTTAAATAAAATTCTGTGAAATAAGCGCTCAGTCAGTAAAACTTGAAAACTTTTTAAGTATCCAGGGATGTTTCTAACACATAATGGAAAGTATTTGTTTATTCTCTCCCTTCCCCAGAGATGATTGCTGACCACATGCTATCCTATAATTTGGAGACTACGACGTGGATTTCTTCATGTTAGCACTAAAATAGAAAAAAAATTCCCATAAAAAGTTTCCCCTTGCCTTTCCTTTAGTAACAATTGTATTACTAAAGATCTGCTTTTTAGCTAAGACTTGAGGACTAGAAAGTAATTAATTTCATCTTATTTGCATTGCTCTCTTATTTTTCTCTCTTATATTTTGGATAATATCATGTCATTATGTCTCTTTTCCCCCCATTTCATTTTCAAATCATTTGCTACAAGCCATTCTGCACCTATTCTTTGACAATTATTTTAAGACACTTTCAGGGCCTCTGAAGCTAGTTTTTGAAGTATATTATAGACTAAAATATGGCAAGCTAGGTAAGGAAAGCCAAGAAGATATGTGTTAGTCCTTATCTATTTCCAATTTATATGGTAAACTTTGACAACAAAGCCCTAGTTTGACATCATCACATGTTCTCATAAAAATGCCTGTCTCACTGGATACATAAAGAATAATTATAAGCCAGTAAAATTATTAGACTCTTCTGCTGTAGATACAACAAATTATCAAGTATTTTGAGAAAATATCTATTTCACTATTACTTTTCCACTTGTAACCTTTTCATTGGTATCAAAATTAATAATAAATTCTGTATTAAGAACATAAAATGTCACAACTTTAACACAATTCTTCATTTTGGGGTTGAGTTTAGTTGAATATTATGTTTTTAATTTTTATTGTATGTTTTTTAATTTTATTTTTTATTGATGAATAGTAATTTTACATATTTGTGGGGTACGTGTGCTATTTTGATACACGTATACAATGTGTAATCATCAAATAACCTCAAATATTCATTATATCTTTGTGTTGGGAACATTTCAAATCTTCTGTTTTAGCTATTTTGAAAAGAAATGACTGTTAACTATAGTCACCCTACTGTGCTGTCAAACACTAGAACATATGTGCCAAGAGAAAAGCCGCATCATAATTGGAGTTTGGAATTTTTTTATTTGCACTTTGGAGAGCTTTTGCCAGAGCAGTTAATCAGATATTGTATCTGGCAGGAAGCAAATGTTATGGAAGAAAGAAAAAAAACTATAAAAAAATTTTTAAAATAAAAAAACTGATCAAGATATTGTTTTAAAATTAAAAAATATAAATACTTTTATTCCATATAAACTAAATAAATTATATAAATACAAAAATGACTGAATAATATTATAATCCACCAAACTTCTTTCTCTTCTTTACTGTAATTGCCACAATACTGTCAGCTACATATCTCCTTCAAAACACTCACATCAAACATGGAGGTTTCAACTTGGTTAAACCCAATAATTTCCAAAGAAAAATATCACATTTAATTGATTTTATTGTAATGTACTTTGAGTTCCGTGTGATGTTATGACCTTCAGCTATAGTCTTATTGCTGTTCCCTATTATCAGTTTGAGGCACTAGGTTAAAATATGACCTTTAACAATTACCAAAAGGAATCATCTGTGTTTTCTCAACTTGAGAAGTTATGGGTTCTTTTAACCTTTTGAGGAAAGCTTTTATTCATCTAGCGTTATTTAAAAACCCAAATGACTTTTTGAGACACTTTCAATTCTGAAGAAAGAAGACATTTAAAGAAGGACAAGATAAGTATTAAAATTAAGCATTTAGTAATCAGGGTGTGGATTCTTTCCTGTGATGTATTCAAAAGCATGTGAACATTCAGTATTATTGCAACTTGATGTCAACCCTATTTAGAGAACCAAAAACCTTGAAAATCTTTTGAGCTTCTGAATATGACTGAAGAAGTCTCTGGTGATATTGCAGTTTGTCTGACAGTGTATAAATTCAAAAATTTTGAAGTTTTACTTTCCACATAAGTTGTCAGAGACTTTGATTTAACATTTATTTATTTAACATTTTCCACAGATTAAGAGCATTAATTAACAATTAATTAATAAAATGTGAAAAATATTGTCATAGGGAATGCTTGGATTCCATCTCAAATTAACTGGTGAGTTGAAAGAACTGAGTCACTACCATAAGGATCTAGTCATGTATTTCGGTATATTTTATGTTGACTGTAATTTTAAGGCAGAGGACAATTTAAGTTTGACAGAAGGGGGCAAGTTCTTAAAAATAAGAGGAGGCATATAGACATATCTTGTAGCTCTGGAAGACAAAATTATGTAAGAAATTGTCCCCTACTTTTACCTATGTATAATAGATGGAAATACAGTGTTAGCTATCCTAAATAATATAGCAAAAGAAGATAGTTAAGTGCTACATCAGACATAATTGACAATGTTTTAAAATATATAAATGAAGAAATTAAAAGATATGTGAATACGAAAGATAATTGTGAAATCAATATCAGAGTGAAATTAAAGTTAAAAATATCAAATAGTATAAATAATAATATGTTGTGATAAGAGATGTAGATTTTGAGGATATTAGAACACACATAATATAATATATGTAGAAAAACACAGATGCTAAATATCTAAAATAAAAATTTTATAAATGCAAGATTTTGATACATTTTTCTAAGAATTTAAGAAACACTGTACACAAAAAGAAAAGAAATGGAAGGATTTGACAATATAGTTAACTGATTGTTTCCTCTAGTTACTTTCTTATGGAGAAATTACTTGAACAGAATAATCAACTTCATCAAAAACCCATGGGAGATTTATGATAAGTCAATTAGATAGTTATAAAAAATGCAACAAAATTAAAAGAGAGAAAAATAGTGAAAGAGTCATCTAGTATTCTAAGGTGTTTCTCTTTGACTATAATCCAACATAATTAATAATAAACCAAAACATAATAGATGTATGTAAAAGATGCCAATAGAATTTCATGAAGATAGAAAAATCTTTATAAAAACATTTAAATGAAACAACTGGATCATATGGTTAAGAAAATGTACCTCAACCCATACTTCAGGAAAAATGCTATAATTTCTAGAAGAAAATAGAGGAAGAAATCTTCACCACATATGGCAGACAAAGATTATTTAGACAGAATACAACATTAACGTTTTAAAATGATAAACTGAACTAACATAAACATTCAAACCACCTGCTTTTCAAAAGATACAATTTTAAAATAAATGAAAAGACAAGTCACAGCCAGTGATAAACCTTCTCCATACATATATCTGTTAAAGGACTTGTGTCCAGAGTACATGAAACATTTTTATGGCTAAATATCAGTAAGTGAAAAAAAAACTAGGAATGAATGAAAGACTTGAACCAATAACTACAAAAAATACATTACGAATAAATGTCCAGTAACCAAATGAATGAATGTGTAATATAAATTATATAAGGGAAATGCAAATTAAAAAGCAATAAAATATCATCTTCATTCATTAGATGGCAAAAATTAAAAATTCTGATGATAATTGTTTGCTTGCATGTGGAGCAACTAGAACTCTCACCAATGTAAAAGTAAGTAGACAATGACATGAGTACTTTGGGAAACAGTTTGGCAGATAGGACCCAGCAATTGCACTCCTAGGAATAATTTTTAAAATGAAAACATTTGGCCAAACTATACCTATGCATAATTATTTATAAGTTTTATATTTAACAGTTGAAACTGGAAACAACCTAAATAACAAAAATAACAAAGGAATACATAAGCCATGGTATATTAATATTGAGGGATGCTAATAAGCCATGAATAAAAAAAACGAACTACTGATACACAAAACTAAGTGTCTGAATTCCAAAAGGAATACGCTGTGTAAAATCTACCAAGATTTTATCTTGGTAGGATTATCTTTTCTGAATTTCTGTAAGTAGATTTACTTAACTATGGTAGAGATCCAGTCAATGGTGTTTGAAGTAGAGATTGGGGATGAAGATTTACTACCAAAATGTAAATGAAAACTTAATGTGTTGATGGAAAAGTGTTATAACTTGATATAATATAACCCTGGTAAATAAATTTTTTCAAGCCCACTGAACTGTTACACACAATATGTGTGAATTTTATTTTAGGTAAATTGTACCTCAATAAAGTCAATAAAAATGAACCAAAATGAGTACAATTTCCTGATTATTAAGAAACCAGTACAGGTAACGCAAGACAGCATGTAATATACTAGTTTCAAGCAGAATTTATTATCTGAGTATAATTTGGTTACCTATCAGAAATCTATCTGTTTATCTATTTCTCTCCAACAATTAAAGATGAAAATTCATATGATAATAAACTCAATAATGCAATTTGACAAAGATAAGCTTTCTCAATGAATGAACTATGAAAAATAGGAATAGAAGATTATCTTCCATAAGAGTAAAAAATATTTATTGTAAAAAGCAAAACAATAAAATGATCTGTTACAATCAGAAACGTTTGAAGGTTGCCTCTAGTCACAATAACAGTAAACAGGTTCGTCAGTATTATAACAACTTTGGAAAGGCTAAAAAAAAAACTATCTCATGCATACATTAACAAAATAATCATTTATGCTAATATTAGAATCATATAACTACACAACTCAGCAGACAAAGTTTTTTTTTTTAAATAAAGCAATAAAATATTTCATAATATGGTTAGGTAATTATGAAATATATATAAAAAACAGGTAATACATTTCTATTACAGGAATAATTATCTTAAAGACAAGGAGGTAATATTGATACCAGTATATTATCAACGGCAAAGCTAAATAATTTCAAGTAATAAAGTAAACACAAAGTCAAAGGAAAAATAGTTTATAAAATTATATTTAGGTACATAAATGGCACTCAAAATTCTGTAATGTTTCTCCAAGGAGTGTATGTGAAAGAGGAGAAAAAGACACACACACACACACACACACACACACACACACTGGGGTGCTGTTTGGAGGAACATAACAGAATCTTATGACTCTCCAAAATATCATAAACAAAATCCAGATACAATTGACAGAACTCAAATTGCAAACTCCTGACCCTTGTGAAGTGAGTGGCAGCAAAAATCTGTTTTGTTAATTAGCCTTAGCTTTATCTGGGTTGCTTGAAACTGCCATAAACATGTGTGACTGATTCATAATCTCAGGGATGGACTGAATTTATGCTCAGAATTTGGAGTGCCCCTCTCTGTTTACCTCCTATCTGGCATTTCTCTCTTATGTTTCAGTGAGAAACTCAACTTTGTTCTCTAGTACTCCAAAAGCAAGACCGCTGATTTTATATCCAAGTTTTAGCCACCCACATGACATATTCTGGGTTGTAGTTTAAGACTAAAAGCCATTAAAAAAATAAAAACCACACAAAAATATATCCAGTGATGTTTTCCTTCTTCGAGGTTTCAACTTCCTTCCAGTATCTGCCTTCCCTTGGTTGCTGTCCAATGCCCTTAGACAGCTGTTTGTTTGTCTGGAGTTGAGATGTTATCTACAGAATGATTGGTTTGAAAGGAGATACTTGTGTAACACTAGGGGCAGAAACTTCTTTTTTTAATGTTTCCAGAAAAAAATATTATTTGAGCAAAAAAAAAAAAAGTCCAAATTTACCAGTTCTTGAAATGTTAATTTTAGAGGTACTTACATGATTGTATGAATTGAATTCAAGTTCATATAGAATTAATGTAACTTATTTATTGTGAAATTGAAAGAGAATGAGAGTAAAAAAAGTTAAAAACCAATGGAGAGAAGACTTGATTTGCAAGATACTAGAATGTTTGGAAATGTAATCAAATAAATATGAATTTGTTATATGAATAGATTATCAGAACAGAAAATTCAGAAATTAATTATAGTACTAAAATAAGATACTACAAACAAGGCATTTCAATACAATGAGAAAATAATGTGTGATTTATTTAGTGATTTTTTTGCACAACTTAATATTTACCCAGAAAAAGGTAAAATTTTACCTATCTATATATATAGTTTTTAAAATACAATTTTAAATGTATAACATAAATATTTTAATAAATCTATGAGTGGTTGTTTGAGGGTGGTGTAAGAAGGAAGATCTCTTATCCAAAACCTGAAGCCTAAAAACTGTAAAATAAGAAGAAAAAAATATTTATTGTGTACAAATTTCAACTTTAGTTTGGTAAAAGATAGCATAAACAAAAGCAGTATGTGAGTAATAAACTTGGATTAAAAAATTACATATAGTACATATTCATGCAAAGAGGACAAAATCTATAATATACAGAAAGCACTTACAAGTTAATAAAAGAGAAGACAAAATTAAACATAGAATGGGCAGCGCTATGACTAAGATACAGAAAGGCAATCCATCTGGCCATCAAACATAAGAATAGAAAATTTAAAACATTTAGACAAGAAAACAGTCAGATTAGCAGATTATAAGAATGAATAACAAACTTTATTTTGCATAGTGTGAAGATGGTAGGGGGTATATTTATACATTGCTACAGGGAAACTAAGTGTTGGAAAGCAATTTATTAAAATCAATTAAAATATAACAAGTTTAATTTACTGATCCCACTTGTAGAAATCTACATCATGGAAATAACAGACAAGGCCTCTCTTTGCAAAATAGTTTAGAAGTAGTATAAGAATATGACTGAGTGACCATCCACACAGAGAAACTATTCTTTTCTTTTTTTTTTTTTTTTGAGACAGGTTCTGGCTCTGTTGCCCAGGCTGGAGTGCACTGGTGCAATCTTGGCTCACTGCAACCTTTGCCCCCTCAGTTCAAGTGGTTCTCTTGCCTCAGCCTCCCAAGTAGCTGGGATTACAGGTATGTGACACCACACCTGGCTAATTTTTGTATTTTTTGCCATGTTGGCCAGACTGGTCTTGAACTCCTAGACTCAAGCCATCTGCCTGATTCGGCCTCCCAAAGTGTTGGGATTACAGGCATGAGCCAGCTTGCCTGGCCTCTTATTAATATATTTTTTTCCCTTGATATGTATCAAAACCAAGTATTGACTTTTTTTTTTTAGTTAAGTGTTTTATTTCATACAAATGTTGATTCACACACACTCGTGAAAAATGTACAAAGGTCCTTTGTACTCTTTACCCCATTTCCTCCATGGTAACTTCTTTCATAAGCATAATACAAGATTACAACCATGATACTAACATAGAAACAACAAAGATACAGAACATTTCCTTCACCAGAAAGATCAGATATGTTGTAGTTTCTTAGTCACACCTGCTTAACTCCCATCCACACACCTTGTTTGACCCCTAGCTGCTGTAATTGGTTTCTAATTTTTATAATTTTGCCATTTAAATTTTTTTCTTTCTTTTTTTCTTTTTTGAGGTGGAGTTTTCCCCTAGTAGCCTAGGCTGGAGTGCAGTAGTGCGATCTCAGCTCACTGCAACCTCTGCCTCCCGGGTTCAAGCCATTCTCCTGCCTCAGCCTCCCGCGTAGCTGGGACTACAGGCATGTGCCACCACGCCCAGCTAATTTTTGTATTTTTAGTAGAGACGGGGTTTCACCATGTTGGCCAGGATGGTCTCAATCTCTTGACCTCGTGATCCGCCCTCCTCGGCCTCCCAAAGTGCTGGGATTACAGGCATGAGCCACCGCACCCGGCCTAAAAATATTTTATATTCATGGAATCGTATAGTTGTTAAACTTTTGGGGTTGATTTTTTTTTCTGTCAGCATAATTCTCTGAAGATCCATGCAAGTTGTCGTATCACTAATTCCTTTTAAAGCTGAGTAGTATTCCGTGATATGGATGTACCACAGTTTATTGGAAAGACATTTGGGTTGTTGCTAGTTTTTGAACTACCTTTGTTATAAATGAAGCTTCTATAAGCACTCAGGTACAAGTGTTTAGGTAAATATAAGCCTTCATTTCTTTGGGATAAATGCTCAGGAGTACAAATGCTGTATTACATGGTAGTTGCATGTTTAATGTCAAACTGTTTCCCAGAATAATTATAACATTTTACATTCCCATCAGCAATATCTGCGTGATCAGTGTCTCCATATAGATGCTGGCATTTAGTATTGTCGTTGTTTTTTACTTTATCTGTTTAGGTAGGTGTGTTGTGATATTAAATTTTGGTTTTAATTTGCAATTTTCTAATGATTAATGATATTGAAGACCATTACCTGTGCTTGTCAGAATATCCACTTCTAAAATATCTGTTCATGTTTTTTCTCATTTTCTAACTTAAGTTTTGCATAGTAAGAATTTGTAAAATATATACTAGATACTAGTCTTTTGTTGGCCATGCGGTTTCTATGTCTCTAGGTAGTCTTTTCATTTTATTAAAAGGGATTTTGCAGAGCAGAGTATATAATTTTGATGTTCAATTTGCCATTTTTTTCTTTTTATGAATCATGTTTTTGACATGATGTCTAACAGCATTGCCTGACTTTAGATCCTAAAAATGCTCTCCTATTTATTCCTAATAGATATAATTTTAAAATTTTATTTCTCTCTACCAGTATCCAATTTTAGTTTTTTAATTTTAATTTTAGGTTCATGGATACATGTGCAGGTTTGTTATACAGGTAAATTATGTGTCATGGGAGTTTGGTGTACAGATTATTTCATCACCCAGGTAATAAGCATAGTATCTGATAGGTAGTTTTTTTGATTCTCCCTCTCCTCCCATCCTCAACCCTCAAGTAGATCCCAGTGTCTGTAGTATCCCCCTGTGTCCATATGTACTCAATGTTTAGCTCCCACTTATAAGTGAGAACATGTGGTATTCGTTTTTTTGTTTTTTGTTCCTGTGTTAGTTCACTTAGGATAATGGACTCCAACTCCATCCATGTTGCCGCAAAAGACATATTTCTGTTTGTGGTCAATTTTGAGTTAAATTTTGTATAAATCATAAAAATTAGGTTGAGGTTGTTGCTGTTATTATTGTTGCGCTTGGATATTCAATTGCTGTAGCATCAATTTTTGAAAAGATTGTCCTTTCTCCATTACATTGCTTTGGCCTATTTGTCTGGTCCATTTTCGGGTTCATCCTGCCTTGCTCCCTGTCTTAGGGAGAAAGCATTCAGTTTTTCACCATTAAGAATAATCTTAGCCAGTTTTCCCAGCACCATTTATTAAATAGGGAATCCTTTCCCCATTTCTTGTTTTTGTCAGGTTTGTCAAAGATCAGATGGTTGTAGATGTGTGGTATTAAATGGGATCTAATTAAACTAAAGAGCTTCTGCACAGCAAAAGAAACTCTACCATCAGAGTGAACAGGCAACCTACATAATGGGAGAAAATTTTTACAATCTACCCTTCTGACGAAGGGCTAATATCCAGAATTAAACAAATTTACAAGAAAAATTCAAACAACCCCATAAAAAAGTGGGCGAAGGATATGAACAGACACTTCTCAAAAGAAGACATTTATGCAGCCAACAGACACATGAAAAAATGCTCATCATCACTGGCCATCAGAGAAATGCAAATCAAAACCACAATGAGATACCATCTCACACCAGTTAGAATGGCAATCATTAAAAAGTCAGGAAAGAACAGGTGCTGGAGAGGATGTGGAGAAATAGGAACACTTTTACACTGTTGGTGGGACTGTAAACTAGTTCAACCATTGTGGAAGACAGTGTGACGATTCCTCAAGGATCTAGAATTAGACCCAGCCGTCCCATTACTGGTTATATACCCAAAGGATTATAAATCATGCTGTTATAAAGACACATGCACACATATGTTTATTGCGGCACTATTCACAATAGCAAAGACTTGGAACCAACCCAAATGTCCATCAATGATAGACTGGATTAAGAAAATGTGGCACATATACGCCATGGAATACTATGCAGCCATAAAAAAGGGTGAGTTCATGTCCTTTGTAGGGACATGGATGAAGCTGGAAAGCAATATTGTGAGCAAACTGTCACAAGGACAGAAAACCAAGCACCACATGTTCTCACTCATAGGTGGGAATTGAACAATGAGAACACTTGGTCACAGGGTGGGGAACATCACGCACCGGGGCCTGCCGTGGGGTGGGGGGGAGGGGGGAGGGATGGCATTAGGAGATATACCTAATGTTAAATGACGAGTTAATGGGTGCAGCACACCAACATGGCACATGTATACATATGTAACAAACCTGTACATTGTGCACATGTACCCTAGAACTTAAAGTATAATTAAAAAAAGAAAAAAAAAGAATAATCTTAGCTGTATGTTTTTGTAGGTGCTTTTCATTAATTTGGAAAAGTTATCCTCTATAGTTCACTGAGTTTTATCATGAATGTGTGTTGAATTATGGTTTTCTTTATCTTAGAATTTCTTGATTTTCTCTTTATTCCTGAAAGATATTTTCGCTGCATATAGGATCTGGGTTGACAGTTATTTCCTTTCATCATTTAAAAAATGTCATGCCATTTCCTTCTAGCCTCCATGGTTTCTGATGAGAAATCCTCTGTAATTTAACTTATTTTTTTCCACTAAAGGTAAGCTGTCATTTCTCCCTTGCTACTTTCACGATTTTTTCTTTGTTTTTAGTTTTCAGAAGTTTGACTAATAAGTGCGTTGGTGTGGATTTCTTTAGGTTTATTCTGTTTGGGTTTTGTTCTGATTTTTGAAACTATAGGTCTATGTCTCTTTCAAATGTGTGAAATTTTTAGCTGTGATTTCTTCCTATGCTTTATTGTCCCTGCTCTTTTTCTCCTCTCCTTTAAGAACTGGGATGACACAGAAGTTGGTTTTTTTTTTTTTTTGGTTGTAGTCCCAAAGGTCCAAGTGTCACTGTTAATTTTTTTTTTGGCAGCAGAGCAGGGGATGGGGGAAGTGAAAGGTGGTACTGTGTTATGAGACTCTGGATCTTAAGTAAAATTTTAATTTTAGCTGCCTTCTTTTGATAGCACATTGGTAGCAGGTAGAGGGTGGTGCTTTGTTAATGCTGAGGACAGGTGGAATTCCTGGTTCCCTACTCAGCTTCTGTTGACATTATAAGTGATGGACTTTTCATTATTTCTGGCACAGTGTGAGTACTCCTCTCCATGAAGACTTCACTGATACCTCCCTGCCTGGAAGACACCTTGTTACTATTTCCCATGTGGTCTCCACTGATTCCACAGTGGGGGGCTTCATTACACATTTGGATGATAGTCCTGACTCCCTACTTGATTTTCTCAGATAACGCCTTGGTTTGGGAGGTAGGGCGAGGAGTGGTTGAGTGTCTCCTTGAAATGTGGCATGGCTGGAAATCTAGCCTCAACACTTGACATTTTGTGGTGAAATTGAGTGTAGGACCACTGTTATTTCTGTGGGCTTTGGCTGCTGGAAAGCAATTATGGTCTAAAGGTTTTGTATCTTGTTAGATTACCCGTTTTCTGTTCTTTTGGCTGGAAAGAGTAGACTTATGTTTAGTTGGCTGTTTGTGTGTGTGTTTGTGTGTGTGTGTGTGTGTGTGTGTATGAGTGTGTCTGTAGCTATTATTGTTCCAGGTTACTGGCTTCTCCAGCATTTATTCTATGATATAGTAGTAAAAAGAAAACTCAGAGGCTTCTCTGCCATGCCCATCTTCAGATTTTAAAGCTCCTAGCTAGTTTTATTTTTTTTACCTTTCAAAACACTACTACATCTCCCCAGCAACAGAGTTAGGCAGTGGGATATTTTGAGAGTAAAAAAATGCAACTTCCACTGTAAAATTAGGCTAGCATGTACACACAAATACATACAGCCACCCTAGTAATGTGGAATAATAGAAAATAATGTCAATGCTAATCAATGGAGGAATGTATGTTTTTAAAAGTATGACACATTTCACAAAAGGCAGCCATAGAGAGATAATGGACCCCTTAAAACCATGACTAAAAGGTTTTAGAATTGACTTGGAAGGATTCCAAAGGTGTTACTAAGAGAGAAAAAGTAGGATTCAGAATAGTGTGCATACTTCTCATTTTTTAAAAACAATGACATAAAATGAACCTTGTATATGTAGATGAGCATCCATCTTTGTATGCTTATGTGTGTATATGCATATTTACATTTTGAAAATTGTTAAATAGGTTAAGGGACAGGTGTAGGGAAAGTGATGATTTGCTTGAGAGGAGAGTGAGAAATGGGAGAGTCAAATAAAAATATAAAGATAAAACTACAATTAAAAGAAACTCATTTTGTATGATATGATCATATTTATGCATTTTTACAAAATTGAAGGGGCACATAAACCTGCAACCATGAAGGCTTAAAGATAATGATATCATCATTCTCTGCCTGAGGTACTATTTCTTAATACTATCATTTAAAAGAAATGAATATTAGTTATTTTTTTCTCTTCCATTAATTCCTTAATTTTTTTCTCAGTCCAATTAGCGACAAGACAAATACAGTCATTTGTCGCTTAATGATGGGGATACATTCTGAGGAATGCATCCTTAGGTGATTTTGTCACTGTGCACACATCACAGAGTGCACTTACACAATCCTAGATGGTATAGTTTGTCACTCATCTAGGCTATATTGTACAACCCATTGCTCTTAGCCTGCAAACCTGTTCCACATGTACTGCATGGAATATTGAAGCAATTATAATACAATTTGTGTTTGTGTATCTAAATATGTATAAACATAGAAAAGATACAATAAAAATACAATACAAAAGATACAAAATGGTACTACTTTATAGGACACCTACCATGAATGGAGCTTGCAGGACTAGAAGCTGCTCTAGGTGAGTCAGTGAGTGAGTGGGGAGTGAAGGTGAAGGCCTAGCACATTGCTATACACTACTTCATTTTGCCTACACTAAATTTATTTTTTTAAATTTCTTTCTCCAATAGTAAATTAACCTTAGCTTACTTTAATTTTTTTTTCTTTATAAATTTGTTTTCTGTAACTTTATTTATTTATTTATTTATTTATTTTGTGACAGAGTCTCATCCTGTTGTCCAGGCTGGAATGAAGTGGCATGATCATGGCTCACTGCAACCTCCACCTCCCAGTTTCAAGCGATCCTCCTGTCTCAGCCTCCCAAGTACCTGGGACAGGCATGCAACACCAGGCCTGGCTAATGTTTGTGTTTTTTATATTTATTTATTTATTTATTTATTTTTGAGATGGAGTCTTGCTCTGTCAAAAGTCTCACTCTGTTGCCCAGGCTGGAGTGCAATGGTGTGGTCTCAGCTCACTGCAACCTCCACCTCACAAGTTCAAGTGATTCTCCTGTCTCAGCCTCCCCAGTAGCTGGGATTGCAGGCATGTGTCACCGTGCCTGGATGGTTTTTCTATGCTTGGTGGAGATAGGGTTTCACCATGTTGGCCAGGCTGGACTCAAACTCCTGACCACAAGTGATCTGCCAGCCTCAGCCTCCCAAAATGCTGCGATTACAGGCATGAGCCACCGGGTCTGGCTTTTTTGTGTTCTTTAGCAGAGACAGGGTTTAGCCATGTTGCCCAGGCCAGTCTTGAATTCCTGAGCTCAAGTCTTCTACCCACCTCAGCATCCCAAAGTGCTGGGATTATAGGCATGAATGAGTCACCGTGCCTGGCCTTTTTTTTTTTTTTCTCTAACTTTTTTGGCTCTGTTATAATAATACTTCACTTAAAACACAAATACATTGTACAGCTGTACTAAAATACTTCATTTCTTTATATTCTTATTTTATAAGGTTTTGTCTTTCTAAATTTTTATTTCTTTTTAATTTTAAACTTTTTTGTTAAAAACAAAGACACAAACACATCTTAGCCTAGGACTACACAGTATCAAGATAATCAATGTCACTGTTTTCTAATTCCACGTCTTGTGTCACTGGAAAGTCTTCAGGGCCAATAATATGCATGAAGCTGTCATGTCCTATGATAACAATGCCTTCTTCTGGAATACCTCCCAAAGGACCTGCCTGAGACTGTTTTAAGTTAACTTTAAAAAAAAAAATAGTACAAGGAATACCCATAAAATAAAAACATAAAATATGACAAATATATAAACCAATAACATAGTCTCATTATCATCAAGCATTATGAATTGTACATAATTGTATGTGCTATATATTTTATAGGACTGGTATCAAAGTAGGTTTGTTTACAACAGCATGATCACAAACATGAGTGATGCATTGTATTAGGACATTATGGCTGTTACAGTATCACTAGGTGATAGGAATTTTCCAGCTCCATTATAATTTTAGGGACCACCATAGTATATACAATCTGTTGTTGACTGAAAAATCATTATGTGGTGCATTCCTCTGTAGAAAAATGTCTCTATAGACTCCCTCTGGGCACGAATGTATATATTTTTCTCTAAGTCACCCTCTAAAAATATAATTCAGGCTTTGTTCATTTCTCATCCACATAGTTACATGTTTAGAACTTGTGTGTCAATTTTGTGACACACAAGGTCACAAACGTGACCTAGAGAAAAAAATATATACCCTTCACCTCTACCACAATCTCCATACTCTAAAACCTCTTAAATATCTCATGAAATACATGGAAAAAATCTAATTACTTGCCATGAAATAGGAGACCTTTCATGGCATTATTCTTGTTTATTTAAGTCCTAAATTTATCATATATTTATGAATTAATAAACACTGCATACACGTGTTGGTAAAACTTACCACACTTAAATATAGTTTTAAACAAATATTCAGATTTGTGCATTAAGCCCAGAGAATGATGGGTCCCAGAGGCTGGAAAGGAGTGTGGAGAGCAGGGAAAAAAGAGAGGATGGTTAATGGGTACCAGGATTCAGTCAGATAGAATGAATACCTAGTGTTTGGTAGCACAATAGACTATGGTTAACAATAATTCATTGCATATTTTAAAATAACTAATAGAGTGGAATTACAATGTTCCTAACACAAAGAAAAGAAATGGTAATACTTGAGGTGATAGATACTCCAATTATCCTGATTTGGTTATTACACATTGTTTGCTTGTATCAAAATTTCACAAATACCCCATAACTACATAAAACTATTATACACCCATAATAATTACAAATAATTTGCATATCTTTTGACTCTGGCAATAACTTTTCAGCAAGTTAAAACCAACATCTAGTTGAAACAAATAATTCTGCCATCACACTTTCTTTCCTTCATTGCTTACTGCCAATTTACTTGTGGCTTCATTTCTCATCTGTGACAAAATTTTCATTTTCAAATAATTTATGTTGTTTCTTTGAATTGTTTGGCATGGTGATTAAATTTTAAAGGTAATACATTGAGTTTTTCTTTTTAATACTGAGTTTTATTTCACATGTATATTTTTGTCTCCCCACCATTTCCATGTTTGACTACCACTACTACTATGTCCTATCATACCACTCCATACATACTTAAAACCAAGCAAAGGGTGGAGTTCCATCTTTAAAAACTAAACAGGCATTTTGGACAACACATCCTTGGCAGTAGAATCTGGACAACATTTATCAAACATGGTAGGGAAAATTCTCACTCTGCATTATAAAAAGGACAGCCAGATATCAACTGTTACAGAAATAAAATAAGAGGGAAAACTTTAACAAATTGTTTGAACTATTTTCTTAAAGAGACTTCCTCCACTGCCAGAGATCTTGAACAGCCTCCTCCTCAGTCATCCGGAAGCAATTCTTCACATAAATCATGAACTTGGCTTCCACTTTGGGAAGGGAACCACTTTTTCTATACTTGCTTGCATTTTTGCTTTAATGTCCTCTACAGCACTTGGTTCTTTTGGTGTTTTAGGAGTTCTTTCCCGTTTTTTGTAGGATTTTTGTTCTTTGATCTTGGTGTCGATGCTGGTTTTGAGTCTTTTCCATTCTGATTTGAATTTTGTGCATTTTTGGCTGGAGTATCTCATATAGATTTCTTCACTGGCGCTTTTTCTTCAGTTTCCTCATCATCAAAATCATCACCATCATCTTCATCATCATCAGCTTCATCATCATCTTCATCACTAGCAAGTTTTACTTTTTTCTGTGGAAACTTGCTACCACCTCCAGGGGGAGAAGGCTTTCCAGATATACTTAAGAGTTTCAAATCCTCCTCCTCTTCATCTTCTGACTCTGCATTTTCCTCCCCAGCTACTAAGTGCTGTCCACTAATATGCACTGGCCCTGAACCCCACTTCAACCGTAAGAGCACTGGTGGTGTTATTTCAAAGCCCCCAAGGGAAACCATTGGATGTACAGGCATTGTCAAAGTTGTCAGCGTTACTTTAATTGGAATCCCTTCGTAATTCATGGCCTCTGCTTCAACAACGTGCAATTCGTCCTTTGCACCAGCTGCTAAACTCACCGTTCTTAAAGATAACTGGTGCTCATTTTCATCATTATCCACCTTAAAGTGATCATCTTTGTTGGCCTTTAGTTCACTACTGAAAAGATAATTCTAGGGCCTCAGGGGGGACATGTCCATGTCCATCGAATCTTCCATCGCGTGGCGGCACGCACTTAGGTAGGGGAGAAGGCAGATGGAGATAAACGACCACTGCTCAGGAGAACAGTCGCTCAGGACAGAATCACATCAGGGACATTGAGTTTTTAATATCGCATATTTTAATCTTATATAAGCTTATAAAAATTGATTTTTAAATTGTTTCTTTCCAAGTGTCTGAATTAGTTCTAAGAAATGTGTGAACAGTTTTGTCCTTTTTCATCAAAGCAGAAGAATTTCAATTGTTTAAATACATGCTTTCAGCTCTAATTACTCATTAGAGAAAATAAGTTAAAAATGTGTGGTTTTAATATTTATGTTAAAGAACAAAATCAAAACTTTCCCTAATATATGGATTAACTGGTACAATTAACTAGTAATGAATGTAAATTACTCTGTGGCATATCTCATTATGGTGTTAGTCTAAATTTAAATTTACAATTTAAATTTATAATTATATATATGCATATATAAAATGAAAGAATTGCATGTAAATCACTTATAAAAAAAGACTTTATGAAATGAGGTTAAAAAAATCCAAAGATAAATCAAGCTACTTCCCTTGGAAAGCTGACACCTTTCATATGATTTTATTAAATTTTGACCCATTTAAGTCATACAAAATAGTGGACTCATATTAAATGAAGCACAAATAAAGAAATATCCAAACAACAATTTTATCAAGGGGATATGTCAAATTACCTAGAAATTACACTACCCTTTTGCAAGCACTATCCTAAATAATTTGAGAACAGAGATGACATTTAAAAGTAAAGAAGAAAATAGGAAGAGAAGATTGTAGGAGGAAAGATGTATTTCCTTTGCTGATATTTAACACTATCATTTTTCTTAATTATTCTTGACATTTCACACATTTCACCCATTATTCCCTGAGCTCCCCTAAAGCACAGCTTTTTTTAAAATGTAGGGCTACTTACTTTTGAGGACAAATTGTACATTGCTGTTCTTTAATAAATTCAACCTTTTATTCTTGATCCTATTCCTCATATATAAGCAGATAGCACCACCTGTCTTATAAGCTGGTGCCTTTATAGCATGGATTTCTGTAAACATGCTGCTAAAAGTAGAATTAATTTCTTAGATTGAATGAAGTAGGGAGGCATTTGAATATCTAGCATTTAGAATAAGTAAACTATTGATAATTAAAATTATATACTCTTTAGATATTTACATTATATATTTTGAATTTTAAAGAACATCAAAAGCAATGCAAATTCTTAATTAACATTGATAGTATAAATATCTTTCATATCTTGAACCTACAAATTCAAGAGTCTAGCTATATTCTGTTATTCTTTAAGCAAAATAACCGTGTTTATTACTTTACTTCTTTTAGTGTTTGTCCTTTAGCCACATATATCCATATTAATTATTTAAAGTACGTGTATTACTTTAAAATTTGTTGTGATACCTTAGATTTCATGTTTGCCTATATAATATGCAAAATCATATACTGACATCATATTGTAAATGAGAGCTTTATCTTATTCTCCTTTATATAATTTGTATTTCAAGAAGTATAGATATTTTAATTAAAATTAGTCTACTTTAATATCCATAATCTTATCTGTATTATATGAAATTTACTGAAGAAAAGCTAAAACCAAGTAATTGGCCATTTTTACCTATTTGAGATTTCAGAAAATCATGCTTTCTAAAACTTAGTAGGATTTTGGTAAAACAAACCAAAACTATAGATTAAGACATTGTCTAGCTGAACTGGATTAAAGAAAAATACAAATATTTGTATTGGTACATCTTCAGTATTCACAAGGAGAGAAAGCATAACAGCAAGTAAAAAGAAAAATTAAAAGAAACTAATGTTATCACCTATTTAATGTTACATAGTAATACTGTTGATGAATAAATATTTCTATAAAGTATCAGAAATTAAGATTCCAGCATATAGCTAGAAGAATTACTTTTAATAATACATATCTATGTGTATATCAAGCACACTTTTTTTTAAAAAAAACTAAAGATATTAAAAGTAAAGTGTCCCTTAATTTATACTCAAATATTTTTGGGAAAAAAATATAAAAATCTACTTTTTTCTTAAATGATTGCTTGTCTTTAAACTTTTTATTTTATAAGTTAATTTCTTAAGCATAGAAAACTTTTTAGTAGCATGCATTGCATTAAGTCTTACAAGTACATGCAACAAAACTAGTGGATTTCAAGATTCCATTTTCGAGGCTTGAATGCTATGTTTAGTAGTGTAATGACACTCACTACTGAGTGAGTGTCAGAAATCTGGTGTTGTTTTCTCTAAAGCATAGGGACAATGGGCAAAACAAAACTAATGATTCTGTGACAATGTAATTGTATTACCATTATTATACATAAAGGTGTATTTTAAACTGTAATATATCACAAGCAAGTTTTTACACTTCTATCCATTATTTGATCGGTACTTTCATTGAAATTTGTAACATTTACAAAACTTATTAATTTGAAAATATGTTCATGTACTTACAATTGCATTAAATTATAAATTAAATAATACTTCAACATTTGAATTATAATATTCAAATGAAAGTTGTGAAGAAAGCAAATGCCACGTATAATTGCCATGTATATTGATATGTGAATAGAAATACATAAGCACAAATACTCAAAAAGAATAACATACTAAATTAATTTCATACAATACTGCAGTTTTAAGTTGTATGTTTGCTGATTCATTAAAGGAACTTTTGAATAAATATACAAAAATCGCTAGCATCCCTTGACACCAACAGCAGTCAAGCTGCGAACCAAATCAAGAATGCAATCCCATTCACAGTAGCCACAAAAAGAATAAAATACCTAGGAATACAGTTCACCAGGAAGGTGAAAGATTTCTACAGTGAGAATTACAAAACATTGCCCAAAGAAATCAGAGATGACACAAACAAATGGAGAAACATTCCATGCTCATGGATATGCAGAATCAATATGAATAAAATGGCCATACTGCCCAAAGCATATTACAGATTCAATGCTATTCCTATCAAACTACCAATAACATTCTTCACAAAACTAAAAAGATAAAACTATTTTAAAATTTATATGGAACCAGATAAAGAGCCCAAATAGGCAAGGCAATCCTAAGCCAAAAGTATAAGCTGAAAGCATTATGTTACCCAAGTTCAAACTATACTACAGTGCTACAGTAACCAAAACAGTATGGTACTGGTACAAAAACAGGCACATAGACCAATACAACCGAATAAGAGCCCAGAAATAATTCTGCACATCTACAGTCATCAGATCTTTGACAAAGCTATCAAAAACAATAGGCCAGTTATCCCAGCACCATTAAAAAATGTGATGTGATTAGTGCTCAACATCACTAATTATCAGAGAAATGCAAATCAAAACCAAATTGAGATATTACCCCACAGCTGTTAGAATGGCTATTATCAAAAAGAAAAAAAGTTGGAGAAAACTGGACAAAAAGGAACCCTTGTTACTGTAGATGAGAATGCACAACCATTATGGAAAACAGTATTAAAGTCCTTTAAAAATTAAGACTAGAACTACCCTATGATCTAGCAATTCCACTTCTAGGTATATATCCAAAAAGGGAAAAGGAATCACATACTTGCAGAGTTATCTGCACTCTCGTGTTCATTGCAACATTATTCACAATAGCTAAAATATAGAAACAAGCTATGTGTCACACAACAAATGAATGGATAAAGAACACAATGCATTGTTATTCAGCCTTAAAAAAGGAAATACTGCCATTTGCCAACAACATGGATAAACCCATAGAACATTATGTTAAGTGAAATAAGCTAGACATAGAAAGAGAGATACAGCATGATATCATTTGCACATAAAATCTAAAAAAGTGTTAAATGCATAAGTAACAGAGAGTAGAATTTGGGTTGTTAGGGCCTGGGATGTGGCAGAAAAGAGAAGATATTGGTCAAAGAGTCAAAGAAACTTTCAATTATAAAATGAATAAGTTCTGGAGGCCTAACCTACAGTGTAATAACTATAGTTAATACTGTATTGTATACTTAAAATATGCTAAGAGAGTAGATCTCAAGTGTTCTTACTCCCCACTCCCCAAACATACACATACATACAAAATAGTAATTATTGAATTGATGGATGTTAATTAACTTTATTGTGTTAATCATTTTGCAATGTATATGTATATCAAAACATTGTTATACATCATAAATATATTCAATTTTTATTTTTCAATCATACCTCAGTAATACTGGGAAAAAAGCACTCCAGAAGGAAACAATGAGGGGAAAAAGAAATAGCTGATATGTTTTTCCATTAAAAAAATCCAACAGTGAATAAATTTGCTAAGCAAAAAAATAAAATGTTCATTCTGTGGTATACCTGTTGGCTTTTTGTTAGTCTTTGGAGAAATGTCTATTCAGGTCCTTTGCTATTTTTAAATAAGTTTTTTTATTTTTTTTTATTTTTTTTGCTATTCAGTTGTATGAGTCCTTTGTATATTTTTGTTATTAACTCATCAGATATATAGTTTACAAATAGTTTCTTCCCATTCTGAAGATTGCCTTTTCATTTTATTAACTGTTTTCTGTGCAGTAGCTTTTGAGTTTGATGTAAGCCCATTGATTAATTTTGCTTTTGTTCCTTGCGCTACTGGTGTCATACAAAAAAATCAGTATCAAGATCAATATCAGGGGGACTTTTCCATATGTCTTCCAGGGCTTTTATGATTCAAGCCTTTAATTCATTTTTAGTTGATTTTTGAGTGTGGTGCAAACTAAGATTCCAGTTTTACTCTTTTGCTTATGGACATCCAGTTGTCCAAACACTATTTCTTGAAGTGACTATCTTTACCTACTATATGTTTTCAGCACCTTTGTAAATGATTAGTTGACCTTATGAGTGAGTTTATTTCTAAATGCTCTATTTTGTTTCATTCATATATGTGCCTGTTTTTATGCCAGTAATATATTGTTTTGAGTGCCATAGCTTTAAAGTATAGTTTCAAATCAGGAAATGTGATGTCCTTAGCTTTATTCTATGTGTCTAAAGATTAATTTTCCTATTTGGATTTTTTTTGTAGTTCCAAATTAATTTTAGGATTATTTTATTCTGCTTTGTGAAAAATGCCATGGGAATTCTGAAAGGGATTGCATTTAATCTGTAGATTTATTTGGGTAGTACATCTTATAGTTTTTAGAGTACAGATCTTTTATTTCCTTGGTTAAATATATTTCTAAATATTGTATTGCATTTTATGCTGTTTGCAATGGGATTGTTTTCCTTATCTCTCAGAGAGGTCACTATTAGTGTTATTAGTGTATAGAAATACAACTGATTTTTGCACACTGATTTTGTATTCTGCAATTTTATTGAATTATTTTATTAGTTCAAACAGATTTTATTGTGGAGTTTTTAGAGGATTCTATATATGAGATCAGGTCATCTGCAAATGGAATAACTTTACCTTTGCTCTTCTCTTTTTGATGTCTGTTACTTCTTTTTCCCACCTAATTTATTTGGCTAGGTTGTCTTGTTGAATAAAAATGGCTACAGTGGGCATCCTTGTCTTGTTTGGGATCTTAGAGGAAAACCTTTCAGCGAACTTTTCACTATTAAGTATGCTGTTAGCTGTGTGCTTGTCGTATATGGCCTTTACTGTGTTGACGTACATTTACATTCCTTCTGTAACTAATTTGTTGATAACTTTTATTATGAAAGGATGTTAAATTTGCACATTAAGATGATCATACAATTTTTATTCTTCAATATTTTAATGTAGTCTATTACATTTTCTGATTAGCATATGTTAAAGCATCTTTGCATCCCTGGGATAAATCCCACTTGATCTTTCTGGATGATCCTGTTAATGTGCTACTGAATTCACTTTATAGTATTTGTTGAGAATTTTTGCATCTATGTTCATCAACGATATACGTCTGCAATTTTCTTTTCTTGTAGTTTCCTTGTCTGGCTTTGTTATCAGGATAATGCTAGCCTTGAAAAATAAGTTTGAAAGTATTCCCTCCTCTTCAATTATTTGGAAGAACTTGAGAATTAATATCTGTTTCTTTAAAGAATTGGTAGACTTCATAAGTGAAGCCATCTGGTCCTGGGCTTTACTTTGTTGAGAGATTTTTTCATTTCTGATTCTATCTCCTTAGTCACTATTGGTCTATTCAGATTTTCTACTTCATTATGATTTAGTCTGGTTAGGTTAAATGGGTCTAGGAATTCATTCATTTCTACTAGGCTATCCAATTTTACGTGTATTGTTCACAGCAGTTGCCTATGATTCCTTGTATTTCTGTGGTATCATTCATGATGTCTCCTCTTTCATTTCTGATTTTATTTATGTGAGTTTTTTCAATTTTTTTCTTAGTTTAGCTAAAAGTTTGCCATTTTTGTTTATATTTTTAAACACCAATTTGTAGTTTCATTGACAGTTTGTATTGTCTTTTTAGTCTCTATTAATTTCTGTTCCTATGTTGATCATTTTCTTCCTTCTGCTAACTTTGAGCTTAGTTTTGCTCTCCTTTGTTTTGTTTCTTGCAATGTAAAGCTAGGTTTTTCATTTTTTTGAGTACTTTCTTTTTTCTTCACTTAGGTGTTTTTCACTATGAACCTAGCTTTTAGTAATATATCTGCTTTTCCTGCATCTCATAAGTTTTGGTATGTTATGTTTCCATTTTCATTTGTCTCAAGACTTCTGTTTATTTCCATTTTGATTCCTTTTTGACACATTAGCCTTTTGAAGCATGTGGTTTAATTTCCACATATTTGCTTATTTTTCAATTTTTCTGTCTGCTATTGATTTCTAGTTTCATACCATTTTATTTAGAAAGATGCTTGATATGATTTCAATATTCTCAGATTTCATAAGACTTGTTTTGTGGCCTAACATATGATCTATCTGGGAAAATATTCTCTTGCTTTTGGAATATTCTGTATACGCCTGTTAGGTTCATTTGGTCTGTGGTGTAGGGTAAATCAAGTGTTTTCTATTGATTTTCTGTCTGGATGATCTATCTATTGTTGAAAGTAGGGTATTGAAATTCTCTATTATTTATTATATTGCTTTGAGTCTGCTATTGATGCTCTCATTTTCTAACTCAGTTGTATTCTGCAGCTCAGAAATTTGTTTGCTTCTTCTTTATGTTTTATTTTTTTTGTTGAACTTCTCATTTTGTTCTTTTGTTGTGTTCCAGGTTTTGTTAAATTGTTAATCTGTGTTCCCTTGTAGCTCACTGAACTTCTTTAGACCTATTATTTTAAATTATTTGTGATGCAATTTGTGAATCTTCGTTTCTTTTCTTTTTCTTTTTTTTTGTTTTGTTTTTTTTTTTGTTTTTCTGTTTTTTTGTTTTTGAGATGGAGTCTTGCTCTGTCGCCCAGGCTGGAGTGCAATGGTGTGATCTCGACTCACTGCAACCTCTGCCTCCCAGGTTCAAATGATTCTCCTGCCTCAGCCTCCTGAGTAGCCGGTATTATAGGTGCCTGCCACCAGGCCCAGCTAATTTTTGTATTTTTAGTAGAGAAGTGGTTTCACTATGTTGGCCAGGCTGGTCTTGAACTCCTGACCTCATGATCTACCCGCCTCAGCTTCCCAAACTGCTGGGGATTACAGGTGTGAGCCATGATGCCTGGCCAAATCTTCATTTCTTTGGTGTCAGTTATTAGAAGTTTACTGTGTTCTTTTGCTGGTGTCATGTTTTCCTGATTCTTCCTGATCATGGCCTTGCATAGGTATCTGCACATTTGAAGAAGCAGTCACCTCTTCCTGACTTACGGACTGGGCTTGGTAAAGAAAGACCTTCAACTGCAGGGGTTGGGAGGCATGCTAGAGAGTGCTATAGCACCTTATACCATGTGTGGAGGGATGTGGTTGCTTCTAGGTCTGGAGGAACATGGTGCCTTGTCAGCTCACGCAACTGATGTTTATGATGTTGGCAACTGTGAGGTCCTTGTTGGTGAGAGCTATGGAGGGTCTGTAGGGAATGTGAGGGCTGTTGGAGTCCTCCACAGTGCCTCTGGGCCCAGCAGTGGAGAACTAAGGCTAAAGGCAAGAGTGGCTTGGATTAGCAGTGTGCATGAACATGGTGGCAGGGGCTGGGGCCTACTGTAGGTACATCCATGGAGGCAGATGCCAGCAGCAATCATAACCATGACTATGGGGTTTGGGGCTGAAAATGTGTATGCAAGTGCTTGCAGGGACCAGCTGTAGGCCAGGGCTGGTGGTGTGGGTATGAGCCATTTTCAGGTGCATAAGCAGTGGCCATGCTGAATCTTGAGGCCAGGGTATCTGTAGTGGCACCAGCTGGACAGCTCTTGGGTAGAGTAAGGAAGAGGCATGGAGGCTCAGGCAGCTGGAGCCTGCAAAGGCAGACGACTGGATCTTTTGGTGGCAAAGCTGTGGTGGTTGATGCTGCAGAGTCTTTAGTGGTGAAAGCTGCAGAAAAGTGTGTGTTGCAGCCCAACCGCTGTCGATGTTCTCAGTGGTGAAGGCCGCTGGCGTCCTGTGCAGAGCAAGTCACCAGGGACCACGGTGGCACCCTCTTGTGGCTGATACTGATAGCCCTTGTCCTTCTTCTTTGTTGCAAGCCATCTCCAGATGTCTCAGCTATGCTGATCTCCCCAGCAATCCGGGTGCCCTGAAAGTGAGGCAGGTTCTTTGGACAGTGCCTTAAAAGAGTGGAAAAGCTGCTGATCCATTTGCTCTCCCTTTCCTTGCAAGGAAAACCCACAGAACAGGACTTTCCTTTTTCATGCTGAGCAGTGCCAGTCTGCGGGATGGCATAATATAGGTAAAATGAAAATTTTCATCTGACTTACTTTTAACAGCTATTCCCAGGTTTTTTGCTCTACCATGCTGCTGCAGCTTCTTAAATGGAATCCTGAGCTCTCCAGTGCTGTTTTTGTAAATACTGTCTAGCTGTTGTCTTCTTGATGTTGTTGGGGGACAAAGCTGGGATCATCTACTATGCCATTTTGCTGACAACATTTATCCCAACTATTACTTAATTTATTTATGCTCCTTAATCTCCTCAGAAGATTCACCAATTCTACTAGGATTACTTTGCTAAAAATAACTGCCTTATTTCTCTAGATCTTCATAAAAATATCTACTATTAACACAGAAATTCTAATCTAAGTATTTTTCAATAAACGCTTTATATATACAGATGAATTGTAATACTTCAATGAAACTGATTGATTCTAAGAGGGAAAAAACATTAAAAACCCTACAGATAACTCAATAGTTAAGAATATATACCAGGAATTTTATAGTGGCCTATTTATATTGTTTTGAAAAGCAAGTAATAATAGAAAGCGTCCATAAATGCAGTTAAAATGCTATTATGTCATTAATGCAAACCAATAAAGTTTCTCTAAATATTATAAACTTCTGTAATCCAGGAAAATTATCTGCTGAGCATTTAGTAGTAAATGTGAACAAAAGTATTTGTTAATAAACAAAATTATAACATTTATATTTATGGTGTTAAAAGGAAACCATATAATTTACCACATACATTATGAATGGTTTTCCAAATATTAAAATAATTAAATATTAAATCAAAATGACAGCTGTGAAAACTTATAACTACTTTAATGTGTTGAATGCCTCAAAATTACATATTAATACATACATACACACACACATATGGAGTTATCTCTTGGTATCTGTGGGAAATTGGTTTCGGGACCCCCAATGATACCAAAATTCATGAATGCTCAAGTCTCATATAAAATGGTACAGTGTTTGCACACAGCTTACATATATCCTATGCTATACTTTAAATCATTTCTAGATTACTTATAATACCTAATATAATGCCTACACATTACTTCAGTCTCATGGATTTAACATAGCACTCTGGGTTCAACAAATTTAACTTTTGCTTTTTGGAACTTTGTGGAGGGTTTTTCTGAATATTTTTTAGTTAATATTTGGTTGAATTCATGGATGTGAAACCTATGGATATGGAGGGCCAACTATATACACACACACATATACATATATAAGCATGCGTACAGATACATATATACTCTGCATATATATATTACAAAATTATATATAAACATTTATTGATGTGGTAAGCAGAGTATCATAAGTACATGAAACAGTTTAAGTACTTTCTTTGTAATGAAAATCAAAGATTGGGAATGGCATTTTATAAAAAATAGAGTGTAGCAAGTCCACAGATCCAAAGAATACAACAAAAACCTGAGTAAAATTAATGAGCTTATTAATTAGAAAGCTCTGTTTGGGGAGCCAGGTTACTTAAAGACTCTTTCCTTGCTCCTTTTTCATAGAAGCTAAATTTTTTAGTTTGAGCCAGAGCTCAACGCCAGGTAGATATTGAGTCTCTGGGTTCCCTGTATAGAAAGCTAAGTTATTCTCAAGAAAATAACATTTTTTAGAAAGTTTATGTATTATATATCAAAATTACTCTGGAATTTTAAAAATAAAAGCATGAGGAAAATAGCGCTGGCAATTTACAACAATAAAAACAATGGAAAATAACCCCAAAAAGGTATTTCAAATTTATGTAAGATCAAACACCACAAGGAAGACATGTAATCTGAAATAAAAAAAAATCCACTGACCCTCATGGCTTTACAGTGTATAAAGCAAGCACTATTGATTAATATAAGAATAATAAATTCACAATTCTAGTGAAATAATTTAACTTATTTCTTTTAGAAATTTAAAGATTAATTTGATGAAACATTAATTAGGATATGAAGTATTGATTGAGATGATGAAAATGACAAGTTCAAATTAATGGACATATATAGCATTATTCCCAAGACAGTATACACATTTCATTTAGACTCTCAAAGAACATTTAAAAGTGTTAATTAGGTAATAAGCATTTAGGAAAAAAATTGCAATGTTAAAAATCTTAAAAACAATTAGGAAAACTAGTAATGTAAAAACACAGTAGTCCTGTTCAAATCTTCTGGTGAAATTAATAAAAATTGTTTGGTAAAAAAATTTTAACTTATTTTAAAAGCATAAAACTAGCAAGATAGTGAGTAATTATCAAGCCAAAAATATTTGTGATAGTAGCAACCAAGAGATATAAATATTACTGAAGCTGTTTTTTTATGAAATTATTTTACAAAATAAGGGAAATGGAGCATTGATGTTTTTCTTTTTCTTTCAGTTTTATTAAGGTAGAACATATATAAGAACGAAACATATTTAATGTGAACCATCTGATGAGTGTGGACAAATGCAAACATTTGTGATAGCACTACCACAATCAAAGTAATAGACATGTCTAACACCTCTCAAAGCGTCCTTTTGTTTTTTATTTTGTTTTTGTTTTTTCTTGTGGTAAGAGCACTTAACGTGAGATCTACTCTCATAAATTCTTAAGTACATGTTGTCTATTGTTAACTATAGCCACTACGTGAAAGAGCAAATCTCTACTTTTTCATATAGCAGAACTGGAACTTCAGAGTTATTCAAAAACAACCATTTCTCTTTTCTTTAGGCCCTGGCAACCACTATTGCCTTTTCTGCTTCTTTGAGTTTGACTATCATGGATACTTCTACAAATATTGATTTTCAAGATCAGGAAAAATACCGGGACCAGAAGACAAATTTCAGAGCCACCTAAATTGTGGAGTCTAATAAAAGATTCCTTTCTCCTAATGATGTGACCATCCAAAGGATACACTCTCAGTGTAAACGTAAACCCAGAATAAAATTTTATCATCAGCCTTCAGGGAATGTGGCTTTAAATTAAGCGGAAGTCTCTTTGGTGCTAAGCAGAGCATGGGGAAATGATGTTGAGAAAGTGTAAATATAGCGCCTCTCTGGCAGACACTGAGCTGAAGTTCACCATACCTAGGTGGGGAAAACCATCCAATCATTGATTTAGTTTAAAGTAGATCCTAAAATTAGTGCCTTCTGAAGCATAGAAGTATACACAAATACCTGCTAGAGTTACTCCTTCATTCTGAGCCCGAAAATGGTCTGACACAAAAATTTTTTGGAAATGAATCACTCACTCAAAAGCCATTTGGCACAAAGACAAGGAAGAAAATAAATAAATGAATATGTATGTATGTGTGTCTGCGTTTCTGTGTTCACATATAAATGCATATTCATTTATATATTAATATATGTAGGTGTATCTGCATATAACAACAGGAAGGAAAGAAAAGACCTTCTGCTATTGGAATTATCAGACACATGTAAAATAAAAATTCATAAGAGTGAAGTAATATAGTCAATGTAATAATATAAATAACTCCAGACTTAGAAATCTATACACAGAAAAATCATCCTCAAAAACCAGGAGAAATTTGAAATATTTTCATAAAACAAAAGTTGATAGGTTGTACTACTGGCAAAAAAAAAAAAAACAAACAAAAGAAATTGTAACAGATATGTTTTAGGCAATAAAATACAAATCACAGAATGAATACCTGATATGTAAGAGATGAATAATACAGGCTCACACCTGTAATTACAGCACTTTGGGAGGCTGAGGTGGGTGGATCATGAAGTCAAGAGATCAAGACCATCCTGGCCAACATGGTGAAACACCGTCTCTACTAAAAATACAAAAATTAGCTGGGTACGGTGGCGGATGCATGTAGTCCCAGCTACTTGGGAGGCTGAGGCAGCAGAATTGCTTGAACCCCGGGAGGTGGAGGTTGCAGTGAGCCAAGATCGCGCCACCATGCTCCAGCCTGGGTGACAGAGGGAGACTCCATCAAAAACATAAAAAACAAATAATACAAAGTAAATACTTAGATCTATATAAATAAACATTGTTCACTAAAGTAATGCTGTTAATTACTTCTGATTTTAAAGAAAAAATAGATAAACTTTAAAAAAAAAAAGCTAGCAGAAGGCAAGAAATAACTAAAATCAGAGCAGAACTGAAGGAAATAGAGACACAAAAAACCCTTCAAAAAAATTAATGAATCCAGGAGCTGGTTTTTTGAAAATTTCAACAAAATTGATAGACCGTTAGCAAGACTAATAAAGAAGAAAAGAGAGAAGAATCAAATAGACACAATAAAAAATTATAAAGGGGATATCACCACCAATCCCACAGAAATACAAACTACCATCAGAGAATACTACAAACACCTCTATGCAAATAAACTAGAAAATCTAGAAGAAATGGATAAATTCCTCGACACATACACTCTCCCAAGACTAAACCAGGAAGAAGTTGAATCTCTGAATAGACCAATAACAGGCTCTGAAATTGAGGCAATAATCAATAGCTTACCAACCAAAAAAAGTCCAGGACCAGATGGATTCACAGCCGAATTCTACCAGAGGTACAAGGAGGAGCTGGTACCATTCCTTCTGAAACTATTCCAATCAATAGAAAAAGAGGGAATCCTCCCTAACTCATTTTATGAGGCCAGCATCATCCTGATACCAAAGCTGGGCAGAGACACAACCAAAAAAGAGAATTTTAGACCAATATCCTTGATGAACATTGATGCAAAAATCCTCAATAAAATACTGGCAAACCGAATCCAGCAGCACATCAAAAAGCTTATCCACCGTGATCAATTGGGCTTCATCCCTGGGATGCAAGGCTGGTTCAACATTCGCAAATCAATAAATGTAATCCAGCATATAAACAGAACCAAAGACAAAAACCACATGATTATCTCAATAGATGCAGAAAAGGCCTTTGACAAAATTCAACAACCCTTCAGGCTAAAAACTCTCAATAAATTAGGTATTGATGGGATGTATCTCAAAATAATAAAAGCTATCTATGACAAACCCACAGCCAATATCATACTGAATAGGCAAAAACTGGAAGCATTCCCTTTGAAAACTGGCACAAGACAGGGATGCCCTCTCACACTGCTCCTATTCAACATAGTGTTGGAAGTTCTGGCCAGGGCATTTAGGCAGGAGAAGGAAATAAAGGGTATTCAATTAGGAAAAGAGGAAGTCAAATTGTCCTTGTTTGCAGATGACATGATTGTATATCTAGAAAACACCATTGTATCAGCCCAAAATCTCCTTAAGCTGTTAAACAACTTCAGCAAAGTCTCAGGATACAAAATCAATGTACAAAAATCACAACCATTCTTATACACCAATAACAGACAAACAGAGAGCCAAATCATGAGTGAACTCCCATTCACAATTGCTTCAAAGAGAATAAAATACCTGGGAATCCAACTTACAAGGGATGTGAAGGACCTCTTCAAGGAGAACTACAAACCACTGCTCAAGGAAATAAAAGAGGATACAAACAAATGGAAGAACATTCCATGCTTATGGGTAGGAAGAATCAATATTGTGAAAATGGCCATACTGCCCAAGGTAATTTATAGATTCAATGCCATCCCCATCAAGCTACCAATGACTTTCTTCACAGAATTGGAAGAAACTACTTTAAAGTTCATATGGAACCAAAAAAGAGCCCTCATCACCAAGTCAATCCTAAGCCAAAAGAGCAAAGCCGGAGGCATCACACTACCTAACTTCAAACTATACTACAAGGCTACAGTAACCAAAACAGCATGGTACTGGTACCAAAACAGAGATATAGATCAATGGAACAGAACAGAGCCCTCAGAAATAATGCTGCATATCTACAACTATCTGATCTTTGACAAACCTGACAAAAACAAGCAATGGGGAAAGAATTCCCTATTTAATAAATGGTGCTGGGAAAACTGGCTAGCCATATGTAGAAAGCTGAAACTGGATCCCTTCCTTACACCTTATGCAAAAATTAATTCAAGATGGATTAAAGACTTACATGTTAGACCTAAAACCATAAAAACCCTAGAAGAAAACCTAGGCAATACCATTCAGGACATAGGCATGGGCAAGAACTTCATGTCTAAAACACCAAAACAATGGCAACAAAAGCCAAAATTGACAAATGGGATCTAATTAAACTAAAGAGCTTCTGCACAGCAAAAGAAACTACTATCAAGGTGAACAGGCAACATACAAAATGGGAGAAAATTTTCACAACCTACTCATCTGACAAAGGGCTAATATCCAGAATCTACAATGAACTCAAACAAATTTACAAGAAAACAAACAACCCCATCAAAAAGTGGGCGAAGGATATGAACAGACACTTCTCCAAAGAAGACATTTATGCGCCAAAAAACACATGAAAAAATGCTCACATCGCTGGCCATCAGAGAAATGCAAATCAAAACCACAATGAGATACCATCTCACACCAGTTAGAATGGCGATCATTAAAAAGTCAGGAAACAACAGGTGCTGGAGAGGATGTGGAGAAATAGGAACACTTTTACACTGTTGGTGGGACTGTAAACTAGTTTAACCATTGTGGAAGTCAGTGTGTCGATTCCTCAGGGATCTAGAACTAGAAATACCATTTGACCCAGCCATCCCATTACTGGGTATATACCCAAAGGATTATAAATCATGCTGCTATAAAGACACATGCACACGTATGTTTATTGCGGCACTATTCACAATAGCAAAGACTTGGAACCAACCCAGATGTCCAACAATGATAGACTGGATTAAGAAAATGTGGCACATATACACCATGGAATACTATGCAGCCATAAAAAATGATGAGTTCATGTCCTTTGTAGGGACATGGATGAAACTGGAAACCATCATTCTCAGCAAACTATCGCAAGGACAAAAAACCAAACACCACATGTTCTCACTCATAGGTGGGAACTGAACAATGAGAACACTTGGACACAGGAAGGGGAACATCACACTCCGGGGCCTGTTGTGGGGTTGAGGGAGAGGGGAGGGATAGCATTAGCAGATATACCTAATGTTAAATGACGAGTTAATGGGTGCAGCACACCAACATGGCACATGTATACATATGTAACAAACCTGCATATTGTGCACATGTACCCTAAAACTTAAAAGTGTAATAATAATTAAAAAAATTTAAAAAATAAATAAATAAATCCGAGCTTCACAACTTAAAAAAAAAACAAAACAATAAAACATCACACCTTCCTGAGACCAGAAGAAGAGGCAATTATTCCAAATTACTTTACAGGATTATAAAAACTAGAAATCAAAATCTAATAATGGCAATAGTAGTAAGATTGTTAATAGGCCTACCTCAAGTATCTTAACATATTAGCAAAGAAAAATCCAGCTATATGGAAAATTGTGTTTATTTCCAATTAATAGAATTTAGTTTTCTATAAACTAATCTTGGGTCAATTTATTAGTCCATTTTTAAAATGCTGATAAAGACATACCCAAGATGGGGCAATTTACAGAAAAAAGAGATTTATTTACAGTTCCACATGGCCTGAATAGCCTCACAATCATGGCAGAAAGCAAAGAGGAGCAAGTCACATCTTACACACATGGTAGCAGGCAAAGAGAGGGCTTGTGCAGAGAAACCCCCATTTTTAAAACCATCAGATCTCGTGAGACCCATCCACTATCATGAGAAGAGCATAGGAAAGACCTGCTTCCATGATTCAATCATCCCCCACTGGGTCCCTTCCAGTGGGAGCTACAAGATGAGACTTGGGTGGAGACACAGAGCCAAACCATATCAGTCAATTATATATTGGGTTTAATATCAATTATTTTAATCAACTGCACTAAAAAAATAACATTTAAAAAGCCCACAAAATTATTAATATTGATGGTGTAATTCCCTAGGAAAC
The DNA here is from genome assembly GCF_000001405.40 of Homo sapiens. Taxonomy (NCBI): domain Eukaryota; kingdom Metazoa; phylum Chordata; class Mammalia; order Primates; family Hominidae; genus Homo; species Homo sapiens. Next base: position 67,849,387 of record NC_000013.11, read on the forward strand.
TGACTCTAAAATGGAAATGTGCTGCAATTCAAGCTTAATGGCAGCCTTTATCAAATCCTTCATAGTTGTCCTGGGTTATACCTCATGGTCATTTGATGCTGGTTGCTTCCAGAAGCTCTCTGAAGCTGAGGCATCCATGAAAAAGCTATAAGCTGCAGTTGCCTACTGACAGCCCCCTCAGATTTGATGTTTTCATCCGGGATGCCCATAAACTCCACACAGCATCTTTTTCTATCACTTCCATTTCTAATGGCACAGTGTCTGAAATTTATGGATCAAGCTTTGGAGCTGCTTTCACTTTAGCCTGGTCCTGATGCAGAGTCCTTTCCTGCTCTGTATCTCACACAAACCCGGCAGCTTTTCAAATCACCCAATGTATGGTGTGGAGCAGCGTCCCCAGATGTTGCGTATGCTGCCTCCAGTGCTTGAATAGGCTACCAGGCACTACTGCTTCTTCATGGTGTAAAATGTAAAATATATTAATTTTTCCTTTGGAAGAGTATTTCAACATGCCTCTGACCACTGGTCTCTTGATAATTTAACTGATTTTGTAGGCACATCAGCATAGGGCTTATTTTACACCCTCTGAGGCTTGGGTCATAATAAGGTCTCTAATTTAGCAGTCCTTTCTTATTCATTTGGACCAATTAACATGATATGAACAGTAAAGTGGATCAATGTGATTTTCAGAAGAACCAGGCAGTGCAGCTCTCTATAGACTTTCTTAATACAAATGGTAAGAGAGTAAGCATACCCCTGATGTTAATATATAGCATATACTATTTTCCATTCTATGTGAACGTAAACTGCTTGTGATCCTTTTTTCTGATAAGGAGATAAAAGCAAAGATAAGCAAGCAAGCCAGAAAACAAACAAAAAACACCTTCAACAAATGAATGGCCACATACCGTTTACCTGAGGTTGTATTTGTTAGTATACTCTGGCAAAGGCACTGCATCTGGCATCGTGGCTGCGATTGGGGATGTTATTTCGTTATGACTGTGATAATCTACCATTATTCTCCGGGATCTGTCTTGAATATTAATTGAGCGTATGTCCAAAACTATAATGCCTACATTCTTTCATGGGCGTCCAGTCTTTGGGCATCCCCAGGCCACATTGGAAGAAGAATAATTGTTTTGGGCAACACATAAAATATGATAGCACTAGTGATAGCTGATGAGCTAAAAAAAATATATAGCAAAAAAAGTCTCATAATGTTTTAAGATATTTTATGAATTTATGTTGGGCTGCATTCAAAACCTTCCTGGGCCACACGTGGCCTACAGGCCATATGTTGGACGAGCTTGCTTTATATACTTAAAAATGGTAATAAATTTTATGCTCTTAACAAAAAATATATATTTGATTTTTTTATTGTTGTTTTGTTTTTAATTTACTTATTTGGCTGAGGCTGGGGGCAGAATTATTACAGGCTTATACTTTCCCTTTGCCATGCTGATATCATGATCTCATGCCATAGGCCAAAAACCCTGTGCCAGCTACCAATTATGTCTGTTTTGATTATACATTCATAAACCAGGAAACTGATCACTGGATGGATTCAAGAACTAGTGGAGACAGCAGGAGTCAAACCTGGGACAAGACTTCGCTTGTTGCATGTATTCCAAATCCCCCGATCTAATAAGAGTGCCATTATGATTCTCCATATCCTTCATTATTAATGGCCCCGTATCCAAGACACATCCAAGTATTTCAAGATTTCCCTTTCCTCAGTACATATTTATCTTTGATTGGTGCTGCAGGACATTTCAACCTGGGATTCCAACACTCGAAGAGTCTGGAGATTCTGGGTCAAAAAACATTCTCAGTACTAAAATCTAGGAAAAAGGTGCTGACTTTTTTTTACAGTGACATCCCTCAGCCTCCTGGTCATCCATTTTTGCTTTCATTAAATGATTATAAATGAGTAGGTCCCTTTTGCTTAATGCCCAGTCATTTTTCCCCTGAGGTGCCAATTTCTATAATTAGGGATGCCGTTTCTTTAATTTGCTACAAGTGAGGCTCCCCATGTGCCCTTTTGACCTTGCCACATATCACAATAACTGCATCCAGTTGACTGTCAATAATCAAGTACCATTGTTTCAGAGTCCTACCGTCCTGCTGGCTGTCAATAAGCCTAGTTCCCTAATGGCTTCTCATACTGTCAAAAGTGGCTTACACAGAGGGCCACCATCAAACATTTCCTGGTGCCCCCTCACTAACATATTCCTAGCACACTTGGTAAATGGCATATCATGTGATATTCCCCTGCAACATAATCTGACACATTCTAAGCCCTTATATAAAATTGCCATTCCAGTAAGCCTATTTCTGAGTATTTTAACCCATTGCTTTACAGTGTGCAACGGCAATACTGACATTTCAATGTCACTTAGAGTAGTCCATTGATTTTTCCCTGTTTCTACAAGTCATTCTAGTAGCAAGTTTACCTCATGTCCTGGAGTTTTTTACAAGTAGCTAAATAGTTTATTTCAGGTCAGTGCTCCAAAATCAATAAATTTTCTCATCATCAAAGGACTTCAAAATTCAGTCCCTCACACTCTTGTTTTCTAGTGGTACATGCTAGCTAGGTCTTTCGGATCCTTTGATTTTTTTTTTTAAGTCTCTTTTCTCTCTCTCGCTCTTTTTTTTTTTTCATATCTTCAGCAGGTGTAACTTAATTCTATAGTAGTAGTGGGAAGTGGGAGCAGATCCTGGTTGGAGAAGGAGTATTACAGTCCTGAAACAGAATTTTGTAACATCTCAAACAAGAAATGTGTGCCAATGCAAAATGTGGATGAGTGGACCATTTCTGCAGGACCAGTAAGTTCAGAGGAATCTGAATATACAAAATTTCAAAAAAAAAAAATCAAACCAGATATTCCTATCACATGGATTAAGGTCACATTATTTCCCAGCCAAAAATCAGACCTTCATACAGCACGCCAGCCTTCTTTGGAGCTCAACTATTCTGACAATGAAATCCTCTGCTTGGTCCTCAGCTTTGTTTGCATTTCCACTGCTGCACATGGGAGCCTCTTTGCAAACTGTCTATAAGACTGGCCTTTGAGGATGGATGCAATGGCTCATGCCTGTAATCTCAGCACTTTGGGAGGCCCAGGTGGGAGAATCACTTGAGCCCAGGAATTTGAAACCAGCCTGGGTAACATAGTGAGACCCTGTCTCTACAAAATGTTAAAAAATTAGCTGGGAGTGGTGGTGCATGCCTATAGTTCCAGTTACTCGGGGGTGGGGGGACTGAGGTGGGAGGATCAATTGAGCCCAAGAGGTCAAGGCTGCAGTGAGCCATGATCCTGCCACTGCAATCTAGCTTGCGGGACAAAGTGAGACACTGCCTCAAAATAAGGAAAAAAAGACTGGCTTTTGTAATTTAAAACCAAGATTTTGACTCTCTCATTCTCTAAATCTACAAATAATAATAATAAATTAATAATGACTCGCACTTTTTACGAAATTACTATATGTTAAGCATTTCTGTAAGCACTTATTTTTTTTTTTTTTTTTGAGATGGAGTCTCGCTCTGTCGCCCAGGGTGGAGTGCAGTGGTGTGATCTCGGCTCATTGCAACGTCCGCCTCCCGGGTTCAAGCGATTCTCCTGCCTCAGCCTCCCGAGTAGCTGGGACTACAAGCACGTGCCACCATGCCCAGCTAATTTTTTGTATTCTTAGTAGAGACGGGATTTTGCTTTGTTGTCCAGGCTGGTCTCCAACTCCTGAGCTCAGGTGATCCGCCCACTTCAGCCTCCCAAAGTGCTGGGATTACAGGCATGAGCCACCATGCCCTGCCTCTAAGTACTTTTAATGTAGAAAAAGTTATTCTGACAAAAATGAGATTATTCTATTGTGTACATCCTGGTCATGTTCCAGAGAATAACTCTGATTGATCAGCTTACACCTACTGCTCATCTCTGGACTAAGCAACTATGTCCAGAGTTTCATCAGGATGTAACTGTTCCTTGTTGTTGCCACGTGATTGGACTTTGAGTGTGAGGTGGAGAGGACAAAGAGTCTTTAAAGGAAAAGATTGATAATGGATAAATGTAATTTTCAAAGTCCAATTATTTATTAATAAGAGAAGAACAAAGGGCAAATGGGATTGCAAATAATTATGTTTACACATTTTAACTACTCAAATTTTAGATTGGTGCAAAGGTAATTGCAGTTTCTGCCATTAAAGTAATGACCAAAATGCAATTACTTTTGCACCAACCTAATAAATATATTCTAATTTGAATTCATTAAGAGTCTAATTATTCCGAAGCAATAGGGTTAAATAATACTACACACATTAAAGAGGAATCACAAATTCTGAGAACACTTATATTTTTAACACAAAAAACTACCATTTTAATGCAGTTATTAATAATAAATAAAGGACATACATTCCTTAGAATATATTTTCTAAAATATCCTAATTGGTAACCTTGTTTTCAGTGAGTAAGCATCAAGAATTATATATTTTCATTAGTGAGTCTACAAACACACAAACACACAGAGGCATGCACAAATACAGACTTTTTCACAATTTTAACTTTGTTCACCAATTCAGAATTCAGATTTAAGAATGTTTGAGTGTTTTTCATGGAATCTTCAACGTATATTTATTTATAAACCAAACATTAGAACATTTGAAGTACTAAAGGATTCTGCCAATTTGGAAAGACTTTGAATCTTTCTATGTCATTATTGATTAGAACAAACATATGTGCAGCTTCTAAAATTTTACCTTCTTCCTTCATAATCCTCATTTATGTATATATAATATGGTTCTGATATTTATACATAAACTTGATTAGCTAATGCAAATGATCATTGGATATGGCTTTGAAATTAAAAAGTAATTATATTACTTATTACTTTTCTATCTATAGTAGTTCTATTGTGACATTTTGATACTAATATCATTTCAAGAAAAATACAAATGAAAATTTGTGGCTATTAAATGTAGCCAATATATTTTAGGTTTCTGTTGAGTTATTTCTTCGATCTGTTAACTGGAAGCAGTAGACACACTGAGTTGTATAACACTGAACACTATTGGTCAATTCATTAATCTTGATAAATGATAGAATAGCACATTCTTCTCTCCTTTTCTTTTTATACCTGTATCTCTATATATACAGATATACACCAAGACATACATGAACACACATACAGAGAATACTTGGTGCAATGAGACTTTTAAACTGTAATATACATATTATAACTTCCTCAATCTATATCAACTACTGCCTTGAAAAGGAATGAAGTTTAATTCATTTACTGTAGATCATCTTAGAATGCAAACAAGTGAAGCATATGGCCCCATCAATGTGAGTTACTTTCTTTAACTGTTATTAATAATAAGTAAATGATATATATCTTCAGTTCCATGAGAAATAACTCAATGAAGTCATGCAGGCAGTAAGGCAGCCATTGTACTAACCCTTCAAGAATTTAGGACAATAATATGAGTAGAGGACACACATAAACCAACAAAATTCAGCTTTGCTTCTGTTTTGTAAATGAAGTTCAAAAATACAATTTTGAAATTTAGGAGAGATAGTAACTATGTTAAAATATGTGGACATTTGACCACATCACCTAGTGCCCTATTTTCTAAGCTTCCAGCATTGAACCGAAAGTGCTAAAGTGAATCAGATGAAATACCTTGATGTCAGTCAAAGGGAATAGCCTGATTGCTCAGCCATCCTTTACAATCTCCCATTGAACCAAGGAGAGGTGAAACGATGTATATAGCAAAGTCATGAAGATTGATGGCGCCCGCTGCTTCCAAATGTACCCTATCTGCATGCAAACCACTTGACACATGAACTGATAGAAAACAAAGAGTGTTTGCCCAGGAAAAGTGCTTCAGCAAGCTTAATTTCCATAGCCATTTGCACAGCAAAAGCAAGATCTAATAGGTCCCAGAGAAATCAGCAAAGCCATGATAAGAATTCAAAGCCACAAACTAAATAAAAAGAGATTATTAGCTACATTGCAGTAGGCAAACAGTAAAGACTTAAGTGATCAATACTTGACAAGACACATGCCACAAGCTTCATGTATAGGTCAGTCTCACACACCGTTTTTTAAATAAATCGACTGACTTTTGGACAAGGCACATAAAATGTCACTTTTTATCTCTCAGTTGATATTTTCCTCCAAGAGGGAAAAAACTTATCTATTCACCTCCCTAAGAGATTTGATCGAAAAGATAGTCACTCCTGATATAAGGTTTAAAGGGGAAAACTGCAATCAAGTGGAAATTTTTGTCAGTACCTTAATCTCTGATTTGTAGAAGGTTTTGCTTTGGGATATTTGGTATGTCTGAGGATTGCCACCAAAGAGCCCTTCTGTTCTTTAATGGCTGCACTAAATCTTAACAAACGTGAGCATGAAAACTATTGTGCTGCACTCGTGAGACATATATCAAAGTTATATTTTTTAAAGCTTGGGAAGGCAGTTGAATCATGCATGCTCTTTATGGTGCTCTGATCAGGCTGATAAAGGCAGTTCAGCTTCAATAAATGCTTTTTAAGTGAATGTTTTGGAAAGTGAATAGGAAATTCAAAGCTCAAACTGTTGCCAAACTGCTCCCACAGCACTTTGATCACTTTGTTTCTGACATTTCGTTGAAAATGTCTTGTTTTTATTAAAATGTTGGCATCTAGAGACCGAGAAAGTTAACTGTAGTCACCAAAAATATAATATACAGTAAATCATGGGATGACATGACTTATTAAGTACTTTGTACACATTCCTTAAAAAGAAAAATATTTCCCTGTGGGGTCACACACAGCATTGCACTTGTCTGGGAAAAAGTTCATATTGTTAAAAGAAAAACAAGTACAGAAGATAAATCAAATACTAGCACTTTGCCTCAGGCAAAAGGATAAGAAGTTATACAACTCTGCTATCAAAAAATTAGTAATTTTATTATATAAACATTTGAAAAAGTATAGAGACAAATGTTGAAATAAGCCTGATGCATTTGTATGCTACCTTTAAATTATGATCACAGAATGTATCTTTAACTAGAAGGACAGAGAGGATATTATGACCCTTTCATATTTTACATGCTGGAAGAATGTTTCAATAATTAGGGAATGCAGATTTCTCTGATCACAAATGTCACAGTTTAAACTGTGTGACTTCTGCAATTGAGGTGTTGAGTTAATCTGAAGAGTAGGGTATATGTGCAAACCAAAAATAGTAACTAGAAAATTACTCAAATATAGACACAAACATTAGTATTAAATCTATAGGATGTTCTTAATATATTTGACATACATAAAAGGCAAAGCATAACATTCTATGCTGATGTTGCTAGCAAAATAATAATGATGATCATGACTTGAAGAATAAGCAGTACATTGCTTTCTTCCTTGTTCTAGTTAAAAATCTAATCTCTCCAACATTTGCTTCAATTTTACCAGCTGTAATTTTTAATACCTCTTTCCAAAATTTTCATTTCATTATCTTGTTAACTAATGATATCCCTTTGAGCCACTACATGAAGTTGTGATAATTTTCATAGTTTTCATGTACTCTGCAGTATCAGGGAACATAAAGTAAAATGATAGTTCTGAAAAACTGAGAAAAGAAGTCAGTGAATAGAAATTAAACTCCACATCAAACTACCAAGAAGTACCAATAATAGGAGATATACATATATACATATGCAGGTATATACATACACATGCATATGTTTTATATATACATATGTAGTTATATATACACACACATGTTTTATATATACATATATACACACACCCATGCATCACTTAACAATGGGAACACATTTTGAGAAATGTGTCATTAGACAATTTCATCACTGTGCAAACATCATGGAATGTACTTTCACAAACCTAGAGGAAATAGCCTACTATACACCTAGGTAATATGGTATAGCTTACTGCTTCTAGGCTACAAACCTGTACAGTATGTTACTGTTATGAATACCAAGGCGAGTGTAAGTCAATGTATGTATTTGTGTATCTAAATATATCTAAACATAGAAAAAGTACAGTCAAAAATGGCATCATAAACATGCAACCACTGTTCTTGGCTGACTGCAATGTCATTATGTGGTACATGAATGTATGTAGAGCTTTCCACCCAGAGAATTAGAGCATTATTACTAAACACAGACCTGGATGTTTAAGTCAATATATTGATATGTGTCACTATTTCAAAAACTTAGATTTTTTTGATTAAATAATTATTGAACCAGAGATTTGATTGAAGATTCATAAAGCCAGGTCTCTCTTTAATAATAGTGAGTGAGTAATTTGGGTCATGGTCTGCCTGGAGATAAACTCGTGCTGTTGGCAGGGCATGGCAGGAGCCAGACCGGCCACACCAACTGTGAGGGAGCTGGGTGAGGCCTACTGCTACCGGCTTTCCCCCACTTCCCTGGCGACAGAGGCAGCCACATTTCCCTCTGAACCCCATTGGCTCAAGAACCACCCCTCCATCCCGCACAGTGACCGTGGCAAGCCCCACCCAAGGATAGTCTGAGCTCAGATCCCCCTAACCCCGCCCCCACCTGATACTATTTCTCTACTGCCCAGTACCTGAACACAGAAGACATAAACTCTTGGGAATTTTCTGACCTCGCCCATCGTCTGAGAAACCCGAATGCTTATCCTGGCCATCTTGGGGCAAGCTTATATCCCCCTTCCACTAACGCAGCTGGTGCTCTCTTAAAAACGTCACCTCCTGGCTGGAAGCCAACGAACTCAGGACGTTACAGCATCTCGTAACAGAATAACCCTGCTCCAAGGAAGGAGAAAAATAATGGTGAGTGAGTAACGTGGAACAAACCTCACTCAGGATTGCTGCTGAACAGCAACAGCAATAGTAATCTCCCTGAATAAGTGAAGGCACAGGCAAGTTAAGAAGATAACAAATAATTACCAGACAAGGAGCCAGGAAAGGCTCAAAACCAGGGAGTGAGCCTGGCAATAGAGACTCCTGAAGCTATTTAATTATGGAGGTGGCAGCTGAAAGTTAGGAGGTAGAGTGGAGCATTGATAGCCTTCTAGGAAGGTGGGGAGAAGGATTTGATTCCATGTCTTGCCAAGGAAGGATAGCCTGATGAACCCTATCACAGTGGCTGGAGATACTGAAGCTCTGAATTCTATGAGAAAGGTTAATTCAGAATAATCAGAGACTGCAGTGCACCTTCAAATCATTCTAATCTTAGACATTGCGTTAGGATGATGCTGGAGTGATTGTGCCCTCTATCTCCTTGGAAGAAAGAAAAAAAAAATCCCCAGAGGGTGATATTATTATAATTTTCAAAATATTTCTAAAACAATTTTCTAAATATAACTTCCACACACGAACAAACATAGCTAGGTACAAATAAATGCAGGTAGACAACATGTAGAAAAATCAGTGTAACAAAAAGAACCTACAGAAATTATGTGTAGAAATAAATATAATTTCTGTATGCTAGACAATAAAATAATAGATAATTTTGTTAGAAATCTAGAAACTCTTAAGCAAAACTTAATAATATACTGACTAAAATGAAGAACAGAAAGGATGGATTTAATATAACATTAGAAAAGGTGAAGGGATTTTTCGTTAAATAGAATACTACCCATAAGTAAATATTTAGACTAAATTACAAAAGGACAAAAAGTTTAAAAATCAAAAAAGGGCCGGGCGCAATGGCTCAAGCCTGCAATCCCAGCACTTTGGGAGGCTGAGGTGGGTGGATCACCTGAGGTCACGTGTTGGAGACCAGACTGGCCAACATGGTAAAACTCCGTCTCTCCATCTCTACTAAAATACAAAAATTAGCCGGGCCTGGTGGGGGGCACTTGTAATCCCAGCTACTCAGGAGGCTGAGCGCTTGAACCTGAGAGGTGGAGGTTGCAGTGAGCCAAGATCACACCATTGCCCTCCAGCCTGTGCAACAAGAGTGCAGCTCCATCTCTAAATAAATAAATAAATAAATAAATAAATAAATAAATAAATAAATGACATGGTATGATATATAGAATACAGTGATATGGTTTAACATATATGTAAGTAAAGATCTATAAAAGAGAGAGAATGGACCAGAAACTGAATTTGAAGAGATTGTGGTTGAGAATACATAACACTGATTCAAGACAACACACAGATGCTAGATTAGCATACCTCAAGCAGAAAAAATAAGAAAGTAATCCACGTGTAGAAACATCACAGTATACCTTCTGATAAATCAAGACAAAAAGCAAATCTTAAAAGCAACTGCAGAAAAAATTCAAGGTTACCTTTCAAAGTGCAAAATGCAGGATGAAAATTGATTACTCAACACACACATGTACACACACACACACACACACACACAAATAGAAGCCAGACTACAATATTGCTAGCCTAGAATTCTATGTCCTTCAAAAATTAAGCTGAAATGAAGACATTTGCAGACACAGAACCCATTGGTTGGCATAGCCCAATAGTTTAAATACTATTTATATGTTGATTACCAAATACCTATCTCAAACTCCATGCTCTATTCAACACTTTCACATCTCTATTTGAATGTTTCATAAATATTTCAACCCCCTACAGTATCTTCTATTAAAAATGAACTCTTGATCTTATTGCCAAAATCTGCTCCACCTACAGCCTTCACAGATGATAGCAGTTGCGTGTGCCTGACAACACTCTTTCCTATATTCACTAGGCAATCACTATCCGTCACTTTATTTTTTTTACCAAACATATCCAATAAACTGCTAAGCCATAGCAGCAAGAATTATCCTTTCGCAACCTCATTCAGATCATGTTACTCTTTTCCTAAAAACCTTCAATGACTTCCCATTTCAATCATTAGAGATATATTTTTCTTTCCAATGGACTATAAAATGCTGCATGATTTGTCTTCCTTCTTTCCATTTCCTTCCTCTTTGACATTATTGTCTAATACCCCTCTACCAAAGCAACAATTGAGCTGGAAAGAGAGATTTACAATTAAGTAATTCAGAACAGTGATACCTGCTTAAACACTTACAACAACAAACAGAGTATTGGATGAAGGGAGAGGTTCCTACACGTAGGCAAAAACGTGGCATGCATAACCAAGCTACCATTTCCCATTCCTCAGTATATAACAAAAGCTCAGGAAGAAGGAGTGGCCTGCACTTCAGGAGCAGCTGGCCTGTGCCAGAGCAGGCAACTGGATTCATGTTCTCCGAAACTTTGGGATTGTGCACTTTAGTGGATATGGCAGTGCCCTGAGGAACTGGCATAGATTTTTGCCTTGGTTTTAGTCCTCTAGGACACCATAGCTTTCCCAGATACATTGATCAAGAAGATTTAAAGGACCAGTGTACCTTTGTTGTTTTGTAGTTTTGTTTTTTTTTTTTGTTTCTTGGAAACACATTTTAAAAAATCTTAGTCACCGGCCGGGCACGGTGGCTCACAGCTGTAATCCCAGTGCTTTGGGAGGCCAAGGAAGGTGGATCTTGAGGTCAGGAGTTCGAGACCAGCCTGGCCAACATAGTGAAACCCCATCTCTACTAAAAATACAAAAATTAGCTGGGCATGGTGGCACACACCTGTAGTCCCAGCTACTCAGGAGGCTGAGGCAGGAGAATCACTTGAACTCGAGAGGTGGAGGTTGTGGTGAGCCAAGATCACGTCACTGCACTCCAGCCTGGGCAACAGAGTGAGACTCTGTCTCAAAAAAAAAAAAAAAAAAAAAAAAAAAAGAAAGAAAAAAAACATAGTCACCATTAGACTGCAGAGACAACAGAACAGAAACTTCAGTGACTGCACACAGCAAGGAATACACATCTTACAAAAATAAAAATAATTTGGAAAAGTAAAAAACTGCTTCACATGTCACCAAACAAAAAATCAGAAATCCCAGAGGAGTTAGAGAATCAAATTTCTAGAGTTACTGCATAATAATACTGAGAATGTCTCTGGCTCTTTTTTGGTTCCACATGAATTTTAGAATTTTTTTTCTAATTCTATGAAAAACGATGTTGGTAATTTGATAGGAACTGCATTGAATCTGTAGATTGCTCTGGGTAGAATGGTCATTTTTGTGATATTAATCTTTCTAATCCATGAGGATGGAATGTTTTTCTATTTGTTTTTGTCATCTATGATTTCTTTCATCAATGACTTGTAGTTCTCTTTGCAGAGATTTTTTCACATCCTTGGTAAAATATATTCTTAGGTATTTTTTTTTTATTTTTTTGATGACTATCATAAGTGGGATTGAGTTCTTGATTTGATTATCACCTGAACATTACTGGTGTGTGCAAATACTACTGATTTTTTTACCTTGATTTTGCATCTTGAAACTTTACTGAAGTTTTTAATCAGGTCTAGAGTCTTTGGGGAGAAATCTTCAGTGTTTTCTAAGTAATGAATAATGTAATCCACCAGGAGATATTTTGACTTATTTTTTTCATATTTGGATGTCTTATTTCTTTCTCTTGTGTGATGGCTCTGGCTAGGACTTCCAGAACTATGTTGAATAGGAGTGGTGAGAAAGGACACTTTTGTCTTGTTCCACATGTTAGGGAGAATGCTTTCAACAAACAAGAACATGAGGAAAGAATACCCTATTCAGCAAAAGATGCTGAGAAAACTGGTTAGCCATTTATAAAAGGATGAAACTGGACTCCTACCTCTCACAATATATAAAAATTAACTCAAGATGGATTAAAGACTTAAACGTAAGACCTCAAACTGTAAAAACCCTCGAAGAAAATCTAAGACAAACTTTTCTGGACCTTGGCCGAGGCAAAGAATTTATGACTAAGTCTTCAAAAGCAATGGGAACAAAACTGAAAATTGACAAATGGGACCTAATTAAACCAAAGAACTTCTGTACAGGATAAGAAACTATCAACAGAGAAGACAGACAATCTACATAATGGGAGAAAATATTTGCAAATGATGTATCCAACAAAGGAATAATATAAGAAATCCATATGGAGCTTAAATAAATAAGAATAAAACCATTAAAAGTGGGCAAAGGACATGAACAGACACTTAGAAGAAAACACATATGTGGCCAGAAAACATGAAAAAAATGCTCAACATCACTAATCATCAGAGAAATGCAAATCAAAACCACAATGAGATATCATGTCAGCCAGAGTGAGTATTATTAAAAAATAATAAAAAAATAGATGTTGGCAAAGATGAGAAGAAAGGAAAATGCTTGTGCACTGCTGATGGGAATGTAAATTAGTTAAACCCCTATTAAAAACAGTATGGAGATTTCTCAAAGAACTAAACATCTCACTCAGCAATCTCACTACTGGGTATATACCCAAAGGAAAAGAAAGTATTTTATTTAAAAAAACAATACAAAAAGAAGACACCTGCACTTGTATATCACAGCACTATTCACAATAGGAAAGTCATGGAATCAACATAAATGTCCATCAATGGTGGATTGAATTTAAAAAATGTGGTACATATATGCCATGGAATACTACACAGCCATAAAAAAAGAATGAAATCATTTCCTTTGCAGAAACATGGATACAGTCATTATCCTAAGTGAATTTACTTAGAAAAGCAAATACTCTGTTCTCACTTATAAGTGGGAGCTAAACAATGAGTACACAGGGACATAAAAATGGAAACAATAGCCTCTGAGGACTCTGAAAGGGTAAGGAGAGTGGGTGACAAGGCCTGAGAACCCACCTGTTGTGTAGTATGTTCAGTCTTTGGTGATGGGTTTACTAGAAGCCCAAATGCCAGCATCACTAAACATACCCATGTAACAAGCCTACACATGTACCCTCTGAATTTAAGATAAAATGAAAATTAAAATATCAACTGTCTCAAATACACTCAATGGGATGAAAGAAACCATAGTAAAGAGCTAAAGTAAATAAGGGCCAGGCATCGTGGCTCAAGCCTGTAATCCCAGCACTTTGGGAGGCCGAGGCATGTAGTTCACTTGAGGTCAGGAGTTCAAGATAAGCCTGGCCAACATGGAAGCAACATCTCTACTAAAAATACACAAAAAAATTAGCCAGGAGTGGTAGCACATGCCTGTAATCCCAGTTACTTGTAAAGCTGAGGCAGGAGAATTGCTTGAACCTGGGAGGCAGAGGTTGCAGTGATCCAAGATCGTGCCACTGCACTCCAGCCTGGGCGAGAGAGGGAGACTCCATAGAAGAAGAAAATGAATTAAAAGAGGCATAAAATAGCTGAAGAATAATAGCCCAAAACTACTCAAATCTGATGAAAAACATGAATACACATGCCCAATAATCTCAAAGCCCTCCAAGCAGGATAAACCCAAAAATGCAGACCAAAAAATATAGTCTGACTGTCAAAACCCAAAGACAGAGAATTTTGAAAGCAGCAAGAGAGAAGTAATTCATCATGTACAAGGAATACTCAATAAGGTTAATAACTGATTTCTCATCAGACTATGGATTGAGATAATATATTTAACCAGAAGGCAGTGGGATGGCATATTTAAATTCTTGGAAGAAAATCAAAACAGAAACAAAACATCTCAACCAAGTTTTTAGTATCTGAAAAAACTATTCTTCAAATATGAAGATGAAATTATGATATTTCTGGACAAACACAAACAGAGGGAAATTATTACTAGTCAATGTGTATTACAAGGAATGCCAAATGGGTGTCTTTCAGCTTGAGGTAACAGGACACTAGACAGTAACTTGAAGCCATGAGAAAAAACAAAGAACACTGGTAGAGATAACTGCATAGATTAAATATAATTACCAGTATTATTGTATTTTTGATATGTAGCTCCTTTTTTCTTATATTATTTAAAAGGCAAATGCATAAAACAATAATTATATATTTATCTTAAAAGACAGACAATGTATAAAGATGTAATCCGTGACAATAAAAATATGAAGGCAAAGTGACAGAGATGTATAGGAGCACAGTGCTTGTATATTAATAAAACTATGATAGTATTATTCAAACTATGTTGCCATAAGGTCAAGTTATCAATGGTAATGCACAAGTTAATTACTAAGAAAATAACTAAAGCAATACAGAAAAGGAAAGAAGTTAAAATAATAACTAGACAAAATTAATGAAATACAAAAATAATCAGTAATGGAGGAAATGAAAAGTACAAAAATGTCAGACAGAGAAGCAAATAGTTAAATGACAGAAGTAAATTTTTCCTTCTCATTAATTACTTTAAATGTAAATGGATTAAACTCTCCTTTAAAAGGAAGATACTAGTAGATAAGACTTAAAAAAAGATCTATCTATAATACAAGAGACTCACTTTAGATACTAAGACACAAAGAGTTTGAAAGTAAAAAAGAAAAAAAATGTATTTTATATAACATAGCCACCAAAATACACTTCAAGTCCAAATAAGGTAACAATGAGCAAATAAGAACCTTACATATTGATAATAAAATTTCATTCACCAAGAACATATAACAATTAGAAACATATTAACAACAGACCCCCAAATGTAAAAGACAAAAATTAACCAAGTTAAAAAGAGTTAAACAATAATAATTGGAGAATTCTAAACCAAATTTTTAATAATGAATAGAACAAGCATACAAAAAGTCAATAATAGAGAACTTGAAGAATAGTGTTAAAATATTAGACCGACTAATTATTTGTTGGAAAACTACTCAACAGCAGAATACATATTTTCCTCAAGTGCACCTGGAATGTAAGATAGATCATATATTAGTCCACAAAAAGTCTGATATTTTAAAAGATAATACACATATAAAATATCTATTTTGACTATAATGGAATAAAATGGAATAAAATGGAACAATGAATAAGTTTCAACTTTTTTTAAAAAGAAATATTAGAAATACCTTGAAAAAATACAAATAAAAGCACACTTTACAAAAAGTTATGAGATTCAGATAAATCGGGGCCAAGAGGAAAAAATGTAGCTTTAAACACCTACTAAAATCAGAAAGATCTAAAATGAACAACTTTATAATACACCTTAACAAATTAGGAAAAGAGAAAACTAAGTCCAAATCTAGCAAAAGAAAAGAAATAAAGTTTAGAGCACAGAAAAATACAATACAGAATAGAAAAACAATAGAATTAACAAAACAAAATTTGGTTATTTGGAAAAATCAATTATGTTATCAAACTTTATCTACATTAAGATAAAAAAAGATACATATTACCAACTTAGAATAGAAAATGGGATAATACTAATAATTTTAAAGAAATAAAAAGAAATATAACAGAATACTACTAACAATTATATGTCAAAATTGGAAAACCTAGATGAAATGAACAAATTTCTGTAATCAGAACTGACTCCGGAAGAAACAGAAAATCTGTACATACTTATAGCAAATAAAGAGATTCAATCAGTAACTGAATTCTTCCCAGTAAAGACAAGCCCAGGACCACATGACTTCACTGGTAAATTTTTTCAAATATTTGATGAAGAATTGAAGTGAACTCCTGTCAAACTCTTCCAAATAATTGAAAAGAAGGGAACACTGACTAACTCATGTAATGAAGCCAGCATTACCTTGATATAAAAACCAGACAAAGGTACTACAAGAAAAGAAAACTATAGGAAATGGTCATTTGTGACTATAGATGTAAAATAAACTCAGGAAAATAATAGCAAATCAAATCTAGCACCATATTAGTATCATTATACACCACGAAATAGTTTTACCCTAGGAATATAAGGGTAGTTAATACGGTTTGGATTTGTGTCCCCACCTGAATCTCATATCAAATTTTAATCCTCAGTGTTGGAAGTAGGGCATGGTGAGAAGTGACTGGATCATGGGGGCAAATTTCCCACTTTAGTGCTTTTCCTTTGATGGCGTTCTTATGAGACCTGGTTGTTTCAAGTGTGTGGCATCTCCTCCCTCTCGACTCGGTCTTCCTCCCATTCTGGTCACATGAAGCACTCACTGCTTCATCTTCTGCCATGTCTGTAACTTTCCTAAAGCCTTCCCAGAAGCCTAGCAGATGCCAGCATCATGCTTCCTGTACAGCCTATGGAATTATGAGCCAATTAAGCCTCTTTTCTTCATACATTACCCAGTCTCAGGTATCTATTTATAGCAATGAGAGACTAAACTAATACAGCAGTTTAACATACAAGAACCAATCAATGTAATACAACACATTAATTGAATGAAGGGGGAAAGGAGCACATGATTATCTCAACTGAGGCAGAAAAAAACTTTCAAAAATATCTAAAACTTTTTCATTACTTTTTAAAAAACTCAATTATGATTAGAAAGGAATTTTTGCACTATGATTAATGGCTTATATTAAAAATTCACTATTAACATCATATAAATGGTGAAGGACTAATAGTGTTTAATCTAAGATCAGGAACAAAAAAAATACCCACTATTATCACTTATATTTAACACAGTGCTGCAAATTTTAGTCTATGCAGTTAGATTAGAAAAATACATAAAGCATTCATTTTAGAAAAATAAAAATAAAATGTTCTCTCTATGCAAATAACATGATCTTAGCTTTAGATACTCTTAAAGAACACACATACACATGAAAAGAAAAGAAAACAAAAAATTACTAGAGCTAAAAAACTTAAATTTAGCAAAGTTATGGAACATACAAACCAGTTGCATTTGCATAGTCTTGCAGTTGATAGTAAAAAAGAAAAATGTTTAAAACACGCATTTGCAATAGCTTTGAAAATAATAAAATGCTTAGAAATAAATTTACCCAAGGAGGTAAGACTTATAAATATTGCTGACAAACATTAAAGAAGACACAAATAAATGGAAAAGAAAAACACATGTTCTCGGTTAAAAGGATTAAAATTATTAAAATGTCAATACTACCCAAAGTGATCTATAAATGCAATTCAATGCCTATGAAATCTCGGTGAATAATTCTTTTCTGACATAGAAAAATTCAACCCCAAATTCCTATGGAACTCCAAAAGATCCCAAATAGCAGAAACAATCTTGAAAAAGAGAAAAGTTAGAGGACTCATACTTCCTTATTTCAAAACTTAATGCAAACCTATAGTAATCAAAACTGTCTGGTACTGGCATATAGACCAATGGTGTAGAATAGAAAGGCTGGAAACACTGACATCGGTAGTCACTTGATATTTGACAAGAGTGCCAGGGTCATTCACTGGTGAATGGATGGTCTTTTCAACTAATGAGTGTTGGGGAAACTGGATATCCACAGGCAAAATAATGAAGTTGATCTCTTACCTTACACCTTGTACACAAATTAATTCAAAATAGATGAAAAACTAAAAATAAGAGCTGAAGCTATAAAAATCAAATGAAAACGTAGGGAAAAATACTCATGATGTTAGATTTGACAATGCTTTTTTGGAATATGACACCCAAAGAACGGGCAACAAAAGAAAAAAATAGGTCAAACTTTTTTAAAATTAAAAATGTTAGTGCATCAAAACACACTATGAAGAAGGTGAAAATAAAATCTATAGAAGGAAAGAAAATATTTGCAAATAATATATCTGATATGGAATTAATATGCAGAATATATAAACCTCTTTCAGCACAATACCATCAGCAACAACAAAATGCACTAAGCGCTTATATAGATATTTCTCCAAATAAGATATATAAATGGCCAATAAGCACATGAAAAGATGTTAAACATCATTGGTCATTAGAGAAATGCAAATTAAAACCACAATGAGATAGCACTTCACTTCCATTCAGTTGGCTGTTATAAAACAAAACCAACCAAACCAAACAAAACCCTGAATATTCTGTCTGTTGGAGAGGCACTGTGGAAAACAGTTTGTGGTTCTTCCAACAGTTCAGGAATACCGCATTACCAGCAATTCCACTTCTAGGTGTATACCCAAAAGGATTGAATCAAGGACATAAAAGATATTTATACACCCATGTTCACAATAACATCATTCATAGTAACCAAAAGGTGGAAAGAAACCAACTGTCGATCAACAGATGAGTAAATAAACGATGGAATAATATTCAGCCTTAAAAAAATGAAGTTCTGATATGTGCCTCAACATAGATGAACTTTGAAAATATTCTAAGTGAAATGAGTCAGTCATAAAATGACAAAGGTATAATTTTACTTCTATGAAGTATCTCGTCTGGGCAAATTCATGAAGACAGAAAGTAGAATTGAGGTTATCAAAGGCTTGCGGAAGGGGTAATTGGGAATTATTTTGTAGTAGTTACAGAGATTCTGTTTTGATTGATTAAAAACTTGGAAATAGAGCGTGATGGTGGCTATACAAGATTGCAAATGTACTATAAGTCACTGAATTGTACATTTTAAAATGGTGCAAATGGTAAGCCTCTTTTTTTGTATATTTTACCTAATGGAAAAAAAAAAAGAACTTTCCTCTAGCTGTTCCTTCTGTTTCAAATGTGTCTATTTGACTAACTCTCTTACTTCTTTCAAGTCTTTCTTGAAACTCTATTTCTTACTGAAGCCTATCCTGACCTTCCTATGTATAATTTCAAACTTCAACCTGACCATAACACCTACTTTTACTTCCTGACTCCCCTTTCTCTTTATTCTTTTTAAAATAACTTATCATTTTTTAATACATTATTTATCTCTTTTATGTGTATTGTTTGTTTTTTAACGAGGTATAAGCTAAGTTTCCCCAAATTTGTAATCTCTGTTTTACTCAAATACAAACAGCTATGCCCAGCACACAGCTCATGCTCTATCAATATTTGTTGAATGAATGAGTAAATGATTAAAATCCTATACTAAACAGCACTTTTCAGTGGAAGAATGCTGGATTTTATTTGAAAATCGCACATGGCAATATGTTGGGGATTTTTGTGATTAGGCTTAGTGAAAGAAGGCAGTTTTCACACTTATTTATGCTTGTTAGTCTTTAACTTATTTCATACTTGTTAGTCTTTCCTTTTGTTACCATAAATGACTATGACTAAATAATATAATACCATTTGAGGAATATATACTGGTTTCATTCAATAGAATGCCCTTGTAAATATGCAATATATGAACAAGTTTAACTGAAGATTTTATATTCTTCAATGTTTTTCTTGTCCTATATTTTCTGACAGTCCTGCCACATAGGCTGAGAAACATAGGCATTGATCTAGTTATCTCTGGAGTAATCATATATTTTTTAAATGCACATTGGCTTTTGGGAAATGCCTTTTGATACATCATACAAGAACAAAATTGTATCAAGGCTAACGTTAAGAAAAGAGACTCGTTTACCGAATCAAAATTAGTCTCTGTGGGTGTGGAATTGAAATCAAATTTCTGTTAAATAGGGCCCCAAGAAATCGGTTGTAACCAGCAGTTAATGACCAGCTTGCTAACAGCTTGAGGCAAAGCCAAGGGCAGTTAACACTCCAACAAATTAGTTGTTAACTGTGTTAATGACTGATTTTGCAGGGATTATTGCTATTATAAACAGTCATCAATCTAGCTTTACCACTGAGTCTAGAAAAATTTGCAGCCAAAAAAGATTTTTATGCCCTCAGTTTGATACTCTGGATTCTAGTTAATATGATGATCTAAAATCATAAAATGCCAGATTTCCTGCTTTGCTGAGAGTAAAACTCATAAAAATTTACTTTTCTTCTCCATATTTGTAGTATAAATATATAAGATAATTAGTCATGAGAATCAATAAGAAAATATAATACAAATATGCAAATTTATTCTTATTTTGCATGTATATTCATGCTTAATTTGTTAAAGTATGCATTTTAAAATCACAGGACACCATTAAAAAAACGGTCAATGATAGTAGTTTAGCATCTCTGGCAAAATTTTCAGTCAAAAATGGCAAACAGAAAATATAAAATAGATTCATATAAGATAAAACTAAATTTTGGAAAGTTAAGTCCAAAATTATTTAACAACAAAATACATACATATGAGATCTATATTAATCTTAAATTGTGGATATTGTTTTAAAGTAAATTTCTTGTTTGCCTGTGAATAAATTAGAAAAACATGAGAGTATTTTTAAACTGTATTTTAACCAAAAACATACTATGAGACTAACATTTAATTTTATAATATTTTAAAATTACTTGATTTTAATTAACTTTTAATTCTAATCCATTGCCCATATCACATTTTGTAATATATATTTTTAACATAGTGAAAGTGTATATTGTTTTTTCCGTGGTTTAACTCTGTGGTTTATTGTATTGTTGAAGTTATTTTAAATGCAATTTCAGAAGTGTCATTATTTACATATTTGAAATAGCTTCCTGTATATATTTTATAAGTACAGATATAGCCACTGGAATTTACAATAATAACGTATTTTTATTGTTATAAATGTATTTTTAAGTAAATGGTTATAAAGATAAGTTATTAATGGTTTTACTATACTCTCCACATCCAAGTTTCTGCAATTAAAGTTGCATTTCAAAGTATGTAACTATTTGCAAAATTAAAATACACAGTGTTCTGTTTTTCTTAAACTATAATGGGTAAAGTTGGTTACTTTTGTAACATAAACCCTTTATTTCAGAAGCTATTTTTCTATTCGACTAAAAATTTATTTGCAATTTGTTATATTAACAAAATACCTAGAAATAACCTGTGATGTTAAGAAAATAAAAATCAAAGCATCTAGTGCCCACATAATTAAAGGTAATTACTGAGTTTGTGTAATCATCTTAAATCTCTAATTTGATATGGGTACTAGAAATAATGGAAATGATGTTCATCTTGAATGAATCTATTTTCACTCACTACATTTCAATCTGTTTCAATCTTCTATTAATGTAAAATTTGAAAAGTTCTTTGCAGACTTTTTACAAAATTCCCATTTATTTTATAATTGTCTCATGAATTACCTTTTTAAAAAATATTTTGTAAGCAATCTGTGACCTTTAGACTGCTTGAGTCTGTATAACATTGACATAAACTCTGTTAATTTAGTAATTATTTCAGCATATTTCCAAGTGTTTGATTTATATTTATTCTCAGTTAAGTTTATAATCTTTCAACATAGAAAATTTATGTATATGCATTTTATCTCCTTAATAAAGATATTCCAACCTTCTCTATAACATGATCAGTTTTAATGGTCAGTTCTACTTTTTCTTTTTCTGTTCCGCTATGTATGATAGCTGTTTTCACATTTGAATTCTGCAACACATATCGAAGTAGCAAACATGGATGGAATGCCTACACTCAATGCTGGCCTTCACATCAAGATTACATATTTCATATTTTAGAAGTTTAATATTTTAATCAAGAATTTTAACTCACTGTTTTACTCTGGCCTTTGATAATGTCAGACTCTTTTTTTAAATTGTATGCTTTTAAAATCCAACAATTTAATTGAAATTTTGTTGTTTTTCTTTCCTAGGGAAATATATCCTCTTTTGTTCTTTTGATCTATTATTTTATTCTAATAATCTTTGGTTTGTCTTATCTTTAGTACCTGGTTCTCCCAGAACTTTTGTTTTATACTGATTACTTACAATGCTGTTTATGGCCTACATATAATTTACGCTATTGAAATTATTGTCCCCAATACACTCTAAACACATACAAAAAAAATGAGGGACTTGACACCAGAAGGACATTTAGTTTTTCTTATGCTATTACATCTTTCTTTGTTTTACTTAAGAGAGAGTCAAGTTTTAACTGTAATCTTCTTTCACCCATGATGTCTTAAATGTAACTAGATGTCTAAATAAGCTTAATTCTTATTAAAATTTATCTGTGCCACACAATTTATCACTGTCCAAAGTTATTAACTTTTTTCTTATGTTTATTTCACTTGTTTTCTTAACTAATTTTAAAGTTTTTGTATATAAGAAATTATTCCATATTGTTTCTTGATATTCTATACCTTTATTTGGTGTATTATATTAAATAGAGGGTAAATGCGTATAGTATGAAATTTAGGCCAGGCACAGTGGCTCTAGCCTGTAATCCCAGCACTTTGGAAGGCCAAGGCAGGTGGATCACTTGAGGTCAGGGGTTCAAGACCAGCCTGGTCAACATGGTGAAACCCCCCTCTCTACTAAAAAATACAAAAATTAGACGGGCTGTAATCCCAGCTACTAAGGAGGGTGAGGCAGGAGAATCCGTTGAACCCAGGAGGCAGAGGTTGCACTGAGCCAAGACTGCGCCACTGCACTTCTGCCTGGGTGACAGAGAGGGACTCCATCTCCATCTGGAAAAAAAAAAAAAAAAGAAATTTAATGAATTAGAGGAAAACTCTTACACTTAACACACATTTTAGGTTACTAAAATTAACTATTGGACTAAATTAATTCAAGGCATCTTCAAGTTAGAATTGTAGCAAGTCAGAAGAGATTGTCACTCCCATCCTAATGATGAGATCTACTAGATAAATTGCAAAATCATAAAAAAAAAAACATATTGGGCAGTTGAGAAGTCTAAACAAGCCTAAACGAACTAAAATTCAGAAAATGATGAGCCTTCCCTCCAGTGGCATATTTTATAGCTTCTTTCCTCCCTGGATGACATGCAGGTCTTGGAAGATCAAATATGGATGAGAGTAAGGAGGAACTGATTACGTTTTAAATAACTTTAATGGTTGCATATCAGCTAGTGTCAGGGATTAGAATTTTGTGGGGTCCTAACTGCAACCCAACAACTCTATCGCACAATCCCTTATAAGATCTCAGAGTTAGTACATCAAACAGCCAAAGAGCTCGTTTATATTCATATCCCTTTAAATTATCCCAGGACTTCACAGATTGCAGGACATTGGCTGCTGAAGATGAAGGTGGGCAGTTATACTGTGATTCTTACAGTGTTTTTCCTATGGGCAAAGCTGTGGTTCACAGAATTCAAGGAGAAGGGCTGGAGAGCTAAAATAAATTGAACTTATTTGCTAAAATAATTAAATCAAAATGCTGAACTCATTTGAAGGGTTTTCTTGCACCCTGGACACAACTAAATAAAGTGTCAATGACTATGAAAAGAGTTCACTGGAAATTATCCAAAATGGAAACAGAGAAAAATGAAAGAGAGATAATAGGACAAAAGAAATATCTGGAGAGAGAATGCAAAAGGCTTAAAGGTAACAACTCACAAAGGATCTGTGATCAATTCACAGATCCAAGAAGCTCAGCAAACCTCAAGCTAGATAATACAAATAAAGCCATGCAAATCAGAGTCAAATGGTTGAAAACCATGGAAGATAGTTGGCTTCTTAACAGAAACAATGGAGACCAGAAGACAATGGAATAATATTTTTTAATTGCTAAAAAAACATGAAGCCTAGAATCTGTATGTTGGAGAAATTACACTCAAAAGTAAAAACAAATAGATTTAGCTGGCCAGAAGCTGAAATAACTAGTTGTCAGACAAACTAAGCTGAAAGAAATGTTATAAGAAATGTTTGAAGCTAAAAGAAAATAAAAGAAGATAGAAGACTGAATTTGAGAAAAATAAAATAATAAATAATAAAATTTTGTATTTTGCAGCCCCTTTTCTATAAAATTGAGTAAAATAATAAATAATTGTGGTAAATATTAGCAATACCAAAGAACCTACATATTGTATAGGCTTTTGAAGAAACTTGTTCACAAAGCATCTGTTTTTGACCTTTCAGAAATTTCCTTCAGTGCCCAAGAGCTGGGACAATTTCTCTAAGGGCTTTGAGGTATGTAGTACTATTTTTTCATGTATTCATCAATAATCTGTTATATTAATTTAATTAAAATCCTATTGTATTTACTACTGTCATTATATCTATTTTACAGCATATTTATATAGGAAGGAGCCTCTTAGGTTATCAGCTGCTTACTGAGAATATGTAATATTATATAATGCCCCAGGGTTTCCCTAACTCAGGGGTCATCAAGCCACAGGGCCACAGACCAGTGACAGTCTGTGACCTGCTAGGAACCAGGCCACTCATCAAGAGAAGAGAGGAGCATGGGCGAGGGAAGCTTCCTCTGTATTTAAGCCACTCCCCATCGCTTGCATTAATGCTGGAGTTCCACCTCCTGTTAAATCAGCTGCAGCATTAGATTCTCACAGGAGCATGAACCCTAAAGTGGACTGTGCTGCAAGGGATCTGGGTTGCACGTTCCTTATGAAACTCTAATGCCTGATGATCTGTTACTGTCTCCCACCACCCTCAGATGGGACTGTCTAGTTGCAGGAAGACAAGCTCAGGGATCCCACTGATTCTACATTATGGTGAGTTGTATAATTATTTCATTAAGTATTATGATGTAATAATAATAAAAATGAAGTGCACAAGAAATGTAATGCACTTGAGTCATCCTGAAACCATCCCTTCACCCACATCCCAGTCCATGGAAAATTGTCTTCCACAAAACCCAGTCCCTGGTGCCAAAAAGTTTGAGGACCACTGCCCTAAATGTATTAGTTGTTTGACAAGATACATGAAAACTCAATGCTGCTGCCCCCTCCTTTTATTAACAAGATCTGTTATATTAAAGACATTCCCATCAAAGGATCTCTAGATGCAGGTACGAAAAAAGAGATGAAAAACATCATCATCATATATCATAACTATTTTAAGAATATTACCTCCTTATTAATTTATGCCATTTAATTTTACAAAAAAAGAATAACTGCATTTTTATGTAATATTTGTTCCACATTAAATACTTATTCATGATACCTTTCTTTAACTGTCACTTCAGGGACTAAAGCATATATTTGGGCATCTAACATCACATTTTGAAAACAGCACTACTAAAACATTAGGGCAGATTGTCACTATAGAAAAATGGATTATCCACCCAAGTAATAGTGTCATTCATCTAGATTTGAGGTCTGTTGAGGTGTTCATGAAATAAGAGCTAATTTTTTCTCCCTGAGACACCAAACATCTAGATTAAAATGAGGGAAAAAATGGCTACTGATTCCAATGCATCTAAAGGTAGAGACACTTTATAAAATTCAGCATTCCTCCTTGGCTCAGGAAATAACGTATTTTAGAAAAATAATTGTATACTTGGATTAATTGGAAGTCTACAGTTTCATTGAACATTGTCAATCTCAGGAATTAAAATATTATGATATAAACTAAAACAGTAGGATTTTCTTGAAAATAATTGAAACCATACTAAATCATGTGTTTTTCTGAATATGCTTTTAGTTATATTGTGGCATCATAATAAAATCTTGTGCCATTTTACAGCCTGTGTTAGAACAAATTACAAAATATCTGCCAAATTTGTGCTGAACTTAAAACTTGTATCAGAAATTATGATTCCCAATAACTATTTAATTAATTTACGTTTGGTGACCTGAGTAAAAAACATGTATACGTAATAATGTTTAATATTTATACTTATGATTTATGGAGCAACTGCTAGTCCTGACTTTATAGGAATCAATAATTTGAACTAAAGATATTTTGCTGTCTGATAACCTCAAAATTGACATAGTTGCTGTTTTGAATTTTACACACGTAGAAGATCATAGTTTAGTTGTCGTATCTTTTACATAGTTAATCCCTACTATTTCAAACTTCAGTCATTATCCCCTCGGGTATTCAAATTTTACCAGATGTACCTATATTAGTCAGAATATTGATGCTCAAAGATGTACAAACCTAATCCCCAGAAACAGTAAATATGTTACATTACATGGCAAATAGAAATAGGATTGCAGATAGAATTAAAATTGCTTACCAGCCTGGCACAGTGGCTCACGCCTGTAATCCCAGTACTTTGGGAGGCCGAGGGGGGCAGATCACGAGGTCAGGAGAGCGAGACCATCCTGGCTAACACAGTGAAACCCCATCTTTACTAAAAATACAAAAATTAGCTGGGCGTGGTGGCGGACGCCTGTAATCCCAGCTACTCAGGAGGCTGAGGCAGGAGAATCGCTTGAACACGGGAGGCGGAGATTATGATGAGCCAAGATCGCGCAACTGCACCCTAACCTGGCGACAGAACGAGACTGTCTCAAAAAGAAAAAAAAAAAGAAAAAGAAAAGAAAAAAATTGCTTACCCAGCTGTCCTTAAAATTTGGAGATTATTTTAGAGTATCTATGTAGGCTGGGTGTAAACAAAGGGACCTGTAAAGTGGAAGAAGGAGACAGAAGAGGAGGTGAGAGTAATGTGATGTGAGAACTGGACCCACTGTTGCTGGTTTTGAAGATGAAAAAGTGATCATGCATGTTAGTGACCTTTGAAAGCTGGAAAGGGCAAGGAAATGGATTATTTCTTAGAGCTTCCAGAAGGAATGCTGCCCTAACGAAACCTTGACTTTAGCCCAGTGAAACTCATTTCAAACTTCTGACTCACAAAACTAAGTTAAAAGTTAGTGTTATAATCCTCTAAGATTTGGTAGTGTGTTGCACAGCAGTAGAACACTAAAAGAGTACCATAACATTTAATTAGTAAACTTGGAGATATTTTTGATGGTTCTATTGCTTTAGAAAAGCTAATGTCTTTTCTCTATGAATTGTTAGGAGCTTTGTGATAGAGAATTTTTATCTTTTCTTTATCTTCACCCTACCATGTGACTTGTACAGAGCAGGCCCCTGGCAGATATTTTTTGAAATGCTTTACATAATGTGACTGTGAAACTCGATAGAACTAAAAGTTATACATAGTTTAGAAGACAAGTTTATTGGTATATTTGCCAAAAACTGCCTGAGCAGAAACAAATGAAATGCAAGTGGTAAGTCATGACATTCGACCAGTATTTTTTCTTTCCCTGTGAATACATTTTAAAAATACACATCAATATTAGTTCACACATATAAGTTTTTACACTATTATATAAAATGAGATGATTTTAATTATATTCATGGCAGCAGCAGCCCTTCTTAAGTGGCTGCTGCCATGATGCCATCTGCAGTGGCGGAGGTGCAGCCAGGGCTACGTGCTCCACGGCGCTGGCAGGAGCCAGGAACAGGTGGAAGCCCCACCCCCAACCAAGTTGGGAGGGTGGAAGCTTCAGGCTCCCTGGCACAGGTGCAGCCACCCAGTCGTGACTCTGGACCCAGGCCTCCCTATGCTATTGGGGCCTGGGAGCAGGCAGGAGCCCTTGCCTCCTGGGCACAGCTGCAGCTGCCCAGCTGCTGCTGCAGACTCAGGAATCCCTTCACCTCTGCACTCTTGGGGGCCTAGGAAGCCTCCCTTCCCCCACAGTATCAGAAGTGCCTAATCCTGCTGCCTGGCCTCTTCCTGCTCTTGGTGCTTGCTCCGATTTCAGAGCAAATTGAGGCCAAGCCTGGGTGCTGTTGCAACCCACCAGGTGTGTGCACACTCAGAGAAGGTCTGACATGCCAGCTCTCTGCCACTTCAGCCCCCTCTGGATGTTAGGTACTGATGAGCATGAGAGGGAGGCTAAGGGGGTGCTGAGAGCCGCTTGGTGTGGGTCTGCAGGCACCCCTTGGCACAAACAGCCTAGGTGCCATGGGAATATTGGATGGCAGGTTAATGGTGGCAGGAGGGAGACAGGCTCCTGGGCAGAAAGGGACAGGTCCCTGGTGAAACCCCACCTTCAGGCCAGAAAGGGCCTGAGGCCTGCGGGCCAGGCTGCCAGTTCTGTGGGCCAGAGTGAGAACTTACGGTGCTTTTTCTGGGCGTGCCCATGGCTGCCCATAGACCAATCAGCATGCACTTCCTCCCTTCTGAGGTCCATAAAAATGCCAGACTCAGCCAGACTCAAGCAGATGATGGGACAACCTGCCTGCACAGAGGAACTGCCCACTGTGGGTCTCCTCTCTGCTGGGAGCTAGCTACTCACTAGGATGACCTGCGTGCAGGGAGGAGAAGACCCACTGCAGGTCTTCTCTGAGCTGTTTTGCAGTTCAATGAAGCACCTTTTCACCTGGATCATCTCACTTGTCTGCTTACTTCATTCTTCCTAGATGTGGGAAAAGAACTCAAGACTCGCCAAATTGCAGGGCTGAAAGTGCTGTAACACAAACAGGGCTGAAACAGGCCCCTTACTTGCCACATTGTAGGCGACGAGAGAAAGAAAAGAGAGAAGAGCTGTGACCCTTTGGGGAGCCCAGACCTAGCAGCTCCCCAAGCCAGGGCTGTGACACTCTCTTTGGGGCTCTGCAGTTCCTGGCATCTCCAAGTTTCTGGACACCACCACGTTCCCTGGTGCTTGCAATGGAAACTGCTTGCTGTATTTCTGGTCCAGCCACAGCATCAAAGGGAGGTGGCACCCATGCTGGTGCCTGGAGCCGCCCACCCTGCCACAGCCAGTGTACTTGACTGTAAGCAGTGACCAGACCCCACACTCACTTGCTCTTGCACCCCTAGTCGCTCCACGCCTGGCTCGCCCTTAGCAGGCATGGGATCTGGGCAGGTAGCGCAAGCCAAGTGCAACCTGTCAGAGCAACTGGGCTTAACGAGCCCAGTGGGCCTGAGCAAAACTTAGGCAAAGGCAACACTGGCCACCGAGGTATCTGGCTGGTGAAGTGACAACCCTAGGATCCTGTGACCATATGACCTGTTGATTTGTGCATCATCTCTTCTATACATCCTTCATAAAATAAGGATACTATTACTCTTGCTGACTTACTTTTTTATACTCACTGATGTTGAAAATTTATATATAGCATTATGAAAAGCCACAAGTTAATATTAACCAGCAACAATTATTTATTTATTCAATTCCCCTTGAAATGATTGGCTGAGTTTTTTCCTAAATATATCTAAATAAACATAACTTACCTTCAGCTTAATTTTGCCTCTGCTCCTGAAATGTGCTCTCATGTGCAACAAAATAATTTTGATGTCATTTATCTGAAATATTTGATACATTTTCATTATTCACAACTTATAAAAACAGAAAAATAAAATGACAGAACCACTTCTATGCTATATGCCTCCTCTCACATTTGATCACTTCTTCAATGACTTCCTCTAAATCTTTCTTCGTAATTCCTCTTACCCTCTTGTCTGAGTTCATTTGGGCTACTATAACAGAATACCATAGGCTGGCTAGCTTATAAACAACATAAATTTATTTCTCACAGTTTTGGAGACTGAGAAGTCCAAGATGAAGGTGACAAAAGATTTGGTGTCTGGTGAGGGACCACTTCAATGGCCATCTTCTTGCTGTAACCTCACATGTTGGAGGGGGCAGTGGAGTTCTCTGGAGTCTCTCTCGTAAAGGCCCTAATTCTATCTATGAGGGCTCCACGCTCATGACCTAATCACCTTCCAAAGGCCCCACCTCCTGATACCATTATATTGTGGGTTGGGATTTAAACATATGAATTTTGAGGGAACACAAATTTGCAGTACCTCCTAAATATTTAGACTTTTTCTCTTACTTTCAATATTTTGCACTGCACAGTTTTAAGCATATTTAGTTAACGGCAAAATGGAATTTATTTCCTCACATTTGCCTCTTTTTTATGTAATCATATCATGATATCATCTGCTTTGTTTATGTAGAGAAGAATTCTATATACCCTTTTAGAAGATACTGAGTGGACTTAATCAGTACAACTGTGTTGCATTAACTTTTATATAAGCCAAATTCCTGAAATTATATATGTGCATGCATACATACACACAGACTCTTACAGCCTTTGAGGAACGGTTGAACATATGGACATGTCATTCCGAAACTCGTCAGACCTGGGAATAGAAATTGTTTTACAACATTGTTGTCTTCCTTTCTTATATCTATAAATATTATAGAGTTAGTAGTGTTAACTCTTTCATGTAAATTTTTATAACCATAGTTTAGTATAAATATGGAAAAAATTCTGGTTTTTTAAACCAAATATAGCTTACTTATATACTTAAACTAGGCAGAGAAAACTTTACTGAGAAGTCAATCTTGTCCACTCTCAACTGCTTTGATAATAATGTGTGTCATATTAATAACAACTTGCTTTTTGAGTATTCACTTTAGTTATTTCAGTGTTACCTGCATTATCTTGGAAGCACATGGACTATAATCACTCTGGGGGACTTAACTCCCTGTCTTTACCGGATTTAAATGACACTTCACTTACTTCCCTACTTTAAATTTCATTTATAATGGAGTTAACATCGGTGGTCTCATAATTATATAACTTCTTTATACCCATACTCTGCTTACTGACCATCAATATTATAACATTCCTTTACTGCATTCACAGTTATTTAAGAAATGGTTGCTGAATTTCGGGGTCTACTTAACTTTATTTCATCACTGTCAACCTCCTCAAATACCTAGTCAATCCCACTTGGCCTATTTGCTAGACCTCCTGGGCATGAATTTCTTTCATCAAATTGGCTACCATGCCCTCTGCAAGAAGGTATACTGACATGTAATTTGTTCACTGTCCTCTGTTGTCATGTGCTAATTTCAGAGAGTGTTGCTCTACTTGTCCTATATGGCCCCACAGCTCAGAATCTAAAAAAGCTATAGAGCTGGCTTCACGAATGTGTGACCTTTGCAGTTGTACTGTGCTTGATTTAAT
Organism: Homo sapiens; assembly: GCF_000001405.40. NCBI lineage: Eukaryota > Metazoa > Chordata > Mammalia > Primates > Hominidae > Homo > Homo sapiens. The sequence continues at coordinate 67,880,756 of NC_000013.11, forward strand.
GCTCTGTTTTTGCTGCTTTGAATTTCTTAATTGAATTTCAGTCCAATGTCTTAATTTCTGGAAAGGGTCTTTGTCTGAACAAAGGCAATGGATCATGTGCATGAAAGGAGGTGATCCATGTAACATCCGTGTCTCCCATTCCTTGCCAACCCATTCAACTATAGCACTTGTGACACCCCATAACCAGAGTTTTGTAAGCACTCAAAATGTTTAGAGCTTGAGCAAGCCACAAAGCCAGTAAAAAGTACAAGAAAGCCTACATTTTCCACTCAAATGATAACTTTTTCCAAACACAGAAAGAAAGTGATAGCATTCTACCAAATGTGAATCACCAGGCAGCTCTACAATATTCTTTCTTACTTGTGCTACTTCCTTGGATAGCCTATGACTTATATTCAAAACAATGACATGGGAGGGGAAAGATGAGGAAATCCATAATCCCTTTTTTCAATCATTCCTTAATCATCAGTAAGTTTGAAGTAGAGAGAGTTGGTAGAATATGCACGTATCATAATTACAAGAAGCACAATTCAGCCAGTGTTGTGCAGCATTTCTGCTGTTTTGTTAACAATAAAGCAGATAGTTGTGTTTGAGCTGTGAAATACTAATTATGGGCTGGGTGTAGTAGCTCATGCCTGTAATCACAACATTTTGGAAGGCCGAGGTGGGAGGATCACCTGAGCCCAGGAATTTGAGCAGCCTAGGCAACATAGTGAGAACCTGTCTCTACAAAAATAAATAAATAAATGAATAAATAAAATTAACTGGGTGTGGTGGCACACGTCTGTGGTCCCAGCTACTCTGGAGGCTGAGGCAGAAAGATTGCTGGAGCCCAGGAGTCAGAGGTGAGGTGAGGCTGCAGTGACCTATGATCACACCACTATACTCAGGCTTGGGAGACAGAGCAAGGCCCTGACTAAAAAGGGAAAAAAAGAAAGAAATATGAATTGTATATTTTGGGTAATTTTGCATACAAGTTAAGTATTTTATATTTGCCTTTAAAATTGCATTGTACGATATAAAAATAAATGGCTAATTCAAGCTAATAAATAAATTTTTATTTTACCTTACTTAGAAAAATATTAAATCACAATGAGTCAAGAAGGAGCCAATGAAAGAAAAAACCTTTATGTTTTAATATTTTAATAACACTATTTTTGCTTTTTGAATAAGATATCCCAATTTTCAGTTTGTATTATTTCCTGCAAATTATCTAGCCACCCCTGAATGGCAGTGTACTATTACAAATGGAGTTTGCTTTTAGAAACATCAAGACTTAGGATTGACTCATAGCTTGTCTCTGTGGTTGTGTGTACATCGATAAACTACTTAACTTGAATACCTGGGTTATTCTTGAGGTATTCTTGAGGTAGAGATAATAACAATCTCCTTTAAGAGTCTCTGTAATAGAGTAAGATGCATGATTTTCCTAACAGAGTGAAGATCAGGTGCACTCTTAACTGGATATGTTTTCTTACCTCTAGTTTGTTTCTCTGGGTCTTCTGAGTATCATTCACTTAAGAATTGACCCAACAAAATCAAGTTGCATTCTAATGTTTAGTGATGTAGGTGTGATGCATGAGAAAAGTCCCATCAACCTACCTTGCTCTCTACTTTCAAAAGCAAGAGGGAACTAAACCTTCTATCATGAAATGAGAACAACAATAAAAGAGCCAGATTTCTATCCAGATTTCTATTGGGTCTCACTCCTTTGTCATACTTCAGGAGTCTCTTGTAATAGAACAAGGACAACACAAATGTGACCTTTCTCTCCTGTGCTCCCAGCACCAGATATGTGTAGATTTTAATGTCAGACATTTAAAAGCTATGCTTCAGTTTGGAAAGCTGAAGCCAAATACTTTCATCCTCAAAATATGTTCCTCTCTACACACTACTTCCATCTTTCTAGAGCTTACCCAACATAAGGGCTTTCTCTCATCTCTAAGCAAGATTGTGTTTACATTTATATAGTCTTTCACCTCAATGAAATAGAAATTCAGCATTTTAGGAAACAGATTAAGCTGAAAAGATTTTGTTTCCTATCAAATATGATAGCAAGGAACATTCAGGTATTGATCAATCTTCCCTTGCTTTCTGCCTACATGAGAGATTCTTCAACTGTCCAAATCCTGGTGAACTCCACATATGAATGTATCTTTAGGAAATAGAGGTTGACCTTGTAGAAATTGTCTATTATGCAGGTAAGACTATACCTCTGAAGAACATTTGGACAAGTTTGAAAAGTAGGAGAAATGTAAGTGCTCTGGCAACTGTGATCTCAGAGGAAGAGGGCCATTTTACTGATTATCTGAAAACATTGTATAATCATTTCTCTTGTTATCAATATATAATTTAGTTTGAAAAGGAGTAAACAGAGCTAGGCATGCTTGAAAACATCAGCCTCAGATAATTGAGCCCTTCCTCTGCCCCCTTCCCAGCTATTCTATCCCTTGCCACTCTCTTTGCCATGCCCTCAAGCATGGGAACACAGCAATACCAGGAATCTTAGGCCTTATAAAGGAGATTCTGTGGGGAAGACTTTTCATAAAATCCTCATGTATTTCTCCTCTATTACTAGGTTCACAACCTTCCATGTCTAATCTCCACCAAAGAAAAATGAAACATTAATTATGGATAATAAGCATAAGTAGGAGCCAAAAATATTTGTTAATTATATTAAGAGGTTGTTCATATGTTGTAAGAAATAAAATAACTCATGTATTTTCAGATATAAATTTTCATATCATATGCTGTATATAAAGAAACTAAAATATAATAATAGAAGAAGGACATTTTATCCATGATATGGTTTGGGTGTGTGTCTCCTTCAAATCTCACATTGAGACATGATCCCCAGTGTTGAAGGTGGGACCTGGTGGGAGATGTTTGGGTCATAGGGGTGGATCCCTCATGAACGGCTTGGTGTCGCCCTCATGGTAATGACTGAGTTCTCATTCTGCGTTCACATTAAATCTGGATGTTTAAAAGAGTGTGGCACCTCCCTCCTCTCTCTGTTGCTCCCTCTCTCACCATGTGATACGCCTGCTCCCACTTCACCTTCTGCCATGATTGTAAGCTTCCTGATGCCCTCGTCAGGATCAGATACCATCACTATGCTATGCCATCACTATGCTTCTTGTACTGCCTGCAGAACCATGAGCCAAATACATCATTACCCAGCCTCAGGAATTGTTTTATGGCAGTTTCAAACAGATTAATACAATCCCAGTTGGCCAAATCAGCAAAATCAACCCAAGCAGCCAAATATCTCATGTTGAAATGGTACTAAAATTTAGTTTTTCTGATGTAGGGCTTGGTTCTAAGTTTGAGATAATGAATATCTTGAGTCATATGTATGAATACATATTGGTATAGACACATTGTACAAATATAACATTTGATTTTATATTTTAAATCTTTGTTGATTTGTGTATACAACATTTTTTAGTATGTGAAAAAATTTGACATATACGAAATGAAACTTGCATGTGCCAATGAGTGCTAAAAATACAAGACTTTTTAAATAAAAGTGTATCTTTCAGGAACAGTATACGATTCCTTTCACGATCTTCAATTAAACTACCAACAGAAATTTTCTGAGATGTTAATGTGCCAGTTTCTCTTATCTTTTGTTTGTGCTTTCAAGTAAGACTTTATTTTCTCTCCTTTAGAATGCCATCATGAATGCAGATATATGAAGACACTCAATTTTGAATCAAATATGTCAAAATATATTCTATTAACTTTGTCTTTCTCTCATTTTAGAAATGATGTATGACTTTTACTCTGAGGGAATAATACATCATCATTCCTCAACATATCATATTATGTGTTTTCTATTAGGTTAATTTTTGAATAATAATATGAAGAATAAAATTAAAATTTGAGTGACAACAGATGTGTAAATAATAGCCCAGTACCATCATGCAATATTCCATCTGGCAGAAAATTGGTATGAAACAAGTACTTTTAGAGAAAACATGAGCTTGTCAATCAGAATGCCTTTCCTGTTTCATGAGAAGCCTGTTTTGGCTACCTTAGAAATCTTCCGATATACAAGTATCAGTCTACTAATTTTAATTTTAACAAAGCTCTAGAAAGTCTACTCAAAAGATACATATATCATCAGTATCAAAATTATATTCTCAATATTATGTAGGTACTTTTCTGTCAGATTTGAGAATTTGTTGCAGACTTCTGTGGAAAAATTGAGATCGCCTTGAACTATTGAGCAGGTTTGTTTTAGGAAGGTACTGCAAAAAAACACCTTTTTCCTCCCTAAATTAATAGAACTGACATTGATAGGCAAGCAGAATATTTTAAAAGCCAAGAATAGCAGTGCCTAAAAACTTTGATATTATCTAGCACATCATTTTAACTTCACAGAAAATAAAACAGATTCACAAATATAATGATTAACCCAATACCAATCACCTAGTATGGGCTCAATAAATATGATTTGCTAATATTTTGAAAATTTCACCAATTTTCACATGTTAAAAGTAATATGCAGAACACTGTGCTGTGAATTCTGGGGGCTACAGAGGAAACAAAGCAATATCTATTTCCAAGAATGAAATGACATTTACATAAACAACAGAATATTAAGTCATCAAACAGACACCTATTGTGTCCTTACAATGTAGTTAGCATTGTGTGAGTTAATGATGGAGTGATAGTGAACACAGCAGTCATGTGCATAGTTTTCTGGAATTTAGAGCCAATTGAGAGAAATTTGGTTAACAACTGAATATATAAAAATATGTAATTACACATTAAGGTAGGTGCTTTGAAGAAAACATGACATAAGAGAACATATTAAAGGGAACGTAAATTATACTAAAGTTTAGGGAAGCTTTCTTTCAAAAATGATCATAGACTTTTACCTGAAAGGGGTCTCAATCCAGACCACAAGACAGGGTTCTTCAATATTGCACAAGAAAGAACTCAGGGTGAGTCGACAGAGTAAAATGAAATCAACATTATTAAAGAAGTAAAGAAACAAAAGAATGGCTACTGCATAGGCACAGCAGTTTCGAGGGCTGTTAGTTGTCCATTTTTATGGTTTTTTATTGGTCATATGCTAAACAAGGGATGGATTTAAAAAGTTAAAAATTTTAAAAGTTACCTGTGTGGTCTAAAAAGGAGACACCTTCAGTTCTGACAACTCCCTTTAAAAATGGGTGGGGAGTTCCCAGAACTGAGGATACCTCCCCTTTTAGACCATATAGGAGAACTTCCAGACATTGCCATGGCATTTGGAAACTATCATGGTGCTGGTGGGGGTGGCTTTTAGCATGCAAATGCATTATAATTAGCGTTTAATGAACAGTGAAGACTGCCAGAGGTTGCTTTCATTGCCATGTTGGTTTTGGGTGGGTTTTGCCTAGCTTCTTTACCACATCCAGGTTTTTTTTTTTTTTATACAGGGTCTTACTCTTTCATCCAGACTGGAGTGCAGGGGCATGATCTCAGCTCACTGCGCAAACTCCGCCTCCCAGGCTCAAGTAATTCTCCCGCCTCAGCCTCCCAAATAACTGAGACTACAAGCCCGCACCACTACCGCCCAGCTAATTTTTGTATTTTTAGTAGAGACGGGGTTTCACCATGTTGACCAGGCTGGTCTCGAACTCCTGACCTCAAATGATCCGCCCGTCTCAGCCTCTCAAAGTTCTGGGATTACAGGAATGAACCAACGTGCCCGGCTCATCTTGTTTCATCAGTGTGGTCTTTGCGACCTATATCTTTTGAAACCAGTCCTGCTGACCTCCTGTCTTAACTTGTGACTAACAAAGCCTAGCCTCCTGGAAATGCATTTCAGCAGGTCTCAGCCTCATTTTTACCCCGCCCCCTATTCAAGATGAAGTCACCCTGGTTCAAATGCCTGACAGACTAAGATCTAAAACAAAACAAAACAAACACAGGTATGATCCTGAAACAGGAGAAAATGTTGTATGCTTTAAAATTTATAAAAAGATCAATGTGGCCAGATCTTAGAAAAACATGAAGAGGTTGACATGAGATGGGGATGGAAGATGGATGGGGATGGGGAGAGTTTACCTAGGGCATATCCGTAGCATGAATTTTCTTTAAGTTCAAAAACCATGACGGATGATCTTAATCCAACTCATACTTTGTTGTTAAAAAATATATCACTATTACGAGTTTCAGTATTTGTTTTTTCCATCTTTCATCTGGCCTTAGAACTCAGCCTTAATGCTAGCTCAGTTCTGTTCTTATACAGATTTGGGAAGACTTCATAGAGCAATCAGATGTCAAGAACTAATCCCCCATTCCTCCACACACCTACACACTTTGATATCTAAGTGAAATAAGACCAAAATAAGTTTTACCTTTAATTTGTCATTTTGGTCAGGCTAGCCCTGCCTATTGTTACCTCAGTCTAATCTTTTAAATTTGATGAATTTATCAATATAACATACTAAGTAACTACCCAAAGTTGAAAAACAATAATGATTCTTAATATATGTTTTGAAATTAACACAACTCATTGATATTGAGGTGCTATCTCATGTAGTAAAGCCAGAGATGCCAGGGATATGACTCTTGCATTGGCGGAGTTATCTCTACTTCTTAATAGATATCTTAGCAAGTGTTAAACATAATTGATTTTTTAAAAGTATTGTATTTGTCTATTTTCACATTGCTATAAAGAAATACCCAAGACTGGGTAATTTATAAAGGAAAGAGGTTTAATTGACTCATAGCTCCACATGGCTGGGGAGGCCTCAGAAAACCTACAATTATGGCTGAAGGTGAAGGGTAAGCAAGAACCTTCTTCACGTGGTGGCAGAAGAGAGAAGTGCAAACGGGAAATGCCAGATGTTTATAAAACCATCACATCTCGTAAGAACTAGCTCACTATCAGGAGAACAGCATGGGGGAAACTGTTGCCATGATCCAATCACTTCCCTCCCTCGACATGTGGGGATTCCAATTCAAGATGAGATTTGGGTGGGAACACAGAGCCAAACTTATTAGACATCAATCTTATTATTTCTGGGCCTGGTTCCAACACTCCCATGCAAATTGTTAAGCTTTGATAGAGTATTTTAGGCTGATGCCAAAATTTGCACTGAAATTTTTGTAATGATCTTCATAGTTCCTTCCACACTCGTGTCCTGATTTATTAATACAGATAAATGGCATTCCAAATTGGTATTTGGCATCATGGTATAACAGAATATTTATGTGAGGAAAAAAGCCATGGAGGGTAACAGTCATCTTACTGATTCAGTCATAGAGAACAACTTTGAAGATGGGGGAGAAAGCCACAACCATGCACTTATCTGCTTCCAATGATAGTTCTATTCATGAGCAAGCAAAATCTTATCAATGCGGAGGTGTCAATAAAACAGTTTTGAAGGTGAGTTTGGGACAATTAAAGAGAGAGCTCAAGAGCTTGATTGTGACTCCTCTCACGGAGACCTATGTTAATACACCTTTAATTCTCTGTTAATCCACCTTTAATTCTCTGTTAATCCATTAGGATATGTCTTAAAATTCTCTCAGATTTTATTCACATGCTTGAAGGTCTCTGTTTCTCCAGCCTACAACTTCCAATATACTTACAAAATTAGCAATATATCATCTTCATTTACTTTATTGTACTATAATTAAAATTAATAAAAATTAGAGTTTTATAGTTAAATTAAACAATCCGAAGTTTTATAGGGAAAAAAGTCAAAGTACCACGCATTTCCCATCTATTATCAATCCAGTGTACAGATTACATAGGAGTGAACGCTGTCAATATTTTGGTGTGTGATGATGTTGTACTTTGAAACCTGTTCTTGCATGCATGCATAAATTATGTATGTGTGCAGTCATGAGTGTGTCTCTATAATTTTTCTTGTTATTTTGTTATGAGAATTTTCAGATGTAAAGAAAATTTTAGGGACCAGGCGCGATGGTTCATGCCTGTAATTCCAACATTTTGGGAGGCTGAGGCAGGTGGATCACTTGAGGTCAGGAGTTTGATACCAGCCTGGGTGACAGAGTGAGACTGTCTCAGAAAAAAATAAAAAGAAAATTTGGAAAAAGTTCTAAACAACTGACATTATGCTATGTTTGCTTTATTACATGTCTATCTGTCATGTCTTTATCCTCCAGCCCTCTGTCAAATCATTTTACCCTTTCAATGCATTTTAAGCTATGATGCAGATATCAGTATACCTTGTCCTTAAACATTTCGGCATGCAAATCATTACTCAGGGTTCAATATCTAGTCACTATCCTTTCTTTTATAATTTTAAAAGTAAGATTTATTAATGCATAATTTAGATACAGTAAGACTTACTCTTTTAAGATGTATAGTTCTATGAAGTTTGACATTTCTGTCAAACTCAAGTTGTAGGATTTTCCCATTACCCCCAAAAGTTCCCCTGCTATCTCTTTGTATTTAGTTATTTTCCCCATTCTTAGCTCTAGCAATCACTCTTCATTTTTTTTCTTTTCATTTTTTGTTGCTGGGTCAAATAAATGAAGTCATAGGGTATCTATGTGCTTTGCCACATTCTGAAATATGAACTTTGTATTCCCTAAAATCGGCTTGTGTAAAATTCATTCTTTCATTTTCAGTAATCTGTTAAAATTTCCTTTTAAATTCTCTCTGTTCAATTCTGCTTTCCATTTAAATCCAGTTCTGTTTTCATACCACTACCTAGTTTTTACATTTAAGTAAGATCTCCATTATAATAGGATAAAGCCCAGCTTTAAAGGCCCTACCAGCTTGCTTTTGCCTTCCAATCTAACCAGAAAAATTTGTATTTCCTGAGGGCCATTATTGGTTTAGCTCTAACATCTTATAACTTTTATTCAAGACAGCCTATAACTTTTCATTGTCTTGGTGAATCTCAGAATGCTTTGTTTTGCATTCTGATACCCCTTGATGAAGAGGAGGATCTGTTCAGTCTGTTGGGGGGCTGAGGATCTTATTTTTATTTGTCACTATTCTTTATTGAGGCAGATGAGATAAACAGTAATACCCACTGTAAGGTTTTAAAAGTTTGCAAGGATCTACACATTTTTCTAAAAGCTAAATTTCATCCAAATTTTAGACTACAAACTATATTTCAGTAAATCCACATAGTAATAGTGACTATATATATTTAAGTGAATGGATACCTTGTGCATAATTTAGGAATTTGGACTCATAATGTCAAATAATGACATGTACATTCTTAAAGATATGATCATTTATATATGAAATTTTATTCATATTAGCTAAAGATAGTTATGAGAAAGCAAACCTTTAAATAGTTATCATATATTAAAATGATATTTCCATTGGGTTTTGTCCATGAGGCAAAAAGACTCAGAATCGTGAACAGTCAGCAAACAGATGAAGGTGGGATTTGGGGGAAGCTGTAATAAGTTAAAAGCCTGGTGCACATATGAGCATGAAAATAGGACAGAAATCTCAATAAAACCAGGAATAGGTTTGAATTAAGTCAAAAGGCCAGAAATCAAATGGAATAGGTGGTTGTCAGAAGAAACACTATACAGATTCAGGAGTTCATAAATAGGTTATTGAGTTATAATCTTTACAAAGTGTCAAATTTTGACACTGTGGAAGAGGTTTGGTCTATAGAATTAACAATAACAGTGGGTAAGAAATTGTAAGTAAGATTCTAGAGTAAATTTTATTTGCCTATTGACATTTCCTTTTCTCTTGCACAGATTTTCTCCTTATTTCTTTTTTTGTTTTATTCACACTTTGTTCTTCAATATTGCTATGTATTCTCATTAGTTTAACATAAGAATAAAATAATTTTGTTTTTTCAACCTACAGAAATATGAGTATACAATTGTAGAGTATACAAATATAAAGCAATATACTATTAGTAAACATCGCAATTGCACAGAGAGTACCTTCCTTTTGATAATTAAGAATTACTTTCTAGGTTGAATACAATTAGTTTTTATTATTTAGTATTTCATTAGGAAAGGACATTGGTCTATGAAACACCTCTATCAATTGTGAAAACTGATAATTGAGTGTACCTGCATGGTTTGATAATTGTTATCTAGGAATAACAGAATAATAAATTCATCTGTCTTCTAGAAATTTTTATATTTGTGCTTTTCCTGTTGTCAATATGATATCACTATTCTCAGCATGACCACAAACAGAAAAGGCAAAACTAAAAGGACATTTTACCTGGCTTACTTTAAGTGCGTTTTCTTTTAGTCATGTTGAGATATCTGTTTCTTACTTTTTCTATATTATGTGATTTGGTAAAAATTTATGTACCTCCACGTACCTATAGTTACAAATTATGGGCATGGTATGAATTGCAACTTTAAAAGAAAGGCACAGTAATGTAAGAACTTTTGTAATCTTTTCCATGCCTTTCAGGTTAACCATAAAAACAAAAAAGAACTGTTTACTAAATTTTAATTGAACTTATTTGCTTCATTGTATTGTAGTTTTAATAACGTAACAATAAACAATTTTAGAATGAAAATCATTATTGCAAAGCATAGAATACCAAAAATCATAATATATTTTAACCCTATAATTCTACAGCTGAACAGCAACAAGATGCATATTAATTCCTGTTGAAAATAAGCTCTCTGAGGTACTGAAACATGATCTCCTGGGTCCATGCTTGGGCTTGGGCCACAGTGTCCCTTGCCTTCTGTTTCAGTCAGATGGCTGCCAGTATTTTTAAAAGACAAAAAAACTGAAGTGATGATAATTATAAGTAATACATTCAAATAACACAATCAAATTTCACTTAAGTAGTAGCTTTCTGAAAATACACTCACTAACTAGAAAAAGCATAATCATAAACAATCATTAGTGACTCTGTAAACTAACCTGTGTTTCCAGCATGGCCAGTTGTTTTTTGCTAAGTTTTGGATACACATTTCTTTATTAACTTAAAGAATATATCTCAGTTATCATAGATTATAGTGAGCTGAAATTAGGTTAAAATTAACAAGGTATGATAAAGGTCATCCTATCTAAAGAGTCAGCACTAGCTAGGCACTGGAATTGCTGAATCTGTGGAAATCCAATCCACAGAAGACTGGAGTGGTGATTGTCAACAGAGTCCCTAGCAATAGGATGGTGATTTTCAATTAACCTAGAACAGCAGGGATTTTAGTAACTATGCAAATTACTTTATGGTGCAACTGAAAAGTTGATCTATTTCTTATTTGTGTGTGTATAATATACTATACATACACATGCACATAAATGTATGTGTGTAAATACATGTAGCGTGTGAGATAAAAATGTAGACCACAAAGTATTTTCCGGCTCTGTGTTAAACAATGCTAATAATTAGAAATAACTTATCAACTTGCTCCAGGAAATAACTATTTCTAGAAGACAAGTAAAACAACAAACAGCTTACCTGTCAGATACATGTGCTCACCAAGACTGAGTTCGAGGCCCTCTCCTCTCTTTTATCTTCAATCCAAAGATATTATGCCAAATTCTGACCATCTCAAATAATTGTTTTCCCCTCTAAGACTCTCCTTAAAATCATCCACTCTTGAATCTAAAACCCAGTAAACACTTTTTCCTAACCTTTTTTTATTTTGAAACATTTCCAAGATTATGTAAAGGTGTTCTTCTCCTAACTGCAGTAGATTGAATACACACTGCTTCACTGTTGGATTTTCATGTTTTCAGGGAGATTGTGTGAATGAGTGTGTTTGCATGTATACATATATTTATATATTTTACATATGGCCATATTTAAATATAACCATAAATAACAGCTAAAACTATATGCATGTATTGAATGTTTATAAATTGCCAAAACACATGCCCCACACTTTGTCTCTTTAATTCTGTCATAAACCTTATCAAGTAGGTATTAATGTTACAAACATTTTATAGATGAAAAAATTTAGACTTATAGATGTGAAGTGATGTGCCTACTATACCAGGAATACATGCCAGAATTGGTGTCTAAGCTTTGCAACTCTAGAGTCCAAGTGTTAATCCGCACATCCATTGCCATGAAGAAACATAACAGTAGCCTGGGGCAAAAGGAAAAAAAGATGTGTCTTCTGTGTGTTTATTGCCACACTATTACAATTGCAAAGACATGGAACCAACCCAAATGCTCATCAATGATAGGCGAGATAAAGAAAATGTGGTAAATATACACCATGGAATACTATGCAGCCATAAAAAAAGAATGAGATCCTATCCTTGCAGTGACATGGATGAAGCTAGAGACCATCATTCTCAGCAAACTAACACAGGAAGAGAAAACCAAACCCCACAAGTTCTTACTCACAAGAGGGAGTTGAACAATGAAAACACATAGACACAGGGAGGGGGGACAGCACACACCGGGGCCTGTCAGGGTGTGGGGTGCAAGGGGAGGGAGAGCATTAGGACAAACACCTAATGCATGTGGCGCTTAAAACCTGGATGACGGGTTGATAGGTACAGCAAACCACCATGGCACATGTATACCTATGTAACAAACCTGCACCTTCTTCGTAAATATCCCAGAACTTAAAGTAAAATCATAATAATAAAAAAAGAATGCATCTTCACTTAAAATTTTGATATTTGTTCATCATGGATACTTTTATTGATTTTTACTTTTAAAAATACTACATTAAGTATTTACATTGATAATTGAATTTAGCACCCCATTTTTTTTAAAGGACTCTCATGTACCTCCTGTTTAAAGTACATCATTAAATTTTGTGCCCAAAGCAAATGCCTCATTCACTTGTCTTGCCCAACCCTAGTACTGGCTCCGTGACATATTCACTGCCATTGGCACTGGAGGAATGAAGGAATCTCATGGAAGTTTCTGACCAACTACTACTGGTGAATGATTATGAGCAACTCATAAAACTTACCTGGGCCTCAGTTCCTTCATCTAGGAATTGAGAGTCATAATGTAAAATAGACAATGTCACTATGGAAATTCAATCTGTAGTATAAAGTGCTTTATACAGATTACTTAAATATTATGAATTTAATTTTAACTAGATCTAATAATACAGTAAAAGAACAATGAAGAAAGGTGGGTTTGCTGGTCATTAGCCCTTACCTTTGAGCATTATCTTAGCACACTAAAATAAACCCTAGAAAGATTTCCTGCATGGCAGAATGAGGAGTACTATGAACCTGGTCTCCAGTGACATGACCACAACTGTTAATATTATAAAGACAAAGGTAAAACCAAGCAGTAAAACTCTCTGAAAACTGTCCTTAGTGTATACACCAAACAAAAAAGTATTTATTCAAGAAAATGTACTGAAAATAAGTTAATTGGAACTTTTGTTATTGAGCTGCAACTCACTTCCCATTGCCTAGCTCTGCATGAAAGATAGTCAACTTCAAGTGAATACAGCCAAGGAGATGAAGATATTTCTGCCCTGAGCTCTAAGTCAAGGGCTACAGTGTCTTCCTGGAAGGGGCAGACATCAAATATTTATTATCTGCTGCAGTTCACATGGCAAAGGCTAAATTCCGGGATAGTGCAGCTGAGAGGTATGATGATCTCTTTTTTCACTTAGCCTCCCTGGTAGGTAAGAATTTCTGTGCCAGGCATGACAGTCCAAGAGAACTGGAGCAATAATTTTCTTACCAAAGCTTGTTCATTAATGTAGAGTTCAACGTAGGGAGAGAAAGGCAATACTACCAGAGAATATCTCCCCTGCTCAGCACCCTACTCATGAAACAGGAATGTCACTTCAAGAAAGCTAGGCCACTATGCCTGCCCCCTGTCTAGGAGCAGTGGCTTGGAGATTTTTCCAATAAGAGAAAGGCCATAAGAATTGAAAGCTCGGAAGCCTTCCTGAAATGTATTGACTTTATTTGAAGAGGAGTGTTAGGAAGTTTATGCCTTAAGATGATATCAAAAACAATGGATATTTTTGTGAGATGGACATAAGAAAATATGGGTAGTTTCATGACAGCAATAAGCTAAACTGTAGTCTTGTTAGTTTACCAAACAGAACCAGGGAAAGGTATTCCTAAGAGGAGACCTTCTGGGGTCAAAGCAAACTTTAAAGATTATTCTCAAAAATTATTCCTGAAAAGTAGTATGACTTTAATTGGGTCAGACTGTGGAGAAATTTATACCCCAGTGCATTGATAAAAAATAGAACAATAAGCTGGCAATTAGTGGAGCCTAACAGCTGTGTGTAAGACCAGTGGAAAAGATGGCTTAACAGAGAAATCAGAGAAAAATAAAGTCAAAGAGAGCCCTGCTAACAAGTCATCTCAGGGCAACTGTGCACATGTTCAACGCTATCCTCGGAGAAGCAACATCAGATGTTTCACACTGCAGGGGAAAAATTGCCTTCTCTAAAATAAACCAGTTAAATTACGAAGGAAATGCATTTTTAAACATTAACAATAAAGTTTGAAGGTATGAAAATCAGTATCTAGAAGTATTAAAATATATTATCTAAAATTTACAGATTTCAGGAAAAATATATGGATATGCAAAGAAATAAGAAAGTGTGAGCCATAAACAGGAAAAAAAACAATAAACAAACAAAAACAATAACAAATCACCACCACCACCACAACAAAAAATACCTCAAGCAACAGAAGATGCCTGTGAGAGGGCATAGGTGCTGGACTTACACAAATACTTCAAAGCAGCTATTATAAATATGTTCAATAACTAAAGAAAAATCATGTTTAAAGAAGTAAAAAAAAAGGAAAAATAAAGAAGTAAAGGAAGTAAAGGAATTTCTGGCAATGTCTCATCAAGCAGAGAACATCAAAAAAGTTATTTTTAAAGAACTGGAAATTCTGTAATTGAAAAGTATAATAATTTTATTAAAAAATTACCTAGTCGGCTCAACTGTACCTGCAATCTGGCAGGAGTCAAAAATCCGCTAAGTTGAATATAGATCAAAAACTATTATGCAATCTGAATAACAGCAAGAAGAGAGAAATAAATATAATGAACAAAGCCTCAACAAAATGTGTAACACTTTAACCACATCAATATATGTGTAATAGGCATAGCAGAAGAAGAGGAGAAAGAAATAGAAAAAAAATAAGAAAATTATAACTGAAAACTTCTAAACTGTATGAAAAAAATCAATCTACACATTCAAGAAGCACAATAAACTAGCAGTAAGATCAACACAAAAGAGATCAACACCCAAAGACATCACATAAAATAATGTCAAAAAAACAAGGAGAAATTCTTGAAAACAACAAGAAAAAATGACTTACGCACAAGGTAACTTCAATAAGATCAGCAGCTGTTTCATTAATATCATCGCAAGCAATGGAGACCTGAGCAAGTGAGAAAATAATTGAACAGAGGACTAAGAGAAAATAAAGCAAACATAAAAATCAACCAATAATATTACACCAGCAAAAATTGTCTTTCAAAAATGAATGGGAAATAAAGATATTCCCAGATAAAAACTGAGATAATTAGTGGCAAGAAGACAACCTTATAAGAAATTGTTCGGGAATTTCTTCAGAATGAAAGTCTGTTCTTCAGGGCAAAATTAAATATATAAATGCATATTTTGTATTCTTTCTTCTTTAACTAACATAAAAAGCAATCATGTAAACCTATATATATATCAATAAATCATTGAGCTTATGACAATAAAAATGTAACATATTTGACAACAGAGTTGAAAAAATTAATAGGACAAAATCTAATAGTATGTTTGTTCTTCCATCTCTCAGTGTCTTTAAAATTCCTAAAATTATATAAAGTAATAACTACAACATTAAATTTTGGGGATTATGATGCATATATGTAATATGTATGACAAAGTTTTCAAAAAAGGGGAGAAAAGAAAATAGAGATATATAAAGTAAAACATCTATGTCTTTTGTGGAATTGAGTTAGTATAAATCTTTAGCTAATTCTGAAGAACTGCTTTATATGTTAAGCCCTATAATAACTACTAATAAAATAACTAAAAATATAGTTAAAAAAATTAAAGAAATAAAATATGTCGTCATAAAATACTCAGGCAAAAAAATCAGTGAAGAAGAAATGGAGGAACGAAAAAAGCCGTGACATAATAGAAGCAAATAGTAAAATGACAAATGCAAATAAATCAATTACAACATAAAACGTGAATGGAGAAAACAATTTAATCAAAAAAGATTGTCAGACTGGATAAAAAAGATAATGCAACTATATATTGTCAGTTTGTATTTTCAAATACATGGAGAATAAAAGTGTGAAAAAAGATAATATCGTTCAAAGAGTAACCATAAGAAAGCTGAAATGGCTGTAACATGATCTGAAATGACAGACTTAAAAATGTTATTAAAGATAAACAGGGACACTGTATAATGATTAAATGGTTAATTCATCAAGAAAATTTAATAACTATAAACATATTGAACATATATTCACCTAAAAACAGGGTTTCAAAAAACATAATGCAATAATTGATTGAATTCCAGGAAGAAATATTCAATTTAGGAATAATAGTGAAGATTTCAATGTACCACTTTTAATACTGTTTTTAATACTTCACTGACAGTCATGTATAGAATGCTCTACCCAAATACAATACATACTCTTCTGAAGCTATCATTGAATGGTCTCCAAGAGACAGGATATGGTAGGCCATAAAACAGGGCTAATGAATTTAAAAGATTTGAAATTATACAACTATATTTTGTGACCAAATATAATGGAAATATAAATCAATAACAAAAAGAAATTTAGGATTTGTGATGATTGAAAATGCGACACAGCATACCAAAACTTAAAGGTTACAGCTATAGCACTCATAGGAGGAAAATATGTGTCTGTAAATTTCTACATAAAAATAAAAGGAAAGATTTCATGTGTATGACCATATGTATAATTCTTTTTCTTTAAGAGTCTGGACATGTAGAGCAAAATGAACCTAAAAAATCAGAAGGAAGAAGATATTAAAGATGATAGTATAAATACATGAAATAGAGAATTGAATAACAATAGAGAAAATCAACAAAGCCCAATGACCATTTTTTGTCAAGATCAACAAAATTAACAAAATTTTGGCTAAACTAACAAGAAAACAGCAGAGAAATATCAAATTACCAAAATTAGTAACAAAAGGAGTATCACTACTGACATTAGAGAAACAGAAGGGATTACAGAAGGCAATATTATAATCACTCTACACCGACAACAACAATGAAAATAAATGGAAGGGACGTATTTCCAGAAAGACAGAAACTACTGGAAAAAAACTCATGAAGAAACAGAAAATCTGAAGAGACTTATACAAGTACAGAGATGAGATTAGTAACTATGAAACTAACCATCAATATTAGACAGATCAACAACACAGAAAATTAACAAGGATATTCAGGACTTGAACTCAGTTCTGGACCAAGTGGACCTAACAGACATCTACAGAACTCTCCTCCCCAAATCAACAGAATATACATTCTTTTCAGCACCACGTCACACTTATTCTAAAATTGACCACATACGTGGAAGTAAAACACTCCTCAGCAAATGCAAAAGAACAGAAATCATAACAGTCTCTCAGACCACAGTGCAATCAAATTAGAACTCAAGATTAAGAAACTCACTCAAAACCACACAATTACATGGAAACTGAACGACCTGCTCCTGAATGATCACTGGGCTCCTGAATAATAAAATTAAGGCAGAAATAAACAAGTTCTTTGAAAACAATGAGAACAAAGACACAATGTACCAGAATCTCTGGGACACAGCTAAAGCAGGGTTTAGAGGGAAATTTATAGCACTAAATGCCCACATCAGAAAGCAGGAAAGATCTAAAATCAACACCCTAACATCACAATTAAAAGAACTAGAGAAGCAAGAGCAAACAAATTCAAAATCTAGCAGAAGACAAGAAATAACTAAGATCAGAGCAGAACTGAAGCAGATAGAGACATGAAAAACCATTAAAAAAATAAATCCAAGAGCTGTTTTTTAAAATAATCAACAAAATAGACCACTAGCCCGACTAATAAAGAAGAAAAGAGAAAAGAGAGAAGAATCAAATAGACACAATAAAAAATGATAAAGGGAATATCACCACTGATCCCCCAGAGATACAAACTACCATCAGAGAATACTATAAACACCTCTATTCATCTAAATTACAAAATCTAGAAGAAATGGATAAATTTCAGGACACATACACTCTTCCAAATCTAAACCAGGAAGAAGTCAAATCCCTGAATAGACCGATAAAAAGTTCTGAAATTGAGGCAATAACTAATATCCTACCAACCAAACAAAGCCCAGGACCAGAGAGATTCACAAATTCTATCAGAGGTACAAAGAGGAGCTGGTACCATTTCTTCTGAAACTATTCCAAACAGTAGAAAAAGAGAGACTCCTCCCTAACTCATTTTGTGAGGCCAGCATCATCCTGATACCAAAACCTGACAAGACATAACAAAAAAAGAAAATTTCAGGCCAATATCCCTGATGAACATCAATTCAAAAATCCTTGATAAAATACTGGCAAACTGAATCAGCAACACATCAAAAAGCTTATCCACCACGATCAAGTCGGATTCATCCCTGGGATGCAAGTCTGGTTCAACATACACAAATCAAAAAAAGTAATCCATCACATAAAGAGAACCAATGACAAAAAACCACATGATTATCTCAATAGATGCAATAAAGGCCTTTGATAAAATTCAACACCCCTTCATGCTAATAACTCTCAATAAACTAGGTATTGATAAAACATATTTCAAAATAATAAGAGCTATTTATGACAAACCTACAGGCAATATCATACTGAATGGGCAAAATCTGGAAGCATTCCTTTTGAAAACCGGCACAAGACAAAGATGCCCTTTCTCACCACTCCTATTCAACATAGTATTGGAAGTTCTGGCCAGAACAATCAGGCAGGAGAAAGAAATAAAGGGTATTCAAATAGGAAGAGAGGAAGTCAAATTGTATCTGTCTGCAGATGACATGATTTTATATTTAGAAAACCCCAGCATCTCAGCCCAAAATCTCCTTAAGCTCATAAGCAACTTCAGCAAAGTCTCAGGATACAAAATCAATGTGCAAAAATCACAAGCATGCTTATATACCAATAATAGACAGAGAGGCAAATCATGAGTGAACTCCCATTCACAGTTGCTACAAAGAGAATAACATACCTAGGAATACAACTTACAAGGGATGTGAAGGACTTCTTCAAGGAGAACTACAAACCACTGCTCAAGGGAATAAAAGAGGACACAAACAAATGGAAGAACATTCCATGCTCATGGATAGGAAGAATCAATATCATGAAAATGGCCATAGTGCCCAAAGTAATTTATACATTCAATGCTATCCCCATCAAGCTACCATTGAGTATCTTCACAGAATTAGAAAAAAACTACTTTAAATTTCATATGAACCAAAAAAGAGCCTGTACAGCCAAGACCATCCTAAGCAAAAAGAACAAAGCTGGAGGCATCACTCTACCTGACTTTAAACTATACTACAAGGCTACAGTGACCAAAACAGCATGGTAATGGTACCAAAACAGATATACAGGCCAATGTCACAGAACAGAGGCCTCAGAAATAATGCCACACATCTACAACCATCTGATTTTCGACAAACCTGACAAAAACAAGAAATGGGGAAAGGATTCCACATTTAATAAATGGTGTTGGGAAAACTGGCTAGCCTTATGCAGAAAACAGAAACTGGACCCCTTCCTTAAGCCTATACAAAAATTAACTCAAGATGGATTAAAGACTTAAACTTAAGACCTAAAAACCATAAAAACCCTAGAAGAAAACGTAGGTAATACCATTCAGGATATAGGCATGGGCAAAGACTTCATGAATAAAACACCAAAAGCAATGGCAACAAAAGCCAAAATAGACAAATGGGATCTAATTAAACTAAGGAGTTTCTGCACAGCAAGGGAAACTATCATCAGAATGAACAGGCAGCCTACAGAACGGGAGAATATTTTTGCAATCTATCCATCTGACAAAGGGCTAATATCCAGAATCTACAAGGAACTAAAACAAATTTACAAGAAAAAACCAACCCCATCAAAAAGTGGGCAAAGGATATAAACAAGCACTTCTCAAAAGAAGACATTTATGTGGTCAAAAAAACATGAAAAAAAGCTCATCATCACTGATCATTAGAGAAATGAAAATCAAAACCACAATGAGATACAACCTCAAGCCAGTTAGAATGGCGATTGTTAAAAAGTCAGGAAAAAACAGATGCTGGAGAGAATGTGGAGAAATAGGAAGGCTTTTATACTGTTGGTGGGAGTGTAAATTAGTTCAACTATTGTGGAAGACAGTGTGGCAATTCCTCAAGGATCTAGAACCAGAAATACCATTTGACCCAGCAATGCCATTACTGGGTATACACCCAAAGGTATAAATTATTCTACTATAAAGACACATGCACACAGATGTTTATTGCAGTACTGTTCACAATAGCAAAGACTTGGAACCAACCCAAATGTCCATCAGTGATAGACTGGATAAAGAAAATGTGGCACATACACACCATGGAATACTATGCAGCCATAAAAAAGGATGAGTTCATGTCCTTTGCAGGGACATGGATGATGCTGGAAACCATCATTCTCAGCAAACTAACACAAGAACAGAAAACCAAACACTGCATGTTCTCACTCATAAGTGACAGTTGAACAATGAGAACACATGAACACCGGGAGGGCAACATCACACACCAGGGCCTGTCGGGGGGTGGGGAG
Source organism: Homo sapiens (assembly GCF_000001405.40). Classification (NCBI taxonomy): domain Eukaryota; kingdom Metazoa; phylum Chordata; class Mammalia; order Primates; family Hominidae; genus Homo; species Homo sapiens. The sequence goes on from NC_000013.11 coordinate 67,901,450, forward strand.
CTAGAGGAGGGATAGCATTAAGGGAAATACTTAATGTAGATGATGGGTTGATGAGTGCAGCAGACCAACATGGCACGTGTATACCTATGTAACAAACCGACACGTTCTGCACATGTATCTCAGAACTTGAAGTATAATAATAAAAAAAGGATGAAAAAAATTGTAAAAAAAAATCCCAGCAAATTGGATCCAGCAAAATATAAAAAGGCTTATACACAATTATCAAATGGGATTTATTTTAGGAATGAAAAGTTTGTATAACACCAGTTTGTATTAGTTTGGTGCAAAAGTTATTGCAATTTTGCCATTACCTTTTTTTTTTTTTTTTTTTTTTTTTTTCTGAGACAGAGTCTCACTCTCTTGCCCAGGCTGGAGTACAGTGGCTTGATGTTGGCTCACCACAACCTCCACCTCCTGGATTCAAGTGATTCTCCTACCTCAGCCCCTTGAGTAGCTAGGATTACACGCACCCACCACCACACCCGGCTAATTTTTGTATTTTAATAGAGACAGGGTTTCACCATGTTGGCCAGGCTAGTATCAAACTCCTGACCTCGTGATCCAAATGCCTCGGCCCCCCAAAGTGCTAGGATTACAGGCTTGAGCCACCTCATCTAGCCGCCATTACTTTAAGGAACCATCTAGGAACAAAATATACACACAGCATTATTTTGTGTGTGTATTCACAAAATATACACACAGCATTATTTTGTGTGTGTATTCACAAAATATACACACAGCATTAAGGGCTGGTTTTTATCTTTTATTTTTCAAATCCTCTTTTCTTCCCTAGGTGTCCAAGTCACACAGAGCCATGGAATCTCACAGGTGTCTGAGAATTCCTCCTCCTGGGACTCTCAGAGGATCCAGAACTGCAGCCCGTCCTCGCTGGGTTGTCCCGGTCCATGTATCTGGTCATGGTGCTGAGGAACCTGCTCATCATCCTGGCTGTCAGCTCTGACTCCCACCTCCACACCCCCATGTACTTCTTCCTCTCCAACCTGTGCTGGGCTGACATCGGTTTCACCTCGGCCATGGTTCCCAAGATGATTGTGGACATGCAGTCTCATAGCAGAGTCATCTCTTATGCGGGCTGCCTGACACGGATGTCTTTCTTGGTCCTTTTTGCATGTATAGAAGACATGCTCCTGACTGCGATGGCCTATGACTGCTTTGTAGCCATCTGTCGCCCTCTGCACTACCCAGTCATCGTGAATCCTCACCTCTCTGTCTTCTTAGTTTTGGTGTCCTTTTTCCTTAGCCTGTTGGATTCCCAGCTGCACAGTTAGATTGTGTTACAATTCACCTTCTTCAAGAATGTGGAAATCTCTAATTTTGTCTGTGAGCCATCTCAGCTTCTCAACCTTGCCTGTTCTGACAGCGTCATCAATAGCATATTCTTATATTTCGATAGTACTATGTTTGGTTTTCTTCCCATTTCAAGGATCCTTTTGTCTTACTATAAAATTGTCCCCTCTATTCTAAGGATTTCATCGTCAGATGGGAAGTATAAAGCCTTCTCCACCTGTGGCTCTCACCTGGCAGTTGTTTGCTTATTTTATGGAACAGGCATTGGCGTGTACCTGACTTCAGCTGTGTCACCACCCCCCAGGAGTGGTGTGGTGGCGTCAGTGATGTACGCTGTGGTCACCCCCATGCTGAACCCTTTCATCTATAGCCTGAGAAACAGAGACATTCAAAGCGCCCTCTGGAGGCTGCGCAGCAGAACAGTCGAATCTCATGATCTGTTCCATCCTTTTTCTTGTGTGGGTAAGAAAGGGCAACCACATTAAATCCCTGCATCTGCAAATCCTGCTCCTTAGTCACATTATTTTTGTGGCTTGATGGCTTTTATTCCTTTCCGCATTTCCTATGTGAATATTGTTTTCTTCGTTATGCCTTTAACTGGAATGGGTGAGTATTCTGGGATCCTTTGTTTAGCAGAAACCTCATGACTGAATCCTCTATACCTAGGCGGCCTCCTTTAGTTTCTGAGCAATAACCCTGTCATCCAGGTGGAATCACAACCATCTTTTTATATACGTGAAGTCCTCACTTCATTTTGGAATTCCCTGAAAGTTGACTTTATGGAAACAATGTACAGCAGGTCCTCCAACACCATTGGTGTATTCAAAGTTGTGTAGTTATAATGTTGGTGAGGAATAAGTGGTTTCACTATACCTAATTTTGCTTCAAGGTGAAGTTTTCAAGAGACTTTCAAAGATGTTAAGTGAGGACATGCTGTACATCTAATTCATATCCTCTTCCAGAGTTCACATGTAATTTCTTTATAAACTGCTTCTAGAGAATCTATTTAGGCAGGTTATGTGTAGAGATCCATGTGACCAGTCCTCAATCTTGGCTTTGAGTCAAATCACCTGGGGAGCTTAAAAATGATGAGGCCTGGGTCTCATTACCTGAGATTCTGATTTCCCGGCACCTGTGTGAGTATGTGGATTTTTTTTTTTTTTTTTAAAGCATCAGAGGTGGTTGCAATGACGAAGTTTTTAAGGCATCAAGCTCCAATGAGTAAGAACAGAAGTTAATTGTAATATGATTTCTTCAAATATTATCTTCAAATGCATTGTCCATCAACACCATACAAATGTCTATTATGCTGTTGTTTCTTACCATTTAGCATTTTCTATTTTTTTCTTTTTCTTTTTTTTTTCTTTTTGAGGCAGAGTTTCACTCTTGTTGCCCAGGCTGGAGTGCACGATCTCGGCTCACTGCAACCTCTGCCTCCTGAATTCAAGCGATTCTCCTGTCTCAGCCTTCCAAGTAGCTGGGATTACAGGCATGCACTACCATGCCTGGCTAATTTTTTTTTTCAGTGTTTTTAGTACAGACAGTGGTTCTCCATATTGGTCAGGCTGGTCTTGAACTCCCGACCTCAGGTGATCCGCCCGGTTCCGCCTCCCAACGTTCTGGCGTGTTACAGGTGTGAGCGACCACGCCCAGCCACCACTTAGCATTTTCATTTTACATTTGTTGAAATTATAGATTTATACACACTTTGATTGCTGCTTTGTGATACACTTGCATATACATAAGATGGGAAATAGAAAAGAATAAAACGGGCACAGTATCCCTGAAGTTTCACATTCCGAGACACGTTAAAAATATTTGCTCTTTAGAAATTTGTTTCAATTGAGAAACTGTGGTATACACACCCAATGAAGCATTATTCAGCCTAAAAAGGAATAAACAAAATCCTCTCCACTGCAGACAAAATGGATGAGATTGCAGGTCTGTATATTAAGTGAAATAAGCCAGGCAGAGAGTGACAAATATTTCATATCCTCACTTCTATGTAGGAACAAAAAAGAAAATCTTGGCCAGGTGTGGTGGCTCAGGCCTGTAATCCCAGCACTGTGGGAGGCCGAGTCACACGGATCACTTGAGGCCAGGAGTTCGAGACCCACCTGGCCAACATGGTGAAACCCCGACTCTACTGAAAACACAAACAATTAGCCGGGCGTGGTGACCCATGCCTGTAGTCTCAGCTACTCGGAGGGCTGAGGCCCAAGAAGCACTTGAACTCGGGAGGCGGAGGTTGCAGTGAGCCCGGATTGTGCCTGTATACTCCAACCTGGGCAACAGAAAGAGACTCCATCACACACCTACACACAAAAGGAATCTCAGGAAGGTGGAAAGTATAAAGGTGGTTAGCAGACGCTAGGAAGAAAACGGGTGGGATGGGGAATGAAGAGAAGTGGATAATGGGGTCCCAAAATACAGAAAGATGGAATAAGTGAGTTCTAGTGTTTGATAGTACAGTATGAAAATTTTAGTTCACAAGAATTTCTGGCATATTTCCAGATGCTTTGGTAAGAAGCTTCCTAACTTTCTCATTATGCTGGTTTTTCAGCTATTCTCTTTCTGCTCTCGAAATCATGCTGGATTTTTCGTTTTTGGTTTTTTGTTTTGAGACAGAGTTTTGCTCTTGTTTGCCCAGGCTGGAGTGTAATGGTGCAATCTTGGCTCACTGCAACCTCTGCCTCCTGGGTTCAAGCTTTTCTCCTGCCTCCATCTCCCGAGCAGCTGGGATTACAGGCATGCCCCAGCACGCCCAGCTAATGTTGTATTTGTAGTAGAGATGGGGGGTTTCTTCCTATCTGTCAGGCTGGTCTTGAACTCCTGACCTCAGGTGATCCGCCCTCCTCGGCCTCCCAAAGTGCTTGGATTACAGGCGTGAGCAACCGCGCCTGGCCCATGCTGCATCCTTATCTGTTGTCTGTTGTTGTTTGTTTGTTTGTTTTTGAGCCCAGAAATAACTTCTCATCTATGTGTTCAAATGATTTTTAACATGAGTGCTAAGAAAGTCCATTGGTGGAAAAGCAGCCTTTTCAAGAAATGGTGTTGGAGAAACTTGATTTCCACATGCAGAAGAATGAAGGTGGACTCTATGTCACACCAGGTGCAAAAATGAACACAAACTGGATCAAAGACCTAACCCCGAGTGCTGAAAGTATAATATGCCTCAAAGAAAACATTGGCCACACTTTCATGACATCAGATTGGGCAATGCTTTCTGGGATATGACACCAAAAGCATAGGCAACAAAAGAAAATTAGATTCCTTGGATGACATCTAAATGACAGACACTTTTGTGCATCAGCAAACACTGTGAACTGAGTGAAAAGATAACCCATGGATTAGGAAAAATATTCAAAAATCATATCTCTGAAAAGAGGCTGATATGCGTCATATACAAAGAACAGCTAGAACTGAACAACAAGAAACCCAAAGCATCCCATGAACAACGGTCAGAAGACTCGAGTAGACGTGTCCCTAAAGAAGACACAGCAATGGCCAATAAGCATCTAAAATGATGTTCAAAATCACTAATCATAGGGAAGCGCAAATCAAACCAAGAATGTGATACCACACATTTGGATGGATATGATAAACAAAGAAGCATTGGTGAAACTAGAGGGAAGTAGGAATGCTGGAATCTGATTGGAGGGAATGTAAAACCATGAAGGAACAGGGAAACTACTATGGCGTGTACTGGAAAAAGTAGAAACAGGATTATCAGATGTTCCCGCAGTTGCACTGTGGGTACCTGCCAAAAAGAATTAGAAGCCAGGAGTGGAAGAGAGATTTGTACACCCAAATTCATAGCAGCATTACTCACAACAGCCAAAATGTGGAAGCAGCCCAAGGGTTCGTGGACAGATGAATTACAAGGCACACTGCAGTTCATTCTTGCGATGGAAGACTATTCAGCCTTAAAAAGGCAGGCACTTCTGGCCGGTGCGGTGGCTCACGCCTGTAATCCCAGCATCTTGGAAGACCCAGGTGGGTGGATCGCCTGAGGCCAGGAATTCAAGACCAGCCTGGCCATCTTGGTGAAACCCTGTCTCTACTGAAAATGCAAAACATTAGAGGAGCGTGGTGGTGTGTGCCTATAGTCCCAGCTACTCGGGAGGCTGAGGCACAAGAATCGCTGGAACCCGGGAGACGGAGGTTGCAGTGAGCCCAGATTGTGCCACTGCACTCCAGCCTGTGCGACAGAGTGAGACTCCATGTAAATACAAAACAAAACCAAAACAAAAAAAAAAAAAACAAAAAAAAACACACCCAAACAACCAGACAGGCACTTCTGACACAGGCTGCAACACAGATGAACCTTGAAGACATTCTCGTCAGTGAAATAAATAAATCCCAAAAGGATAAACACGACCAGGCTCAGTGGCTCGCACCTGTAACCCCAGCACTTTGGGAGGCTGAGGCAGGTGGATTACTTAAGGTCAGGAGTTCGAGACCAGCCTGGCCAATATGGTGAAAGCTCATCTCTATTAAAAATACAAAAATTAGCTGGGCGTGGTGGCACACGCCTGTAATCCCAGCTACTCGGGATACTGAGACACAAGAATCGCTTGAACCCACCATGTGGAAGTTAAGGTCAGCCGAGACCACGCCACTGTACTCCAGCCTGGGCGACAGAGAAAGACTCTGTCTCCAAAACAAACAAACCAAAAAAATTATACACCATGTGATTCCACTTATATCACGTGTCTAGAGTAGTTAAACTTATAGAGTTACAAAATAGAATGGTGGCCCCCAGGGGTGGGCGAGAGAGAGAGGAATGGAGAGGTTGGTTAATGGGTGCAATTTCCATTTTCAAGGATAAAACTGTTCTGGAGATGATGGCGGTGATGGTTGCTAAACAATGTGAATGTACCTAATGTGATTAAACTGTAAACTGAAAAATAGTGGAAATTGTAAATGTTTATACTGGCCATTCTATATGAAATAATCTATATTTATAATTTATAACATTTATACGTGGTATACTTTCCCATAATAAAAGGTGAAAATTAAAGCACTTGGATCTTGTGAAAGAAAAGAAAGAAGCGAATAATACACACAAGCTCTCTCCTGATTAGAGGAAGAGCCCCAAAGCTTCTATGGACACTCACTTTTCTTCTTCCTGCATGATGATGAGGAAATCCTTAGAGCTTGGGGAACTTGGGTGACTGGCTAATGAGGAGCTCTGTGCCTTTAGCCCCCCAGGCCATAGAATAGTAAATACTCAGTCTGTGCCTCCAGCCCTGCAGTGTGAGGTTGCAGTCCTGTGGGCTCCACAACCGTCACCTGTATCAGGAGGCTCATGTCTCACCCTGTCTTCTGGCCAGCCTTGAGGATGGAGTCTGAGCCTCCAATGTGCACCACGCAGGGAGGACAGTGGACCTGTTCTCCGTGGTCATGGCCCAGCAGAGGGGAAGGGCAGTGCAGTGAGTGCTGAGGGACGGTCGGGAGCCTTGTTTGTTTCCTCATCCTCAGGACAAACAGGAGAGTGCCGTGGGCAGATGGGAGGAGACCAATGTGCTAACTGTCAGCTCAGCAGACTGTGGAGTTTCTGTTCTTGGTTGTGGTGGGGGGTCTCTCTCAGGAATCTTCTTCAAAATTTTGCTTCCCTCCCCCACTGGTTGTCCTTTTCATAGACGTCTCACCCACGATAGCAGGGAATGAGCCCCTCTAAACTATTCCCTCAGAACAATAAAAAGATGATGAAGGTGATGATGAGGATAAAGAGGATGGTGACAGACACCACGACATCATGAACCCTTACTGAGGGCTTCCTAAAGGCCAGGCTCTGAGCTCTGTGCTCTCTGCAGCTTGTTTCATTTCATCTGCGTAGTCTCCCAGTTATTAGTGCACATTTCAGGATTATTTTACAGACTAGAAAAGGAGCAACACATTTTCATATAACTTGTACCAGATCATGAAGTCAAAAAGGGTGAAGCCCAATTTGAACCAGGCAGTCTAAGGCCAGACACATGGCATCTGGCCAGTCCTCTCCCTGCATCCACCCTGCCCCCTCCAATCCTTGTCACTCAGGACAATGCCCCTGCTCACTGTGCCCTTCCCTTTGGGGGTTCCTTGTAGACCACAGCTAGACCAGTGGGTGCCACAATCACTGTGTCAAGTATGGAAAGGGCAGCTGAGATCACATCAAAGATTCCAGAAAGAATTGGCACAGGATCATTCGGGATGCATCTCTCCCTTGCCCCTGTTCCTGGCTTTCCTTACAGCTCTCAACTTCCTCAAAGGAGTCATAAATTCGGGGTTTGGCTTCCGTTCCTATTGAGGAAGCTGGAAACCATTTCAAAAATGCTCCTCAGATGTGCCTGTGGTTAAGACCTCTGAGCTCTGTTGAAAACTTTTGGAAGCTGGGCGCGATGGCTCACGCCTGTAATCCCAGCACTTTGGGAGGCTGAGGCAGGCGAATCACAAGGTCAGGTGTTCGAGACCAGCCGGGCCAATATGGTGAAACCCCGTCTCTCCTAAAAAAGAGAAAAAAATGAGCCGGGCGTGGTGGCGGGCTCCTGTAATCTCAGCTACTCGGCAGGCTGAGGCAAGAGAATAGCTTGAACCTGGGACGCGGAGGTTGCAGTGAGCCAAGATGACTCCACTGCACTCCAGCCTGGGCAACAGAACGAGACTCCGTCTGAAAAAAAAAAAAAAAAAAAGCAAAAACAAAAACAAAAAAGAACGCACAACATTTTGAGGGTTGGGGACCATCAAGTATAGCGCCCGGGACTTAGAGTCTGGCCATTAATTTTCAATACCACCCTTTCTACTTCTCTGTATGGCAAGGGGTGAGACGTCCATCCTCTGAGACTCAGCACTCTCATCTGAGTTGATTTCTAGTTGATCCAATGGAAGCGAGCGATGATTAAACCGATCGTGGGTGCCCGCTGCGTGATCTCTGTGTGATGGATGCGTAAAGTCAAGGCAAAGTGAATTTTAGATACATTCGTTAATATTTTCAGCTTAAATTCCATACGGTTCAACGTAAATATCCCCTGACCTGAAGTTCTGGTTTCCCTGCATTCCAGACAGGACATTTTCTTTTGTCCTTATCTCAGTAAGTACTGAGTATTGTGAGAGGAACAAGTGAGTCTCTTTTGTTTCTGATTCCCCAGAGCCTGTATCTTGCTTGGCACATAGGAGATAGCAAAAGTAAACATCTCTGTGAATTATTGAATTGACACTTCCTTGGTTCACAAAAATTGGCTGTCATCAGTGTGACGTCAGTGTGACAGAGCATGTGTTTTTAGTTTTTTGTTTTTTGAGACGGAGTTTTGCTCTTGTTGCCCAGGCTGGAGTGCAGTGGTGTGATCTCGGCTCACTGTAGCCTCTGCCTCCCAGGTTCAAGCCATTCTCCTGCCTCTGCCTCCCGAGTAGCTGGGACTACAGGCGCGCGCCGCCAGACTGGGAGAAGTTTTTGTAGTTTCAGTAGAGGCGGGGTTTCACCATGTTGGCCGGGATGGTCTTGATCTCCTGACCTCGTGATCCGCCCTCCTCGGCCTCCCAAAGTGCTGGGATCACAGGCGTGAGCCACCGCGTCTGGCCAAACTTTCTGATGAAAATTCTAAGTCCACCGAAGCTAAGGACAGGAGTTATAGCTTCCATGAATTTTAAAACAAGACCCACCGATTTGAGTAAGCAATTACTCTCTTGAAGGAGAAAAGTCAGAAAACTTAATGAGGAAATCACTAGGACCTAACTGGCCTGTGGAACTATTTTCTGCTTATGAACTATCAACTTTAATTTCATTTCCAGATGGCATGGTCTCAGCAGTTATACAGTGTTTACAGATGTTCTAAATCAAGGGAATTTGTATCAATCTATTCGAATAAAATAAAATAGTTGAGTTCTTAATTTCCTTTAACTAGGATAACCTTTTTCTTATAGTGAAGAGAATGGTTTTATTACATAGTTTCCTTTGGTAAAGATAGGCTGTCTTTTCTAGCAGTTAGGAATTTCTTATATATGATGATCTGGTTCTTGGAACATTCTTGAATCTAGTGTCTCTGAGGCAGGTGTGTACAGCAAGAAGTGAAGAACACAGAAATCAATGATGAAAGCATTAGAAGACAATTGAGTTTGTCAGAACTGCAAAATATTGCTGAGTGTGGATTGCTCTGAAATCTGAAAACATTACTTGTGAATTGCTTCTATCCAAAATGCAGACACGATGCTGGGTGTTGGTTTACTTGTTTCTGATTTCTCAACCCTCTTTTCTAGGCAAAAGGTGTCCAATCTCTACAGACCCACAGAATCTAACAGATGTCTCTATATTCCTCCTCCTAGAACCTCAGAGGATCCAGAATGACAGCCGGTCCTCGCTGGGCTGTTCCTGTCCATGTGCCTGGTCACGGTGCTGGGGAACCTGCTCATCATCCTGGCCGTCAGCCCTGACTCCCACCTCCACACCCCCATGTACATCTTCTTCTCCAACCTGTCCTTGCCTGACATCGGTTTCACCTCCACCACGGTCCCCAAGATGACTGTGGACATCCAGTCTCACAGCAGAGTCATCTCCTATGCAGGCTGCCTGACTCAGATGTCTCTCTTTGCCATTTTTGGAGGCATGGAAGAGAGACATGTTCCTGAGTGTGATGGCCTATGACCGGTTTGTAGCCATCTGTCACCCTCTATATCATTCAGCCATCATGAACCCGTGTTTCTGTGGCTTTCTAGTTTTGTTGTCTTTTTTTTTTTCTCTCAGTCTTTTAGACGTCCAGCTGCGCAACTTGATTGCCTTACAAATGACCTGCTTCAAGGATGTGGAAATTCCTAATTTCTTCTGTGACCCTTCTCAACTCCCCCATCTTGCATGTTGTGACACCTTCACCAATAACATAATCCTGTATTTCCCTGCTGCCATATTTGGTTTTCTTCCCATCTTGGGGACCCTTTTCTCTTACTATAAAATCGTTTTCTCCATTCTGAGGGTTTCATCATCTGGTGGGAAGTATAAGGCCTTCTCCACCTGTGTGTCTCACCTGTCAGTGGTTTGCTGATTTTATGGAACAGGCGTTGGAGGGTACCTCAGTTCAGATGTGTCATCTTCCCCGAGAAAGGCTGCAGTGGCCTCAGTGATGTACACGGTGGTCACCCCCATGCTGAACCCCTTCATCTACAGCCTGAGAAACAGGGATATTAAAAGTGTCCTGCGGCGGCCGCACAGCAGCACGGTCTAATCTTGATATCTTCTTATCTGTTCCATTCCTTTTGTAGTGTGGGTTAAAAAAGGCAGCAAGGTCAAATAAGAATGATATCACAGGGTGAACACCCACTGTGATATTAGAGTAATACCTCCCTAGGATATAGAATATACTGTCACAGAGTATACACACATGGGGTACACCCACTGTGATATTAGAAGGAATATCTCCCTAAAGTATGATGAAAAATATCACAGGGTGTGCACACTGTGTGATATGAGGAGTAATATTTACCCTGCATATTACGACTAATATCAAGGGTGTACACACACGGGGTACACGCACTGTGATACCAGGAGTTGTATCTCCCTAGGATATTATGAATACTATCACAGGGTATACACTATGTGCATACATCCACTGTGATATTTGAAGTAATATCTCTCTATGAGATTATAAATAACATCAAAGCGTGTACACCCCTGTGACATATTAGGAGTAACATCCTTCCAGGGTATTACAGATAATGTCACAACGTGTACACCTTCTGTGATGTTTTGTACACTCTTTGTGACATTAAGAGAAACATCCCCTTTGGATATTATGAATAATGACACAGGAGGGGTACACACATGGTGTACACTGCCTGTGTCATCAGGAGTAACATTCCCCTAGGATATTACGAATAATATCACAGCAGGTGTACACACATGGTGTACACTCCATGTGACATTCGGAAGAGCATGCCCCTAGGATATTAGGAATAGTATCACAGGCGTTGAATACCCATTTTTAATGCATAATGTCACCCCCGGTGACATTAAAAATAACATCCCCCTTGGATATTACGAATAATATGACAGGGAGTACACCCCGTGTGACATTAAGAGTAACATCCCCCGAGGATATAACGAATAATATCAGAGGGTGTCCATGCATTGTGACCTTAGTAGTAACATCTCTTAAGGATATTACAAATAATATCACAGGGCGTACAGGCATTGTGACATTAGTAGTAACATCCTGCTGGGATATGACGAGTCATATCACAGGGTGTACATACCCGTGACAATAGTAGCAACATTCCCCTAGAATATTAGGAATAATATCACAGGAGTTACAGCCCCTGTGATTTACGAGTAGCATGTCTATAGAATATTACAACTCATATCAGTGTGTGACTCTGTGTACACCCTGTGTGACTTTAGGAGTAACATCCCACAAAACTATGATGAAAAATATCACAGGGTGAACACCCCTAACATAGTTTTAGGATATCGTGAATGATGTGACAAGGTGTACACACCCTGTGACATTAGGAGCAATATCCGTCTAGGATGTTAGGAAGAATATCACATGGAACACACCTCCTGTGACATTAGGATATGACAAATAATATCACAGGGTGTACACACATCGTGACATTAGTGCTAATATCCCTCTGGTACACTATGAATAATATCACAGGGTGTACATCCCTGTGACATTAGGAGTAACATCCCCCTAGAATAGTAAGAATAATAACATGGGGTGTACACCCCCTGTGACATGAGGAGTATCATCTCCCTAGAATATTACAAATAATGTCACAGGGTGTTATCGTCTGTGCCAATAGGAGTATAGACCCCTGGGAAATTATGAATACTATCACAGGGTGTACAGCCCTGTGACATTAGGAGTAATATCTCTCTGGAATATCATGAATAACATCACAATGTGTACACCCCCTGTGTCATTAAAAGTAAAATTGCCCTAGGATATTACGAAATAGAACACAGGGAGGACACCCCGTGTGACATTAGAAGTAACATCCCCCGAGGATATAACGAATAAGATCAGAGAATGCACCTGCATTGGGACATCAGTAGTAACATCTCTTCAGGACAATAAGAATAATATCAAAGGGTGTACACGCATTGTGAAATTAGTAGTGAACTCCCGCTAGGATATTAGGAATTTTATCACAGGGTCTACATGCCCTGTGACATTAGCAGTAATGTTTTCCTAGAAGATTACGAAGAATATTAAAGGGTGTACAGGACCTGTGAATTACGAGTAACATTTCCATAGCATATTGCATGTAACATCACTGTGTGTACACGCCGTGTGACATTAGGGGTAACACCCCACAAAATTATAACGAATAATTTCACAAGGGTGCACCCTCTGTGACATTAAAAGTAACATTTCCCTAGAATATGACGACAATATCACAGAGTGTACACCCTCTGTGATAGGAGGAGTGACATCTTATGAGGATAACACGAGTAATTTGACAAGGTGTACAAACCCTGTGACATAAGGAGTGACATCCCTCTAGGACATTATGAATAATATCAAAAGGAACATACCCCGTGTGACAATAAAAGCAACCTCCCCTTAGGAGAATAACACCACAGGGTGTACACACAATGTGACATTATTATGAAGGTAAAGCTAGGCTATTGGGAAAAACATCACAGCGTACAGAATCCTGTGACATCAGGTTTAACATTCCCCTACAAAATTGCGAATAATATTGAAGGGTGTACAACCCCTGCTACTTTAGCAGCCGCATCTTGCTAGAATATGGAAGGTAATGTCCCAGGGTGTGAACCGAGGGTGGCAGTATAGAAAGGATCCTAGGAAAAATAGGGGAGTAATATCACCCGCCTCTCGCCCCCTGGATATTACGGTCCACATCGCAGGGGGGCGGGCGACCCAAGCGATGCGGGGAGTCATAACACCCCCCACCTCCCCCCTGGATATTACGATCCACATCTCAGGGGGGCGGGCGCCCCCGCCCCATGCGGGGAGTAATATCACCCTCCTCTCCCCCCAGGATATGACAATCCACAACGCAGGGCGATAGGCGCCCCCCGCGACGCGGGGAGTCATGTCACCCCCCTCTCGCCCCCTGGATATGACGATCCACATCGCAGGAGTGTGAGGCACCCCCCGCGATGCGGGGAGTAAGAGACAGCCCCTCTTCCCCCCTGGATATGAAGATCCACATAGCAGGGGGGTGAGGCACCCCCCGTGATGCGGGGAGTAAGAGCCAGACCCTCTCCCCCTCTGGTTTTTAGGATCCGCGGTGGACTCTCAGCCTGTTTACCATATTGTGAGTAAGATCATCTCCCCCTCTGGAGATTATGAACTGTTTCACAGACGGGTGTACTCCCGTCTGTATTGGGAGTAATATCATCCTCTTCCTCCCTGAATATTAAGAACAGTGTCACAGGGGTGTTTCTACTCCCTGGGATATCGCGTGTCATATCCTCCTCTCCCACGTTGCAATTAGAGACAATATCAGTGGGGGCGTGTCCACCTTCTGCGATATTGAAAGTAATATCATGCTCTTCCCTCCAGGATCATGTGAACAATATCCATGGGGGGTGTCCACTTTCTGCCACATATGTAGTCATATCACCCCCTCTGCCTTGGAATATTATTAAGGACCATCTCACACGGGGGTGTACACTTCCTGCAATATTGGGAGTACTATCAACCTCTCGGCCTCTGAATATTAGGAAGAATATCACAGGGTGGGTGTACACCTCCTGCTCTATTATGGGAAGTCATATCTATCTATTATGGGGAGTAATATCATCCTCTCCCTTTCAGGATATTAATAACAATTTCACAGGCTGGGTGAACACAGCCTGCGATGCTGGAATTATTATCATCCTCTCCCCCTCGGGATACTAGGAACAATATCACAGAAGAGGTGTACACTCCCTGCGATATTGGGAGTAGTATCATACGCTTCTTCCGTGTATATTAGGAGCAATATCACCGGGTGGCTGTACCTTGATTGCTATGTTGGCAGTCATGTCATACTCTACCCGCTGGGTATTATGATCGGTGTCACAGGGTGAGTGTACACCTACTGCGATATGAAAACTATTACAATGCTCTCGATCCCTGGATATTAGGAACAATATCACAGGTAGGTGTACACCCCCTGCAGTATTAGCAGTAATAATATTATGAATTATTAAACATCAGTCTTAGTAATAATCAATGGTAATATTAATAGCATAACGTTATTAATCATTAATGATTATTTTCAAGATATGATTATGCATGATTAAAATTAATTATTAATATTAATGTCACTTTTAATATTAGTTATTAATCTTAATATTAATTATTTTTTTATTACCAACATCACTTATGATTGATTGAAGTAACATTAATTACTGATATCATTATTTTATTATTAATAGTGATATTGCTATTAATTATTAATAGTAACATTAATATTTTTCATCCGTACTGTTTTACTGTCTCTACTGTAATTATTAATATCTATGATTACTATTAATTATTATATCTATTAATATTAATAATTAATATAACTGTTCCCGATATCCGTGGGGGAGAGGATATTACTCCCAATATCGCAGAAAGTGTACACCCCTCTATGATGTTACTCCTAATAGCCAGGGGGTAGAGGATGACATTATTGAAAATAGCGCAGTGGGTGTACATCCCTTCAGTCATCTTGTTCCTAGATGGTTCCTAAAATTAGGAATATTATTTTAATGCTATGATTCTAGCATTACTAGAATCATATTGGACACAAGCAGGGCCTGGACTTAGGCTGAGAAAAATGCCCCCTATGCTGTTTGACAGGGCACCCTGACGTCATGTTCTCTAGGACTTCTGACATATTGAGTCTTCTGGATCCTCCACTTCTTTTTTGGATCATTTTGTTTATTTCTTTGACCAAACAGATACTCGATAATTTCCAAGGATTCCATGCTCATTATCACTCTCCATAGGACACAACATTTCTTTACAAAAAAAAAAAAAAAAAGAGGAGTGGTTGGCTACCACAAATTTCTGGTTAGTAATAATTATCTAACTGAACTTTGCTATTTTGCTTTCCAGTGTAGTCACTTATGCCACTCTTTCTTGAGTGACCCTATTTACCAACCATCAGGACACTCCAAAACCTCTCTTAAAAACCTTTTTTTTTTCAGTTCCCCTTTCTAACTTTGTTTATGGACTTTCGTGTTTTCACTGTTCACCTGTACTACAAATGAGCTTTGTAATTCCTTGAACCTTTTAATTTGAATAACCTTTACATCCTCTACATTTTAGTTTCATGCCTACATATAAACTATCTATCTGATTTACCTCTTCAATAAAAAACAGACTCTTCTAAAATGCAGTGCACATCTGATGTCTGCACAGTTCAAAGCAAAGGCATGCAGACTTGAAATTTTGTTTTAACTCTATAGGTTTTCTGTAAGAACAAGACATAGAGTGCCTTTGTTTTATATCATTAATGCACACATAAAATGCTTTCCTTATCTTTTCTTCACCTGATACCAAAAGCATATAAGCTCTTTCTTAAAAAGAGCATATAAAGAAAAGAATATGTTTAAAAACTACAAATTCTCATCCACTAGTAAAAACTTAAGAATTAGTTTTTTAAAAGAGACTACACAGACAAAATTAGTGCCTTTCATGGTCCGTCATGCCTTTCTTGGAAATGTATCCCTTCTATATTTTCTTTCATGCTTTAGAGGTTGACACCATATAGGACTGTCAACTCTTGAAGCTCTGATTATTGCAATAATGTTTAATGAGTCCAAACACAATTTCTGTATCCTGTAATATATTCTGAACACTACAGCTTTTGTAACTTCCTAAAATAACCATGATCATGTAATTTCCTTGCGAAAATATCTATAAAAATTTCTAATAAATTAAGTTTTTGTCACTTATTCATTGAATAAATATTTGATGCTTACTAAGGTCTATTCTGTACTGTAGGTCACATGGATACAGTAATAAATAAAACGTAAAATGTCTCTGGTGTCATGAACCTTAAATTCTAATTTTACTAAGTACAGAGTAATATGATGGAAAGTGATAGGTGAAGGGTACTTTCTTTGACCAAAGAAAGGCCCTCTAAGCTGTTGACATGCTAGTTAATTTATCTAGGGAGACAGCCAGGAAAACGAATGGAAGCAGCATATTGTAGACAACATGCAAAAAGTAGGGTCGAGATGCTAGGGCAAAAACAGAGATGATCTTTCCAGCCCTAGAACATACAGAGGAGACTGGCAAAAGATGATGTAAAAAAGGGAAGGCAGGGCCAGATCGTGTTGGAATTTCAGGCTGTAGAAAAGGCTTTGAATTTCATTCAAAGTGCAATATGATTCATTCTAAGTGCAATGTAATTTCAATATGATATTAGGATTTTTTAAAAATTCCAACATACAGATGCTCACTTTGAACAACTTTTATGGAAAAAAGGGAAATTTCATGGAATATTATTAGAATATCTCACAAAACTTAAGGCTAGCAATGGAGCTGTGTCTCAGGAACAAAAACATAGATTAGAGACTTAACTGTGAATAGATGATTTCCACTTTATCTTTGCCTCTTTCAGTGTGTCTGCTTCCTTATTTTCTCTTTTTCTGGAACAGATTTTCTTTTATCCCCCTGAAACATAGTCATCAACAACTCCCAAGTGGCACCATAGTTACAAACAATACTAACATATAACTCTTCTACCCATGCTTCTCCCCTGACTCAACCTCTCTCTTGTCTCCCTCTTCTCTATCTGTCTCTGTCTTCATCTCTCTCCCTCTCTCTCAGTTGCTTCTAAAATTTACAGCTAGGTCATAATTGCACAACTGTGTACATCGAAAAAGCAATCAGTGAAGAAAACATTGTAAACAGAAGTCCTGTGTTTGAACATCCAGAAATTTATGAAAATAGGGAAGAAGATAACAATAAATAAATAGCTACATATTTTAATAATGACATGATTTCTAAGCACTTATAATTTTATTTGTTTTCCTCTAAGAAATAGTGTCAAGTGGACAAGAAATGAGTTATTGTACCAATTTTAGAGATAAGCTGAAAATTAAACAGGTAATATTCTTCTTAAAGTTAACAGGTAACTAAGAGTTGTCTGGGAGATGAATTCTATTTTAGAGACAAAGTCTTCTTCATATCCGTGTATCTAATGCAATCCATAGGATTAAATTAAGTTTTTTATATGAGCTTTCAAGGCCCTCCATAGTTCTTTCCAAAATGATTCCTACATGAACCAGACATGCAATTTTTAGTGTGTTATTCAGGGGCTCTTGAGGAACCCTACACTCTACATCTACACCAGGATCTATTTACTCGGGCTTGTAGTCATGTTTATTTTAAGGAACACTTAGTATACGTCTTCTTGATAATGAATTTTTATCCACATATGACTCAGTACCATTAATCTGATAAAATTTGCCAAATTTTAACTTTATACAAACTTAAAACTGTATCCTCAGGCTTCCCCCCTAGGGATTACAAGAGTCTAAGATCCTCATATTATTTGTATACATTCTCCAAGCACTTTTCTTTAACCAAAATATGGCTATTCCATAATGATGCTATTTCCCAAGAGACACAAAAGTAGAAGATATTTAGCTCTCTGACACAATATAATTTTGGAACAGGAGGTAGAATAGCTGCCATTCTTCATTAGAAATATTTGTCACTGGTTCACAGCCTTTCTATGATATCTCTTATCCTCATTATTGGCGACTTCAGCATCTATATTAATGGACCCTTGGAAGAATATTTGTATCTATCTTCTTCTCTCCACTACCTTGTTTTGGTGACCATCACTCTAATCAGTTTCTCAACTTCCTTGTTTCGCCCCTCCAGTTCATCCGTTCCACACAGATCAACATGAATATTCCTTTTATGTCCCAAATAAGATCATATAAATATCCTTCTTAAAATCTATACATAATCTTTTACTCAGAACAATATAGCAGATTCTCAAATGTTGTCATTTCATTATAACATAGATGAGATATATACCCAAAGGAAAATCAATTATTCTACCTAAAAGACACCTGAATTTGTATGTTTATTATAGCAGTATTCACATTAGCAAAGACATGGAATCAACCTATGTGCCTAACAGTGGAAGACTGGATAAAGAAAATGTCGTAATATACGCTGTAGAATACCACACAGCCATAAAAAAGAACAAAATTACCTCATTTGCAGCCATTATCCTAAGCGAATTAATGCAGAAATGGAAAACTAAATGTCATGTGTACTCACTTATAAGTGGGAGCTAAACATTGGCTACACAGGAAAATAAAGAAAAGTAACTGTAAAGACCTTGGAGCAGGAAGAAGATATGGCATTATCCAGAGAATGTCAGAGGGTTTTTAAGACAAGAAAATATAGAGATTATGGAGAGGACTGTAAAGGGCATCAGACCGTCTTTGGAGGTTTGATCCACCAGGACTTGCAGACAGTAGCAACCAAAGACCTTGCAGCAGGAAGAAAATGGAAACAACAAACAGTGAAGATTTCAAAAGAAGGGAGAGAGGGGGACAAGGGTGGAAAAACTTTTTATTGGGTACTATTTTCACTATTTGGGTGATGGGGTCAATAGAAGCCTGAACCTCAGCATGACACAACATAACCTTGTAACAACCCTGCACATGTATCCCCTGGATCTAAAATAAGAAAAGAAAAGAAAAAATAATAACATTGATCAGAATAAATAAATCTATTCCCAGCAGGGGCCATTGTGTGGAGTCTTGACATTCTTTCCGTGTCTGCCTGGGTTTTCTCCTCAGGTATTCTCTTTTCCTCTCACATATTAAAGATGTGCATGTCAGGCTGGTTAGTGTGTCCAAGGTACCCCAGTCTGAGTGGGTGTGGGTGCGTGTGTCAATGTGCTCTGCCATGGCCTCCTGTGCAGCGTGGATTCCCGTCTTGTCCTCTGAGCTCTCCAGATAGACTTGGACACCTGCAACCCTGAACCGCAACTAACACGTGGGTAATTACCTTACTTGTTTTTATTATTCTTTCTCAAATGTATTTATAGCTCACATTTATTTCAATGTTCAATATTAGACATGTTTTGGGTCTTTATTTAGAAGTTTGGTGATGTATTTGTGACCAGAAATACGCCATAGGAACTTAACTCTTGCTTATATCAATTAGCCTATCGTAAAATTGGTTTCATTAGACATTGCTTCACTCAAAGTCATAGTTTTCAAGAACCTATCAAAGACGTTAGGTGTGGACTTACTGCATCTAACTCCGTGCTTTATTTATACAAAGCCTAGCAAGTCCTGGTGGATCAAACCTCCAAAGATGGTCTGATGCCCCTTACGGTCCTCTCCATTATCTCTATATTTTCTTGTCTTAAAAGCCTGCTGACATTCTCTCAATAATGCCATATTTTCTTCCTGCTCCAATGTCTTTACAGTAACTTTTCTCTCTGTCTTTTAAATACAAAATATAGTTCCCCTAGATTCCCCTAGATAGAGATATCGGTTAAGATAATCTTATCACCTTTCAACTTAAATGCCAGCCCTAGAAAGGACTTCCTAGCGAATAAGTTCCTTTTTATAAGTATTTTTATAACACCATGTTAATGTATTAGTTTCAATCTGTTGTAAACTGGCATAAGGCAAAGAGGCATTGAAATATTGCTTATCATTAATATCATTATTATTTAATAGAGGAAAATGAGGGATATACATGTCCTCTTTCCTTTTTTTTTTTTAACTTTAAGTTCTAGGGTACATGTGCACAACGTGCAGGTTTGTTACATATGTATACGTGTGTCATGTTGGTGTGCTGCACCCATTAACTCATCATTTACATTAGGTATATCTCCTGATGCTATCCTTACCCCCTCCCCCCACCCCACAACAGGCCCCAGAGTGTGATGTTCCCCTTCCTGTGTCCAAGTGTTCTCATTGTTCAATTCTCACCTATGAGTGAGAACATGTGGTGTTTGATTTTTTGTCCTTGCGATCGTTTGCTGAGAATGATGGTTTCCAGCTTCATCCATGTCCCTACAAAGGATATGAACTCATCCTTTTTTATGGCTGCATAGTATTCCGTGGTGTATATGTGCCACATTTTCTTAATCCAGTCTATCATTGATGGACATTTGGGTTGGTGCCAAGTCTTTGCTATTGTGAATAGTGGTGCAATAAACATACGTGTGCATGTGTCTTTATAGCAGCATGATTTATAATCCTTTAGGTATATACCCAGTAATGGAGTGGCTGGGTCAAATGGTATTTCTAGTTCTAGATCCTTGAGGAATCGCCACACTGTCTTCCACAATGGTTGAACTAGTTTACATTCCCACCAACAGTGTTAAAGTGTTCCTATTTCTCCACATCCTCTCCAGCACCTGTTGTTTCCTGACTTTTTAATGATTGCCATTCTAACTGGTGTGAGATGGTATCTCATTGTGGTTTTGATTTGCATTTCTCTGATGGCCAGGGATGATGAACATTTTTTCATGTGTCTGTTGGCTGCATAAATTTCTTCTTTTGAGAGGTGTCTGTTCATATCCTTCGCCCACTTTTTGATGGGGTTGTTTTTTTCTTGTAAATTTGTTTGAGTTCTTTGTAGATTCTGGTTATTAGCCCTTTGTCAGATGAGTAGATTGCAAAAATTTTCTCCCATTTTGTAGGCTGCCTGTTCACTCTGATGGTAGTTTCTTTTGCTGTGCAGAAGCTCTTTAGTTTAATTAGAACCCATTTGTCAATTTTGGCTTTTGTTACCATTGCTTTTGGTGTTTTAGACATGAAGTCCTTGCCCATGCCTATGTCCTGAATGGTATTGCCTAGGTTTTCTTCTAGGGTTTTTTTATGGTTTTAGGTCTAACATTTAAATCTTTAACCCATCTTGAATTAATTTTTGTATAAAGTATAAGGAAGTGATCCAGTTTCACCCTTCTACATATGGCTAGCCAGTTTTCCCAGCACCATTTATTAAATAGGGAATCCTTACCCCATTTCTTGTTTTTGTGAAGTTTGTCAAAGATCAGATGGTTGTAGATGAGTGATATTATTTCTGAGGGCTCTGTTCTGTTCCATTGGTCTATATCTCTGTTTTGGTACCGGTACCACGCTGTTTTGGTTACTGTAGCCTTGTAGTATAGTTTGAAGTCAGGTAGCGTGATGTCTCCAGCTTTGTTCTTTTGGCTTAGGATTGTCTTGACAAAGCAGGCTCCTTTTTGGTTCCATATGAACTTTAAAGTAGTTTTTTCCAATTCTGTCAAGAAAGTCATTGGTAGCTTGATGGGGATGGCATTGAATCTATAAATTACCTTAGGCAGTTTGGCCATTTTCACGATATTGATTCTTCTTATCCATGAGCATGGAATGTTCTTCCATTTGTTTGTGTCCTCTTTTATTTCATTGAGCAGTGGTTTGTAGTTCTCCTTGAAGAGGTTCTTCACATCCCTGGTAAGTTGGATTCCTAGGTATTTTATTCTCTTTGAAGCAATTGTGAATGGGAATTCACCCATGATTTGTCTCTCTGTCTGTTATTAGTGTATAAGAATGCTTGTGATTTTTGTACATTGATTTTGTATCCTGAGACTTTGCTGAAGTTGTTTATGAGCTTAAAGAGATTTTGGGCTGAGACGATGGGGTTTTCTAAATATACAATCTTGTCATCTGCAAACAGGGATACATGTCCCCTTTCTAACTTCATAGATAACAATAAAAATAAGCTTCAAATCAAATTCTGTCACACACTACACATCTAATTGTAAAATAACAATAACAAATACCCCCAAACCTAACAATTGAACATTCACTTCCAAGACTCAGTATCATTTCATCAGCTAATTGCATAAAATGTGCACTAGAATCAAATTAAATAATATCAGATTGTCAATTAACCATACAATCAAAGGTAGTTAACAATAATCCTCTAAGTCAGTGGCAAATGAAATACCATTTCAGGTTCAAGTGTCAGGAGTCACCTCAAAGAATAGAGAAAACTAAACTCATCAGATCCAATACACTGTTCAGGTAAAGACAGATAAGCCTATACAACCATTCTAGCTAATACTTTATTTTGAACTCCACTCACTTCATTAACAGTAATCTATTTATAATTGTTAATAAAGCATCTTTATTAAGAGTTGCTGATCAGAAATATAGTGAATAAAGACTATTATGGCTTCTTCTGTAGTGCTTTTAAAATACTATTTAATCGTCTTTGTAAAATGTAATTCTGATCAGGATGTTAGACAATTGGGCATATATTAAACCGAATGCAAACATACCCACAAACAGGTGCAGGTATGTATGGGGACACACACAAACACACATTCATTCACACAGACACCATTAGTATAAGTTTGACATAACTCTCTTAGGTCTTATGACTGATAACTGAGACCATTTGTGTACTGTTTATTGTTTGTTCCAGGAAACTGCACAGGAAAGATAAGATTATAAGCCAGTACATAATATCACTCTTTTGCTTTCAGAAATTTTTGCAGATTAATTTATCTGTGACAACTTTCTGCTCTTCAAGGTGAATACTTTCTTTAGTCAAACAGAATTTTCCCTATCAAACAGCATGTTAAGATTGTTTCAAGATTCTCATTCCACAGGTTAACCAATCCTGAACTATCACATCACAGGCTTTGCTCAATCCCAGTCAGTTCACTGGCTTGATGAACCCTCTGAGATCATTTGATCTCAGGCCCAAAACCCTATAAATATCTTCCACCTACTACTCCTTTCCAAGACATGGCTAATAATCTGTCAAAGGTGTACTCACACTTTACAGAATTTTAATAAACAGAGCTTTGCTTAATTAACAGTTGTCTGGTGATATTATATAGTTCACTACCTATCGGGTACTATGCTTATTACCTATGTGGCAAAATATTCTGTACACCAAACTCATATGACATGCAATTTACCTAACAAACCTGCACATGCACACTTGAACCCAAAATACAAGTTAAAAAATAAATAAGTAAAAATAAAATGAAACAAACCATGGCCACCATGACTACCTGAGCACAGTTGGCACACATAATGAAAACTGTGAAACCTGGTACAGAATTGGTACTCAAATAATATTTGAATATCAATGCAGACATGAATCATTGCTATTTCTTTCATCGTGCCATCGTGGGTATTCTCTTGTCGTCCAAAGTATATTCTCCTACAAGTCTCATTTCAAATTCTACTTGGTTCAGAAGGTTTTCTGACTTCTCCAGTACAAACTGACTTTATTGTACTGTTACACACTATGGCATTAATTTATTACAAAATATGTATTTTTTTGTGTGTGTTACTATCCTTGGGGCATGGATTGATTTGGACAATTACCTTATTATGAGATTTTTGAGACCAATGTTGTCTTTTACACTTTTTGCTTTTATAGCCACTGTGTTGCTCCCACCTCCATCCAGATGTGCTTTAAGGTCTTGCAATCACAGGAATCTACACATTATTTTTTAAAATTTAATTACTTGTATTTTACCTTCCTTTCCTGGGTTGTGATTTTTAATGGCTATGTTTAATATAAAAACAGTTGAATGTAATTTTTAATTAAATATATCAAAAATAAATCTC
Source organism: Homo sapiens (assembly GCF_000001405.40). Lineage (NCBI taxonomy): Eukaryota > Metazoa > Chordata > Mammalia > Primates > Hominidae > Homo > Homo sapiens. The sequence continues at coordinate 67,925,292 of NC_000013.11, forward strand.
ATTGAGGATAGTTTTAACTTGGTTACACTGTTTTCATAATAATGAAGTACCCATGCTCTTAAATTTTATTATAGGTGATCTTGACTTCACATGTATATATTAAGTATAGTTATTAGTGTCTGAAAAGTTATTCTAAATTCAGAAATAGACAAAAGAAAATTCTGGGTGTTCTGTCGGTACAGTATTGAGACTGATGTATTATTGTTTGTGATACAACTCTGTAGGGACAGAGGTTAACTTGTAATTATTGGCCAGTAAAGATGAAAGTATGTTTCCTCCATTGGGACAAATAACAACATAGACAGTGGTTTATGGCCTTGTTGGATTTTAACCAGCTTTGTTAAAAATTCCAGTTTTGTATTTTATCCAAATATATTTTGTTAAATTGCTTAAAATCTCAAATGTTCTTTGGAGCAATTTTAACATCTTATTGGTTTTCTCAATAATTGATGATTTAAATAAAATCATTGGCACCTGATTTTATAAACTTACATAAAATCACAATATTACCTTTATGAAATTTTAGAAATTTACATAAAGTCGCAATATTACCTTTATGAAAAATACTCTTTAGGACACTAGTTGTTGAGTCATGGTTGATATTGGTATTTTATCCAACTTTATAGGCATTTTATGAGTAAGATAATACTTTTTGTTAGTAAAATCCAGACTAAGCAGTAACCTAATTTAACAATGGTGCTAATCTAATATTTTCCTCACACAAGTTGTAAGAGTAAAATAAAGAAAACCCCACTATGTATAAAAAGCCAGTATTTTAAGAAAATTTTCTAAGATTGTGCAATTACTCTTAGGGAGTGAGGAGCTCATCTGTTTGGGAAAACTTTGTTAAAATCTTTTGATTAAACAAAGATACGTACAAGTGTATTTCTTGTGTGAGAAGTATTTTAGGTGATTCTCTTGAAGTTTTCAAACTTTGCGTTAATTCACCTTAGCACTGTTTGTAAAATGCAGACTCTTCGGTTCTACTTCCAGGAAATTTGATGATTGAGTAGTCCTGTTTGAAATAAATAACTTCGAATCAGCCTTAAAAACACAGTACCCATGTGCTGTTTATTCTCCATCGACCTCCCAATGCATATGTTTCATTCTTTCTCTCCTGCTCTGAGCCCTGGGAGATTGAGTGCTATACAGATTGGATAACTCTCTTTCCTTCTGGATTCTGGTTGGCTTCAACCAATGAAGGCATAGAAGGAGGTAAAATGAAGAAAAAGAGTGAGTTCAGGTTACATAGTTCTTTACTGCCCTGCTTTTGTGTGTTTTTGAAAGTGGTTGCATCCCTATAGAACTATAGCTTCTGTAAGTTGACTAAATTCTTACTTGGGGTTCAGTGCTGGAAATGGTTTCCAGTTGTTACTGGTCCCTGAGTAGCTTGAAACATCCTATGAAATCACTTAATCCCATCTACAACACTTACTTATTTCAATATAGTAGTTTAAAAATATGGGTTCAATAGGCTGCCTTTTGAGGGAACTAACATTAAAAATAAATAAAATGCAATTGTCATTGTATCTACTTTTTAGGAATAGTTCTCTAACATGGCTGTGCATACTTCAGCAAATTTAAAGTTCTTTTCTCCTTACATCTGGTATGAGTAGCACATGTAAAGGGTAATTATAATAATTATAATAACTATTACAATTATAATAATGGTGGCTTCAGAATTAAATTACTTTAGATATTATTAGTTCTTAGCCTTTTTTGGCTTATCATCATTTATACAAAAAGATGACAACTGTGGTTTCCACACTACATAATACACATGGGCACACATGCACACACTCCACAAAATTTTGCATGAAACCCTGAAGGCTTTAGGCACCTCAGATTAAACAGAACACTTGCCGAGAATATAGACATTTTATCCAGCAGAAGAAATGCTAGCAGAGTAACGCATCTTTAGATCTGTGTGTTGGGGGTGTGTGCATTTAATCTCAACGGATTCATTACATATATTTAGACAAATATATTCTTTTATAGGCACGATAGGCACAACTACATTATAGGCATGCATAATAGGCACTTAAGAAATATTTAGATAAATAGAAAAAGAGATTATGCTTCTCGTCAAGTCTAGGATTTCTTTTTAATAAGAATTTTATGCAAATTTATAAGCAGTGCAATTCTTGTTAAATTTGTATAGAATCATATTTCTTAAATTCCTCTTTCATAACAATAAGAATGATGCAGGAGTCTATTGTATCAATATTTCCTCATTTCTCTGAATTATCAAATCCATATTTCATGATGATATTATAGAAATAAGAACAATATTTTTGTTTCTCAACTCTGCATAAAATGACTACACAATTAAACACTTTCCTTTTTTTCCCCCAGTATAACATAATAGTAGCATTTTGTTCCTGTCTATCAATTGTCCTATTTAGGGGAGGTCCCTTGGTATAATCTTCACTGCTATATCAACTGTACTAAAAATCCCACAGCACCTATGTACTCCAGTCCTGCAGTTTTCACATCTTCAGAGAAATTATTAGTAACAATTTGAATTAATTATACTCTGTTAAGTTTCAGCTTTGTTAATAAAAATATAAACCAGCCATTTAGAAAATATAACTAAAGTGTGAAGTATGCTGATACTGTCTTGCATATTGTAAAACAGCCTCAACTGGAAAAGGATGAGATGGGGGATCCAGGTAGCAAATTAGATTGATGCGCTATCCTCGACATAATGGCATTTTCATTTCTGAGCCCAACCAGGTCCAAAACAAAACAATTTTTTATAGTTGTTCGAAATCCCAAGAGAAATGAGTTCAGGTGATCTCAACTCAGTTTCTCATGTACAAGGGGACACATCAAAAAGCTGTCACGGATTGATAGTAATTTATCACTTTCACTTTTAAAAAGTCATGGGATTAGAAGCATGAAGCAAACAAAAGCAAAAAGAAGTATTTCTAGCAACATGTTTTTTTTATTTTTCTTTTTGTATCAGCTGGAAGTTTCTCCTTTATTTCACAAGCATAGTTTTCTAAAACAAATAATGAGTACCTTTTGTTATGACATAGTAATTAAAATTTTCTTTAATATTCAATTATTAACATTTAAAATGGAAAATTGGTGTCACTCATAACCACTGTTTACAATAAATGTAGCAATTAAATGTTATCATACATATTTAAAAGTATTGATATCAGACAGGCAAATAAAACTTAAATCTAGGTTTTCTTATATATTCCTGTCATCCAGATGAAAATTAGTAGATACCTTAAGTATATAAAATTCACAAATATTTGTGTTTTAAAGCTGTTGAATAATTTTATGTTAATGTGTTTTTCAAGGAAACCAAACAACTCTTGAAAATAATTACAGTTAGTAAAAATAATTATGTAACATTCTATAAAGTACGATGCCTTCTGAAGGGTAATGATGTGACATTACAATGTAGAAAAATTATTTTAGATGTTTGCTGTGGATATTCAACTTTTCATTCACCCTCAAATCTCTTGTGACACATCAATCTCTCAGAAATCTGAAATGTCAACTGTGTGACAGCCAAGAGAATATACCAGTATTTGAAACATTACAGAGATGTGGGTCACAAGGACAGGACATAGTGTAATTTATTTAAATATTATTTGGGTTCCTTCTCAGATATTGGCTAATCAAAAATTATTAAATTAGACAAGAAGTCAGAAGTATTTTAAAAATATAAAATCTAAAAGTATGCATATTATAATCATTTTCACTTTGAATACAAGGCATAAAGAATATATTCAGGTGTCCTTTAAAACAAATTAGAAGAAAGGTGGAGAATGTCATGGCTTATTAAAAAGCAACAGCAATTCTGTTCCCTTGAAAATGTCATAAAAAAGATAACGCAAAAATTAACTTCAGTTGATATTGAAAGAGAGAGAAAATTTCAGTAGAAATTCATTATGATTATCAATTTGATAAGAGTAAGCTATTTGGATAACATAATAGATGTTTTCATATTATGAAAGTTGTATATTAGAGCCAAGCTGTGCTCATTGATAATTTATTGCCTTTTAGTTATATATATTCAAGGGATCATGTGGTTCAATGGCAGAACTAATACAAAATGAAAGTTAATGTTAATATGCAATTTAAAAAACGTACCTTAGAAAGACATGTACTAAGGTACATACTAAAGAATGTGGTAAGCATGTGCTTTATTCATTATGGAATTTATGTAAATTTGTAGCTAATTTTTATCACATTTTGTTGAGGAGTTTTGTTTTTGTTGTCCCCTGAAGATATATAGCTTTCACAGTTCCTAACTTGGAAAATAACATCATTTCTTTTCAACAAGAAAAGGGCATTATGAAGAAAGAGAATAAGTGATGCACAGACCCACTCTTTTGTTTAAAATGAGATTAAAGAAACAAACTCTTCCACTTCAATCAGCATGCATAAAAATGAGAGAAGAACTAAAATCAAAGAGAATGAAATGAGTCATGTTTAATGATTTTAATGTTCTCCAAATGAGGTAAATGAGCACCCTTTTCATTAAGATGGTATAGAACTAACATGAATAAATTTTCTTAACAAATCAGTAATTGTGGAAAGAATCTTTTCATGAATCCCAGGACACCACATGTGATTGTTCAACAGAAAAACTAACTATTGTTATTCAGCAGAATTATCTCAATTTTTTAAGACAAATAACAAAAATATTACACAAACACATTGTTAAATTTAATATTTTACTTAAATTTTTCCAGGAGACTAAAATGTTTTATTCACACAACATCTGTCTTTTAGATATAATTAACATCACCATGATTCAAACATTCTATGATTCCTCCTGAACCTCAATTCTTTTTCATTTTTGGTCTCACTCTTTTATTCTCAGCATTAAATTCAACTTTACTTGCCCTGTTACCCTAAAATAAATATAAGAAAGAAATTTAATTGTAGGAGAAATTTTAACATTAGAGATAACAGAGAGTATTTACCTGATATCCACATTATTTCACCACTAAGTATAAGACGTTAACATAATTCCAATTGTCTCAGTTACCTTATGTAGTACTTGTAGGTTGTTTCTTTCCCACAGCTTTTTTTTTGTGGGAAGTAATCAGCCACAAAACATATTCAAACTGTTTCTCAGTTTCTAAAGACAATGTCCTATCTATGCCATTACTGTTTTCTTAATAATTTCAGTAAGTCTTGAATGAAGAAAAACTTAATACCCTAATGAAAGAGTTATGATTTCAATAAAATTAATCAATGTATTGCAATAATTTTTCACAAAAATATTTTGAAATAGAAACTTGAATTAAACAAACCTACTTTGGGTTAATTGATTAATTTGAACCAAAAATAAAATTACACTTACCATATATTTATTTGACAACATTATATTAAGCTCCAGAGAGGATACAAAGCTGAATAGGTAAAATATCTTTTAAGTATAATAATTAAGTACCAGTATAAGAAGCCGAAAATATGTGCATAGTAAGTTCATAATATGGCAAAAGCAAATCAATAGTAATAACCATTATTGATATAACTTACAGAGATGTAACTTAACTGTTTTTGAGATAACTTATAGTGATATAGCAACTGTTTTGACTGAAAACTGAAATCAACTTTAGGAAATTCTTGCTTAGGACAATAAGACTGCAAAGCATCCAACATCTTTGATCTTTACTTCAGGAAAGTTTGACACACAATTTATCTCTGAAAACTATTTTCTCATTTGGGCAAATAATTGGCTCCTCAAGACAATAGTGTGCTCACCTGGACAAAAAGCTTAATAGTCAGAATAAATGTTTTCTAATCAAACTTTGTCATCTTTTCATAACAATCAATTCTAACCTATTGTGTTACAAACTTTGCCAGCCAGTCCCCTGCCTGGGATGAGCTATGTTAAATCAAATCCAAATTCCCAAAACCCCATTCGTATATTTTCCTGGCTTCCACATTTTGAATTACTATTAAGACTCTGCCAAGATGTAGTTCTTTTATGATACTGTAAATTTAATATATTCAGCATTGCTTGATTAATAACTTAGGTAATTTTTTTTTTCCTAACTTAACTACTCCCTAGTCAATAGTAGGCAGCCCTGGATGTCTTGCCCAGTGGTCATCAAGTCTTAAGGCTCTCTCAGAAAATTGCATTACCTGCGGCTCCCTGAGTCTCTTGCTTAGAATGTTGTTCTGACTATAATAGTGAGGTAGGTCCCACTTTGGGTCTGAATACAATGCTGAGGTAACTTTGTCTCCTAAAAATAAAATAACATTTTAAAATAAATCTTTTGCTTAGCCCATCAGTTTTTAAAACTCTTTCTTTAGCATTTGGTCAGTAAAAATCTGTCCATTTACTTACGGCATTATTTTTTTTTTCCCTTGGATTGTCCTTTCAACTTTCTGTTTTGAGTTTATAAGAGGAATTTCGTAGACAAGAAAATAAACATAGATTATAATAAATCTGTCCCTTAATTGAGTTCCAAGGGTCAACAAGTCCCAAAAGTCTTGTCAGTTTGACATCTTTACACAACAGGCTTTGCTTTTGGTCAACTATCTTTCTAAATGACAAAGTTATAGTGGCCAGCTGGGGATACTGTTGATACGAACGCAATTGTTCTTTTGAGAGGTAACTTAGGACAAGAAATTGGTAACATGTAAAATATCATATGCTTTGCTTTTAAAATTTTTTGTGAGAAAATGTGAAAAACTGAAATTAGAAAATTGTTCTGCAAAGGATAATTTGACAAGGGAAAACAAAAAAGGAACTACACTTCAATATCCTATTCTTTTAGATCTTATGATGTTTAATTTTATATTTCAACTTGGCTGGGCCAGAGTGCCTAAATGTGTTCAAACACTATTCTGGATGTTTCAGTAAGAATGTTTTTGAAAGAGATTAACATTTAAATGAGTAGACTTTGGGTAAAATGGACATCCATAGCGTGGGTTAGCATCATCCAGTAAACTGAAGTCTGAATAGAACAAAAAGAATGACCTCTGCAGAGCAAGAATGAATTCTGCAGCAGACAGCCTTCATATTTGAACTGCAACATTGCCTCTCTGCTGGGTCTCCAGCCTGTTGGTTATTCTGCAGATTTTGGACCTGACTGCCTCTGTAATCATATGAATCAATTCCTTAAAACACAGCTTTCTCTTTATATATTCACATCCTATTGGTCCTTTTTCTCTGGGGAATCCAAACTCATACAGATAGATCCTCACAATATAAAATTGTCCTGTACTAGTTAAGAAACTAGAAGACTAAAATAATGTGGATAAATAATGTACTCTGAAATGGAACCAAGCACTTAACTCAGGTTTCTTTTAAATTCCTCAGAAGAAAGTTCTGTAAGCATTAAAGAACAATCTTTGAAAACATTTTATTGATAACATATGCTACAATATTAACCTTAAATCCTGCCACTATTACCCAAACTCACCCTTGGAAAGAAAAATTCTTCAGGGGGTAGAAAACAAACTTCAAACATTAACCATATTTCAGCCAATACATCTCACTAGCGTACTTCCAACCAAAGAATGTTTTTTTCTCTTGTGAAACCACACCTGCTAACTACAAAGATATCATAAATGGAACTACCTCTTTAACTGCTCTCCTAAAGTATTCTTCCTTAGATAAGTAATTTGAATCTCAACCTATTGTTTTCCTCCTATCTAAGTTGAAACTCTAATTGAAAATCTTCAGAAGTTCTTAGTCTTCTTATGGTCCAAGTATCCTGTTGATATTGACAGACTTATTGGTGTTGAATATATTAAAGTTTAGATTCTCTCACATACACATCTTCCCAACTTGTACATTTTCCTTCAAAACACTGTGTCAATATAGAACCAAAACCAACACGGAAAGCCTGGTAGGAACAAAGCCTCATGATACTTGTACCCATCTTTGTAATATTTATCCTCTTAGTCACCAAGTACAACAGGAAAGGATATCGAATTACTCCACACTCCTGGACCATAAAAAGAAAATAGTCATCTTCTGCTTTTCATGACACTGAACCCAAGTACTATTTTACCTTCAATGTCACTTAAGCCTAAATATTTTCCCATCGTGTATCTGCGCTCTGCTTTTACTTTTTAATCCAAAATAAGTGGATCGCCACTTGCTTTGGATTATTGGGGAAATGATATCTAAGATTGATTTCATGTATTTACCTAGTTCAAAACGTCAAAATACAAGAGACGTTAGGGAGGATGCAGAGGAAAAAAATGCTATACATGTTTGCTGGGAATATAAATTAGTACAACCTCTATGGAAAACAGGATGAAGATTTCTCAAATAACTAAAAAAAGAACTGTCATTTGATCCAGCAATTTCACTATTGAGTATCCACCCAACGGAAAAACAATCATTATATAAACAAGATGCCAGCCTTTATGTTTATCACAGAACTATTCATGATAGCAAAGATAATGAATCAACCTAACTGTCTATCAACAGATAAATAAAGAAAATGTGATACACACACACACACACACACACACACCACACACACAAAGGAATATATGTAATGAAATCATGTCTTTTGCAGAAACATGGATGGGACTGGAGGCCATTATCATGACTTACTGTTTCTAGTGAAACGTCCTAGAAACAGTAAGTCAAATACTGGATGTTCTCACTTATAAGTGGAAGCTAACTAATGTGACACATGGACATAGAGTGTGGAATAATAGACATTGGAGACTTGGAAGTGTGCAAGGGTGGGAGGGAAGTGAAGAATGAGAAATGAATGGATGCAATGCACATTATTTGGGTGATGGTTACAATAAAAGCTCCAAATTCACCACTACACAATATATCTGTATAACGTAACTGTTCTTATACCCCTTAAATTTATGCAGTTTGTTTCTTAAAAAGACCATAATGCTTTTAAGGAAAAGCTATAACTTTGTCAAAGCAAAGGATAGGACATAATATATCACAAGGGTGTAAACCTGTCACTTCAAACAGACATCAATTTTTTTCCATCATGGTCATCAAGAGATAATTACAGGATTCACTGGTGTCACTACAAACAATGGGTTTATTACTTTTCTGAAATCACTATGAGAATGCATAATTCAATTAAAGTTTGAATGGGCTAACTCCTAAGCAAGAGCTAATTTTTTATTATTTAAAATTAGGAGCCATGCACAGTGGCTCACACCTGTAATCTCAGCACTTCCATTTCTTAAGAAAAAATAAGTCTTCAATAGCATCTCATTCATCGATGAACAAATGGTCTGCACAGGCCTTCGGTGTTCTGGCTCAACTTCAGGGGAACTACTAGACACCATGAATTTATTATAACATGTCTCTTTACCTCTGACAAAGGCCTATTCACCCTGTTTCAGCTCAATAACAGCTTAAGCTGAAGTAATGAAACCCTCTATGGATTTGAATTTAGATTTTCTTTTAAATGTAATGCTTCCTAATGCTAAAAACTCTTTGTTGCTCATTTAAAATACTCAGCAAGTAGGTCTAAACAAATAGGTCTATTACCAACTAAGTTTATCTCCTATAAAATTCTATTACTCCCTCACATATTTGCAAGCATCAGCATTATTCTTAAAATCATGGTACTTTATTTTCATAATCAGCAAAAGGAGATGCAAATGACTGACTGGACTCTGCCAAGAAATATTTGTACCCCAACATATTTATTTGAAAAATTCTTATATAAAATATAGATACAATATTACTTGTTAGTGGGTCTTATTTTAAGAAAAGAACAAGAATTTGTCAGAATGTGTCAAAACAGATCAACTTACTCATCATATATGACCTCTTACTAAAGACCACATCAGCTCAGATGACAGAACACAGTCCACACTCCTGATCTTGACAAATGGCTAGAGATAACAGAGCTAATGTTTATTGTGACAGAAGACACATTCTGCATATAATATGTCATTTTGGAATTCTTTGGAAACAGTACTAATTCTTGATATCACCAGGAATTCCAATTCAGAATGTCCAATAGATTAAAGTACTCTTTATTCCCTGATGCTTTTGAAGTATATAGTCATTATAAAATTAGAAGTCGGCACAAAAAAGGATTACTTGAAGGCAAAGGGAAGGGTTTTAGTAATCATTATGAAAGACAGGAGCTTTAATTAAGATCTTGGCCCCTTGACATTGCAAAAGGCCATTTTTTTAAAGAAGTTCAAAGAAGCCCTTATGGAATGCCAGTAATTGCATACCATAATTAAAAAAAAAACATTTGGGAGAAATCTGGTTATATATTACTTTACAAGAAAATAAACTTTGTCACTTTCAGATCAGCCATTTTCTATCCCTCCAAAAAACTTGCAATAATTTTATACTACATTTTTCACCACAGCAAGAACACAACAAGCATATTATATGCAACAAATACTGGAGTGGGGGACTTTATCAAAATTGCTGATGGACCTCTGCTTTGTGTCTCACCTGTCATTTCACTGTAGTTCTGGTAAACCTACAGATGAAATATGTACAAGAGGCCCAGCCTTAGGGCCCCTTTGAACACATTCAAATGAGTAACATAAAGTATACCTTGCAATAAATTTTAAGAATGTTTTGGTCATTGTTTGCTTATTTCCATGATAGATTGAAGCTTTTGCTTGAGGGAGGGCTACTGATTTACTGTTAGCAAAAATATTGCATCATGTCTAGTCTGGGCATTTCCTGTCTATTTATCCAGAGAAAAGAGCACCAATTTGGCATGACAGAAATTACAGAGAAATGCAAAGCCTTGCTAATTACCCAGAAATCTCACTGTTTGAATTATACTCAATTTTCAGTACAGTTAGGAAGAGCAAACATAATCTGAAAGTAAAATTTGCAAAGCACTTAACAAACTTTGATCTTAGATGGCCTAAAATATTATCATTGGTTTTAATATCAAATAAATACATTTTTGTGCTGAATCTACTCTTACTATCACCTTATGATTTAGTAAAAGGCCAACTCACCCACCTAGAGATATCATGCTGATTATAGGCTCTGCCTTATTGCAAATCGGCAGCACATATACTTCAAAGGACTTGTGCAAAACACTCATTCTTATAATCAGGAGGTACAGCTGGCCCTTCCTCAACATTGTTTTAGACAACTCTTGTATGACCTAAATCCTGAAGATCTGATATTCCGGAAGAAAATCCTGAGGACAGCCTATAAAATCCTATGAATAGGACACATAAGTATATGAGCAAAGCTCCAAGAGGCTGGTCTTCGGAATGACAACTATCAGTTTAGGAGACACAGCTCTTCTCATGTTGGTGGAAGGACATTCTTCCTAGAGACTTCAAACTGAGAATACTCAGTTTCTCCAGAAGCAGCCACCTTTAGGCTCATGTAGAAACTATGTAAAGTTTCTGCCCAATACCCAGAAAACAGGATTCAGAGTATTATGTACAGAAACAGCAGAGTATTATGCCTTAATGTGTGTTAATGTTCTTTATTTTTATAACTATTTTTTCTTCTCTTTGTTAATTTATGTTTCTGACTTGCAGGGAACACTAGTTAGCTCTTAACTATGATGCCTTGAAGCCCTTTTACTTAATATTGCTTGTTTCATACCAGGTTACTTCTTGATATAAATCTAATATCTAGCTACAATGTGCTTATGATTTGGCTGAAATCTAAAATCAAATCATCTATTGGGACTCTCTCTCTCTCTCTCTCTCTCTCTCTCTCTCTCTCTCTCTATATATATATATATATATATATATATATATATATATATATTCCTCTGGGTGTGAGCCAGATCTATTCTAATGGAATGCATTGTTTCAACTTTAATTTTCCTAATCAGTAAACACACTTGTTAGAAGGTAAACATCACAAAAAGGCAAATAGCTAAAAAAAAATCCCCCTCACATGTAACTTGGGGAAAAATCTAGGAACCTTTTAGGGAGTTTGTCTTTGTAACTTAACTTTCATAATTATAGAGCTTGGCAGGGTGCTGTGGCACACATCTGTAATCCTAGAATTTTGGGAGGCCAAGATGGGTAGATTACTTGTGCTCAGGAGCTGGAGACCAGCTGGTAAAATCTCGTCTCTACAAAAGTTAGCCAGGCAGGGTGGAGGGTGCCTGTAGTACCAGCTACTCAGGAGGCTGAGGTGGGAGGATGGCTTGAGCCTGGGAGGCAGAGGTTGTGGTGAGCCAAGATCATGCCACTGCACTCCAGCCTGAGCAACAGAGCCACAGGCTTTCTCAAAATTAATAAATAAATAAATATAGAGCTTGTTAAGAAACTATGGAAAATACTGTATGTATATTAAAGCTGTCTCACTTTTATAGACTAACAGGAACACTCACTATTTGGGTGAATCTGTGTTTCAGATCCCTAGTTGATGATGCCTTACTTTCTGCTCTTATTGAATGACATTGAGAACATACAAGTTAGCTACCTTTAATGACCTTTTGCTAAAATCCAGATAATTAGGTAGCATCCAAATTAAAATCAAACTGGTATTTGATTTTAAGCACCAAAACCTATAAGCTCTTACACGCAAACTGGATAGGGACTTAACATGGGAGACTATCGCCAGCTTTGCTGATAGTCTCATATTCAAATGAATCCAGGCTTCATTTTTATATGTTAATTTATCCCCTCTCAACAAACAACAAAAAAAAAAAAGAGGAAGAGAGATCACTCAATAACTTAATTCATGAAGGTAAAATTCAGTCCTTGAGTTGTGACCCCAAATTTAAACCAACAAAAATGAATTCTGGACTGTCTTCAGGTCTCTACATTTCACACTTTACAAGGAGACCAGAAAGTGTGAAAAATTATACTTCTGTGGTTCAGATAATGACTAAGAAACCAGAAAAAAAGTCACTGAGGCCAGACAACAAGCCGTAGAAGTTCATCAATTAGAATAAACAGCTAACCAAAACAAAACAGCCCTTTCTCTAATTTGACGTTTTGAGAAGGAGCATGTGCCATCTTAGGGGATGAATGAAGTATTTACATCCCTAGAACTTTCCATGATCTTGATAATATGAAAAAGCTCCAGGAAAACGAATAAACAATTAAATTAGGCCATTTAGCTGATATCTATATCTAGTTCTGTATTCTGTTAATATTGGAATACAATCTGTTCTGTTGGTATAACTTAAATTCTGATAGAATTTTGTTAGGATTGAATATGACAATGGACAGGGACTGAGAATTGAGCCCACTGGCATCAACATAATTGTTGGGATGCATATTTGAGAATATCTGTATCAACATAACTACTTGCTCCAGGAAGTTCTTGCACAAGAGGCAAGGTTGCACATCATCAATAACTTTACTGTTTCTTTTAGAAAATTATTGGAAACCATTTTTTGGGCAGTTTTCTCATCTAGGCAATCAAGTGTCTAATTAAAATGATAGTTTGCACTTCAGTATAAACAGTTTACTTAAAATCACAAAATCGGCTTTTTAAAACTTGTCACAGAACACTTTTCTCACAATCCTAAAATATTGTCTTACACCTTGTCAAAAACAAACCCGTTTCTTTCCTTTAAACCACTTGATCTCAGACCCCAAATCCCTATAAGTAACCTTAACTATTTTCTCTCTTTTAACATAGTACTAAAATATCTCAAGATGGTGTTCTCACTTGCTTCAGCAAGTTAAATAAACAGCTTTTCTGATTGATGGGGTTCTCCAGTAGTTTACACGAGGAAGTCAGTATCAACAATAAAGACAGAGAAATATGCTGAGAAGACATAGCATACTTTGGTCATGTGTCTGAGCCTTTCCAATAGACTGGATGGGAGATAGAAAGATAGAGTTATCAGTAAAAAGATGATCATAGATGAAGAAGATGAAGAAGAAAATAGACAAAACAATGAAACAATGTAACCTTCTGGTGAAAACATGTTGCTGAATCGTAGTGGAAGAGAAGTAAGAGAGAATGGTAATAGTAAAAATTTTTAAAAAATCTCTGTAGAGGAAAAGTTAGTGCAATGAAGTAGCAGATTTGAATGCCAAACACGTTTAGTGCTACAGAAACACACTCAGAATTTAAGAAAAAAAAAAAAAAAAATGGGACTACTGTGATTTGAGCCTAGAGTTGTGTTTGGGAAAGAAAGTGTCCAGAGTGGAGGACAGGGTCATAGAAACAGAAGCAGAGCTTTAAGATGGGAAACATGTTGTCTTAGCACAGGGGCGCAATAATGAAGGTCTACTGTAGAGCAGCAGTGCGTAGAAGACAAAGGAGAGATTCGAGCCAACCTGTTCTATACAGGAATATGATTCAAATCTGATATACAATTTCTGAGCCTGGGCAATCTATTTCAGAGTTTTTAATTTCCATTTTCCCAACTGTTTCTCTATTACTTTTACCTGATTTACATTCTTTTTCACATTTTAAGCTTTCTTTTAGAAATGAAAAAAGTCATAGCTTTCATATCATACTCTAAGCAGTAAAATTTTATGTAAACATTAAAATGTAGAGACTATTAATATTTAACTAATCAAATTATGCATTTAGTAGTTAAATATATAATAGAGAATGAATCAAAATATATTCCTATACTTTTCTTTTTGCATGTTATTGCTCATGTCCTTTTCTTAGCCTCCTAGTGAGATGGGGCTTCAGAATAGAAAGAAGTTATAGGATTGCTGGACCAGAAATTTAAACACAAAAAGAGTAAATACTCAGTCTCTCACTTCCCAAATACCAGAGAATAAATTTGAAAGTCAGACTTCATTGGGAAATAAAGAGTTTTCAAATTTTTATATCTATCCTGGCCAACTGCACACTAGAGTTTTACAATTTGTCTAGGGAAGAATAAAAATATATAACCATGAAGAAATGAAAAAGACAAATTCAAACTCTTACGATCTTAGAGAATTACAGAAAAAGGAGAAAGACCATGGCATGAAACCTCTAATGATAGAGCAGGTAATGGTAAATCTGGCTATAAATTTTAGGAAAAATTCCAAAAAGCTTCATTTCCAACAGTGTATGGGAAACTGTTCAGTGATTTTGGCAAGTGAAAGTAATTTAGGTGACCTTAATCCCTCATGGGCACCTTCTGGGGTGCAGGGGACCCAGATTTCCCAATAGACCTAAGGGAACATGCCCAATATGTCCTGAGGGGACATGAAGGGAGAGAACTGTAGTCATGGTGAAGAGACCACAGTTTTCACTATTCATATGTGGGAACAAGAACAGAGGAAAGTGCCTAAGATCCCAGATGCTACCATTGAATGAAATTATATTGTTTTCTGCCTAGAACTATGCATATCATTTTGAAGCAGAAAAAGGATTCATGTTTCTTTATAATCTAAGAGATGGTGAATCCTCTTACATATTTTTCTACCTCTATTCTCACATAATTCATGCACTTGGTGGAAGGTGGCAGAGATTACCATTACTTTCAGTATTAGAATGAACTATTGTATTAAGTTGGAAAATTGAAAGCAATAACTGAGCAGAAGATTCTCTTGCCCTTACCCAGGTTCCAGTAGAATTCAATGTAATTGTGACTAAACTCCAAGTCTCTGGCATATTTATATCTCTCTGAAACATAGATATAGTGATGTTTCTGCCCTTGTAGAATTATCTATTTCAGGAATCTGTCCTTTAACTCCAGCAATCTGGGAATAGGGCAATGAAGGGAAAAGGTTACAGAATAGAATAACTGTGTGAATTTGGAATGCTGTTTTTAATCTTACTTCAAAAGAGTAATATATCCAGAGGAATTTTATTTAAGCAACATTCTAATAAATTTCCACTGTTAGGAAATTACTTGTATTTTATTTAACATGTCATAAAACATTTGGATACAAAGTCAAACTGTTTTCTTTCCAAATATTCTTCAACATGTCCAATTTATTCTATTTTGTTACTTTCACCAGTATAAAATAAAACAAAATGATTAGAATTTATATTTGGCACCCAGAAAGGTAATTTATTATTAAAATACTAATATATCTTTACCTCTTTCAAAAAAAAGTTCAAATTTTCAGAAGGAGAAAAGGAAAGAAGGAATGAAGGAAGGAAGGAGAGAGAGGAAAATAAACAAGTAAATAAATCTCGTTAGGCATTTTAGAGACATCTATTTGCATGAAAATAATAAATTGAGAACACATACAGAGCTTGTCATTATTTCAGTGATGTATTTACTGCATTTTAAAATATTCTTATGTAATTGTTTTATTAGCTTTTTCTAATAGGCAATACTATTTGTTAAACTGTCTCTAGATATTTAATAATATTATGTGGCTCTTCTTTTCCCCCACAAATGGCTCCAAGGTAAAGTTTTGTACAGCGCTGTAAAAAATATATAGAATATTCATTTTCAAAGTATCATTTGTGATGACTACAAAGAATAGTTTCATAATTACTCTAATCCTTGTAATGGAGTATAGCTTCCTGAAAGGAAGCCATGTTTCTTTATATGAGAGAAAAATTGAATATTATCAAGATACCTTGCCCGAAGCCATCTGCCTTTGTTTGTGTGCTTATCTTAAAATGCCAATTGCCAGAAACCCCAAAGATAGACCAAGTGTACTTATGGATGCTTTATTTGCCAAGAATATTGTGTTTGAAAGGAAAGATAGAATGGAAATAGTTGAATAAAACGTTTGGCAGTGTTAATGAAGAAAATCTGGAAATAATGATACAATTGACATAAATATCACCAGTTCCCCATTGTATTTGCTGATTCTTTGTAAGAATCAGGTATTGGAAAACACAGTCTCTAAGGTCAAAAGCCTGGCTCTGTGACTTTGGTAAAATCACAATACTGAATTTGTTTCCATTGTTAAATAAGAAGTTAAAACTAGATCATTTATGAAAACCTTCAGCTCAGAGATAATATGATACAATGTATTTTTGTTTTGCAATTTAATTATGCAACTCTTGCCCCATTTTCAAAAAATGTTCAAGTGATGTGAAAGAGACTCTTTTAAAAATGAACCTTAAGATATCAAGATGAAATTTGAAAACTGGGACTTGAGATGCTGATTCTTTTTATTACGATATGATTCTTTGAACGATCTTCTTTGTGTGAAATAAAATTGCTGTTAGAGGCATTCTTTTAATGCTGGCTTCATTCTTTCTGTGGAAATGTGACTTTGAATGTGTGTGTGTGTGTGTGTAAAACTCACCTTGTTGTAGAAAATATTCAAGGTAGTTTGGTAAAATACAAAGCATCTCAAAAGAAAGATGCCAGCTGTGAATAAAGTGGTCCAGATTTTATTTCAACTCAAATACATTAACTGTTTTTATTTTTTCTACTACACAAAATTTAATGTCATTGTCAGTCTTATGGGGATAAAATATTGATTGTTCACTTTTTTTCTACAGTTACTAGATTTAGAGATTTGCAAGCAATCAAGAAATGATTAAATCCATTTTAATTCAATTAAGCACAAAGAAGGTCAGCCATTTATACGAATGCAGTTTCTTTGCTTTAACTTTAAATTTGCGACAACATTTTTTGGAAACAATAATTTATCATGTGCTAAACTGGATAAAATGTCATAAGCTATGGTATAGTATGTGTAATGGTAAAGAAATAAAAGTCATGTGCACCAACAGCATATAATGTCAATCTCTTTATTTCAAAGTCACACATTTTGTCTGTATATACATAGACATTGGAGAATACACATTTTTTTCTTATTGACCATAATTATCATGATAAAAGAATACAGTTTCTTTTCTTTTTTATCATAATTATTATGTGTGATACACACATATATGTATGTACATGTATAACATATTCATTTATATATTTAAATTGTAGCCCTTAGCTATCACAGAAGTTTCAGGTGAAAGCTGGTGAAGATCTATTCACTCTCAAAGACCTGAAGACCTCCTGAAATTACTTTTAAAGGATCAGGCTAAAAGTAAAGAAGAGAATAAGCAGAGAGAAGAGGTAAAGGGAAGCAATCAATATTCACCTTGAATTATAGTTTTCCTTTGCTCATTGTAAATTCTAAGGTATAAAAGTGGAACTTATGGTTTGTAATAACGATGATAAGAGATGGCATTTATTCAGTTCTACTACTTATTATTTCAGCTGTGCTGAATTAGGAAAGTGAAATGACTCAACCCTTTGAGTGTAGACACACAGAAGACGCAATATGGCAAATAGAGATTTGTCTTCGTCAGTTCAGGCTACTATAACAAAGTACCATAGGCTATGTGGGTTATAAACAACAGAAACTTATTTCTCACCGTTCTTGAAGCTGGGAGTCTGTGATCAGTGTCAGCATAGTTGGGTCCTAGGTGAAGACCTTCTTTCAGGTTGCAGACTGCCAACTTTTCATTGCAGTCTCATAGCAGAAAGAGGGCAAGAGAGCGCTCTGTGTCTCCTTTGATAAGAGCACTAATCCCATTTATAACAGCTTCATCTTCATAATCTAATTATATCCCAAAGGCCTTACCTCCTAATAGCATCCCACTGGGGGTTAAGTTTCAACACATGAATTTTGCAATGATGCAAACATTCAGCCTATTACAATATTTGAAAATCAGCTTTATTTCCACTATGTTGTGTTTAAATTTTCTTTCTTCTTTATATCCAGCACCTTGATTCTATAATGAACAGTTTACCCTACTTGCACTATCGTATATCTATCCATCCATCATTTCCATCAATATCAATATAGTATTTTACTACATTTTGCAGTATATTTACATATTAATTTAAATAAATTTTATGGCTGTTACTAATGACAGTAGTGAAAAAAATACTTCAATTGCATATTGTCATTCAGTTGAGAAAAATTTTATTCAAAATAACCCCATGGTAAAAGATAGCACAGGTCAGACTTCATGCTGAGAAAATAAAACAATGTTATCTTTTGCTGGTAAGATTTCAAGGTTGGTATTAAATCTCTATATAATGTAATGTGTTTTTTATTTTAATATTTAATTACTTTTATATAACAATTTGAAAATGTTACCTTTTTGACCCAAAAATAATTAATAAATGGTTGCTATTTGCCTATTATCATTTAGGAAAAGGCACCAATTAAAAATAAGACTGTTAACTAGTAACATGCATCTGATTTTTGTGCTTGCACTCTCAAATGTGGTTTACAAGTTTATAATATGTCCTAGATGCAAATAGTATACATATCTAGAAGAAAAATAGAAGGCATGATATCTTTGTTCTGGAGTATTCAAAAAAGTGAAGAATACAAATTGATTTTGAGCTAAATTCTATTTACTCTGTATCAAATTACCTGATTATTTTTACTTAATAAAAGCTATTAAAATTAAAAAACAAAAACAAAAAGTAAAACAAAACAAAAATCAGCATTATTATTGATAATAATAGATAACCTGGCCTAGCTATGATGACACAACCAAGACCCCTAAACATTCCTTTCAAATCTTGACTCTTAAATGGTGACCTGATGAAATGCTTGCAACTGCAACATAGAAACACCAGCCACCCCATGCTGCCTCACATACACTTCTTACTTGGGGAGTGAGAGAAGATTGGCCTCCAGATCTGGAATCCAGAATGTACAGCTGGGGTCTGGGCCAAATATCCTCAAAAATGGAACAAGATCTGAAAATACCATCCCATTCTCTGAACAGGCAGACACAATATAAGAAAGAAATGAATCAAGCCATCTGTGCTTTGTTATTTTTTTTCCAAATTTTCCAAATAGGTAAGTCAGTCCTCAATCTCTGTTGATGAGAATTTGGATAATTTGGAATTCTATTTGAAGAATTTTGAAAAAAAATACAGCACAGATGGTTCTACAAAAGAAGTCCTAGTTAAACAAGATTGAGAAGGAAGAAAGGGAGAGATAAGAGGTGGCTCATTTCACTAAATACTTTGTATTTGCAGCAAGATGTCGATCTGGAGGTTTCTATTGAAATGTAAAATTACTAAATATTGGATGTCAAAACAGGGTCTAATACAGACAACAGTCTAGATAAATCAAAGTAAATACCCATAACTGTTTAAAACGCACAAGTAGCAATGATGAATCATGGAGAAGGAAAATATGAAGAGATGATTTTTGAGGGGGTACAAACTGTACACACTTATCCGAAGGGTTCTTCATTAGGTCCATTTGTGGAACTCATTATGTGTCCCTAGATGTTTTCAGAACATGGTGCACTGAAATTTAACTTGAACTCCAGGTGTCTAGAGCAGTGGTTAACAAACATTTTCAGTAAATGGCTAGATAGTAAATATCTTAGATTTTGCACACTATATAATCTCAGTCACAACTGTTCAACTCTGCCTTTATAATGCAAAAGTAGCCACAGACAATATGTAAGCAACTGGGCATGTGTATAAATAAAACCTTATTTACACAAACAGGCAGTGAACTGAATTTGTTATGAGCCTTACTTTGCTGATCTCGGATCTAAAAGGTAAGAATATCGCTATGTAGATCTATGTTTTAGAAGTGGAGCTAAGGAAAGTGTTGCTGATTGGGAATTAGTCATCTCTCCATATTTTATTGGATCAAAGCTTTTGAGATGTCCAAGAAATATGTATATATGAAGACCACAAGGGGAAAAAGCCAGGTTGAATCATTTTACATATTGCCAAAGAAACCACTTGGGGGAAACAATCATGGAATCCCAAATGAGATATAATTGGTTTGAAATGGATAACAGGAGAAACCATTCAGCTAGAGTAAAAAAGATCATCGGCCTTTATAGAAAATGTGAAATTTATTAAAATGTCATGAAAGTGAGTCAGCTTTAAACACTTGCCATCTTGAGACAGTACCACAAAAGTAAAATCTGTTCTCACCCTTTTCTTCTTCCCCTTCATTCTGATTTTGGCAGAATCAGAACTATGGTTAGCAACCTGGAGGTGGAGGTAAAATACTAGCCTGTGAAATAAAGAAAGGTCACCTGGGGTATCTGGAAAATTCTGTTACCCTGCGCTACAATTACACTTAGTTTCAATTGCTTGGAAAATGCTTCCAAACGATGAACAACTTAAATAAACCACATTGTCAATATTTTTAATTCTGTGTAGTTTCCTAATAAAATGGTCATTAGGCATTTACTCACAGTCCTTCTACTCTGTATTTAGTCCATGCCAACAACTTCAATTACAAGGTTTTCTTGCCCAGCATAGATTAGGAACAGTCCTCTAAAGGGGAAGGAAGTGAGCAGTGTGACTGCTAGGTATGAAGCATAAATTAAAAAATACTGATGTTGTTCTTTGATAGTTTGACATTCATGAAGAAGGCAGGAAACTCTCAGACAAGCAAGAAAAACATCCTATTACGATACATTTCAATATCGATATATATTACAGCTGTCGATTATCTTTTAAAACTATGAAGCAAGCTATATTAAATAAAACACACAAGTGAAACTATTTTTCAAATGTTTTGTTGTAAACAGGTGATTTATATTGCAGTGAAATAACAACTTGTAGTAGAGTTCAATTTTGAAAATATCTCTGATAATACACTCTTTCATTTAGGATCATAGCTGTTGCTTGTTTTTTAACTAAAAAGTAGGTTAGAGATCAACTGATTGCTTGTCAAGAAAGCGACTTTTATGAGAGCTAGAATCGTTTAGTTACTTTTTAGTCCTTTACATCTTGGAACTACATCAGTGTCCCCAGGTGTAACATAGACAACTCCCTTATCATGTTGGAGTCAATGGGTCACACGGGAGACAGGTAATATACCCTGAATGGTTGTCTCAAATGCCTGCCTCAAAGATGCACAATAATTATTCAATAATTACACAACTCTTTAACAAAGTATTACACAATATTTCCCTCAGTTTTATCCCCCCTCAAATAATCATTTTTATCTTTAGACAAGGCAATAAGGTATAGAAAAATTGCCAAAGGGAACAAAATTAATTATCTTGATAACTGTAGCTGAGATTTTTCAGCTCCCATATTACACTCTGAGGTCCTGTCAAAACTGTCATCATCTTTATCTATCCATCAGCTCTGAAAACTTTGGGCTTTACTAGAAATCTTGAAATTTGTCCTCCACAGTTATTTCTGGGTAAATAGTAAAATTAGATGGAATCTACATCAGTAACTATAGAATTTTGGGAGTCAATTAAAGATGAAAATAATTGAAATCATTCCCTAGTGGTTTATATAATAGAAAATAAAACTTTTTATACCACTGTCTCATTCATAATGAATAACCTGATCCTGAAACAGATATAATTTCAGACCTCTAATGCCTAAATAGCAAGTCCAGATTACATCTCTGATTCCAACTGTAGCCACTCTAAAAAAGTGAATTGCCAAGCCCACAAAAGCAGTTAGAGTAGAGGCATCTCAAGACCTCCTCACTCCCAGTTCTTCTTCACTATGCCATAGGGTAACCCCCACCTTATAAAAAAACTGATTCCCAATATTGAAAACAAAATTTTCTGTTCTGTATATTTAGAACATAAAACTTATAAGAACAATAATTCAAAACAAATTTTTCTGTATATTAAAATTTATCATTTTTCTTAGAAAGTCAATAAATTTAAAAGGCTAAAACTGCTTATTTCATTTTTATTTTTAAAATGACCTATATTGCATTTGCTAGCTGTTGTATAAGTGACCATTACTTGTTGAATAGGGTAAGCAATAAGCTGATGTCGCCTAGCTTTATTTACTTGTTTAATTGGGTACATTAGGCGAACGTTTTAATAAAGGACTTGCTGGATACTTTTAAAGGTAGTGAAATGCTCATATAGAAATTTTAAAAATAAAAATAAAAAAGATTAGGGCAGAGTTACAACTTTACTAATCAGTTACACATTATAAGTCTTTCAAATATATTTACTGAGATGACATGGGCAGCTTTATTCAGCGATGCCCAAAAGCAAATTAACCTTACATTCTAAGTTAATGCATCAGTGGTTTCCAATGTGTTAAAATTCTACAGCACAGTGAGCATTTCCTTTAATTACCACCCAACACGTGTTAATATTACAGATGTTCTAGAACCCTTGAATCATTTCCTTAGGACTCAAGACCTTCAAGGAAGAGGGCTGGAAACTACTGCACCACAGTGGGCTATGACTTACCCCTGCATCTTCCCTGAATTACTGTGATAAGGAAAAAGAGAATAAAGGCCAGCCTGAGAAAGAGACATATGATGGAAGAGCCAAATATGGACAACTAAATTTACCATGTGTGAATATTCATAAGGCATTTCTCTGACATTTTCTAAGAATTTCATTCTTTATAAAATAGCATTTTGATCTGTAAGTGTTGGGGAAACATGGGAAAGATAAAAGCAGGTGCCAGGGGAACTTTAGCTGACCCTGCCTCCCTCATCAGGCCAAGGAGGCTTCTTGGGTATTTGCAATTTTCAAATCCTTTCTTTATCTGAACATATGGGCTTAATAACAGTGACTACGAGAGTACAGTTTAGTGAGGCTGAGGCTGCTCTACTCCCATACATTTTAAAAATAATTATAACAAGGAAATAACAAACCTGAGAGTTACTTCATACTTCATATGTTGCAATATATCTTGACAATTTTGCATTTTGTCTACTTTGTACGATTTTTGTAAGCAAGTGGAGAAAACCCTCCTCCCAGCATCCCAAAAGAGCAAAAACATATATAATTCAATGTCATCACTGGCAATCATGTAGGTAAAAAATAAGGCAGGTCATTCCAGGGAGTAAAAATGAATGACAAAGTCATTTCTAATACGCTTGACTGTAAATGAAACTGTATTGCCTCCCTCTTCTAAAATAGGAAAGAGTTTGCAATTTTACTTTATCCAGTTAAGAATGAGAGCCTCACAAGTAGCAGGTAATGGCTATTTATTATTATTATTATTATTATCATCTTTATTATTAGTTTGAGATGGAGTCTCTGTCACCCAGGCTGCTCTGTCACCCAGGTTGGAGTTCAGTGGCATGATCTCGGTTCACTGCAACCTCCACCTCCTGTGTTCCAGTGATTTTCCTGCCTCAGCTTCCCAAGTATCTGGGATTATAGGCATGCACCACCACACCTGGCTAGTTTTTGTATTTTCAGTAGAGACAGGGTTTTGCCATGTTGGCCAGGCTGGTCTCAAACTCCTGGCTTCAAGTAATCTACCTGCCTCGGCCTCCCAAAGTGCTGGGATTAGAGGTGTAAGCAGGCGCAGCCCCATTTATTTATTATTATCTTCAGTAGGATACAAAGGTATTTTTCTGAGAAAAAAATTGTCTGACAATCACTTAGAATTCAGAATTTTTCAACATTGTTTTATAAAGGAATCAGTGAATTAATTTGGGGTCAGGCAAGAAAAAGGTATCTACTGAATTTTGTCTAAAAATTCCCCTAAGGTTCTCTGGTGCGGTGATATCAGGACATCATCTTAATATATACAAATCCCCACATCTAGCCATAGGCATTATAATGATTATGTTATTGGATCAAGACATTTATGGAGCAAGTCCCTGCAGATACAATTGGCAGAGATTTCTGAGAATACTAAAATCCTATATTCCCATGTAAATTATTACAACAAAGCTCCTGGAAGAATTCACACTGGAGCAATGTTGTTGATTTTATCAGAAGTCAGTGAGCCTCACAGCCAGGTTATGTGCAACAGAGTACCCAAGTGTGTGCAAGGTATACTGGGCACGGGGAAGAGAATCTGCCTTAGCATAGGTATAAGCCCAAGGTGTTTCTGTGGCAAAGACCACTTTAGGCAGTGAAACTTGGGAGGATACACAGTGCAATACTGTGCCAGAGGCAGTGCAAAACACCTTGTTCTTTAGTCTTCTCATTCTCCTCCCATCATACTACTACTTCTAGAGAATAAACTTATGTTTATGTTTAGCAATAAATTCATATCCAGATTAAGGCGCTGATTTCCCGGTAAAAGCAGTTACTACTGCAAATACCATTCAAAGTCTTGCTCAGGAAGTTGTTTAGAGATGTGTCAGGCATGCTCTCTAATAGTTTCTCGCAGCCCAAATAGTCCAAAAGTCGCTTTATAACATAATATGACACCTTATCCCAAGCAGCAGGTATACTAGGGTCAAAGTGTGTTCTAAATGTTAATGAGTAGGCTACAACTCCATCCTGAAACATTTATCTATTCAATACTAATGACATTTGTATGATTTACTCCTCAATCACAAATTTCCATGGTGGACTAGAACCAAAGAAAGTTAAAAAAACAGAAAAAACGTGGCCAGGCCCACAAGTGCATTTAACTCTTGTGAAAGAACCTGATGATTACAAATTAGTCTTGAGTTTTTATTTTGAAACAACAGCGAAGAAAGTAGGAGCAAAGGTGCTTTTTTTGTTCTTAGCTTGTTACAAAGATACAGAAATTATTATAAAAAACATTTTTGAGCAAAAATATAATAGAATTTCCATATTCTATCTCTGAGATATTTTATAACTTCGGTAATGAAACACTAGCATAATTATATTTCTATTTAAAAAACAAAACTTTTAAGTTCCAATAAAATCAGTGTTTGAAATCCAATAGGACAGTGAATTGCAGTTATATCAGCATTACTTGACCAGTTCTATTTTCACTGCACGACATCAATATATTCTCAAAAGAAATTAAGAGCTCAGAAACTTGAGTGCTATTCTTAGTCTCTCTGAAAGTTGCGTAACATACTTACGTTTCAGTACTTGCATCTTAAAAATGTTAATGTTCATATCCACATACTTTATATTAATTGTAGAGATATAGTTGGGGAAAAAGCAGGACAAAATAAAACTTGATGAAATAGGCCAGTATTGTTATAGCCTGCTTTTAATAATGACAGTAGTGGAATAATTGTTAAGGATAATTATTTCATAAAATATATATGAAATTACATAAAATAAAAATAAGTTGTGACTAATCAGTCTAATACAAAGAAATTGTAGCCAACAGTAATTGCCATAACAGACCAATTAATTAGACACACAGCTTTATTTTTATTTATTTTTTTTCATTAAAGAAAAGAGGTTTACTTGGATCATGATTCTGTAGGCTGTACAGGAAACATGGTGTTGGTATCTGCTCGGCTTCTGATGAAGTCTCAGGGAGATTTCAATCATGGTGGAAGGTGAAGGGGGAACAGGCATGTCACTTGTTGAAACCAGGATCAAGAGAGAGAGAGATGGGGGGTAGGTGCCACATAATTTTAAATGACCAGCTCTCAAGAGAACTCACTTACTATTGCAAAGACAGCACCAAACCATGAGGGATCCACCCTTATAATCCAAACACCTCTGTATTAGGGTTCTCTCTCGAGAGAGAACTAATAGATTATAGGTATATATGAAAGGGGGTTTATTAAGGAGAACTGACTCACATGATCACAAGGTAAAGTCCCACAGTAGGCTGTCTGCAAGTTGAGGAGAAGGAAGCCAATGGTGGATCAGTCCAAGCGCAAAAACCTCAAAATTAAGAAAGCCTACAGTGCAGGCTTCAATCTGTGATCAAAGGCCAGAGAGCCCTTGGCAACCACTGGTTTAAGTCCAAGAGTCCAAAAGCTGAAGAACTTGGAGTCTGATGTTCGAGGGCAGAAAGCATCCAGCACAGGAGAAAGAGGAAGCCTGAAGGCCCAGCAGCAAGTCTGCTCTTCCATATTCTCCTGTCTGCTTTATTCTAGCTGCACTGGCAGCTGATTAGATGGTGTCCACTCAGACTGATGGTGAGTCTGCCTCTCTCAGTCCCCTGACTCAAATGTTAGTCTCATTTGGCAACACCCTCACAGACACACCCAGGAACAATATTTTGCATCCTTCAATCCAATCAAGTTGACACTCACTATTAACCCTCACAACATCCCACCAGGCCCTACCTCCAGCATTGGGGATCATTACATTCCTTTTGTTAATTATTATTTCAATAGGTTTGAGAGAACAGGTGTTGTTTAGAATAAATTCTTTAGTGGTGATTTCTGAGATTTTGGTGCACCCATCACCTGTAGACACATAGCTTTAAAAAGAATAGTGTCTTTTCAAAAACACTAATTATATGTTAAATAAAGATTAGTGATGGATAGACCTTTTTTAAACATGGATAACTAGTTTGATAATTATTACTTAAGGAATAATTTATAATGACCAATTTTATTACCACATTAAATGGAAAGATGATTTTTGCATTATCATTAGTACAAGCAATTATTATCATTAAGAAATAAGATTTTTTAAAAATTTTAACATACAAGAGTATCATTTTACCAATATTGATTTATTTTTAATTTTTAGTTTTATAATTTCTCTCTACCTAATGCTTTATATTAAAAACAAAAAAGTATACCACAGTTCATATTTAGGAATTTAATAAAAGAGACAGAGAAAATGGTCAACTGATCAGATGAATTCCTAAGGTTATTAGTTTTTGTTCTATTCAGTTTCAGTTATTCTATTTGATCATTTCCAACATTGCTTTTGTGAGCACACAAGAGATAAACGTGACTGAATTGCATATAGACATTGCCTGACCATCTCAGATGTAGTGCAGCAATCTTTCCTGTGGCTATTTTGATGTACTTTAATATTCAGAAATCGAAAACTACTGGGTATTCAGCCATCTAATTTTTATATTAATTGTTATTTCTAAAATAATAGTAATAATAGTAAAAATGTATCAGGCCGGGCCAAGAAACAGTAACCAGTCCAGACCTTTTAAGCAAATGAAAATTTAACACACAGAAATAGTTATATAGGTGGTGGAGAAGCTGAAAAGCTAAACAAGTATTGGTAAGGAATTAGGAAACCCCAACCATCTCTAAGGCTAGAGAATTAGGTCTCAAACATGGATGTATATGAAAATACAATTTTAAATCCTACATTGTGCCCCAGAAATTCTAATGTAATTAGTCTTGATGTGGTCTAAGCATTGAGATTTTAAAATCTAGGGTGTAATCAACCTTGTCACCCAATGGGTTAGG
Source organism: Homo sapiens (assembly GCF_000001405.40). Lineage (NCBI taxonomy): Eukaryota > Metazoa > Chordata > Mammalia > Primates > Hominidae > Homo > Homo sapiens. Next base: position 67,953,078 of record NC_000013.11, read on the forward strand.
CACAATCGGGAGAAGTGGTTTTTCCACAGCCCAGAAACCACAGCCAGGAGTTAGAAGTGGCTAGGGACTAGCCAATGGCAACTAGACCCGGGCAGGAGGTGCATCCACTACTAGAAGCACAAGAAGCAAAGACAGAAGGACGAATGTGTGGGCTTCTCCCCTTCTTCCCACCTTAGAAGTTCCAGCAGTGATTCCTAATGATCTAAACTATCGGGAAGCCAGAGAACAAGGGAGCTTGAGAAATGTTTTCTACAGCACAGGACAGAGCTGAAAAAGAAAGGTGAATACATGTGAGATACAGATTTTGATAACTGGCGGGCATTTTCTAGATGATCATTTAGAAAACCTTAAAACTGTGTTATTTGAAATTAACTTCCAATTTATTGTGCTATGATAATTAAGCACGTTAGTACTCTAGTTTCCACTAAATGATGATGAATTTCAACTTGGCATTTTTCTATACACACATATATATCTACATTGTTAAAACAATGCCTACATGTAATAATTTCATGCATTTCCTTTTTCTTTGCATTTTATTTCTGCTGTAAAATCTAGGGTATTTTTACATGCAATCAACTAAAATTATGTAAATAATAAAAACATTTATCACCTCACTTAGCAAGGAGACCTCATATAGATGACAGGTTGCAGGGTTTATTTAGTGTTTCAATGTTTTTTTCTCCCCATTTTTCTCCTCTGCTCTTTTTATTTTACCAGTGTTGTCACTTTCTCCTCTACTGGTTACAATATGGCTGTAGCATTTCCTAGTATCACATCAACAAATAACTATATTCAGAATAAAAATGAGCACTTCCTCTTGTGAACCTCTTGTTAATACAAAAGAAAATATCTTCCAGACATGATTTCTTAAATTCCCTTCTGACCTATTATTTAGAATTAGGTTACTTGCTTTCACCCTAGCCATGACTGTTGGTAAGAAAGTGTGTACCCAACAGTTTCAGCCTCTGAATTGGGAGATGGAATGTCGGGAGGGCAAAAAAGAGTCTCAGGCCACTTTATCTCCTTCAGCTTCTTCCACATTCATCTCTCTATGCAAACCTCTCCAACACCTGCCCCAACATAATCTATATAAAAAGAATACCTTCTTTTATTACAAGTGTTTATTCATAGCGACGGACTCCTATTGTGGTACACATACACATGTATTTTTATACGTATGTTGATACTATCATTCAACATAACTGAGTGAAAATCCCCTCAAGTTGGATCTTAGAACTCTCTTTAATAATTTAATAATAATACATTCTCTAGTAATTTGATGTGATATTAAATGATGAGGTATTACTCAACATGATATTTGATCTCATGTGATTAGACATATAATTCAGTTATTCTCAACATCTATTTCATTTCTAGCTTTATTTCCAATATAGACAATGCTATAATAAATATGGGTGCATACATTCTTCTATATATAAGTAATTTTATTCTTATGCATAAATTCATCAAAGGGGATTGCTTGATAAAAGATATATACTTTTATTTTTAAAGATGTTTTTAGATTATTTTTTCATATTTGTTTCAGTGATACAAATTCTAGACACATTAAAACATTATGTTTTTGTTCATTTTTGTTAATTTTATTTAGTTCGTGTTGTCCTAAATGCTGGTAAGACTGAACATCTTTTCTTGTAATTATTACAATTTCTGAGAATTGCCAGTTCATATTCTTTACACATCTTTATATCGAACTGAACTGTTTGTATTTTCATTGTGCATTCTTATAGAGTGTGTATAATTTAAATGTTTATATGTTATTTGCATTTTAAATATGGTTTATAAAATTTATGATATCTCCGATAAATCTGATGGTATATTTTATGATATAAATATTCAAATGTTATATATTTTAACATGTCCTGTTTTTCTGAAACAATCTGAGTGCCTAGTTTTGGCTGAGAAGGTCTTCTCTGCCCCTATATTATAAAAGCAATCACCGTCGTTTTCTGGTAAAATGATTTTGTGTTTTTAACATATTAATTTATTCTTTAGCACTATACTTTATATTACATAAGATATAAGCATATTATTATCTTTTCCATATAGACAACTGGATGTGTCCACACCATTAATAAGTGGTTCATGCTTTTTCTACTGAAATGGGCTTTCAATCTTTTAATTTAGTAAATAAACATATATATATATAATATAATTTATTCCTCAATTAGCTATTTAATTTCACCAATTTCTTTGGTTATTTTCAGACCAAAGCCAAAACTGTATGTTCCATCAACTATACATAAGTTTTAAATTTGAAAATAAAAAATGTAAAGTAGAAAGATGTAAAATCATATATGTCCTATGTAAGATAATATTTTTGGATCATGCATTTAACATGTATTCTTTGAAAATAGCATATGGCATGATTTTGTATAGTTTTGTTTTATGATAATCACCCAGTCTATGTCTTTAAATTGTAAAATCTAATCCATGTACATTTATTGCACATGGTATTATCATTTGTACATATACTTATGCATGCGTTAAATGTATTTTACACTGTCGTTCTTTCTTTTTAAGGCAAAAGAGTTGCTAGTTAGGTCAGGTTGCCATACTTTTATTTTTTTCTTTTGCTTTGGAAGATGTTTTAGTTTCCCCTTTACTTTAATGTTTACTCTTTTTATACTATATCTATTAGTTATACATGTAGTGTACTATTAATTCAAAATGGATAACTTTCTCTGCAATTAAAATATATTTTTTTCTATTAAGATGCTCTTTTATCAAATTAAAACTTTAGCCTGTTATCACTTCTTTTCTTCTCCTCTTTAAATCTGTCCTACCTTTTCAACTGAGACTTTTGAAAAACAGTTTTCTTCTTTCTTCATCTTTCTGACCCATAAACACCTAAGCTGTGCTTCAATTGATTAATAAGTATAATGCTAAAGTATTACCAAATGCTATTTTTCCTTAGATGTTTTCCTCATTTTGACCTCTTTGAAACTGGAATAAATCTTACAGTTCATGCCATGTCACAATTTAAATAAAAATATTATTTTTTTCTTAGGGTAACACAAAAATAGTGTACTTTACAGTAAAAAAGATACAAAATTACAATATCAGAATTTATCTTATAATGTTTATCTTCCGTATCAAGATTTCTCACTTGGCATGTATGTAACATAGATCCAGTCACTCTATTCTTTTACATTCGTGTGTGTGTGTAGGAAGTAAGAGAAAGAGTCAGAGAGACAGAGAGTAGGGGAGAGAGAAAAAAGGAAAAAAAAAGAGAGAGAGGAGAGCTATATTTTGCTTATCTTTTTTTTCTATATTGTCTCAAAGTCAGGTATTTGTTCTAGTTATTAGTTGGTTTTCAGAGAGACTTGAGTAGAGATATCCCTCATTATGTGAATGTTCTCTCACTGAACTTAGCAACTGAACAGACGAGAATACTTTTTTGAGATAATGTTTGTATTAGTTTTCTGCCACTATTGTAACACATTACCAAAAATGTAGTGTCTTAGGACAATACCACTATATTACGTTTTGGTTCTGGAAGTTAGAGGTTTAAAATGGTCTCACTGAACAAAAATCAAGGTGTGGACAGAGCTGCAATACCTTCTGGAGATTCTAGGTGACACTCCTCCAACTTCTAGAGGCTGCCCCCATTTCTTAACTCAGGCCCCTTCCATCATGAAAGCCAGCAAAATAATCACTCTTACCTCTGATTTCAATGCCACATCTCTTTCCCTGGCTCTCCTGTCTCCCTCTTTTACGTATAAAAACTCTTATTATGACATTGGACCCATTCGGGAAATTCTAGATTATCTTCCCATCTCAAGATCTGCACCATATCTTTTGTCATGTAGGATAACATATTTAAGGTTACAGGGATTGGACATGGAAACCTTTGGGAGGCAGCGCTGATTATTCTGCAAATCTTTGCTATCCAAACTCAGGATGAACAGATTTAGACAGTTAAACGTATTGTAGTTGTATTTTTCTCTAGGGAAGTAATTATATGTCATCTTCTCTGATTTACATTCTCAAATAATTTCTGTTTCTATCCTAACTTAATTATAATTTTGATAAGAATAGGATTTTCTTATTTTTTGAGTACATGACCTCACCTGTTTTCTATCTTGTTTTGTATATTAATCTGATGCCAATCTGATGCTCTTTTTTCTTTTTGGTTAGGTTTTTGTTTTCTGTTTTGTTTGGGACTATTATAATATACTTTCTTTTTGTATTTAAAGTTCGAAATTTTACTGGATGTGTATCTTTGATCTTGAATGTCTGTTAAGACATTAGAGATTTATCAAGTCTTTAAAATTTGCAGACTGTTTAAATTGTAAATTTCTCATTTAATCTGTTTCATTATTGCCTCTTTTTAATCTACCTTATATGTTTTTTTTAGAGTTTTCACCTCTTTATATATTTTCACAGTACTTGTAGGAGATAATCTAAGTGATTTATATAAGATTCCATAGTGTCTGTGCTTTCAGTCTTTTATCCACAAATTATTTATTTAATAAATCATAATTTTTGATCTAGAAATTTAATATTGTGCAAAATTTACATCTCCAAGAGTGATATAATTATTATAGTTATTATTACTAATTTAGTTCAAGTTTATATTTCTAACCTAGTGTTCTGTCCCCAAGAAAAGAAGAAAGTAAAAATACAATTTGAGTTTTCCCCTGTTCCTAAACTGGATTAGTATATAAACATCAGGGATTGAGGGTTCAATGAGGATTGTTAAGGTTCATAATGGCCTGGAAGATCATCTTGGTACAAATACAGGAAAAGTTTGCTTTTAACCACTTCTTTTACCAGCAAAATCCAACAGACCAAACAGTCAACTAAGAAAAACTGCAAATGACTTTAAGTAACTGCAGCCTCTAGCAAGAAGTATATCAATTAAAGCAAATAAAGAAAAATCCACTGTGGGGTGGGGGGACTGAAGAACACACACAAAACCATGAAATAAGTAAGAATAATAAGTAAAAATAATCACTTGGGAAGGCACAGCTCTCTGATAGTCAAGCCCTTATCAGAATCTGCTGAATTCCTGTATAAATCCTTGGCCCAGAGCTCTCGGTTGAACACATATCCCAGTTATGTTGGCATCAAATTCCTCAAAACCTAAGGTTTTCCATGCATATAAGCACCTAGGGACCCCAGGAGTCCTTGGAGTCAGGAATGCAAAAATGGTTTGAGGGTGGAAGTGGAGGAAGAGGAAAGTTTGCTCAGGTTAGCTCTTTTCCAGAATCCCTCTGTTTGTGAATCTTTTGAATCAACATCCACTAAGTACTTACTATTTGTCAGGACTGAGCGAGATCCTTCTTAAAATTAGTTATTCAGTGGTAGACCCAACAGACTCTGGATCCAGTTTTGGTATCATTCAATTCTTGGCTCTTCTACGTATTAGTTGTTTGAGATTGGGAAAGTTCTTGATATGGTTTGGCTGTGTTCCCACCCAAATCTCATCTTGAATTGTAGCTCCCATAATTCCCACGTGTTGTGGGAGCGACCCAGTGGGAGGTAATTGAATCCTGGTGGCGATTTTCCCCATACTGTTCGTATGGTAGTGAGTAAGTCTCACGATATATGATTATTTTATAAGGAGTTTTCCCCTTTCACTTGCATCTCATTCTCTCTTGTCTACTGCCATGCAAGACGTGCCTTTTGCCTTCTGCCACGATTGTGAGGCCTCCCCAGCCATGTCAAACTGTGAGTCCATTAAACCTCTTTTTCATTATAAATTACTCAGTCTCAGGCATGTCTTTATTAGCAGCGTGAAAACAGACTAATACAGTTCTGTTTATCAGTTTCAACATTTGCATATTGGAGAAAGTAATAGCACCCACCCTATGGAGCTATTATGAAGATGAAACACGCAGAAACACAACAAACACACACACACCTGTTTCTGGCAAATATTAAGCATTATAAAGGTATTTACCATTATTACTAATAAGCTATTTTATTCTCAAAACAAATAATGTTGTTAGCACCAGTTTTTGTTGTTGTCATTCTAATAAGAAAAAGAAAGAAAACCGAGGCTCAGGGAGATAAAGTACATGATCCAAATTCAAATAGTCATATGATGTAAAGCCTAGCTTGGAATCCAGGGTATCAGAAATGAAAGTCCGCATCATGGATTGAAGCTTTAAAATGACACAATGTTTATTTGCCATTCACTAATAGTATTCATTTACCCATTTGGTCAAATTGTCTTTTGGTAAAGGAATAAATAAACACATTTAGTCAGAAGAAATTTGAGAAAAACAAGGATATTCAATGCATTTGTTGTCACTTGGGAATGTGCCATATATTTAAGAAATAAACAGAACAAGTATCTCAGAGGGAATTTCATAACAAAAATTAGTTTTAGTTCCTCCTCTATCATCACATAAGATACTTTCTACCTCTAAGCATTTGCATCATCTTGTATTGACTACATTTCAACTGAATTTGTGACTCATTCTCCATAGTATTACTTAAGAAATCAATTTCTACATTTTTAGCTTTACCCCCTGACTATGTAGCCTAATCAATAAAACTTGTTTTTTTAAAGGAAGTTGAACAACTAGGCCACTGCACCAAAATTCCTTGAAATGGACTTAATTTGAGAAAGTACAAAATTGAGTATCTTCTTTATCCCTATCTTCTTTCATTTCATAGCTTCAATTGTTCTAGATATTGTGCCTTTCAATATTAACTCATATATTTCTCTTGATGAAGTGAATCATAAATTGTACTGTGACAATAGCTTATATATTTAGCATTTTAGTGCAAATTCAAAATCTAGAAAAAAATAGCAGGTATCAGTGCCACTAATGAGGAAAAAAAGCAGATATCAGTGCCACTAATTAATGTAACTACACATGTAAGTAGACATACAAAGTATATTCTAAGATTACATTAAATGAGATGCATAGGAGAAAACATATGCTTTTTTGTTGTTTTTTTTTTGAGACAGAGTTTTGCTCTTCTTGTCCAGGATGGGGTACAATGGCAGAATCTCAGCTCACTGCAACTCCTGGGTTCTCCACTTCTCGTGTTCAAGTGATTCCCCTGCCTCAGCCTCCTGAGTAGCTGGGATTACAGGCATGCGCCACCATGCCCAGCTAATTTTGTATTTTTAGTAGAGATGGGGTTTCACAATGTTGGTCAGGCTGGTCTTGAACTCCTGACCTCAGGTGATCAGCCAGTCTCAGCCTCCCAAAATGCTGGGATTACAGGTGTGAGCCACTGTGCCAGGCCTATGCTTTTGAAAAACAATTTAATTATACTACATTTATAAATGTTTCTCAACTGAAATGGAATATGGTAGAACTGGAAGTAGAATAATAATAAAAGAATAAATAATATTTTGCAGCATGAAAGTAAGTACATATCTGGCAAATATAATTTTCCCAGCCATATATTTGTTAAATTATGTGATGGGTTTAATTTATGGAACATTTATTACTAAAGGCTCTTGAAACTACTAAAAATTACAAATCAATAAAAATTCATATACATTTTCCATAGTAAGTAAAAATAATTTTATATAAAATAAAAAAGGACTAAACTTGTTAAAAATGAGAGTGACTTTAATATAATTAAGATTTTATGTTCATTATTATTTTTGAATTAAAAAGTTTTTTAACTAATGAAATTTTTTGTTTGTTTGTTTTTTTTCTACCATTCAGGTTTCACCGAATACACATTTCTAGTCCTATTCATCAGACATACTAACAGTGGTTAGAACAATAAAGTTATAAATTGAAAATGAAAGATAGTAATTGTGGGGATTGGCAAATAGAATTTCTACAAAAATAAAGATGTAATAAAATCAGAAGTGTTAGTGTGCTAGTAACAGAGAAAAAACTTTCTTAAGAAGCTGATATTATAAAACAGGAAAAACATTTATGTCAATAACTTCTAAGAATCTTTCTTTCTGAGTTAACCACGTACCTGTTATTAAAGCCCATGGTCACAGTGTCATATCGTTCTTTATTCTAGCATGTCTTATCAGATAAATATAAAATGTCTTCAGAAAACACATAATTATCATATAAACCTTATCAGTTACTTTCATTTGGTAGTCAATTAAACAGAGAAAATAACTTGTTATAGCATAAGCATAAAATTAAAATTTCAATTTTTATTTCATTCAGTTCAATATTCTGAAAGTATTTTCTTAGTCTGGGCTTATAAGAGATCATTGGTTTTATTTGATTATTAATGTTTTGATATAGTACCAACAAAATATAATTAATGGATTGCTTTTTGCTGAAAGAAAATTCCTTCCATTTAAGGCCTAAAAATGTGCTAGTCTCCATCACAGGACTACCATTTAGAGAGGGATTCAGCAAATACTTACTAGTTCATAATTTTTAAGGACAAAGTAATTGTGTATAGCTACAATGAGTGTTTCCGTAATTTGAACTATCAAGTAGTGGCAGCTGTATCCAAACAGACTCACAGTGCTGAACTCTGGAAGACACTGACTAAGATTAGGCCACACAAAAAGCCCATTCGTGTCACATTTTTCCTGTTACTCTGTTTGGCCCCCTTAGGTCTTAGAATGTTTTTTATGAGAATCCCTCTTCATTGAGCATTTAACCTTGCTTTTCATAACTCAGCAGCCTAAACTCTTCATCATAGGCCCTTATCTTGGAAGATTTTTTTTTAATGTATAACACTTACGTGGCTAGGAACCTAACATATTTTACGCACATATTTCTTTCAGAATAATTATTTTCATTGGCGTTATGGTTATAAAATCACATCGTTTTTGAGTAAATGGTTTCTCACCCATTTTACTTATTTGTCCTAACATTTTTAGGCAGTGATTTGCAGAATACAACATTTTTCAGTAATGTATATTGAGTTGTAGCAGAAATGTTTGTGCTAGACATAAAAGATATAAAAGGAGGAGTAATTGTGACTCTACTTTCAACACTTACAGCACTTCTTTGTAACTTTTTTAGGTTACTACTCTATGTGCAGTATAGACACTTTTATAGTAAGTTTTTTATGGCGCTTACCATATAAGAATTATGGAGGAATTGATGTATACCCATTTAGAAATAAATTTTTATTTGTCAGAAGCTTTTTAAGTTTTTTTTTCATTCATTAATCAAATAGTTATTGGGACCCATCTTGTGCGAAAAAAAATCTGAAAATATGAATATGGATGTTGAGTAAATTAGATCCACAGGGTGCTCTTCTTGTTGTACTTTGGGGAGAGAGAGGAGAAACAGACAATAAAAGGTTTTACAAGTTCTCTTTAAACAGCGATCCATGCTGTTAAAATTAAAAATTACACAACTGAACTGAGAGTGACTTTAATTTAGGTGATTGGAAAAGGAATTTCTAGGAATATGGTATTTGAACAGGGGACATAATTATATTTTGAAAAGAAAAGTACAGTAAACGTTAAATTGAATATGATAGCTATTTTCAAAATTTGATAAGATGGAAATTTGAATAGGAAGAAGAGTGAGATGTAATGTAAAATTTTCAAGATTTTAGTTAATGTGATTGAATATATTTTTCTTTCAATATTGAGCTGCTTGAATAAGCCTGCAGTTAGATTTCATTTCAATATGTTAGTTTATATAATTGCCTTTTCATGGGCAATGCTCAGCTTATGCTTTTGGATATAGAGGCTGTTTCCTGTATTGAAGAAAGCATTCCATGGCCATCAGGAGACCTGATCCCTGTCTTCTATACATAAACATATAATCTACTGTGCAATCTCAATTTTGGTATAGTCATGTGCCACACAACAATATTTTATTCAGTGATGTACCACATGTAAAATGATGATTTGATAACTTTTTAATACTGTATTTTTACTGTACTTTTAAAATGTTTATATGGGCTAGTATTTATCATTGTGTTACAATTGCCTACAGTATCAATACAGCAACATGCTATACAGGTCTGTAGCCTAGGAGCAATAGGCTGTACCATGTAGCCTAGGCGTGTAGTAGATATACCATCTAGGTTTGTGTAAGCATACTCTGTAATGTTCACAAAATGATGAAATTGCCTAATGACCCATTTCTCTCAATATATTTTCATTATTAAATGATGCGTGACTGTATTTTATATCCAAATAATCATAAAATTTGAGAAAAAACAAATTTTTGGCTGACTAGATTTTAATAATATTCTGGCAAAACTAGAATCTGCAAAAATAATTTTTTAATCTCATCTTAAAATGTTCCTTCAGGTACCTTCAGGGTGTTTCTGCACGTAGAAGTGTATGTTATTTAAGAAAAAGATTATTAAAGATTAGCCTTTGTTAATACTCTGTGAGCCTCTGGTAAGTACTCTAAGACTGGGGGAGGATGTTGCCTTCCACATGCCATGATAACTTAGATGCAATAAGGAATAAAAATTTACAAAAACAAATTAACAAATTGTTTTGTAAATTTGGTCATTACAAATCAACAAAATTTTCCTAAGAACACAGGAAAGCATTTTTATACATTGTTAGTAAATAGGCAAATTATATTCTGCTAACATATCACTATGTTTTCATAAGTAACACATATACATCTTGTATATTGAGTCTAGGTTTGTATTTATTTTTATCTCATTTGATTGAATAAGTCTCCATTGGTCAATTACTTTTATCATATTTCAACCTGAAGGTACATGAAAAAAAATCTCTTTATATATTTTACACCTAAATGGCTAAACTTCACATATGAATCCTCTAGACCATCATCTTAGTTGTGGGAATACATTTTCTATATTGAGTTTTGAAGACTTTCCAATATATTTTAAAATATTGCATTTTTTAGAGCATCAGAGGAAGGGAATTGGAACAAATTATCCAGTTAGCTACAGATTTCAAGTTCATTTTAGGTTCAATCTCTGAAGTCAATTGCATTTGGAATTTTTAGATGTAATTCTCGCTGCAAATTTCAGATCCCAGGTGGTATCAAATACACTATTATAGATCCAAAGCTTTTTGTTATAGAAGACTTGCAGCATTAATAGGCTGACACTGTTTGAATAACCTCAATCACTCGTAAGCCTTTTAAAATACTTTTTATCATTTCAGAATCTAATAAACTAACAGAATTCAATTTTCATGTTACTTGAGTCTTTGAATCTTTTACCAGAATTCTGACATCCATTAGCCATTGTCTGAATTAGGTGACTGCTGTGGTAAAGAATAAGCCATAACAAATTATCTTGTTACAAATGTAATATACACAACAGCTGGATCTTTTCTTTCTCTTATTCTCATTCTGATTGACATAAGACAGTAGCTGTAGTTTCTCACATTGTGAATAGGTTTTTGGCAGGTTAAGAAAGCAATGTACTATGCTAAAAGCTTTCTTATCATATAAAAAAATAAACAGCTTATGTGGAATTTGTAGTTTTTTAAATTCATTTTTCCCATCGCAATCAGTTTAGCCATTTGTTTCAACGTTTGTGTATGATGCTTCTGTGCATTTGTTTCACTTACCTTAATTCTAGAAAAAGAGAATACTAAAATGTTTTAGCACTAAAAATGACTTTATATTAGACTTCACTGAATGTGAAACAATATAAAATGTTTTTAGAAATTTACAGAACAATGGACATTAGAAAATAACTGATTAAACAATATTAGAATGGAAAAAACAACTGGAACATCTAAGATACAAATTATTCACTATTTTTTCACTAATTCTCTCTTATTTTACAGTGTAAAAATTTCTTATTTATTTCACTTATTCTCTCTTATTTTAGGGTGTAAAAATTTCTTAAAACTCCTGGAAGAGATTAATAAGTATTTGTTTATATCACTATGCACATAACTTTTCATTATCTTTTAGCTAGCTAGCACCCACAAAAAATGAGCATGGTATCAGCATTGTTAACCGTATTAAAAGATCTCTTCAATTTTTTTTTTCCTAAACAATGTTGGCTAGCAGAGAAAAACATGAGTGACCTATTCAAAAATGATCAAATGTCCACCATTTATAGAGATACCAAATTATACATTAAGTACAAGTATCATTGTTCCTCTCTCTCACTCCCTCCTTTTTTTTTCACTTCCGATGATGCTCATGACACAATGATCCATGTCTGCAGGGAGTGTCTCACTGACTTAACTAAGAAACTTTAGATATAATCAAGCCACAGAAGACTTAGACTGTCATTCTAGCTTTTCTCTGTAATTGATCCCTCTATACACAATTTAGCCTCAGGAAGAAGCATGACATCAGCAAAGGCAAAAGAATTCTGTAAGGATTATCAGCTGTGGGAATTAGATAGTTTTTTTTTTATTTTCAAAATTTTCACCAACTATTAGGGGTGAGAAAAGAGCAAAAATAGGGAGTTTATTTTTAAATGTGCTATGACTAAAGAATGAAATAAAGATGAAAAATAGTTAAACTGAATAATAAATCAGAAATTGGGAAATCTGAACATCAACCTATTACCTGTTATGTTTCTTTAAAAATTATGACTTTTCTTCTCTACTGAACTTTAATTTTTGAAATATGCTCTTCATACTATAATCCAACCAAGCAAACTTACATTCCTTTCTCTAAATTGTTTCTTTGAATTATTCTTTATTTGTAAGACATTTTTGTAAAAATGTTCCTGTCACTCAAAAGCCACTTAACCATATAAGTGTGTGTATATGTGTATCAAACACTCACACATACTTGTGTATGGTAGGCCTTTTAAGCATTCACATTCATGAAATTTCATTACATAGGAATGTTGAGTGTGTGTGTGTGTCTGTGTATAGCATTATATCAGAAGAAAGCTCAAGAAGCAGACAATTATTCTAACAGAAGTTGAATAGTGTGATTGTTCTGCTCACTAGTGTTGACTAGAAAATGATACAGAATTTACCTGTTTTTCGACCCATTTATTCTGGAGCACAACAGCTATTAGACAGACTTTCACATCTCAAAACTGTTATTTATTTGTTGCATTAGTTATTGTGTTTATTTATTCATGTATTAAACACTGTGATAGATTTTAGTAATGCATTAGTGAACAAAATGATGTGACACCTCCCTTTGAGTAGCATCAAATATAATTGCACATTCCACTTAATCTACTGCAGAAGCCAAGCTCAGTTCTAGGACCTTTGATCTATTTGAGTTCTATGCTTGGTCCCTGGGAAGAAACCCTCATAGACAGATAAGAAGAGAAACTATCTTAGCGCTTTCCCACTTTCATTAACATCTTTTGTCCTCTCTTCCTTTCAAATTCTTGCATAATGTAGTCACACACACACACACACACACACACACCATCTTCATGCTATAGCATATCACAAAGCAATTTAACAGTTACTCAAAAAAAAAGTTATAGTTCCTTTGTAAGAAATCTAAAGATTTTTTCTACCCATAGTCCTTACTTATGTGATGACTATTAACATTTTATATGCATGTATTCAGATCGATTTTGGTATTCAATATCCAGTAAGACATATAAATGATAAGCGATTGTCACTTTTATAATATTTTGATGAAAACAAATGCTTGTAATTCACATATTCTTCCTGTATTTTTTTCTTCAGCTGCAACTGAGCTTTTTAAAATTTCTATGATTTCCCTGTGATTGAGATATACTTAATACTCCATTTTAATATTCTGCACATTTCTAATTCTTCCACTTTTTAATCCATGGTTATACATAAAAATCTAGAGGAAATTTTATTGGCAAATTATTATCTATGTGCTCTTGTTCAAGTTACTTAACCTCTCCATTATTCAATTTCTTTATCTGTATATCAGGGATAATGATAATATTTATCTTGCAGAGTTGTGTGGGAATTAAATGAATCAATTATGGAAAACACTTATAAATTTTCCTGATGTGTTAAGTGTTAGCAGCTATTATAATTTTTAAGACTCTAATACATGCCTACATTATAATAGGTGTTAGGAATGTTAAGAATAATGAAATTTGCTTCATCTCCTCACTTTTACTACTTCCTTCCGAGGCCCAGAGTAAACGTACATCTGGCTCTGTGAAGTTGTTGCACACATCAGAGAAGCTGCTTGCATTGTTCCTTAAACATTCATATAGCACTTTTTGCCTTATCACATAAATTTTTTTTTGGTATATCATAAAATCTTTCACCTTATTTAGCCTTAACTGACTTAGTTAATATCGCAATCTAACATTCCTGACTCTGGGATGGAAATTCCAAAAATGTGGTTGACATTCTAGCTTTGCCAAACTACTAACTTGCCAAACCTCACTTTTCTTTCATGTTAAATGAAGTAAGTAATAGCATTTTTCTCAGAGGGTGTTTGAAATAAATTATTTACATCATGCCTATACAGGACCAAGCACACAGTAAACACACATATATGCTAACTATATCATTATAATCCTCAATTCTGTCATGTTTTCACTATGATTTCAAATCTCTGTTATCCCATAGGTGGTGCTCAAAAAGAATTTAATTAATAAGTATACAATCTAGTGGAATAGACATGCATAAAGAGATGCCAAATATTGTATAATACATGCTGTAATTTAAATTTTAGAAATACTACTAAGAACATACATGAGACAAAGAAAATTTCTTTTCTAGAGAAGAAAAGGTTTAGAGAAGTTTCCTGGAGTAAATCAGATTTTTTTAAGGATTGTAATAATAACTTGCCTTGTCATTCTATGGAAGAGAATAGACATAAAGTCTCTTTTAGTCAGAGGAAGCAGAGAGAAAGCACAGAGTTAACAGGGTGTGTGAGATTGAGGATACTCAGGTTCTCTAGAGAGACTTGAGTATAAGTTTTGATGGGGGAGACATGTGGGAGATAATATTAAAATTACAATGGGTTCCTACATGATTGAGGGACTTGTAGATAAAGACTTCAATTTCTATGCAAGAAAATGTCATCAAAGGATTCATAATTATTTGCATGATCAAATTTTATCTTGCTTTAATGCCATTTTTCATGATGTCATATTGATTTTTACTATAGTAAACCCTTCAACTTTTGATGTTTGCTGGTGTTGTACACAGGGTTTCTCAACTAATACTATTTTGCTCCAGATAATTATTTATTGTGGGGAACCATCTTATCCACTTTTTCTGATATTTAGCAGCATATCTGGCCTCTACCTAGAAATGCCAGTAGCACTTCTCATCATAATTGTGACAACCAAAAATGTCTCCAGATTTTGCTAAATGTCCCTTGAGGAACAAAATCGCTAATTCAGAACCCCTGTGCTTGAGAAACACAATGACGATGCGACTACTCATGAAAATTCAAGCGCTATAATGTAAATACTGTTTTGATCACTGGAAACATTTTAAAAAATATACCTTCATACAACTCTGTTCATCTCTTCTTCCTATTTCTCCTACTAAAACCTAGATTTACATGTTAAATGTACCTGAGGGGAAAACAGTGACAAGTGCAAGTAGAACTACCTGCTTAGAAGAGTCAATCCTATTATGTGGGATTTTGCTGTCATGCTAAGCAACGTGACAAATCTGTACAGTAAAAAGAATATGGAATTAGCAGTTTAAGGACTTTAAGGCTGAATTACTACATTAAGAAAGAATAAGAATTTTTAATTTCCTTGGAACAACATAGCAGAGCACAGAGTGGATGGCAGAAGGACATGGACTAAGGATCATAAAAGAGATAAGGATGGAACGTAGTGTGGAGAGAAGCAGCAGTGACAATTCTCTGGTAGTACTGTATTTAAGAAATATCTTAACAACAGAACATTTTATACTTTGTCTTATTATGAGCTTAATTACTCTGCTCCCAACCTACCCAGTTATATTTTTATGTGTCTGCTATTTGGTGAAGAAACTTAGCTGTATGACTAGGTTTATAGTGAGACAACTAAAATTTACTTTCAAACTAAAGTTTAAAACTAAGTGTTAGGTGTATCTATATGGTTTGTAACTAGCAATGTACATAGAATGGCTAGAAGACTGAAAGCTGGAAGATTTCATGGCAGATCCAGGGCAGAGATGGCCACAAGAGATGCAGTCTCTTAGAGAATGTTTGACCTACCTGAATGTAACGATGGGGCTTCAGTCAGTCTTACCTAAAGTGGATTTTTTTTTTCTGCAAGACTTCAGGTAACATGTGAATCATACAAGTCAAAGTAGATTGCACAGTGGCTTAGCCTCCTGTTCTTTGTCATAAAACAAAATGAATTGCAAGTAAAGAAATAAATGATCAATGTTTGTTTTTAGCTAGCTACCTGGGAAACTTGTACATGCAACCTTTCTCTTGAACATCTCAAAGATATATTTTTTTCTCCTTTCCCTCCGTCTTTCCTTTTTGCCTCCCTTCCTCCCTCCCTCCTTCTCTCCCTCCCCCTCCCTCCTTCTTTCCTTCTTTCCTTTTCCTTCTTCCTTCCTTCCTTTTCTTCTGTACATAATCACTCAGAAGGCTATGTAGTAAATTATATCTTAAGAACAAAGTACTTTTTAAAAGATAATTTTTAATAATAAAGTATGTTTGATTTCAGAATATAGATAATATCAGGCCCTTTAATAAATTTAAATGCAAATTTAAGGATTTTTAAAAATCAACTTGAATGCAGATAATTTATCAAATGATCATTGGATGGTAAAAATAGAGCAAACCAACCATCAGTTGTATTAAATACAATAGGACATTTACTTTAACTTTATAAGGTTTAAGATTTTTAAAGAATTCAAGAGTAAAGAGCAAGATGGAATGAGGTTTTTAGACCGCTAGCATTTATCTGTCCATCTCATTCCCCAGACCAGGAAAGGCAAATAACCCTTAGTCAGAGTTCATAGAGTTTTCTTGCTCAATTTGCCTCATTTTTCTATGGGTATTGTTGTAGAATTTTTGGAAAACAATGAACTAGCTCTCTGTTCATAGCCCAGCACTTTGAATAAATGAGGTTCTTAAGAAGCATATATGATTTTTGTTCAATATTTATGTTTTCTGACCTGTATCACCCTGAATCTCTATACATACATGATATGGAAATTTATTTTTAAAATTTAGTTATTTCACTCATTTGAAGTTTTATTGCTCTTTTCAGCACTCTTTATGTTTTTAGTTTGAGTTTTTATTTACCATTAATTCTCTGTTCTCAAATCATTTGTATGATAGTCTCCTGCTGCCCCAGGAGACAGTATATTATAAAGTTAGATCGTGAGATGTCTGGGTCTTTGTCAATGATGGTTGGAGGAGAGCTTCTCATATTTTTTAAAAGAGAAAACTGATATCACACTGCACATCAGTAACTTTTTTTTCCTTCTAAAAATTGGCAAACAGCCAGTGAAACACTCAGTGTAGTTTTCTATTGATTGCCCTGTGGCTGGCAGAACAATCCATTTCTGTATCTGAAGCCGTATCATTCTATTGTGAAGAAGTATAAATCTCCTATAGACTAATAAATATAAAGATGTGATTTTAAAAATCAGAACTGAAGTGACGGGGTTGTGGTTTTAATATCTGAGGCAAGAAGAAAGAATTTAGTGCAAGTTAGGATTGATGTGGGTAACATGATTTCAATCCTTTATTAAATGAGATACTTGTTAACAGCATACCATTATAGCTATTTGATTAACATTTTCTATTTTGGGTCATATTTTAAGTACTATCAGCCATTTGTTGTGGGTGAGCATATCAGACATGATTCTTCTAATTATTTGAATTTTCCTCAAGCCTCTTTGCTTTTGAATATGCCTTCTCCATGGTCTGGGTTGTCCTTTCCAAAGATTTAACGTTAAAAAAAAAACTTACTCATTCTTCAAGATGCACTTCTAATTATACTATTGAGAGTAAATTATAAGGTGGAAAAGTGACAAAATTGTATTAGTGTGCTCAAGAACAAACAGTAATAATTAGGCTAGTCAAAATTTGAGAAAAAGACACATAATAAAGTAGATGTGTTTTATATTAAGTTGTGAACAATCAGACAAAATGTAACAGTTGATTCTTTGGATAAGTTTAACACAGAAGCATAATTCTTTCTGTGTGTGTACACTTGAGAGAAAAGTCAATTATCATTAAGGTTATCTCCAAAGAAAGACCATGCAGGTAAGAATCAGGATATTTTAAGACACTGAAACCATTTTTCACAAAATAGCAGCCCAATAACGAAGATGGGAATGTTCAGGTGTAACACATGCACAGAATTCTAAAGTAGAGAGAAGCTGGGTGATGGAATTTGAATCTCCAATACCATTTCAGAGGAAAAATGGGTGGATAGCTGGTTGGAATAAAAGAGCAAACAAAAAAGAAAGTTTTTAAAAAATATATACTTTTGTAAGTTTACAAAAACAGTTTTTGAGACATTTGGAGCCCACAGACTTGCTCCTTCACTGGCATCGGCCATTATGATTAAGAGGCCACATGTCTACATGTCCATCGGCCACATTTGTTATCCTAATTTGTCAGCTCTGCTGCATGGAAGGAATGTGGAAAGGGAAAAGTTGGGAGACTCACTCTCCTACTGTCCTGGGTAAACTTGCTTGTTATTGGAGCCACAAGTCTGGAGGATCACGCTGGCTTAGAGACAGAAATAGAATGGGGAGACGAGTCACATGCTACTTTTCCGTTCCCTTCAAAATGTGCTCTTTATTCTCAGACAGTGCCTATGAAGTCAGAGTAATTCTCTGTTTGATTAATCAGTGAAAAAAAAATTCTCTGATTGCTTACAAATACGAGATTAAACAATAAAAAATGCATAACTTTGTAAAAGTGAGAAGACCTACATTAAGCAATAATTAGAGAAAAAATTTTCTTATATAAGAACTAATTTATTATAATTAAATGATGACTTATTTTCTCTTAGTAGCAAACAAAATGTTCTTCTCATATAAAGAAAATAAGAGCCTCTGGGATCTTCATTTCTGTAACTTTTAACACATAATGAGCTTGGTTAATGGGCATGATGACACATCAGCAGGTCCATAGATTTTGGTTAGTGTAAATTCAGAAATATTTTTCTCTCTATTGTGGAAGTAAATAAAAAGCATTACACTATGCTGCTTTATAAGACTGCAGAGAGAGAGAGCTTCATTGAATTTATTCTTGAAAAGGAATTAGAGACATTCTAACCCACTTCCTTATTTTACAGGTAAGAAAATTGAAGCTCAGAGAAGTTATAATTATTGTATTCAGAAGAAAACAACAACAGCAGTGTGCTGGAATGTTTATACCTTGGGCTTATGCTTTGCTGGTTCTCTTTCTAAAGAAAAACAGTCTATTCAGTCCTTATTCTCTTCCAATTTCTTCCTCAAAGTTGCAGTTCTTTTCCTAAAGGGAATTAGAACTGATATGCATATGTTTTTAGAAGTGCTTTACAATAAGGAATCTTAGTGACTTTAAGGTGTTTCAGTGAGTTCTGAAAAACATTTAAGATGATAAAACGTTATGTATATGGTTAAAATTTTTTATGTTGTTACTTTCAATTATATTAGATTATATATTAAAAGGGATATGCTGCATTGACACATCACAAGTATTCAAATAATAATGTCAATATATAGTTATAATGGTCAAAACCAAGCATAAAAATCATTTCAAGGTAGATGGAGGAGTAATTTGTAGATGCAAGGCTGTGTGAGTGGAGACTAGCATCATGGTGGTGAGTAGTGATTATAGCTCATATTCCACCACCGTCTCCATTGCAACATTCTCTCAGCATTCTAAATGTTTCTCTACTCTGTCTAGACATAGTTAAAGAGGAGTTTAAATTTCTCCAAGGTCACCCTTAGACTTCTGCACAAGTTCAATTGAAACAATTTTGTGCATGCTGATTAAATTTTGGATTCTTCATTTATTATTTTAATTTGACAACATTAAATTTTATACCTCTTGTTATATGATTGGCAAAACAAATTCAATCTCCTATCTTTTTGTGTGTGTTGTTTGTTATTTTGTTCTTTTCCTTCATGTCTAGTTTTACATTATTATAGTAGTTTCATTATAATGGTTTACAATACCTTATTTTATCTCAGTAAATAGATAAAAGAAAATTACAAATGATGAAAACTCTTTTTATAAACCTGTGCATTATTCAATAAATACCAATGATGTCTGAGTTTTCATACCTCCCACTCTAAATTATAAAACGTTAATATTTTTGTTTAGTTTTTTACCTAAATGCCAATGCCTTACATGCAACATAGAAATCATAAGGAGAAAAACTATATATTATTCAGTATACTTGTAATTGAATAATTTAATATATTAGAATATTTTTTCAAAATGAATATGTTTGAAACACATTTTTCAATTCATATTTTATACTGAAGTTTAGATGAGACAATAGAAATTTAGTTTATAATCTATCTGTAAATTATATTTCAGAATCTCCAATCAGTACATAGACAAGGATATTCAAAATGATAATTAGAATTACTTTATTCTAATATCAAGAAATAATATGCATAATGACATTAAAATACAGGATTAAAACAGTATTTCAAAGACTAGTCAAAAATATTTCTAGGCTGCAAAGAAAATTAGAACTACCATGTAGTTTATCTGGGCTGAAAATGTGTGTGTGTGTGTGTGTGTGTGTGAGTGTGTTTTCTATTTAGTTATTTTATTTTATTTTATAGATTTAGGGGATACAAGTGCAGATTTATAACATGAATATATTGTGTAGTATTGGGGTCTGGGCTTCTGTTGTATCCATCACCTGAAGAATGAACATTGTACCTAGTAGGTAATTTTGCACCCTTCACCTCCTCCTACCCTCCCATTTTTTGTTGTCTCCAGAGTCTATTATTTTAATTTTTAAGGGCTGATAATTTAAACTGAAAGAAATTTATTTTTTGGCGTTTGCATCTCAAAATAAACTATTGATTATAATACAAACATTACTCAATTAAACAATTAATGTAGTGAACTACAAAACAAATACACTATTCAGGATTGTTCTCATCTAATTGCTTTTAACTTCTTCTTTAAATAAAATTACATGTGATCATGGACTGTGCAAGCTCTGCTTTCATAATAGGAATAATATTCTGAATTGGAATCTCCCTTTAATTGCAAATTACTATCAGTTCTAGATAACTTTTAAACAGAAGATTTTCCCACTTATTTTTTTCAAAATGATCCCATGCTGAAAATAATGTTATTATTCCTTTAGGCCATTTTTATTATTAGATATAAAACAAACATTGCCTTGTAAATAGTTTAAACTATTTAAAGTTTTCATGGTGTAGAATGAAGTATTGAGTTGTCATTTTAAATAACTGCATTCCACCTCTATTCCTATTAATTGTTAATTATGTCATTCTAGATAAATTTTTCACCTCTCACTAGCATTGTTTTCTCGTAAATAGAGGGAATTCAATATCCTTTCTGTTCCTTGGATTAAGTTTGAAATTATGTAATCCCAACAAGTTTTCTAATAGTCAAGCAAAAATTTGCATTGATGACATGTAACATATTTACCATTTTAGGTTTTAACAACTTTTTTTGCATAGGATTTTATTTGACATGTTTCAATTGTGATTTGCCTAAAGGCTGATATAAAAATGATTAATAATCTCATCACAGTATTTTAAAATTAATGTTATTTTATGGTTCTAAAAGGCAATAGATAATCACTTTAAATATTTTAAAATTGAAAAAAAATAAAAATTAAAGTTATTTCTAATCAAATGGTCCAAAATATTCATTGATAATGTGTTAGTATTTTTTCTTTCATTCTTCTACAACACATTCCTTCAATAAGTAATCTTTAAATACTCCATCGATCTTTTTGTCCTTTTATTTATTTCTTTAAAGTCCCATTTCTTTTCTTATTTGTATGTTTGCACATGTGTATACTCTTCAAATATTAAGGACATTGTAGCTATATTTCATATTTGTAAAACCTTTTCCTAGTTTTTTTTACTTCATTTTTATAACATGTTGGTGTTGTTTAAAAAAAACACTTAGAATCACAAATTTACCAGAGTTTATTTAAGGAAAGAATAGTTCATGAATTGAGTAGCAATGAGAACCAGGAGAAGTTCAGAGCGCTCTACCCAGTAACATGGGAAGGTGATATTTATAGACAGATAAACAAAATGACATACAGAATCAAGTTGATTGCCTATAGTTCAGCATTTGCCTTATTTGAGAATGATGTAATGAGGCATTTATCTTATAGGGACATGGTCTGAACAGTTGACAGCCTGGGATTGGCTGAAACTCAGCTGCTGTGGTTGGCTGAGACTCAGCTATTTATTGTGAGAATATAGTCTCAAATTAGGCTGCAGTTTGTTTATATACCGAGTTAGGTCGTGGTTCATTATGCAGGAATTCAAAGTACAGAGGCAGCTTTAGCCCAAATTGTATTTAATTTAACAATGCCTTTCTTTTGATCAACCTCTCAATTTTCAGAATTTGACCAAAACCTTAATGTCACCCTGTCACCATTATAATGATTTTTTTTATTTTTGTGTGGAATTCACAATGTCAAGTTATCAGATGATTCTTTATGTTCCTTTGTCTTTTTGATATTCTAACTGTAATGAGACCATTTGACATATAAGGAATGACTGCATATAAGTGTTGAAGACTCTTGAGAGGAAAAGGCACACCAGAGAAATTATCATGATGGTTGTCAGGAGGATATTACTAAAACACTGAAGTATGCTCCTTAAGAGAACATAACCTTCCCCATGAATTGAACCAATCAAAAACAAATCTATCAAAAAAGAGCCAAGAAAGGAACCTTTGTTTTAACCAAGGAGCTTGTTGAGTTCTTAAAACTAAGTTTCTATCATCCCATATATGTTTATCCAAGTTCAGCAAGAGGTGTTAGTTATCACACCCCCTGCTAACACTTCCCCCTGGTCATCCAGCAGACAGTCCAAGGAAATCGTGCTATCCAAAACAACTTTGGCAAGATAATTTAAAGAAGTTTTCTGGGCAATTATTGCATTTGGAGTAGAGTCAGCTACAGTAGCTAATATTTTAGACAGATTTCTAACCATAATTTTAATTACATTTATGCCAAGCTAGGAAAGAAACATTTTACCAAAAGATATTCATTTAGAGATATTTATGTTTTCTGGCAAACTCCTCTTTATTCCATAGTGTAAATTAAGAGGTATGAACAAATGTTTATTTTGCAGTTGGTTATGGAGTTGACAATGATATTGTTAGAATCCCTAATCCACATTGGCCCCCTCTTTCCCACTTAAGACATGGAATTCCCCACATGCATGGTTGATCATTAAATCCCCTACAGATAAAAATCTATCCTGAAGGAGGCACAACAGATAGTTCTCTGTGAGATGCCTTATGCATTAGGGGTCATTAGCAGGAAAGCACTAGTAATTCTGTTTAATGCTTCATTATTGAAATCATTGAATGGTTGGAGACTACTGACAACTAAGAGACTAGGGTTATAAACTTGTATACTAATGGTTGAGTATCTTTCTATAGGTTTTCTTATTCATTTTTGGCATAATTTAACTGTAAAACCATCCCTACAATTTTGCCTATTGTTAAATTTAAACACGGAATCTTAATACATGAATTTAAAAACCTAACCTTATAGAAAGGACTAGCTATTGCACTTGGAATATCAGTGAAATGTGTTACAGGGATAACCAGGGAATCTCTAGGATCATGCAAATATTTAAGTATAACATGACATATTCACCATTCAGTGAGGTTCCCTGCAGAAGCTATTGATCATGAAATTTAAGTTATTGCATTATTTTGTCATGTATAAACAGAAAAGAAACACAGGAAAAAGAAGAAAGAGCGAAAAGGAGAAAGAGGAAAAAGGTTGCATGGTAACAGAAGAAAGAAATCTTGATCTGTGATCTTGGGAGGGCTGTTCATTTGTAGGATATAATCTGCTTCTGAGGAGAAACTTCCCAGATTAGGTTTACCTTGAGGTGTTCAATGGGTATACAGTCTCAAGACTATGGAGGGGCCCTTTTGAGTTAAAAGATGTGGACATAGGTTTGGGGTCCTGAAGTTTTACTGCAGAGATGAATTTGGTATGGACTTTTTAAATGTGGCTCAAGGGTAGTCTTTCTCTGGCGTCATTTTCAAAAGATACAGTCTCTGGATTTGAATAGTGAAAGGTCTGGTTGTCCTCAGTTAGTGGGTCATGCAGGGCTTCTTTTATGAAAATATTCTTTGGCATATGCACTAAAGCCTTGCAATATCGAGTCATGTCAGAGTTTATAAGAGCAGAAGATACACGGGGTTCTATTATTAGAATCATAACCTTCCAGTAACTGTTTCATATGGAATCAATCTGTGTTTCCCACTGGGGATAGATCTCATTGCCATCAAAGCCAACAGTAATACTTGTGGCTGATGCAATCTATTCAGCTAGCTTGCCTAATGCCATTGTGTTTGTAATGCTTTATTTAACTGTTTTACAAATTATCCATTGAAATAAATACTTCTATCACTGAAGATTTCTCCAGACATGCCCTATAAGGGAAATACATTTTCTTATAACCTTTTAGTTCCTATGATAGCAACAGCCTTCTTGCATGGAAAGTCTTCTATACAATCAGAAAACATGCAATGAAAGTGGAAATAAAACGAAATCCTACTGTAAATATTCAAATGATCCAACAGGTACTGGAAATGTATCACCTGAGATTTTTATTTTCTTACCAGAATTATAGGTTTGAGCCATGAAACATTGGTTATAAACCAGGTGAGCAATTACAGTCACTCTACCAATTTTTAAAAATAATTTTTATCATTTTAACTATTTCATTATAAGTCACAAAGTGCAGAGATTTTAATAATAGAAGCTTTACGGACTCTGAAAGAACTAGATTCTCCATGAGTCCATGCTTAACATTTTTTGTATATCCTTTTAAATACCAGTTTTGTTTCTCCCATTCAAGTGCATAGTCATGTTTATTAAATAAGTTAACATAAATAATTTGACCTGGATCAATCTCATGAGGTTCATTCAAATTGTGTATCTTGACAGTTTCAGTACTTTCTGATTTAGCATGAAAACCTGCCAAAGCATTTCCTTGGCATTCAGTTAATTTTTGTTTTTCTTGATGTTAGGTTAGCAGTTTTAAAGAATCAATCAGTTTTTCCATTAGAGTTCTGGAAATTGTTTCCCAGTTCAATGCATTATTGAATTTCCAGGGATTTCTTACAATTTCCGAGATGCATATTAATAACACATCCATACAAACATAACTCAGAAAAGGTTGAGCATAACTGATTATTTGACCATGCTTCCCATATAATTTAATAGATCAAATAAGCTCTATTAGTTTAATATCGCTTTTTATTTAAAAAAATCCTTTTAGTATGCTCCAAGGACCCATCTGGAGTATTTCAAAGTTAATTTAAGGCCAAGAAAAATATTTAATTTAGAATTTGATTGTGGAAAGTTTGTCAAAAATATCAAGGGCTTAAGACACTTCATCAAAATGGGATTACAGGACCAGGCAAAGTGGCTCATGCCTGTAATCACAACATTTTGGGAGGCCGAGGTGGGTGGATCACTTTAGCTCATGAGTTCGAGACCAGCCTGAACGACATGGAGAAACCCTGTTTCTACCAAAAATACACACACACACACAAATAGGCATGGTGGTGCATGCCCATAGTCCCAGCTACTTGGGAGGCTGAGGTAGGAGGATCGCTTGAGCCCAGGAGGAGGAGGTTGCCGTGAACTGAGATTGGGCCACTGCACCGCATTCCAACCTGGGAGACAGAGTAAGACCCAACCTAAAAAAAAAAAAAAAGATTACAGGCCACTGTGAAATAATAGTCATTCATTTAACCACAGTGATGATTAAAAGACTTCAAAGGCAAACACAAAGTTATATAGTTGTAGCAAAACCTTAGCTCTTTTAGTAGAGAAAACTTAGTTTTAAGTGACCAAAAACCTAACAAATACAACATGAAGAACAGAAAATTATCTTGGTAAAACACAGAATCTCTGTTTCTCAGGTAAATTATCCAAAAGGTAAAAACCAACCAACCAAACAACAACAAAAAAACCCTTTCATAATTTCCTATTAAGAGCAAACCAATACTGCCCCCCAAAATCCTTGTTTTGACACAGCAGCCAAATTCTAGTTACTCATCAATGTCCTGTTATATCAGTGCTCAATTTTTAGAAAAACTTATAAATAATTTTCTTCTAATGTTAGCCAGCTTGATCTCATAATAAATTCTTTTCACAAGATCCAACTTCCACAAAGCTACAACCTTTCTATATCCTTTCAGATTTTTCCTATACTTTTCCTCTTTTTCATCTTAAAACAACCAGTTATTCTACTTTTGGACAAAAAGTACTCTCTTCCTTAACAAAATAAAACATACTCATAACGTATAGCTTTTTCTTTCCAAAAGCACATCTTACCTTCCTTGTATATTTACATATAGACTAGTTTTTATTATGTCTATAATTTTAGTTATATTTATTATTTAGGTTTCATAATCATTAGTGACCTTAATTTCCACTGAACACTAGACAGCAAGCAATTGTGAACTTTCTGTCACACCAGAAATCTATGGATTGGCAAATCTATGGATCATAATTTCTAGAAGCATGTACTTTCTCATAGCACAAATTGTCTGTGTGGCACAAAACATATTTATTAAGAGTAACAAATATGTTTAATCTTTTTGTAATAAGAAACTGAAGAGGAATAAAGGAGGTAAAATTTTATCTCTAACCTCTTAGGGTTTTGGTTTGGTTTGGTTTTGTGTTTGCTAGGCCTGGGAATTAAAAATGTTTTGTACAGCTTTCCCTCATCCTCAACTTCTCATTCTTGATGATAAGAATATTAAAACCTTTGGTATGGAGAAGGCATCTTTCACATGGAATTTTATGGTATTTATGTCTATTTAACTCACTTGTTTTTAACAGTTATTCTTAGGTTGTTCATGAAAGTGAAACACTAAACAGCTAACTACCATTTTAATTTAATTTTCTTGCAAAAACATTTTGTAATATAGATTTAATATAAGTTTATTTTAACAGTTAACCTATGTTGGAAAAGTCATGCATCTGTATTATATTTAATATTGACAATTCTGAAGATATGCCTGTTTTAACCTAACCATCATTATTATTTACCAGAGATTACCGAAGTCACATGAACTTAAAAAGCATTTGGGTTAGTTCTTATTTTTCTGAGAGAATACATAATTTGTATGAATGCCTATTTTTCTTTAAGCCAATTCAATAGAACTCTTTTACAATTGAATTTTGGCAATATTATGAGAAAATAAAAATATCATGCATATATATTATACATACAAATATACATAAACATATACATAGACACAGATCATAAAGCTTTTATTTTAACGTTTTAGCCATGTGTCAGGTACAATAGTATGAGCATTTCATGTGCCTGGACTAAGCATGCATACCTCAAATCTTGCCTTATAATATGAGACTCATTGGTCTTTTTTTGTTTGTTTTTGTTTTGTTTTCAAGGTTGAATGACAGACCAGTCAGTGTTTTTTGTTTGTTTGTTTGTTTGTATTTTGTTTTTTTCAAAAAACAGTTTTTGCAGCACAGCAAAGATAACAACAAAATGAAAGAGGAGGACAGGGTTGGCACAGCATATAGCTAGCAGGGATTTGTTAGAAAGGTTTCAGTCAACTGATAAGTCTACATGGGAAGCAGGATCAAATAGAGAAAAGGGAAAGAACTAATCCTTACAAATGTTTTTCTGAAACTAGTCCAAGTGTCAATTAGACAAGTGTCATTTAGACATTTCAGATTTGATATAAAAATGTCACTAAAGAAATATTCTAATTTTTTTTTCTCAAAGAGGCAGGTTGATTATTATCCTGGTAGTGAAGCCCTTGGGTGTTCCAGTGGAGCACACCACTGCTGGGGAAACATCTAAGCCATAGATGGCTAGAGTAAAAGTGAAGAATTTCTATTTCAATGGCTTGACTGCTTACAATAAAGGCAGACATCTCAAGGCACAGGATTTTTCAATTTGGGAATCCCTTAGTTTTGGTTTCAAATATATGCAAGGAGTTCCTCTTAGGCTGTAGCTGTTGTATTGTCAAAGATATGCACCTGTTTGCTTTTTGTAAGGAGTTTCCCTACTGTGGCCACTGTTACTCTAAGTTACTTTTGGTGAGGTTTGCTCATTTCTCTAGAAAAGACAGATTCTGAGTTCATAGTTCTTATACAATTTAATTGGCTAAAGTTTCAGATGGAGGGGTTTGAGACCTCTTGAATTCAGATGAATCAATGATTCTCTATTTTCTAGTAACCTTACCTACCTACTGAATTCAGTCGAGTTTTTATCTGACCCAGTCCAACACCTAAGATGTACCAACAGGATCCAGTCCTGTTTCTGTCATGAATTCCAAACCCAGTTCAAATAAATAATGCTTACATAAACTTGGAATGCTGAAAACACAAGTTCTTGGAGCTCATGTCCAAGATAGAACTCACCCAGGACCCCAGTTGTTCAAAGCGATTAATTAGTACAAGGGACTTGGTAGGTTCCTTTGTTTGGTCACTTGGTGCTCTTGGGAATCACTGGAGATCTACTTTAGATTCCACTTCTGATACCAAGCTATTTAAAAAAAAAACACTTTAGACTAATTAAATTCAGCAGAGTTTATTTTAGCAAAGAATGTTTGTGAATTCAGTAGCTCTCAGAACCGGGAGAGGTTCAGAGAGCTCTATCCTGCAATATGGGCAGGGAGGATTTAGAGACAGAAAAGAAAGTAATGTACAGAAATAACTTGATTGATTATAGCTGGGTGTTTGCTTTATTTGGGCATGGTGTGATGAGGCATTTGCCTTATATGGACATGGTCTGATCAATTGGCAGCAAGCTATTGGCTGAAGCTCAGATGCTATGATTGGCTGAACACTTGGCTATTCATCAGAAGAATATACTCTCAAATTAGGTTTTAGTTTGTTATTTAGGAGTTCAAAGTTCTCAGGCAGCTTTCAGCCAAAATTGATTTATTTTAACAGTATTGAACTTTAATTCCTTTCCACACATTTTAAAACTTTTCCTTAGTAATTTCTTCTATTGCTGTGACATTTATTAATCACTTCACCTTTCACAGATTAAATAAATGCTCATGCATACATATTGAATAGATTTTAACTTATTGATCACTGTATTATTCTTGTGCTTTTATCTTTTTTTTTTTTGAGACAGAGTCTTGCTCTGTTGCCCAGGCTGGAGTGCAGTGGCACCATCTCAGCTCACTGCAAGCTCCGCCTCCCGAGTTCACGCCATTCTCCTGCCTCAGCCTCCCGAGTAGCTGGGACAACAGGCGCCCGCCACCACGCCCGGCTAATTTTTTGTATTTTTAGTAGAGATGGGGTTTCATCGTGTTAGCCAGGATGGTCTCGATCTCCTGACCTCGTGATCCGCCCACCTCGGCCTCCCAAAGTTCTGGGATTACAGGTGTGAGCCACCACGCCCGGCCGTGCTTTTATCTCTTAGTATTAAATGTTTTGATCTTAAAACAACTGAAATAAATATATTCAGTGTAATATCTAAAATTAGGCAGAATTTTTCCAAATAACAGCTAATTTCCTTCAAACATTTGCTAGTTTATTCATACTTGCCCTAATGCTTTTAGTAATGATTTCTCATCATATGTTGAATTCTTAATATATTTGGATCAAGATTTGAAATATAGGACGTGATTTTTAAGCTGTTTATTCTTTAAGCATCTTGATTTCATTGTTACAACTCTATGGCATTGTGTGGTATATTAAAGAACACCTGCTCAATTGTCATTGAAATTGATAAACATTATTTTGGAAATTCTATAATGTCTTACATTTTTGCATATTTTTTCATCTTAAAAATTTTAGATGTTCTTGTTTTCAATAATTTACTCTTAAAAAGGTCAAAATGATAAGATGGATTCTATAAACATGGTTTTAATATTCACAGAGTTAGTTATATTTTGGTAGAAAAAGGAAGCAGGGAATGGAATCATACTAGTATCAGAAGTAAATGTAGAGCGTATTTATAATAATCATAGGATTGGCTAGCTGTAACATATAGAAAACTATATGGTGCGAATAATGATTATTTATATTCTCCAAACATCAGACAAAATATTACTTAGTGAAGTTTTAATTTTTTTCTCTGTTAAAAAGCTATAAAATCTTTTTCTGATAAAATGCTGTAAAACATTTTTCATAATTTATACTTCTGAAATGGTCCGTAATTTCTTATCCAAAACTTTCAGCTACATCTTTTGCGCAAAATTCTTTAACTACATTTTACCAGTCTTGAAAATGTTCCTGAAAGAAATTAATGCTGTAAAGAATCATTATTTGTAAATATAAAAATATTTTTATACTGAATAAAATGTTTTTATTTCTAAAATTTTCATATATATATAATTACATACATTTGAAAACTTAACATTTGGGTAGGTTCTCAAAGACAATGTTAAAAAGATATACTTACATGAAAAAGAAATATAATAACATTCATTCTCCAGAAACACTGTCTGCTGAATTTTAAAAGCATTTGGCGATTAGTAATACCTATCCTCCTGTTTTATGAATATTACATATATTTTGATACTGACCATGATTCCCTAAAGAATTATGCATTCTCTAAAGGAAGAAGAATTTCACTTTAAGAGTTACTTAGTGTCTCTGGAGGTAGAAATACTCTGTAGTTCAAAAACATAAATGATCCAGCTGTTTAAATAGCATGCCCAATGTGCTCCAGAGGAGTCTTATCTTTTATGAAATGGCTAGACTTCCCTGAAATAAAACATGGTGGTTAGTCTGAGAACAGAGAAGCTGGAGTTTTTTTTAAAGATTTTCAAGCATGTTCCTCAAGAGGTTGAATTTTAAAGTAAGTGATGTATTTCTTCTTTACTCTCAGCATGATCTCAGAGACAGTTAGACTGCTTTAAAGTTTCAACTTTGTTAAAGAGACTTAGAAGTTTAAAATAGTCCAACAGGAGGCCTGGAAGTGGGAGGGCAAGTGGAATATTTTCAGGGTTGGGCTAACTTTGAAGCAAAACATGAATGGCATTAATAGTGCAATAAAATCTCATATCTACAGATCAGTAAAAATGTAGATGAACTTGAAAGATTTTGATTAATAGGGGAAGTGGTGCATTTTATTACAATATTTTTGTTATAACAAAACCAAATAATTAGCCACAATACCCTTAGTATGAGATTAATAACTATAGTGTAATTTTCACAAAGACATATAATGTTGACCATTTAAGATATAGCTTATATATTAATCCAAAATGATATTGGGATATGGCTTTAAAGTGTATAATATTTTTAAGGTATTATGCTTTTATAATCAACTTATTAACTGAAAATGTACCTAGATAATATTGACTCCAAAGAAATCAAATATTATTTTGCACAATTAGATGTGTTGGGGGAGGGGTGTCCTTGAAGTGGCACTAACTATATTATTGATTGATTTGTCATTTTTAGTCAATTGAGGTGTTTTATGCTGAGTTTAGCGATGCGTAAATAGAGATGAGAAATTCAATATTGGATAACAGGATTTTCAATTAATAACATAAAAAATTACATGCATCCAGTTAGAAAAGAGAGACATGATTAGTTAATTGAATCTATTCATTTTGTACTTATTTTTAAATTTAAAGACTTAGAACACTGTTAGTTTATCTGGATTTTCATTCAGTAGTTACACCAACAAAACTAAACCACAAATGCTATTTATTCTCTCTATTATGATCTCTTAATTTTAACTTTTAGTATTTCTGACTTCAAAACATTTTTCTCATATTTTTCTTCTGATTCAGTAAAATTAAATTTTCAGGTAAATTCGTATCAAAAGGTGTCAAGATTTTTTTTATTTTCTAAGATATTTAATATGTGGGATTTAAATGGTGAATTCTGGCATCTATGTTAAATCCTATTTTATTGATTTATCATAAATTTATTTAGCCTAGTATGATTATTTTGAATTCTACGTAATTATATCTCACAGATATGAGTTATCCACCCGTTACACAAATATATGCTTTGATCTTCACTCAAAACATTAAAGAAAATACACAACAATTTATATAACTTGTTCATAATATAATTTCAGAGATACTCCAGTATCTTCCTTCTTCATTTTTTGCTTGCTTTAATTAAACCATTAATTATAAAATATTTATGAAAAACTAATTACTGTCAATTCTTGTTATTTGTGGTAGGTATGTCGTGTAATGTCATGTGAACACTGAATTAGCAAACAGCCAATCGTTCTTAGCGAAAATTCAGGATTCGTTTCCTGCAAGCCTCTGGTCAAGCATTTCCATCAGCCAATCAATATATCAACTTATTTTATGTTCTGTTTAAAGACATCTTGCTTAATATATATTATGGTTTCAGTAACCTTGAACTCACTGCCAACAGCACTATAACTTATGCCTGAAGGAAGATTATCAAATGTAGGTATTTTCCTGGCAAGGCCCATCACAGCCTTCTTAAACTTTGGAAATTCACACAACACTTCAGCATTACTCTTGGGGGTCGTGTTAAGCTGCAAAATCAGCAGGAAAATGCATAACAGTGAAAAAGAAAACCATGGCACTAAATAGACCATAAGAAGGACACTTTCTCACAGTATCAGAGCTTAAACAAGACCACTGAGCACCTCAGCTGGCAATGTGTGCTTTGGGTGTTGCAAGTTGCTTGTTTCTCTGCTCATGTGCTGTCCACAAATGACCAGGAAAGTGCAGAGAGCTTGATTTTAGAATTAGAAATGTTAGGCAAAGTAACAAACTGTTGACTAATTTCTGCCTGCCAACATAATTTCACAAAGCCCCAGATTCTGTGAGGAGGTGCAGCTCTCCCAAAAGATGCTTTGAAGACAAAACAGGAGAGAGCACGTGGTCTACTCTATGTATTGCCTGAGTTACTGTATTCCTGAAACAATAAGTGTCCCTAGCCTTGCCTTTTCCTACACATAAGATATTGTCTGATGGGAATAGTGATTATGCCTCTTCTAATATACAACCTGATGTACTCTTACACCCAAACCTTGATGAGATTCTGCTGTAATGTAACATCTGAGCAAGTGTGATGTGATTTTCACATAGTGAACTCTCAGCACCTGTATGTAAGCAGTGGGGTGAAATACTGTGCTGGAACAGTCTAACAGAACTGCTCATGGGATAAAGTCACCAGTAAGACTTCTGAATGAAACTGTCTTTAATTCTTTAAAAGCTTGACTCGTTTTTCTTTAGTCAATATAAATAACTTTAAGAACTAGGAGAATTCACAGATACAAATTCTGCAAGTGATCAGGATTGACCGTTTAAGGTAGGCACTATCCTAACTGCTGCAGAGACAAAGTTAAATAAGATCTATGCCTTCAAAGATCCTTAATTTTTCAAGTATAAGGGAAACTTCAATACTCATAAATGTTTTGTAACTTATTTTCTTCACTCTTTAAACATATATTTGTTAAGTGCTGACTATGCATTAATCACTTTGCTATTTGCTGCAGGTATGTCAGGGATCAAAAAAAGAAAATGTGCAATTTCTGGTCAGCACAAAGACCCTACTGAGAGATATGGGCCAGCAAAAAGACAAGCAGTGTGATATTCTGAACTGGAAAGCCTAGAATACAAATGGGAGACATGAAAGCAGTATCCAACATATATGATGGGTTAATAATGACATCTTAGTGGACATGATCTTAAAGCTGAAACTTGAAAAAATATGAATTTTAAAATTACCAAGTAGAAAGTCAGTGGACACAAGTAAACAAAACATATATTTAATGGGTTTGAGGTGAGGAACAGCAATTGAAAGTAGCACAGTATAGCAATTGGCAGTGGGATGTGAGGAAAGTTAATGCATGAGAATTATTGGTAAATGGAAAAGGGAATGATAAAGAAGGAGCAGTGATATAAATTAATCTAGAAATGCAGGCAGAGGTGATCATGAAAGGTATAAAAGGCATTAATTTAAATGCCTGTCATGAAATGCAGGCAGGGGTGATCATAAAAGGCATTAATTTAAATTAGTTTAAGGAGTTGTCAGTTTTTCCTGAGAGCAAGAAGATTAATAAATATAAAAACAAAATGATTGGAATTAATTTGTATAAGGATTGTTTGGTTCTAGATTTGAGATTCATTGAGGATTTGATGGGTGAGGTAGGGCAGGGCCACAATGAGTAAAGGCTGTTTTAGTAATACTAATGAGAGAAAATGTGTAGTGGCCTGAATTAGGATAATGACAGTGAAGATCAAGACCAATGGATTATTTTAAAAGCTATTTAAGAGTTGAAGTCAACTAGAGTTGGTTATTGATTGGATGTGAATAGTGGTTGTTGGGAGAAGCATTCTACCTTGGACTCTGAGGATTATGGTTGCAGAAAGTAAGCTTTAGGGATGAAATAAACAGCAGGACTACTAAATACTCACTGTAAAAGCAGTAAGTTCCTCAAACTCAGTTTTGTCTGTTTTAATGCAACACACTGAGTGGGCTGTATCTCTCTGGGTTGATCTGCATTGCCCCCATGGAATTTGAGGGTCATGGTGAACTGGTGTAGAAGCTCCAAATACTTTTGTCTTAAATAATAACTTCTTTTGTCTCTGACTCAGAAGCCACCAATCCTCTACCTATATCCATCAAGTAGTAACAGACCAGTTTGTTAGGTTAAAAATAGGGTAAATTCCAAGGCCTTTCAGAGTTCCTAACAGTGGTTAATTAAGCACGTCTGAAAAATTTTTCAGTAACCAAAGATCACTGGAACAGGGAACACAGGATGGAGGATGAGCTTAAGTGAGAAGAAAACAAAATCTGTTTTAGAAATTTTGAACTTGAAGTGTTGAAAGCACACACAAGAAGAGATGCCCAACAGACAGTTGGATGTATAGAAAAGTGGACAAGAAGATAGATTTAAAAAGTAGGGATTCTAAGATTACAATTTAATGAATAGAATAATATGAGAAAACCTAGCATGAACATATAGACTGATTAAAAACAGTTTATGCAACAGAGTTTTGAGCCATGTAAACATTTATGGGACAGTAGAGAGAAACACATTTCAGTGTGTCTGAAACATAAGTGTTTGGAGTACAGGATAGCAGGCAATAGAATGGTTTAAGAAGAAAGTGCTGTATAGAGTGAAATCATACTAACACTTCAACATGACAGTTATGCATGGCAACATGAAGGGCATTGATAATTTAGCACGAACACTTTTATAGATTTGATGGAAGTGAAAACCAGAAAATAATAGGTTGTGCATTGAATGGGCTGAGAAGTAAAAATAAGTTGTTATGAAGGAAAAGAATGTAATATGGTAATGGAGAAGAATATAAGATTACAGGAGTATGTTTCCTAAAGTGAAAAAGATCTGAGCATATTTTGGTCTAATGTGGATAAAGAAAGTATGTTTTGCAGCAAAAGTTGAGAAAGGTACTTTCCCTTGGCCTCCATTTTTCTCAGGGCTGTGAAAAGGAGAGTTCATCAGCAGAGAGAGGAGGCAGGTGAGAAAGTCAGAAGTTTGATGGTAGTGGATAAAATTTAAAAGAGTTGCTGTTTAGAACAAGAGAGAGCTGCCTGAACATATGAAATAGGATTCTTGAGTGGTTTGAGGGGACAGTTGCTGTTGAAGACCACGTGTAAAGGCATTTGAGGTTCTGTATGATATTTCTAAGGCAGCCCTCAGCATATGGTAGATTCATTCTATAATGTACATAAGAAATAAGAGACCTTTAAATTCATGGGGTGGAGTGGCTTTTCACAAAGTGGTAGGACAGAAAAGCAATGAAACAACTTACATGGATATATTGGCAAAAGAAAGGTTAGATGATAAGTCTTAAGTATATATTTAGCTGAGCAGGGAAGATAGAAACCTGAAGAAAAAATATTAGAATAGTTGAAAAGCCTGGATATTTTATTGAGATTGAGAAAATTACTAGTGGGGGTAATTTAAGGGGCAAATTAGATGATGAAGAAATTATATTATGAATTGAGATATTGCATTTGGATTTCACATAAAGTAGTTCTAATTCCTTTACTTAACAAATACATATTGAGATCCCATATATGCTGAGAACTATTTTAGGTGCTAGAGGTATATCAGTGTAAGAAAAAGCCACACTGTCTCCACTCCTGCAGCCTATATTACAATGAAAAAAATTTACTGCAATTTTATTTGGTGAGTAAACCTCCATATATTTTTTCAATATGCATGCGTTTAATTTATTTTGATTTTTCCTCTTTGAAAAAGTATGATATTACGCACATTTTTTTCAATCTGCATTTTCCTCTTAACAGGCCCTATCTAGATGTAACTCACCATCTTTAACAGCGATAAAGTTATAGTGTGAAAGTAGCATAAATATCTTTTGATGGTATTTGCATATCTAATTTTCCCATTACATTTTCTGGTCACCATTGAAGTTGAGTGACTGTATAGGAAGAATAAAAAATAGAAATGGACATATTGTGACAAAGTGTGTGAAAACTTTTATATTTAAAAGGTATTTTCAAATTATCATCAGTAGGCCAACATACATCTCCACCAACAGTTTTCTGAAAATGTCTAGGGTTCTGCAAGGTCTTATCAAACTTTATTAGGGAAAAACTATGATATTTTTGTTATAAATTATATTTGTTTTCTTAAATTGAATTTTGAAATGTTTAACAAGTTTGAGAAAATATTTTTATAAATGTTTGGCCTGAATATTTCCCTTTCTGTAAACTTCCTGTCTTTGCCCATATTTTCTATGGGGTTGTTGTCTTTCCCTTAGGGATTTATTAAGAGTCCTGCATATACACAAATTACGTATTATATATATTATTTCTAAGTGATATAGTTTGTCTATGTCCCAACCCAAATCTCATCTTGAATTGTAGCTCCTGCAATTCTGTGTCATAGCAGGGAGCCAGAGGGAGGTAATTGACTCATGGGGTGGGTCTTTCCCATGCTGTTCTTGTCATAATGAATAAATCTCATGAGATTTGATGGTCTTATAAAGAGGATTTCCCCCTGCATAAGTTCTCTGTCTTGCCTGCTGCCATGTAAGAAGGCCTTTTGCCTTCCACCATGATTGTGAGGCCTCCTAAGACATATGGAACTGTGGGTCCATTAAACCTCATTTTCTTTATAAATTACCCAGTCTTGGGTATGTCTTTATTAGAGGCATAAGAGCAGACTAATACACTAATTCAATATATAATGTTATTTAGACAATATTTTGATCCAAAAGTTTGTAAACCATATTGACATTTCAAAACACAACTATATTTAATATCCTCTAATGTCTCTATGAAGATACACTATCTCGTAAGAACAACTCTTGTATAGAGTATTGTCTACATATTTAAAATATTAAACTGTCCTCTATGTTTATAGTTTTCAGACATGATTTTGAGAGCATGATTTTTTTATATAATCAAATGTGTTTTATAAAATGTGTCATCTGACATCCTGCCATACAAATGACAAGCATAAAAATAGTCTGGATTATGTATTTTTAAATAAAGGGTATGCCTACAAACATAATACTGGAAGTTAGGCCAGAAATCAAATTCTGAAGTAAATACACTTTTTATTACAATTTGAAGACAGGCTAAATAGGTATGATACATATTCCCAATATCCTCCAATATCACTGTATACATTTCTATCTTCAAACTTTCATGCATACATGTCATGCATGTAAAATAAGCTGCCACAATCTGCTATGAGTTAACTGCGTACTTGAATACAGCAAAATTATTATTTGTGTTACCTGAACCAGTGATTATTTCTCTAGCTAACCTAGTTATTTGTTGTTTGATAACTATAATTCCTAAGGGAAATAATCGAGTCTATCATGTACACCACCATATCCTCAGTGACCACACCAGTACTTAGAATATAGCTGACAATCAATAACATTTTGAATAAATAAATTCAACTGGAATTATTCACCTTTTGTGTTTTGTGTTGCTGTAAGGAAAATACCTGAGGCTGGGTGATTTATAGAAAAAAGAGGTTTAATTTGCTTACAATTCTGCTGGCTATACAAGTGTGATTCCACCATCTGCTTCTGGTGAGGGCCTCAGGAAGCTTACAATCATCGCGGGGGCGGGGGTAAAAGAGGGAGCAGGAGAGTCACATGGTGAGAGTGGGAAGAAGAGAGAGTGGGGGAAGGTGCCCTAGTTTAAACAACCAGCTTTCATGAGAACTCACAAACACCAGGGCAGCACCAAGCCATTCATGAGGGATGAATGCCCCTTGTCCCAAACACTTCCTACAAGGCCTAAGCTCCAACATTGAGGATTACCTTTCAACAAGAGGTTTGGACGGGAAAAACATTCAAACTATATCGCCTTTAATATTTCCTTAATAGGAACATGTATTTATATAAAACAAATTATACCTCAATGACATGTATAATTCATTTTAAATAAAAGGCTGTTAAAAACAAAGACTTGAATACATATAAACTGTGTAATTGTAGACTTCTTTTAGAAGCTTCTAATAGTGCAATTGCAAATTCTTTCTGTTCTTGTGTCTTCAAAGATATTCACAAAAACTAATCCCTTAATATGTTTTTTTTTATTTTATGTAGCTAACTTTACAACTTTTTAGAAAACAAGAAAATGCATAATACTGTTGATAGACAAATATCTCACATTTGGAAATTACAATAGAGGTCTATGTCTAAGAAAAGATTTAAGCTATCCCATGCCTCTGAGACTTAACCGACCTCTCATGGTCGGTTACATTTTATATCCACATTTTGCTTCTGTGACTAATGGAAACTCCTTAGAGAATCAACCATGCTCTTGAATATTATGTTTTTCTTACAACAGAGAGAACATCAGTAATGATAACAATCATGTAATAATAATTTTAATGAAAGAAATAAGTCATATTTCTACCCTTCACTATATTACTAGGAAAATTTTGTAATTGAAAAGGTTTATTAGCAAAGATTTTTCCCTCTCAAAATCTCAAAGCAATTGTGAAAAGCTGTCTACCTACATCCTTTGTTTGTTAAATAATTTGTCAAAAATGGTAATATAATTACTAATGTAAATAGGAATAATGGTACAAATAACTGAAATTAATGTTTAAAAGTATATTATTTTATTCATTAAGCTCTATAATATGTTTTTTTGCATTTAAAAAATTGTTAATAATTTTGAATTTTATTCTAGATTCGGGGGTAATGTGCTGGTTTGTTTCTTGATTATATCACTCGATGGTGAGGTTTAGAATACGATTCATCCCATCACCCAGGATTTTTTAAACAAGAAAATAAATCTTTCCTATCTAACCTTTTGTTAGTCAATATACCTGTGCTGGCAAAAGAGGAAGATTAAAATAATTACCTGTATAAGTGAGGTAAAAATTGGTTATTGGGAAATAATAAACATTGACTTCTTATCAAGGTTAATATTCATATTTACATTAGTAGCAAAGACCCCCCTCCCAATGCACAAAGTAAAGTGGAAGGTAAGCAGTGTCTACATTACACAATGTTCATGAATAGTTTTATTATCTGACTAAATAGAAAATATATATGTTTGAAATAATTATGCATATAAATGTAGACTACATTGCCTCTAATCTTAAGGAAAAAGTATGCTTCTGAGCTCTAAAATTTCTTATTTTTATTTTATTTTATTATTATTATACTTTACGTTTTAGGGTACATATGTACAATGTGCAGGTTAGTTATATATGTATACATGTGCCATGCTGGTGTGCTGCACCCATTAACTCATCATTTAGCATTAGATATGTCTCCTAATGCTATTCCCTCCCCCATTCCCCCACCCCACAACAGTCCCCAGAGTGTGATGTGTCCCTTCCTGTGTCCATGTGTTCTCATTGTTCAATTCCCACCTATGAGTGAGAACATGTGGTGTTTGGTTTTTTGTCCTTGCTATAGTTTACTGAGAATGATGATTTCCAATTTCATCCATGTCCCTACAAAGGACATGAAGTCATCATTTTTTATGGCTGCATAGTATTCCATGGTGTATATGGGCCACATTTTCTTAATCCAGTCTATCATTGTTGGACATTTGGGTTGGTTCCAAGTCTTTGCTATTGTGAATAGTGCTACAATAAACATACGTGTGCATGTGTCTTTATAGCAGCATGATTTATAGTCCTTTGGGTATATACCCAGTAATGGGATGGCTGGGTCAAATGGTATTTCTAGTTCTAGATCCCTGAGGAATCGCCACACTGACTTCCACAATGGTTGAACTAGTTTACAGTCCCACCAACAGTGTAAAAGTGTTCCTATTTCTCCACATCTTCTCCAGCACCTGTTGTTTCCTGACTTTTTAATGATTGCCATTCTAACTGGTGTGAGATGGTATCTCATTGTGGTTTTGATTTGCATTTCTCTGACGGCCAGTGATGGTGAGCAGTTTTTCATGT
Organism: Homo sapiens; assembly: GCF_000001405.40. NCBI lineage: Eukaryota > Metazoa > Chordata > Mammalia > Primates > Hominidae > Homo > Homo sapiens. Next base: position 67,993,363 of record NC_000013.11, read on the forward strand.
GTTTTTTGGCTGCATAAATGTCTTCTTTTGAGAAGTGTCTGTTCATGTCCTTCACCCACTTTTTGATGGGGTTGTTTGTTTGTTTCTTGTAAATTTGTTTGAGTTCATTGTAGATTCTGGATATTAGCCCTTTGTCAGATGAGTAGATTGCAAAAATTTTCTCCCATTGTGTAGGTTGCCTGTTCACTCTGATGGTAGTTTCTTTTGCTGTGCAGAAGCTCTTTAGTTTAATTAGATCCCATTTGTCAATTTTGGCTTTTGTTGCCATTGCTTTTGGTGTTTTAGACATGAAGTCCTTGCCCATGCCTATGTCCTGAATGGTAATGCCTAGGTTTTCTTCTAGGGTTTTTATGATTTTAGGTCTAACGTTTAAGTCTTTAATCCATCTTGAATTAATTTTTGTATAAGGTGTAAGGAAGGGATCCAGTTTCAGCTTTCTACATATGGCTAGCCAGTTTTCCCGGCACCATTTATTAAATAGGGAATCCTTTCCCCATTGCTCGTTTTTCTCAGGTTTGTCAAAGATCAGATAGTTGTAGATATGCGGCGTTATTTCTGAGGGCTCTGTTCTGTTCCATTGATCTATATCTCTGTTTTGGTACCAGTACCATGCTGTTTTGGTTACTGTATCCTTGTAGTATAGTTTAAAGTCAGGTAGCATGATGCCTCCAGCTTTGTTCTTTTGGCTTAGGATTGACTTGGCGAGGCGGGCTCTTTTTTGGTTCCATATGAACTTTAAAGCAGTTTTTTCCAATTCTGTGAAGAAAGTCATTGGTAGCCTGATGGGGATGGCATTGAATCTGTAAATTATCTTGGGCAGTATGGCCATTTTCACGATATTGATTCTTCCTACCCATGAGCATGGAATGTTCTTCCATTTCTTTGTATCTTCTTTTATTTCATTGAGCAGTGGTTTGTAGTTCTCCTTGAAGAGGTCCTTCACATCCCTTGTAAGTTGGATTCCTAGGTATTTTATTCTCTTTGAAGCAATTGTGAATGGGAGTTCACTCATGATTTGGCTCTCTGTTTGTCTGTTATTGGTGTATAAGAATGCTTGTGATTTTTGTACATTGATTTTGTATCCTGAGACTTTGCGGAAGTTGCTTATCAGCTTAAGGAGATTTTGGGCTGAGACAATGGGGTTTTCTAGATAAACTATCATGTCATCTGTAAACAGGGACAATTTGACTTCCTCTTTTCCTAATTGAATACCCTTTATTTCCTTCTCCTGCCTGATTGCCCTCGCCAGAACTTCTAACACTATGTTGAGTAGGAGTGGTGAGAGAGGGCATTCCTGTCTTGTGGCAGTTTTCAAAGGGAATGCTTCCAGTTTTTGCCCATTCAGTATGATATTGGCTGTGGGTTTGTCATAGACAGCTTTTATTATTTTGAGATACGTCCCATCGATACCTAATTTACTGAGAGTTTTTAGCATGAAGGGTTGTTGAATTTTGGCAAAGGCCTTTTTTGCATCTATTGAGATAATCATGTGGTTTTTGTCTTTGGTTCTGTTTATATGTTGGATTACATTTATTGATTTGCGTATATTGAACCAGCCTTGCATCCCAGGGATGAAGCCCACTTGATCATGGCGGATAAGCTTTTTGATGTGCTGCTGGATTCGGTTTGCCAGTATTTTACTGAGGATTTTTGCATCAATGTTCATCAAGGATATTGGCCTAAAATTCTCTTTTTTAGTTGTGTCTTTGTCCGGCTTTGGTATATGCACCCAATACAGGAGCACCCAGATTCATAAAGCAAGTCCTGAGTGACCTACAAAGAGACTTAGACTCCCACACAATAATAATGGGAGACTTTAACACCCCACTGTCAACATTAGACAGATCAGCGAGACAGAAAGTTAACAAGGATACCCAGGAATTGAACTCAGCTCTGCACCAAGCGGACCTAATAGACATCTACAGAACTCCCCACCCCAAATCAACAGAATATACATTTTTTTCAGCACCACACCACACCTATTCCAAAATTGACCACATAGTTGGAAGTAAAGCTCTCCTCAACAAATGTAAAAGAACAGAAATTATAACAAACTGTCTCTCAGACCACAGTGCAATCAAACTAGAACTCAAGATTAAGAAACTCACTCAAAACCGCTCAACTACATGGAAACTGAACAACCTGCTCCTGAATGACTACTGGGTACATAACGAAATGAAGGCAGAAATAAAGATGTTCTTTGAAACCAACGAGAACAAAGACACAACATACTAGAATCTCTGGGACACATTCAAAGCAGTGTGTAGATGGAAATTTATAGCACTAAATGCCCACAAGAGAAAGCAGGAAAGATCCAAAATTGACACCCTAACATCACAATTAAAATTTCTAACTACATTTTAAATTGTTAAAATTCACTTTTTTTGTCACATTTCTGTATTAGTTTTCTAAGGTAGTCAGAACTTTGAAATTTATTGTTCTTCAGTTTATTTTACTTCATTTGAAATGCCTAATTGAAGAGTTAATGGGCAATGAAATGGCCAAATGGTAGATGGCAAATAGAAGAAAAAATGGCAAATATATAGATTCTTTTCCTTTATGGAAAGGACAGGCTACAGTCAATCCAAGCAACTGAATTGATTCGTCGAACTGTGCCAAACCTATTTCATTAATTAGGGGGAAAGCTTTTCTAAGTAAGATATTGCAGTTTTAAAAAACGTTTAACGTAGACTAATTTTTTAAAAATTTGTCTATTGTCATTTTAATCAGGTCACACTAGACACAGCCCTGTCCCTTGTTTAACTCACTGACCCTCAATAGGCCTCCTCCGTCATTAACCTGTCTTCAACGGTTACAGAAGATCCCTCAGAAAAGACATCCCATTCATGATGCTCTCGTTCTTCACTGATTGTCTGAAAGATCAACTCGTCCTTTTAAGCCGGGGCGCAGAAGTTGCTCCTGTCCTGCATGACGCCTCCACTTTGTCTGGTGGGGCTCCGTCGCAATCTGGACCTCTCTAGCTTGAGGCTGGTGTGTGCTTCTGTGTTGATTCCTCCTTCATCTGGGGTAGCAGGGACCGTCTTCACTTATATCTTATGGCTTTGGTGCTTACATGGTTCTGAGCAAATTGTGGTACTCAAATGTACTCCTTGAACAAATAAGAAAGGTCTGGCGTTGAATTAAATACCTGGGATCTTTTATTGACTACTATAGTGCCATTGGTTCCATGCTGTCACAAATGTGATATTGCTGGTCCAGCACTGTTAAGTTCTGTGACTTAATGTTTAGGCATTGTCAAAGAGTGACAGTGTCAAGATTCTGAAAAGCTGTGGAAAATGAAGTAATCAGAGACAAAAAAAAAGTAAAATAGCGAAAAATGTTAACGCTTAGCAATTACAGACCACTAGGCAATTGTCTATTAATAATAGAATAATGAACATTGATTATTGACATAATTTCTCAATACATTGCTTAAACAGACAAAACAGTAAATGTTAATTATTTGTAACTTGAATAGTTTATTTATTGGGGAAGAATTCCACCATGGCTGACACATAAAAAGCATGCAATAAGTATTTCTTATCTTCCCTACACCTCAAATAAGGAAACATCTGGATCACATCGCATTTTATGAAAGACTTAAAACCTAATCCTGCTGTTAACAGATAAAGTCGTTAAGCATAGATACATGAATCTATTCACAGCACTGTCCTATTAAATAGCTGCTCTGATAAGACCTAGAGGACATCCTGATCAAACTTGGTGATTTAAATCAATTAGATGGCAAAAACAGTCTCTCCCAAAGAGACTCTTCCTCTTGCAAGTTAGAGAAAAAATAATGACTTAGGTGATATTAAAAAAAAATGTAGAGTTTAGCTTTGACTTCAATTATCAACCACATATGAAATACAATATGAAAGACATTTCATGGCACATTATTAATAAAACAGAAATTTGCTCAAAATTATTTTAATGAGCCGGAAATATAATATCAATACTATTATAAATAAAATAAAATCCTCAAATATATTTCAACATTTAGAAACTTTAATCCAGATTTCAAGGACTTGCTTTATAAAAGATTCAGCTATTCTCTGTGTTTATTAGACAATATCCGAAATTATCTGTCCAGTTTGGGCATCCTATTTTAAGGGCATGCTTAATATTCAAGTTGTATACAAAAGACGATGAATAAAATCTTGTGACAACTAGAAGCCATGTCATATGGAAAATTAATGAAGTAAGTAGAGCCTTTATATCACAGAGGAAAATATTTGAAGCCGGAGCATACATGTCACATGCAAGTAGATGCATATTTACTCTGGGTTATAACAGAGGGGGCAAAATGGAGACTAAATTATAGAAATTACAGAGAGAAAGATTTGTTCACTCATTATGGGAAAGGATTTTCTAAAATTTAGTATTATACAATAATGGAATTGGCAATTTTGTGAGGTGACAATTTTCTTCAAGTGAGTATTTCCAAGAAGAATTTGCCTGGGAGATTGAAGGAGACATTTTCAATTTGGAAAGGAAATGAAGTTGATAGCTAGCTAAATTTCCATTGAAGTCTCAATTCTACTAAATCTTTGAGAGGAATTTTGTACTTGATAGTTTCTTTGTGCACAAGTTCATATTTTATACTATATTAGTATGCAAATATTAGATATTTTATAGATTTGATGGACCAAGCTGTATATATAGTAACAATCTATACAAACACACATATGTGTATGTATATTCATTTTAAATTTACTATTTAAATAAATATTTCCACTCTAATATATTTAGAAGTTTAAAATGTGTAGTTATTGGTGACATTCTTCCTATTTAAAATGTGAGCTAATTATTTGTTATTTTTGCTTATCTCACAATGGAAACTAGAAGCCATGAGACACATGACAAACACCACAATGCAGATGGACATCCCTTAACAATTGTTTTTGAGATTTTTGAATTTCTGTTAGAGATATATAGAATAGAAATATCATGTCTTATTTCTTTTATTTGTAAAGGTTATTAACTTGACCCTGAAATCTACAAACTGTTCCATTCAGTAGTAAGTTGGAACTCTATTTATGTAGTAAACTTTCATATTTTGTATATTTAATAAACTTTTGGCCTTTATGAAGTATTCAATACATTCTTCATAAATTTCTCACTAATTAATATTGTTTTGAATTATTTTATTTACAGTTAAATAATAATTTTCTGCTTTATTTAACTGTTCTATTTTGAGTTATATTTAAAATGAAGACAAAGGATTAAAGTCATTAACTATATCCTAATAAAATGCCCATTGAAAAATATTAAAATTTAAAATAAAAATAAAATTTAATATAAAATAAAATAAAATCTAAATATAAAAATTTAAAATATTTTAAGATCTTGTAATACACTTGTGAAATACTTGAAGACTGCTTGTTATAATACTCAGATTTTGATGATTAATATAATTCAAATAAATATATTTTTTATTTTGCATATTACCTTATCCTTCATTTGAAGATATATCATTACATTTAAATCAATATGATTTATAGTTATAACTTTCTCTAATTTATATTTTCATAGACTCACTTAATTTCTGTGGACTAATTTGTCTCCTCAAACATACCTTCCTCTTACAGTCACCTGTCTCATAACTGACAAACTTTCACAGCGGCCCTCAGCCTATGATAAATCTAACTGGATAAAAGAAAGATTAATATGATAACACAACCTTACAAAATGTAACTGGCTGAACACTATTGGTTCTATAAGTTATGCTCTATGATATAGTTCATATTTATGCATTATATCTTATTCAAGAGAGGAATGGAAAATCTAGATTTAAACACAAATCTACTTGGAGCAAAATTATATGGTAAAACACTTTTTCTTACTTTGAGGTCACTTTTGACTTACCTTTGACTTGATTTACTGATCTTGATTTATTTTCTGCGTTTTAATTTCTTTTTCAGATCTATAATCAGTTAATATCTACTTTGTTATTATGAGTACAAATATCTATAAGCAAATGTCTAGTTAAGACACACAGTAGTGAAGAATTTTTAATTTAATTTCCAACAGAAGAAAATAAATTTCTGGTAAAATATTACTAGAGTAAAAAAATTATGCTAATTAGTATTGCTTAATGTTTTAGGTTATCATACAGAAAGTCTGGAATAAATATACATTTTTAGTACGTAGTTACTGGAATCTGCAAGATGTGCTAAGGTTGTATTTCAGCCAATTTGATCATTTGGAAATATGTGTCTTTGTTGAAAAATTATTTCCAGTAGGATTGTATTTATATGACTTGAGTAAATTATTGAAAATGCTTTAAGTGAATTTTGTATTGCCTATAATGTATCACTGTTAAGCATTCAACTGGATTTCCCTGTATTTCATTCTATTTGGGTGTGTTTCTGTCTGAAATAATCAAAATCAGTATTAATTATGTTTTTTGGTAACAAGTGAAAACTCTGGATATCTGAAATATAGATTATATTATTTGTAAATTGATGGGAAAAATCATAATCAATGGGAACATTTGATGCAAAGAAAGGGGACCTGGGTATAGAAAATGAGTAGTAAAGAGCAGATGCAACAAGAGAGGATAATTAAGAATAAAACCCAGGTTAGATCCTGTTAAGATTGTTTGGGTAAGATGCTGACTGGTGCTCTATAGTCACTCTACCCTTAACGCCACCACTGAGCACAAGCTGATACTGCCTTGCCACACTGGGAATCATTTGACAATTGATGTCTTTTCATCTCTCTCTGCAGTTTCAAACTTCAAGTTGACTGCATTTGATCAGTCAGGATTAGATTATGTTCAGTGTTCAAGACTGTGTTTGCAAGGGAAAGGGGAATGTATAACAACTGTAATCCTTTCATTATGAGATTGAGAGCCTTCATAGCCAGACATTTCTCTAAATTATGACTTCTGTTCATGCTCAGAGCTGTTCTATAAGGTTAAATATTCATAATTCCAAGCCTTTTTTTTCATCTTTTTAATTTGACAATAAAATTAATATAGGCTAATTATGCTATAGACAACTAGGAAACAGAAAAATAAACAGAAAACATACAATAAATTCATAATTTAACCACTAGTGAAAAAGAATTATTAATATATTGATATATTTTGGCTCTATGTCCCCACCCAAATCTCATCTTGAATAGTAGTCCTCACATGTCAAGGGAGGGAACTGATGGGAGGTGACTGAATCCCGGGGCGGTTTCCCCCATACTGTTCTCATGTTACTGAGGGAGTTTTCACAAGATCTGTTGGTTTTAAAAGTGGCAGCTTCTCCTAATTCTCTCTCTCTCCTATCATCCTGTAAGACCTGTCTTCCTTCCCCCTTAACTTTCACCATGATTGTAAGTTTCCTGAGACCTCCCTAGCCATGAGAAACTGTGAGTCAATTAAACCTCTTTTCTTCATAAATTACCCAGTCTCAAGTAGTGTCTTTAGCAGTATGAAAATGTACTAATATATATGTCTTCTTATTTTTTAGTTCTTTTTTGTTATCAAGGATGTATGTGTGTACATTGCAAATTCACATATATGTGCACACCTACCTACATTGCAAATACACGTATATGTCACATTTATTTTTCAAAATGAGATTCTGTATTGATAGCCTTAATTGATGGCTATCATTAAATGACACTGAGCATTTTTTCACCTACCTGTTGGTCATTTGTATGTCTTCTTTTGAGAAATGTATATTAAGATATTTTGCCCATTTTTAATAGAGTTATTTTATTATTAGTAGTAGTATTTTTATTTGAGTTTGTTATATATTCTGGATATTAAACCCTCGTTAGATGCATACTTTGCAAATATTTTCTCCCATTCTGTAGGTTGTCTCTTCACTTAGCTAATTGTTTTCTTTGCTGTGAAAAAGTATTTTAATTTGATGTAATCCCATTTGTCTATTTTTGCTTTTGTTCTCTGTGATTTTGAGGTATTATTTAAATCATTACCTCATCCAATGTCGTGGTGTTTCCTTTAGGTTTTTTTCTAGTAGTTTTGTAGTTTAAGGTTTTACATTTAAATCTTCATTCCATTTTGAGTTGATTCATATATACAGTGAGAGATATGGGTCTAATATCATTCTTCTGTCTGTTTTTCCCAGCACCATTTATCAGATGTTGTCTCTTTCCCAACGTGTGTTCTTGGCACTTGTGTCAAAATCAGTTGGCTGTCAGGGTGTAAATTTATTGCTGGGTTCTCTATTCTGTTCAATTGGTCTGTGTATCTGTCTTTATGCCAGCATCATTCTGTTTTGGTTACTAATGCTTTGCAATGTATTTTGAAATCAGGTAGTGTAATGTTTCCAGCTTTGTACTCTGGGCTGAGGATTGCTTTGGCTATTTGGAGTATTTTGTGGTTCCATGCAAATTTTAGGATTTTCAAAGAATTTTGTAAAGAATGTCATTGTTATTTTGATAAGGATTGCTCTAAAGTTATAGATTGCTTTGGCTAGTGTGGCCATTCTAGCAATATTAGTTCTTCCAATCCATGAAAATAAGATTCATTCCTGTCTTCTTCAATTTCTTTCATTAATGTTTTGTAGTTTTCAGTGTAGAGATCTTTCACCTCCTTAAGTTTATTCTCAGGTATCTTATTTTCTTTGTGTAGCTATTGTAAATAAAATCACACTTGATTTATTTTGGCTAGTTTACTACTGCCATATAGAAATACTACTGATTTTTTATGTTGATTTTGTATCCTGCAACTTTACTGAATTAGTTTATTAGTTCAAACAGTGTTTTTGGTGGAGTCTTAAGGTTCTCTTTGTATAAGATTATGTTGTTTGCAAATAGGGTCAATTTGAATTCCTTCTTTTCAATTTGGATGCCTTTTTTTTTCCTCTTGACTAATTGCTCTGGTTAGAACTTCCAGTACTATGCTAATTATAAGTGGTGAAAGTGGACATTCTTGTGTTGTCCCTGATCTTAGAGGAAAAGCTGACAGCAGTATGATGTTAACCATCACTTTGTTATACATGGCCTTTTTCGTATGGAGGTATTACCTTCTATACCTAATTTGTTGAGAGTTTTTATCACGAAGGGATGTACATGCTTGTTGTGTCACATGCTTTTTCTGCATCTATTGAAATGATCATAGGGTTTTTGTCTTTATTCTTGTTAATGTGGTGGATTACATTTATTGATTTGCAGATGATAAATCTTCCTCGTATCCTTTCATTTCTGATTTTATTTGTGTATGCTTTACTTATTTTTTTAGTAAGTCTAGCTAAAGATTTGTCAACTTTGTTTATCTTTTCCCAAAACAAACTCCAGGTTTTGTTGATATTTTAGATAGTTTTCCTAACCTCTGTTTGGTTTATTTTTGCCCTGAGTTGCATTATTTTCTTGCCTTTACCAATTTGGGTTTAGTTTGTTTTTGCTTTTCCAGTTCCTTGAAGTACATTGTTAGGTTGTTTATTTGAAATCTTTTTTTTTTTCATTTTTGATATAGGCATTTATTCTTATAAATTTTCCTGCTTTGCTGTCCTGTATGTTTTGGTATGATGTATTTTTATTCTCATTTGTCCCAATACATTATTTTAAATTTTTCTTTTAATTTCTTCCTTGATCCATTAGCTATCTAGGGACATGTGGCTGAGTTTGCATATATTTGTAAAGTTTCTGCAGTTTTTTTGTTAACTTTTAGTTTATAACATTGTGGTCAGAAAAGATATAAGATATTATCGCTGTCTTCTTAAATTTGTTAAGATTTTTGTGGCCTAAAATATGATCTATACTGGGCAATGTCACATGTGCAGTTGAGAACAATGTGTACGTGCAGCTGTTGGATGGAATGTTCTGTACATGTCTTTTGGGTCCATTTGGTATGGTGAAGTTTAAGTCCAATATTTCTTTGTTTGTCTTATCTAGATGATCTGTCTATTGTTGAAAGTGAGGTGTTGAAATCCCCTCCTATTGTTACATGGCACTGTATATCTCTTTTTAGATCTAATTAATTTTGCTTCACATATTTGGTGCTCTAATGTTGGATGCATATATATTTTTATATTGTCTTGTTGAGTTAATATTTTTATCTTTATATAATGACCTTCTTTGTCTATTTTTACAGTTTTTACTTAAAGTTTATTTTATCTGATATAAGTATGACTACTTCTGCTTGCTTTTAGCTTTATTTGCATGAAATATTTTTTTCTCTGCCTTCATTTTCAACCTATGTGTGTCTTTAACAGAGAAATAAATCTCTTGCAGGCAGCATACAGTTGGGCCTTGTTTTTTTAATATACATATTTGAATCTATTCAGCCATTCTATATCTAATTGGAGTGTTTAATTCATTTACATTTATGATGATTATTTATAGGTAAATATTTGCTTCTGCCATTTGTTATTGTTTTCTGGTTGTTTTGTAGATTCTTTTCTCCTTTATTGTTATTTACCTATGTTGTTTGGTGATTTTCCATGATGCTAAGCTTTGTTTCCCTCTCTTTTTTGGTGTGGTATCTGTTGTATTTCATTTCTTTGTAGTTACCACAGGGCTAACATAAAGAGTCTTCTAGTTATAATTAATTATTTTGAGCTGATAACAACTTTGTCACACAAAAGTACTCTAGCCTTCTTACCTCCCCCCTCACAATTCCTGTTTTTGTTTCCTTTATTTACATATGTATCTATTATGGTTACTTAGCCACTATTTTAAGTGTTGTTAATTTTGACTATTTTAAATTTTAACTTTCATGTTAGAGAACTGAAGGATTTACATACTCCCTGTATAGGACTGGGGTATTCTGTGTTTGATTATGAATTTATATCTACTAGTAGGTTTTATACTTTCATGTGCTTTCATAATAGTAATTATTGCCCTTCTACTTCCAGTTTTAGTACTCTTGTTAAGTATTTCTTGTTAGGTGAATCTAGTGGTAACAAATATTCTCAGTTTTTGCTTGTCTAGGAAGGTCTTTATTTCGCTCCTATTTCTAAAGAAGAGCTTCACTGGATGTACTATTCTTGGCTGAAAATTTTCTTTCTTTTTCAGAATTTTGGATACATCACTCCATTATCTTCTAGTATTCAAAGATTCTGCTGAACAATCTACTGACAGTCTAATGGAGATTCACTTGTATGTGACTTGACACTTTTGCATCTTTTAAAATTCTCCATCTTTGAGTTTTGATAGTTTGATTGTAATGTGTCTAGGAGATGATCTCTGGGGCTTAAATATACTTGGAGATTTTTGACCTTGCATCTGGAGGTCCATATATTTCCCAGGCCTTTGGAAGTTTTCAGCTATTATTATGTTAAATAGATTATCTGTGCCATTCTCAGTTTCTTCTCTGTTAATCCTATGATACAAATATTTGTTTGCTTCACATATGTAACTAACCTGCACATTGTGCACATGCACCCTGAAACTTAAAGTATAATAATAATAAAATACAATAAAATAAAAATTTTTGTTTGCTTCATGGTGCCTCATAAGACTCCTAGGTTTTCTTTGCTCCTTTTTATTCCTTTATTCCCCGTCTGACTGGGTTATTTTAAAAGAACTGTCATCAAGCTTAGAAATTCTTTCTTCTGCTTGATCTTATTTGTCTGTTGTTGAAGTTGTAAACTGTATTTTTTATTACATTCTTTTTTTTCCATTTAAAAGATTTCTGTTTGGTTTTTTATTTATTGTTTCTACATGTTTTTGAGAATCCTTCTCCTGGATGTTGGTTGAGTACGGCAGATTGGCTTTGTTTCTAGGTGGACTCAGTAGCATGATCTCTGTGCAGGTGTAATCTCAGTCAGTGAAGTCTGTGATTGCATCAGTAGCCTAGGCTTTGGGAGCTTATACCAGCAGTGGTGTGGTTTTGCTGTGTGCAGGAGCACCAGAGGTTATTGGGCTGGGCACAAATGTGTACTGGCATAGTGGACTGGCTGGCTGTGTGGTGGTCTCTCTGGTGGTGAGTTTCTGGCACACATGGGTCCCCCTCCTTACTATTTGTTTGGTGGGACGTGGGCAAGCACTGGTGCAGCATTCTAGCTGGCTGTATGTTGGCTTTCTTGCTGTGCAGGTTTGTCTGTTCCCTGAGGGTGAAATATTGTTTGAATTAAAATTCTGCAGTTTCAGCCTTCCTGTTGGTCCCAGGCTTTGGGTGTCCCGTGTTGTGGTTCTGTGGTCACTAATGTGAGCATGGTAGAATGATTGCAGGGCCTCAGGGATGGTGAGAGGCAGTGGCTACTCACCCCAAGGGCAAGATGCACTCTAGTAGTGGGCCCAGTTTCAAGACGGAACCATGGTATGGCAGTTTAGGTCATGGGGCTGGAGAGTGTACCATGTAGGCTATTACTTGGCGGTAATGCAGGCTTACAAACAATTGGCAACACTCCAAACTCAATTCAGGACCTATGAGGACTTCAAGACTCTTTTGTAGTAAAGGCTTTAAGTTTCTGCATTAGTTATTGTGATTGCTAGGGTTCTCCAGCATACTTTGTCCCATAAGAAGTCCCCCATGGCTCCAAACTAATCATGGAAAGTGAGACGGTGGCAGAGCTATGGTACTATCCTGAGCGTCTGCTTACCATGTATATTTTGCCACTCCTCTGGTGCTCTTCAATGTATCTCCTCAGTCATTTTTATCAAAATATAGTTGTTTCTTGTTTTGGGGTGTGTGGGAAGTGCTAGGCAACTCTAGTTGTTCACCTTGCTGATGTTGCCTAAAAACATAATTTCAATTATTGTACAGCATTATATTCTATAAACATATCAACATTAATTTAAATATTATTTTGTTGTTTAGTACATAAATTGCTCATTAGTTATTGTTATTCTTATAAGGAACAAAATAACAAACAATTTTGTTCAGAAATTTTATGTACTTTTATTTTTCTTTAGGATAGATTTCCTCAAAACGAAATTTCTGGAAAGATAGACCTTTTGAACATATTGATGGTTTTCCTAGGAAATTAATTAATCTACTAGTGGTGTAAAAAATGTATTTTAAACTCTTGATTAATAATAATATTGTGAAAAATGTTACCTTATAGAAAAAAAAATCATTGCTCTTTCATTTTGTCTTAGTTTGTCCTTTTGCGAAATCAATTTATTTTACATGTATATATATTACATGTGTTGCAGTGTGGTAAGTATTGGGATACATTGGTAAAAAGAGACCCAAATGATTCCTTCTCTTCCATATCTTGTAATATAGAGAAATAAACACTCATTGAGCAATTAAAAGTTAGTTTGGAAGAGATCTAAAGTATAGAGGATGCAGTGGGAAGACAAAATAGGAACAGCAGAGCCACAGCTCAGAAAATCACCCAGGCTTCCCAGAAGAATTAGTATGTAACATGAGAGTATACTATATAAATGAAGGGAACAGTAGGAAAATTATTACAGATATTGGAGAAACAGTAATTACAAAAGCTTGTTATCATGAAAGTATAAAATAAGGAACATGAAGTTACTTAGAAAGTTTACAGCATAGAATTTGAAGTATGGTGACATAAGTCTTAAGAAATAAACAGGAGCGAAATAATACAAAGCTAAAATATAAACAAGAAGCTAAACTAAGAGATGGAAACTAAATTTTGACAACAATAAAGGTTTATTGATTTTACTTGTATATTTTTAAATCAGGAAATGTCATTTAACATTTGCATATTAAGAAAATTATTGTTTCTGAATGTTCCTAGAAAGAATTATATGGAGATGGAGGTAGAAAGCTGTGGCAATAATTTTGATGACAGATAATGCTTAAAAAATAAACTTCAGAAATGGAAAGAACTAAATATTTTGAAAGATAGTTAACTTGGTTATGGAGTTTGTATTGGGTAGTGAATGCGAGTGAGAGAAGAAGGAGGAATAAAATATTATAAAGAGTTCAGTTTGGACCACAGTACTTTTTAAATGTCTCATCTGCAGGATATCTAAGAGGTATTCAGAGTAGGTGGCTACCATTTTGATTCTGTCGTATGTCAGAAGAGATGACTGAATGAAGAAGCAGAGAAGAAGCACTGGAACAGAAACCATTTAACACCAACACCTACTTAGAAATTAATAGGCTAATTAGTCTCTGTTCATCTATTAAGTTTTCCTATTATGGCTGGTCATGTCTTTTTAATCCCCACTGATATTTTATTGTTTTCCCTAACTAGGTATGCAAGACCTTTGTCGTAAGAAGAATATCATATTCTAATCATTTCTCATTGTTTCAGTGTGTTTTTTCAATTGTGATTGATTTTCCATGATTGTCAAAATGACACATAGAGAAGTCAATCAGTCAACCATACAGTATTGCCAGTCTTCAAATTGTGGTAATATTTAACTTCTTTTCTAACGTCTTTATTTTATACTTAAAAGGATTCTGCTTTTTGCAAACTTACTTATACATGTAAAAGGTTTATGAGAGATTAATGTTGGGCTATTTTCTCATTGCACTAACAAAAAATGTTTTCAGCCATGGATTAGATGAGCTGTGTTGCCTAGCAACACACTTCCATATATACTCTGAGTTGCTTAGCAGCAAACTTTCAATAAAGTGCTGTCTTGAATTGGTATAATACTAGTCTTCTTTAAGTTGAGAATTTTACTGCTACCTGGTTCCAACCTCCTCAATAGTTGCATTATGGAATCTGGACAGAGAAGCAAACCAATGTTCCCAGTGTGCTTTGGCTCCTATATTCAGAAAATTGTCTTCCCAAAGATATTCTTTTTATATACCGGGGCCTGAGAATGGGACTTTGAATAATGACTATCTAATTTCTCTCAAAGAAACACATATTTCATGGATCTTGTACATCAGCATTATTGGAGATAGCATATATATATCTAAAGCCCAAATCCAAAAAGAAAAGTGTTTATCATAATTTTGTGTTCCCATATCTACTCTTCTACATCATATAGTTAAAAAATTATTAATTACAGTGATGAACTATATCCAATAATAGTGCATTATTTGGCAAGAGAAGATGAACAAACTATCAACTGATCTCAGTTCAGGAATCTTTGCCTTTATTGATTTCCTCTGTCATTTTTAATATGTTTATGGTATTTTCTTGGCCTCATCAGCAATAGAAATGTTACCAAAGAGGTCAACTCATTTAACTTCTTGGTGGATATATTACCTCCTCAAAATCTCAAAATCAAAGTCCATCATTGGATTTTTATCATATCTAGCTAAACAAGAACATAGTACAAAACAAAGCATAGTATATTAAGGAGGGTAATTATTTTCTGAGTGAAAACAGAAGTTTAAGATACGTGACTTGGAGATTCTGTACTCAACTCTATTTATGCTTTTGTTTCTCCTTAAAGTTTATCCCAAATTGGATTACATCATCTAAAAATAGTAAAGTAGGCAAAAAGCACAAAGTATGCTTAATAAGAAAAGTTTTCCAAAAAAGAATAAGCCCAATAGTATAAGGTACATAGAGCAATAAAATTCAGAGACAAATGGTAACATGGTGATTGCAAGGGCCTCGTGGGAGGAGATATGCCCCAATCACTGAATAGGTGAAGTCACTTGCCCAAAATTACAAAGAGAGACAGAGCCCAAGGACTACAAGAACTTGTATGCTTATTCATCATGCTCCACTGCTCACACAGGGATAATTTCTATTCTATTAAGAGCTTACTATATGTCAGATGCTTTTTAAAGTACTTTACATGTATTATTTCATTTATTCACCAAAAGACTATGTTACTAGCTAACAACAATAACAACAGTTATCTAAATATATTAATCCATTAAAACTCATACCAGTCCTATGAGTACTATAAAACACTACGCATGTTAAAATATTACCTCAGTTCCTGACCTACAGTAGATACTAAATATATACTATTATCAATACTACTTCAAGATGTATAGTCTCAGAGTCATTTCTACCAAGTATCCTATCGGTTATACTTTAACATCCAATTCAATTGAACATCCAATACAATTCAAGAAAATGTATTATTTGGATCCTATAAACAATTTGTTTTGCCAAATATCCCTGTCATTTTTTTGTCTTTTTTTTTTAGTTTATCTTTAAGCCTTCTTAGTGTTCAAAATTTTGTCTTTAGTCAATGACATGTATAGTAGGTAAAATCTATCCCAATAATTTTTATTATAGATTTTATTAATAATATAACTGTTTAATTCATTGGTACATGTTTATGCATTGCATCAAATTGGTAAGGAAGATTCTTTGTGTACCAAAGTTAAAATTTTATTCATAGTTTTTATATAGGCAATGTATGTTACATTTAAATTATGGAATTTTAAATAGAATCAAAATACTAGATAAGCAGTGTTGTTGTTCTGTTTCCACCTCTAAGCCATTATGTTACAAAGATAACAAATTTGTCCTATGTAGGACCCAGCCAACTTCAAGTCAAGGATAGCAAAAATAGTTCACATTCACTAGGATACAATCAAGGTGAATCATGATTTATGTGCCTACTAAGACATGAGGGGGAGAAATCGGGGGAGTAGCCTGCATCGTAATGAACTAGCATCTTAGTTTGAAGTTAGACACTATTAGGCCCATATTCTCTTATTCTCAAGCGAAGCAAACTAAAATAAGAACTGAAATAACAATCATATTAAGTAGAGGCACTTAAGCAATATCACAATATATAATCCTTTGATAGAAAAAACATTCTTCTAATTTACACATTAAAAATTATAAGATTATAGGATTAATAGATTTATGAGCTCACCCTCCAATGCTATTTAACTGCAGCTCTAAGCAAAACAGCAGCAGTGCTTATACATACGATTACAAAGCTAAATCTTCTCCAGCATTTACACCTACAATCACATTCAGTCCATCCTTTGGCTGACCTTCCTCAATCTAGCTTATGTAAAATCGCTAGCTTCCTATGCTATTCAATCTTTAAACTTCTTGCTCTTTTTCAGAACAATTGTACTGAGTTCTTCATACACAACATTTTAATAATGGCTTGAGATAATAAACTTGGTTAATTTCTTTCTCTCCACAAGGCTTGGGAAATTCAAGGACCTTGTCAAGAGAAAATAATTTGCAACAAGAAAGGCTTGAAATTAATCCACACCAGTCAGCAGATCAAGACTGTGTTCTTATCTTTAATGCTATCCAGTAGTTCAAAAGAATAACAATGTAAATAAAACTAATGGTGATTGCCATCAACAAACAGAATGCATTGTGCTATATAAGAGTTATATCAACAAAAAATGTTTTGAATATTAAAGGTAGATAACTACTTTCTTGGAATTCATCAAATAAAAATGAAATGACTGGAAATCTAAAATACAAAGAACTGTATGTTTTCATTTTGCTTCAGATCTAAACTTCTAATCCACAAAAGCAGAATTTACTAACACAGATAATTTTTTTTTCTTTTTTACATGGTATAATTACAGATATGGTTTGGTGGAAATTAGTTCTTCATTCAGAATCTGAGACATAGTAAAATTTCAAAAATTCCTGTTAATATTTCCAAGAAGATATATGCACAGTTATGCAAAATTTCTGTAATATATTCTTAAGTTTTAACATATCCATGTGCAACTTTGCTATTTATGTTACTTTACACTCATTTAAGCATGGATATATGTGTTTCTGATTATACTATATTGCATTATACCATATTATGTTATATATAGTTTTTCTCTGAACATGGTTTTAAAGGTTTTCAATTTTGCAAAATGTCAAGGCATAAAATAGAAATGACTCAACACATTTTAAAAATATAATTGTGTTTTAAGTGACATGATCTTATAAATACTGCAGAAAACCTGGGAGATTTTTAGATTAATAATTGTCAGTCATATTTTGGGCCTAATGCTACTTCTACATGGAAACCTTCCATAATCACCCACTCTACAGCTTTCCTCTCTAACCCACTATTGTGTATCATATTAGCCTATTTATTTACTTTAGAAGATAGGTAAATGTTTATATAATTTTGTTTATTTGTGTATTATGCAGGCCTTTCACATTATAATGTAAACTTCACACACAAGCAGGATCTTGTTTCTGTTTTTGACTACTGCATTTTGGTCTAGACCAGTATTTACCTGTGAGGACAATAGAGTAATTATAAATATATTTCTGAATGAATAGATAAATGAGTGAATAAATATTCTCAATATTATTATTATTATTTACTTGTTCTATATTTTCCTATTACTCATACAACCAAAGGAAAAATATAAAATATAGTGACCATTGACTTTATAATTTCATTACAGTACATTTCATTGTTCATTGCTCAAACATAATTATGTGAGTCAGTGTAAACTTTTTAGATACTAAAATTTGAAGAAATAACCCTTCTCTTTTATGATATCATTTATCATAAGTAAAAACTATTTAAAACGATGGATTCTGAAAAGTGTAGAATCGTAACACCCACTTCAAAAATATCCCTTTAATAAATCCTAAAATAGAATGTTGCATATTTTTACAAATTTATGATTGATGAGATCAAGTAGTTTTGTTTTTATTTAGTTGAATATAACTATAGCAAAAATCATGTGAAATGAAAACCAAAAATGTAATTAAGATACTTTGATATTTAATATTAATTTAATTATACATTGGCTATTTGTTATGCAAGCTTTCTAAGCAGATGAATTTTGTATGTCTCCATTAATTGCCAATCCTTAAAATAGGGTAAATTTATGTATTACTCATTTTGCTATGTTTAATCATGGAAAGTGAAATCAAATGTGGCATTCTTGAATCAAATTGTCAAGCCTTATTCATGAGTAAGTCTTATAAGAAGTCAGAGTAGGCAGTTGAATATGTCATATGATTTGAAAGCATTGGAAAATTATTTTTACTTAAAATATCTCCCTCATTACCTTTCTCTGTGCCTGAAATTTCATCTTCAGAAATCTCTCTTGGGATTTAACTTTAGTTTTCACTTAGTACTTGGAAGTGTGACTCCTCTATCTTTTACAAATGCTCTTTGAGAGCTCATTTGGAGATTCAGGGAAGATATCCCTTCTTACAACCACCCTCCAGCAAAAAAACAAACAAACAAAAAAAACTGTTTTCCTATTTCAGAGACATCTTTACTTTCATGAAATTCTGATGTGATACATAAAGAAGAGAAGGTCATCTTCCTAGCTGGCCAGATCAGCCAAATCATCCCTGGGGATAAACAGTAAGTCACTCACATTGCTGTCAGATTATACTCATAAGCCTAGAGGAGTTAGTTGAGCAGAATTAGAGGCCAGGGGAAAGGCTGTGAGTAGGAAAAGCATTCACAAAACAACATTTTTCTGATATTAAATTGAAGAGAATATCCAATCTAACTCTTCATCTTACTAAGAAAATTGAGGATCAAAAAATTATGATTTGCTTAGAGAAACACAGATAGTTATTGATGAGAAACTACACTCACATTTCCTGACAATGGTCTCTCTGTTTCTCTACTATGCACAATTAATTGCCTCCCACCCAAATCAGAAAGAGGAAAGAATACTGTTGGGGTTAAATTATTCTCTGTTGTTCTTTCTATTTTGTGTGTGTGCTCTTATTTTGTGTGTGTGTTAATGAAATTTATGGCTTGAACAGATTACCCATCAAAATGAAGCTATGTATTTAATTTGTTAAGCAAACAAATACAAAGTAACAAATAAAACCTCAATCTACTACTTAAACATTATTTGTTCTACTTCCCAGTTTTAACTTATGAGTAATAAATATAAATTATTCAATTACTAATATCTCCCATTCCCCTTTTCTATTTTAGTTTACACTTAACATTATTACTTTTAACATACCATATGTTTCACTTATTTTACTTATTGTGTATTCCTTGTACCCTCCACTAGAATTAAGCTTTATGAGAGCACAGATTTTTACTGATTTTATTAATTGACATTCCCAGTGCCTGAAACTGCTTGGCAGATATTCAGTATCTAATAATATTTTTGAATGAATTAATGGATGAAATTTTAGACAACATCAGCACAGCCTTTATTACAGCAAAATAGGTAGCCCTCCCACCACTAATACATATCATTCCTAATGCCAGATACAATAAGTGTCCAGGGCAAATGCAGATGTTTTAAACATGCAGTGACAAATGATTCAAGGGGACCCCGTAGAACACAGTAATCCTAGAGAATAGCAAATGACATTGTTTAGTGGCCATTTACTTTATAGTCCAGATGTCCTTCTTAAGTCGGTGCTATTTTACAGCTTCTAAAACTGCACTGCGAGTTTCTGCAAGATTGTAGGATTTATTTTTTCATGTCCTCCTACTTTTCTTTTCAAAATTTCCTAATGAATAAAAATAAAAAATATAATTTGACTTCAGCCAATCTTCACATATTATTCAGTGCTCTTCTGTATATATGTAGTATCTACATACTCTAGCTACCTTGGGCAGAAAAGGCCTGGTTTAAAATGTTAAAGAATAATAGGATACAGACAGCAATTCAAGGAAAGTATAGAATTGGATTGTCTGGTGAAAGGTGACAAATGCTTGGTATTATTTTAGTTTTAAAAGTATATGTTACACATCAACCAATGGAACAGAATAGAGAACCCAGAAATAAGACTGCACAGCTACAACCATCTGATCTTTGACAAACCTGACAAAAACAAGCAATGGAGAGAGGGTTTCCTATTTAATAAATGGTGCTGGGAGAGCTGGCTAGCCATATGCAGAAAACAGAAACTGGACAAATTCCTTACACTGTATACAAAAATCAACTCAAGGTGGATTAAAAACATAAATATAAAGTCTCAAACTATAAAAACCCTAGAAGAAAATCTAGGCAATACCTTTCAGGACATAGGCATGGGCAAAGATTTCATGACAAAAAGACCAAAAGCAATTGCAACAAAAAAATTGTCAAATGAGATCTAATTAAACTAAAGAACTTCTGCACAGCAAAAGAAACTATCATCAGAGTGAACAGACAACCTACAGAATGGGAGAAAATTTTTGCAATCTATCCATCTGACAAAGGTCTAATATCCAGTATCTACAAGAAACTTAGACAAGTTTACAAGAAAAAAAATAAACCACATCAAAAAGTGGGCAAAGGACATGAACAGACTCTTCTCAAAAGAAGACAAACATCCAACCAACAAACATATGAAAAAAAGCTCAACATCACTGATCATTAGAGAAATTCAAGTGAAAACCACAGTGAGATGCCATCTCACACCAGTCTGAATGACTAGTGTTAAAAAGTCAAGAAACAACAGATACTCATGATGTCGTGGAGGAAAGGGAATGCTTTTATACTGTTAGTAGGAGACTGAATTAGTTCAACCATTGTGGAAGACAGTGTGATGATTACTCAAAGACCTGGAGGCAGAAGAACCACCTGACCCAGCAATCCCATTACTGGGTATATACCCAAGGAAATATAAATCATTCTGTTATAAACATACATGCACATGTATGTTTATTGCAGCACTATTTACAATGGCAAAGGCTTGGGACCAACCCAAATGCCCATCAATGATAGATTGGATGAAGAAAATGTGGTACCTATACCCCATGAAATATTATGCAGCTATAAAGAGGAATGAGATCAGGTCCTTTACAGGGACATGGATGGAGCTGGAGGCCACTACCCTCAGCAAACTAACACAGGAACAGAAAACCAAATATTGCATGTTCTCACATGTGAGTGGGAACTGAATGATGAGAACACATGGATACATGGCGGGGAATGATGTGGGGGGAGGAGCGAGAGCATCAGGACAAATAGCTCATGGATGCTGGGCTTAATACCTAGGTGATGGGTTGCTCTGTGCAACAAACCACAATGGCACGTTTACCTATGTAACAAACCTGCACATCCTGCACATGTACCCCTGAACTTCAATTTTTTATAGTATATGTTATTTGACTGTAAGATAAAAATTTGTCAACTCAATCAGCACACACAAAAAATCTGTTCTCCACATCTCTTGAAATAATGAGAATATTAAATAATTTGCTGATTTTTGATATAGTGTGTGTTCACTGAGACACAGTCAAAAATGTTAACTATCTATAATAAGAAATATCACTGTTTATGGTGTCTACTTTCCAAATTAACTACAGATAGAGCCCTTTTAGCAAGTATGCATCCATGTCTATTTGACTTTGGTTGGCTGCTTAACAGGTTTGCTTGCCTTCAACCAACATAAAGCTTATTTAATTCATTGAGTCTACACATGATTTAAGGTTTTCATTTCATATAGAGAATGTGATTTAAAATGTAATTTTCTTGAACATTTGTTGACATAATGTTATACATTTAAAAAAGAAACATCAAAGCAGTTCATTCTAACGCATAGATTAGCCCTTTAGCATGAGTTAGACATTTGAGAATAATACCTTAGTTACAAGAAGGCTCATCTCCTACATCCTCAGTCTTATGGTGCATAATCATGATCACAAAACTAAAAACAAATTCTTGGTCATACAGGAGAAGCAGCTACAAGCAGACTCTAAAGCAGTTACAGGCAGCATCTAATTTTATATACCATAAAAATATAAAATCTCAAGAAATAGTTGCAGTAGACAATAAAGAAATATAAGGCCATCATCTAGAAGCACGAGGTCTTAGAAGTAGGGGTAAATGACTCATATAGCTACAAAAGCCTGCATTACTAAACAAACAATGTAATAGTAAGTCTCTGTCATTATCAATTTTAAAAATTATGTTTACTATTTTTTATCTAGCATGGAAGCTTATAATTTAGAAATATAAAAGTTTCTACTAAAATTCAATGAGCGAAAATAAAGTATTTTGGCTTCACTTAAGAAATGATGATGATAAACATAATAAGTGATGAAAATTTATTTTCCTTTTTTATTTTTTTGAGACAAAGTCTCACTCTGTCTCCCAAGCTAGAGTGCGGTGGCATGATCTCAGCTCACTGCAACCTCTGCCTCCCAAGTTCAAGTGATTCTCGTGCCTCAGCCTCCCGAGTAGCTAGGATTAAAGGCGCCGGCCACCATGCCTGGCTAATTTTTGTTTTTAGTAGAGACAGGGTTTCACCATGTTGGCCAGGCTGGTCTCAAACTCCTGACCTCAGGTGATCCACCCGCCTCGGCCTCCCAAAGTGCAGACGTGAGCCACCGTGCCTGGCCTCCTTTTTCCTTCTTCTCTTTATGCATCTCTTCCCCCATCCCTCCTTTTATTCTTCAGTCATTTAAATCATAATTATTGCAAATAAATGATATATTACAAATCTGTTTGATACCAATGCTGTAAAAAAATGAGACTAAACCCAATGAACTCAAAAAGCTTATAGTGGAAAATGTGGAAATTTGCAAAGAAAAAGATATCATTCCTCTCTGCTTAAATCAAATCGATATTAATGGGATTCTGACTATACAGAACTTGCTGAGATAGATGGCCTTATTATTTTTTTCTGAACTGCAGTTGCTACAGTATTTAGCATGCTGAAATTGCTCAAAATAATTTTACTGAATTACTATTTTGTGTGTGTATACAGTGAACTTTCTAAGTAGAACATTTTTATGTTCATACTCCCTTGTTAGTATTAATGTGGGAAGGACTTTTTCTATAAATTTGTTGATGATTGTAAGAAGATATGTAAACACTGTCTATTGATATTTAAAAATGTATATAGTTGTTATGAAACAATCATATTTTCTTTCTCTTTTCAATATCTACATATCTATCTTTTTAATTTTTTAATTTTTAAGAATTATTTTCTCCCTTATCGTTACCTACAATATGCATCTTTATCTTGACCACACATATTCAATAGTAACAAAAACACAATTCATAAAATAATAGAAGAGAAAATTTAAAAAAATCTTCAATACGTTTATCTAGAGTCGATGTGTCATGTTTTATAAATAGTAAAGAGACAATTTATTATAGGAGTTCAAAACATGTACTTTCCAGCCAGAAAAAGTGCTTTCTAAAGGAAGCACAAACTACCAGATTGACAATGGCATGTTATTTACTCTTCTTCAGTAGACTATAGGCTCTCTGAAAAGGACTGGAATATCTAATTCATTGCTGTATTTCTAGCACACAGTACAATGCCTGGAACATAGTAGACACTCAATAAATGCATCTTTTATAAATAAATTGTTCCCAAAGTTTCGAATTCCTATTTAGACCTTATGAAAAAGCTAATATCCCTCCTTACACCTTGTTTTAGATTTTAACTCAAGTAGTTTTACTGGACACTGTAGAATAGATTAAGTCCTTCGGTAAATGTTCTAATAACACCTTGTAATAATTTTATGTATCATTTACCACATTACTGTATTTTTCAATTATTAATTAGATTTTGTTATTTTACTTTTGGTTTTCTGTAAACTTTAGGTCCCCTGAGAACAGAATATACGTGTTTAAGTCATCGCTTTGTCCTTCAATATTTCCTGAAACAATATTAATAACCCAGAAATATTAATTAAATTATTTAAGAAATCACTGTGCTTTGGTTCACTATTGTCTAACACAAAGCTTAACCAATCTTAGAATGGCTAATGTATTACAGCTACTTGATGTTAAAAGGGTAAAATTGCAGGTTTTGTATGATTTTTCCTCCCTTTGCTAAAACTAAAACTCAGAAACATCATCATCTGCAATTAAGTTAGCCCAAGTAATTCTAATTTTGCATCTATTAGATTATCAGCACTTTAAATATTTTCTAAAACTAAATTCATTGCTTAAAGAAGCAATTGATTATCTACTATTAAAATAGAATACACTAATTTTACTTTATTTAGGCAAGAAATCATTAAGTTAAAGATAAAGCAACAACTCTTAATTAGTTTTCCATAAAGCTCTAAACTCATTGTCCTTTTATGCTAGAATTATATTGCCTTTCAACAGCTAAAAATATGAAGAGCAAGGTAACCTTTCAGAAAAGACAAGAGAAATGTCATCTTTATTGCCAATAGGGCACAAAAACATGACGGATTTTTTATTGGTTATATTCAGGAAACTGATGACAAAGATGTCCTGTCAGTGGATGATAATTGTTGAATTTTGAGGAGTGTGCTGGAATTTCACTGTTCCTATGCAAGACTGTGAAGTGGGAGAGGTGTGTCTTTTTTCCCTCTTTGCTTTCATTACAAATTCTCTTTTAACACACCGCCTCCATAGCTGTCCATTTCTCGTGAGTCCCTTTCATTTTACAGCTTCTCACTTAAACACACCACAGTTGTTATCTTCCCTGACCTATGATTCAAGCTATTTATGACGAATCTCACATCCAATGCTCCATTTTCTAGCTTATCAGTTATCACTAAGCAAAGGAGTTTGAAAATTAAGTCACACAAAGCTGAGTGTGTATTTTATTACTTTTTGCATTTGTATTTTCATTTGAAAAGCAAATGTGTGGATAGAACACTTAAAATCTACTTTCTTAGCAATTTTTAAGAATACAATGCACTGTTATAAACTAGAGACACCACTTGTACAATAGGTCTACTGAACTTATTTCTTCTAACTGATATTTTTTACCCTTTGACCAGCATTTCCCCAACTCCCTTCCACCATGGGCCCTGGTAAGCACCATCTCTAATTCTATGGATTTAACTTTTTGAGATTCCACATATAAGTGAGATCATGCAGTATCTGTCTTTCTGCACCTGACTTATTTCATTCCACATAATGTCCTTCAGGTTTATCCATGTTATCACACCACAAAAAATAAGTATTTGAGGTCATGTGTGTTAATTAGCTCAATTTTGCCATCTACAATGTATACATATTTCAAAACAACATGTTGTACATAATAAATATATACCTTTTTTTTTGGTCAATTACATAATTGTCAAGTACAGTGGCTTGCACTTGTAGTTCCTGCTACTAGGAAAGTGGGAGGATTGCGTGAAACCAGAAGTTCGAGGCTGTGGTGAGCCATGATTGTGCCACTGAACTCCAGCACTGCACTTCAGCAACAGAGCAAGACCTTGTCTCTAAAAATAAATTTAAAAATAAAAATAAAAATTTTTAAAGTAGATGTATGGAAGTGACACTATCTTAACTGAAATTAGTATAGCAATAATCAGGCAAATATAGGGACTTTATGTAGATAGATTTAAAGCACATCAGACAGAGCTGAATTCCTATTGACTTTCAAATTCCAAGTTTTAGTTGCCTATGCTATCTCATATGGTATTTCTTTGATTTGCCCGAAAAAATATCATTCAGTAGTCCCACTTATTAATCCTTTTGATCAAAGGACATAGCCTTTAATTTAAAAAATCTTCTGTGATATTTTTTGGAATAAAAGAAATGATACTTGTGTTTAAAGTAGTTAACCTAAGACATGTTTTATTTATCATCCCTATTTCAATGATAGTGCCAAATTTGTCAGAACATTTCTGTGAAAATGTGAATCTTCTGCCATGCTACATGTAAGGCCTGTTAGAAGGGCACTCAGGAATTCTTTCTTAGAACTTATTAATTATCATTGCTACTGCAATTGGAACACAATTTGGGCCTCCTGGCAAAGGAGTACATTTGAAAGAAAACTACAAAACTCTCCCTGCTGGCAGAAGATAACAACAAAAAATACCTGTAGCATACGAATCTTTCTACAGGCATCTTGAGAGAAGAGAAAAAAATGCTAACAATCAATCAGTATTCCCACGGAAATATAATAATCAGAAACCAATCAGCAAGCTAACTGCTCTGGGCAGTGAGTGGCTTTCTAATGGCTGAAATGTAATGATACATAGTCAGAAAAACAGGCTTATAGGTAAGTAACCTTCATTTTTCCAAAGGCAATGCACACCATCTATTATACTGTCATGATTCCATAGCTGGAGGCTTAGAGAGCCCTTAACTTGTAAATAGATTTTGGATAATGGTTAACTCCAAATGAGTTCATTCTTGAGGCAGATTACAAATAGCAATTTCTTAGGAAGGTGTGATGGCAAGACTAGCTAGTTCCCTTGCAATTTTCCACTGTTGTAACATTTCGACACTTAGAAAAATGTTCAGGTAGTGCTATTTGACCCTTCTTTTTTTTTTTTTTTACCAGACTATTGTTGTTGTTATTAGAATAACTGCATCCCAAATGCTTAAAGTTTTCATAACTCTTCTAATAATTTTCAATGTTAACTTTCAGAGAAAGATTTAACATCGAGTATATGTAATTAGTAAGGCATAAACTAGAGTCACTCTCTTAGATAATGATACTTTAACAGAAAAAAAAATAATCCAAGAGCTCTACACTAAACTCTAACTAGACTTTTATGCATTGGCATATCTTTGAAGAGATGGCATTATTGGGGAAATATTTCTCAGGGCAGACCTACTGAAAACGTTTTGCTTCTTTTGTCTATAAAGGCAAATTGGTAGGTCTATCTCAGTACATCTACAAGGTATTATTTCTACATACATGGTCATATGTTCAAAAAGGTTTGGGAAACACTGCTTAATGAAGAACTATCTTAGCGTTCCCAAAGTACATCACAGATATTATCAGGAGTTTAAAAAATACTTCGTTTGACATAGCCTTTACCAAACATATATAACCCTAGATTTTTTTACATTATTGCCTGTAATAGCCTATGAAATACTATATAAGAAATACTGATCTAGAAAAGAAAGGCACTGTCTTGTCACTGCACATTTTCTAAGGAATGAAGATACAGTTAGATATATAAAGATTAAAAATGTATCTATACAGTTAGTTAATGTTAGATATAAAATTATGTCATGTTACCATATGTGAACTTATTTTAGGTGTTCTCAATGGCTGTTTCCATATTTACATTCCCTCTACAAATACTTCGCAGCACACAAAGCTCATGGAAAGCTGTATGAGATGGTCATATGGCAAACTGTCTTTGCCTGAAATAGTACAAAGATGTAAGTCACGAGAGATCAGAGAGGGAATTCTAAACTGATAGCACACTCAAATGCTCACAGGTAAAAAGGAACATGGCAATCCAGGGAAGTGAGGATGACTCAGCACAGAGGTAGGTTACTACATCTGCTGGTCTAACTGTAGCATAGAAGAGGGAAGAAGATATAAGGAGAGGCAGCCTTTACGTACAAGGTTAAAACCTTCAGGCATGGCCCTGTAATGTGTGAAGAGGAAGGTTGTATGCAAAGAGGATAATTAAAGAAAAATAAAAATGTTTATGCCCCCCATTTTTCTTGGATAAATTAAAGAGTTTTGTGGAATTCCATAAGTAATATATATTCTTATATCTTGGATGATCTATTTTACTGAATATAAGTATGTTACTGAGAAATTGGCCCTGCTCTTTAATAATGAAAATATTAATATCTAGAAATATTTTAGATGATCACAAAAGCAGCTTCATCTTTCACTTCTTTCATTTATGATTTGCTTTGAATTTTGCCAGGCAGGTTCACATGCATTATATGCTCACCTTATAGGGAAAGTAACTGAGGTTTGGAGATTTCAGGTTACTTTCTCCATCTCACACTGTGAAACAGCCAGAGATTCAACTTGATTCCCTTCAATGCAACATTTGCTGAGGGTTTATCAGGTACGGCACTGGGCATTATGAGTAAAGCAATAAATAATACATCTCTTCCTCACCTTCTTGAAAACCAGGTCTTTTTCTTTTTGTGGAGATAGATTCTTAGTCTACTTGGGTCATCCTACCTGAAGCACTGCTACCACCTGTAATCTCCTGGAAGGACCAATGCTAGTGCTCCTGCTATCATCAGGTTGCTCCCAATATCCTTGAACCGGGTGCCAGCAGGAAGTCACCACTGCATCATTCATAGGCTGAGCATTTCTACAAATTCCTTTTGTTAAACTCATTCTTGAGTTTGTAGTTACATGGTGGTTGTACTATACTAACCCTAACCCCAGTACTTCCCCTTTGAAAAAATTGTAATCCTTCACTTGATATCAGATTGTGTCAGGGCTCAGAACATCATACCCGGCATCTATTAATTTTTGACTTTTAAATAATAGTCATTCTGACTGGTATAAGGTGCTATCTCATTGTGGTTTTGATTTGCATTTTACTAATAATTAGTGAGACTGAGCATTTTTTCTTATGCTCGTTGGCTACATGTATGTCTTCTTTTAGAAGTGTCTGTTCATGTTCTTTGCACATTTTTCAGTGGGACTGTTGGTTTTTCACCTGTTGATTTGTTTAATTTCATTATAGATTTTGGATATTAGACTTTTGTTGGATGCATACTTTGCAAAGTAGGAATGAACTAGTGGAAAAGTACTGGAAAATGTTTGAGGGGAAATCTCTCTGTAAGATGCGTGGTGTATATTGAGTTATTTTCTGAGTTTGCAGTTATTTCTTCCCTGTCATTAAGCCATCTGTTTTTGCTGATGTGGTACTTACAGAAGTTAGGCTCCTACCCTTCCCACAGAGACTAGGAAATAGAGGATTTATCTTCCTTGATGATTACATTTCAAAGGGACTGCTCCCAGGTTCTTGAGAAAGACATTTTTGGGTTGTAAAATTGGCAAGAGGTTTTTTTTTTTACAAAAGACGCGTATGTCTCAAAGCAGTGGATTAATAATTTCTAAGTTTTCTAAAAACAATCCTCCAAAAAAAGGTAGGTCAGGACCTAAACTCAGGAATAATCCTGCTTAAAATACAGTCGAACTGAGGGAAACATCAGCAAGAGAGATGTTTAATTTCCAATAAGTGACAACAGTATTTGTAATAGAAATTGTCAGTTTAGCCACCTACTTACAGTAGGCTAAAAACTCCAAATTAGAACATAGGTCAGCCAGTCTGAATTTAAAATGTAACTAAATTATGGAATTTTTGAGACAATGAACTGTTGTCAACAGTATATTTGTCTTTTCTAAAGAACTGCTAACAAAGCATGGCCAAGTGGAGGTCCTCTAGGTCCTTTTCTAATGAATAGATAAGCTTAATTAACATTACATTTGCATTTAATAAGAAGGATTTACTTGAATTTGAATGTTCTCTCAGGTATGTGAAATATTCCTCATGCAATTTTATTTTCCTTTCATTAATTTTTTTCTTATATAAAACTAATGGAAAAAAAAGTAAAACCTCTAGTCACAAAATTCCAGTGTAGTGAGTTTCATTATACTCCTCTCTGCCCCATAAATGCACATAGTGAAATGAATTTTCAGTAAATGGCTTTCATACTGCCTGGATTTATAAAGCTAGATGTTTTTATAAATAACCTAAATAAGAATGGACAAATTTTAGGAGGAGTAACGATACAAATTGAGTTTATATTAGAGTGTTCTAGAATTATTGTTCTGTATGGAGAGTAATAAACTTAGAGAAACAAACAAACAAACAAAATAGGTATATGTGTTTCTCACAGTCCTACATTGTTTAGGTTATTGCAACAAATGTACATGTCTAAATTTCAATAATGTCACATTTTGAAATTTAAGTACAGTCTTTACTGGGTTGAAAAGTAGACAGCATAAATGGCACCAATGAGAAGTCCTTAACTGTTCTTGCTAAA
The DNA here is from genome assembly GCF_000001405.40 of Homo sapiens. Lineage (NCBI taxonomy): Eukaryota > Metazoa > Chordata > Mammalia > Primates > Hominidae > Homo > Homo sapiens. The sequence goes on from NC_000013.11 coordinate 68,023,694, forward strand.
AGATAAACTTAGGCACATTAAAATTTTAGAGTTTATTTGAGCAGAAAGCTCATGAATTGGGCAGGGCCAGATGGTAAGCATTTGGGATCTTCTGAGAGAATGCAAAGGGAAATTTTTATAATGTGTTCACGGAAGCAAGACAAAGAAAATATATTTGAGTGTTTAAAGTCCAAAGTCTCTAGTTAGAGGTTAGTTTGGTGGCTTCTGACTGGTTAAGCTTATGTTTTATTTTACTGTCTCCATTGAGTTGCACTTTGGTTTGCTTATGTAGGAGCCCAGCAGGGTGCTGGAGCATGTCAGCTTAATGGCCTTATGATGTTTTTGTTAACATTATAAAAGTACCTATTAGCAGTGGCTTATCCGCAGGTGTCTGAAGCAATGCGTAGGAAGGTCGAATTCCTTCTTGCCTCTTCAGAAGAAGGAACTCTACCGTGGGGCGTAAGAAAAGTGAGAGACCAAGGCTAATGTTAGAGCAGGAGTGAATGTCTATTGACAAGTATTAGAACAGGAACGAATGGAAGTACACTTAGAAGAAGGCCAAATGGATGACTTGAGAGGGTCAAGTGCACCTTTTGACCTTTGACTTGGATTTTATACATTGCCATGCTTCCGGAGGGTTACATCCCCTGATTCTTCCTTTGGGGTAGGCTGTCTGCATGTACAGCCGCCTGCCAGCACTTGGGAGGGGCCGCATGCGCACTGTGTTTACTGAAATTGTACCCATGCTCACTCGAGGTGTTCTTCCCTTACTAGTCCAGTGTTTCTAGAGGAAGGTCATATACCAGTTAAACTCCGCCATGTTGCCTCTTAGTGTGCATGCTCGAGCCCACTAACCTAACTCCTGAGATCTCATCGGAAAGCTGCTGATCACCAACTTCACGTGTTTCTATCTATTAGAAAACTGCCTTTCTCTGGAACTAGCTGCCACCAATTATTATTTTAGAGCGACAGTTTCACAACCGCCTGACCATCACCTGATGGTTGCCTGACATTCCTGGTGGCAGGTGTTTGGGGGGAGGCTCTCCTGCCCTGCTCAAGTCTGACGAGCTACCTACTGTAACATGTCCACTTAAACAAACAAACAAAACAAAACTAGATTAATGAAAACGTATTTTAGAGTATAAAAATTAATAAAACCTATTTTATATTGAATAAATTTCTACCTTTAAAACAGTGCTACTAATTTATGAACAGAAAATAATTCCATTACAAAATCTCTTATTTAAAAATATCTTTAATTATAGTGGAACCTAATACATATAAATAATTTCCCACGAAAAGGAACTTGCTCTTCACCAAAAAACGAAGAGCTATAAAACTAGTTAACCTCATTAGCTAACAAATTATTAAATTACTGAGGATTTTCACATGTTAGTAATTTGGTAATTTTAGTTGACATTTTCCAGTAATTGAATGCATTAGCAATATATTAGAAACAATTTTTTTATTAAAAAGTAACTCACTCTCAAATTGTTATGCAGCAATAATGCTCTTTGCCATGCAAATATTGAGCTGATATGACCACTAAATACAGAGTTTTATTTATGATGGGATTTGCTAGTTCCCCCCTTGGGGGATGAAATCCCCAATTGTTAGCATTATCGCCAGGTAGGGTACAAAATAAAAGCACTGGGTAACATGGAGGAAGTGGTCAATATCTCGTTAGTTCTGCTAAATAAGATTTGTACTGCAACACATCCTCAAGCTTTAGTCTATAAATTATGTGGAATCCTTACCCGCCAACTCAGGGACTTATTAGCAGCTGCTTTTCAAAAGGTAGGAGAAGAAATTGTTTCATGTGCTGAATTAAACCAGAGGTCTGGGTCCTGAAAAAGTAAAATACAAAATAAACATTTTATAGGTATGAAGATGCGTGAATGTAATTTTGTATAAAATCATATTCTATGATGATAGATAAATAATATGTTTGTAACTGTCCTTAAAATACAGACTACAAACATGGACAGAGAAGTGTATGAGATTATAATATATATTATGAAAAGAAAGATTGATAGGTATTTTTAAATGCCTTGGATTTATAAAGACTTTTTTTTTTTTTCCCGGTCCAATGCTGAGAGCTATCAGCTGACTGATGTACCCGGACCTTAAGTGTTCTTCAGTGCTCTGGAATTTGTTTTCCTGCTTAGTACCTAAAATAGTAACATGACATAAAGAACCTTTTATTAACACAACAATGATATTTTAAAAAGGAAGAATAATAATTTCCAAGAAAAAGTACAGGAATTTATTTTATGTCTTTTTGAATTTAGACAGAGAATTATTTCATAGACATCATTTAGACAAAGTTAGACTGGCCTGAATTTAACTGCAGGTCCTGAGACTTATTATTAAGGTAAGTGAAGGTGGGCCAGGTATTGGTAGTGTATTGGTAATGCTTTCTGATGGTCAGTTTGGCCATCTAATAAAATATGGGTTACAACGATTTCTAATGATAAATATTAATTAAAATTTTTTGGAAAGTCCCTAATGTATATACATTAGTGTCCCTCAAAAGGAATGTACCTCTAAATACGTAGGCTATTGCTGTTTTATTTTTATTCTTGTCCTTTTGCACTGTGCTAGCTCTAACTCACGCTTTTGTTATTACTCATTCATCAATAATTTACTATTTTAGGACCTTATAGTAATTATACCACCACCCTCTTCACAAACTTTCTCTGAATTTATTTGAGCAGATTTTCAAGGGATTTTATAATATTATTTTTACACAAATGATTTTTTTTTTCTTTCCCCACTTTCAAGAGGAAAGTTAAACTGTATAGCTCCCTATTTCTCAGATATTTCCTTCTCTGTTTCTTTACCCATGTCATTGTTCCCTGATTCTGTGGCCTTTCCCCTACTGTTTTTCTGGCCTATTAAAAATTTCCCACCTTCCAAGATTCTGCCAAATCCTGCATATAATTTGCACTGACCTTCATCTTTCTCCTCTCTTGTGTTATATTGTGTGTACAGTATTTTATAGCAGACATAAAAAATTGCTTTATGTTACAATAGGGTAAACTTTTCATCTACTTTCCTAAATTATAAATGTTACTAAGGCCCCAATACTATCCTGTAAATCCATGTAACCCTAGCATATATATATATATATATATATATATATACATTTTTTTTTCCGAAGAGCAATACTGTGATATTAAGCTTACCTGAAGCATGTTCTGCTCACAGAAATGAACTAGTTCTCAAATGAAAATCAGAAAATTTGATCTGTTTTTGTCCATTAAACCAAACACTTAAATATAGAATATATATTGCACTGTGTAATAATACTGCAGTCACAGTTTTATGTAACATACTTTCTGACAATTTGGAAAACATTGTTAATGTAAGAGCTGTAACCTTGAAACAATTTTTAATTTTTTTATATTTACAAAAGCTGAAGATATAACTTTGTGAAAAAAGATGTATCTATATCTATAAAATACCAAAACACACGTTATTGAAGAATTCTATAAATAAAGGTGCAAAGCAACTTCACAAGGCTTTTATTAGGAGATGATTATAAGCTAACCTTGAGGTTAACGGAAAGTTTGCTTCAGAGTACTTTAAAAAAAAAGAAAAACTTGAGCAAAGAGTAATACTCTGTGAGCCAATGTCACTAAACATTTTACAGTAAAAGAAATTATTTTATAATTAATATATCGTATAATATATTATTTGGATAAAAATTAGAAAGGGGCATGAAAATATATTCAGACTGATGTTTTTTGCAAGATGAATTTCACAGCAATATCCTACACCAGCTGGAGTTGATGCAGTTTCCTCTTGGGCCAGAAGCCAGCCGGGGGCTGCAGTAATTTAAGCTTGAAATAACCAAAGCATGAAGGACCATTTCACGGTCTCATTCAAACGGACATGATTGCAACCTAGTAGGGGGTCCTTTATGAGAAAGAATGATATACAATCTTCCCTAGAAAATTATTTTATTTCATTTCATTTTTATTTTAAATTGACAAATAGTAATTGTATATATTTATGGTGTACAATGTGAAATTTTAATATATGTATACATTGAAGAATGATTAAATCAAGGTAATTAACATATCCATAATTTTACAGGCTATAATTTTTTGTGGTGAGAAGATTTAAAATCTAGTCTTTGAGGAATTTTGAAATACAGGATTATTATTAACTATAGTCATTATGCTGTACAATAGAACTCAAAAGCTTATTCCAGAAAGAATAGGAGGCAATAATATTTATGATTATTTATTTTGGCTAGAAATCAAAACATTTAGTTCAATAAAAGAGAAAATCTTTAAAAATATATTATAAAGTAAAAGATAATTAAGAAAAAAGCAGCATATTGCAGCTTCAATTATTTCTGTAAATATAATTCCACAGTTTGTTGTGAAGTAAAAATTGTGAGAATTAAAATGGAGTCACTTGTATTAAAACAAAAAAAACTGTCAAATAAAGCCACAGAAGCCCATGAAGAGAATTGTCATGCATAAATGTCTGATGACAGAAACAATCACAAAAGAACCTAGAAAAAGCATCAACTTGCACAAAAATCATTACAAGCCTTTTACAAAAAATACTTCTGAGGACATCTGCCCAGCAACTGGTGGTCTAACTTCAGATTGGCATCACTCTTGATCCTTATGGCCAAGGGTAATTATTTCAGAATAATTACGTGATCCTCCTTATTCTTTCTTTAAAAGCCTTTGTCTCCTTTTACCTCCTGCATATGCACATAGTTTACTATAACATGCATATTCCCATCGCAATATCCTATGCCTGAATATCATTTTATTTTAGAGAGCCTGTCTTTATTGGTTATTTAGGTTGACAGTGAATCTATATCATATAACTATACTGTAAGTAACCTGTATGGCTAAAATACAGGCAACAAGCAAAATATGCTCCTCCTGATCATTATTCTGTGAGTAGACTTCAACTCCAGTAGAAACACTTTAAAAGTATAAAAGCAATAGGCAGTGTATCGAAGTGGTTGAATTAAGAGTTAACAGTAATATACAATTTGTTATAAAACACATTCAAAAATGTTTTTAAAAATCAATCTTATCACACAGACTGAAAAGAGAAGATATAAGTGTCTTTGATCTAAACCTCAGCTCAAAGCCTAAGGGATGAAGGGGATTATATTTTGAAAGCAAGAGAGGAGACTATCAAGAAGCAACCAAAAAAGCCAGTAACATATATTTGGTGCTGACAAAAGCAGAAGAGTCTTGCCATATTTATTTGTTTTATTCATGTGTCAAAGGAGTCAAGATTTCCTGAGCCTCAGATTTATCTGTAATAGATAAATCAGACATTCCTATTTTAGCTTTTATCATTGGTTTTTGACCTACATACAGATCTTCAGATTTGTCATCAGAAAAACATTTGAAACAAGCATAACCTTCTAGTCTGATGATGATTGTTTTTGAGAAATCAGAAAGTAGCAGAAGCACAATAAATTGTTATCAGTAATCTAAGGTGTCTTCAGCACCCCAGCAATGATAAGTGTTGATTTACAGGAGCTATACTGGGAAATCATACAAACATCAATTGTGTCATATGTCCACACATCTACCCTTCAGGCCAGAGGAGAAGTTTATTTCTTCCCCACTTCCCAAATGTCATGTGACTGCATTATTTTGACAAAATTCAAACCAGAGTATTGCTGACAACCATGTCTAGAAACATGATTCTAGTTTCCCATTGCTTAGGAAAATAGAAAAAAAATTTAGAAGAGCATACATGACAGGAGTATCCTGGAAAATCTAGTATCCAGAAGTTCGATTATTAGTTATCAATTAGGAAAAAGTAATACAATTTTTAGCAAAGTGTAGATGCTGGATATGATGAGTATAAAAATATCCAGAATATGTTTTATATGTTTTATTATCTTTCAGGTCATATTTGCCAATGTCTGGTGAGAAATAGACTGGGAAGATGAAAAGCATCAAAAGATTTCTAAGGGCTACCAAGATTATTGAGGGGATACTGAAGAACATGTTTTTTATTTAAATATTTCCTAGGACTGACCTTCACTCTTTTTTCAGTGAATCTACCATTAAAAAGGGTAAGTACATTCATATGTAACCAGAGCTTATAACCTAGTTATATAGTTCAGAAACATCTCTGGAAAATAGTGACTGGACATATCTGCTGAAGTTGAAAAACAAATAATAGTAAATTGAGTCATAATGTGACCATCAGATTTGTTAAGAATTGAAAAATAAAACAGTAAAATTTATAACTAAAATTATCTTTAAAAATAAACTAGTCTAACAATTTTATTTCAAAAATAAGAAAACTGAGGCTCAGAGAAGTGAAGTGCCTCTCTGCATACATGCGTGCATACATGTGAAATTGATACATGTGTGCATTTTTTAAAAACTGTCTCCTTGTAACCAAGTCCAAGCTCATACAACTTGCCATGTGACAGCCAGTAAATTGAGAGACAGGGTGTTGGGGCAAGGAAAGTCACTTTATTTGGAAAGCTAACAAACAAGAAGATGATGGACCAGCATCCTAAAGAACCATCTTAAATTAACATAAACTTCAGGCTCATTTTTATGTTAAAGGAAGGGAAAAAACAGGTGTTGAGGTCAAGATGTAATGATGACCACAGTAATGTGGGGATCAGGGAGGGTCTGAGGAGGTTGTGAAACTTCTTTGTTTTTGGTCAGTTGACTGTGGTTCAGATGAAGTAGATCAGGTCATGATGTTTCTATTAATCTTTAACAAAATGCTATTAATTGTGTATACACTTCCTTATCTCCTTAGGAGTTAGTTTTGAGACAGGCACTATTATCATTTTTCCCCTAAAGTTAAACTACAAGCTCAAGCCCTCCTATAATTAGCTGGTCTACATGCAAAGGTAAGCAGAAGCTTTTAACATAAAGGATATTCCACAGTTGGGGGGTCAAAGGCAAAATGGAGTCAGTCATGCTAAGCCTCTTGCCACTATTAGATTCTTATTTCTAAGATTCTGCTCTTGTTATGACACCATCTTTAGGTTATATAGTAGACAGCTTTTGTTTTTACCCATTTGGCATCCATTTATTTAATTTTAGTAATGACTCCTGTCTTGGTTTGAGAACAGTCATACTTTCGCTGGATATATTCCTTATTGCAACATTAATCAGCTTGTCAGAAAACTCTGCCAAATTTTGTGCATCTGACAAAGCTAGGCTAAATAGATGCTCTATCCTTTCAAATTAAGGTAAGGTACACAGGACTGAAAAAGTGAATAGTCTATATCTACAGTCGTATACTAAAAAGACTGCACTAAATTCTGCATAAAGCTCATCTCCTCTTTAAGAATAGATTATTTCCCACTCAAATTACGTGATATAATTTACATAATTCCAAAAAGCTCCTTATGCTTACATTAGGCATTTTATTATTGTTACTTGAGATCAATTCTTCGCATGCAAAAATTGTTTCCAGAGAATGATTGCTCAGATCAGGTGGCCAGGAGCATGTAAATGATCCAATAATGTGGTGATAGAGTAAAAGACAGTGATATTCTAGTTCATGTTACAGAACGGGCATATTAACCCATGATAATGCAACTGGAGTGAGGATATCTTAGAATGAGACTTGGAAACATCCAAACTTTCAGTTTCCCCTAAACACACTCAGTAGTTCATGAAGATTTCCTTACTTGTAAGACAAAACCAAGAAGGCCTTCTAGAGTTCATACTTGTTTATTATTATGCAATCTAACAGGTGCTTTTGATATCAGTAAGTGTGTAGCATAGTAAAAGCAGAGACCAGATGGAATCATGCAATCACCATCAAATATTGAATAATTTTAATTATCATAGACAACTAGAAATACTCAGTAATCATAGATACAAAAGTAGTCCAAACCTCAGAAATCTCTAGATGTGGATAAATAATTTGTATGAACACCCCACTAGCAATAACAGGCAAAAGAAAGGAAAATTTATTCTTGTGAACATAGCTATGATTTGAGACACTCTGTGAAATAATTCCAACTATAATTTTCAGGCTTGAGTTGCTTCAAAGACTGAGTCCCTTAAATGTAAGTACCTTTGGGGAATATTTCTGCTATAAAATCACAAGTGCATATTTAAACTATCCTCTTGTCCTTGCCCAAAGTGTCCTATGATTATTAATATAGGAGACTGCATCTTTTAGACAAGCAAAATAACTAAATATGTTAAGGGAATATTTAATTCCGAACTTACTTGAATCACATAGAAATTTGGACACCACCACTGTCCATGAGACAGACTGTGGTATTATGGAGAACAGATGACAAATGTAGTTTGATTTAATAGTGAAATCCTTTACCTAGACATGTCTGTTACCTCTATAGTAGAAAAAGTTATATTCAGCTCCTTGAAGAATCCTAATATAATTAGAATTACTTTGGTTGTGGTGCTAAATAAAAGACATTGAATCTTTTGCTATTTACCTTGTGTATTCTTGCATCAACCACTTGAAACCCTCAGGAGTGAGATTTCTAACTTCTAAATCTGTCAGTGCTAATTGTTAATCAGGCAATTATAGCTGTTATTCCAGATGTAGACTTCTTATAAATTAATATGGTTGGCTAGCCATGGTGGCTTACACCTCTAATCCCAGCACTTTGGGAGGCCGAGGTGGGCAGATCACAAGGTCAAGAGATTGAGACCATCTTGGCCAACACGGTGAAACCCCATCTCTACTATAATAGAAAAAAATTAGCCAGGTGTGGTGGTGTGTGCCTGTAGTTCCAGCTACTTGGGAGGCTGAGGCAGGGGAATCGCTTGAACCCAGCAGGCGGAGATTGCAGTGATCCAAGATCGTGCCACAGCCCTCCAGGCTGGGCGACAGAGGGAGACTCCGTCTCAGAAAAAAAAAAAAAAAAATTAATATTGTCTTTAGCTGCTAGTATATGGTTATCAGTTTGGCAAAAACTTTCATCTATATTATGAAGAATAAAGTATATTATATTAGTAGAAATTGAACAAAGACGCCAAGACGGCTATAAAATAAAGGATTTATTATAGGGATTAAACTGTGTAATTATGGGGGCTGACGGAGAATTCTCTAAAAGGCAATTGTGTATTAGAATTTAAGACACCGTAGTTAAGCTAGGTTCATGTTTTTTCAGATCTTTAGTCAAGAAGGAAATCTGGATATAAAATGGCAGAGAGCAAGGAAAACTGAAACCCTCAACATTATCAAACTTTCAAAGAAAACATGGAATGTAGGAGGAAAAACTAAAAGACACATATGTCTAGTGGAAATACAGAGTTGGGTCGTAGTAGTTCATAAGAGCCAATTGTTAATTTCCAGAATTTGTTGTGACAGTGAACATCCTAGTGGTAGGTGAAAATTGCCAAAGGGGGGAGACTTTTCATCATAGAAACTGGCAAATTCTAATTAGAACTTTTATTTTCTGGGAAGCCAGCTATTAAATATTCACTACTGACTCTAAATCTTGCTCAATTTTTCCATATTGTAAACCCTACTTCAGAAGTATTCAGAGAAAGGGATTCTAGAAAATGTAGTTCCAACTGAGCTAGTTTGACAAAGTACAAAGCCAGTGCACAGCCAGATGCAATGTTTCCACTTGTCGGGGATGCTATGGCTCCTTTCCATTTTACATAAAAGATATGTCAACTCTCTAATATGGCAATTTCTCAGAATGTGCCAATCATTTGCCAGGCTGATGATACTGTGCTGGTAGAATCTGAAAAATATGTGGCAGTCAGATTCCTAACTAGGGAATCTCACCATAAATTCCCTTGGTGGCTTGGAGCCCATTTATCTATAACATTGTGGGGGACTGAATTTTATTCCTGACTCTTCATGTCCCCGTTAGTAGTAGTACGAACTGCACACTTGCAACATTTTCATTGTGAGTGGAGTACACTTCTACTTTCCTAGACCATGAATTTCTGCTAAGCCATGTGACTTGCTTTAGCCAATGAGATGAAAGTATCAGCATGAAATATGTATGGATGTTTGGATTAGTGCATTTGTGCTTCTGCTACTGCAACATGGCAAGAAATACTCCAGACAGCCACTATTTCTGAAGCCTGACGCCAAGCCCAGCTGAGCTGAGCTGAGGCCAGCTGAGTTCACAGAAATTTTCAGCTAACCTGCAAATCTGTGACTTGAAGCAGAACCATACCAGCTGACCTAGAGAGCTATAGAAAAGAAGATAAAAGCTTACCATTGGATGCCAGTAGGCTTTGGGGGAGGGAGATATTAATAAGCATTATTGGGCAAGAGTTAACTAACACAGCCACTTTGTAAAAAGCTGATTTTTCTTACAATGTTTTTAAATTAACTAAAAATATATGGCTTAAAATAGATTTGATACAATCGTTTATAATATATTAGTTTGAATTTAGGCAAAAATGTATTTAAAATATAGAGAATCATATAATCATCTTTCCAGGGCAGTGGGAAAGAACAGAACATGCGTGCAGTTGATGGCAAAGATATTCCACTTGTAAAAAAAAAACCTCTGTTGGAAGTATTTTTCTTGTCCTGACTTGTGAGAAAGGATACAACCTCTCCTGGAATCTGACAACACTTCACTACCTCTTTTCTGTACATTCAACGGGCATCATATCCTGCCCTGAGAGCCAATAATCTACTCTTACATTACCTTTTAGCATCATCCTTGTTTCTTGACACTGAAATGAGGGGAAATAGCATGACAAATATATTTTTCTTAAATATTATAATGCTTTGTGTAACTTTCCTAGTGATGCTGTAACAAATGGCCACAAACTCGGTGATTTAAAACAATGGAAATTTATTTTTACATGATTCTAAAGACTAGAGGTTTGAAATCAAGGTTTCCACAGGTTCACTCTCTCTCTGAATGGTGTATGGAAAAACCATTTCTTTCCTCTTCTTAGCTTCTGGTGGCTCCAATAAATCCTTGCCATTTCTTAGCTCCTGGCTGTGCTCCAATCTCTTCCTCTGTCTTTGTATATTATTTTCTCTGTGTGTTTGTTTCCTGTACTCTTTTTATCATGTAACCAAATAATTGAATTTAAGGCTTACCTAATCCTCTATGGCTTCACCTTAACTAATTACAACTTCAAAGACCCTATTTCCAATAAGGTCAAATTCCGAGGTTCAGGGTAGATATGAATTTTTGGAAATAATTATTAAGACCATTATAGTCTGCCCTATCATCCCCTAAAATTCACATCTGTCTCTCATGCATTCACCTCATCTCAATATCCCCCAACACATTCCAGCATTAACTCTAAATCCAAAATCTCATCTAAACTTCAACTCAAAATAATCTAAATTTTATCTGGATCAGGTAGGTGACACTCTGGGTATGTTCTTGGGCAAAATTGTTTTCTATCTATGGAACTATAAAAGTCAAAAACAAGTTACCTGCTTATAAAATACAATGATGGGACTGGCAAAGGGTAGGCATTCCCCCTTAGAAGGGGAGAAAATGGGAAAAATAAAGGGAGCACTGCTCTAAAGCAAGTTAGTTCATAGCTAAGCAGAGCAGATTCCATCAAATATCAAGATCTGAATTATTCCAAGAATCTTCTGTGGCTTGATACTCTGTCCTTTGGGTCCTGGGCAGCAGGAGTGCCCCCACCTTATTCATAACAAACCATGTCACATCTTGGTGGCTTAAATGACAATTTATTATTATCTTGAAGGGTTTCATAGGTTAACTTGGCACAGCTGGTGGTACTTGCTTGGGTCGCTCATGAAATTGCAAACAGATTGCATCTGAGGCTGGAATCCCTTGAATGCTCAACTGGTCTGGACATGCCAGATGGTCGGCTCAAAATACCAACAATTGATATTTACCCTTGGATGGGGCTGTTTACTGGATCCTGCACATGGTGTCTCCGTGTGACTGGGCTCTCAAAACATGGCAGCTGTGTTCTGGGAGGGAACATGCCAAGAACAAGAGTCTCCAGAAGCAGAAATATGAAGTTACTGGGCAAATTGGAGGCTACTCTCTGAGCAACCACATTGTCACTTCTGCCATATTTCATTGGTCAAAGCAGTCATGAGCCTTGTCAGATTCAAGAGAGTTAACAGACAAAATCTATATCTTAATACAGGAGTGACAAAGGCATGTTGCAGAAGAGAATATGGGATGAGAGCTACTATTTTGACCATCTTCCTAACTAGAGCCACCAGGTTCTTAAATATATTTTCTATTTTCCATGTTATTGCAAACTGTTGCAGACTGTGTTGTTATACCTTCCAATACTGTATAATATAGGTCATGTTTTCCTCCATCCTCCACTACAATATTTTCTTACATTTCTTTTGTCTCCTCAAGGCTTCCGTGCTTTTGCCTATTGCCTATTCATAATACTAATGTCATATGTTGAGGATATTTTTTAGAATAGAACCTCAAGTCCAGAAACCAATTTCTGTTCCAGTTATCTATTCTTGCATACCAAGCACCCCAATATGTAGCAGTATAAAGCAATCATTTATTATTAGCTTTTGTATTTCTGTAGGTTGTCTGGGCTTAACTAAGTTATTCTTATTCAGGTACCTCATCTATTACACTCAGGAGCAGCTACAGCTAGAGTCACCAAGAAGGGTCGCTGACATGGTAGTTGATGCTAGCAGGTCAGCTGGGAGGTCAGCTGCGGCTTTCTGGCAGAGTATCTACATGTGGTCTCTCTCTCAAGGTGACTTGGACTTCAAACAGGATGGTACCCATGTCCCACTGGAGAACAACTCAAGCATCAATATTCCAAAATTTGTGATGCTTCAAGATTGATTGAGGATCAATCACAGTTTCCCAGAACTGGAAAGGTCCTACTTTTCCCCTGCTCTACTTGTTAAGCTGCCTCCACAGCCTGCTCATGTTCAAGGGCCTGGAGAAATAAAATGTTTCTTCATGAAAGCATGGCAATGTCACATTGCAGAAGTGCATGTGGGAATAAACATATTGTTGTGGCCAACTTTGGAAAATATAAATTCTCAAAATCACTTTGGAAAGGGTTTCTCTTTTGACAGAAATCAAAAGGTAACCATCTAAAAGCACTTCTCCTTTCATTCTGGGCACAGAGCTGGATAATATTTCTAATTTCTGTAACTCTTAGGAATGGCTATATCACTTACATTTAGCCAATGGAATGCACACACAAATGTGTATTCCACCCCCTGGTCTGAGCCATAGTTCTCCGCAGTGATATCCCTCATATTATTTCTCTTTTCACTTTACTATTGTGACAATGCCTAGGGAAACCTAGGGAGGCATATGTTAAAGTTGGCAGAATTTCTGTGACCCTGAGTCTAATTTGATCCTCAATGACTTTCATCCCTGTGTTGAGTGTGAGCAAAATCTATCAATAGGATGAGATAGTACTTCCATGAGTACGTTATAGTTTATAGCAAATGAGATTTTTACAGTGTAATTAGAGTTGGAAATCACTGCTTTTTAACTGTGTCAAATGAGTCATTAAACTTGTCCTCTGTGTAATTTTTGTTGTTTTTTCTTTTATTTCGTTGCCTTGTTACTAATGTTATATCTTATGGTTAACTTGGCCCTGTACATATCTTTAATTTTAATTTTATTTTTTCAGAAATAGTAAATGAATTTGTTTTAAATTTTGTATCCAGTAATTCCAGTCTCCTAACACATGATGCCTCTCTTTTTGTTTTTTCAACCTTCAGTTTCTTATTTCCAATTATGGCATGTTTTCTTCAAATACTTGTGGGATATCTCTGAAGCCTGGAGTGCAGATTTTTCAAACTGTCCATTCACACTTTTTAGTTGTTTCAGTGGAGGTTTCGTCTAAATATTCTGGTGCATTGTATTATTGGAATTGTATATCTCAAATAATATGTCTTGCTTTCACTTAACCTGGAACAAGAGCTGATGTGAGGTCAACATATAAAAAAAAATTATTGGCCGGGCGCGGTGGCTCACGCCTGTAATCCCAGCACTTTGGGAGGCCAAGGAGGGCGGATCACGAGGTCAGGAGATCCAGACCATCCTGGCTAGCACGGTGAAACCCCGTTTCTACTAAAAATACAAAAAATTAGCCGGGCGTGGTGGCGGGCGCCTGTAGTTCCAGCTATTCCGGAGGCTGAGGCAGGAGAATGGCGTGAACCTGGGAGGCGGAGCTTGCAGTGAGCTGAGATCGCGCCACTGCACTCCAGCCTAGGTGACCAAGCAAGACTACGTCACAAAAAAAAAAAAAAAAAAAAAATTATTGGCAGTGGCTACTTATCCAGCCAAGTGTGAGGTAACCTGCCTATGGTAAACGTAGATGGTTAATGTCAAACTTGTTTAGGAAAAAAGTAAATAAATAGACCTATTTTAATTACTTAGAAATTAAGACTATCCATGGACTGTGTATGATTATCAAGAGATGTACATTACAAATTAGGTTATTTAAAATTTGCCAGAGAAGGTGACCACTTTAAGATTAATGAGTTCATGAACAGAATGAGAATTGTGACAAAACTGCTGCCTACAAATGGGCCCAAAAATATGGGCTATTCTCACCATAGATATCCCTGCCTCTGCTACTGCAAGATTTTCTACAGGCAATCACTAACAAAAAATCACTATGTGCTCCTAATATGTCAGAATAGTTAGTGATTTTTTAATGCAATAAGCAATTATTTTGTAATTTTTAAATTGTACTTATTCTCAGACTTCTTCCACTATTATAATTTGGAAATTCATTGAAGATTTTTAAGATGTCTCACACAGCCTTGCTTATACCTCATATATCACTGGAGGAGCTAGTACACATGAAATATACTCTTCCTAACACATTTACCTTACTATGGAATTAATTTGCTTTTACTGTAGATTGGTGATGTGGCTTTTGAAAGTCAAGTTATAGCATGAGTAATGTGACAATGCATTGAGATGCAATGCTTTCTAGCAGAATGTAGAATATACTATAAATTCGTAACTTATATATGATTTTTTTCCTTCCATGTCAAGACTACATGTTGCTTGGAAACAAGGTATGGGAGTGTAGGAAGAGTCTTCTATGATTATTCCTAAACATGTTGCCCAAGTATTTGCTTATCATGACACTGTGCTACCTTCTTAGAGATATTCTAATATTAAAACAAGATGTACTTTCACCAGAGATTGCTTCTGAGACAGTAACTTGTTCATTCTCAATTTTTTATAACACAACCATTAACGGAAAAAAGAGGGGAAATGCTGTGATGATTGGAGTGATTGACTCAAACTGACACATAGAAATAGGTATGCTACCACATGGTAAACATTGAGAGAAGCATTGATAAAAACTGAAGAGATTTGGCTGGGCACGTTGTCTCGTGCCTGTAATCCTAGTACTTTGAAAGGTCGAGGTGGGTGGATCACCTGAGCTCAGGAGTTCGAGACCAGCCTGGGCAACACGGTGAAACCCCGTCTTTACTAAAAAATAACAAAAAAAATTTAGCCGAGCCCAAGCCTGGTGGCGTACGCCTGGCGGGCCGCTCCTGTAGTCCCAGCTACTAGGGAGGTTGAGGCAGGAGAATTGCTTAAACCCGGGAGGCAGAGGTTGAAGTGAGCCGGGATCGCTCCACTGCACTCCAGCCTGGGCGACAGAGCAAGACTCTGTCTCAAAAACAAAAACAAAACAAAACAAAGAAACCTGAAGAGCTTCTTAGGTCACATTACGTTCTGATGTGGATGGTGACAGCTTTAGTGATTTGAGGGTGGAAGAGGTGATGCTGCAGGATGTACTTCCAATAGAGCTTTTTTAACTTAGTGCTTGGTGCCTTAACATACGTGAGTGGAAGGCTCCACTCATCTGGATCTGATGTTCAGAAGTGTTAATATAGTCTCTCTAGCATAATGACCTCTGCATAGCTGGGATGCAACTCAGCTCAGTTTTACAGTGCATAAGGTGGAAACTACATGGCATTTCATGACCTAGGCTTGAAAATTACATAGCACCACCAGCTGCTGAACTTAGTTTGTCAAAGCAGGCATAAAATCACCCTCATCCAAGCCAGAGTGACATAGTCTCAACCTCTCTATAGGATGTGCCACAATGTGCGCACCTATTTTCTAAAGCCCTATAACCCACCCTGTGCTCACAAATTATTTTTATGCTTCCTGCATATAAAATAAACTCCCTCCCTCCCATGATCCCCCAAAAGTCCACCCCTTTTATGACATTAGGCTCAGGCTTAAGTTCTAGGATTGCTTCATCGATATCAGGTCAAAATGCATATGAGACTCCTCAGTCTTTGTTCTTTAGTATAACTTCTATCAATCTGAAAACTAATGAACTAGAGACAAATTACCTGCCTCTCTCATAATGAACATAAAATGCAAGAAAAGACATTGCATAACTGTAATAGCCCATAAGCAAAATAGCAAAAGGGAAGGTGCTCACTTTTTGTAGCAAATCTGAAATCAAGCCAAGCGGATATAGCTGGGATTATTATTATTATTATTATTATTATTATTATTATTATTAGACTCCTGTCTTACTTCCTGGGAATGGTTGTCCATGATTTTAGGCAGAGGAACTAACTCTCCACCTTAGTCATCCTTGCCTTTCCATAAGAAATACAACTATAACAGATAATTTTCTCAGTCCCCTTACTACCTATCAAAGTTTGGGGCTTCATTTTAATGTTTTACTCTGTTCCTTTACTCCAAGCTGTGTTTTCAGAGAGTGTTTTATAATCTTCTATATAATTCAGTCCATTAGACTAAAGCCATACACACAAATCTCACTGAAAGTCACCCTTCTTTACTTTAGTTTCCTCTGAGTTTGCTGTGAGAAAACAGCAAGAAGATTCATAATAATCATATTGTTTGAGAGAAGAACCACAAAGCACACCCTTCAGAACTTTTTTTCTATCTGAAATATCTTATGATGCATAAGCTTAAATCTTTTTCATAATATTGCCTAAGGGATTTATAGTTACAGTCTTGGCTAAATCTTTATCCTGACAGTACTTTTCATTTTATCTTAATATTGTGTCTTATTTAAAGCATCTTTAAAGGAATCTTATCCCAGGACAGATTTCAGATGAAAGATAGCTTTATTTTTGAACACAGCATGTTTAATTACCTTTATAATTTTCTCTAAATTTTTCCTGAAAATTAGAGAATTTCATCTTTACCGTGTCTCTAGATTTCTACCACATAATATGCAGCCAGAAGAAGCCAGTTCCGCTTCTACCAATGACGTGTTCACTTTCCATAGCCAGTTTCTGATAGTTCAACAGACATATTTTTTACTTTCCACTTAATGCAGGTAAACATTTGCTAAATGTAGTGTAGTAGATTACAAGGGTCTCTGTTCCTGCAGTTTTTATAACATTTTTCTTACTTGAAGTTGTCATTAACAACCTTCTGGGGGCCTATCAGGCTTCTGTTAACAGTGTCTTCAAAACTCTACCTCATTCTGCCTGTCACGTGGTCACAAACCCAGTATTATACAGTTTCAGATTTTTCTTACAGTAGCCTCTCACTTCCAGGTAACTTGGTTTGCATGGAACTTGGAGGAATAGTGCTGGAGTATCCACTTCCAAGGCAGTTTCTTTACCATGATGTTTGGCATATTGGTTGAGTTGGATGGAAGGCTGGAATTAGCTGGCAGAGAGCTGACCTATGAGTTCTTCAGAATGGCAGCGTCATGGTATTTGAACTTCTTTCATGATAGCTCAATGTTTTGGCAAAATAAATGTCAAATCTGCATTACCTTTTAGGCTTAGAAGTCATTTCTGCAGTTGTATATGGGTCAAAGCAGTGGCAAGCCCATTCATGTTCAAGAATTTCAAAAAAATTGGTGGCCAGGTTCTAAGATCACCATATTGGAAATTCCATTTATACATGTAAAGCATCTGAGAGACAGAATGAGTGGATTTTATTTGTTCCTTTTTGGAAATAGGGGTGGAAAAAAGGAACGGAATAGGAAAAAGGGACGTAAGGACCATAAAGTTAGCTGATTTCCTCAGGATAACTGCAAATAAGTGGTGGAACTAGAAAATAACACTACGTACTCTTTTTACTTTTCTGCTACTTTTGGAGTAAAGGGAATGGAAAAGAATAAGTTATGGCTCAAATCAGTTTGTTTCTCAATATGTCCAAATTCAGCATGAAAAGGAAAGAAATGGTAAGACAGAAAGCCCAAAGTAAACTATGCTTTTCTGAATATTTTGTTGAATATAGCTCAAGCTTTTTGAGAACTTGTTTCTCTTGGTATATTGCATTATACTTAACTTGGGAAGTCTTTTTTCTGCACATGCATCTGCTCTACAAATAAATTATACAATTCTCAAGGACAAAGTAACTGGTTAGTTTATATCATTTTCCAACATTTCCCACAATGAGTTCATAAATGTTAATTCCATTTTGGCAATTACATAAAATGTATAATTATTTGGAAACAATTCACATGCTTTTTCTGTCTTTGTAGGCATGTGAATGTTCAAATATGAAACATTTATATTGCATTAATATATTTTACATTTTATTAAATGCTCAAAATTATATATTGACTAAATTTTGGATATAAACTTAGTAAATCCCATAATTAACACACCATACCATAATAATCAGGACAAAATAAAATGTCTGATATTGACCTACTTTTGTTTTCACTAAAATAATCATAAATTTTACATTCATATTATTATAGAATTGTCTAGAAACAAGTAATGATCTTTTATACTGTTGCCTTTTTATTTTATCTTAGTTCACAGAGAAGCTACAGACTAAATATAAATACATATGTATGATTTGTAAATCACTCTTCCCTACTTATTTATTGAGTAAAATCATTGAATTTGCCAAAGTTTCACTAAAAAGTGTGGAAAGACAATGCTCATTTTGGCAGTATACAGTTTGCGTCAGTTAGCACAACACATCAAATGTGATTTATAACAGATGGTGATACAAAAGCAAAGTAGGGTTTCCCTTTTAGTGCTTTTATATTTATGTGTCTATTTATTGGGGAAGAAAACAGCTAATCTGCTAATATTTTAAGATGGAAATTGAGTTTTAAGAGAAAAAATTCTGAAAAAAGGATTAATTTCAATGTTATGTTGAAGATACCATAAAACTGTAGAAATAAAAATAAAAGCTCTTCAGTTCACAGTCTGCTGTGTATAGCAATGAAAAAAATGGCAAGAACAGTTGTAAAACTTTGTGTGTGCAAAACCATACTCAAAAACGATACTCATTCAGAGTATTTTCACTAATGCTTGGCGTATGATGAATAACTGACCTAAGTTCATTGCTAACACCGAATAATGTCTTGGCAAATAAGTGACAATGACATAAATGAACTCAAATATACAAATAATATCACTGATTTTTTTATCTTGTATACAAATCAAAAGTGCTTTGGTATATATTTTTTCTTGCTTGAATCTTATGATAGTTTTGTATCTTTTATTCTTAGTTAAGAAAATTGCAGTTTAAAAAGCAATTTATTTAGTTTATTGAGCAGATATTTTGTGTTGTGCAGATTATGCTTCACTGTACAACTTTCAAAACTATGCCACATAATCAAAATACAGGAAAAGTCAACTTCAGAAAGAACAGATTACCAAAGCACTAACAGAGGTAGTTTTGTTATGATATTGGTAGAGGTTTAAGCTTTGGGATAGCTCTACACTCCCTTACATAAAACATCCTAAACTAGGCACATGTCTCTGGATGCCCTAACACATTTTAGTTTGAATGTATTTCAGAACCCCCACTGGTAGATTCTCCACGTCATCATATGGAGGTATAGTCATCAACACTGTTTTACTTTTGTCTTGTGATTTAGAAGAATCTGTGGCCATCCTGGAAATAAACAGAGTGACATGGTGACAATTGTGGATCCTCTCCTTTGGGATAATGCACTGTGTATCCCATTGCAAGTGCTTCTCAGACATCAGTGCAACGACCTCTTCAGTAATCTGACCTAAAATGTAAGAGACTTGAGAGCAAAGATCATGTTTTGTTCATTATTTTACTCCTAGTACCTAGGACAGTCCCCACCAGCAAATGCCTGTTCAGTGATGGATATGCTAAAATCTCCTTTATTATAGATGCATTTATTTCATGGAAAAATAGAAAGGTTACGCTACTGAGGGCTCAACAGCTTTATGAATTAATATAGGGCTTCTCAGAAACAGTAAATATTTCTAGCACTAATCTCCTAAGAATAAAAGGAGTGGGTTGTCCCAAATAGTGCATAGGTGATGAATCTGGATGGCTTTAGATAAGAGCAGAGGAAATTGTCTATTTATCACTGACCCTAAAATGAAATTCAAATTGAATTTATGTCTACTTTATAGATGGTGACTAGGAACAAGAAAATTGAGACAATTGAAACCACTAGAATAGATTATTACCTGGAGATATAATTAATAGTCCAAATTACATGATGTCATGTTACTCTTTGTGCAAACTTCTGTAGATGTTGATATATGTATGTGGCTTTTAGGTATGAGTTTTACTGTACCATAAAATAATACAACATATTTTTCCCCATTTAATAATTGATTCATTATTTACCCTACAAACAATCATGCATAAACACACTTGACCCTCCACCACACACATACAAACCTTTCTTATTATTGTCACTAGGTCCTTTATATATTGGGGTCTTGACATCTTTCTTTTATTATTAATACAATTTTAGCATTATTAGAGTTGCATTAAGATAGCATTAAAATCTGATTAACTGTGTGAGTTCAATTTTTTTAAAAGCAGTTTTTTTTTTTAAATTTGATAAGGAGTTTTGCTATTTTGCTGACTGGTCTCAAATTTCTGGGCTGAAACGATCCTCCAGCCTCAGCCTCTGGAGTGGCTGAGACTACAGGTGCAAGCCCCATGCTAAAAACAGCAATTTTTGGAGGGGAAAACACCTCAAATACATTACTTTCCAAAAGTCTTTGATCATTAACTTTTATAAAAATGAGAACACCTTAATCTAAAATACAAGTTGAAGAAGTTATTAAAAAAATAAATTTAAAAAGAGAAGAACCATGTCAAATATAGAAAAACTAATGCAAGCAAGAGTGGGGAAGGGCAGTTAGAGACTGCTAGGGAATCTAATATAATACACACACAAAATCACTCTTATAGTTTAAGACTCTAAGTATGTTGAATTATGTTGATAAAGTTGAAAGAAACAATAGAGTCTGAAGCCAGAAATATATTACTAAGAATATTAAAACATAGAGGCATGTCTGGCAAACCAATGGTAATTCCTGTGCCACTATTTTAAAATTATTTTACTGGACATGAATGGAATATATGCCATATTATCATGAGGTTGTTCCCTAGTATCAATTAGGTAAAGTAAAAAAAGTGTTGAAAGAATACAAAGTTCTCTTTGATTTGACTCTGACCAACCAACATTCTCAGACTCAACACCTAAGCAGATCAAACTGTACACTTTTTCTTATTCTCTCTATAGCAAACTATCACCTAATCCAAAACCATCCGGCTCATTCCTCATCCACATGCTCCACCTTCAGTGTCAAAATCTCTGGGGAATCCTCTTATGACCCCCTCAGTTAGCTGAATACCTCTCAGTTTTCTCTTCTGGACTGTAAGTCATATGGCATCATGGGTTATTTTTTCTTCTACTCACTTGGCACAAGATGAAGAGAGAAAAATGTATCCTTCCCTGCTAATTTGTACTTTGTTTCTTCCATGTTCCTGTATTGGGACCCATCTCCTTCCAAGATGAATATTCATCCTCATAGACATACAATACCGCTTAGTGTTACTTCGTTGGCATAGCATAGAATACACAGAATAAATGATTATTTGATATATAAATGAATTAAAGCATTTCTATCCTTATTTTACTTAAAGAAAAATTAAGTTATGGAAAAAATGATTAGAATTCTGAAGAACATTTTAAAATCGAGGTTATATGATTTCTAACCTATAATAGGGTAGAAATTAACTGTGAATTAAGCAAATAAATTAATCAAATAAAAATTATTGGTGTTTTAGAAATATGAAGTGTAGTTGAATCTATTTGTTGTCATTTGCTTCTCATTAGCTATTTTTACCAAATTGTCTAACAAATATGTCTGAGTTTAATAATTTTTTTCAAGAATGATTTAGTTTCTTTACATTTTAACTACTTGTAGGTAAGTAAATTTCAAGGTAAATTTACTAAACGCATTCAATGGCATGGATTTAGTCAAGTTATGTAGAAGAAATAACACAGTACCATTCAGCAGATAAGAAAAGGGGCTAAGAAATCAGAATCTGTATATAAACAGATTCTTGGTCAGCTCTCATTCCTGAAATTTACTAACCTGTAACTATGGACAAGATTATACTGACCTTTACCATTTGTACAAATGGGATAATATTAGTCCTTTCTACTTAATGCATTAGAGGGATTGAATGAAATAAAATTTACAATAAATTTCCACAGTGCCTGGAACATGATAGATGTTCAATAAATATAAGCTATTATTAATTTTAATAAAGTAGGAGCTAGCATAACTAATAATAGACCAATAATATTTTTAAAAAATCAATCAATTCTAACTAACCAGACTTTCTAGTTGAAGATCCAGGATACACACAGTTATTAGGATTATGTTTTGCAAAACAGATGAAACTCTATGTGGAAATTGGAGACTAGGATAGATGGGTTCCACTAATGACCTTGGTGAGAAAAAACAATCAGCAGAATCATTGATCCATAAAACATGCTGCAAGGTAGCCTAAAGGAGATCTTTGAAAAAAGAAAATGAGCACAAAATAAAGAGGCACAGAATTACAGAAGCAACTGGGTGAAAGCCATTTTGAGAAGTTTTGAATTGATTTTTATTTTTACCGTGATGAACATTTTTAAAAATACATTGTGCAATTATTCCTTTAACATCAAAAGGAAAGAAAACAAATGGGATAGGTGCTGACTGAAAAAGCAATTCTACCTGTATCACCAAATAAACCATACATAGTATACTTTTATATTAACAAGTGTTATATCAAAGACTATATAAATAGCAATATGCTTTCTTTGTTATTGTGTCAAATAAATATTAATGGTCATGAAGCAATCTGTTAGGAAGGTTGTTAGTATTCATGATGTAAAAATTTACTAATTTTTAAGTGATATCCATTTCCTAAGAAATATCTTTTTCCTAAAAAAGATAGTAATTTCAGAAGAGTGGCAAAGTGACAGTGGGCTGAAGAAAACATGTAACTGTGTATTGCACAAAAGGAAAATATTCGATCCATTCTGTACCCATAATACAATTGTAATTCTACTACCCATAAGCAGAGTTTTCAGTAAGCCTACAATAATGTTGACATTTCTGTCTGGGAATGGTTTCATTTCTAATGGCACAAGTAAATGTTTCAGCCAAAAGAGCACACCACCATTCTTTAATCAGATATCTATGCCTTTTAGTTGAGTAGTGAAGTCCAATGATCTAGAACCTAGTAGTTTCAGTAAATGCTGAAATAGTCTTCCACGGAAAGGTCCAGCCAAATTATGTGTTTCAACACTGTGATGAGCTCATTCTTAGATAAATCTCTCTCACTAGGCTTTCAGTTTTAGGCAGTACTGAAATTCCTTTATCGCAAAAGAGCTATGAAATAAATACTTTATAATTGCATAATTGCAAGATTTTAGAAGGCATTTAAGAAAAAATGATATAGTCTAGAAAAGCAATTTTGAACAAAGAAATTATGTGAGCAGATAAGCAACAAGAGGATATATCCAAGTACAAAGTACAAACTAATTTTAATTTCAAACAACAAAAAAGAAAATGATTTTTAAGAGTATTTTATTTTAAACTGATTTCATAATTATATAAAAATTACATGAAAAATAGTACAAATAGTTATTTTATATTCCTCACTCTGCTACACAGCAGGCAAAAGTTTTGAGGAGAAAACAGGGCTTAGATATTCTCAGTAGCTCGCCCAAGATATTTATCAACTACAAAGGGAGAAGGGAAAAATAGTAACTTTACAATGGAGAAACATAATAGACACCAACTAAACCAACTGATTAAGGTAAACATCTAACAAAATTTTCATCACCAGTGTGTCAAAAGAAAATCTTGTTTTCAACAAAAAGAAGATCTATCACCAAATGTCCACAACACACCCTTTGGGTATTATATAATGAGAGTCTTATCATAGTTTAGTAATAAATTAGACATCAAGAAACCAAAAAGAAGCTATTTAACAGATTTGACTGTACTTAGAAATGTGTTTATGTGGGTCTTCATAGAGTTTTCAAGATTAGTATATTTTAACTAAATCAGGTGATTTTTTTTCTTCTTTTTCTTTCTCTATTTTTTTTTTTTTTGTCTTTTCAAAACCTGGAAAATCTGGATACGCTAGCTTTGCATTCCCTCCTGGTGACTGCCACTTTTAGACAGAGAGAAGTCTGCAATGAGTCCTAATCCCCACCACTTCTATTGACTCATTTCTTAGCCATTTTACTTGTTACCTGTCTGGTTACATGGATGTAACCCGATCTGTGGGTTAAGCCTGTGTGCCCAGATATGTAGTACTATGCCACTTTGGAACCCCTCCCACTTTCTGGTCTGTGTGACCATCGTTTTTTTTTTCTTTTGAGCTTACAGAAAAAATAAGAGAGGAAATATAACTTAACACTTACCTCTGAGATGATATAATTAGAATGAGATTGTAAAAAAACTATTAACTTTGTATTGATGTATCTATGTATTGTTTGGCATGTTAAAATGAATATGCATTATCTTTAATTCAAAGGGAAGTCTCGTAACAAGGATACTATTAAAGACTAAAATAAAGACAGAAAAGGAGAGAGAGAAAAAGAAAAAAAAAAGAGAAAGAATTAAGTTGTCACTCTGATTGAGAATCATGGTCACATGCATCCTACCAGGATCAAATGTGGGAAAGAATTTCACATAAATGAGTCTAGTTTTGTCTAATGTAAGTCATATAGTTAATATTAAAAACTCTTAACAGGTAGCACATCTGGGAAAAGGGAAAATGCTGTAATTTGAGGACACTAAATTCTTTCCCTTAAAGTGTTAAGAATTTATTGGTAGAATAAGAACAATTTTTACAGAAGTTAAATATGAAATAAAAATAAGCAAATAAATAGCATAGTTTAAATACGAGTGGCTATAATTTTCTAAATAATGTAATAGACATGTTTAGTACTTAAAAGTTATTTTTTAAGTTTACTAATTCAACTACGTTCACAACCTATTTAGGAAATAAGCAAGTAAGTGTCATCACTCTCGTATTTCAGATGAAAAAGAAAACCAGATAAAGATGCTCAGAAGGCAGTATAACCAACCATGTTTATACCAGGCTAGAAATAGAAGCAAAATTATCTGATTTCTCCCTAGACCACAGGCCCTTTTACTATAATGTGATGTCTTAGAAACTTTTGAAAATGGTCAGATAGTGGAGTATTTAGTTTCATTTTTACAAGATTGAGACAGATTCTTAAAAAATTGATATTTGAACTCTAATTTAAGTGGAGGCCTATTAAGTTATCTTTAGAACATTTTCTCCTAATAGTTATCTGGCATTAGTCAGCCTCATTAGGATCTCCTGGGGTTGATACAGCCTCAGATTTGCAGTTGACAAAATACAGATTTTTTTGTCCCTGTCCCATAACTGAATTAGTAGTTCTGGGGTTAGCATTAAAAAATGTGGATCTATAAAAAAACTTTCTAAGATTAAGGAACTTCTGACGTTTAAACAAATGTGGGAACTGCCAGCTTGCTAAAACGAAAAGGAGAGAAGAGATAATTCATGTATATTGAAAATGTGAGAAAAAATAAGAATTTTGAATGGGTTTTGTTGTAAAAGGAGACCAATGTGCAGACAAACTTGGCTTGAATGAAGAGTATAGGACTTTAATCTGGACAAGGTTAAATGCATGGATTTTAAAGTTGCTGTCAACTGGGCTCCATCTGGCCATGATTGTGCTGCTCTGAGAGTAGATTTTCTTTCCTCTCAAGGTCAGCGTCAATGTAGTCTTAAAACATCAACGGGAGTAAATTTGATTCTGCAGTAGCCTGGGGCTATTGCTTGTATTTTCTGTAGTTCTATGCCTGCATCTATTCCCAAATGCCCATTCAAATAATCATTCACATCATATATTAATAACAAAACTTGCAAGGTTAGACACAAAGTTTTCAACAAAAGTGCCCTGAGAAAAATAAATCCTAAATTTAATCTGTGAACTTTGGAATAATCAAAACTCTTTAATCAGTGGTTAATATTTACCTTGCGTTGTTTTAGGGCAAACAGTTTTGCAAAGTGGAGGGGCAGCTGAAGGAAGAATGTAATAAAAATCTTGTCAAACAAGAAAAATATTTAATAGGCCCCACGAATTATAATGCATGTTTGCACTAGTGTTAAATAGGAAAATTTAAAAAAAAATTCATTGGTGAGAGAATTTAGAAAAAAAAGATTTGAAAATATTTGAGGAATAAATGTAGAAGTAGATAACTAGAGAAATGTCAAGAATGTCACTGAATTTAGTTTTCTAACGAAGTCATATTAGATATTATTTTAGTCAGATGCTCTTCTTTTAAAACAAGGGAGGCCCAGAGAATAAACTTATTTTAGGAAATATTGATTAGTTTACTTTTCAATATGTTAAAAAGTTTAAGGTGAACAGAAAGCTAGATGGAAATTGGAATGGTTTAAAGACGTGAATGTTCAAAAGTTGACTGTTAAGAAGTGGTTATGCATAAAAGTCAGACCTGGAAAGGACAAAAGTGGTTGTTGATATTTTACATTAAATTCTGCAGTGGTTTTAAAACATTGCCCCAGAAGTCTTTTGGTATTCTCCCATTGAGAGGCCATTTTGAATTTGGGCTGACCTGTGACTGCTTTGACCAATAGATTACAGCAGAAGTGACTGCCAACACCAGCTCATTCTTTTAGGATGCTTTCTCTGAAAGATCTCTAAAAAATCATAGCCACCAGGCTGTGAGAAGCTAAAACCATATGAAGAATCTATGTTTTGGCTCTCTGGTCATCAGTAGCTGCTGAACACATCCTATAGCCTCTCAAGCCCAGGTCCAGACATATAAGTAACAAAGACATCTCAGAGGTGGATCCCCCAGCCTCAGCTCTTCTACCTCTTTCCTTTTGAGTATTTTCAGCTGTGATGTTCTTTCTAAATTCATGGAACACAGAATCCATGACCTTAATAAAAAAAATAAAAATAAAAATAAAAAACTTTAGGACTCTGTATTATATAGTAATAGTAATAGGAAAGCCTCTGTTAATCATGCCAATCATTCAGATCTTTCCAACTGAAGCCTCAGACAAATGAAACAGACAGGAGTCATAGTGCTATGTCCTGCCAAAATTCCTGATCCACAGAATCCACAAGCATTACAAAACATTTTTATTCCACTAAATTGAGCAGTAATAACTGAAGCATATAGCCTTTACAAACGTGATGAAATTCATGGATGTCTTCCCAACAGTGCACTGTTACTCAAAATATTGCTTAGATCTATTTCTCTATGGTTCTCAAATGTCTTTGTTTTTATCATACTAATAAAAATAGTTAACATTGAGTAGGTGCTTATGGGCAAATTCAAGAGCAATTTATCTGAAAAAATTGAACAGTCATTCACAATAAAATACTCTAGTTATCCTTATTTAACATATACAGTGCTAACATATACCACATGTACCAAAGCTCTATAAGGTAGGTATTATTATTATTAGTCCAATTTTACATTTAAAGAAACTGAAGCTCAAAGCAATTAGAAATATTTTCCCAAATTTATGGGATTAGCTATGGAGAAAGTACATAAATGGATAGTCCGTCTTGAAATTTATGCTGTTAACTCCAATACTAACATGTCTCTCAATTAAACCTAGAGAAGAGAGCTACCTCAACTAAGACTAAACACTTGGTTACAGATTATGTTTAGACTAAATTCAGGTTTCTTGACTTCAATTCCATGCTTTTTATTCAGTCTGCCTCAACAAATGACACTAATAATTTTTCTACTTTTCCATGTGAAATAAACAGTAATTAAGTTAATTAAGATGTGTTTTTCTAAAAATGTAAGGCTGAAAACCCTACACAAGATGTACATTGGGCATAGCAGGATACCAATCAGGGGTCATTAAATAAAAGCAAGTTAATTAAGGACATTAAACTGTTTCTAGATAGGGTGATCTGACCTAAAAAATACACAGCCTTTTCCTGCTCTATTAAATTTGAATTGTGCCCTTGTAGATCCCTGCCTTTTGGAAAAAGCCAAAAGATAACTGGAAGTAGAAAATTAGAACATCAGAGGATATTTACAATCACAGAGGAATGTCTTATTAAATGTGCCTAAATAGTTTTCATTCTGGATGTTTTAACAAGAGAGAAGTGCTTATTATGAAAGACAAGTGCTTTCCTCCTCCTGCCCCTCAGGTTGATGTTCTTTCACTGCGAAGGATGCATGGAAACTGAAAAAAAGACATACAGAAAAAAAGAGCTATGTCAGCTAAATGAATTGACTTACGTTCAGTTAATAGACAGCTGTTCATGTTAATGCCCTCTCACGCCGTCTTTCACTAGGCTACATTCAGAGAAGAGGTATATTTGCACGTTTTCTTTCCCACAGTTCCTTGGGCATGTGTTATCTCTTTTGCATCATCAGTTTATATTTGAGCTAACAGAGGCTTCCATATTAGGCAATTTATATGACAGTTGGTTTGGCCCAGTTGTTTTTCAAGTATCTTTAATATCATCTTTATTCTATTATTTGTGCTTCTGATAATTTTAACCAGGAAGATATAAACAACTTTTGAAAAAAAATGGCACAGCTCTTTTCTATTTTAATGCCCTTTGTTGTCATTCCTGTACTCAGTTTTCTTTTGTAATTAAAAAATATTTAGTACAATCAGTGATTTATTTCCACATTTAAACTTGGAAATCCTCTTCACCAATATCCTTATCAATTTCTTTCTTATTGATAACATGTTCATGCTGTAAATTGCTTTAGTATTATTAATTTCTTGCCTCCTTTCTTCTAGGAACTGTTGAGCAACTGATTTTTGATTATTTCCTGAGTTGTTCTGCAGGCTTGAAAGGATAGTTTCTTGTTGGTCAAATCACAGAAAAGTCTTATACAAGAATTATCATCGGGTCAAGTTCTCAGACTTACATTGTAATTAATTGCTTAGCCTCATTACTTCCACACTATATAATAGTTTTACTCTTTGTTCTTTCTATTAAACTGGTTTTACTTTAGAATTTTGTTTCACTGTAATGAATGCCATAAGAATATTCTTTAATTCGATCATTATTATTATTATTATTTTGAGACGGAGTCTCACACTATCGTCGGGGCCGGAGTGCAGTGGTGTGCAATCTCGGCTCACTGCAACCTCTGCCTCCTAGGTACAAGGGATTCTCCTGCCTCAGCCTCCCGAGTAGCTGGGATTACAGGCGCCTGCCACCATGCTTGGCTAATTTTTTGTATTTTTGAAGAGACGGGGTTTCACCATGTTGGCCGGGCTAGTCCCCAACTCGTGACCTCGTGATCTGCCCACCTCGGCCTCCCAAAGTGCTGGGATTACAGGCATGAGCCACCGCGCCCAGCCTCGGTGTTTATTTTTACAAACAAGATAGCTCACATTTCCCTCCAACACCATTTTAAAATAAAGCTTGTCATTTCTATTTGACCTTTTGTTATCTCTTCCTGATTTTCTGAGAATGATTTATACTAAATATTATATCTTTTATATTGTGTACATATATATGTTATTTATAATCCCATATCTGAATATCTGAATTCCAAAATACTCCAAAATCTGACTTTTTGAGCACAGCACTGACATGACACTCAAAGGAAATGCTCTTTGGAGCACTTTGGATTTTGGATTTTCAGATTAGGGATACTTTACGGTTTCAAAATCTGAAAATCTCTGAAATCTGTAACATTTCTGGTCTCCAGTGTTTTGGATTGGGAATAGTCAATCTGTAACATACATGCATATTACACTGTGTTTTCTTTAATTAAAGTAATTGCATTAATTTGTCTAAGCTAGGGATGTATCAAAAGTACATATTTCATTTTGATCCTTAAATCAATTTTGACATATTTCTTCTTATGATTAAATACACATGATTCATAGAAGAAATAAGGTCCTCCACTGGGATCTTTTTGTTTTGTAAAAGACTTTCATTATACAGCTCTGTTGGCTATTTATCCAGACCCAGCTCCTGTCATAAACCTTTATGCTTTATGTTACAGTAATAATGAATTATTTGCAATTCCTAAAATATCACAATTGCATTATATAATTCCAATTGTTGGCATTGAAGCCAAGGACTGTGATTTTTCCATAGTTATTGTCTCAGCAACTAGCAGTATGGTGGCATAAATATCTGTTGAAACAACAAACAGCTTTTCTTTCACAGTAGTTACTACATAAATATTTGCTGAAAGAAATTAATAAACAGCTTGTCTTTCCAACATTTCTTGTATTTGAAATACTTCCATCTAATCTTTCTTTATTATCTGCATGCTTTCTCCTAAGTATGAGCCATTTACTCACCAATTTGAGTTTTATTTAGCTCCACAATCTTGAAGCATTTTAGCATGGCGAGATGATTTGAATTGCCTTAATGACAGTCAGGCATATGAAACAGGTTTGCTAAATCCTACTTTTCTAGACTTTTTCGGGGACCCTAGAACAGTATTTTGAAATAGCAATTATAACAAAATTATTTCAATGTATTAATATATACATATTTTTAAATTCTGAGCAGGTGTTGATTTTTTTTTATAACAAGAAACCTTTCAGAAGTGAAAGATAACAGATTTACGATCCTTGTCAATAAAGCAAGTATTGGCAATTTCACTTAACAGTTTTAATGAAGGAATTGTAGCACCGAGTCTGTTGCAAAGTTCTTGATAAAAGTGCTACTCTTTGTGATGAAAATAATTATCACTGTAGAGTAGGCATAAAAATACCCCACAATAGTCAGACACCCAGAAATAAAAGTTAGAGAAATTTGTGGAAACATGATTGAATGTGCATAAGATGACTTAATCTAGGTCCAATTACTCTTATTTTAATATCATTTAAAATGAAATCATATTGGGCTTCAAATGGTTTTTCATATCTAGAGTCAGTGTCATAACAGCAATGACTGCCATTAGTACAGGTAGTTTATAGCTCAAATTTTTACCTTTGTATTTACCTAGTCTCACTGTTTTGCGCTGTCTCCCTTCAGTCCCTTGATTAAATGATATCCTGTACATTCCAAAAAGCTCAGTGCAATGTTGGTTTGGGGAGAACTCAATGGAGCTTATATAATGATGCATTTGGTAATCAGTTATGGCAAAATACACAGTTATTAACCAGAAATTATAATATCCTTGTTGACTTTTTTAAGCACTCCCTATTATCTTTAGCTTTATAATCGAGATTACATCTTTGGTAGCATATAGTTTATTAATACTTTCTAACATATAATAATGAAAGAGTGTGTGTGTGGGTGTGTAAGTGTGTCTATGACAGAATAGTCTTTTTGGTTTTACAAAAGCCAAACTAGATAAATTTTATTTATATCATTTCTGTATTCAATATTTATCATGAAGTACATATTAAATAATTATTTTGTAAACTTTATGGCGGCATTTAAAATGCACAGTCTTTATTGTAACAAAATAATACTTACTAGGCTTAATCTGGCAAACGTGAGCAGAAGGGATTTGCCAGTAGGAATACTAAATGCAGGGATTTACAAGGAGAATACTGCAACTTGTCCTTTGTAATTTTGCAATAATATCTGAATATCAAGGCACCTATTCTTGATCACCAAATTTTGCTTTCATTCAGCCCACAGAGGCTGTTACAAATCCTTCCCAAACACCCTTCCTTAAGCAGAGAATCCCACCCGCTTCTCCTACGCTCAACAGGCAACCTTGCTTCTTATTTAAGAAAAAAAAAAATAGAAGCCATCTGTTGGAACTTTTCTAAATTTTCTTCTTTTCTACCTCTAAAGTTGCCTAGAGGGAACAGAAGCCCCTTCTATACACTCGAGTATGCACCTTTGCATCTTTTTGGTAAAGTTGATCTTTCTGGTCTAAGTTCCTTTATTTTCAATCTCTAACCCTATAATGAATACTGCTTCCTCCCAAAGCACACACTCAAAAAAAAAAATGAAAATAAAGAAAATAAACAAAAAAGTGCTCACATTTCCATTTCCAACCACATTGTGCCAGTTTTTTAACCATCAAATTTCCCCAAAATAACTTAGCCTCCCAATTTATTTCTTCCTCATCCCTCCCTTTCTCTTTCACTATACATTTCTTGAGTCAAAATATTTATTAAATACTTAATATGCACAGGCTATTTTGCTATATGCTGGACTATAGCTGATATGGTTTGGCTGTGTCCCTACCCAAATCTCATCTTGAATTATAGTTCCCATAATCCCCATGTGTCATGGGAGGGACCCAGTGGAAGGTAATTGGATCATGGGGGCAGTTTTCCCCATGCTATTCTCATGATAGTGAGTAAGTTCTCATGAGATCTGATGGTTTTGCAAGGGGCTTTCCTGACTTCACTCAGCTCTCATTCTTCTCCTTCATGCCACCATGTGAAGAAGGATGTGTTTGCTTTCCCTTCCGCCATAATTGTACATTTCCTGAGGCCTCCCCAGCCCTGTAGAACTGTCAGTCAATTCAACCTTTTTCCTTTGTAAATTACCCAGTCTTGGGTGTTTCTTCTTAGTAGCATGGAAGGAACTAATACAGTAGCCAAAGGAAAT
This sequence comes from Homo sapiens, assembly GCF_000001405.40. Lineage (NCBI taxonomy): Eukaryota > Metazoa > Chordata > Mammalia > Primates > Hominidae > Homo > Homo sapiens. The sequence goes on from NC_000013.11 coordinate 68,056,396, forward strand.
ATCCTGCTTAAAAGTCACAGTTACACAAGTCTGACCAATAATAACACAATTACAATACATTTTGATAAGTACTATGAAAACATAATTGAGAAATATATGAAAGAGAACTGCTATTCCTTTTGTTTGTTTGTTTGTTTAATTTAAGTTCTGGCATACACATGCAGAAGAACGTTCAGGTTTGTTACACCGGTATACATGTACCATGGTGGTTTGCTGCACCTATCACCCTATCATCTAGGTTTTAAGCCATGCATCCATTAGCTATTTGTCCCTCCCCTCACCCCTCATTCCTTGACAGCCTATTTCATAAGTTAGACATTCTTTAAAATTCAGCTAGAGAAAAAGAAACATATCCAACACATATTCAAGAGTTACCCATTTATCTTCTCATTGGCTTCAGTTAATAATGTCATGTCCAGGGTCAGGTTCCAGCCCATGCTGAGGTCTGAAGGGAGTGAGTGCAAGAGTGGCAGATTGCTGAAAGAACACTTGGGGGGCTGTAGGCAGGTGAAAGATGGTTTTATTCAGCAGCTTCCTTACACTGTCTGTCTCTGTCTTAGTTGCCTGCTCTTGTTCTGCAGCTCCTTCCACTCTCATGCATAGCTGCATGGCTGGCTCTCCCTTACAGGGTCAACAGCTTAACTCTTTCTCTCTCTGGGTGCGAGCAAGCTGAGCTGGGTCCTGGCTCCCCCCGTCTATCTGAAAGACAGAAAGCTCTGGCTCCCCCTCTTTTTCTCTGGATGCAAGTGTGCCTATACAGTGTCAGCAGGGCAGTTATACCTTTTACAGTCAATAGTTGCTCTGAGCCAGGTTATGAGCCTTCCCATGTTATGGCTACATAGCTGTGATTATGTAATAAGTGGAGTTACGCTCCTGCGCTCCAAACTCGCTGAGTCACACAGGATGTTTACCTTGGCCTATGCCTGCCTGGCTGCAGTGCAGGCATATTCCTTACAAATAAACATTTCCTGAGAAACACCTACATGCTGGGCACTCTATTAGGCATTAAGTATTGATAACAGAATGAAACTGGCATGGCACTCAGGTAAATGAGTATTTTGTGATGGTAATGGGATAACTATAAAGGCATAGGAGAAGTGCCTATTCCAGCCTGGGGATAGCAGATAAAGATTCTAAGGGGATCATTTTTTATTTAAGCATAGGATCCCTGCAATTAGCAGGGTGAAACCTTGAAGGGACAGAGGGTGCCTATACACAGGCTAGCATAGGGCTCTCAAGTTTTTCCATAAAACTTTACTACAGAAGATAATGTTTCATATTCTCAGGGGCTCAAAATGTTATGCATCAAGAACAAGATTTCCCCACTTTAGTTTAAAATGTATAGCAAATTGTACATATTTATGATAAGGAGCTTAGATTTTATTATCTGAATTATACAGGAAGAAAACAGGGTATTCAGATGGAAAGTGACATGACTATATTTAATATTTAGATATGTCATTTTGTCAGCCTTGTTAAGAAGAGGCTCAAGTCAGGTTGGGATTACAAATTGATGCTGGAGTTAAAAGTCTACTCACAGGTGCAGAGTGTGAATGAAGATACTGACCATAATAATGAAGAGAATGATAGAGATTTGAAATATTAAGGAAATATGATGCAATGCCTTTATTGGCTATTTGGGGGAGGAGTTTAGGACTGAAAGAGGAGTCCCTGACAACTCTCAAGTTTATAGGCTGCACTTCTGAGTGAAAGAAGGTGCTCTTTATTGAGCTGTGTAACATAAAAGGAGAAGTTTTGCAGGAAGGAAAGATTATAGTATAACCAATTAAAGAAAAATCTCTTCATTTCTGTATTGATTTTTATATTGTTGTGTAACAAATAACAACTATAGCAGCTTAAAAACAACACTTATTTATTAACTCATTGCCATAGAGGGCAGAAGTCCAGGCATGACATGACTGGGTTCTCTGCCTGGGCATCATCAGACTGAAATAAAAGTGTCCACTGGGGCTGGAGTTTCCATTTGAACTTTATGCTTTTCTTCCAGTCTCACTTGTTGTGGTAGGTTAAAAACTGACCCACCAACAGGTACTCTCATCATAATCACTGGGACCTGTGAATGTTACTTTATCAGGCCAAGTCTTTGCAGATGTGATTAAGTATCTTGTGGTTATTCTGGTGGTCCCTAACTGCAACCAAGAGGGAGGCAGAAGGATATTTGACAAATACACACACTGAAGAGAAAGCTATGTGAAGATAGAGCAGATAGAGAGTTGAAGATGCTGGCCTGGGAAATTGAACTAATGTGGCCACAGAATGCTGGCAACCACTAGAAGCTGAAACAGGCCAAGAACATTCTCCCCTAGAGCCTTCAGAGAGAGTTTTGGCCCTGCTAAAATCTTAATTTTGGCCCAGTAATACAGATTTTGGACTTATAGATTTCAAAACTGTGAGAGGATACATTTCTGTTGCTTTAAGCCACCAAGTTTGTGGTAATTTATTATAGCAGCCACAGGAAATTAATATGCTAGTTGTTCGCAAAATTGATATTCCTGTGGTTGTACAACTGAGGTCTCCATTTTCCTAATAGATCATGGCCAAGACAACTCAGTTTCTTTCCATGTGGTTCTCATATCAATGCATACCTACATGGATGTTTGCTTTCTTTCAAACCATATGGAGTGAGTCTCATTTACTTTCCATTCTGTAATCAGCTGGAGAAAACTCTCTGAATCTAAAGGGCTCAGGTAATGAGGTCAGGCCCACCAGGATAATCTTAAGGCAACTGATTTGAGACCTTATTTATATCTGCAAAATCCCTTTACAACAGTTTCTAGTGTTTGATTAAATAAGGGAGAAGTTGTGTGTATAAAATTTGGGGAGCCATCTTAGAATTCTTCCTACCACTCTCTCATTATCCATATGCTGTTTCCTATATCACTATGACGAGAAGAATCACCTGGGCGTTTGATAAAAATGCTTATTCCAAGATCTCAATTCAGACTTACAGAAACAAAATCTCTAGGATTAGAATGTGGGAACATGCTTTTCTTAGCTTCCCTATGAGAATCTTAAAATCAGTCTACTGAATACTGCAAGTCTGTCCTTGCAGAGTATACCAGATCCACAAATAAATCTAAACTTCTAAAACTGGCCATAAAATGACCATTTATGTATTTCTCAGTCCTTGAAATAGCCATTTGACAGTCTGTATCAAAAGTTTTGAGAGAGAAAGCGGTTGCTAGCTCTCTACAACTAGATGTTGTTAGAATTCTGGTCTCTCAATCAGATAAATTTAATTAGAAATATGTTATGACTCAATAAGAAGAAATTATTATTAATTTTGTTGGGAGATAATTACATAGTGGTGGTGTACTAAAAAAGAAGTCCATACATATTTAAAGATGGATGTAGGGGTATTATGTGTGAAAAGACATAATGTCTGAGATGTGTGTTTAAAAAGCAGATGGAGACTAAATAAGATTGACATAATGTTGCATATTTTCAAACTATATACTTTGGAGTTTCTTATACAATGTCTCTACTTTCAGCAATGGGGCTTCCTTAGCAATAATCTAGAATGTTATTGAAGCCTCCAAAAAAGAAAACTGAGTTTTTGTTTCAACAGTTGGGTAAGAATCACCTGCCAGTCTAAAACAACCTTGAATAGTTATGTGATCAAAGAACACACTTTTGGCCAGGTGCCGTGGCTCACGCCTGTAATCCCAGCACTTTGGGAGGCCGAGGCGGGCGGATCTCCTGAAGTCAGGAGTTTGAGAGCAGCCTGGCCAACATGGTGAAACCCTGTCGTCTCTACTAAAAATACAAAAAACAAACAAAAACAATAGCCAGGCATGGTGGCGTGTGGCTATCGTCCCAGCTACTTGGGAGGCTGAGGCAGTAGAATCCCTTGAACCCAGAGAAGGTGGAGCTTGCAGTGAGCCAAGATTGCACCACTGCACTCCAGACTGCAACTCAAAAAAAAAAAAAAAAAAAAAAAAAAGAAACACTTTCGTGTTTGAGCTATCATTTGTTTTAGTCTATTTTTATAATAGTTTAGCCTGCCCTAATGAACATGACGAAATTTTATTTTCTATGTTCTTCTGAAAAATAAAACAGAACAAAACAAAACTAAGTTAAACATCAGGAAACATTAGCTGTTGATCTAAAATAATACTAATGAAATAATTATTAGATTATTTCCAAAATTTATAATACCTACTGAGATATAGATATCGCTAATCCTAGGTAATGTTAAATATTTTTAAAAGAATGTTTTGTTAATAGAGATGTACTGCTACACTGGTTAAAGTAATAAAATAACCTGATCAAATTTTTGTATTATATAAATGTATGTGTTTGTTATACAAATTTAAATTATAAAGTTCATAGCATCTAATTTGTAGTTTTGAAGGAAAATAATATTAATAAGGTATGAAAATATTTTACATGATAGTTTATATTTTTCTCATTCATTCATTCAAAATATTTTATTGAACACATACTATCAGCAAATAACTTTCATTATACAGTATACTAGTAAAAAGAAAAAATAAATAGGCAATTACATTGCAAACAAATTTAGTGCCATGTAGGACAAAATGCAAATTACCAAGAACTCAGCAGCAAGGTAAATTTGAGACTTGCTGGAACAAGTTTAATGATATTCTGTCCAAGGAATTATTGCACAGAATTGTTGAATATTTCAGTAATATGTATGTATAAAAACACACATAATAAGCATTTTAGTATCTTTTTTAGCTGGATCCTTAAGACAATAGATGCCAAATACTAAAATGAATGAATAACAATTCCACAGAATGTCTCAGATTTGATTCTTTTGCAGTAGACACTCTGATGGAGGTTGGTTTTCAGGATATTTTTTCAAGATCAACTTTTATGGAAAAGGAGGAATAAATGAAGTGGGATTGGGTAGAAGTCACCCTGCAATGCAGGTCCTTCAAAGCCTCAGTCAACCCTATCCGAAACTCTATAACAATATGCCTTATAGCAGCATGATTTATAATCCTTTGGGTATATGATGACTTCATGTCCTTTGTAGGGACATGGATGAAGCTAGAAACAATCATTCTCAGCAAACTATTGCAAGGACAAAAAACCAAACACCGCATGTTCTCATGCATAGGTGGGAATTGAACAATGAGAACACATGGACACAGGAAGGGGAACATCACATACCGGGGCCTGTTGTTGGGTGGGGGGAGGGGGGAGGGATAGCATCTGGAGATATACCTAATGTTAAATGACGAGTTACTGGGTGCAGCACACCAACATGGCACACGTATACATATGTAACTAACCTGCAGGTTGTGCACACGTACCCTAAAACTTAAATAATAATTAAAAAAAACCAATACGCCCTATCAGAAATATCCTCTATTGGCTCAAAATGGCTGCATTTTTTATACCTCTGAATGATGTAGATCATTCAGGAAATAGCATACTTTTGTGAAAAACGGTTCTATGAACTTGATGCAAACCCTGAAATAGACAACAGCTGGAGACTGAATTGGCAGCTAGTGCAACAAGTCTTCCAATTAACAAGGATCTAAGAGGCACAACTTTATGTACCCTGGAACTTGGGAGATATAGTAAAATAGGATTTTCCTCAGTCTAATATAACTACTCTCTAAATGTACTGTCTATGGAGAAAGGAAAGGTGGCTGCATTAGGATTTGCCTCATATCCTAGAGTTTTCCAGAGCAAAGGATGCTTAGAACACCTACCCCATGTACCAGATCAGAGCTATGAACATGTAGGAGCTAGCATGGGTTGTTTTAAAACCATCCAAGACAGCTTGCTAAGGGGCTGAGAAGACCTCAACAGGAAGAATATGAAGGTGCATCTACAAATATCTAGGTATCCACAAAGGAGTTGAAGCCAACAAGCCAGAATAAAGATGCATGTTGATTATTGAACCAAGGTTGTCCTTTTGACTGGAAGTACCTAGAAAGCTCTTTTATTATAAAAAATAATCAGAAGAATATAGGATATGTCTTACTTTTTCTCTACAGAGATGGGGAAGAATTCATCTTGAGAATAAGATGAATGGAGAATGATGGAAAAGAATCTGATTGTGTTTCGTATACGTGCTACCTGTTCCAAAAAATTATTACACAAATTCGGCTTCATATTATTGTCTGCTTACATCATTGTGCCTAAATTATCTCTCATTTTTCTAAATAGGAATGAAATATAAATATATGATATGAAGTTATCATGCTTTATTTCTTCTTAGGTATCCTGAATAGCTCATTTATTCTTTGGAAATGTTGAAAAAAATGCTGGTTACCACAGCTTATGCATAACTTGCATTTGAAAACCACCAGGAATATCAAAATTAGCAGGAATGATTACCTGTCAAATTAACCCATTTGTGCCTGAGGTTGCAATTTTTTTTAATTTTTGCAATCAGACCTTGGTGATGACCTTGAGCAGTAGGATATAAATAAATTTCAAATAGAAGCATCAGAACTGTAAGCTGGTCCCCTGTATTTATTTTTTTTTATCACTTGAAATTATTTGGCATCTTGCTCAGATAATAGAATAGGGAGTGTTGTCTTTGATAACAATATAGCTTAGTTTGGACAACATTAGGAGCAATGCTAATAAACCATAGGCCTTGATACATAACTATTACCTGAAAGAATGGATTAATATGATCTATTCCAGAGCTGTAATTTTTTTGCCTATAGCTATATTTTTCCTCTCATAACACATGGTGGTTACTTAATCTTTACTTGACTGAACTGGCCTACTCTATAACCAGTGAAATAACTCAGTTGTAGTTTTAAACTTGGAGTATTTTCACTGACAAATTACAACAAAGTGTAATCATTCAGACTTAAAAAGAAAATGACTACATATTGCTTTTTTCACCTCCTTATGTAAGTTACCACTCTTCATAGTTAGTGAGTGACATTATTGCTGAGAATAGTCACCTTGTGTAAAAATATAAATCAATCATTGGAGTAATCATATCCTCATGGAATAATAGCACTACAGAGCTTGAAGGATCTTAGCAATTATCTAATGTAATGGTTTTCCAACAGGATCTGTGACAATTAAATTTTCCCAGTGATGTCACAGGACTACTTTGGGAAAAGAGACCTGATTTCTGGATGTCATTTTCTCCTCGCAGCCAAAATACATAGATTTTTTTTCTCTCTTCAATAGAGTTTGGTAAAAACAGAGTTTGATTTACTAAAATAAAGTTCTAAGTTACAGATATAATTTGAAATACTTATTATGTATATGAGAAAATGTCACAGGTAGGTTCTTAAACATGCATAAAATTAAGTAGTGGAGGAGAAAAGGTTACAGTGATATAAACGTATGTTAGTTGTCTTTTATTTAAGTAATGTTTATATTTTCAAATACTTATCTCCATAAAATATTTCTGCATTTCTTATCTATAATTAATGTCCCTTTTAAAACTCCTAGTATTACCTTTTTCCTTTTTTCTGTTAAAATACACACAACATACAATTTACTATTTTGAACAATTTTAAGTTTACAGTTGATTGATATTGAGTACATTCATAATATGTTGTTATCACCATCATCCATCTCTATAACTCTTTTCATCTTGAAAAACTGATAATGTATGCTCATTAAACAACACTTCATTTTCCCCTTCCACACCCTCTGGTAACCACCATTCTGCTGTTTATCTCTACAATTTTGACCACTCTAAGTACCTCATTTATCTGGAATCATACAATATTTGTCTTTTTGTGACTGGCTTATTTCACACAACATAGTGTTCATAAGGCTTATCTATGTTGTAGCATGTGTTGCAATTTCCTTCCTTTTTACAATAGAGTAATATTTCATTGAAAGTATATATCAATTTTGCTCACCCATGCATCTGTCCACGGACACTTGGTTGCTTCCGAAATTTAAATACTGTGAATAATGATGTTATGAGAAAAACCCAGATTTGTGTAGAAAAATATTTCCCCAAACTGGGAGGGAAGTGAGAGACCAAAGAATGACTGAGACAAGTCTGGCCCGGCGAGTAGATGAGTTTATCAGAACTTATATACAGGGTACTCTTGGATGGCAGCAGGACAGCTCTAGAGATCTGCACTGCATTCCATTTCTCAGCTGCTTCTAAGCTAATTTTCTGATTCTTTGCCTACTGTGTGAATGCAATGGGACTGTTTCCTTTGGCATCTTCCCAGATATGCTCCAGGATGTTTGGGTTCTTAAGGATACCTGCTTCTTGGCTGAGTACTGACCAGCCTTCAGACTTCAAGCAGAGGACACAAACACTTAAGTAAACTAGTGAGAAACCTGTTACACTACAAGTGATGCTAAGACCATGACTATAGGAACATTTTTTAAGATCATGTTATAAATTCTTTTGGGTATATACTCAGAAGTGAAATTACTAGATAATATAGTAATTATATTTTTATTTTTTTAAAAAACTGCCATACTGTTTTCCAAAGTGGCTGTACTATTTTTACATTACCATAAACAGTGCACACAGGCTGCAGTTTTTCACACCTTTGCCAATGCCTGTTATTTTCTGTTTCTTTTTTTTTTCTGGATGTTTGTTTTTCCTAATCATAGCTATTCTAATGAGTATGAAGTTGTAGTATTTCATTGTAGTTTTGGTTTGAATGTTCTTAATAATTAGTGATATTGAATATCTTTTTATGTGCTTATTGGTCATTTGTATATCTTCTTTGGAGAGATTTCAAGTCTATTGTCCATTTTTAATTAGATTTTTTATTTTTGTTGTAAAAATTCTGGATATTAATCCTTTGTCAGATATATAACTTGCAAATACCATTCCGTGGGTTGAATTTTATCTGTTGATATTTTCTTTCACATATGTGTATATATATATATGTGTATATGTATATATGTATACATATACACACATATATATACAAAATTTCTTATGAATTTTAACTTGTCTATGTTTCTGTTGTTGCCTGTGCCTTTGATGTCATATCTAATAAATCATTGCCAAATTCAACGTTGTGAATCTTACGACTTATGTTTTCTTCTAAAAGTTTTATAGTTTTAAGACATATTTAGGTCTTTGATATATTTTGAGTTAATTTTTCTATATAGTATTGGGTAAGGCTTCAGCTTCATTATTTCGCATGTAGACATCCTGTTGTCCCAGCACCATTTATTCAAAATATTGTCCTTTCCCCATTGAATTGTCTTGGAATCCTTGTCAGAATCATTTGACCATATATGCAAGTGTTTATTTTTGAACTGTCTATTCTATTCAGTTCTTTGATATGATTGTCTTTATGCCAGCACAACACTGTTTTTTGTTTGTTCGTTTGTTTTGAGATGGAGTTTCACTCTTGTTGGCCAGGCTGGAGTGCAGTGGCGTGATCTTGGCTCACTGCAACCTCTGCCTCCCAGGTTCAAGCAATTCTCCTGCCTCAGCCTCCCGAGTAGCTGGGATTACAGGCATACACCACCAAGCACAGCTAATTTTGTATATTTAGTAGAGACAGGATTTCACCATGTTGGCCAGGCTGGTCTTGAACTGCTGACCTCAGGTGATGTGCCCACCTCGGCCTCCCAAAGGGTTCGGATTACAGGCATGAGTCACCACTCCCGGCAACAACATTGTTTCGATTATTGTAGATTTGTATTAAGTTTTGAAATCATGAAGTGAATCTTCAAAGTTTTCCCTTCTTCATAAGGTTGTGTTGGCTATTTGTGGTTCCTAAGAGTCCACAAGGTGAATTTACAAGGTGAATTTTTATATTTCTACCAGAAAATGTCATTGGGATTTTTATAGTGATTTAATTTAATCTGTAGATTGCTTTGGATATTTGACAATATTAAGTCTTTTAATCCATGAACGTGGGATGCGTTTCCATTTATTTATGTCTTTTAAAAATTTTCCTTCAGCAATGTTTTATAGTTTTCATTATACAATTCTTTTGTCTCCTTGGCTAATTTAATTTCTAAGTATTTTATTTTATTCTATTATAAATAATTTTTAAAAATTTTTCTTTTCACATTGTCCACTGTTAGTGTATAGAAATGCGACTGATTTTTGTTTGTTAATTTTTATCTTGCTACTTGGCTGAATATATGTATTAGTTCTTAAATGTTTGTGGAATCTTTAGGAGTATCTACATATAAGATCACATCATCACTGAACAGGAATAAGTGTATTTCTCCCTTTTTACTTGGGGTGCCTTTTATCTTCATAATTTTTTTAAAAACTGTCATACTGTTTTCTTTTTCTTGCTTAATTTCTCTGACTAGAACTTCTAGCACTATGCTAAATAGAAGTAGCGGAAGCAGGTATCCTTGCCTTGTTCCTAATCTTAGAGAAAAAGCTTTCAGTCTTTATAGAGTATTATGCTTGCTGTGGATTTTTCATATATGGCTTTTATTATGTTGTGATAGTCTTTTATATTTCTAGTTTGTTGAGTATTTTTATCATGAAGTGTTGCTGAATGTCACTTTTTCTTCACCAATTGAAATGGTCATATTGATTATTTTTCTTCATTCTGTTAATGTGTTGTATTACATTAATCAATATTTGTATGCACAGGACAGTTCTCTGGGTGGCCTTAGATCAACTCAGTTTTCCCCTTTACTCAGTTACAGTTCTCAAGATTAATTGTTAAAACGTGCTTGGAATGTAATGTCCTGAGATAGGAAGAGACTGACAGGAACAGCTCAGGCTCTGTTCTAGTCCTCACCCCCACCATAGAAACAGGATGTACTTCAATTCTTCAGCCCAGTGAATCACATTTTACTCTAGGGTATAAGACCAAGAGCTTGCTGTTTTCCAGTCTTCTTCAGCTTTCCAGTTGATGGTAAGACTCCATCTGCAACCAGGCAGCTTTCCTCAGCCTTGGGAAACTGCTCAGATTGAATCCTAAGATTTTACTGTTCCTTGCTGCCTGTCTGTAAGTCATAAACCCTCTTTATTTACCTTGCAAGCATGGGTGTTCTGTCTTATCAGATGCAAACAAGTTGGAAACCAGCACACTGTCTGTTGAAATATCCTTGCATTCTAGGAATAAATCCTCCTCAATCGTGTTATATAATCCTTTTGATTTGCTGTTGAAATTAGTTTGTTAGTATTTTATTGAGGATTTTTGCATTATCAATGTGTTATATGGGATATTGGTCTGTATTTTTCTGTACTGTCTCTGGCTGGCTGGTAGCAGGGTAACGCTGGCTTTACAGAATAAGTTAAAAAGTGGTCCTTCCTTTTCATTTTTTTGTGTGAAAAGCTTAATAAAGGTTGGTTTTAGTTTTCCTTTAAATATTTGTTAGAATTCATCAGTGAATCAATCACCTCTGGGACTTTTTGTCACTGTTGTTGAAAGATTTTTGATTACTAATTTAAGGTCTTTACAAGTTATAGGTCTATCCTGATTTTATATCTCTTTGTTACTTAGCCTTGGCATGTTTTGTTTTTCTAGAAATGTATATATTTTATCTAGGTAATCCAGTTTGTTGGTGTACAATTGTTCGTCATACTACTTTATACTCCTTTTTTGATTTCTGTAGATTCAGTAGTAATACCTCACCTTCATTTTTGATTTTGGTAATTGGAGCCTTTTGTTTTTTTTCTCAGTCCATCTAGCTAAAGGATAACTAATTTTGTTGATCATTTTGAAGAATTAACTTTGGTTAAATTAATTTTCTCTATTGTTTTTCCTATTTTGTTAATCTATCCTCTAATACTTATTATGTTCTTTCTTCTTCTTTGGGATTAGTTTGTTTTTTTCCCCCCTAGGTCCTCACGTCGTAAAATTAGATTATTTATTTCAGATTTTTCTTTTTTTTTTTGTTTTATTTTTAACAAATGAAAGCATTTATAGCTATAAACTTCCCTCAGCACTGAAGTCACTATATTTCATGCATTTTTGTATGTTTTGTTTTTATTTTCATTAATCTCCAAATATTTTCTGATTTCCCTTGTGGTTTCTTCTTTGACCATTGGTTGTTTAACAATGTGTCAATAAATTTTGACATATTTGTGAATTTTCCAGTTTTACTTCTATTATTGATTTCTATTTTCATTCTGGCATGGTCAGAAAACATACTTTGATATTTATCTTTTAAAATATATTGGGACTTAACTTGGGCTAACATATGGTCTATAGGGGATCATGCTCCATGTGAACTTGAGAAGAAAAGGTATGCACATGTGTATGCTGGGTAGTGTCCTGTATATGTCTACAACATCTAGGTAATTTGTTATGTTGTCTAATTCCTTTGTTTTTAAAATTTTTGCTTATCTTTCTATTTGTTCTACCAATTTTTGAGAGTTGGGTGTTGAAGTCTACAGCTATTATTGTAGAACTATGTATTTCTCCTCTCAATTCTGCCAGTTTTTGCTTTATATATGACCTCTTATTAAGTGTATAACGGTTTACAATGTTAATTTTCTTGTTGTATAAAAACTTTTATTAATACATAATGTCTGCCTTTGTCTCACGTAAATCTCTAATTTGTCTGATACTGGTATATAGAGTCAGTCCTGTCCTTTTTGGTTACTCTTCGCATGTAAATCTGTTTTGTCCTTTCACTTTCAAACCATTTATGTCTTTGGATCTAAAGCGAGCGTCTTGTAGACAGCGTATAGTTGAATTATATGTTGTTGTCCATTCTGCTAATCTCTGTCTTTTGGTTGCAGAGTTTAATCTATTTACATCATGATAATAAGGTAGGACTTACTGCTGCTATGTTGCTAAATGTTTTCTATGTCCCCTGTATCTGTTTTGGCCCTCATTTCCTGCATTTCTGACTTCTTTTCTATTTAGCTGATTTTTGTAGTAAAATGCCTAAATTCTCTTCTCACTTCTTTTTTTGTATATTATATAGCTATTTTCTTTGTGGTTACCATGGGGATTACATTTAACATCTTAAACTTATAACAACCTATATTTATAACAGTTTAACTTCTATAACATAGAAAAGCTCTGCTCCTTTACAGCTCCAACTTCCCCCCTTTCAGTTGTTGATGTCAGCAAATTACATTCTTATGTATTATGTGCCTCAAAACAAACTAATCATTCTTTTAAATGCATTAATCTCTTAAATTGTGTAAAAAACAAGATGTAGAATTACAAATCAAATGAAGTAATACTAGTTTTTAGACTAACTGTATTTTTTAAAAATGTGTTAGCTCTTAAATCATGAAGAAAATAACATTGAGTTAAAAATTGGTGTTACAATAATACTAGATTTTATAATGTTCATATATTTATCTACATTGAGTTTTTTTTTTCACACAGCTTCAACTTACTGTGTAGTGTTTCTTCATACATGCACAATTCCCTTGAACATTTCCTGTAGTGCAGGTCTAGTGTTAACACATTCTTTCAGGTTTTCTTTATCTGGGAATGTCTTAATTTCTCTCTCACTTTCAAAGGACAGTTTTGCCAGATACAGGATTCTTGGTTGACATTGTTGTTTTTCTTTTAGTGCTTCAAATATATTGGCCCACTACCTTCTGGTCTCCCAAGTTTCTGGTGAGAATCCTGCTATAAATTCCGTTGAGGATTCCATGTATGTGATGAGTCGCCGCCTTGTTGCTCCCTTCAATATGAACTGTTTGTCTTTGTCTTTCAAAGATTTGTTTAGTATAGGTTTCTTTTAGTTCATCTTACTCGAAGTTCACTGAGCTTTATAAATGTTAATGATCATTTTCTCATCAAATTTAGGTAGTTTTCTGCAATCATTCCTTAAAATATTTTATTTGTTGTTTTTTCTCTCTATTCTCCCTCTGGAACTTTTGTAATTTGTTCCAGACAAATTGTAAATTGAACCACACAATGTTGTCCCACATGTCCTTTAGATTCTATTCACTTTTTTCAATTTATTTTCTATTTCTTAGATATGATAATTTCCATTGCCCTATCTTTAAGTTTGCTAATTCTTTATTATATCTATTCAAATCTCCTTTGAATCCTATATTATGATTCTTCAGATAGGCAGATTCAATAGGATAAATAGACAGATGAAAGAAAGAAAGAGAGAGAGAGAAAGAGAGAGAGAGAAAGAGAGAGAAAGAGAGAGAAAGAAAGAGAAAGAAAGAGAGAAGAAAGAAAGAAAGAAAGAAAGAAAGAAAGAAAGGAAGAAAGGAAGAAAGAAAAGAAAGAAAGAGAAAGGAAGGAAGGAAAGAAGGAAGGAAGGAAAGAAAGATGACAGATGACTAAATAGGGGAATTGGCTCATATGATTACAGAGGTTGAGAACTCTCACAATAGTCTGCAAACTGGAGAACCAGGAAAGCCAGTAGTGTGGCAACATTCAAATCCAAAAAGCCTCAGCACCAGTGAAGTTGACAATGAAACTCTCAATCTGAGGCCAAAGACTTGAGAACCTGAGGGGTTACTGGTGTGAATCCTAGAGTCCAAAAGCCAGAGAACTTGGAATTCTGATATCAATGGGAAGAAGAAGGGCATCCTTTTTCCAGGAGATAGAGCAGTGCCCTTGCTTAGCGTTTTGTTTTTTCTTAGCCCTCAGCCTATTGAATAGTGCCTGCTGAAACTGAGGGGAGCTGTTAATTTAGTTTATCGAGTCAAATGCTAATATCCTCCAGAAATACCCTCACAGAAAAACCCAGAAATAATACTTTACCAACTATGTAAGTATCTCTTTGTCCAGTCAAGTTGACACCTAAAATTAATCATCACAAATCCCTCTAGTGAATTTTTCATTTCAGTATTGTACATTTTAACTAAAAATTCTATGGTTCTTATATTTTTCTTTTTATTAATATTTCAATTTTGTTTATGTTTTATTTTCTTGACCTTCACCACATTTTCCTGTAGTTTTTTCAGCATTTTTAAAACAGTTGTTTTAAAATCTTTATCTTCAGGTCTGTATTAGAAACAGTTTCTGTTGATTTGTAAAATGCCATACTTTTCTGTTTCTTTACACTTTTTAGGATTTTTTTATTAAAACTGGATATTGGAAAGTAATAATGTGGTAACTCTGGAAATTAGATTTTCCTTCTTCCCTGGGATTTTCTGTTTTGTTGTGTTTTCATTGTTGTAAGCTGTCTCTGCACCAAGGATAAGCCAAATGTGTAACCATAAGGTCTATTTCAGTTCTTTTCTGAGCCTGTGCCATTCTATGGACAAACATGTTTAATTTTTAATTTTTCTTATAAATATATTTGTATTTTAATGACATCATCTTTAATACCTGGCTTCCATTAGGGGAAGACAGGAAAATGAAGGGAAGGAAACAAAAGCATTTCATTCCTTTAAACCCTCTGTAGGTCACATCAGCTGGAGAAGAAAGTGCTTATCACAATGGAAGGAGTAATGGTTGTCCACCTCTTTGTCTGCACCTGTGTCATCAGAAGCCACAATCAGTGATCAGAATACAAATTATTGGCATTTGAAGGACAGCGTACTTATTTCCTTATTTATTGCAGACAAGCTATGCACAATCTGCCGCAGGAACATGTATATGGCTGCCAGTCATAGGACTAGTGGTGGGAGATGGGTAGCTGCTACTGTAGAAAAGACCGAAATTGAGCAATATTTACTATGCTTTACCATACAAACCATTCCTTGGAAGTTGCAAGCTTTCAATAGACTCCAGAGTTCCAAAATAATTATTATATTAAACAAATTCTCACAGTGTAATTATTGTTTAGGTGGAGAAACAGATGCTTTATGCTTCTCACTCTGCCATATTCCCAGAATTCTCTCTTAGTATTACCTTTTTCTAGACAATTGCAATAGTGTCCTACCTTGCTTTATTGCCTGTATTTTCTCTATCTAGTTCATAACCTTTATACTAGCTCCTCAGCTGAATTGTTTTCATTGGTTTCTACTACCTACAGGATAGATTTTAAACTCCGTAGCATAGCTGACCAATTATTTTGTGATCCAGAACCTGCCAATTTTTCAAATCTCAGCTTTAACTATTTCATCTTATACATTCCATGCTATATTTTCACTTTTTCCTTTTCATACAATGTTTATCCATGTATTTAAGCTTATTATTTGCACATCTTGGAGTATCACCTGGTGTCTTTGCCTGTTGAAAGAAGAAAAGCATCTTTCAAAATCTCAGCTCCTCTATGAGGTTCTCAATCTCAGACCCATATAGTTACAACTACTTCTGTACCCTCACATATGTTTTTCACATATCCATCATTATATGGATTATATTTCTTAACCAATACATACAGATCTTTATGTTTGTGAAGGACATACAAACCTATATACACGAACAGGAACTCCTTTCGCTGATCATTTGCCAGCTCAACAGCACAGTTTCTATCTGACTATTTTTCTGAATACTACCTTTTGGCATTCTGCTTCATGCACAGTGAGGAATTTTTATTTTTTGGAAGACAAATGCAAACAGCCATAAACATGGTTTGAATAGGTACCCCATTTGTCTTGGCACTTTTATATGGTATCTGTAGACTAGGGAGGTGCTTCCTTAGGCTGACTTGACACTCACCTTTTCCTAAATTTCTCTTGCTATCTATAGTTGCAGAGCTATCTTTACCCCATCCAAATTTTTACTCTCTCTTCTTATTTATAGTTTTATTTTTGAACATTGCATGATATAAAGCAACCATGTCAGATGCATATTTATAACTATACACTGTACTGGTGTACACCAATGGCAAATTTCCTAACTTACAATCAAGCAAAGAGAGATACTGCTAGCAAGAATTGTGAGCTTTTTGATTTGAGTATAAAAAATAGGATTTGGCAGCAAAAGAAAAAATGTGAACCAATCGTTCATGATTATCTGATTAACAAAAATCTTGATCAAGATTCAAGGATGCTTAGCTTATTGTGGACTTCCTCAGAGCTGGAAATCCATTTGAATAGAGAATGGCTAAAAGTAATTCATATGAGAAGAGTCCTAATCTAGAAGAATATCCAGCCTTAACCATCATCACAAACTTGTATTAATATGATCTTGTAGTATATAACTTATATTGAATTTGATATAATTGTTTTTATTTAGAAAGTAACGCTGTAGTTGTTTTATTTCCAGAAATTTCTAAGATACATTCACCCATGTTTCTAGTTAAAAAAAAAAAAAAAAAGATGCAAATTCTGGAGAATAGAGTTAGAATCCCGGCACTCTGAAAAAATTGAACCAGACACAATAGAGCAATTATCTTTCTGAAATTTCATGTTATTACTTTCCTCATAAGCTAAGGATAAGAGTGAGAATTTAACTTCTCAGCTTTCACTAAAGGGTTGATTATTTTGTTCCCCTGACTCTCACACTTCGTGTATTTTCACTTACTATCTGATTATTATCAAACTAGGACTTACACTGTCTTTCTTTTACCTTTCTGGGTATATATAGAGTTAGTCATCTATATCTCAGGACCAGAGCACAAAAGAGACATATGATGCATAAGCTGGTCAGATTAGAGTCACTAGAGATTTGTGATACAATTGGGTGCATATTAGGTGCTTGGACTCCTAAGGCAATTGCTACCTAGCAAGCATGAGCAGATCACATACCAAGTATGCAAATATACTAACATCTATATGTCATGTGGTACAAATTTATTTTTAAGGGTATGTGCCCTTAATGTACTGTAGTTCCTCAATGTCCTTATTCATCTTTTTATTTATGTGACTACCACACATAGGTATTCTATCAAGGTTTGCTGAATAAAGGGAAAACTTTGACTATTCTTTCCTATAATTTCAGTATTATAGACACACTGACCTTCTAACAGTTTTTTTTTTTAAATAAAGACTTCTGGGCTGTATATACGTAATTCAACTAAGATCTCTAATTCTCTTTTCCATTACCTATGTTGAGGCTACATATTTAGTGAATACAATTTATTAGCATGGTATTCATCTGGTGGTGTTTTTGATGTTCATTTAGAAGTAGACATACAAAATTCATACAACTTTTTTTCACAGTATGAAATATATTTCTATAGAATAACTTTAAAAATCTGACCAATAAACATTATTTCCAAGGAATATTTGTTAATTCACAAAATCTTGGGCAAAAGAAAAAAAATCATGGTTTAAAAAATTTAGTAGCTTATTTTATTACGGGATTCCTCAGACCTGGTTAATATGCTCATATGTACTATGAATTTCTAGGATTGAAATGCAGGATGTAGTCCTTTACATAATTGTTCACAACACCTAGTGTTTTCATTTCTTTTATTTTTCTTTTGTTTTTTCTATTTTTTTATGATTGAGGGTGTTCAATCAAATATACATTGGGAAGCACCATCATAAAAAGCCCTAATTAGAAAATTACCTTCATCAATTTCCAGGTAGTCTAGAACTCCTCCTTATCCTACTTCACCTGATAGGCTCACTTATGACTAGGTTTTGTGTGTGTGTATATGTGAATTTCCTTTTAATATAGCCAATTCTGCTTTTCCTCCAATATTCTAGATGTTAGAGCTAATATGAAGGCTACAATTTTGTTCAACTACCCAAATCCTACATTGTTAGAAATAACTGTTGTCTACCATATATATTGCAAATTGTCTAATTTGTTGTATATTTTAGATAGATTGGTTCATATGTAATTAAGAAATATTCTTTGATTTTAATTCAATAAAAGTAGTGTAAATTAATATATAATTATGAATAAAAGTCCTATATAAAGCTCTTGAGTAAATTCAAACGTAGTATAAGCAAAGTAAACTCCATAAAGTTATTTATCTCTTCAGAAACATGGCATTGATATTTTTGAAAATATTGGTCTGGGAATTTCTAGATCTTGATGGTGGTGGGAGGAAGATAGGTTCCTAGGTGGGAAGTGACAAGTCCCTGGTGAAATCCCACGTTCAAGCTGGGGATGACATGAAGCCTGGGGGTTTTGGGGTCAGTTCTGGTGAAGTCTTCAACCTGGAGTAAGAACTTCATTAATGCCTTTCAGCCAATCAAGTGGTGCTTTTTCCAGGCCCACTCATTAACCAATCAGTATGCACTTCCTCCTGCCTATGGACAAATCAGCACACACTTTTTCCATTCTGAGCCCATAAAAATCCCCCAGACTCAGCCATACTCAGACACTTATTGGGACTACCTACCTGTGGATGGGAGCTGCCCACTTCCGGTCTTCTCTCTGCTGAGGGCAGTTCAGTCACCTAATAAAGCTTTTCTCTCCCTGCTCACCCTCCAGTTGTCTTTGTAACCTCATTCTCCCTGGAAGAACTCAGGACCCTCCTAAGGGTAGGATGAAAAGAGCTATAACACTTTCCTGGCCAGCTGTCCAAGCTGTGGGTGAGAGCTAAAGGGGCTGTAACACATTCCTGTCCAGCTTATCCAGCTGCCCAGTGGTGACACAGTCTCACACTGTGGGAGTGAAGAGCGGTGATTCTTCTTGGGGCCCAGACCTTGTGATTCCCAGAGCCAGAGCTGTAACACTACAGCCCTCTCACCCTCTACTGGCACTGGGCAGCCACCTCACACAATGGGAAGCACCATCCAGGCTGGGCCAGCCCAATAGCTGTGGGCCAGCGTGGAGCAGTGGGACTGAAGGAGCTGTAACACAAATGGGCTGAAACATGCTCCCTCCCCTCAAAACATGCCGCCCCTACTTGCCACACTATAGGCAACAAGAAGGAGAAAAGAGCTGCGGCCCTTCTGGGATCCCAGACCTTGGGGGTCCCTGAGTCAGGGTTGTGACAGGCTGTAACACCCTCTTTGGGGCTCACCAGTTCCTGGCATCTCTGAATTTTTTTGGTGCCACTGAGTTCCCCTAATCCAGACAGCAGTAGTCCTGCAGTAGAAGCTGCTTGTGGTATGTCTGGTGCAGACACAGCCTCACACGGAGTTGGCGCTTATGCTGGTGTCTGGAGCTGTCTGTCCTGCCACAGCAGCTGGTGTGCCTGGCTATGCACAGTGGCCAGACTCTGTGCTCACTTGCTCACGCACCCCTCGCTGCTCCATGCCTGGCTTGCCTTTGGCAGGCATGGGATCCAGGCCAGTAGTGTGGGCCGAGCACAGCCTGCCAGGCTGAGTGGGCGGAACAAGCCCAGTGGGTTAGGGGCAGAACTCAAGCAGAGGTGCCACCGGCTACAGAGGTTTCCAATTCGTGAAGTGACACCTGAAGAATCCTGCGAAATTTTAACACTATAATGTTTTGCAAATTGGCAGGTGAATAAACTTTCCCTTACCTAAAATATCACTGTCACTAAAATTTCTTCTAGGTATAAGATTCTATGATAAAATTTTATCATCAATCACTTACATTTAGTTAATAAGCATAAAACAAAATTAAAATGTAATAGAAATGCATAAATCATCATCATCATCACTACCACCACGTAATTACCATAATCACATAAAGTTGAGTTTTAAAGTAAATTTCTACTTTTAACTTTCCCCACTAGCTTCCTTAAGCTAACATAAAGAAATGATCACTTCAACGGGCTTCTATATTGTTCAATGACTGGCTTATAGTTGAAGCAAACTTTTGTAAATAGAACTTTATAAAATAGATAATGTGGAAATTCAGTGTCCACTAGCAAATTCTGAAAGAGAATGTTCTAATTATTTCATATTAAGACTAACGTCATTTTAATTTATATCAATTATCTATTTGAACAACAACAAAATGATACCTCTCAACAAACATTAACTAAATTTCAAAAGCTAGTGGAACTATATAAAATATATCATGAATAAATACTACCATTCTCAGCTACATAATTTTCTGTAGCACAATGTTTTACACTGTTAGTTTAAGCCTTCTTTATCTTCCATAATTTGAGGTGTGAAATGTGGTATTTTGTGAACTGGTGACATTGTTTGCTGATCTTTATATTTAGGTATACATTGAAGACATAAATTGAAGTATGTGTGCATGAACTAATATTGAACAAATATATGATCCTCAGGAAGTAATTTTAAAATGACTTAAAATAAATTATATGCTACTGAAAAGCTATCATCATGTTATTGAAGACAAGTTTCTTCAATATTTTACAACTTTCCAACAACCCAGTTGTATAACCTTTAGATTTTTATGTATACACATATATGTAGATACACTCCTAAATTATTTACTCATGTGTCCTCTTACAATCTATTAGGTAATACATACCTATTAGATTTATATAGAAATGAAAGCCATAAGTGATTAAAAAATAAGCTGCTATAAAATTCAGGACTGAGGCACCAGATAAGTTTTCAGGAATGAATATGACTTCCCTCACAATCCAAAGAGCACATTAAAACAGGTGTACAGCTGGTCATCAGTGACATTTAGTAGGAAAACAAAATATAACTAGAGGTAGGCTGAGGGAATTCTATATATATGAGCATAGATTATTCTGTTCATAGGTACTGGGAAAGCAAAATATAACTTTGTTTAGAAGGAATATCAAGGCATATGGTAGAGCTCCAGAATTGTAGAAAAAGGGATATTGAACCAGTTCCTAGGCAGAAATTTGGATATGGAATTAAAATACAGTGACCCAACTATTAAAACTAGAGAATAAGGCAAAGGCTCAGCTATAGAAAAACTTTCTAGTTCACTCATTAATCAATTCAATTAAAATATTATCTGAGAAATTACCAGGAATTTAGGTATTGAGTATATGAAGAGGAGAAGGATACTTATCCTCTCAAGAAAAAGAATATTTGGAGACAGACGTGACAAATGCAGTGGGGTGTTTTGTGAATTGTAATTGAAGTCTTCCCAAATCACAACAGTTGACACAAAGTGGATGTTGGGTTTAACAGGAGCCACAGAGAAGTTCCTAGATATGCTAAATCTGTATGTGTGCATGGCTTGCAAAGCTTCTCTTAATGGTTATAATGAGAAATTTGTGGAGAACATTTAAAGAATGAAAAACAACAATATGCATAAAAATGTGGAAGCAAGAAAAATCCTGGCACATTCTCAGGATGGAATAACATGATAAAGAAAGAAAACTATCTGGGAGAGAAGTGGCAGGGATTGAGTCTGGGAAGGATAGGGCGGTACTCAGATTGAGAAGCACTGACTGTACAGAAATAAAGCTGAAGTTTTCATCCGTGTGACGTGGTGGGTCCTGAAAGTTTCTGTATTTGTGGAGTAAAGGGAGTAGTCTCACATTTTAGAAAATCCATTTAGAGGCAGTAAATATTGGCCTGTTAGAAAGATTGGAAGAAGCAAGACAAATTAATGAAAATACTGAAATGCTCAAGGCCAGAGATGATGAGAAACTCAATAAATGTAGTGACTCAATGAAGAAAATGGATATTTAGAAATATTTTGGCATTTAGATAATAAGGCTTAGTTGACTCTCATAGGTGAGACAGAAGAGAGGGATCACACCTGGATTTCTGTGCCAGAGAATTTGTGGGTGGTTGCATCATTCACTGCCTCAGCACTCTGCACTGAGGTGGAATTAGAAAATATTTCAGAAGGCAGTAAAGACTGACTTAAGAATTTCTGCGGTAGGTGTATTTGTGGAGTGCACCAAACATTAACTGAGAATCTGTATAGAATCAATGTAATATGCACATGAAAAATCTGAGGCTGGAAATGAAGAGTTACGATGCATAAAACTAGACTAAGATAAAAAATAAAGAAACACACACTAAAAGACATCCTGCAGTGTCAATTTCTTGCAATTAGAGTTGTGAAGAATTTGCGTATGTAGGCTGACAAAACAACTCCTTGTCTGTCAGTGTTCTGGTTTTCATCATAAAACCTTTTAGCAGGTTCTGATTATTTACTTTCATGAAGAGTTAAAGTATAATGATTAGCCTATGACTCATCTTGTTTGTTTCTCAACAAGATTTTTAGTTTTTCCAAGAACTGACTTACCATGGAAAATCAGGAAGCAGAAATTGGCATCCTTATTTGATCTCCTGGAAGGGAAGCCCAGACTCTGAAGGATAGTTTTTTGCAAATAGTGTAAGAAACTCATAGACAATCTCTACAGAAAATTCACTGAGAGCCATGACTGTAGTTTCTCTGTAAAATGCCAACTCTTTGCCATCCTCCCTTTGTGGTTCTGCTTTATTCAGCACCTTAGTCTATTTCTGTTGCTGTAACAGATTACCACAGACTAGATAGTTTATAAAGAACAGAGATTTATTGACACACAGTTCGGGAGACTAAGAAGTCTAAAACCACGAGGCATCTTGGAATGGCTTTCTCGTTGCTTCATTGCATGGTGAAAGGGCAAAGGCAAGGCAAGAGAGAGCAAGAGGGGTCCAAACCCCTTATAAGTCCTCTTACAAGAAACCTGCTCCCGGGAACAAACCTACTCTTCTGATAATGGCATAAGTTCATTGACAAGGAAGGTGTCCCCATGACCCAAACACCTCTAGTTAGACCCCATCTCCCAACACCACCACATTGGAGATTGAGTTTCCAAGTCTTGAACTTTGGAGGACACATTCATATCATAGCATATAAAGAATTATAAATAATATCAATCAAATATGATAATTAGAATATTCAAGATTATGAGTGACAAGGTTTTAAAAGCATATGAATAATAAATTTATGTGAGATTGCAAGCCAAAACTATCTATTTTTGTTCTGTGAATGTATCAAACCATAGATAATAAAAACTAGTAGTTTTTTCTAGGACATAGAAATCAATGACAGTAGGAAGAGTAGCTTCTACTTTCCAAGTGTGGAGATGATTTCTGAAGGCTACTTTGCCATTGCATGATGAATATACACGTGCACACACACACACAAAGGCTACTTTGCCATTGCATGATGAATATACACGTGCACACACACACACACACACACACACACACACACACACAGAGATTTTGGATTATCTGAAAATTACCTGACAGAAAAGAAAACAAGGAGATTAAAAAATTAGGCATGAAAATTATAGGATAATATTTGGTTAAGAAAAACTTGTCAAAACCTACTAGGAAGGTAAGAATGAAACAACTAAGAGGTTATGTAAGTGTGGAATTGGGAAGAAATTTTGAGGGAACTCAATTTTAATACCTAGTAAAAGAGAATAGCAATTGTCTCCTGTTTAATTCCTATAAAAGATAAAAGATATTAGATGGGAGAGGAAGTCAAGTTTATACTCTCACAGACCTTCTAGAAAGATCAATTTCAATCAAAGCATCATAGTTCTTACTCTGAAAAGCCAGAAATAGTAAAAGGAAACAAAACAACTAAATACACAAAAGATTCTATATTGTTAGTGGTAAAGTATCTTACAAAGACATTGTTATTTTTGAAGCATAAGCAGGAGGAACCCAATTCAATTAATCAAGTTTCTCATTTGCACATTGTAAAGCAACCTGTACCCTCTATTCTTCGTCAGAAGTTTCTCTGAATACACTTGAACTGGTTCAAAGGAGAAATGCCTGCACACTGGGTGGCTAAAACCTCCAAAACAGCGCTGCGCTTCTAGTGAGCATCATTTTGATTTTGTTTATTTGCATCTGTTGTAATACCAAAAGTTCCTCAAATTGAACTTGATTTGTTTGTTTAATTTCTTCTCTCAGCTTTAATGCTGTCACTTTGGTTACTTCTGGTTTGAATCATTTTTCTTTTACTTTTAAAATTTATCCTTTCACAAATAACCTTAACTGACATCTGAACAATTTTTGCTTTAGCCCTTATTCTTTGCTTGATCAAGCTCAGGGAATCTTTAGTTTTATTCACCTCTACCACAAATTATAAGTCCTAATTTATAGCATGTTGCATAGGAACTGGTAGCATTTCACCTGGACGAGAAAGGATAACTTAACTTAGGTTGGATCTCACTATAAGCTACTTTTGTTTTGTCTCCCAACTTCTCTTAAGCCAATGCCGAAATACTCAACAGTTCTGAAGAATGTCTCTAGATATACTGCTGGAATTATTATTATGCATGACATGGTGAAAACTATTAGGGCATAAAACAATACTTTATATACTTCCCTTTTTTTAAGTTAGCCTGTTCCTCTTTTTTTTTTTTTTTTTTTTCTGGAATCCAGCTGAAGAGGTAGACAGAGAATTGGGTTAGGACTTATATAAGACTAAAGCTCCCTTAGAGCAGTGAAACACATGATTGAAATGTGACAAAGTTTTAGAAACACTCGCACTTTAAGAGGTGTCTAACCACTAGAGTACAACAGTTATAACATGGGGCCTAGAATCAATAGAGTAAAATGCAGCACCTTCTCTCTCCCACCTCAAAACATTATTGAAATAAATCAACAGCTACTCTTAATGAAAAGAGTTTTTGATGATTTTCTTGAGATTATCTTCTCTTAATATGTGTAATAAATAGTTTCCATAATCTCATAATCCATGTATCTTGGTAGAGGTACTGTTAATACCTTGGATATAAGTCTTAGCTCTTATCCTTGGTATAACAATATTTTCCCACGAAAGCAATTTTAGAGATTGCACTGTTATAGTTATGCATATTAGATTAGCATTGAGAAAAGTAGTTCTTAATGTAAATTTAATACGAACCAGCTAAAGACCAAATTTTATTTTTACTGTAGTCAAGCTGATTATCTTATTTGGATATTATTTCAAGCTTTGTTTCTCTGCAGGAAAGAATTAATATGATTAGCCAAAGGTGTGGGCTGTTTCTGAATAAATACCTACACTCCTATTTGTTCTACCTACAATGCCCTGAGTCTTGTCTATCTTTTGTGATTTTTTTCCTTAAGAATCAGACACTCTCATATATATATATATATATACATTATATATATAGTATATATATGACACTCTCATATATGTCATATATATGACACTCTCATATATATACATTATATATACATTATATATATTCCTATATATTATATTATATATAATATATTTATATATAATATATATAATAATAGCTATATATATAGCTATTATTTTGCCCCAAAACTCTCTTCTACCACATAGCTAATCTGTATATATACATATTATATAAAATATAATATATACATATTATATAAAATATAATATATACATATTATATAAAATATAATATATACATATTATATAAAATATAATATATACATATTATATAAAATATAATATATACATATTATATAAAATATAATATATACATATTATATAAAATATAATATATACATATTATATAAAATATAATATATACATATTATATAAAATATAATATATACATATTATATAAAATATAATATATACATATTATATAAAATATAATATATACATATTATATATAATATACTAGATACACACATATAATATATAATATTTTTATATATAATATATATATATATATAACTCCCCTAGTTGAGATTATAAAAACAGAAAAGCATGGCTATGGGCATCTCTTATAATTTCTAAGGGGTCAATGTGACCCATTAGAATTGCCCCCACAACCACTGATCTCTGCCATTCTGGACACATAAATGCAAGGAAATCTAGGTTATGCAATTGATGCTGTCACAGTCTTGTAGGGTTTAAAGAATGTAATGAATTAAAATATCTCCCAGAAATCGTTCATGTTAAACTAGGTTGTCTGAACATGAATTTCAGAAAACTATTGTATTAAAGGATTATACTTCTGAGAGTTTATAATATCCACATAGCTCAGAACAAATACTCAAGTAATATAGACTGTGGTGGGATATTTCTAATGAAATCAACTTTTATATATGAGACAGGGAAATGCAAATTTATCCATCAATGTTTCTCACTGGAGACATCTAGTAACATATCAGATTCTATCTTTTTCCTTTTCCCACTAACCACTGGCCCTGCAGAGGTGAATATTCTCCTATGTTACATGTTCTTCCTTTCATAAATAATATGACCTTCCTGTTTTCCCATTTTTCTGAACTATAATTTTAGATGGAATGCAGAGATATTCATTTTAGCTTATAGATTCACATAATTCTTGAAATATTTTTTAAATAGTATACGTTTATATTATCAAGAAAATATATGACTGTGCCAAAGCATATCTAGTATCTGATCATTTCTTACCATTTGCACTACCACCATCCTGGTCCAGGCCACTGCCACCTTAAGCTTGGATTATTGTAAGAGTGTTAACCACTCATCCCTCAGGGTCTTTGTACTGGCTGTTACTTTGCCCTGAAACTCTCTTCTCCCAGATAGCTAATCTATCTGTCTCTCTCATTCACTTTCTTTGGGTCTCTGTTCACATATTGCCTTAAAGAAGAATTCTCCCTTGACAACCCTAAATAAAACAGCACATGCCCCAACCTGCCCCAGACTATATCTTTACTCACCCATGGCTATATATTTTTCTCCATAATACTTAATGAGACTTATGTCTTAGTTCATTATCTGATTGTATTGCTAGACTTCAGGGAAGAATTCTGTTCATATTATTTATGTACATTACTATGGTACATAGAATGATGACTGGCATATAATAGATAAATAAATCAAGATAAATAAATAAATACAATTTGTTAAATGAATGGCTAGGATCATTGCTTGATAATATAATTTTGTAACTATTAGATTAATAGCCATTTTTAAAACTGGTAGGTGAGGTAAGGCCACTTCTTCACTTCTATAAACTTTAAATAACTGACTTAATCCCTGTACATCAGAATTATTTGAAGAATAGAAACCCAAATATATATTGATGTGAAGTAATTTTAAAAAGTATTCCCACAAATTAATACATATTACTATTATCCATAAATACTGTCTCCAGAATATTCAGTAAACTGCCATAGTGTCATACCAAGCAGTGGCTCAGCAGTAGATGATCACTTCCTCAATGCCTATTTTCAGTATGATAAAAATGTATTTCTTAGCCCTGCATTACAAATAGACCTTAATTAGGAAAAATAAAAAAAGGAACATTCAAGAATATCTACTTATTCCCCTGAAAAGCCATGTGGCTTTTAAGGTTAGCCCAACACCTGTGGCATCTGTGACAAAGAGCCAGTGCAGAGGACTGCACTGAAAGTAGGAGAAAGAATAGTGATAACTAAGATGCAAGGGAAACTTATTATTGAATACATTGTATCATACCCTTGAGATGAAAGGAGAGGTTAGAGAAAAGATGAATATAGATTTGGAGAAGAAAAAAAAGCAAATAAACACACAGCTCTGGAACACTGAAGTCTAAGGGACCTATGAAAGAGATTCACAGCCTCAAAGTCACAGAAACATTTGAGATGTAAGAGCTTCTTAGGACATCAAAATGATAAAGGAAAAATCTTGAAAATATGGCAAGTTGAACAACTCATATACCAAAATTGAAAGAAGAATTTCAAAAATATAAATAGGAAAGTTACCAGGTTTTTAAGAGACATAACTATTATGACCAGAAAACATATTTCATATACTTAATAAAGCATATTTCTTTGTTTAAAATAATTTGAAGAGCAATTTTCAACAGTGTTTTTGAAAAAGGGATATTTCACCAACTTCCATATGCTAAATGGTCAATAATTTCATCATATTTAATACAAATTTTAAATATCATTTTAGAAGACCATTTTTATTGAGGGAAAAAATCTCAAGAAGAGCTAATTATTATACTTATCTCTAATGACAGATCAATTTTTCTCCCTCTGTTACCATATAATAATCTTGATTGTACTATACACCATCATATTAGAAAATTTGGGCTGTAAAAGTGTTGCACATTTCACAGCAATATATTTTCAACAATTATTTTATGTTCTTGTATGAAACAGAAATCATCTTTTAAGAACACACAGTATTTTTGAGAAAAGAAATAATAATTCTCAACCTGGTTTACAGGATGTAAACATTATTTATATATCCAAGACCAACTTTAAGAAAAGTACCAAGAGAACTGAACTTTGCTTTGAAACAAAGGGATTGCTGAGAAGTACTTTGCAGAACATGTTTCATTCATCATCTTCTTGAGAGATATTTTGACATGAACTTTAATTTGAGACATCAGTTACCATCTCTAAAGAACCTCACAAAGCTTATTTTCTACCATTTGTTTTTTTTCAGTTGTCGGACTAATCCAATTGTCAGGAATGGAACTGATACAAAGTGCTTTTATGATCCGCAATTTCAGAAATAATCCTCATCCACCCAACTCAAATATGCACATAGGTCTCTCTTACTTGCTTAGAAAAATATATTTTTTATTAATTTAAAAGTTAGGCTAACTTTTTTTAGTGAACACAGAATGAATACAATAACCCTTAGCTATTTCAGGCAACACAGAGAATATGACAGATGATATTTTCTAAGATATGACTGAAAAGGGAAAATGGAAATAGTTTATATTTAAGACCAAGAATGTTATTTAAAAGAATTGAAAACAGGCCACATTTTTTGACTTTGAAAAATGTAAAATAAGATTAATTCTAATAAAAATGATGTTGTGTTATATTACAGAATAAATTACAATTCATAGATTGAAAGGAGATAAAGAATGGATTATTAAGGAAATGAATACAGGTTTTTGTTGACAAAATCCAACAGATATTTGGAGTTTTAATTAGCAGTAAGAGAATTCTAGGTTTGTCAAACAACACACAGTGATTTCAAGAGGAAGTTAGTATAAGCTAATTTTATATGGATGGAAACAGATCTAAATTTATTTTGAAAGATCGTACATGCACTATGTTCCCCCAAGTGAGGCTGATATTTAGATACTGTGAGGTAATTTTTATTGTAAACACATATAAAATAAATAAAAATAGTCTTATATTTAATTGCTCTCTGGGAATTCTCCAATGGTACGGAAAATCGCTATATTCCTGAAATGATGTTATATAATATCCAACTACACAGTTACCTGAATGTGTTAATAATAATTGATGAATGGCCAATATGTCATGATGGTCAATATTGTTCTCAAATTTTCATAGTGGTGTCCCATTTCTTGAGCATATCAATATAACCCATTCAAGCGGAAAATAATCTATCATCAGCAAGAATTTCTATTGAATATTTCCTTAAAATTCCTACAGCAAGATGCAGATACCCCAGAATAAATTAAAAGAAGTGATATGAAACATTTTTTATCACACCTTCATCACCAGAAGCATTACTAAATGCCTATTTACACACATGGAAATAAAACATTTTAATTTTATCTCAGTAGTTTTGGGGAAACGTGGTTTTGGTTACAAGTTCCTTATTGGTGATTTCTTAGATTTTAGTGCACCTGTCACCCCAGTAGTTTACATTGTACCCAATGGGTAGTCTTTTATCCCTCACCCCACTCCCACTCTTTCCCCCAAGACCCCAAAGTCTACCCCATGTCATTCTTATGCCTTTGCATCCTCATAGCTTAGCTCCCACTTATAAGTGAGAAGATACAATATTTTATTTTCCATTCTTGAGTAACTTCACTTAGAATAATGGTCTCCAACTCCATCCAGGCTGCTGTGAGTGCCATTATTCCATTCATAAATATAGAATTTTGAATTTCTATTTCTTGATACACTAACAGCAACATGACAGAAAACTAGAAAAAGCATTGGGTTATCAATTATAAGATTTAAAGTCTACTAATGTTCTTCTAACAAGTACTTTCAGTTCTGGTAAATCATTTAATCATTTTGGAAAGCCTATACATGGACTGGGTGTGGTAGCTAATACCTGTAATTCTACTGTTTGGAGTGACCTAGGCAGAGGGATCACTTGAGGTCAGGAGTTTGGGACCAGTCTAGGCAACATAGCGAAACCACGTCTCTTCAAAAAATTTCAAAAATTAACCTGGCATGAGCCTGGGAACAGTGGCTCACACCTGTAATCCCAGCACTTTGGGAGGCTGAGGTGGATCATGAGGTCAGGCGTTCGAAACCAGCCTGACTAACATGGTGAAACCCCATCTCTACTAAAAATACAAAAATTAGCTGGGCATGGTGGCAGGCGCCTGTAATCCCAGCTACTCAGGAGGTTGAGGCAGGAGAATTGCTTGAACCCGGGAGGTGGAGGTTGCAGTGAGCTGAGATTGCACCACTGCACTCCAGCCTGGGTGACAGAGTGAGACTCCATCTCAAAACAAAACAAAACAAAATAACTTGGCATGCTAACGTGTGCCTGTAGTCCTAGCTACTTGAGATACTGTGGGGGCAGGAGGATTACTTGAACCCAGGAGGATAAGGCCATGGTGAGTTATGATCATTTCATTAGAGCAAGAACCTGTCTCTTAAAAAATGACTATAAATGAATTGGCTAATTTTATTACATTTCTTTATTATTTTATGAACTCCTGATTCTCTTACCAGATAGTTTTATCACATGTATAGGTCACTAAATAACTGTTAAACAATAATATCATTTACAAATGTGAAGTGCTCACATTTAGCTAAATGAAATGATTAAATGCATTTTATGCAGTACCAAGAGTCACATTTAACAAAATAGTTGTAGTTTTTTTCCTAATATTGGTTCTTGTGTATGTTTTGTTGATAAACAAACATTAAAAAGACAATACAGAGTAGAGATTAAGAGTATGGACTCTGGAGCTGGAACAATAATGTTTGAATCTCACACCTAATACTTACTAGCTCTGTCTTCTTGTGGAAATTACTTAACCTTGATTCTTAGAGTTTTCTCATCAGAGAAAAGGAAATAATAAGAGTACTTATCTCACAGTGTTGCTGTAAATAATAATAGAGCCAGTTGAAGTTGGTGCTAGCTATTGGTTTTATCATTCCTTCCATTTTCCCATATTAACTTTTTTTCACTTTAGGTTTTGTTTTACAATGTTTTCATATTCAAGAACAAACTGAAGTTCAAGATGGATCTCAGAGGTCTTCAGGGTCAAAACTAATTTCATCATCACCACCATTATATTTATGTTGTTTGTGTTAAGATACAATGTGTTCACCACATTTACCTCTTAAAAGTTACTTTAAAAAACAAGATGGTGTTAGTCTTAAATAATTATGCATTTGAAGAAAATTTTCAATGTGCTTTCACAGAGGTAGAGTAATGCATATTTAGTTTTTGTTGTTGTTCTATTATAGAAAGCCTAGATTATAAAATTGTGTGTGTGAATTTTAAAATGTCTAATTTTTTAATATAAGCTCCATTTATTTTACTTTATTTTCCCTCCATGATATTTAGAGAATGCTGTGCAAACAGTAATCACACTGTGATTACTAATCACTTTTATTGTATTTCATTCAGTTCAGTTGAATTAAACTTTCTATATACAGTAGCTGAGAATTGGATTTATGTGTTTTGACAAACATGGTGTATTAGTCTGTTCTCACACTGCTATGAAGAAATACTCAAGACTGAGTAATTTATAAAGGAAAGAGTTTTAATTAACTCACAATTCCACGTGGCTGGGGAGGCCTCAGGAAACTTACAATCGTGGCAGTTGGCAAAGAAGAGGCAGGCACCTCTTTACAGGGTGGCAGGACGAAGTGAGTGCAAACCTGGGAAATGCCAGACCCTTATAAAACCATCAGATCTCATGATATTCACTCACTATCACAAAGACAGCATGGGGAGAACTGCCCCCATGATTAATTACCTCCTCCTGGTCCCACCATTGACATGTGGGGATTACAATTCAAGATGAGACTTTGGGTGGGGATGGAGCCAAACCATATCACATGGCTATACAGTGATCCTGAAATTGTCTAAGTTAGCTAGATAGATTGAATGATACAAAATAATCTAATCTAAGAGTTACTTAGCTCACCCACACAGCCTCAACAAACCAGATAGGAAAGGCAGGAACCAGTTTAATTCAATGGATTTGACCAAAAGGAATGTAGTGGTAAACACTGCCATTATTTTCCTTGTATTATTGGGATAAGATTCTCTTAATTCCTTGAACATATCTGGCTGGTAATGGATGCAGTAGTAATAAATTGTTTGGGACCATGACAACTGTATTGTGGCTGCCCTGTTTTAGCTATCTGCTCAAGGGAGAAACTGAGTAACTGACCTGAGTCTTAAAGAATTATATAAAAAAGCCTTATCTTATTCACAGGAGCCTCTCCCTCCCTGTTTTTTCCAAATGTCTACTACAGGGAACCACTTTACTGATCAAAAGTTTTGCTATTTTTATATATGTTCTGAACTAAAAAATAGCTAACAATTGTGCCTATTGTTTTGTAAATCTTGAAATGGCTGTATAAGTTATGGGAAAGCATGCATAAAAATAAAGATGTCAAATATTAAACTGCCCCATTAGCTCTCTTCCTGTACCTGAAGATAGGACACATCATCACTAATTATCATTTAGAAACGTGGTCTCCCTAAGATACCCAATCTTGATTTATGAACACTATGTCAAAACTGATTCTATGTGTTATTCATATTTTAATGTCAATATGAATATACTTAGCTATGCCTTAATTGATAAAGACATGATCTGGTCTGAGAAAATGACATGATAAAGGACTATGGACACACCATCTATTTAGAATCTCAAAAAAACACTTTTATTTTAAGAGTAATCATTTCCTTGATCATCCATTTCCTGGGAGGGTTCTTCAATTGAGAACATGTGAGATTATTTTAGGTTGACAGCTCTCCAGTGGCAGCTTACTTAAACCAGTAATAAGCTCATTAAATCTAAAGATTTCATAGAAACTGTGATAAGAGACACAATCAACTTAAGGGCTTTTCAGGGAAAAAAATCATAAAAGTCTACTTTAGAACAACTGAATAAGAGCTATTTGATTGCCACCCTTCCAAGTACCACCATTCATTGATAGATAATGAATACCAGAAACTCACCAGGCTCAATGCTCATTTCAACAAAGTACACCTTGCTTGGAATGCCCTTCATTCCTTTCATCTATCAAAATCCTGTCCACTTATCAAGGCTGAGCTCAATATCTCTCTTCCATAAAATTCTCCCTGACTCTGACCGCCTTCAATTATTTCCTCCTTCTCTGAATTCTGATGGCAATTTTAGTGTCAATGATTTTGCTTAGGATTTCATCATAACTTCTTGTTTTCAACTTCTATTTTAATGGTGTGAACTGGTTTTACAAAATTATTTACTAAGTCTTTCTATTTGGCAGTACATGCAAAATCCTAGGAGCTTCTCCAGTCTGAAAACACTCATCTTTTATAGGTTAAATTATTTGGAAGACAAACTTGGAGACAGATATTATTATGCAAAATATTTACTACGAAAATGTTTATCTTTGGGTAAACATCTGTGGACAGGGGATAAAGAATAACTGGGGAGAAAAATAAGTTAGGCTGCACTTTATCTTCACAATCATCTCAAATGACCCAACAGAGAGCTCTGAAACTGGGATGGCTCTTCAGAAGCATCCTACATTGGAACAAGGGAGGCAGGTCTTTACATATCTCACCAAGCACTCAGTAGCTTACCTCATTAGAGGTAAGCTGTCTAGGGAAGGAGGGTGAGGCAACTCTGTCTAATCAAGGGTAATATATAAATATAAATGAAAATGGAAAGATGTCTGCTGGAAGTCCCAGCAACTGGAAAATTAAGTCTTTTTTATTTTGAATAGAGGTTTAGGTGGCATATCCCAGTATCCACTACACATCCTTAAATGAAAACTGGTCAGGGGTACAACTCAAATACATTAATATCTACATTAACAAAGATGCAATATGGTGCTATAGAAAACTATACCCAAACAAATAAAGAATGTGAAATGCATCTATATTTGTGCTTCTATGCAAAGCAAAACAATGCTACAGGATTATTCTGTCTTCAGAGTTTCCCAAGAGGTTGTGTGAGTCCTCTGTCAAGACTGCATTGCAGACCAACTTTTCAATCTGACCAGGTCTGCCTTCTTTTTTTCTGTAGCATTCTTGTTTTCCAAAGAGCATGCCTCCTGATAAAATTCCTGCTTGGTAACATATATTTCAATATTTAATTTAAGAGCATATATACACGGTCCCTGGTGTTAGTAAATGCAAATATGACTTTGTTTCTTCTTTTGAACTTTCTGGAGCACTTGGGCATCTAGAACAACTGCTTCAAAATAGCAAAGAAGTTACTGAATCTAATATTACCACATGGAATAAAAGAGCTCACTATACCATTTATTGTAAGGTATATTTAATAGATAAATAGACTTTGGACTGAAAAGCCTTTCCTTAATGTGATGTCAGCTTCTATTCACAGGATAGTAGGAGGCCACAACCACATGGTAACTGCTTGTAGCGTATAAAATGGCTAATCAGTGTTACTTTAATGAAATCTCAAGACCCAGTGATAAACTGCAGGTGGGAGCATCAGTGAAGATCTGAGATTATAAGGTGGTATAGAGCAGCAATGCATTATGAGAGGGGTATGTTGCAAATAGTACATATGAGGAATGAAAGTAAGTAGTTATCAGAAATCAGAGGAATTTAGGAGAGACGAACTCTTAGAGAATAATTTAGTAGTGACGAGGGGCATTTCATCATTGGAAAGGAAAGAATGGATAAAAGGATTGGGGACATAAGGGATATGAGAAATTAGTCTTAAAACTTCACAGATATTAAATTAAAATGCAAAATAGCAAATATAGGTAATGTAACGATATTTTTCATGTTAGTTTTACAAGTGTGTGTACGCATGTGTTTTCTATGGATTGTAGGAAAATAACCATAATCTGGTAAAAAGCAAGCAACATCAATACTAACTATTCAGTATGTACCAAATAATTCATTACATATCTAGTATTCAACAAAATAATATCTAATACAAAAAGTTTTCACTAAGTGTCTGCTATCAGCCAGTAAGTGTTCTTGAGGCTGAGGCTAAATAATGAACAAAACAGGAAAAATTTCCTGTCCTTCTGATTATTTACATTCTAATAAATAAGTAATCACATTCTTAGAGATCTTCTTTCCAATCATTTTCTAATATTTCCTCACATATAGGAAAGGCTAATATATTAAAAACTGATACCAAACTCCATCTTGCTAGGATTCTAGGTGAAAACTAATGTGTACCTGTTAGATAAACTCATATGTGATTTGAAATTAGAAATAGAATAGAAGCCATCTTCTACCCTTCTTTCAAAGTGGGCACACCTATGTAAACATACCTCTAAAATCCGAAGAAGCTAAGAGGCCAAAGAAAGACACTGACAAATCCAGTTTCTCAAAAGCAAATGTTTAATAGAGACTTAGAAACAGAAGCCATGTCTGTGTCTCAGGCAGGGGTGAGACAAGATGATGTATCCCTGCACCATTACCCTCTAGACCCAGAGCTTATATACCATAGTAGAGGGGTGGTTCCGAAGGGATTTGTAGGACAATTGAAGCACAATAACATCAAGGCTGTTTTAACCTAAGGCCCGTATTTATGGTAAGTATGTGCTCTTACACAAGGAACAATAGATAAAGTGGAAATCTTAAAGGTTTTCCTGGAATTGGGATTAGTCGGAAGTCAACATGGAGGAATACCATCAAAGATGGACTTGCTTTGGCCTCCACATTCCTTTATTAACTGGTTTCCTGCTGGCAAGCTTGTCGATGAAATTTTTCCTACAGAATTTTGGCTCAAAAATGGATGCTGAGGAGCAATTGTGGCAGCAGAAGAATGAAGGATTCTTGATTCTATGTTTGTGAATACATATAAAGGTATATGTTCTTGTACTCAAGACTTGTGTTGCAATTTCGTGGGTAGTAGATTACTAGTGATTCTGTTGTTTTAATTTTTCTAGTACTCATTCTAGACTTACAGTTTTGGCTGATCCTACAGACATTTCAACAATTTTGTTAGTATTTAATCATCTACATAAAAGTCCTTCTTATTCAAAATACCTAAAGTAATTCCTGTTTCTCTCACTGTACTCATACTGCTAGTTCAAGTACAACATTGTCCTATCACTCAAGATGTTTATAATTTAAAAAAATCAGTTAGCATATACATCTTATTAGAGGTTGGTTATATTCTTATATTCTCTTTCTAATTCATTAATTTTATCAGACTGGGCAAATCTACAGGAGAGTAAAATTAATCCAAACACATAGAAATAATACTCTGGTTTGCTTTGCTAGATAAATGCAAACAACATCTTTTGCATTATAACTAGACTCAGTTATTTTCAGTAATAATGAAATAATCCTGAACAATTCCTTTCCTATTAGCAGTGGACTTCCAGTGCAGTCAAATAATACAGCTTTTCCCAAAGTCCTCAGTATGACTCCTATTGAGTACAAGACATAGTATTTGCTTCCATTCTATGATAATAAACCCAGAGACAACTTTCATATCTGACCCTAAGGAAGAAGATGTGCTTACATTAGAGAATAACGTTCTACTTCTCTCTTTCTTGTATAGAAGCAGCAGATATGACAGCTGCCATATATAAAGTCTCATAATTTCAGGATTCCTCTTCTTTTGTGAAAACTTATGTTTTTGCTTAACAAGGATGTTCAGCTTCCTAGCATTTTGTACTTAATTCTTGATACTTAATATTTGACTACTAAGCCAATACTATTTTGTATGTATGTAATGCATGAATGCATTCTAGGTTTTGTCACATGTGTCCTGGTTAGTTAGGAAATATGTTTGACAGCAGGGAAACAATTCCCAAAGCACACTACCTTAAGCAAGATAAAAGCTCATGTAAAATTCTAGAAGTAGGCTGTCCGGGCCTGCTATGGCAATGTTCAGTCTTCATGCACCCATCATGATTAAAGATGGAACTGTGGCCATCACATCCATATTCAAAGCAACAGAATGAAGAAAATGGTAGAAGAAGAGGGCCTGCAGTCCCCAGTTAAAGACAGATGCCATAAGAGGCTACTTCTGCTTATATGCCACTAGCCAAATTTTAGGTACATGGCCAGACCTAGCTGTAAGAGAGACTAGGAAATACTGTCTTTATACTGAGTGATCATATGTCTAGATAGATATCTATTGCTGAGAAATGAGGGGAGAATGCTTATTAGTGAGACATTAACAGTATCTGCTCTACCTTATGAAAGAGATAATTCTGATCTTGTAAAAACTCTATAAACTACAACATGATTCATTTTTTTTAGGCTAGTATAAATTTTTACAACCAAAAACAGGCATGGACAAAATAAGAAAATATAATACAGACCAATCTAGTAAAATGCTCAAATTAAAAAATGCTAAATAAAATACTAACACACACACACACACACATACCAGCAGTGTGCTTACTTTTGGAATTTTCATTAGAGGTCGTTCATCCAGAGAAAAGAGAACATTTCTTAATATAAAAGATGGCTTTAATAGATGAAAGAACAAAAAATATATATATGGTAATTTTCACAGGTAGAAAAAAACACATTAACAAAAATTGAAGGGGTGTTTAGTCAATCATTCAACATCTATATATTTGAGACTTACTATGTGTCAGGTAGTCACAATTTCAGGAACTGGGGATATGATGATAACTTTTTTAAAAAAAACCTTGCTCTTATAAAGCATAAATTCCAGCAAAAATATCTCTTCAGAAATTAATTATAAAGGAAAATTGCTTAACCTGAAAAAGGGTATCTATCAAAAGCAGGTTAGTTATAATACTTGATGGTGACACTTTACAAGCTTTCTCAGCAAAGGTATAAATAAGTATGAACGCTTTATATCACTGCTATTTTACACATTCTTTGAGAGGCCCTGGTAATTACAATAAGGAAAAAATGACTTGGAGATAGAACGTTCAGAAAAAAACAGATTAAAGACCCTTGTCATCTTATGAAATTGAGACAGAAGATTTCTATGGGAAAACTAAAACAACATGATTGTCTCTAAATATTTTCAAATAAAATTTACTACATAGCATGAACAAATGAGCACCTCAAAAAAGTCCTTTCAAGTTATTCAAGATATAATGCACTATTTAGAATGTGATACTAATACGATGGAGACTTTTTATGAAAAAATTACTTTAGATTTTTTCCTTATACAAATAAAAACTAATAATCTTAAATAAGAAGGTCAAATCTTTGAAACTAATAAAAAGTAAGGAAGACTACATTATGCCTTTAATAAAAGGGTAGAAAAAAGCACAACTAATTTAACTGAGAAAAAATTAACTTGAATGTACTAATTTTAATTTTTTTTCACAAAATATCACCATCAATGAAGTGAAATTACAAGTCTCAGAATCAGACAACTTGTTTTTACCACATATTCAATGTCAACAAAGAAATAAAAAAGCAAACAATTCAACATATTAATTACCAAAAAAATAAAATTTACTCAAAACATAGAGCTTTATATAATATACGTTCAGTTCTGTAAATAATTAGTAAAATGCAAACCAAAATAATCTTGAGTAATCATTTAACAAACTTCAGATTAGCAATCTTTATAAAGTGTGTTATAAATTAAAGTATTTGAGATACGATTGAATAATTCTGGTGGAATTCAGAATTTGTAAAAATTTCTTGGATAGAAAAGTGGAAGCTGATGTTGACCCTAGTATTCACTTCTGAGCCAGGACCCTAGAAAAATCCTCACTCATCTGCCCAGACAAACGTATATAGGTATGACCATTGGAGCCTTGTTTGCAAAATCAAAAGTTACAACTAACTTAGTTACTACAAGTAAATTGATGAATAAAGCGGATATTTTACAATAACTCATATATAAAATTTAAGTGATTTACAAAGTATCAGAATAAATACATATCAAAAGCATGATATTGAAAGAAAAATTATACTGTGGAATGATAAGTATTCTCCAAAATACAGTGCATTCTTTTTAAAAATATTCTTATGTAGAAATAGTATGAAAACATGCAAACATACTAAATATTAAATATACTATAATGATTAGATGAAGAAAGAAAAGAGAAGAGAATAATGTTTGATTGCTTGTATTGTCTTGAAGTATTAACAAAACTAGAAAAGAAAATATTGGATATCCTGGTTATTTTCCCTCCCTTTGAAGGTTATTTTAATGAAGATGATTTCAGCAGAAAACAATAATTACAGTTTTAAGATAGCCAATTAGTTACTATGCATTTACTGTGAGGTAAAGGTCTCTAAAAGCAATAAACACTTGCTTCCAGTTAATTTTAAAGCCCTTTGGTTCATTGTTACTATTTAATTTCCAAAGTAATTTCCATGCTAATTAAAACCTTTAGTACCTGCACTGAAGGATCCTATCAAAAGCAACTTAATTTTTTATGAATCTGAAAAATACATCTAGCCTTTGAAAATTTGAAGTAATGAAATGTGGTAACAGGGAAAGTGTTGCATTACAGGGTTGAGAATGGTGCTCTCATAAGCCACAAGCCACTTCCTCACTTAACCTTTCCCCTCAGGTACAATTAATTATTAAAAATTTATTGAACAACATGTAAATTTAGAAGAGCAAATGTTTGCAAGTAAGTCTTCATTCTCTATTCTTATTTTCCACATAATTTCGAGCCTTTATAAAAGGACATTTTTATGGTCGGCTACAGTCTCCATATTGAAAAGAGGTGAAAAGATTTGTATCTGAAACTATTCATTCAATAGTTTTGAGCACCTAATAGATGTAAATATAGTGCTGCAATTTGAGGCTACAAACAGGTGAAAACGTGTGTTTCCTGCCTTCAGGAGTTCAATTAAGTTTAATTTTTTAGTTGACGATAATATTAGAATAATCAAATAAATGTATGTATTAGAAAATAATCTATTCTGTGACTACTACATCAAGAGCATCCAATATAGCCAATGTAACATTGTGATTAAAATTGTCAGTGCTGGACTCTGCTGCACACTACCTATGTGACCTTGAAAAATTATGTAACTTCTTTAAACCTTGATTTCCTCATTGGTAAATAAAACTAATAATATTTCATTGAATTGTTGTTAGGAAGAAATTGCATTACTGCACATAGTGAAATGTTTGAAACCAGGGTGACTTTGCTAATTATGTTGTTATTAGGTTCTCACTCCAAAATTTTATGATGCCAGCAAAACTACTTAATAAACTGATTGTTTTCCATGCAGCACATTATAGATTGACTATTGAAATGAAAGCTCAGTTTGGAAATAAATTAATTACCTTTAATTGTGAACAAAATGCTCAGTTAATAT
The DNA here is from genome assembly GCF_000001405.40 of Homo sapiens. Classification (NCBI taxonomy): domain Eukaryota; kingdom Metazoa; phylum Chordata; class Mammalia; order Primates; family Hominidae; genus Homo; species Homo sapiens. The sequence goes on from NC_000013.11 coordinate 68,097,219, forward strand.
ATGTAACTTATGTTCACAATGTGATCCTTATGAATGAAATGCATTTTGAATTAATAATAGAATAAAGCCAACTCTGAGCCAACTTCATTTTTGAAATATTTTGTGCAATATATGTCACATATATGGACACATTTGGTTCTGGATTTTTATGTTGAAATAAAAGAAGATCAAAAAAGTAAATAATACAGAGAAATGATCCTTTTAAGGTGCTCTACAGAAGGTGTATAGTTGAATTTTGACAAAAATAATATGAATTATAGGCACAAACATTTGTGTTGATAAAATCCTTGATTAACCATCTTGAGTCAATAGCATATGAGCATTTATATAAGATAATAAAATAAGAAAAAATACCTGAATAAAAGTAGTAATGAAGTTATAAATCACTGAAAGACAAGAAAGATTCTCAAACTGTGAGATAGAATATTCATTGCTAAGAATATCATGAATTTTAGAAGAGGAGATCATCCAAATGTCTCTGCTATACAGTATTCTGTACACTCTTTTATGTAATACAGTAGTTCCCCCTTATTCATACAGGATATGTTTCAAAACCCCCACTAGATGCCTGAAACCACAAAAAGTACCAAATCATGTAAATGATATGTATTTTCCTATACATACATACTGTGTAGAGTGATACACAGTATGTATGCTGGGCAGAGCGATGGTTCAGATCCCAGGCAGGAAGGAGATGGATAGCAAAAGAGTTTATCACACTACTCAGAATTGTGCTTAATTTAAAACTTTTAAAATATTCATATCTGGAATTTTTCATTTAATATTTCTGAACCATGGTTGGCCACAGGCAGCTGAAACTGCAAAAAAGATGAGAGGAAACTACAGTACTTACATCTGCTTTTCAAATTTATTTTTATTTTTATTATATTTTATTTATTTTTTTATGTTATTTAATTTTTTTTTTTTTGAGACTGAGTTTTGCTCCTGTTTCCCAGGCTGGAGTGCAGAGGCACAACCTCTGTTCACTGCAATCTCCACCACCCAGGTTCAAGCCATTATCCTGCCTCTGTCTCCCAAGTAGCTGGGATTACAGGCACCTGCCACCAGGCCTAGATAACTTTTTGTATTTTTAGTAGAGATGGGCTTTCATCATGTTGGACAGGCTGGTCTCAAACTCCTGACCTCAGGTGATCCACCCGCCTTGGCCCTCCAAAATACAGGGATTATAGGCATGAGCCCCTATGCCTATCCATAGCTGCCCTTATAAATCCCAAAGACATGGGCAGTGTAGACATACCTACAAGGTTTTGTGAATTTAGTTCCAGACAAATGAAATAAAGATAATCATACAATTTGTTTTGGTTTCCAAGTGTATATAAAAGTTATGTTTAAAGTATACTATAATCTAAGTGTGCAATAGCATTATATCTAAAAAAGAATGTACATACCTTAATTTAAAAATACTTTGCCAAAAAATGCTAACAATTGCATGAGCCTTCAGCAAGTCATAATCTTTTTGCTGGTGGAATGTCTTACTCTGATGTTGAGGGCTGCTGATTGAACAGCGTTGTTGTTGCTAAAGATTGGGATGGCTGCAGCATTTTCTCAGAATAAGACAACAATGAATTTTGTGCATAGATTGACTCTTCCTTTCCTGAAATATTTCTCTGTATCATGTGATGCTGATTGATAAGATTTTACGCACAGTAGAATTTCTTTCAAAATTGGAGTCAGTCCTCTCAAACCTTGCTGCTGCTTTATCAGCTTAGTTTACATAATCTTCTATAACCTTTGTTGTTGTTATTTCAACAAATGTTCACAGCATTTTTTTACCAGGAGCAGTTTTTACCTCAAGAAACCACTTTCTTTGCTCATCCATAAGAAGCAACTCCTCATCCATTAAAGTTTTATCACGAGAATGCAGCAATTCAGTCACATCTTCAGGATGCACCTTAAATTCTCTATTTTCAGAACCTGTGCAGTTACTTTCCACATTGATGTCTTTAACCTCCTAAAGTCATATGTGAGGACTGGAATCAACTCCTTCCAAATTCCTGTTACTGTTAATATTTTGATCTCCCCTCTTTAAACACAAATGTTCCTAATAACATCTAGAATGATGAATCCTTTTCAGAAGGTTTTTAATTTATTTTGCCTAGATCCATCAAAGGAATCATTATTTATGCCAGTTCTAACCTTACAAAATATATTTCTTAAATAATAAGACTTGAAAATCAAATTTCTCCTTGATCCCTGGGATGCAGAATGGACATTGTGTCAGCAGGCATGAAAATGACATTAATCTCCTTGAATATCTCTACTAGAGATCTTGGGTGAACAGGTGCATTGTCAATAAGAAATAACATTTTGAAGGGAATCATTTTGCTGAGCAGTAGTGTTACAGGACAAACAGATTTGTATGGCTGCTGCTCTGTAACAGACCACTACACTGAGACAGCAAAGTTTGCAGCAGTGAAAGAATTTATGTTCACAGGGCAGCTGAGTGAGGAGATACAAGGAGACCACCAAATTCATCTCCCTGAGGAGTTCTGGACTGGGGTTTTATGGGGATTGTGGTGGGCAAGGGGATGTAAAATTTGGGTCATTGACTGGTCAGGCTAAGAGGGCTGAAATCATCAGGATATGAAAATTCTTTGCATTCTTTGATGAGTCAACTGCTGGCAGGATCCTTCAGACCAGCTGACATCAGTAGTTTCATCATGATGCAAGGCCTGAAAGACTATCTCGCATGGAAAACATAAGTTTCACAATGTTCAAGTTGTCATCTATAGAACAGTTTAGGGGATCCATAATCTTGTGGCAGGGTTTATGCAATTCCGGGGCAATAATGAATGAACAACTACAAGGAAGCAGGTCAAAGAGCAAGTTGACCTACTAATTAATGCTCAATGTGCTGTGAACTTGGTTAGTTTTTGTTTCCCTCTTCCCTTTTTCTCTGATTAATTTTCTCAAGTTTATAACAATGATTTCAGTAGGTTTCAATATTCTGCTTAAAATATCCAGTAAAAAATGCTGTAAACAGATGTGCTGTCATCCAGGCTTTGTTGTTGCATCTAAAGAACACAGACAGAGTAGATTTAGCATAGTTCTTAAGGGTCCAATAATTTTTAGAATGGTAAATGACCATTGGCTTCAACGTAAAGTCAGTAGCTGTCTTAGCCCTTAACAAAAGGGTCAGTCAGTTTTTGAAGCTTTGAAGCCAGGCATTGGCTTCTCCTTGCAAGCTATGAATGTCCCAATGGCATCTTTTTCTAATACAAGTCTGTTTAATCTACCCTGAACATATGATGTTATTGTTGTTGTTATTTTATAGTGTAGCCACCTTCATCAGTTATGTTGGCTACATCTTCTGGATAACTCTACTTTTATGTTATGGAGATGACTTCTTTTCTTAAACATTATTAACCAGCCTCTATTATCTTTGAACTTTTCTTCTTCAGCCTTCTCTTTTTTCTCAGCCTTCTTTTTGCTTTGGCTTCACGAATGATGTGGCCACTTTGGTTTTCTATCCTGACCAGTAAAACTTCCTTCATATCAGCAAAAAGGCTGTTTCCCTTTATCATTTGTGTGTTCATGGGAGAAGCATTTTTAATTTACTTTAAGAGCTTTTTCTTGCATTGAAAACATGGTTAACTCTTTGGAGCAAGAGGCTTAGTTTTGAACCTGTCTTGGCTTTCAACATGCCTTCCTCACTAAACTTAATCATTTTTAGCTTTTGATATTAAGTGAGAAACATGAGAATCGTCCATTCACTTGAACACTTAGAGGTCACTGTTGTATCTAATTTCAGTATTGTTGTGTCTCAGGAAACAGGAAGTCCTGAGGATAGGGAAAGAGATGAAGGAATGGCCAATAGGTAGGGCAGTCAGAACATACAAAAAATTTATGAAGTTCACCATCTGTATTAGCCTCATGCTGCTAATAAAGGCATACCTGAGACTGGGTAACTTATAAAGGAAAGAGGTTTAATTGACTCACAGTTCAGCATGGCTAGAGAGGCCTCAGGAAACATACAATCATGGTAAAAGGGGAAGCAAACAAGGAGAAGTCCAGAGCAAAGCAGGGCAAAAGCACCTTATGAAACCTTCAGATCTCATGAGAACTTACTATCATAAGAACAGCATGGTGGTAACTGCCTCCTTGGAGGTAACCCCCCACCAGGTCCCTCCCACAACACATGAGGTTTATGAGAACTACAGTTCAAGATGAGATTTGGGTGGGGATACACCCGACCCATATCATTCTGTCCCTGGGCCCTCCCAAATCTCTTGTCCTCACAACTCAAAACACAATCATGCCCTTCCAACAGCCCCCAACATTTTAACTCATTCCAGCTTTAACTCAAAAGTCCAACTCCTAAGTCTCAACTGAAACAAGGCAAATCCCTTCCACCTATGAGCCTGTAAAGTCAAGAGCAAGTTAGTTACTTCCTAGATACAATGAGGGTACAAGCATTGGGTAAATACACCCATTCAAAATGGGAGAAATTGGCCAAAACCAAGGGCTTACAGGCCCCAGGCAAGACCAAAATCCAATAGAGCAGTCATTAAACTTTAAGGTTTCAAAATGATCTCCTTTAACTCCATGTCTCACATCCAGGTCACACTGATGCAAGAGGAGGGCTCCCACAGCCTTGGGCAGCTCTGCCCCTGTGACTTTGCAAGGTACAGCCTCACTCCCAGCTGCTTTCATGGGCTAGCGTTGAGTGTCTGTGGCTTTTCCAGGCACACAGTGAAAGCTATTGATGGATCTACCATTCTGAGATTTGGAGGATAGTGGCCCTCTCCTCACAGCTCTACTAGGCAGTGTCCCAGTGGAGACTCTGTTTGGGGGCTCCAACCCCACATTTCCCTTCTGCACTGTCCTAGCAGAGGTTATCCATGAAGGCTGTGCCCCTGCAGCACACCTCTGCCTAGACTTTTAGGTGTTTCCATACATCCTCTGAAATCTAGGCAGAGGTTTCTAAATCTCAATTCTTGTACATCACATGGAAGCTGCCAAGGCTTGGGGCTTGCACCCTATGAAGCCATGGCCCCAACTATACTTTGGTCCCTGTTAGCGATGGCTGGAGTGGCTGGGACACAGGGCATCAAGTCCCTAGGCCACAAACAGCAGGGGCACTCTAGGCCCAGCCCATGAAACAATTTATTCCTCCTAGGCCTCTATGCCTGTCAAGGGAGGGGCTGCTGCAAAGGTCTCTGATATGCCCTGAAGACATTTTCTTCATTGTCTTGGTGATTAATATTTGACTTCTTTTTACTTATGCGATTTTCTGCAGCAGCCTTGAATTTCTCCTCAGAAAATGCATTTTTCTTTTTTATTGCATCACCAGTTTGCAAATTTTCCAAACTTTTATGCTCTGTTTCCTCTTGAATGCCTTGTCATTTAGAAATTTATTCCACTAGATACCTTATATCATCTCTCTCAAGTTCAAGGTTCCACAGTTCTCTAAGGTAGGGACAAAATGCCACCAGTCTCTTTGCTAAAGCATAACAAATGTCACCTTTGCTCTAGTTCCCAGCAAGTTCCTCATCTCCATCTGAGACCACCTCAGCTTGAATTTCATGGTCCATAGCACTACCAGCATTTTGGTCAAAACTGTTCAACAAGTCTCTAGGAAGTTGCAAACTTTCTCACATCTTCTTGTCTTCTGAGCCCTCCCAGTCTCTAGGAAGTTCCAAACTTTCCCACATTTTTCTGTCTTCTTCTGAGTCCTCCAAACTGTTCCAGCCTCTGCCTGTTGCCCAGTTCCAAAGCTGCTTCTACATTTTCAGGTATCTTTACAGCAGTGCCCCACTACTTGGTAGCAATTTACTGTATTAGTGTGTTCTCATGCTGCTAATAAAGACATACCTGAGACTGGGTAACTTATAAAGGAAAGAGGTTTAATTGACTCAATGGTCAGCATGGCTGTAGAGGCCTCAGGAAACTTACAATCATGGTGGAAAGGGAAGCAAACACATTCTTCTTCACATAGCGGCAGGCAGGAGAAGTGCAGAGTGAAGTGGGGGAAAAGATCCTTATAAAACCATCAGATCTCCTGAAAACTCACTCACTATCATGTGAATAGCACAGAGGTAACCACCCCCATGATTTGATTACCTCCCACTAGGTCTCTCCCATGACACATGGGGATTATGGGAACTACAGTTCAAGATGAGATTTGGAAGGGGACACAGCCAAACCATATCACTATCTTATATGGGTATGGATTGTGGCACCCCAAAACAAGTATAATAGTAGTATCAAAGTATTTTTATATCTGTTACCAATCACCATATCAGATATAAAAATAGTGAAGAGGTTTGAAATATTGCAAAGGTTACCAAAGGTGACATGGAGACAAAAAGTAAGCACATGCTGTTTTTTTAAAAAAATGGTACCAATAGACTGGCTTGACACAGGTTTGTCATAAGACTTTGATTTGTTAAAAATGAAGTATGTGTGAAGAATAATAAAACTCAGCACAATAAAACAAGATGTGCCTGTATATTTGTGTATTTAACCATTTGTGATTTTAATAAATGCTTTTAAATGTCCACTTGGTGCCTGACACTCTGATTAAAGACTTAATGTGTTCTTAGAGTTTTGAAAAATATTATAGAACTGCTAGAGTTCTGGTAGCTACCCAGAAAATATTTGTGACTTACCAACAAATGAATGACGGTTATGTGTGCTAGGTTTATGCTGGGAGAAAAAAATTCCCAACACATTAGATAAATTAGTCAAAATTGGTTTAGAGTAGAAAGTTGAAAAATAAATAATAGTAACTAAATTACACCAGTTAAAACATAAATTCTTTTAAAAATCATAAAATATAAAATACTATACATGTTAAAAAGGCCAAATACATGTTTAAACTTTTTGTCTATTATAAATGAAGCTGCAATGAATATTTGTGTATAAGTTTTGCTTTAAGTTTTTACTTCTTGTGGGATGTTACCCAGAACTGTATTTGCTGGGTAATATGGCAACTCTATATTTAACATTTTGAGGAACTGCCAAACTGTTTTTCAAAGCATCTATACCATTTTATTTTCCTAGTTTTCCAATTTATCCATGTCTTCATCAAAACTTGTTAATGTCTGATTTTTTTTTTATTAAACCATTTTGAGGGGTCTGAACAAGTATCAAATTCTAGTTGTAATTTACATTTTCCAAATTTCCATCAACTGATGAATGAGTAAACAAAATGCAATATATCTATAAAATGGAAAATTATCCAGCAATTAAAAAAAATGAGCCCTATATATGCTATGAAATGAATGAACTTCAAAGGTATTATACAGAATGGAAGAAGGAAGTCACAGAAGGCTACATATTATACGAATCCATTTATATAAAATGCCTAGAACAAGCAAATCTAGGTTGACAAAAAAAGTCAGTTTGTGGTTACCTAGGGTTGAGGCAAGGGATAAGTGGCGATGGTAGGATATAGGGAGTGGCTGCTAAGGGGTGCAAGATCTGTTTCTAGGATGGTAAAATGTTCTCAAATTAGAATATGATGATAGCTGCATAACTGTAAATATACTAAAAACATTCAACTGTATATTTTTAGATGATAAGCCTTATTCATATGTTAAATACTAACAAAGCTTAGAGAAATAACTTTAGAATTTTAATGAAAATTCAATGAAAAGCAAGAAATTGTTTAAATTAAATATCACAAATTATTTCAATTTTATTTTTGTGGATACCATAATATGTGTCTTCTAGCTTTCTGAATAATCCATTTATTTGTTAAATAAATATGGGTTTGCTAATTAAACATCCCAGGGACTATGGTATATGTTAGCATAATAGTGGTAAAACAGACTTAAAAACTTTTTCTGTCATTATGGAGCTTAAAAATTGTTAACAGCTCAATAAATGCCACTGATTTTTATATTTTTAAGCAAAAAAAAAAAAAACCCTTTCTTGAAAGGAACTTGTATGTACATGTAAAGGAAAGGCTGTTCTTACTGAATCAAGGGAGCCTTATCTATTCAACCTGCTCCAAGCCACCTTCTTTCTGGTCTGTGAGAAATCCTCCCGAAAATTTATAACACAGGTGAAAATTAGTACATTTAAATATAGTTTGTGGTGCAGTCTTATCTAAACTTTTATAATATCCCAAAGAAAATGCTAGTATAATTATAAATAATAATCTTCATAATTATTCAATTTATTCTCATAGATTTGGCATTTAAATCTAATTTGGGACTTCTGGTAATATCAAATTAAGTAATTATAAGAGAAATTTTAAAAACATAGAGCAATAATTTAAAAGCCTTCTGAAAAGTTTGGAGAGCTTTATAGGGCAATGATGAAATACTAACCATGACTCAGAAGAAGATGAAAACTTAGAGATATAATATTTGAATTTGGGGGCACTTTTTACTATACACATTTCAAATTCCTGAACAATCAAAAGAGAGCAGAGAAGCTGAGCAGAGCTTTCAAAAATAACATGGATATAGGAGATTACCAAAGAGAGAAAGGCCTAATAACTTCTACCTGCAACTCCCTCCTACCTGCTCCCCCACACATACACAAAATTTACGTTTCAACTCTAAAAATTTATATTCTGTAAGTGAGGGTGAGCTGGAAATGAACTAGCTTGCAGAAAGTGAGCCTGAGTTTTAAACCTATTTAAATTTGTAATTGCATTAAGTTGATTCAATACCTCTAGAGCTGTTAGATGACTGCCAGAAAGCAAACACACATCTGCTTTAGAGAGAGAATTTTATCTTAGGTTCTAAAATATATATAAATTCACTTAATTTAAAATAACCGTTTATTCTCTTTAAGGAAATGAGCAATTAGTTTAAGATTTTCTTCAGTAAACTAGAATTTATGCTACATGACCAAATGTATATTTTAGAACCAAAAAATACTTTTTGGTTCTAAATCAAGAACTCAATGGAGATGACATAACAAGATGACACAGTAGGAGTTCCCAGGCTTCATTTCTCCCAAAAGAACAATTGGACAGCAATCCATAAATGAAAATAACTCTGGAAGAGCTCGAGAGCCCACTTTAGATGTTTTAGCTTATAAAGTGAAATAAAAAAATGCACAAAAGAGTAGGAGGAAGAGTTTTATTTTACCTGTATCATCCTACCCCGCTGGCCAGCATTGCACAGCATGGAGAGAGAATTCCAAGCCCTTCAAGTTCCTTTTGCAGGGGAAAAGAGAGCAGAGTGAACAAGCAGCTTTTCCAATCTTTCAGGCCACTATCTGAATGACCAGCTTCATTTTCACCTTGCCCAGATTTCTAAGGAGACTGGCATAGCTGAGACATCTGGAGATGGCTTGGGGAAAAAAGGACAAAGGCTATCAGTATCAACCACATGGCAGTAGCCAGCATGGTCCCAGTGGCTTGCTCTTCACAAGACTTGAATAACCTTCCCTTCTACTGATCACCTCAATACCCATCAAAGCTGCCAGGCACTCCAGCACCTTTAATTACTGACTACTGCAACACAGCAGTGTTCACTGTTTTGGATCCCAGATGCTTGCTCTATGAAGGACCCCAGCATCTTCACCACCAAAGAAATCAACAGTCAGAACAGCAATAGTGGACCCATTGCAGCTTTTGCCACTCATGGCTCTACAGTTGTTTATCTTTGTAGCCTCCATTAGCTCGAGTCACCACTACTATGCTTCTACCCTCCCTAAATCCACCCCAGCTGCTGCCACCATGAGTGCTCTGGCTCAAGGACCCACTGCAGCCACTGCATGCATGCCTGCAAACAGCTTCTGGCTCCCGTCATCATGAGTCCTGTTTTCTACTACCATTTTATGTGCCTGAAGCTCACCCCTGTAGCTGGGCTTACAAACACTGCCAGCTTTGGTCCCTGCAGCCATGCACATGCATGTAGCCACCTGACCCTCATAACCAGCCTCACCACCCTACACATGCCCACAGCTAGTCCCTACAGCTGCACACATTCTCATTGCCACTCTGGCCCCCACAGCTATGCACATGTATTAGTTTGTTTTCATGCTGCTGATAAAGACATACCCAAGACTGGGCAATTTACAAAAGAAACAGACTTATTGGACACAGAGTGCTGATTGGTGCATTCATAATCCCTTAGCTAGACACAAAGGTTCTCCAAGTCCCCACCAGATCAGCTAGACACAGAGCACTGATTGGTGCATTTACAAACCTTGAGTTAGACACAGGGTGGTGATTGGTGCATTTACAAATCTTGAGCTAGACACAGAGTGCAGATTGATGTAGTTACAATCCCTTAGCTAGACATAAAGGTTCTCCAAGTCCCCACCAGATTAGCTAGATATAGAGTGCTGATTGGTGCATTTACAAACCTTCAGCTAGACACAGAGTGCTGATTGGTGTATTTACAAACCTTGAGCTAGACACACAGTGCTGATTGATGTATTTACAATCCCTTAGCTAGACATAAAGGTTCTCCAAGTCCCCACTAGACTCAGGAGCCAGCTGGCTGAACCCAGTGGATCCTGCACTGGGGCCACAGGTGGAGCTGCCCGCCAGTCCCTCACTGTGCACCCGCACTCCTCAGCCCTTGAGCGGTGGATGGGACCGGGCTCCGTGGAACAGGGGGCGGCGCTTGTCGGGGAGGCTCGGGCCATGCAGGAGCCCATGGCATGGGGGAGGCTCGGGCATGGTGAGCTGCAGGTCCCGAACCCTGCCCCTGCGGGTAGGCAGCTGAGGGCTGCGAGAATTCCAGCGCAGCGCCGGCGGGCTGGCACTGCTGGGGGACCCGGTGCACCCTCCACAGCTGCTGGCCCGGGTGCTAAGCCCCTCACTGCCCGGGCCGGCGGTGCCCACCGGCCTCTCCGAGTGCGGGGCCCTCCGAGCCCACGCCCACCTGGAACTTGCGCTGGCCCGCAAGTGCCGTGCGCAGCCCGGTTCCCACCCGCGCCTCTCCCTCCACACCTCCCCGCAAGCCGAGGGAGCCGGCTCTGGCCTCGGCCAGCCCAGAGAGGGGCTCCCACAGTGCAGCAGGGGGCTGAAGGGCCCCTCAAGCTTGGCCAGTGTGGGTGCGGAGGCCGAGGAGCGCCCAGAGTGAGCGAGGGCTGCGAGGGCTGCCGGCATGCTGTCACCTCTCAATACCCAAGACTGGGCAATTTATAAAAGAAACAGATTTATTGGACTTACAGTTCCACATGGCTGGGGAGGCCTCACGATGATGGCAGAAAGTGAAAGTTATCTCTTACTTGGTGGCAGACAAGAGAAGAGAGTCTGTGCAGCAGAACTCCTCTTTTTTAAAATCATCAGATCTCGTAAGACTTACTCACTGTCATGAGAACAGTGCCAAAAAGACCACCCCAATAATTCAATTACCTCCCATTGGGTTGTTCCTATGACATGTAGGAATTTTGGGCGTTACAATTCAAGAAGAGATTTGGGTGTGGGCAAAGCCAAACCATATCAGCACACAAACTGCCAGTAGACCGTTTGGTACTTGCCCCCACGACCATGCTTACAACCATGCATGTGCACCCTGTCATGTCTGATCCCACAGCTGTGCATGTACACAAGGCTGGCCTGACACTTTTGTTGGCTTGTAGCTGTCCTTTACAACTGTGTACATGCATGCCAGTGGCTCTGATATCTATAGCTATATGCATACAGACTGCTGACTTCCAGTGACATGCATGTGCCTGGGGTTGGACCTGGCTTCTGCCCCTGGTCTTAGCCATGCCACCATAAACATGCCCGCAGCTGGGCTGTGATGTCATGCACATACCTGTAGCCAGTTCCTGCAGCCAAGTGCATGCATAACACTAGCGCTAGCCCTATAGATGCCTGCCCCAGGCACTTAGCAATGAACCTGGAGGCACTGCTAAGGACACCAACAGCCCTTGAAGCCACTGTAGAACCATCAGAGCTCTTGCCACCAAGGATCACACAGATGTCAATGCCACAAACATCAGCTGCATAAGCTATTGAGACACCACGCTTCTCCAATTGTGGAGCTTCTACACATTTCCACACTAGAATTAGTGCCACAGCATGCTCCAGTGTACCCCCTCCCTCTTGCAGTTAAAAGTCCTTTCTTTAAAAAAAAAATTGAGATAGGCTCTTGTTTTGTCATTCAGTCTAGAATGCAGTGGCGTGATCACAGCTCACTGCAGCCTTGATCTCTGAGGCTCAAGAGATCCTCCCACCTCAGCCTCCTGGATAGCTAGGACTAAAAGTGCATGCAACCGTGCCCAGCTAATTTTATTTTCTGAAGAAAAGAGGTTTCACTGTGTTGCCGTGGTTTGTCTCAAAATTTTGTGCTCAAGCAATCCTCTTATCTTGTCCTCCCAATCTATTGAGATTATAGGTGTAAGCCACTGTGTCTGGCCAAGTCTTTCACTGAAGCTTGTTCATAAAGTCTGTAAGAGGTTACTGCTTCTTTAAATGTACAGACACTTAAGCAAGACTACAAGGATCATAAAGAATAAGGAAAACGTGACACTGGTAACGGCATAAAATAAATTTCAGTTATGGACCAGAAAGAATTGCAGATCCATGAATTTCTTGACAAAAAATTTAGAATAATTTTTCTAAAGAAGCTCAACAATCTATAAGGGAGCACAAATAAACAATTTAACAAATCATAAAAACAATACAAGAACAAACTAGAAGCTCAATAGAGATAGAAAACATAAAATAAGCAGAAATTGTGGAGCTGAAAAATACTATGATTTAACTAATGTAATGTCATGCTCTGACAGCAGACTTGATCAAGAAGAAAGAATAAATGAACTCAAAGACAGATCATGTGAAATCATTTAGTCAGAAGAGAAAAAAGAGTAAAATCGTAAAAGCCAAAAACTATATGGAACACTATTAAAAAAGCAAATTTTTCCAACATAGGAATTTCAGAAGGAGGAGAGAGAGAAAATTGACAGAATGCTTATATTTTTAAAAATTACTGAAAATATTATAAATCTGGGGAAAGATGTAAACATCTGGGTGCAAAAAGCTCTAAAATCTCCAATCAGATATACCCCAAAGAAGACCTAATCAAGACATATTATAGAAAACTGTCAACATCAAAGGCAAAGAGAACTTTGAAAAGTGTGAAAGATGCATATGCCATACAAGGGGATTTAAATCAGGCCATAAGAGATTTCTCAACAGAAAACTTGTAGGCCAAGGGAAAGTGAGGTGGTATTTTTGAAGTGCTGAAAGGAGGGGAAAAAAAAAACTGTCAACCAAGAATATCTTATCTAGAAAGCTGTCATCCAGAAAAGAAAATGAGAATAGAAAAGATTACAAGATTTTCAAAACAAGACAACAATTAACAAAGAGGCAACTGTATATTCTGACCTATTAATAATTCTGTTAAATGTAAATGGACAAGGGGATGGAGCAAGTTGGCTGAACAGAAGCCATCACTGATCGTTCTCTCCACAAGAACACCAAATTTAAACAACTGTCTGCACACATATAAACACCTTTGTTAGAACCAAAATTCATGTAAGCAATAAAAGTACCTGGTTTGAACTTCGTATTGCTGAAAGAATCACTGAAGAGAGTAGGAAAGACAGCCTTGAATTATCAATCCCATACTCATACCCAATACCCCATCAGTAGCTCTGTGGAACAGAGAGAATCTATGCATTTGGGGAGAGAGAGCCCAGTGACTGGGAGGCTTTGCATTGAACTCAGTGCTGCCCTGTCACAGTAAAAAAACATGCTGAACTCAGCCGCACCCACTCACGAAGGGAGTATTTGGATCAGACTTAGCTAGAGGGGAAACATCCATCCCAGTAGTCATAACTTGACCTTGCCACCATGGGCTAAAGATCTCTGGAGTTATAAGTAAACTGAAAGGCAGTTTAGGACAAAAGGGTTGCAATTCTTAGGTAAGTACTGATGCTGTGCTGGACTTCGAGGCAGTGGAGTGGGGTGGTACATGATCTAGTGAGGCACCAAACAGGGTGCGGGGTGGGGAGTGCTTGTACAACTGCTTCCCCAGCACTAGGCAGCGCAGTTCGTAGCAACAAAAGCGACTTCTTCCTTACGCTTGAGGAGAAAAGAGAAAAGAGTACAGAAGACTTTGCATCTTGTATGCTAGCTCCACCACAGTAGGATAGAGCACTGCACAGAGTCATGAAGTCCCCATCCTAGGGCCTAGCTCCCAAATGATGTTTCTAGACATACCCTGGCCCAGAAGAGAAACCACTGCCTTGAATGAATGGACCCAGTCCTGGCAGAATTAATTACATCCTGGCTAAAGACCCCTTTGGCCTTTAATAACCAATAGCAATACCCAGGTAGTACGCCATGTGCCTTGGGTGAGACTCTCTGATATCCTGGCTTCAGGTAGCAGCTCTTTCACAGTAGGGTAGAATACCAACTAGGCTCTTGGGGTCCAGGCCTAGGCTCTTACACAGCATTTCTGGACCTACCCCAGTCCAGAGGGGAACCCACTGCCCTGAAGGCCGAGTCCCAGGCCTGGCAGTATTCAACACAAGCTGACTAAAGAGCCCTTGGGACTAAAGTGAACATTATCAGTAGCCTGTCAGAACTCTTCATGGTCCAGGGGTAGTGGTGGCTATGAGGAGAGGCCTCTCTACCTGTGAAAGGGGAAATAAAAAGTGAGAAGGGCTTTGTCATGTGGTTTGAGTGCCAACTTAGCCACAGTAGAATAGAAGAACACCAGGTAGGTTTCCAAGTTACTTGTCTGTAATCCCTGGCTTCCAGACAGCATCCCTGAACACGCTCAGAAAACTACAGGGCAATATCACTGATGAATAATATGTTAATAATTCTCAACAAAATACTAGCATAGTAAATTCAACAATATATTAGGAAGATCATTCATCAAGACCAAGTAGGGTTTTTCCCAAGGGTTCAAGAAAGGCTCAACATATACAAATGAATAAATGTAATATATCAACAGAATGAAGGACAAAAGCAATATAATCATTTCAATTGATGCTAAAAGAAACATTTGATAAGGTTCAAATTTCCTTCATGATAAAACCTTCAAAAAACTGGGTATAGAAGGAACATACCTCAATATAATAAAATACATGTATTAAAGATCCAGAGCTAGTATTATACTGGACAAAAATCGAAAGCTTTTCCTCTAAGATCTGGAACAAGACAACAATGCCCATTCTCACCACTGGTATTCAACTTAGTACTAGAAGACCTGGCCAGAGCAATCAGAAAAGAGAAGGGAACAAAGGGCATCCAAATTACAAATGAAGAAGTCAAATTATCCCTGCTTGCAGATGATATGATCTTATATTTGAAGGACTTGCAGACCACCAAAAAACTACTAGAATAAATAAACAAATTCAGTAAAGTTGCAGGGTACACAATCAACATACAAAAATTGTAGCATTTTTACATGCCTACAAGTGAACAATGTAAAAAAAAATCAAAAAAGCAATCTCATTTATAATAGCCACAAATAAAATAAAATACCTAGAAATGAACTTAACCAGAGATGTAAAAGATATCTACAATGAAAAATATAAAACACTGATTAAAGAAATTGAAGAAGATACAAAATATGAAAAGACATTCCACGTTCCTAGATTGGAAAAATAATATTGTTAAAATGTTCATACTACCTAATCTATAGATTTATGGCAATCCTTATCAAAATATCAATGACATTCTTAACAGAAAAAAAAAATCCTAAAATGTATATGGAAATTCAAAAGACCAAGAATAGCCAAAACTATCCTGAACAGAAGAACAAAACTGGAGGAATCACATTACCTTGTTTCAATTTATATTACAGAGATACAGAAATCAAAATAGCATAATACTGACATAAAAATAGACACATAAACCAATGGAAGAGAATAGAGAACCCAGAAAATAAATCCATATATCTACAGTGATCTCATTTTTGACAAAGTTTCCAAGCAATACTTTGGGGAAAAGTCAGTCTTCTCAATAAATGATGTTGGAAAAACTGGGCATCCATATGCAGAAGAATGAAACTAGATCCCTATCTCTTGTCATAGAAGAGATATAAAAATAGATTAAAGACTTAAATCTCAGACATCAAACTATGTAACTCATACAAGTAAACATTGGGGAAACTCTCCAAGGCATTGGTCTGGACAAAGATTTCTTGAATAATACCACACAAGCACAGGCAACCAAAGCAAAAATTGGTGAATGAGACCACATCATGTTAAAAAGCATCTGCACAAGAAAGCAAACAATCAACGTAGTGAAGAGATAATGGACTGGGAGAAAATTATTTGCAAACTATCCATCTGACAAAGCATTAATAACCAGAACAGATAAGAAACTCAAACAACTGTAGAGGAAAAATATCTGATAATACGATTAAAAATGGGCAAAATACGTGAGTAGACATTTCTCAAAAGAAGACATACAAATGGCAGATAGGTATACGAAAAGGTGCTCAACATCATTCATCATCAGATAAATGCAAATAAAAACTACAATGAGATACCATCTCACCCCAGTTAAAATGGCTTAAATCCCCAAAAACAGACAATAACAAATGTTAGTGAGAATGTACAGAATGCTTGTACACTGTTGGTAGAAATGTAAATTAGTACAACCACTAAGGAGAGCAATTTGGAGGTTCCTCAAAAAACTAAAGCTAGAGCTGCCATACAATCTATCAATCTTACTGCTGAGTATATACCCAAAATAAATGAAATCAGAATATCAATGAGATATCTGCACTCCCATGTTTATTGCAGTGCTACTCATGATAACCAAGATTTGGAAACAACGTAAGTTTCCATCAGCAGATGACTGGATAAACAAAATGTGACAGATATATACAATGGAGTACTATTCAGCCATAGAAAATTTTAATATTTAACTTAATGACTCAGTCAGTGCCAAAGCAGTTGTTAATGAAGCCTGCATTAGGGAGACTTGGCCTGCCACATATACAACACAATGGAATACTATTCAGCCTTAGAAAGAAGTAAATCCTGCCATTTGCAACAACATGGAGGAACTTGAAAGACATTATACTAAGTGAAATTAGCCAGGCACAGAAAGATAAATACTGCATCATGTCACTTATATGTAGAATCTAAAAAATGTTGAACTCACAGAAGCAAGGCTGGGGCCAGGTTGGGGGTTGCAGGAAACGGAATGATGTTGGAGAAAAGGTACAAAATTTCAGTCAGACAGGATAAATAAGTTCTGAATTGCTATGGTATAGCATGGTGACTATAATAATAATAATAACGTAATGTATAGTTGAAAATTGCTAAGAGTGTGGATCTTAAATGTTCTCACCACAAAAAATAATAAGTTTATGAGGTGATATATATGTTAATGATATAGCTAATACATACATATATGTCAAAATATGTTGTACATGGTAAATATATACAAATTTTAACTGTCAATTATGCCTTAATAAATCTGGGGACAGGCAAAGGAAAAATATTGTAGTTGCCAAAATAGCTAACTGGCAGTAGACTTCATAAGGCCACAACTAGCAAGAAAACAAGCCCTCATATCTTCTTGTTTTAAAAAAATAAATCATCTTGCCTTTTGAGAAAGGAGAAAAAGGAAAGGCTAGCCCTTGAAATAGTTTTTTTTTCAGTAGCATAACTTAATATTTTAAATATATTAAATCAGTATAGTAAATGTTCGTTAAATACGTGGATAAAACTCAGTGAATGTTTTTATCAGTAGATTAGTTTAAAATGAGAAGTAGTAACTAGCAGACTTGAAACAGGTCAATAACTGCCCTGAATTATGGAGAAAGAAAAACTGGAAAAGAAGAAAAGGGGGTGATATAAAGAGCTAAAAAGTTTTAGTTGTATGGCTGAGTGTGGTGGCTCAAGCCTGTAATCCCAGCACTTCGGGAGGCCAAGGCGGGTGGATCACGAGGTCAGGCTTTTGAGACCAGCCTGACCAATATGGTGAAATCCCATCTCTACTAAAAATACAAAAATTAGCCAGGTGTGGTGGTGCCCGCCAGTAATCCCAGCTACTCAGGAGGCTGAGGCAGGAGAATCACTTGAACCCAGGAGGCGGAGGTTGCAGTAAGCTGAGATCTCGCCACTGCACTCCAGCCTGGGCGACAGAGATCCTGTCTCAAAAAAAAAAAAAAAAAAAAAGTTAAGCGTAAAATGGCAATTCCAGAAATAATTATTTGTTCTGAGACATGAATGTTTATTTCATATTTGATGTATTAAGACAGTAACTACACCATGTTTAATTACTGAAAACAACACTCTCTTTTAACTCTATTGATATTTTATTTGCTTTACTTTGTTTTGTCTCATATTCTTAGTTAAAACTTTTCTTTTATCATCATTTTATTTGTCAAGAGCAAAGGGAAGCTAGATTGCATCTGTTGGATGAGTGCGGAGAAACCGTGATTGTTAGACCACCAGTTTTTTGGCTGGCTCAGAGGTGAGCAGTCAGGCTAAGTTTGCCCACTCAGGGAGTCTTTCCTGAAGCTTTCTCTAAAAGGCAGGAATATTTCTAATTTTTGGATGCTAAAATCTTGAGTGCTCAATGAGTAAATATTAAATGCTTTGTAACACTTTCATTCTTTCCTTCCGTCAAGGCTACCTATTTTCCCATCTACCTCAAATAAGATCTTGTTTCAGTCCTACAGCTTAAATGTTGATGTCTGTCACTCTGGCTTTAACTTCCTGGATAGAGTTGGAATAAGAAAGACTGTGGATGTTGTCACTAGTATTGTTGGTGTTGGTTGGTTGGTTTGGTAATTGTTTTGGTTTAGTCTTTTTCATCGTGGTTGTTGTTCAGGGTTTCCTTTTAATTATGGCTTTGTATATACACAGCACATCTTCTGGGTGATCCTGTATCCAGCTCAACATGGCTATTGAGACTCATTTGTTTTGTCCTATAGCACCACTCTAACTGATGCAGTCTCATGGACAGAAACTAAACAACGTCTGTGGAATTTCTGGGAATAAAACCAGCTATAACTTTCTAAAATTATGACAAGTATCTTAAAACTATTCAAGTTCTTATTAGTTACAAATGCCAAAATCTACTAATTGAAATAAAAATGCAAAAATGACATGTTTTCTGCTTCCAAAAAAAGTTACTATCAAGTACAGAAAAGAAACAAGTAGATAAATGATTACAAAATGGTATAGCTGTTTCTTTGCATTGGATGATGGTCAGGATACTGGCAACATATAGGAAAGTCAACTTTCATCTTTAACCCTGAAAGTACAGGAGGTCTATTATATGTATTGATGTTTCATGTTCTTCTAGGGAATATTAATTTAGGAAAAAAATGAAAGCTCGTAAAAAAAAAATCTTCCCTCTCCATTTTTACCTTCCTGGACATGTGAAGGGCTAAAGTTTTCTTTGACCTTTGCTACATCTAAAATGATTTGATCATCAAAATCCTAGAAATACATGTCTTTGTTATGAGTTCTGCTCTCCAACTACTAGGTAGAGTCTATAGACATTATCTTTCATACGAACATCCTGTCCTGGCAGTGGCATTTAATTTGGAACATTTTAATTAATGTAGCAAATTGGCAGTCAACCAAGAAAAATGGCAATTTGTATTAAACAAAATATGCAGGTTGTGGGGAGGTGAAAGAGGAGGATATACTGAAAATTGGGGTAATCAGACTCATTATATAAAGTTCCTACTTGTAATAAGTTCCACAATGCATCCGAGGCAGTGAAGGTTTCCAGGGTGAGAAGTCTGCTACTAATGAATCCTATACTGGCTGCAAAGCTGACCTTCATTTTAATAGAACTATATAAATACCAACTTTATCCCTTTATTGGGAATTTCCACCAAGTTGTTTTAACTAGGAAAAGCTTCTAATATTAAATGATATTGCCTTGGGAAAGATTAAAGATTATTAAAACATTCATTCTTAACAAGGTAACTAAATACTTTTATTATATGTGTGAAGTATGTTTTTTAAATTCTTTTTTATTATTCCAATTGATTGGGCTAAGATTTTGAAAGCATTATATGGGAGGCTGAGGCAGGAGAATGGCATGAACCCGGGAGGTGGAGCTTGCAGTGAGCCAAGATGGTGCCACTGCATTCCAGCCTGGGCGACGAAGTGAGACTCTGTCTCAAAAAAAAAAAAAAAAGCATTATATAACTTATAACTGATAGTCTTATAGTGTAACCATTCTTTATATATTTATACACATATATTTAAAAATATATATATTAATGTAAGAGATTCTCAACATAAAATATAAATACTTGACTTACTCATGTTATCTTCAAAGTTAAATATGTAGTCTATAAGTGACCCAAAGGTGTCAAGAACTGTGAAAGGTCTGAGATTTTTTTCCTTACTTGCAAACTAATGTTAGCTTGCCACATCTTCATTTTTCTTGGCTGAAGACATGAGACTCCCAGTCAGAGACCAGGAGGTTTATGGCACGGAAGACAACATGAGCACTAACATATTTGTGTTAGTTCCCCTTATCCCCCAAGTCTTGCAGAGGAAATTAAAATGGGCACAGATTAAATAATACAGTACATGTACTGGACTGTATTACAAGAAAAAGAAAAAAACATTGAGCTTAGAGAACTTGGCTCTCTAAATGGATAGTAAGCATGCTTATCCTTTTCTCTGAAGGAGGATGTCATCTTCATAATACTAGATATTTGTAATACTAGTAAGCATGCCTGTCTTCTTCTTTCAAAGGAGACACTATATGTTTCAATGCTATACACCATGCAAACACTTTTTAAAAGATTTTTTTAAAAAAGGCAGTTAATATCTTGCTCACAAGAATTAGCTCAACAATACTCACCCTTTATTTCTATATTGTCTTCACTTCTAAAAAGATTTTCCATGAGCATTTCATTTAGTCAGCCATTTGGATTGATTTGGCCTACAGAGACTGCGACATATCCATTTGATTGTCCCATTTAACATTTAATTAAGGCTATTGTCAACACGTTACCAAGAAGCAAAATGAAGATAGCCTGAGTACTGACCTTACCCATCCCCTCAATGTCCTGGACACAATGTGCTGAACTAGTTCCATAAACCACCAGAGCTTGCCTTAGAATGTCATGTGACTTTTTTCATTAAATTTCTGTATCTATCTTTCCAGCTTTCCCAAAGCATTAATCCACACTGAAAAGGATGTGTTAGTACTTGTTCAGATTCTACCTTGGCCTGCAAAAATAAAATCTTGGACAATTCAGTCATTCACAACAATCCTGATTAATGAGTTGAAACTGACCTTCCAATGCCAAAGTGATATCACTGAAAACTTAAGCTAAAATCATGACAAATTCCCTTCCACCTTTTTAATTGGATGGTTCCCATTACTGCCATTACTGGGATAAGAGCTTATAAAGTGCACATAAATGTGTTAACTTTCTTTCCAGGAAGGTTATTTAAATAGCCAAGGATAGTTTCATTTTGAGGAGATTTTTCACAGTTATCTGAGGGCTATGTAATCTGATGGTATTTATTTAAATACTTAAAGATTTCTACAACTACCTATAAGATGCAAACCATCATGTTTCCAACAGGGAGACAATGTCTTCTACACAAAAATGCAGCACTGGAAATACACAAAGTGAACCCAAAAAGGAAGTCATGTTATCAACTGTTACGGGCTCATAAGTTTGACCTATATCAGTTGAGGGCACAGATTGACAGGGCTTCCACAGTGACCTTCTGGCAAGATAGTTCATTTCAAATAACTGAGTTGACTCCATGATTTTGGAAGGACTGCATGAAGGCATTTGTGTGTGTTCACACCTCTAGCCAAGTAAAATTTATCTCTCTCATTATCTGACTGAGTTATGGCTATGGGAATTGGTGTAAAGAAGATTTCTGGAGGTGTTGACATATGTTTTATGTGGGAAGTGCAGAGGCTGAGAGTCATCCCTTGCTGTTCTGATAGACACCTTAGTAGGATTAGAATGAATGGTGATAAAATCATGGTCAGTGCAAACTGGCAGAGAATGGGAAACCCAGTAGTCAATTAAATGTAATGTACCTGCACAGGTTGGGAGTGGTGCTCCGGAATACTTTTCTTCTTTGAGGAAAATTTCAGGGGTTTATCTTAATGAGACAGATCATTACTGTTCCTCTCTCTCTTGGTTTTAGTATTCTCTGAGGAGTTTACTTCTCCTTTGCCACAAAATCAGTGTGTTCCGTTCCACTAGGAATAACTTCACCCTTTTTTCAATCATTCTCTACTCACATGAGAACATTTCATCTGGAATAGTCAGTTCAAGAAGGACAAGGGAATTTTTAACCAATTACAGAGATCCATTATGACCTTGCCCCCTTTGGTCCACTGTAGAGAAATTTGTCAAACATGTACTTGAACTACCTGTAGTCAACAGACAGTGATTTACAGGTAGTGATTATTCTTATGATCTAGAACTCTTCACCAAATAAGATAATCCAGAGATTTCACGGAAATTCATTGGGATTGGTAGCACACAAACTTGACTATATGTGTGCTCAACTGGGCAATAAATTGTCTTCCTACAATGAAGGAATTAAGGAACAGGTACTGGGATGTAGCTTCAAAGACAGCTGTTCAGTGGGTTTTTGCTGTCATCTGGGCAAGGGAACTTACTCACTAAGCAGAATGCCAGTCTCTGGTTAGCCTCATTTTAACAAATAGTTATAATAATAATAATACCATATGGTTAATGGGCACTGCCTCCTTTGAGACAAGAATCATGGAGTTTTACCCAGGGCTATATACCCACACTGAACATGCATGAAGTAATAGTTACCAGGACTGCAGGCAGGAACCAGGTAAATTGTTAAAAATTTGTCTCTTTCATTTGGGAGAAAAGGGGATGGGATGTCAATCTTAGATCCATTTGGAGTGGGCCCTGGTTGCTCTAAGGCAGATTTGACCATCTTGGTGAGATTTTCCTGAGACAGACAGTCCCTCAGCATCGATGCAAACCACTGAATCAATGAGGTTCTTTCTTCGCAGAGGCTCTCCTAAATGATTGATTCAAGGAAATCCGACAGTGTATGCTTGGCTGCTGTGGCTTTTCAACTTCAGGGTAAGCTATGAAGAAGATTAAAGTGTGTGAGATTGTTCTACTTGGGCAGAACTCAAGGCCATTCTTATGGCTCTGAACAATATTCCCTGTTGATGACTTTGAAATATTAACTCTTGGGCTATGGCCAATGGCTTATATGTTTGCAGTGCCACTTAGAAAGCTACAGACTTGTAGGTGAATAAAACCCCTCATTGGCCAGTGAATTTTGGAAATAAATTTGGGTTGTATTTAATTGCACCACTGTTGCCCAGACCCATCATCACATCACATACAGCAACACACCCACCATTATAGAGTGGACACAAAATAAAATTCTCTATGATTCCGATGCAGAAGCTACCAGTATATGTCAGCATTTTGAGCGCTTGCATAAATTGTACCCATTTTTCATAGGATGAGGCAAAATGAATTGGAAAGTAAGCATGAGCCCCTTTCTCTATGGAGGGAGATAGTACTGTGCTACTGTCGTCCAAAGCTTTTTCACTTTTTAAAATACAGAGATCTTGAAATATAGTCTTGAAAAAAGAACAGTTAATTCCTTACTTGCAATACATACAGTATATTACCAGTATATGCTCTTGGAAGATTCGCTATATGGAATCTTTTACTTTTAGTGGGTCTATTGATGCTGCCTCCCTATTGTTTACACATTTCCATTCTAGGAAGTTCTGGTCTAATCAGTTGATTCCACAACATCACTGTGGCTGCTGAAATCGTCTGTATCAGATTTTTGACTTTTGAAAGCATTTGCTGTATAATAATTATTTGTCTTTTATTACCAAAGCCACACAACAATGGTTTATACTAAGGCATTTCATGGATCATCTATACTCCCCACTATCCACAGTCATATGCTGTTGCTGAGTGTTGGATCAGCCTCAAAGTTGGTTACAATACATTCTGACCACACCACTCTTACATCCTCTTAGTCCACACACTTTCATAAGGCAATTTTTTTATTCATGTATCTATCCCTAGAATGGGATCACCCACCTCCACTGCATCCCAGTTAATGATCAAAGGAAAAGAAATAGGAGGTTATGTACATCTGTTTTTAAAATTCAGAATTACACCCTGTTTAATCTAATGATATTTCTTTCCTTCTCATCACTGTAATTCCAGGCCGACTTGGTTAATATACACAAATGATGACTGGCTGGCCAAAAGAGGGTTTGGGTTTTGATGAAAGAGTTCTACATCATAATTATAATGTGCAGATATGTTACAGATCATGGAGAATTGTCTCTCAGAATAGGGATGTATTTTAAAAAATAAACTTTGGAACACTTGACATATTCTGGAAGATCTATCAATATATAAATGATTTCAAGAAAAATATTCTATGATACATTTTGATATATATCATGTACATGTGAATGTGTGTATGTATATACATGTACATACCATCTGTTATCAACCATTTATTTTTCATGTATATAAAATACATATATTGCATATATTTTATGTATTCATATATATGAAAAAATATATATTCAGATATGTGCTGCATAATGACATTTCAGTCAACAGTAAACTGCATATATGATGGTGTTCCCATATTAGAACACTCTATTTTTACTGTACTTTTTCTATGTTTAGATATGTTGATACACTAACACTTGCCACTATGCTATAATTGCCTGTAGTATTCAGTATAGTTACATGCTGCACAGGTTTGCAGCCTAGGAGCAATACGCTATACCATGTAGCCTAGGTGTGTATTGGCCTATATCCTCTAGATTTGTATAAGTACATTGTATGATGTTAGCACAACAGCAAAATCACTTAATGGCACCTTTCTCAGAAAGTATTCCTGTCATTAAGTGAAATGTTATATGAGATAAATAGTTGATAAAATATATCCTTTTATTTTTCCTATTTGGAGATATTCTGCAAATTAATAATTAACAATGCCTATTAAATATTTTTATGAGTCACAGTCAGAAAACATGAAAATTTTGACTTGGGGGAAAGTGACACTGTTGTGGATTTTTTTTTAGTTACCATTACACTATTTGTTTATTTTAGTTAAGTAACCCAATGGTTCCAAAATAAACTTGGTTTAATCTTTTTTTATATATTGGTTTCCAAGAGAACGAAATTTCCAAAACTTTATTTAAAAAGTAAATACTATGTACTATGTAAATATTACACTATCTACCCTAAATAAAGAGACTGTTTCTTATACTGAAATAAACATTGAACTTGGCTCTACTTGTGTCTTAAAAAAATTATATTTACCTCTCCACATGTTTCCCTATTTGTAAAGTGAAGATGCTGGACAAGCTGTTCATTAGCATTTCTTAAGGTCTAATCACTGATAGTTATAAATAACTCCTAGGGGATTTGGATGAGTTTGCAATGTAATACATAAAAGTTACTTATAGATTATTGGGGACTCTGTCTACTACAATTATTTTGCTAGAAATCCATAAATATCTCTTTTTTAATACTCTATGCATTTCCATTATTCTTGTCTCTTCACTGGTTTCCTTTCATAATGATCGTACAAAACCATGGTATTTTTGATGAATTAGCTAATAAATGTAATTTCATCTTTCTATTCAAGTGGTTGGGGAAAATAGAAAATATATGAAGGGAGAAATAAATGGCAGAAGGAACACTAAAAGTAATTTTTCATTGTCTGTTAGAGCAAAGCTTCTATCCACTCCAATGTATCCCAACCCATTTCTTTAGAAACTTAGTCATAGTTTGAAAAGTACAAATCCTTTAGTGCTTCACCTAACCCCAGTGGTTTCTCCAAGCTCTACTCAAGCCTTCGAAAATCATCTCTTAATTAAAACATTTTAAATTACCCACTGAACAAGTTACCTGTTTTCTCCTAGGCCCCTGATTAATGCAGGTAGCTTGGCACAATTATCACCACTTAACTGTGGACAATCCAAACACATGGAATTCTATAGCTTGCCTGGTATCTTGTGGTTAAGTCATGAAGCAAGGACTAGACATAAGTCTTCTCATCCTAGTGGCCTTCCACTTAATCACACTGGAATTTTCCTTCAATTATCTTTACATCAGCTTGCGTATCTAAAATTGTCAAATGTGTGGTTTTTGAAGTAAATACTACTGAGGATGCTGCCTCTTCTAAAATTGAATGATTTAATAATTGCTAATCAGTGTAATATTTTGTACTATGAATTTACCAGGGGATTCCAATATATTCTCCATATTCCAAAGGCGACAAGAATATGTCTTCTACCTTAAATTATTGTGTTCTTGAATTCCCCACTGCCTGACTAAAAAATATGTGTTCCTACATGGTTGACTTCATTGTGTAATTTGAAGCAGTGTTTATGACCACAATCAAATTCCAAATATCTTTAGTGAATTATAATATTTAAAGACACTTATTACTATAAGGAAATTTTTCACATTTTAAAAATTATTACAAGAATTAGATGCTTGTTATTTTACTTATTAATAGAGCCCTAACACTAAGTAACAATTACCCTGGGCCAGGCATGCTCTAAGGGTTGTTACATTTAATAACTCGTTGAATCCCCATAACAAATGTATGAGGGCAGTAATGTTAATTATTGCCATTTTAATAAATGAGAAAATTGAGACACAGGGATACTATGTAATTTGCCCAAAGTTACACAGTTAATCCTTAATCTTAGAGATTAACAACAACAAAAAAAAATAACTGTAATACTGGGCTGTCAAAAGTAGCAGATCTTAGCATCAGTGCCAATGCTAAGACCCAATCCTACTTCAGTGCTGTCTCCATCTACCTATGCTGGCCCTCCTTTACATTCCATGGTAATTTCTTAAATCAGTGCAAACCAAGTTAATACTAAAGTAGTTAAAGTAATTATGTCTTCAAGAAAATACATATTAACAATTCTAAAGTTAATTAGCTGGTCACTTGTTTAATTATTAAGATAGTGGTACCATTCCTCTCTAAATAACTTATAGACACAGGATAGTCAGCACTTTCTGGCATATATAATTTCTAGTGTTTTTTTTTCACGTTCATTTCAATTGTGTTCAAGCAGTTTTGAAATACACCTTTGGATAAGGAAATGCCATAACATCTGTTGGAAAGACAGGGAAATGGAAGGAATTGCTAAGTCAGATTTAGAATCAGAGTTGTACTTTAGACAGAATGAGGACTTGATTTACACATGAAAAAATGTAATTTTTTTTTCACTCTCTAAAGATACCAAAGTTTGGAAATAATTTTTCTTTCACCAAAATGTAAAAAGAATATTTTTCATTAAAAAGTAAACATTAAGAATAAAAGCTCTCATCAAAAATAAATTGGAATAAAAATTATTATAACATGTCAACTTTCAAATTGGAGCTTCATTCAACAACAATTGTAAAATTCTTAATATACCATTCAGGTTATTTTATTATTTGGCCCCAATTTACCCTATTGAGACTTCTAGTACTGTATTCCATTCATACCCTTTATGCGGAGACCTCAAACTCAAGTTCCCACAGGGTAAGCAAATAATGTAGGGAGTGAATCATGCCATTTTGTTTCATAATACTGACTTAAGTGTATACTAAAGCTGAATAAAAGAAATATTTTTCACTTTCATAAAGTGAGATATCTTTTATTATTTATTTGTATGTCATTTTAGATGAAGACACTGATGTAATATATACATAAATTTCCTCTTAACTTCAGTGTTTGAAAACAGAAAGAGATCAGCACAAAGTTGGTCATAAATAGTGATGACTTCAAGCTTCATCATCAGGAAGACAAAAGAGAATATTTGAGACTATAGTTCACATATGAATGAATGCTTTATATAAAAGATACATGTGCTACTGGAATTCAGACACATTTTATTATAACGTAGTAGAGGTCTGATGTTATAGGATCTTCTAAAACTTTAGGAATATCTAGAGATCTAACTTGGGTGGAGGCTGATGATCATAATTGTTTTAGGCATATAGGATAAAGCAATAAACAAAGCAGACAAGCCATGCCCTTGTGGAGCTGATATTCTATAAGGAAATTACCAGCAACATACATACTAACCATCAATATACATACTAAATGAGTGAATAATATAATATTTTAAAATGTGATACGTGCTATGGAGAAAGACTAAGTCATCAAAAGGAAGCTAAGGAATGACTGGTGGGGTTGTAGTTTTAAACAGAGTAGTCATTGTGATAACAATTTGAAGGACATGAAGGAACAAGTCATGCTGGTATCGAGGTACAAGAATTGAAAGCAGAAAGAGCTACTAATATAAAATATCATATGTTTAAGGAAGGACAAGTAAGTCAAACTGGTTACAGAAAAGTGAGAGAAATAGGTAATGAGGTCAGAGACGTAAGGCAATGTTTTTTCTCCTGGGTGGAAACTCCAGCTTTTAAAGGTTGGGAGCTATTTACTTTCTTTTTTGAACACTGATATCTGAACATGCCTATGTGCAGCCAAGCTCATGTGAGTGCTAGTTTCTGATTTCTGCTAATAAAATGTCTTTTATTGTCTCATCTTTTCATAAATTTATTCTCATCCTTTCACAATAATCTCATCATTATATTTAAAAATATTGTTTACATTTAAAATATTTTTTTCGATTTATTAAACTGACCTGTTCTATAACCTATTTCTATTTTTTTAATTAGTTTATAGGATTACCCAGCTCTATCCACTCTGCCCTAATTTTTGCATCCTATCATTTCTTGCTTCCTGGAGCCAAGATTTGGTCTTCTGTGTGACTTTGACTCCTGATGAGACTGCTAGAAACTTTCCTTTACCTTGCTTACCTGCTTTTTATGTTGAGTGGAGCATGCCCACCAACATTTAATCAATCTGTATGCACTGTCAGCATAGGTGTCTCCTCCTGACAACTCTCGGCCTTCTGATTTTTTTTGTTATAAATGCTAACTCGCCAAACAACTTCTCACAGGTAGCACTCATGTGTGAAGGAAGGGAAATTAATCCACCCTATTCCACTGCAAATCTGTACTGATCAAAAGCTGACTTACTGAAATATTTTTAAACAGAGAGCAATAGAGGTCGCTTTGGAAGAGTTCACTGTTGGCAGCAATGCTATACTCTTTTTTCCTTTTCCAGAATTTTGCCTGCAGAAAATGGAACAGCTTCTCATTTAGATGGGATACTTTTGTAGATAATGAGATTTTAGAATTTAAATGAGAAAGACATTTAAGTACTCTTGCTTCCAAATTTTCAAGCTAAATGGTCAAAACAGTCATCACATATATAGCTCCACTGAGGGCAGTGACTTGCTCCAGGTCATTAGAGCCAGAGCTGGAGTCTTCAATTTTTGACTAATAATTCATTTTGCTACTGATAAGATAATTTCATTGTCACTGAACATGAATAAATTACTACTTTCTGACTTCATTCAAAAAGGAATTAGATTAAATGAAATACTTTGTATTGATTATTTGCTAAATAAGATTTTTTTAAATAGGTTGTATTCTGGGGATAAATAGTGGATTCCACCTTTGTGAAAAAGAGATCCTAAACGTTTAGACAGAAACTATAGTCTAAAGAAGAGAATTTCTCAACAAAAATCAGTTTTTTTCTTTTTCTCAAGAGGTGATGCTACATAGCAGATGAATGACATATCATTATGTAAAGTATGAATTTAAGAAAAAATATAAAAAATAAAGTTTTAATTTTAATAAAATAGAATTTTTGTAAAATATTTAAATAAATTCCATGGTAACTTAGCTTTAGTATATCATTCTGAACATAATTCTCTATGAGAACAATAGATGTTCAGGAATCTTTCACTTTGTAATCCAGAGAGATTTTATGGAAATCCAGAAAAGATTTTAAAAATATCAAAGAAGCATGCTAAAATGAATTCACTAGATTATATATGAAGATACAGAAAATTTCATCCATAAACAAATTCTGAAATGCTTTCAGAATTATTTTTGGATGATTTCTTTTCTGATTATTTAAAATGTTAGGCATCACTGTGTTTTATTGTTCCTGTTTGTTTGTATGCACACAGGCTAATAGGTTTACACTTAAAAGAAGATACCTTCCCCAATCACTTATGTCATGTTAAGTGAAAGGAAGCAATTTGAGGTTATGGTGGCATGCAAAATTCCTTGAATATGAAAATTAATCCTGGTAGCAATGGATTAGATCATTACTATCAAGAAACAATGCTAGGGCCCTGTGCAGTGGCTCATGCGTGTAATCCCAGCACTTTGGGAAGCCGAAGCAGATGAATCAATTGAGGTCAGGAATTTGAGACCAGCCTGGACAACATACTGAAACACCATCTCTACTAAAAATACAAAAATTAGCTGGGTGTGGTGGCAAACACTTGTCATGCCAGCTACTTAGGAGGCTGAGGCAAGAGAATCGCTTGAGCTGAGGAGGAGTAGGCTGCAGTGAACTGCAATTGCTCCACTGCACTCCAGCCTGGGCCACAGAGGAAGACTCTGTCTACAAAAATAAAGGAAAAAAAGGAAAGAAAGAATGCTAGATGACTCTTCACCAGGGGAGGTTATTTTTCAAGTAAAAGAAATCTGATTGAATTATTATAGCTGTTTCAATCACAAGGACTGCTTTTCCTTAGTTGATTTATTAGCATCAAGTCTTCAAATTGTCAAAACATTAGAACCTTCTCTAGCTTTGGTTTTAATAAGTGAAAGAAAGATAATACAGTAAAAAATGTTTGGAAACTCACACATTTTATGTGTATCACTCCTGTAATTTTTCTTCAAATTATGTCCTTATCATTTATTTTTTATATTATTGATTCATCAACTTATTCATACCAAAAATATCTTATTGTGAGGTAGGAATTTAATGTACCTAGAAGAAAAGTAAGAAAATTTCAAGCACAGGATAGTACTAACTCACGATTTACTCTTTCATTTAAAAATACACACTATGATGGCTGTTTTTGGCAAACTTAATTACACTTGTTAAAGATTCTCCAAATTTCCCCAAATGTCTAGAATTATACTGTTTGTGATCTAACATAGTCATATGTTGAAGTTTCAGCTAGTTTAGAACACCCTGAAGAATATCTGGTAATTTATGAAATCATTATTAATTGTAAGACATTGTGTTGGATACTGAGAAATACATTACTTGCCTATCATATTTAGTTGCTTTGAATGCAAAAATGCATTTAACCTTCACAATGATCTTATGATAAGTTGATGCAGGCTTTTTCTCAGCCCCTTTGGTGGACTCCCAGCAGAGGCACCCCATCTACTCAGCCTGCTGCACTCAGCTCTTTGAGGGAGGGAGCATGTGAGCAAGCGAGTGCAGAATTGGGCCAGCCACCCCAAATGCTGACACAGGAGCAAGCTCTGCGCAGGGCCCACAGCCAGACCAGTAGTGTCACCTCAAGGGGAATATGGCAGTGCCCAGGCAAGGGTGTCCATGATCCTGAAGCCCCAGAGTGGGTGTTAGTGTGCTAATTAACTTTTTGGGTTCCACTGTCCACGGTCTGATGGACAGCCATGTGTAAGCAGCTTAGTTGGTCCCTGGCCCTGTTGTGTGGGGTGGCTGCCCTCTGCCAGCAAGGGCAAAGAGCCAGTGTGACAGCTTTTCTGGGTATCCACACTAACTGGGTCCCGAGCTCTTGTCCAGCATCCAAGAAGAATGAGGTCATGCTGACGACTGAAAGATGGTGAAGGCTGAGAATTATATCAAGCAATGAAAAGCGCTCTCAGCCAAGAGGGCAGCTGGAGAGGGGACGTGAAAGGCAGGTAATATTCTCTGAAGTCAGGAGGTCTCTCTCTCTCTACCAACTGAGTCTGGGGTCTTTATAGGCACAGGAAGGGGGCATGGCAGGCTGCAGGTAATATTGAAAAAGGCAACATTCGATTGGTTGAAAGAATCCATTGGGAGAGAGTGGGCAAACAAGAATAGAAGTTCTCACTCTGGTCCATGATTTTACCTGGGACTATCTTCAGCTTGAAGATTGGGTTTCACTGGGGACCTACCCCTGTCTGCGTAGGATTTCTTTGCCTCCTGCCTCTGTTAATGTTAATTGCATTAAATCTTTTGAGATAAGGAAACATAAGTGTAGAGCTGTCAAATTATTTTGTCAAAGCCACAAAGATACTTTAGACAAGAGTCTGGCCATGTCCATCATTCTGTCCAATCTCTAGCAAATAAGCACTCAATTTTATCTTTTTCTTTAATGGACTTACGCTATACTTTATTTTTAAAACCAAATTTTAATTTAATATTAAAATTTAAGTCAGTATTTTCATATCAAATTTTTTCTGGGATTACAGGCATGCACCCACCACACCTGGCTAATTTTGTATTTTTAGTACAGATGGGGTTTCACCATGTTTACCAGGCTGGCCTCAAGTGATCCACCCACTTGACCTCAAGTGATTCACCCACCTTGGCCTCCCAAAGTGCTGGGATTACAGGCATGAGCCACTGTGCTCAACCTCCATATCAATTTTTTATTTTTTTATTTTTTTTATTTTTTTTGAGACAGAGTCTTGCTCTGTCACCAGGCTGGAGTGCAGTGGTGCAATCTTGGCTCACTACAACCTCCGCCTCCCGGGTTCAAGTGGTTCTCCTGCCTTAGCCTCCTGAGTAGCTGGGACTACAGGTGCATGCCACCATGCCCAGATAACTTCTGTACTTTTAGTAGAGACAGAGTTTCACCATGTTGGCCAGGATGGTCTCGATCTCTTGACCTTGTGATCCACCCACCTTGGCCTCCCGAAGTGCTACGATTACAGGCATGAGCCACTGTGTCTGGCCCATATCAATTTTTTAAAAGCAAATGGACATGTCCCATATGAAATAAAAATGACAACAACACGATGTTTTGCAAGATACGAGAGAACAATAGTTTCTGTTAAATTGCTATTCTTTTAAATATGTTGTGCACTTTGGCTATAAAAATGCATTTCATCTCAGTCTAGTGTGAGACCATAAGGAAAATATGCTTATGTTTCTGCACCGTTAGGGCTTTTTGAGAAGATCTTACTGAAACTTCAGACCTAGGCTAAAAGACAAGCTATAGAAGTTGATTTATAACTTATTAAATAATAGAAAACATATACTTACTTCTTCAGAGGTATGGGTTTAAATTTCAAAGCAGGGTGTGATCTGGGACCAGGAAACATTGCCTGGTCTGTGAAGTTGGAGACAGTAGTCTTATTGACGACCCAGGATTCTAATATTTACATTTTCAAAATGATTCTCTCTGAAGGGAATGGGGGACAGCTGCCTCTATTTCCTGAAAAAATGTCCAGTTTTTTTTTTGTGTGTGTGGTGCTTCACCTACAATACAGATGCTGTGTATGTAGAGTGACATCTGGTTTTCATTGTGTTACTCCAGTGGTAAAAATTGGGGCATAGAAGAAACATGTAGATATTATTTGCTATAAATAATAATAATGATAATGTTTTTGGCTTCAGAAACTTTGTATATGTACTTAAGAAAATGTTAATAAATAGATGTTAAAAATCTAATAGTGTAAAAATGTCCTTTACATGAAATGAGAAATTATGTTCTTGAAACACAGCATTATACTGACTAGTTTTATTACATTGCGTAGATTTTTCTTTTAAATTTCACCTATCTTGGGCTTTAGCTACTTCCTAAGATGGACATTTTTACAACGCTATTGTTAGGGTTAAATTAAAAACGTTGTCTAAAATGCTGTCATAGTTTCTAAGGAGCTATTTGGAGGAAAGGATAGACAGATAATAAGTTGAAATTATTTGGTAATTTATTTTAAAATCTCCAAAAGGGCTAATAGGGTTAAATAAAATATTTGAGGTTTGCTCTTTTTTCCACTTGTCCTTGCTTAAAGATATAAATTCCCTAAGTTGGAGTGCATTTGAAACTGCGGGATGATTGCCAAGCAAAAAGCATGAACATGATAAGAAATCAATAAATGGCTCAGTGTGTTATATATCATGATGTGATGAGCAGTTGAGAAAGGAAGAAACAAGAAAGTAAATAATGATGGGTTTCAAATGATATGACGTTTGAGCAGAGTGTTAGGAAAAGTCAGGTGCAGACGACTGTTAGAAAAAAGCATTAATTAAGAGATATAGAGTTGTATTAGTCAGCTCTCGCATAGCTATAAAGAAATAACTGAGACTGGGTAATTTATTTAAAAAAATTAGAGAAGGTTAATTGGCTCACAGTTCTGTAGGCTGTACAGGAAGCATGGAGGCATCTGCTTCTGGGGAGGATTCATGGATCTTTTAATCATGGCGGAAGGCAAAGGGGGAGTGAGGCATCTTAAGTGGCAGGAGCAGGAGGAAGAGTGGGGGAGGTGCCACACACTTTTAAATGACCAGAGTTCATGGGAACTCACTCACTGTCACAGAGGGAAATCTGCCCCCATGATTGAATCACCTCCTACCAGGCCCCACCACCAACACTGGGGATTACAATTCGACGTAGATTTGGGCAGGGACATAGACCAAACCAAATCAGGAACAGATTGCTACTATGTCATTCAATTCTGAGGAACCTCATAAGAAGTACTTATTCTTGGCAGCATTATGATGATTTTAGTAGTGAAGATACTTTATGTTGATGAAGAAGCATTAAAAAATGAATTTGTTTGCAACTGAGATGTATAAAAATAGAATGTGGAAAAGTAAAGCAAATATACCAATAATTTGAGAGATAAATGTTTCTTCCATCATGTAGACATTTCACAAACACATAAAATTATCTGATCGTTCTCTTTTTTCTTTTCTTTTCTTTTTTTTTTTTTTTTTTGACAGGAGTTTCACTCTTGTTGCGCAGGCTGGAGTACAATGGCGCGTTCTTGGCTCACTGCAACCTCTGCCTCCCAGGTTCAAGCAATTCTCCTGCCTCAATCTCCTGAGTAAATGGTATTATAGGTTCCTGCCATCATGCCTGCCTAACTTTTTGTATTTTTAGTAGAGACAGGGTTTCACCGTGTTGGCTGGGCTGGTCTTGAACTGCTGACCTCAGGTGATCTAGCTGCCTCAGCCTCCCAAAGTGCTGGGATTACAGGCGTGAGCCACAGAGCCCTGGATATTTTTTTGTTTTGTTTTGTTGGGTTGTGTTTTGTATTTTACTTGATTTACATGACCTCTTTTCTTTTTTTTCTTTTTTTTTTTTTCACTTTTATTGTAATTCTCCTAAGGGAAGATAGTATCCTGGGAAGCAATTCATGCAAAATGAAAGATGATTAATGCTGTTTAATTTTAAATAGAAATAGTAAGGTTTCAAGAGTGATAGAAGAGCTACACTAATATTCTTAAAGCTACACTAATGTTCTTAAATATATCCACTCCCTCACCCACACAGACTCACAATCATAAACACACAATGAATAATGCCTTAAAAATTACTAGTATGTCCCCATTTGTTCATCTGTTGAAATACAAAGAAAATGTCTATTAGGGCTTTTTCCATTTATATTACAGTATGAATAAATAAATGATTTGAAAATAAGAGAAAGGAGAGAATAAGAACTCACCTGGTAAACCAAGACATCAGCCCATCGAGGACTGCTAAGAAAATGGGTGATTTGGAGACTTGAATCCAATGTCTGATAATTTTTTTGTATATATCTAGGTTCTATCTAATATTTTCTGCAATCGCAAAGGCTACATATTGGATTATACCTATTGTGTATAGGAGAGAACCCCAAGATTAGATATTTAGGATTTTCTTTATGGAAACATTTTAGAGAAATGTGCTGAGTTTTTGCCTACTAAAACTTAATCCTTATCCACAGAAACATTCCATAGTAATTTCCCTTGAAATCAAAACACTTTAGATTGATTGCCAACTTCTCTGTTGTGCTTGTACCAGTACTTACAGTGTTCATCTGCTCAAAGCAGTGATACATTTGGGACAAAGTCCTTAGGACCTAAACTTCCAGGATGACTGTTCTTTGGGGATCCATACTCTTGTTTGTCAGATTCTTAATTGCTTTTATCGGAGTGGCTTCTCTTTATTCTTAGACTGGGGGTTTCTTGGTGATTTATTGATTTCAGTATCTTACCAAAAAAATCTGGTTTAAAAATATTCTGAGAGAACTCTGTCATGAAATCACAATATATATCATGACATGATTAAAAACAACTGGGCAAGGTATACTTGGATGCAACTATGATTTGATGTAATAATAAGGTCAACAAATGGGAATCATGTATTGAATAAGTGCTATCTGTCATGCTATATATATATACATATATATATACATATCTGTAATCATTATCATCCAAATACTTTAAAATATTTGTATTCTTATCCTAATTTAGAAGTAAGAAAACTGAGTTCTGAGGAGCTTATCTAGGATGATACAGTTAGTAAATAATGAAGGTAAAGTTTTATTTCAGGTATTTCTAGTTCCAAGCCTACAGTATTTTCCGAACACTATGCTGCCATTTCATGCTCGAATTATAGCGTAAATGGGTGATGATGGTTTAATTTTCCCTTCCCACGATTAACAAATTATTGTACAATATTTCTCTAAAAAATAATTTAAGAACTTATACATTGCTTATAAAAATTATGTATGAAAAATTGCATCATGGAATGCAAAAATAGAACTGAAATACTTTATTTTCTGTCATAAACTGAAATAAAAGCAATTGTTCTGCAATACAACAAATGGAAACCATTTTTGACATATCAGGTTATTTTTCTTGTTATTAGAAAATGAGTCCTTTTTTTAAAAAAAAAATCACTGATTTTGTGAAAGAGTTTTTATTAGTAACATATGTTTCTCAGAATGGAAATATAATTGTATACTTTGTACTGTAGAAACTGCATTTATTCAGTTTAGCATCCATAAGAACTGCCAAAGATTCCTTTTTTAAAAATATTTGGAGCTGCAATATCAGGCCCATTAAAATATACAAGAAGATACCTTTTTAAAAAAGCATTACTCCTGCTTAGAGAAGGAATTTCAAACCTGGGAGACATAGGGGCCCTGCAGATTTCAAAAGAAAAGCATCCTGTTTAGAGAGGTTTGTATCCTCACTTTTCTTCCTTGTAGCAGCATTTATCCAAAGAATTAAAGACCAAGAGCCATAGCCTTGCAGCTATTATGCAGTCACTCCTCCTGGTCAGCAGCAGCATGTTTGATTATATGCTATGGCTTCCAGCGGGATCTTTCAGTAACTGAAAAGCCATGCTCAGATGCTGATTATTCACCATAAACTTTTTTTTTTTTTTTAACTGAGTGATTAGGGAAAAAGAAAAATAATGAACAAAAAGGGAGAGTGAAGAGGACAGGAGTAAAAGAGCAAAAAGAAGAAAATGTGTTTGGCTCCACAGTTGTGCTTGGTGAAGCTTTCTTTTCCCCAAATACTCAGCTGCCCATCGGGGTTGGTTAATATTTTTAGCGGGAAGTACAACATCAGTTATTGATTTAATTAAAGGACAGTTGAGATAAAGTTAGTTTGTGCAGGAGGAAAAAAAAAGTCACAGGAGAGATTCAGCTAAAGTGAAAATATGTGTCAGAGAGACCACAAAAGAGAATCTGCAAAGGAGGTAGATAGAAGACTGTTTAAAATGGGGAGCTGGTGGATTAAGTGAGAATTCATACTCATTGCACAGTTGGCTGATATCTTAAGTGTTTTATAACTTAAGAAGAAAAACTTTTAGTAAGCGTAATAGACAATTTTTCCCCATTGGTGGTGTGTCACCACTCCTTTACGTTAGACTGCTTACTAAGAAATGTAATTCTTCTTTCGTTTTCTTCTTCAAGGACACAGAGATCGTGGCTACTGCATTATGAGGTTATAAAATACCAATGACATACTATAACATAAATTTATATGATGGAGGAACTATTATTCTCTTAATACAAAATAATTCAAATGAAGATTTGCATTCTTGTGTGATATGGCATAAGTTAAATGTTTAAGACAACATAGTGACAGACTTAAATAGTTATCTTCTGTTAGAAAGCCACATTTTTAATTCTGTGACTTGGGAGAGGTGATTTGATGTTTTTTAAAAAGTCACATAATTGAAAAAGAAAGCTTTTAGTCAGACTGGCATTTATTCAAATCATAGCTCTACTACTTATTATTTGTGATCATGGTCAAATTACTCCTACTCTAGTTTAAATTTATCTTAAGATGGATATTAAATAGAACCTATCCCTTAGGGTCATTTTGAGAGATAAATGAGATGATGCTTATAAAGCAGTTTGCACAGAGGCTGGCGAGAAGAAGATATGCATAACTAAATATCTATCATCATAATTTCCATTAATATTTTTATTTTAAATACCATCTATCTGACACATAATTCTTTATCTCTACTCCTCATCTCTCCCATGAGTTATGGACTTCTATTTCAATCGTCTTTTCAACATGCCCACTTGGGTACAAAATACACAACTCATAGTAAGTATATCTAAAAGACTAAATTCCCACTCCTGCCCAATCTCCTGCTCCTTTTTTCCTCCCAATTTGTTGAACACTATCACCATTCCTATACGTTGCTAACACTAAAAACTTCAGGATGATGGTTTCTCTTTTTCTCTTTACCCACATCAGCAAATCTTGTTAGCTCTGATTTTAAAATGTAGCCTGTATTAAACCAATTCTCAGTATTTCAAAAACTCTAAAGCAGTTCTCTATTATGTTGACTTACACAACTTTATACAAATATTCTCTCTTTAGTTTTTCACAACTGCATTTTATCCTCCACACAGAAGACAGAAAACTTTCTCAAATGTGCATCTGATTGTGTCACTGCCCTGCTTAAACTCCTCCATTTGTTTGCATTTGCAATTATAATGACTTTCTAAACATTCATTATGACCAACTATTATGTGTCTACCTTCCTCCTTTACTTCACCTTCTAGTTCTCTCTCCCTTGATCCCTGTGTTCTAATCACAGTAGCCTTCCTCCACTACATTATTTTCCCTGAAACTTATTTCCTCTTTTACTGAGTAAATAATACCTCATGTTTATTGAATGCTAAATATGTTCCGGACACTAAATTATTTATTTAAATTGATTATTTCAATAATCTAAGAATTTAATTTATTGAATTCTCACAACAACCCAATAAGATAGGTGTTAATATTAGCACCATTGTATGTGACATGAAATTGAGGCATAGCCCCCAATAATTCATCCAAGGTCACAAAGTTGGTAAATGACAGAATCTGAATTCAAAACCTAGGCATTGCTTTCCAGAGCCAAAATCCTTCAGTTCTACCATATGCTGTACTCTGTTTCGCAATTATTTCTCAAACACTTGCAGTTCTTCTACTTTGAATTCTTGCAATTTGTAGTCATTTATATTTTTAATATATTATAGTAAAGATGATCTTGTTTTGTTCTTGTTCAGGGTTGCTTTTACTATTTGGCTCTTTGAATTTCCACATAAATTTAAGAATCTTCTTGTTATAGCTGATTACACTGTTAAAATTTTGACTAGGATTGCAGTTAATCTGTAGTTCAATTTGAAGAGAATTGAGATTGTTACTGTATTGAGTCTTTCAAAGTATGAGCATGACTTTGTATTCCTGTTCTACTTAATAGGGTCTTATCTTATATTTCTCTTAAAAATGATTTATGGTTTTCA
The DNA here is from genome assembly GCF_000001405.40 of Homo sapiens. Lineage (NCBI taxonomy): Eukaryota > Metazoa > Chordata > Mammalia > Primates > Hominidae > Homo > Homo sapiens. The sequence goes on from NC_000013.11 coordinate 68,136,689, forward strand.
GTATAGAAATTTTGCAGGTCTTTTGTTAGATGTATTTTTTAAGCATTTGGTAATTTTGATGTTATATTTTAAGTCAATTTCCAGTTATTTATTACTGATATATAGAAATACAGTTGACTTTTGAATATTGATCATGTATGCAACAATCTTGGTAAATTCACTTATGAATTCACATAATATCAAAACAATATATATCTTAGTATGTATGTATGTGTATATATATATATGTATGTTTGTGTGTATGTATAATGTATTTCTGACAGTAAATATGAGGATTTTAAATTGGAGGCAGGTGGTTACTTTGGTGCTAGTTCTTCATTCCCCATTGTCCTCCATAGGTTGAACTGGTGAGAGATGTATAGAGCCTGCAGGTATGGCATGGATCTACTCTGCAAAAGAGGAACCCCAGAATTATGAATCTTGGAGTGAATATATGCCAGCTTGTACTGCTGCAACTCATTTTCTCCTTTTCTATAATTTATATTATTTAGTTTATACTTGAATATTATATGACTCTTACAGCCAGAATAAATCCCACTTGGTCAAATTATTTTATTATTTTATATATCACCAGATTGTATTTGCTTCTATTTTATTTAGGATATTTGTATGCAAATTAATTACAAAGTTTGCAAATTTTTTTCCTTGATGTTCTTGTCAGTTCTTGAATCAAGGTTGTGATGTTGTGATCCCCTCAGAAAACTATGTTTGAGGCCAGGCGTGGTGGCTCATGCCAGTAATCCCAGCACTTTGGAAGGCTGAGGTGGGCAGATCACCTGAGGACAGGAGTTTGAGACCAGCCAAAATGATAAAGCTCATCTCTACTAAAAACACACACACAAAAAAAATAGAGGAGCTTGGTGGCAGGTGCCTGTAATCCCAGCTACTCGGGAGATTGAGGCAGGAGAATCGCATGAACCGGGGAGGCAGAGGTTGCAGTGAGCCGAGATCACGCCACTGTACTCCAGCCTGGGAAATTAGAGCGAAACTCCGTCTCAAAAAAAGAAAAAAGAACAAGAAAACTATCTTTGGAGTTTTTTGTCTGTTACTAGACTATGGAAGGGTTTGTGAAAGATCAATGCTATTCTTCAATAGAATTTACCAGTAAAGCTGTGTAGACTTGAGGTGATTTCTGCCGCCATGTTGATTATTTTCTCCTTTTCCATCTTTGGGTTTGATGTTTTCTTCTGTTTCTACTTTCTTGAGATACAAATTAGATAATTACTATTCAGACATTCTCCCTCTCTTAATATGTACATTGATGCTCCACATGTCCATTAGGTTTAGCTGCATTTGTCCACATTTTAATATTCATATCTTTATTAATATTCAAAATATTTTTATTGCTTTCAATATGGGTTATTTAAAACTTCATTGTTTAATTCCTCAGTGCTTGGAGATTTTCTAGTTTATTTATGTTTACTAGTTAAATTGTCTTATGGCTAGAAAGTATATTTTAATAATTGTGGTTCTTATAAAATTTGTTGAAGCTTTATATCCTTATTGATTATTTTCCTATTTATATACCAATATACAGGCTACATATTTAACTAGTTTTTCTTTTAATTTTGCTTTCTTATGTTTAATTGTGGGGATAAAACGATGATGATTTGATTCACTATCAGAAGATGTTTTCAGAGAAATCTAATTGCCTTTCTGATAGTTATAGGTGCAGAAAAATCAAAAAGTGAGAAAATCAGGGAAAAAAGTAGCTAAGTATTACTATTTAAAATTAATACAATGCAGTCATTTAGGAAAAATGCCTAAGTTTTATATGGTATAAAAAAGCACTTTTCACTTAATAAGTTCTAGATTATTATCATAAATTTGATGAAAATGGCAAATTATGTGTTCATATTTTACTAGTTCTTTCTCATAAACCTAGGACTTCCATTTTTATTTTAATGGGATTATTATTTGTTCAATAGAATCAATTGAATATGATTCTTTGTTCTTTTGTCGATTTAAAATACATTTTAAAATTTAAAAATAGTTCAATATGTCAATTGCATTTAAAAAATATGAACATTAAAATTTGATATAATTAACTTGGATTAATGTAAGTTCCAAGATGTAAATTTCTTTCATTTGTAGAGTTCTGTAGATACTGTGGGACAGTACAAATATCTCTGAAATTCAATATTATTACAACACTAATATTGCAAATTAATATCTTAAAGTTGCATAGTATTTTTACTTTTACAAAAACACTTTCTTTTGAATTGCTAGAATTTGATTAAGTCTCACAACAGCCCTCAGAGATTGGAAGGCTAGATTGGAGGAGCTGGTAATTTCAATGTTTTCCTATAATTTCCCAAATAAATTATGCTATAGTTAGTATAGAATAAGTAAATGGATGCCTCATTTTGCTCTTTCTGTTGATTGTTGAACTGAGATTCTGTTGAAGGATGTTTATGTTCACATTCATTCAATTCGTAAGTATTTATTAAGTGGCTACCATGTACACACAGATTTTGAATATTTGTTACTGATCATTATTTGTAATGTGTGATTTTGTGAAAACTTAGGCTATGCACATTTTAATAACTGGCAATTATTTCCATTTTCCTAATTCCCTTCATTCTGTTATATTTTCACATTACCCTTAACTGAAATTCTTTGTATGCTACTAACTCATTTTCACTCTGATAATGATTAGTAAGTCATTCATGCAGTTTCTTTTTTTGTAGGATATGTAAAATACGTTACCCTTATCCCCAAAATAGAATGCTTGTACGTTTTCTTTGGCTTAAATCTGAATATTTTAATAGGAATCTGTAATGAAAGGAGTAAAATTTTCTCTTTTTACTTGCCTTTCTTCCATTGGAATGGTTTCGGGCAGTTTTTGTCCCTGAGAATTTCTCAATTTAAGAAGAAAACATGCATCAGGATTTTATGTTAGAGAAAGGAAAAAGAAGGACTAGGCTCTTCAAGGCTGTTCTGAGTTTGAATTAAATTTAGTGGTAAAGAAGGTTACAAGTTCTGCTACAGCCTAGATCCCTGAGTTATTCAAATTATTTTACTACAGTAGAAAAGCAACTTATTAGAATGAAGTCAATAACAGGAATGAAAAGGGTACATTTTCTTTAAGTAATATACTGTATTAAGTACTTAGAAAACCTTAGAATCAGTAACAATGAGCCAAATCAGTGATGTCCAACCTGGTTCCACATTAAAATCAATGAGACACTTAAAAGAAAACACTAATTCCTAAGCCCTACCACAAAAACAATTGAAACCAATTATTTTTGGGGTAGGACTTGTTCATATTGTTTTCTAGATGTTCCTGAAGTGATGGAAACTACTATATTATGCAATATATTAAAAAAATTTAAATACTCCACATTCAATAAAAATAAAATCTAACAATCTTATGCCCATGCAACTCCAATTGCTAGTGAAAACAAGGCAGAGCAAACAGATCATTGGTAGAAAGCAGTTGTATATATATAGATGTGTGTGTGTGTATTTATATATATGTAATATACATATAGAAGATATCTATACAGTCGCAAATGAACCAATATGGCCTTTCAACACCAAAGCACATTGACACTTTAAAGACATTTATTCCTGGTGTAAGAAAAATGTTAAGTCACTTATAATATGTATTAGAAAAAGAAACAAAATAATGAATCCATTTCTGTGTATTTCAGAGCTTTTCTGTGTATTACAGGACTTAGAACATTTTGAAAGGCAAAGAAAGCTGCTTCTCATATAGAACGAAGCTCATTTACTCTATTTAACAACAAGTCAGAGCAAAACACCTAATGGTTTTCAATGGGCCTAAATTGTTCTTTGAATTAAATATGTGCATGAAACAGTTTTTCTAATACATAAAATCTAAGAAGCAATTTTCTTTATTCCTCCTATGTGGTGGTACCTGCTTATATACTTAAAAAGTCAAAATGTGAGGAAATCAACTTAATGAAACAAGCTAGCAAGATATTCACACATTTACTGTGGTATCTGAAAGCAAGAGTATAAGAGACAAAAGTGTTTTCTTATATAGATGGCAAACCAATAAAGAAATCAAGTCTTTTTTTTTTTCCCCGTGAGCTGTATTTTAAAACAGCATGGGCTTTTTGATAGAACTTCTTAATCTAAAACTACCCAAAAGAAAATGAGATAAAGATTTTTGCCAACTCACTGATGCTGTCTGACTTTGCCCCAATAGTCTTTGAGAGATTTTGTAAAGAACTGCAGCTTTCTTGCCCAGCAGCAGGATTTTTTAACCTGTATCATTCTCTATTTAGACTTTGGAAAATACTGCTTCTGTGTACTTTGGGACCAATTTTAGGAATCTAAAGAACCCAAAATAGAATAATAAATCACCTATCATAGTCCTTAAAAATATTTAATAACAATATAAATGTTAAATTTATTTATGAAACAAGGCTATAAACTGTCACCAATTTCAGTTATGTCCTGATGCACTATTAAGCAAAAATCCATGTTAATATAAATATTTCCATTGAAAATATTGCTCTGAAATTCTGAAAGTTCATATTTCTTGAACTATGAAACTAAAGAATACATGTAAATGATGTTTAATTCACTTGTGTTATGCATATGACTGCATTTTCTTTAATTTACATTTTGGTCAAAAATGTGTTTTTATACATTTCATGTATACTTTAAAAGCATTATATGCAGAAATGACATGGGAAGCTAAATACACACACACACACAAACACACACACATAGAATTTTAACTAATTCACACATATCTCATAGGGTCACCTGTGTCTCCATCTTCCACATCTGATAACAAATAACCCTTTTCCAGGTGAGTACTATTTATTGAATACTTCTATGTGTTGGGTATATTGACAGTGGTGAGTATGTGGTGATGTTTCAGAGAAAGGTACAAATTATCATCTAGCAGAAAAAGCAAACATTTCAGTCAAGATCTGGCTACCAACATGCATCAGAGTGGAATATGAAACTTATATAGAAGGGAATGTAAGAAATAAGAATCTCTATAGCATGAAAGGGGACATCAGATATTCTGGTGTTAAATTTGTGGCAGAATTTTTCTTTTATCTCCATTTCCTTAAATTTTAGAATTCTCTGCCCAATCTCAATTGCTTTTTCCCTATCCAGGCAATAGTTAGAATGTCTTGGAACATGACTAATGTAAAGGATAATTAAAGAAAAAAAGTTTATTTTTCATATTTTGGATTTGAAAAAAGAATTTTCATAATTGGGACTTGTTATGCCAAATTGAGGAGCTCAGCAAATCCTCTCCTTAAGAAGAAACTATAAAATTAGACAAAATAATCTATAACAACAATTTCTGGGTTGTGGAAATTAATCAAAGGTTTATAACCAATTATTAATCGAGACATGTTATTTTTGAAAATCTACTGAACTATTCAACAGGAAGATACTGGGGTATTCTTGCCTGAATACCACTCCCCTTACCTCTACCCCATAGTTTCATGGATCAAGCCAGAAAACCCAGTTACTTTTCTGAAAAATGGGGCTTATTTGGTTTGAAATGAAGAAAAAAATAATGTGCCTGACCAATAACATAGCAATCTTAGTAGCTAATGAACAGAGATGACAAAGGACTCTGCTAGCTTTAAATTGTAATCCTAATACAGAAATTTAACAGTGATATCTTGGATATGTTAAATTCAGAGAGGGTATCAGGAAGTTCTCCATATATCCCTTGCTTACTGTGTACCTGAAAGAAAAAAGTATAATGGAGATATAAGACAGCCTTGCAGAAAATAAAAGCTGGGGAAGACGTGAAAACTGACTGAACTGTTAATATACACCCTAACTCACACACAGATCCATTAGCAGAAGACAGAAACTTGAAGTTTTTAATTAAAATTTCAGTGAATGTGTTGGCTGACCCCCAAACTAAGTAGAGGCAATCCCTGAGAGGTGAGATGAAAGGGGAGGGGAAATAAAAGCTGAGTAGAGACACAGATAGATATAAATAATGGTCATATACCTCAAGAGAAACAAATTAAATCCAATAAGTGTGTTAAATAAGCAAACCAGTAAACAATAACAACTCTAAGTATTGTCTAATAACAGTAATAAGAATCTAGATTTGTTACAATAGTTGATCTAAACTATCCAGTTTTCAACCACAATAAAACATGAGACAAAGAAATAGGAAAATGTGACCTATAGGCAGTAGAAAATAAGTAGCTACTGTCTCATACTTAGCATATATTTCAGGGCTCATATTTTAACAGACAAAGACATAGACAAAGACAGCACATATTTTAATGTGAAGCACGTATTTTAACAGACAAAGGCATCAAAGCTGCTACTGTAAATACGATTGAAAAATCAAGGAAAACATGTTTAAAGAATTACATAAAAATATAACAACACTGATTCAACAAATAGTGAATCTCACTAAAGAAAGGAGTTATAAAAATAAACAAATTTGGAATTGAAAAGTTTAATGGCTTACAAAATTTGCTGGAGGTGCTCAAAAGCAGATTGGAGAATGCAGGAAAAAGAAACAGTAAATTTGGAGGTAGATCAATAGAATTTTCTGAAAACCAGAGAGAAGAACAATGCACAGAAGCTCAGAGACTTGTGAAATAATGTCAAGTATAAACACACACTCACACACATATACACATGCACACACACACATAATGAAAGATTCAGAAGGGCAGGAGACAGAAAAAAGGGACAGAAAATTGTTATTAGACATATAGAAGAAACTTAGAAATAATAACAGAAAACTTCCTAAATATGGTGACAAAACACAAATTTGTAAATCAAGAAATCCTGGGAATTCCAAGTGGGAAAACCATAGAGTGATGCATACCCAGCCATCATAGTCAAACAGTTGAAAGCCAAAAGATGCAAAACCTTGAAAGCTACAAGAGAAAAAGCACTCATCGCATACACTGTTAACACCAATATTAACAATTGGCAAGGGTATGGAGAAAATGTAAGCCTTGAACTTGTTTGTGAGCTTGCAAAATGGTAAAGCCCTTTGGAAAATAGTTGTTTTTTTTTTTAATTCTTAACAGTATAGACATAAATTTGCTATACAATCCAGCAATTCTACACCTGGTTATCTGCTCAAGAGAAATGAAAACATATGTTCGCACAAAGACTCTCTCATGACCATTTTTAACAACATTATTCACAATAGCTAAATAGAGGAAACAATCTATTAATTACCTGGTGAGTGGTTAAATGGAATGTGGTATACATATACACTGGAATGGTATTCAGCACTGAAAAGGTTTGGCTACTAAATACATGACCCCAAAAAACATTACACTAGTGGTAGAAGCCAGATACAAAAGACTGATCCTCCCGCCTTGGCCTCCCAAAGTGCTGGGAGTACAGACGTGAGCCACAGCGCCCGGCCAACTATATCTACTTTTAAATGCCTGCTTTATTATCACCAGATTGTTCCAGGGAAATGGGAGGAACTTGCTTGTTTGCGTTAGTGATCCTTCTATGGGGTGACGGGGCAAGTTCCTTTTGATAATTTCTTCCCCCTCTTCTCTTTTGGTCCCCCACATTCTACTACTAATTAAACATGCAAAAATAATTTAACATATCTGGGCCAATGCTTTCTTATTTTTATACATGAGACATGAAGCAAGACTAGCTATAAGCCTCTTTCAAGAATGAAATTTTATGACCATATTGTAGACTATATGCTGCTTCAAGTATTTTGTGCAGCAAGTTTGGACATTTAATTAATGAGTCAATTAATTAAATCATTCAATATTGTCAAAAAGATAACTGAACTGACACTGACAAATACATAGCTTAACTGGAATGAACTGTTATTTATATTAAATTTAATCTATGCATTAAAATATATTAAATATATTAAGAGGCAAGGACATTCTATGACATGATTCATAATAGTTTACTCAGAGGGTAAGATTTTAGATACAGGATAAACCACATATTTTGCTGAATGAGAGTCTCATAAGAATATGAGCAATGGCAATAGGGTATAAGAATATGTGCACGGGCAATAATCTTGTCAGTAATTTAATTCTTCCTAAAAATATTTGCAATCTCCATGAATGGTTAAAAATAATATAAGATATCCTAAGTAATTTTTAAAACTATATAAGACTGTTTTCCAAGTAAATCCAAATAAATTTGTTGAACAATTGCCAATAAAACAAAGAGAATTACTAAGAGGTTACAAATGTGGGCAGAAGCTATTGAGGCCATAACGACCTTTACTATGTTCCAAACAATGAAACACAAATGAAGTAAATCTAATGAGAAGACAATTGGAATACTAAAAGAAAGCTCCTGAAATGCAGTGATTAAGTCAGGTAAAAAAATAATAATAAAGTGCTGCTCTTGTACTTACTAAGACACGAAAAGGCAATTATGCAAAAAGACACTTAAAAGCCGTGCTACTAAGAATATAGTGCTAATCTTTCTTAACACCCCTTCCTTTCAAGTACCACTTTCCCAATATTTCCTTCATTTGAAATTCCCTTCAAAAATATCCCTCGTGTTCGCTATCATGTAGCATGTAGTGAATTTTTTTTCTGTCTACCATCAAGCTTACATTGTTTTACAATTAATACCTATTTCTTCATAATAATTAGCTGGAAATTTTTTACATATCCTCTTATCATTCTTTCCTGTACGTATGCAGGATTTTAGGAACACACTATAGGAACTGTTTTAAAAAATTTTTAAGTTCATTATTTTTTATTTATTTATTTTTTTTGAGATGGAGTCTGCCTCTGTCACTCAGGCTGGAGTGCGGTGGCCTGATCTCGGCTCACTGCAAGCTCTGCCTCCCGGGTTCATGCCGTTCTCTTGCTTCAGCCTCCCAAGTAGCTGGGACTACAGGCGCCCACCACCACGCCCGGCTAATTTTTTGTATTTTTTAGTAGAGATGGGGTTTCGCCGTGTTAGCCAGGATGGTCTCAATCTCCTGACCTCGTGATCCACCCGCCTCAGCCTCCCAAAGTGCTGGGATTACAGGCAGGAGCCACCACGTCCCGCCTAAGTTCATTATTCCTGTGGGATTTTGGAGACTGACAAAAACAGGCCTTTCAGGATTCTATTTTATTTCTCACCTTATTCATCTCCAATCTCCATGTAATCACCTATCATCACTTCGGACATAAAACATCTGCAACCTTAGATAAAGGTAACCACATGAACATTGGCATAGATGAAATGGAAAAGCCAAAGGAATTGACGGAAATAGAAATATACAGGTGTTTCTCTGAGGGCACCTCAAATGGTACTAAGAGGGTGTATAGTCCACTAATTTAAGAGACCAACACAATGCATATATCCAACTGGAAGGAAATAAATCGTTATAGAGGAGAAGCAATTTCCAAATTAGGCCTTATCACATTATAGCCTTATTGCTGACAGTGCATCTTGTTATTTTTAAGATCATCAGCTTAATAATTTGTGATTACCTGTTAGGATTGAAATGTTGAACAATTTTCTTATGACACATGTTATGTTATATATTAAGTTATAGTAACACATAGTAAAGTAGTAATATATATTAATATGTATAGTAAAGTAGTGATTTATATATACTAATTCTTGATTGATGATTTTCATTAACTTTGTTCTTGAATCTTGTCTCCTTCGTAGGTCAATTCACTACATTTTGAAGTTTTTTAATTCCCTTCATTTAGCAAAGGATAGCTATTCTTAAATGTGACTTTTCTAAAAATATTTAAAAAGTGTTATTTGATTTAATTAGAAAATAGTTTTTCTAATTATTAAATTTAAAATATTTATAAATATCAAAATATTTTTAAGCTGAAAAAACGGACATTGCTGTTAAAATTTTTGAAAAGTAATTTACTTAAAAATCACTTATAAAACCTGTCTCACATATTACAAATAATGCACACCTTATTTTAGGAGCTTCTTTTAAAAGTCTCATTTTTTAAAATGAAATGCTTTGGAGCATGGACATTTTATTTAGTTTCAATTAATATTGAATAATATAAAATTAGAATATTTCTCCCATTGTTTAGCTTGTGATAGAAAGCAGTTATAAAATAGTGATTGGGTGCAAACCCTGGAGTTAAATTGCAGAGTTTGAAATCAGAACAATGACATTAGGCTAGTTCCCTTAGCTCAACAGCCTCCTATCATTATTTAGTTATAATGCTTTATAAAACATCTACAAGAACCAGGCACGGTGGCTCATGCCTATAGACCCAGCACTTTGGGAGGCTGAGGCAAGAGGATTGCTTGAGCCCAAGAGTTCAAGACAAGCCTGGGCAAGATGGCGAGACCTCGCCTCTACAAAACATATTTTAAAAATTAGCCGGGCCTGATGGCACATGCCTATAGTCCCTGCTACTCTGGAGACTGAGGCGGAAAGAATTCTTGGGCCCAGGAAATCAAGATGGCAGTGAGTTCTGATCATGCCACTGCACTCCAGCCTGGGCAGCAAAGTTGGGCCCCGTTTCTAAAAATAAAAATAAACAAATATAATAAAATACCTCGAAGAGTGTCTGGCACATAGCAAATACTGTAAATTGTTTGCTATTGTTACTTTCCCTACTTCAACTTTATACTAATAAAAATATACTGTTTCAAGCTTCTAAAGTGAGAACATAAAATAAAAAGTTGAAATTTGAAAATCTGACAAACACTAAATTTCAAAGAAAAGTAAAGTAAACAAATGTGAGATTATTCTCATGCTGAAGACTGTAAATGTTAGAAAAGTTAAATGGAGAAAAGCATATAAGAGATTACTGTTAAAGAGAGGAAAGCATAACATCTAAAGATAAAAATTAAATGAGAAAGACTAGAAAGACAAAGGAAAATGACCAGAAAGTCAACTAATTAGAAAACTGGGTTACAAGCTGAAGAATGTAAAAGTATTAATGCATAGAAAAATAAGAAGCAGATCAAGAAGAGTGAAGCCAGACACTTCTGTACTCTGCCATTTTGGTTGAATTTATTATTGTTGTTGTTGCTGTTATGTTGATTTATTTGTTTTTGCCAGACTCCTACAGAAATAATTGTTGACTTTAAGGCTTTAAATATGCTTCCTTATTTTTAGTTTAACAAATGAAATCAGAGAGGACCTATTTGCTGGCAATTTTGCTATAAGATAACATATTCTGACTTATAAAATGTGGCTAATTTGATGGACAGGACACAACTCATTTTTGCTCTTCTTTGAGTTATGAGTGACACTGCACATCAGTCACTATACATTGGCCAACTACATCATACTTTTTCTTCTTGGAACTTGATTATTGAACACTTCGCTCTGGATTTTTATAATTTCTTTTATTTTGGATATTCCCTCTCAGTATAATTAAAATTGACCAGTACTTAAATATCTTTAGTACTTTGTTGTTCTCGTTTCATCAAGAATGTTTAGATCTTTGTTCACATTTATAATAGTTAAGGTAACGGCATGGTTGGGAACAATCATTCTTCTGTACTTAATTGATTTGTGATTTTGAGCTGGTGTTTATTCCCCTGTGCCACAGTTTTCTCACCTAACAGTAATGACAGTAACTGTCTCCAAGGGTCTTATGAGTATTGCATAAATTAATTCATGTATAATGGTTAGCAAAGGCCTCAAATGTAATAAGGACTTAATAAATGCTTATGATTATCTGCTTGTTTACATTAACTCGGGCTTATTTATATTTTCTTTCCCTTTGTTCAATATTTTTGGTTTTTTGTTCTATTCAGGTTTACTGAACACTTTCACAGTTTACTCTCATAGATTATTCCTGGTATTCTTTAGTGTTAGTGCTTTGTTGATTTCTTGTATGATTATTTATCTATTCAGGATTTCTAAATATTTTTGAGAAAAAATTTAAACATATATTTAGGAAATATCTATTTCATCAAAATTTTAATATTGAGGTATAAAATAATTTAACAGTACCATCAATATGTAAACCTTCTTTAGTCTTCATCTAAAAAGGAAGCAATTTCTAAATGCTCTAATGAAACTATCAGAATCTAATATAAGATTTATGAAGAATTCAATAAGAAATAATCTCGTGGATTGTGAGATTCTCAATAAGACAGGGAGAGAAAAACTGACTTTGCCACTATGGTGGAAGGGCTAATGGAGGATTCTTTAGAATGAGTGTGGTGCTTATGCTGCTCACATTCAGTAAGGCAATGGCCAACATAGATTAATGAGGTGATAATAATAGATATTTAGATTGCTGGTGCAGGCCAGCTCTCGAAGAAGAATTATGTAAGAAGCCAAACTACAATCAGGTAATGATGTAAAAATAAATTGTAAGAACTACTTTAGAAAAATCCAGCAAGTATCATCAGTCAGAAATCCACCTGATATATTTACCTGTCTAAAGGGTACTATTGCACTGGATGAAAATCTTACTACACAAATTAAGATACACAAGTTTGTCACAGTTATTCATTTCATTTAAATAAAATTAAATTTGACTCTACTTCTCATCTAATTAGAGTGTATGGGGATGAAGAATTGATGCTTGTTGGGACCACTTCACTTTCCCAGTGTCTATAATATATACTTGGGGCATTCAACAGGAAAAAAATATAGACACACACATCACAGTACTCATCTTTGGTTCACTATGGTTTTCACTAGATGTTCCCTGATCCACTGATCAAGTTACAATTGCTTTATGAAGGCCTGTGACTATCTAGAATGTGGTAGTGACACAAAGCAAACCTTGTCAAAACTAAAAACTGTCTCTAAGGCTCACGCCTTACACAATGCTGCCTACTGCCCAGAGTCCCACCTTCACAGATGTTTCCGTACTCAATGTTCTACCTCTTGGTGAGCAATATGAGTACTGCTGGTTATGGTAGAGAATCTGTCATTTCTCTGAGATGTTACGATGAAATGAGGCCGTAAAATTCTATTTCTCATGGTATACCAGACTTCTTTGCCCGTCTTAATTTTAGGGAGTCTCCTCTCTTTCTTTTTCTGCTTTACATGTGTGGATTCATATGAGAATAACTCCTTCAAGGGATGAAGATCCCCTTCTCGTTGTAAAATTGAGTAGGAAAACAAATTTGTTTTAGAGGGACTTCTGCTTTTGGCCTGGCAATTTAATCATTCTCTGAGGTACAGGAGGACAAAGTGTCTGGCAATTTATTTGAAGTAGTAAGATAACAAGTGTACGCAAAAATAGAGTGAAAACTGCTGCTGCTTCAAACACAAGGAGCTGCTAGTCGCCTTTATATTTAGGAAATATTGCAGTAAATGAACAAAGACATTTAGATTTTAGATCACTAGAAACATGGAGAAAACAATGAACTACATGAGAAGACATGAAATCCTAGGGCCATCATATCTGATTAAAATGAACGACAAAGGAAGAAGTTGCTAATGGAGTAAGTAAACATTTTACCTGAGTCCACTTTAGCTAAGTACTCTTAATATTAAAATTGACAGAAATTGCATAGCACACATTAAATGAGATGACTGAAATTCAGGAAAGTGGAAATTGGTTTTGATTTATTAATTTGATTTATTTTGCCCACAAAAATTAATATACAAATATGTGATAAAAACAGAAATGTCCCCAAATGCCCTTTTCTTAGGCAATTCATAAAATGTTGGAACAAAACCATAGCATGTGAGTGTCTCCACATCTTTCCTATCTTTAGTTTCTACTGCAGTTAATTATGACTAATGGAGTATGATTTCTTCGTGTGCTGGAGATTTGGGCAACTATAATTGGTGAATATTTTTGATGCAATGCATTTAGTTCTTAGTATAATTTTAGCAGGTCCAAGAAAAGATAATCAATTTCCTCCTGCTGATTCTTTGACCAGGCAGCTGGAGAATAATAATGTTTATCTTCTGTTCATCTTCTATGCTTTATTTAGGACTAGGAATATTTTTTCCTAATAACATGAAATGAGAAAAGATCCTGATTCTGTCTCTGTCTCTTTATCTTTGTTTAATTTACCTTAACACTTGGAGGTTATATTGTTCATCCATTAAAACAGACAGTAATCTAGACCCTCAACATCATAATATTTACTGTCAGTATCTAGTAAAGGTATTTTTAAAATATGAGGTCACAATCTCAAAATAGCTTAGAAATATTAGAGAAATTTCGGTCAGTAGAAAGAGACACAAACATGAAAGAGGTCATGGAAACAAGAAAGACATTAAATTTGTTTTTTCAATATGTTCAAGGATAAAAAGTAAAAGAGAAACATAATGAGGAGAGAAATTGGAATATAAAGAAACCAGTTGGAACTTCTAGAGGCAAAATATCTGATATGAAAAGTTAATTGAATAGGATTAAAACAAATGATACATAAAACAAGATAATAAATATTCAAACTGAAGCACAGACTAAAAAATAGTGGAAAAAAATGCATAGACTTATTGACCTTTTCAACTGTTTCAGATTGAGAACTCATAAGCATCTCAAATAAGATTTAAGTAAGAATAAATTTAACAAAAGAAGGAAGGAAGAAAGGGGAAAGGAAAAAATAAAATAAAGAAGTAACTATATCATGTTAATTAAATTTCTGAAAATTGGAGAATTAAAAAAAAAACAACCTCAGTAAGTGTTTGTGTGGCAGCGTATTACATACAAGAAAAAAAATCATGAAAAACAAATTACACTAGAATGACATTTTTAAATTTCTGAAAGTAAAAACTTAACACTCAACTTCTAATTGTATATACAGCAAAAAATTTATTAAAATATAAGTCAAGATGAAAACAATTTAGACAAAAATACAAGAAAAAGTAGATAAGAATTTTTTTATTGCTAGGAGACCTGCACTAAGAAAAACATTGAAGAAAAGTCTTCAATATGAAAAAAAGATACTAGATGAAAATACATACATAAATAATTAATTGAAGAGCACTGAAATTATAAATATATGGTTAAATGTAAAAGTACATTTTTAAATTTATAATTTAATCCACAAGTAAAATGACTGTTAAAATTATTAGAATGTAGTATGAGGTTTATAGCTAATGCAGGAGTGAAGGTTATGATAATAATTGCCTAAAAACCAGGGAGATATGAAAGTAATGGGGTTTTGTAATATTCTTACACCATATTTGAAGTGTTAAAATATTATTTGAATGAAAATTGTAATTAATTAGCAAAGCTTCTTGCAAACTCCAGAAAAGTAAAATAAAATATATAATAGCTATTGATAAAAATCAATGAAAAAGATGATATATGCAAATCAATGTGTACAAAAACATGCTTGAAGTATAAAGATACAGGTATTTTGAAAGTAAAATATGAAAATATGTACCATGTAAGCATACAAAATACATTTGGAGGGAGTGAGACTCTGGGAATGGCATCGAGTAACTTTCCGTGAACCATCTCTACAGTGAAACAGACACTAAACTGGTGAAAATTATTAAAAACAGCCATCTAAAGAAATTGACCTAAAAGTATGCAGCAAATCAAAGTATCATTAATTTAATAAAATCTATAAACTTTTAGTGTGGTTAGAATATGTGGCATTTAAACCAAAAATGACTTTCGCCCTCAAACTGATCCTTCTAGCTTTATGTTGTGAAATATTTAATATTAGCGGGCATTGCCAGGAAGGACCGAGAACTCCTATAATCTACCCACCTCCCACTCCTAGGGAAAAGACTCTTCCCTGAATAAGGCCGGTAGGTCACGAGTTAACAGGCTGAAAAACCATGGATTCCCATCATCTCACCATCTTCTCAGCTCTCACTTTGTACAGTGACGATATCACGCTAAAATGTCTAATGAAGAAGTCTGTGGCTGAGACTCCATTCCTAAGTCTTCCACAAAGATCAGAAGAATAACTCTAGAAGAAGGCCACCTTGTCCATACTATTCAGCTCCAGCTCAGTAATAAAGTGGTTCTACTCAGGCAGGAGAGTGAAGACGTGAGAACTCTTGGCCCCTTTCTCCTCAGGCTGGGTGACTTAAATTATTCTGTCTTCAAGTTTACTGATTCTTCTGTCAGCTCAAATCTGCTGTTGAAGTCCTCTAGTAAATTTTTCTTTTCAGTTATTGCACTTTCGAGCTCAATAATTTATGGCTGGTACCTTATCATTTCTGTCTTTTTATTGATATCCGCGTTTTGTTTTTTCTTGCTTCCTTTTGTTATTTGTCCAAGTTTTATTTTAGTTCTCTGAGCATATTTAAGACAGTTATTTTAAAGTATTTGCCTAGTAAATCCAGTGTCTGGACTTCTTCAGAGATAGATGTTTTGGTTTTTTTAATAAGCCTTTTGATTTTTTGGTTGTTGAAACTAGGCATTTGAATATTTTAATGTAGTAACTGAAATCAGAGTTTTCTCCCTTTCAGAGTATGCTTTTGATTTTATTTATTTTAAAAACATTGTTGAAGGCTATTGCAGTCTGCTCAGTGACTTTTACCAATTTTTTTTAACAGTCTGTGACCTTTGTCATGTGTGGCACAAAACACTGTTTCTTAGCATGTATTCATTTTTGGTTTCTAAACTATTACTTTATTTGTATTTTCTATTTGATAAGACACTTTCACATGCTCCTTTTCTTCTTTAAGTATGACTACTATCTCCTGGAGTGACTCATTTATAGCTAGGGATAATGTGGAGAAAGAAAAAAAAAAGTAAAGAAAAGTGAACAGAGATTAATGAAAATGTAGAACACCATACAGTAGATAATCATATGTCTTAAAGAGTTACAGAAGTGGGGGGCAGAATATTTTTTTAAAAAAGCTGAAAACATCCCAAACTTACAAAAAGCGCAATGAGTTCCAAATAGAACAAACACAAAAACATAAAGATCTAGACACAGTATTTCAAATTTGAAATAATGCCCCCCCCCCAAAAATTTTGAAATGCAGCTAGAGAGTAATGACTTGTTACATATAATGTATTCTGAATAAGATAAAAAATAGATTTATGCTTCTAGGAACAATGATTATAAAATAGACAAAATGCAATTTGCTAACATTATGAACGACAGAAGAAGCATTACTACACATCTTAACAACATTAAAAAATGATTAATAATTATTATTTTAATTATTTGCTAATTAATCCAATAATTTCAATTAAATAAACACATCTTAGAAAAACCTGAATCACAAAACTGACACCAGAATATATAAAAGTGTAAATAGTTCTGTATCTATAAGAAAAAATATTAATTTATAATTAAAGATCTTCCCCATGCCCTGCCCCATTACAAAATTTTAAGTCTAATTGGGATCACTAGTGACTTCTTTCAAATATTTAAGGAAGAAATAATACAACTCTGACATAAATTCTTCCAGAAAACAGTGAAAGAGCAAACACCACCCAATTCACTTTTTGAGGACGATATTATATTACTTTAGTAACAAATACAGATGAAGATATCACAAGTAAACTACCGTCTAATCTCCTTGATGAATATCCAAAAATTATTTACTTAATATTAGAAAATTGAACTCACCAACAAATAACATTAACACTACTTCTCCATTAAGTTCGGTCTACATCCTGAGAGAAGTTAGTTTAATATTGGAAAATCAATAAATTGACTTCACCTTGTAAATAGAATAATGGAAGAAAAAAACCATATGATAATCTCAAAAGATACAGTAGAATAATTTTATAACATTTTAGAACATATTAAAGATAAAAATTTCCATCTAACTATAAATGGAAGAAATCATCCTTAACATAAAATATGACATTTAGAAATAATATATAGTGTACATTACATTTGATGGTAAAAGTCTGAATCTAATACAAAGAATAATGTAAGCATGCTTGTACTATGTCTTCCATGGAAAAAACATTTTTTCTGTTTTTACCATGTCTTCCTAGCCAATATAAGTGAATCAAGAGAATAGAAATGATTGAATAAAGAATTGTAAAGGAGGCTTTATTCACAGATAACATGATCATGTAAGATCAATATAGAAGACTGTACAATCTACTGAAAGAACGAATAAAAATATCAAAGTTACCAGATACAAGATTGATATATCAAAATTAATTGTATTTCTAAATAGTATAAATGAAAATATTAAAACAGAATTTTACAATGCCCAAAACACCCATAAAATAATTAGGCATAAACTTAAGGAAATATTTATAAGATACATACACTGAAAACTGTAAAACATAGAACTAAGTAAACAAACAGATATATTTATGTATGGAAGAAACAATATTCTTAAGAAGTTAATTTCCCTCAAATAGAACTAGTTTTTTTGGCAATCAGTTACAATTTCAGAAGGTTTTGCTTTCAAAATTGACAAGCTAATTATAAAATATATTTAAACGAACAAAGATAGGAGAGTGAAAACACTTTTGATAAGAATGAAGTTGAATGGACTTGCATGGTCTTATTTTGATACTTCTGTTTTACTTTAAACATGAAGACAATGTGGTAATAGTGTCTAAGTATTGACATATAGGTAAATATAATAAAATAAAGTTAGATACACACGTATATAATTAACAGATTTTTTCTAAAATACCAACATAATTTAAAAGAGAAAAAAATGTATTTTTAACAAATGTTGTTACATTTGTATTTTTATATAAGAGAATAAACTTTTAGCTCCCACCACACACAAAAATTAGTTGTTAATGTGTCGGAGACCAAAATGTAAAAGATAAAAGTCTAAATTTTCATAAGAAAACCCAAAAAATTTTGTAGTTGTATTAATCCATTCTTACACTGCTATAAAGAAATCCTTGAGACTGGGTAATTTATAAAGAAAAGAGGTTTAATTGACTCATGATTCTGCAGGCTGTACAGGAAGCATGGCTGGAGAGGCCTCAGGAAACTTTCAATCATGACGGAAGGAAAAAAGGAAACAGGCACATCTTACCTGGCCAGAGCAGAAGAAAGAGAGAAGAGGCGGAAGGTGACACACACTTTTAAACAACCAGATCTCAGGGAAACTCTATCATGAGAACAGCACCAAAGAAGGAAATTCGTGCCCATGATCCAATCACCTTCCACTAAGCCCCTTCTCCAACATTGGGGATTACAATTTGACATGAGATTTGGATGGGGACACAAATCAAAACCATATCGTTCTGCCCCTGCCCCCTCTCGAATCTCATGTTTTTATCACGTTCCAATAGATTATAAAATCATCTCTTCTCAACAGTCTCCCAAAGTCTTAGCTAATTTAGCATTAACTCAAAACTTCACAGTCCAAAGTCTCATCTGAGAGAAGGAAAGTCCCTTCTGCTTATGAGCCTGTAAAATCAAAGATAAGTTTGTTACTTATCCTGTGGAGGTACAGGCATTGGGTAAATACTTGGGTTCCAAAGGGAGAATTTGGCTAAAAGAAAAGGGCTATACCTCCCATGCAATTCAACACCCAGTAGGGTAGTCATTAAATAGAGCTCCAAAATAATGTTTTTTGACTCCATGTCTCACATTAAGGGCACACTGATATAAGTGGTGGTGGGCTTTGAAGACCTTGCGCAGCTCTTCCCCTGTGCCTCTGCAGGGTACAGCACCCATGGGTGCTTTCACAGGCTGGCATTGAGTGCCTGCAGTTTTTCTAGGCACACAGTGCATGCTGGCAGTGAATCTACCATTCTGGCGACTGGAGGACAGTGGCCGTCTTCTAAAAGTCCACTAGGCCATGCCCTAGTGGGGAACCTGTGTGGGGGCTCCAACCCCATATTTCCCCTCCACACTCTCCTAGCAGAGGTTCTCCATGAGGGCCCTGCCTGTGCAGCATACTTCTGCCTGTACATTCAGGCTTTTCCATACAGCTTCTGAAATGTAGGTAGAGGATCCCAAGCCTCAACTCTTGCACTCTGTGTACTTGTAGGCTTAATACCACCTGGAAGCTGCCAAGGTTCCACAAGACATAAGTCTTGCACCTGTGAAGCAGCAGCCTGAGTACCTGGGCCTCTTTGAGCCATAGCTGGAGCTGGAGTGGCTGGGAGGCAGGGAGCAGTGTCTCGAGGATGTGCAGGGCAGTGAAGCCCTAGGCCTGGCCCACAAAATCATTCTTTCCTCCTAGGCCATCAGGCCTGTGATGGGAGGGGTTGCTGGGAGGTTCTCTGAAATGCCTTCAGAGCCCTTTTCCCATTTATTAGCTATTAGTACTTGCCTTCTTTTAAATTACATAAATTCCTGTAGCTGGCTAGAATTTATCCCCAGAAAATGGGCTTTTCTTTTCTACCACATAGCAAGGCTGCAAATTTTCCAAACTTTTATGCTCTGCTTCCCTTTTAAATATAAGTTCCAGTTTCAGGTCATTTATTTGCTCATAAATGTGAGCATAGGCTGCTAGTAACTGCCAGGCCATATCTTGAACACGTTGATGCTTAATAATTTCTTCCACTAGATGCCCTAAAGCATCACTCTCAAGTTCAAAGTTCCACAGATCCCTAGGGCAGGGACACACTCTCTCCAATCACTTTGCTAACATGTAACAAAAGTGACCTTTGCTCTAGTTCCCAGTAAGTTCCTCATCTCCATCTGAGACCTCCTCAGCCTGGACTTCATTGTCCATATCACTGTCAGCATTTTGGTCACAATAATTTCACAAGTCTCTAGAAAATTCCAAACTTTCCTCCATCTTCCTATCTTCTTCTGAGCCCTCTACACTCTTTCAACCTCTGCCTGTTACCCAGTTTCAATGTCACTTCCACATTTTCAGGTATCTTTAGAGCAATGACCCACTGCTGGTACCAATTTTCTATATTAGTCTGTTCGTGCACTGCTATAAAGAAATATCTGAGGCTGGATAATTTATAAAGAAAAGAGGTTTAATTGGCTCACCGTTCTTCAGGCTGTACAGGAAACATAGCTGGGGAGGCCTAAGGAAACTTACAATCATGGCAGAAGGCAAAGGGCAAGCAGGCACGTCTTTCCATGGCCAGAACAGGAGGAAAAGAGAGAATGGAGAGGTGCTGCACACTTTTAAACTAACAGATCTTCTGAGAACTCACTCACTGACACAAGAAGAACAAAGGGGAAATCTGTGCCCATGATCAAATCTCCTCCCACCAGGCCCCTCCTCTAACAATGGGAATTACAATTTGACCTAACATTTGGGCAGGGACAGAGACCTAAACTACATCAATAGTTTTCTAATAGAAAGAATTTACTTAGGACATAAAAACAGCAAGCAACAACAACAACAACAAAAAACACCCAAAAGGGACCCTAACAATAAACTGTTTTTATTGTCAAAAATTACATTATAAAATTAAAAGGGGATACTATGTCCATAGAGTATATATTTTCAATACATTTATGTAATGAAGACCAGATGCACAAAATATGCAGAAAACACTTATAACTCATTAAGAAGACAAACAAGTCATTTTTTCAATGGTAACATTTGTTGAGATACTTCACAAAATAAAATATACAAAGGGCCAATAAGCAAAGACACAGATACTAAAAAAAGTTTCAGTTATCAAGCAAGGCATATTAAAACTACAATGAGGTTCTTGTATAATCACTAGAACAGCCAAAATCTAAAAGATTTATGATACTAATTACTGGTGAGGGCACTGGAGCAACTGGAACTTTAATAAATTGCTGCTGGAAACATGAGATGGCACAACAAATATTGAAAAGTAATTTGGAAATTTCTTATGAAATTAAACATGCACATATTACTTGGCCCAGCCATTCCACTTGCAGATATTTAAGAAAAATTAAAATACTTGTCTTTATAGAAGCTTTTACAAAAATGTTCACAGCAACCTTATTTACACTAGCAAAGAACTGGAAGCAATATAAATGTTCATCAATATGTGACTAAACAAATTCTGTCATATTCATGCAATACTACTCAGCAATAAAAATTTACTATTGTTAAAAGCATGAAAGAACCTCAAAAATATTATGCTGACCAAAGTATCAATGATTCTCAAAAATATGTCATGTAAAAGACTCAATGTTAATTTTCATAACAGTTAAAATTAGTCTATAGTGATAGAAGTCAGACAATTTGCAGGGTCAGAGTGTCATGAGATAACTTTTTGGAGTGACTGAAACATTTGATATCTTTACTGTGGTTATGTTTATATGAGTATATACATTTGCCAAAACTCATCAAACAATACACTTACAGTGGATGCATTTTACCATTTGTAAGTTATACACTAAATTAATTTTTAAAAGTAGGTAGTGTAATATACTTTTTTATTCGTAATGTACAGTGGAATCTGCTCTGTCACTTACAAAAATAAACTGGCACCAGATGATTAATGATATCTTAAGAGCAGTAGTTGTCTAATTTGTTTGCATATTGGAATTCTTGTGTCACTTTAACAAAAATAAGGATGCCAGAGTCTAATTACTCTGGTTTAATTTGTTTGGGTGCCAGTTTTAGGTTTCTTCAGGTGACTCTACTGTAATGCCAGCTTTTAGAACCCCTAAGACAGTATTAAAAACAGCCACATTTAGCTGTAAGCAGAGTTAAAGGCTGTGCTTTTATAATTTTGAAATATATATTAAAATATTTATTTTATTAAAAATAAGAGAAGTAAACTAGATTTAAAAGGGAAAAGTTTTATTTACTATGACATTGTTAACTATGTACAAAAGTATAAATTTAATTATGTACCAAACTATAATATAATGTTCTAATTAGTCTAAATTGTTGTGTTTCTAAATTATTTTTATGCTTTCTTATTTCTCCTTCATCTTTTATTTGATCCAAACCTAAAACCTCTGATGTCATTTTTTTAAGGTTTTGTTCTTGTGGAGCATGTACATTTATTTTCTTTTTTTCTTCTAGTTTTCTTTAGAGGTATGTTAGTATGATCTTTACCTCAGTCATTACCATAGTAATGAAGGGATGTCTCTGAAAAGCTGAAGAGGAGACAATTCCTTTTATGACAACCCCCTTCAAATCTGCTTATATTTTTTTTTCTAAGGAACAGAAACAAATGTGTCCTAGAGAAGTGATAGGTAGATGGAGAAACATAGATAATGATGAGAGATAAGTAGATATATCTAGCCAATGATTAATGATTAAGAGCTTACTATTGTAAATATGTCATGTTAAAACACCAACTACTTTCTAAAAGTGCAAATAGTTACCCCAGAACTAACCACTAAAAATGTCAAAAACACAGTGTTATAGGAGCTTATTAAATTAGTTTCACCAGAGGTTGTAACTGCTGATTTTATAGTCACTCCTTTAAAAGAAGAGCTTCATTTAACAGTGTGCAATACTCCTTCTGGTATAGGTTATCATGTATATTTGGCAAAATGCTATCACAAACACAGGCCTAACATATTACTTTAAATTTCTTAGATGTCCAAGACTAAAGGGCAGAAAGAATATGGAGTAAAGAAACAGAATGAAGAACACATGGAAAGTGTGATGTAGGAGGTTTAAAGTTGTATGATTAATGTCTAAGCATAAATAAGATATTCTGTAGCCTTACTTTCATAAAGTAGCATTTCTCATGTAAATAGTTTACCATAATAAATGTCAGATAACATCAGGTCTGTGTGGGATGGAGTTACACTTGGGTCTAAAATGAGGTATGTCTCTTATAATGAGGGACAGTGAGAGATACCGTATGTTCCTTGCTTTCAAATTAGGAGTTCCATCTGTTTAACTAGTTGTCAATTTCATCCAAAGATACATAATGATTTGTGAGGATTCTGCAATGTGATAAACACCTTCCTTCTAGTATATGATCGCTTCCAGGCCACTGACTTCACAAAGTAGTTCAGGCAAAGTGATTATTTGGACACAAGTACAATATATTAGAAATCACAAAATTTGAGTCCAAATTTGAGTTACTAAGTCACACACTGGTAACTATATAAAATGTTGACAGTAGTAAGAATTGGCTACTTAAGTCTCAGGGCCCAGCACCAAATGGAAATAGGGGGTGCCTTGATAAAAAATTATTAAGAAATTTAAGTTGGTGATACAGTGTTTTAGTAAGTGTGAGGCCTTTCAATGCATGGTGCCTTGTGCTTATGTTGCATGTCCATGAAACCAATCCTGACTGTAGTTCTGTACTTTAGCTATGCTGTTAAATCTAAGCTGGAACATCAATACTAAGATGTGTCATCAAATTGAAAACAGCTTTTTAGCTGGGCGGGGTGTAATGGCTCATGCCTGTGATTTCAGAACTTCGGGAAGCCAAAGAGGGAGGATTGCTTGAGGCCAGGAGTTTGAGACCAGCATGGGCAATGTTAGCAAGACCTCCTTCTCTATAAAAAATAAAAATAAAAATTAGCTGGGCATAGTAGCATGTGCCGGTAGTCCTTGCTATTCCAGAGGCCGAGGTGAGAGGATCCCTTGAGCCCAGGAGTTCAAGGTTAGAGTGAGCTATGACCTTGCCACTGTATTCCAGCCTGGGTGACAGAATGAGATACTGTCTTAAAAAAAAAATGGTGACAAATAAATCACCTTTTCGCAGGTAAAAATAAAACTGAAATAAAATGAAATTTTAAAATTCTCAATGTTAATTATAAAATATTAAGTAGAAGTAAAACTTGATTTATACAAATATTGAATTGTGCAAACTATATCTTAGAATTAATTGAACATGGTATTTAACATAATATGATCTCAAAATTTACACATTAAACCTATCTATATTAACAACTTCTCTTCTTCCCTCTTTTTGCTTCTAATTCTCATTTTTTTTTATAAACTTGATAAAGATCACACATATGTTTGCAGAATGGTGTGTACTTACAAATAGTTAACTGGTAAAGAGTTCATTGGTGGGAGGATTCAAAATCCCAGAGAATTAGCCACTGGGTTTCCTCAATACTTTGTGCATCTAGCAATGCTTAAAAATTCCATTAATTGTTATCCCTAGTGTATTCCAGAGAAATGAAAAGAGAACTTTAGAATTAGATTGCTTGGGTTCAAATACTAATATAGAAAATACTTACATCTTTGGATAAGTTACTTGTTCATTTCTTTCTAGTTTTTCATCTATAAAGTAAGTATTCCTTATTATAACATTTACTGAGATAAGTAGAAATAAGATTATTATACATGCTCCATAGAGTTATGAAAATTAATTCAAATAATCTATGTAAAGCTAACAGTATAGTTTTAAAGCTATATATATATATATATATATATATATATATATATATATATCTGTTATAAAGGTTAGCCATTATATTGATGTGCATTCTTTTGTATTATTTTTTGTTACCCATAGGCCATCAGGAGTTACTCCCCTCTACTGTACAGGGAATAATGATAAAGGTAATAACAGGAGACATGTGGGTGGTGAAGAATATGAAAAAGAGAGATCGCTGGTAATTTTTTTCAAGGAACAGTGCAGTTTTGAAGAATTGTCAGAGTAAATATAACTGCCATCTACCTTGAAGTCTATTTGGAGATATACTTGATGAGCCTGAGAATGTTGCCTCACCAAAAACTGATTAGAAAGGCTATGATTTTGAGTCCATTATAAATTTTCTTCAAGAGTGTAATTTAGAGAGATCTAAAATAATCAAGTAGGGCTTAGGAGTTACAAGAGCAACCTGTATGTAATGTCATGTACATTTTTCTCAAGTGGGCTGTGTTTTTCATATTCAACTTTTCATCCTTCCCAACTCCTTTATCTGGGTTAAGACTCTATGTACTTTTCTACTGCACAAAATTTCCCTCATATTTCTACCAATTTTCATCTTGAAACAACAGCCAACATCTTCCCAAAAAAGGCTTTACCTCTTAGGAATAAGAGGAAGTAAAATTCATTAGCCTTATTGGCTATTCCCTGTAAATCTAGTTTTTACCCATTTTTTAATATTTATATATTCCTTGTACCCATGTTTTATTATTAATTGCTTTAAGTTGATCTCAACTGAATAGGTGCCTCCCTTAGCATTGACATAATTTTTAGCTCCTTTTCTGTCTTTTGTTATGCCTGACACAATTTTTTTTTAAATTTTTTAAACCATAATTTGCAGTGAGGTAGATTTTACCATTGTCCCATTTTGCCCAAGTATAGAAGCTGAGTGTTTCCTTCTCTTTGGTGTGAGAACATCTAACTACTGGGGGAAGGATCCATGTTTCTTGTACTACAGCAAAGACACATATACATACATCAGTTTGAATGAAGTTTATCCAAGTTTCACAGGATTGTTGAATGTAAACAAACCCTTGTTTAAGGTCCCTATCACTAAGTAACAAATCCTGTGAAAAAATTATAGCCTTCAAATAACGCTAATTATGATCTCTCTTTGATCCTTGGGTTGACAGGGAGTTTTAATGGTTCTCTGTTATTATCTTACATACAACTGCAGCCAGATAATACCTGGAGCTGCATCTCTGTTGAATATCCAGCAGAGAAATTTTTCACTCACATGATCAGTGCCTTCATATTCTTTCACTTTTCAACACTTAGTGTTCTATCCCTCAAAGCTAGATTGGGCTTTTTATGGCTTGATGGTCTCAGGGTACGCACATTTCTTACATGGTGGCTGGCTTCCATAGGAAAGCATTTTAAGAGGTACCAGTTTTCTCAATGGCTAGGCCTGGAACTGGCCAGAGTCACTTTCACTACATTTGATTTCTCAGAACAGTCACATGGCAGCCCAGAGCAAGAGAGTGAATTAAATAGGTGCCATCAATTGATGGAGGGCATGTGCAGGCTGACAGGGTAGGAATGAATGGAAGTATGTTGGAGAGGGCAATGTGTCTTTTTGTCTTCTCTTTCATAATATATATTGAGCATCTACTTTGTGCCTCCAAATGCATTAGGCACTAACTCATTGTTCTTTTTTATTTGCAATTGTAATTGAGTTGTAATATACAGTAAATTTATGTTTAATCGTTTCCAGGTCATCAACTATTTTGTTTTCCCTTAGAAAGTATTATATTTTACTATATTTTGCTTGAATGTGAAAAAACACTAATTATATTACATTGCCAATAAGCGATATGGACATTTTTATTTGCTAAAATGATACATAATATTCTCTATACAATTATTTTTGTTGTTGCTTTTCTGAATCTCATGTAACCATTAGCAGGAAGACTTCAAATAACTTCTTTAGTATTTTGTTGCCTTATTTTAATATCTTTATAACTTCTGTCACATGGTATAACATCTTTAAGAAATGTTTAATACATTTCTAAAAAATTAATAATTCTAAACAGCATAGGTGTTGTTGAAACCTAATAACAGGTGTCTTGGCTCGTTTCCCTACTGTCTTATAGGCACTTATTATTAGTGTCTGACTGAGAGGATTTGCTTTCGAATTTGTAAACTTAAAGAACCACTTTAGAGGTAAATAGAAAACACGACCATTATTTTTACCAACCAATTATTGATCACAAATAACATCTATGTCTGTTGGAACCATAACAATTTTGTAAGGATCACAACATGATTTTAAGTCACCTTGAAAATATAACAGAGCTGTGTTAAAAAGAAAAAGAAGGCTAATAGCCCACTTTGTCAATACTAA
The DNA here is from genome assembly GCF_000001405.40 of Homo sapiens. NCBI lineage: Eukaryota > Metazoa > Chordata > Mammalia > Primates > Hominidae > Homo > Homo sapiens. Next base: position 68,164,037 of record NC_000013.11, read on the forward strand.
AATGTTGGTGCCTATGAGAATGGGTGCCAGTATTTTCTGACAGCCCTTCTGGAAATTCTTGTGTTTTTTTTTCCCATTATTTCTGTTCCTTTGTTATCCAACTATATATAACTCACAATATTTTCTGATCCATCAGCAAAAGTATTCAAATACCAACAGTAGAAATGTTAATACAAGCTGTGAAGATTTGATTGTTTTCTGCTCAAAATTATGTGATTTAGTATGAAGTTTACAACATGTGGTTATAAATCTTTCTCTCAGACAAGTTTTCAAAAATAAAAAGGTGTATTTTTCTTTGATCTGCAACAGAAAAGGTAGGAAAGGGTTTATCTTCTTTAACAGACTTTTTTTTCCTCAGAGAAATTAACGTAGCTGTGGATTTGCTTCAGTTGAATAACCTGCTTTTAATGCACGAAATCAGACACAGAGGGTATTATGTACTTACTTTTAGTGAAGAGAAAATGTTTGAGATGCCTTAGATTCTCTTCAAGGGAAATATTTAGGTATATTTATAATTGCTGAGGATGAATGTATAAACTAAGTTTTCATAGATATTTCTACAGCTTAACATTGTATATTTGCAATATTAATTTCAGATTTGGAAGCAAAATAATAAAGGCTAAATTTATGGGAAACATGATTTAAACAGCTTAAACCTAATTTATAATATTGAGTGGGAAAATTCCTATTAAAATCACTTTCCTGGCTATTACATAAGAATATATTGGAAATTGCCTTTTATTTTGTCTGTAAATAATTTCTCATTTTTCAACCAGAAATTGTTAAATTAAGATCCTGGTACATGCATGCAATTTATTTGAGGGGATAAGGTTCAAATATAGAAGAATATAAATATGCTATTTGAAATCTGAGAGTCCTGACTATAGCTCTGCAGTATATATCAACATAATAATATTAGGTATACAGGTTCTAATTATATATGTGGTTGGACATTACAACGGTTGTATCTTTAAATATTAAAATTACAGAAATTTTAAACATAGAAGGATATCTTAATGGGGTTTATGTATATAAACACTTAGAATTGGAAGAAATCTAAAAAGTTTACTTGCCTCAAACATAGTCTCTATTAGCTTGCCACCTGTGTGAAATCCTCATTGTTTATTCATTTGTCTATAACCAACTATACACACAAAATTGAGATGAATATATTCCAATATATATCACTCTTTGAGTCATAGGGTAAGAAAAGAACCTGGGTAAATATGGCACATCTTTCTAAAGCATTCATATAATAAAAGACTGGAAAGGGTATACATCTAAATTAAAGTTGGGGTTATCAGAGTTATGAAACAAAAATACAGGCCTCTGAGTTGAATTTGAATTTCAAATAAACAATGAATCATTTGTAATATAAATAGGCCTCTTGTAATGTTTAGAACCCAGTTAACTAAAAAATTGTCATTTATCTGAAATTCAGATTTTACTGGCATTCTGTATTTTATCTGCAGCTATAATTACAGAATAAACAGATGCAAAAAAATTACCAGATGTAAGCATTTCATGCAAATAAACAATGAAACAAGGCACTGTAATAATATTTTATTTTAGTGTCATATTATCCTCCCAGAACTTTCATTACTATTTGTTTACTCCTATTGAGGAAGCACTTTGGTAGATATTTTTTTGAGAAGCATTTACTTACAAATAAAAACATTAAGTATGAGAGTTTAAAAACACAGTTGTTAATTCTTTGACACTTCTCCTGAGGAAAGGAGAGATCCGTACTCTCTCGCCTTGAAACTGGACAAGTTTGTCATTGTTTAGAGAAATAAATTACAATAGAAGTAAAGACATGGTGTTAATTTAGCTTAGCTTATGCCTTGAGTTCAAAGGAGCATTTTCTCCTGATGCCCTAGGATGTTATGTCAGAAGTCTCACTATTCTGATGTCAAAATACAGTGGGAAGATCATGTTTCTTGGGAAGCCTCACACTGACATTCCAATCAACAATCCATGTGTGCCCAATCTACTAGTAATTCCAGTCTAGGTGCCAGATTTACGAGTGAAGAAGTCTCCAAATGATTCCATCTCTCCATTGTTCCAGCATCCCCCAGCAGTTTAAGTCTTTCCTGCAAATTGCAGAACAGATAGAAACTGTCTCTGTTGTGCCCTGTCTAAATTCCTAACCAACAGAATCAACTAATTGTTTCATTTCGCTAAGTTTTGTAGCAGTTTGTAACTTAGCAGTTGATAACTGCAATGGGATATACCTAAAACGTTTAAAAGTTAACTTGCTAATAAAATAGCATGTATATGATTTTTTAAAGATTTTTATATTTTCAGAAATGAAAGCAGGAAGATGGCTCAGAGTAATTTAGTTTGAGCTGCTTAAAATTTATGTGCCTATGAATTACCTAAGGATCTTGTAAAAATGTAATTTTTGATTCAGTAGTTTGGAGGTGGGGATGACATACCTCATTTGTAATAAACTCTAACATGATGATGATGGTGCTGGTCTGTGAACCAGCCTTTGAATAGCATAACTCTGCTTCACTTCTCTCATTCTGAATTTGAGAAAATTGAGATCTAAAGTGATTAAATAGTTATCTAAGACTACAGATAAATGCTGACAAGCCATGTAATATTTCTTAGCAGAGGTCATGGCCCTAAGTTATGGGTTATCAGGAGGCAACTGGAAGTTACAAATAATGGAGAAGAGAATTATTTGTTGATGATCCACATGTCACCCATTTTTCTTCACTCTCATCCTTAAAGACAGATAATCTTACAGTTAAATTGGAAATGAGAAATTTAAGGCCTAGCAAAAACAAGTGACTAACTGGAATAGGTACATGAAGAAGGGCTTGAATCCAGGGATTAGGGGATTAAAAATTTTTGTCTTCTATACTATGCCAGCTTGTCCAATCCACTGTTGGCAGATTGCATGAGGTCCATGATGGCTTTAAATGTGACCCAATACCATATAGTAGTCACTTAATCCTCAGCATACCACTAGAAATAATCACTATTTGTCATCTCTGTCCAGTGGAGTATACAGATGGATATATATATATACATATATATATGGAATAAAGTTCACATAGGTTTATGACTAATCTACAAAACAAAAATGTATAGACAGGAAAGACAGCTATTAGAAATTTTAAAAAAAATCTAAAATAGTAAAACCCTTTAGTATCAAGAAAATTTTATGCACAAACATCTTCAAAAATGAACAAACATTATCACATGTTCTTCTTGTAAAATGGACTGGAACATTTCATGATGAAGTTCTTCCAGTTAAATGGCTAGCTGGAAGAGAATGCTACATTTCCTTTTTGTCCTTAGTCATAAATTATATATCTTAAATAATTACATAATAATGACATATTAACAGTGCTGCTATGTATAATTTTGCATTTATCTTCTGATTCATTTAATAATTGTGAAATGTATTTTTTTGTTTTCTTCTCTTTGCTATTAAAAGAAAAAAATAAAGTATCCAAAATTCTCAACTGTATTCCGTGAACTCTAAAAAGATATTTCCCATATCTTATATGGGAAATATAAGATAACTAAGGTTCAATGTATTTTTTAGATTCACAAAAGAGTGCAAAGAACATACAGTTCAATTGTGGGATAGAATTCAATTAAAAAATACTAAGTAAATTTTGTTCTTATTTTTTGCAGGATGGCTAAAAAAGATGAATGCCATAAAATGTCAGGTTGTACAAAGACTTAGAGCTGCTCAATAAAAAAAAACTCAAAAACTAAAATTGAGCCCAGTGGACCCAATGACATATCAGTTAGAGATATGACCACTCCATAGATTGAAGGCTGTCAACCAGCATTAGTTGCATGATCATGTTAAAAGAGCAAGGAGGAAAGGGGCTATATTGTTTTAAATCAATATGAAACAAATTAATCTACCAGTCACAAGTAAATAAAACACCAGGTCATGAATATGATCACACAAAAAAGAAAAATACTCCTGTATTTTCCTAAAGTATGTCAAACCAACACTTCACAGTATCAACTGACAGTATCATCAAAAAAATTAGTGAAAGCTGCTAGTTTCATGAAAATGCAATCAGCAGATTGAATAAATAAATATAATTTTATTTGTGTAACTTTATCTCAAGCCACACTGTCAGTAACTTTTCATTAGTTTTTTAAAACCTATTTTACTTTTCATTAATCAAAAAGAATACAGAAATAAATGTAATTATTGGCAATAACTGTGTTTTATGAAATTCTAAAAATGTTTTCATTGATGCATTCTGATAGATTAGAATGCATACGATGAATTAACAAAGTAATCATGTAGCAAAATATTTTAAAAAATGAACAATATTTATCCAAAAATAGATTCTATATATATTTAAAATCATGAAATAAAATTAATCCATTCAAGTGATATTCTCCATATCATTCATCTTATTGTATATTAAATCATAATAATTTAGTTTTTTTCTTTATATTCAGTCAGACTATGAACCTCACAAAACCAGATGACATGTCTTATCTTTAGTTCCTGGCACTGAAAGTCAAGGTACAACAGAGACTTAAATACATTTTTGATGTTGCAAATAGGATTTCTGAAAAGTTAGTTACTTGATTTATTCATTCAAAAAATATTTATCAAGTGCCTACTGTGTTCTGGGCATTCTTCCAGTCCTAGTCACTGATAAGTCAATAAATTTTCCATACACTATTTAGTAGAATTACTTAGCTTCTTTAAATGGCAATTTCTCTTTACCTGGAATAGAATGTCCCAAATGAGTTAACATTAGGTAAACATCTCAGCTTGAGGGCCATTCTACTTTATCAGCCAAGACTTTTTAATACTTCATTTTTTAAAAAATTCAGGAAATAAACTTTTTTATAGGTTGGTAAGTTATTTACTTGCTATAGTTGTTTTAAATATAACTGGTATGAAAAATTTGTTAATTGAGGGATTCAGAAATGAAGAATTTTGTTAAATAAGTTAATAGGCTTTGGTGGTATGAACATATACTTAACTGTTTATTATACTTTTTATTCTTTTAGTGAGTTATATTAAACGAGGCCTTAGCCCTTCCATGTGTTCTTTCTACACAGCAATTTGCACTTTATGTAGTCTAATATCTCTATAGAATTATCCTAAAGATTAAAATTCTGCCAAACACTTCTGGCCAGAGCCCCTGTTGATCATTCCAATTTAGACAAATGAAAATAATCATTTTAATTTTGCTCTCAAATCTTTTTCAGATTGTTATTCAATACTTTAAACACATATTCTTTAACATGCTATTTCAGTTTAGTAGCATCTTATCTGCTTTTTACTTTTCTATTTAAAAATTGTCTTCTAAGAAGATTGTATAAATAGGACTAAAACTATAGAAATCTAAAAAAGACTTACTAGAATGGGTATAATTGTGCCTTAATGAGATACTGGGGTTCTACATGTGTATGTGCATAAAAGAGATAATCTTCCAAAATACTGTTCTTAGAAATGTTTTACCACACATATTTGAAAATCCATCACTTCCATATTTCTCAAACGTGAGTAGGGCTGCTCATGATTATTCTTTATAATTTTGAAATTAATGGCAGGGGGAGGGGTACATGCAAATTCTTAAATAAGCTATCTAAAGCTGCATCTCTGCTTTAAAACACATTACCTTTTAAAGACAGTATTTCAGAATTTCAACGTGAATGGAAGCGTCAAATTGATGCTCAATATTAATTTGCTTATTTATGCTAGAATGCACTTACATGGTAAAAAGGTAGATATCAAAAAATAAAGATTCTCTATTTTGAGACACTGAAGTAGATTTTCTTTTGGTCTCACTGCCATAAATCCCATTAGTGTTAATTGGAGATTTGCATGTGCATTGAGAGAATAATATACCTCATTATTCTTGAGTAACAGCTACTGACTTTTGAAGGCCATTTAGAATGTATGACAGGAAACAAATAAAAGCATACCACTTAGCTTTTTGAAAGTTATTTTCATATATTGGAAAATAAAACAAAAGGCTTCACAAATGCTTTACAGCCACAGTTTTATCATTTCAACAATAAAATTTGTAAAACCAACTTTTGTAGCTTAACCAGTTAGTGAATATGTAAACTATATCTACAATCTGCTTCTTGGTAGACCTTGGCCCTGAAAACATACACCTGTTTACTTTGTTGCTGTTGTTTTATATATTTTATCCATTAAAACTCTACTGTGAAAAAGAAATAATGCTTTTAGTTTTAAAATAATTAAGATTGGTTGAAAGACTACTTTTGGATATTATGATAAAGACAACCCATAACTATAAGGCACTTGTGTGACAATCACTATTTTAAGCACATTTTTAAGTATAGACTTAATAAACATTCAGCAACTCTATGAGGCTAATATCATTATTCCTCTTACAGACAGGAAAATAGAAGTATCAAATTAATTTGCCCAAAGTCACATACAGGTGGTGTGTCTCAATAAACTGTGCCAATGAGTAAGCCCAAATGAGTAGGCTTTACACTGAAACACAAACACACTTGTCAACAATTAAAACTTTTTAGCTAATTCAACTCATCCCCTTTAGAAGACATGTTGGATGAACTATTATTACACATGCTTCATAGGGTGTCTCATCAGTCACCACATTCAATTTAGCAGACGCACATGATTTCTCTGAGAAGAGTTGACAGTGACAATTTCTGAGCTCCTTATAATAATGGCTAACATGTAGAGTGCATCTCCATGACAGATGCTATTCTAAGCAATATTGTTTCACTATTAAACCATTTAAATCTAACCTTTTGAGAGGTGACAGCATGCTGGTAGCCCTCACAGCCCTCACTCGCTCTGGGCGCCTCCTCGGCCTTGGCGCCCACTCTGGCCGCGCTTGAGGAGCCCTTCAGCCCGCCGCTGCACTGTGGGAGCCCCTTTCTGGGCTGCCCAAGGCCAAAGCCGGCTCCCTCAGCTTGCAGGGAGGTGTGGAGGGAGAGGCGCGGGCGGGAACCGCGGCTGCGCGCGGCGCTTGCGGGCGGGCGTAGGCTCGGCAGGCTCTGCACTCGCAGCGGCCAGACGGCCCGGAAGCCGCCCTCCGTGAGGGGCTTAGCACCTGGGCCAGCAGCTCCTGTGCTCAACTTCTGGTAGGGCCTTAGGTGCCTCCGCGCGGGGCAGGGCGCGGGACCTGCAGCCTGCCATGCCTGAGCCTCTCCCACGCCGAGGGCTCCTGCGCCGCCGGCGCTTCCCCCAAGAGCACCGCCCCCTTCTCCACGGCACCCAGTCCCATCGACCAGCCAAGGGCTGAGGAGTGCAGCAGGCTCAAGGCGCAGGACTGGCAGGCAGCTCCACGTGCCGCCCGGGTGTGGGATCCACTGGGTGAAGCTAGCTGGGCTTCTAAGTCTGGTGGGGACTTGGAGAACCTTTATGTCTAGCTAAGGGATTGTAAATACACCAATGGGCATTCTGTGTCTAGCTCAAGGTTTGTAAACACATCAATCAGCACCCTGTGTCTAGCTCAGGGTTTGTGAATGCACCAATCAACACTCTGTATCTACCTACTCTGGTGGGGACTTGGAGAACCTTTGTGTCCACACTGTATCTAGCTAATCTAGTGGGGACCTGCAGAACTTTTGTGTCTAGCTCAGGGATTGTAAACGCACCAATCAGCACCCTGTCAAAATGGACCAATCAGCTCTCTGTAAAATGGACCAATCAGCAGGATGTGGGTGGGGCCAGATAAGAGAATAAAAGCAGGCTGCCTGAGCCACCCGCTGGGGTCCCCTTCCACACTGGAAAATTTGTTCTTTCACTCTTTGCAATAAATCTTGCTGCTGCTCACTCTTTGGGTCCACACTGCATTTATGAGCTGTAACACTCACCGTGAAGGTCTGCAGCTTCACTCCTGAAGCCAGAGAGACCACGAACCCACCAGAAGGAAGAAACTCCTAACACATCCGAGCATCAGAAGGAACAAACTCCAGACACGCCGCCTTTAAGAACTGTGACACTCACTGCGAGGGTCCGCAGCTTCATTCTTGAAGTCAGTGAGACCAAGAACCCACCAATTCCGGACACACTTTGAGATAGATGCTGTTGCTATCTTCCTTTTAAAGATAATGAAACAGGGGCAGAGAAAGGAGAAATAATATTCAAATTTTAAAAGAATTTGAACACAGGCATTCAGGTTCCAGAAAAGAGACAAGATATGATTGAAGAAATGTAGGTGTGGGGCTCTTTGAGCTTGGATTTAAATTCTATATCATAACCTCATGGGAGGAGATGAGGAGGAAAACCATTGTCTACAAACAAACTAAAAACAGTCAAACTAAGCAAAAGTTTGCTTGTGTTTTTATTATCACCGTGTGAAGGCTATTTTTTTTTTTTTTTTAATGTCAGGGGGAAGATACTCCTCCCCATTGAGGTGGGCCTCTCCCATGACCTCCATCTTCCTTTTTTCATATACTATCGCCAAGACCAACATTCATTAGATGCTTTCAGACACCACATGATGAAACAGAATTATGAATGGGGAACCCACAGAGTTGCTGTAAATGAGAAAATTTAAGTGAAGTAAGCAGTTGTATTGCGGTCACTCTAAAATAATAGAAGTCATGAATTTGAACCCCCCTAAAAAAGTGTATTTCCATTTGGTCTCTAACAATGTTCCACTACTTGACCAGTGATAGCCTTTCACATTGGCTTGCTGTCCCCATTCCCAGAGCTTTAACAAAAGCAAAACAAACATGATAATGATGGTGGTTTAGACTCTCAGGCTACATCTGCTGTCCATGCAGGCAGATGAGAATATGGCCTGTAATTTTCAAACCCTAGACAACTGATTGTAGATCCTTCTTATGAAACAATGTTTCTTTCTTGAATCAGCTTAATTTATTTACTTGTTTTCAGAGAATGGAAATGAAATGAGAAGGAAATGGTGAAAACCTTAATATCACAAAATGGATACAGGATACCTCTCAGGCTCATTATATATCTGTTTAATACAAAAATAGTATCAAACACCAACCATGTGCCAGGCACTGTTTTAGGTGCTGGGAATACCATCTGCTATTTGTTTTCCATGACTGATGTAACAAATTACAGCACACTTCATGGCTTCCAACAGCAAAGTTTGTTATCTTACAATTCTGTAGGTTAGAAGTCTAGTATATATTACTAGGCTAAAGACATGTTGGCTGAGCTGCATTCATTTCTGCAAGTTCCAGAGACGAACCCACTTTCTTATGTTTTCCAGCTTCTAGAGGTGGTCCATATTCCTTGGTTTGTGGTTACCTTTGAAAATGGAAGGTAGCCACAAACCAAGAAATATGAGCCACCTCTAGAAGCTGGTCCATCTGGTCATATTCATAATGAATCACATTGAAACTGACTCTTCCACTTCCTTTTTTACTTGAAAGAACACTTGTGATTACGTTTCCTGTGCTCCACAATATAGAAAAATCTCCTTATTTTAAGGTCATATGATTAAAAAGCATAATTTCATCTACAACCTTAATTTCCTTTTGCCAGGTAACATAGCATAATAACGGCTTCTAGGCATTAGAACGTAGACAATATAGACTATTATTCTATCTTCCACATTGTGTGTATTCACACATTTCTTAAAGCTTGTGGGAGAGACATGCTGATTTTGTGAGTAAGCAAATAAATAGAAGTATTCAGAAGCTGTGAAACCTACTGGAAGTATTTTATAGTGTTATGAGTGCTTAAATCATGGAGAGTTGATCCCTATCAGGGAAAATATCCTTAGTTGGTGACACTTGTTTGACATCAGGAAAAAAAGAGCAGTTCAGTTAACAAAGGGATCAAGGGACATTTTCTTAGTCCATTATAGATGCTACTAAAAATTACTATAGCATTGGTGGCTTATAAACAACAGAAATTTCCTTCTCACAGTTCTGGAAGCTGGATGTTTGAGATCAATGTATCAGCATGGTTGGGTTCTGATGAGGGCCCTCTTGCAGGTTGCTCTGGGGTCTCTTTCATAAGAGCACTAATCCTTTTTATGAGGGAAAAATTTCATGACTTAATTACCTCCCAAGGCCCCCACTTCCTAATAACAACACATTGGGGATTAGGGTTTCAACATATGAATTTGGAATGAATTCAACTAATGAATTTCATATGTGTATGAATGTTTGTGTTTGAATTGGGCTGTACACAAACATTCAGTCCATTGCAATTACATACAAGGATTCAGAAACAAGGGAAAATAAGGGACTTGGAAGAACAGAAAGAAGGCCAGTGTGTCTAGAGCAAAGAAAGCCTTATAATTCAAACCAATGGTCTGGAATATTCTTATCATCTGATTGACTCAAGTGATTGAGATGATAAGAATACAACAGGGAAGAAAATCTGGGTTCCTCTTTCTCTTCTACCTACATAAATGGCCCATGCCCTTCTCAATTATATTTTTGGCTCCTCATATTGTAAAGACACGAGCTTAAATGTGTACAGAGAGTCCCATTTTTCTTTGGCCCTTAGAGATACTTAGAATATTTTTAAACATAACATGTATGTAAAACCTGAAATAGTTCTATAGAATTTAAACCTGTTTTTGATCATTTATTAGTACATATACACATGCTTAGTGATTTTTTGCATTACAATTTGAGTTTATATATATTAATACAATAGTCCTACCCATATCAATATTAAGGAGTTGATCTTTTTTAAAAAATCATTTTATCAGGATAAGAGCAAATTCTACATATTAAAAAATGTTTCATGATCAAAGAACTTTTCAGAGCATTTTTGGGTGAGGTTACTGGTGTGATAGTTTCAATTTATTCCTTCCTTTATACATTCAGAAAATATCTCCTGATCACTGGCTTTATCTGGGCACTGGGATAGCTACTAGGGTTTTAGGGGTGGATATAATGGATACAGTTCCCCTCACAGTGTACAAAAATTTGTTTTATTGTCTGTTACTTCAGGGAATAGATTAAATAATTATATCAGTCTGCTCTGATGAAAAAATATTATGGCACATAAATAACAGTATCAGTACAGCCAGTTGCACATTGAATATGAAAAAAGAAAAATAGATAACATGTTATCAGTTTATTCTAAAAGGCAGCTGGTGAGTGATCCAAATTCCTAGAATTAAGTTTCTATCCTCAAGCATGTGGTCGCATTTTTCGTACCCTCTATCTGGTCACAAAATTAATGGCATTAAACTATATATTTAGCACCTGTCTTTCATTTAGGATAAAAGCTTTCTAAGGGCAAGTGCCATAAATTCTTTGCCTCTTTTCTCTAGAAATGTCAGAGTATATGTGGTATGATATACATTGAATATCTCTAGCTAAACAGAACTAAAATATCATTTAGAGAAATTAAATCATATTGATGGGCAATTGTTTATGATAAGCTTATCTTCTTTCATTTCTATTTCAACATGCAGAACTTTAAGAAATAACACATATTTATTTAAAAGTAGCATATAGTAGTTTATACGTTTAAAATTTTGCTTCATAACAATCCAAGTGAAACTAGCATAAACATGAGCCTGTGCTATTTCAACAATGTAAGTAGATCTGCTCAAGATTAAAATACAACTTTTTTTAAATTTAGAAATCTCATAGCTGGAAAGTATAGTCCTATGTCATCCTGACATCATAGAAATGTTAATTTTTTTTGAAATACGCAATTCACGAATCTGTAGTTGGATGGGCTAACTTGTTAAATCTTATGAATTTCCTGGGTCCTATTTGTTAGCTACTGATGATATTGGCTGAAATATTTTTATATAACAATTATGACAAAAATAATATTTCCAGTTTTAACATGATTTTTAACAGTAAAATTTAAGGTTATTTTCAGATATAAGCCTACTTTATTCTGGCAACTATGAAAAACAAGCTTGATTACAATGAAGAGGATATAAAGGTTTTCTACATGATTTAATTTGGATAAAGAATATCAGGCATGCTTAAACTTTTGATAAGGCAGAATAAGTGAAATACTTTCTTTTTGTCCTAAAATTTGATTTATAAGAGGAAAGGAAAATAAATTTATACATACAGTTAATTTATTAACCACATATATTTTCACCATTAGAGAATTACAAAGGTGGAACTGGTCATATACAATTAAAGAAACTTTGTGGTCTGGTACACCAGGTTCTAAGTTTCACTTATTGGCTGAGTGACCTCCATGAATTCACACAAATTCTTTTTGACTCTCATATTCTGCATCAGCAAAATGGGACAATAATACCACAGGATACCTGTGGGGATTAAATGAGATTGTGCATGTAAAATGCTAATGCAATGCTTAACACAGAGAAATAATTAAAGGCTATTATTTATTCATTAATTATTACTCAATAATTGATGGCTACTATGCTTATTATTAAGCAGACATTGTTATCTGACCATAATATTTTTGCTAATGTATTTCTATTACTATACTGTTTATCTCCTTAGTAGAAAACATTAAGAAAACTAAGCTAATGAAGAGAGATAGAAAAAGTGATGCAAACCATCTTTTCTAATCTTGATATTTTTGAAGCTTTGCTTGTGCCATGATATTGACTTCTGGGTATGTGTTTAGAGTCTTCCTGGGTTTGATGTTTCTCGACCTTCTCTGACATTCTTCTGACCCTCCCAGCAGTCTTTCTCTAGCATTCTTCAACATTTCCTTGGCTTCCTGGCTGTGCTTCAATACTCTTGGAAATTTTCCCAGATGATTCATAAAGAAGCATGTAGAGTAAAAACCTCAGGGTCACAGACTTAGAAGGGGGTATTCTGAAGGGCAAAACAAGACTATCCAGTGCAGAATTTGTTCATAAATTAACAGAGAAGGTTTAAGTGAAAAAAAAACAAATTATTTTATTGAATAGAATAAACAACGATTTTAGAGAGTCAAATAAATCATCCATATACAAGAAAATTGAACTCAGTGGGAATGATTTTTCTAGTGGAATTTTTACTTTAATAGTGATTTTTTCAGCTTGCATAGTTCAAATAAGGTCTCTCCTATATTTATTCACAATGAGAGGTTAATATCTCCAAAGCAAACAAAGTATCTTTGTAATTTCTCTTAAAGACTAAAAATAATAGCTAGAACACAAACCAATGCCCAAAGAAAAATCACGTTCTAAATTTAAGCTTTTCTATAGGAATATACATCCTAATAGATGTTAATACAAATAATGTTTAAAATAAATATTTTAAAGCAAAACTTCTCATTAGAAGCAGTGTGGATTGCAAGAGAAAGAGCTTTGAAAATGATTGAAATGTTAACTCTCTATGATGAGGCAATAGCTATGAAATATAACGTGTGTTTCTCAGCTACTGATGGTGTTGCTTTTGGAGTTGGACAATATGCCTTTACCTGTCTGACCTGAAAAGCTGTCATGGTTCTTGTTTGTCAGCATGTGGCAGAGCTACCATAAATTTCAGAGGTGGAAAATCAGAGCTGGCTGTTTGTATCCTCTAGGTTCAAGTCATAAGGTCTCTTGAATCTGAAGGCTCTTTATGTCAGCATTTACCCAGAACTGTGGACATCTCTGTGGAAGCTGAAAACATCAGTTCCAAGGGCCTAGTATACTTGGGGATTCATAGAGTTATAGACCTCTGAAGTGCTGGCACCTACATGAGAGTTAGCCACTCACTCCCAAGTCCTATTTCTAGTCAGACAAATGGACACTCCTATTGTTATTAATCCAAAAGCCACTCTCTATCTCTTTCTGTGTCTCCTTCTTCATTACTTTTTTCTTGGACTTATTTTTACAAAAGTTTGGAAGAACACCTAATTTCAAGCAACTTTAATTTTTCAGTGGTAAAAAAAGAAAGAAAAATCCCTTAGTAAAAGATTCGCCAAAGGCTTTGTTATCTACTTGAAAAACACTAGAATATGACAGAAAATGGATACATACACACATACAGCAACAATTTTTTAAGTTAAGAATCTTGATCTATGAAGAACTGTTTCTCTTCCTCTGCTCTTGAAAGTATCATCCTATTGATCCTAATCTCACCCATTCAACAAATAACTGTATTTATTGAGCTCCTTTTGTAAGCAAATTTCTGAGTTAGACAGAAGATACGCAATGGTGGTCAAGACAACATGGCTGCCATTATCACGGAAATCACAGAGCAATGGGTTAGACAGACAACAAACATGTATAAATACAATTATGAGAGAAAAGAAAAGGAAGATATACATGGAATCTGAATCAAACAAAGCACCAATACACTACATACACTCCAGGAGCTAAAAGCCTAACATGCCAGGAGTTCATATATAAATACCTGGAAGTACATGAACAATTAAAATGGGTAAGACAGAAGGGAACAGATACGGTTTGGCTCTGTGTCCCCAAGCAAATCTCATCTTGAATTGTCTTTCCATAATTGCCACATGTTGTGGGAGGGACCCAGTGGGAGATAATTGAACCACTGGGGTGGTTTCTCTCATACTGTTCTCGTGATAGTGAATGAGTCTCAAGAGATCTGATGGTTTAAAAACAAACAAACAACAACAACAAAAAAAAAACAAGAGTTTGCCTGCACAAGCTGTCTTTCTTTGCCTGCTACCATCCATGTAAGATGTGTTTGCTCCTTTTGCCTTCCAACCATGATCGTGAGGCTTCCCCAGCCACGTGGAACTGAGTTCTCCATTAAACCTCTTTCCTTTGTAAATTGCCCAGTCTCAGGTATGTCTTTATCAACAGTGTGAAAACGGACTAATACAGTAAATTGGTACTGGGAGGGAGAGATTGCTGAAAAGATACTCCAAAATGTTGGAGTAACTTTGGAACTGGGTTACAGGCAGAGGTTGGAACAGTTTGGAGGACTCAGAAGAAGACAGGAAAATGTGGGAGAGGTTGGAACTCCCTAGAGACTTGTTGAGTGTCTTTGACCAATATGCTGCTAATGATATGGACAATGAAATCCAGGCTGAGGTGGTCTCAGATGTAGATGAAGAACTTGTTGGGAACTGGAGCAAAGGTGACTCTTGTTATCTTTTAGCAAAGAGACAGATGGTATTTTGTCCCTGCCCTAAAGATTTGTGGAACTTTGAACTTGAGAGAAATGATTTAGGGTATCTGACAGAAGACATTTTTAAGCAGCAAAGCATTCAGGAGGTGACTTTGGTACTGTTAAAAGCATTCAGTTTTAAAAGGGAAACAGGATAAAAGTTTGGAAAAATTGCAGCCTGACAATACGATAGAAAGGAAAACCTCATTTTTTGAGGAGAAATTCAAGCCAGCTGCAGAAATTTGCATAAGTAATGGGTAGCTGAATGTTAATCCCCAAGACAATGGGGAAAATGTCTCTAGGACATATCAGAGGTCTTCACATCAGGCCTGGAGGCCTAGGAGAAAATGATCTTGTGGGGCAGTCCCAGGGTCCCCATGCTGCGTGCAGCCTAGGCGCTTGGTGCCCTGTGTCCCAACTGCTTCAGCCATGGCTGAAAGGGGTCAATATAGAGCTCAGGCCATCGCTTCAGAGGGTGCAAGCCCCAAGACTTGGCAGCTTCCACATGGTGTTGAGCCTGTGAGTGCACAGAAGCCAAGAATTGAGGTTTGGGAACCTCCACCTAGATTTCAGAAGATGTATGGAAATGCCTGGATGTCCAGGCACAAGTTTGCTGCAGGGCCAGGGTACTCATGAAGAACCTCTGCTAGGGCAGTGCAGAAGGGAAATGTGGGGTTGGAGCCCCCAAATGGAGTCTATATTGGGGCACTGCCTAGTGAAGCTGTGAGAAGAGGGCTCCAGTCCTCCAGACCCCAGAATGGTAGCTCCACTGAAGCTTGAACCGTGTGCCTGGAAAAGCCACAGACACTCAATGCCAGCCCATGAATGCAGCTGGGAGGGAGGTTGTACCCTACAAAGCCACAGGGACAGAGTGCCCAAGACCATGAGAACCCACTTCTTGCATCAGCATGACCCAGATGCGAGACATGGCTTCAAAGGAGATCATTTTGGAGCTTTAAGATTTGACTAACCTGCTGGATTTTGGACTTGCATGGTGCCTGTAGCCCTTTTTCAGTAGCCAATTTCTCCCATTTGGAATGGCTGTATTTACCCAATGCCTGTATCCCCATTGTATCTAGGAAGTAATTAGCTTGCTTCTGATATTATAGGCTCATAAGTGGAAGGGACTTGCCTTGTCTCAGATAAGACTTTGGACTGTGGACTTCTGAGTTAATGCTGAAATGAGTTAAGACTTTGGGGGACTGCTGGGCAGGCATGATTGGTTTTGAAATGTAAGAACAAGAGATTTGTCAGAGGCCAAGGGTGGAATGATATGGTTTGGCTCTGTGGCCCCACCCAAATATCATCTTGAATTGTACTCCCATAATTCCCACATGTTGTGGGAGGGACCTGGTGGAGATAATTGAATCATGGGGTAATTTCTCCCATACTGTTCTCATGATAGTGAATGAGATATGGAATGCCACTGCCTGATAATGAATGAGACAGTGAATGCCATGTTGGCCCCTTTCAGCCATGGCTGAAGTAGTTGGGATGCAGGGCACCAAGATCTGGTGGTTTAAAAAAAAAAAAAAAAGCCTGCACATGCTCTCTCCCTTTGCCTGTCACCATCCATGTAAGATGTGACTTGCTCCTCCATGCCTTCAGTCATAATGGTGAGGCTTCCCCAACCATGTGGAGCTGTGGGTTCTCCATTAAACCTCTTTTCTTTGTAAATTGCCCAGTCTTGTGTATGTCATTATCAAGCAGCATGAAAACGGATTAATATAGGAACACAGTGATGAATTGGACTCATTCCTCTTGTCCAGGAACTAGTAGTTTCTGGCTAAAAATATAAAATCTAGATTTATGGAAAATGTGATTTTTTAGAGTGAAATTTTAGGATAAAGATGATAAAGAAATATAATAAAGGGCACTGGCTACCCATGCAAACAGAGTAGACTCCACAACTGGCCTTTATTTTATGCCACGTGGATTTCAGAACTAATCTGATCTGTTCACATTTCTCCTATCCCTGGTGCTTGGTGGTATGCTGCTTTCCACCTAATGGGTGTGGGCTAGGAGTTAAAAAGAGCAAATGCCATCACTTCTATCAAAATTTAACAGAGCAAGATTTACTTTACAGATCGAAAGAGGTGCTTAAAAATATGATGAAATATTACAAATAACCAAAAGTTTGAAAGCCAATGGAACTAAAAAAAAAATTATACCTGTGAAAACACAATAAAGTTTAGTCAAACTAAACGGCATTCAGGGAACTCCAGCTCCTTTTTTCTTTCCCTCAAAACCTATCTGATGAACTTTCATTCAGATCTTAGTCATTTTTGTCTAACGTTTCCTGTTTGATTTCTAATTCTTTAGCTGCTAGTGAGTACATTGGACTTAATTTTATTATTATTAATATTAGCATTACATTATATATATGCATTATATATGTTTAGATGTCTGATAAATATATGTATGCATTCAATAAGATTGGCATGTCTAATAAAACTCATTTCTTATTAAACTTATTACAGTAGAAATTTGGAAGAAGAAAAAGATTGATAATTAAATGACTTATTCAAGAAGACTTGAGTTCTGCCTTCTTGTAGCATAAAGTATACTTATCAGCAAGGTTTTTTTACATCTCAGGAATACTCCTATTCCAAATGGAAATTTAACCATTAAAACATAATTGTCCCTGTCAAACTTGAAAGACAATATTCAACCAAGTCATCGAAAATTAAAATTTATGCCCTCCAATTTATGCCCTATTTTTATTACCAAATTATCCATATATGGAAATGTTCATTGATGTGTGTGTGTGTGTGTGTGTGTTTCTACTTTGTCCCTTGTATTAGAAGATGTCTCGTTTTAAAACAAAATAATGCACATGCAACACTACTGTAATAAATCATCTATGAAAAATGTAAAAGATGCCATTATATATCTGTTAGTGCTTCCTTTTATAATTAGATATGTTATAATTTCTTCAGTTCTGCCGACTATCTATGACTTTTTTTGGAAGTTCATTCATAATGTAAATGAATATGCATTTTCCCATGATGGACACTGAACACTACTGTTATGTCATTGATGATGGGGCCGTTACAAATGCAAGAAGAAAAAGAAAAACTTCAGGAGTTATTTTTTACTCCAGCAAATGTTATGGGGGAAAAATCACTATACATTGGTTTTGGATAAACAGTCTGCCCACTTCCACCATTTATATGAATCAGGTTTCTAGAAAAACTTGAATGACTATCATCTGTGAATTTACTCTAGAAAGAAGAAATTTCACCTTTTCTCTTATTTTTCCACATGACAACAATAGAAAGAATAATTTATCCTTGATAAGACACACTAAGATATAAAATATTATAAAATTTATAAGATTTTAACATTATAACATTTATAAATTCCTACTGAGGAATTTATTTATTAATAGAAAATGCCTTTTAGGATAAAATAAGTATTTTAATAGGAAGACATATATTCACGTTTGAGTTTATTTGAACCAATTCTAAACCAAGTCAGATATTTTGCAGTATACATTCTGAAGACCAAAGGATATACTGAATAATGTATATTATTTAACAACTCCCACTCATTTATATCATCTCATTCCATGCTGAAAATAACCTTGCTATACAGTGTATGCATATGTAAATATTATTAACCTGTTTATGATAATAAATTATAGTAAGGATAAAGGAAAATAGATCCTATTTCTTAACTTTTGATCAGATTTTAGTATAACTATAGAAAAACATAATTTCCTCTGAAGTATCTAGATAATTAAAACAAAATTTGCTCACTTTAAAAAATGGTTAGAGATATTCCAAATTATTTAACTATTAATATTACCAATTCCCCATATTTTAAATTCCTTAATATGATCTTTGATAACTAAAGAGATCACTTCATATGATACAGAGTATATACTCAATAAATCTCATTTGAATAAATATATGTAAATGAGTTTTATTTTCATTTAATTGTTTTACTATCCTAGCAGACTCTTTTTTCCCTGTGTTATAAAAATGAGTGTCATCCTGTCTTCCTGATGTCACACAATCAGACAATAAGAAAAGCCTTTATCTAATCCAGGTTCTCAAACTTCTTTTTATCTCTCTAGACCCTGGGAGAAAAATAGGTCTAATCCAGCACAAAGTAATCAAAGTGAATTTCCAGGGATACTAAGATGATGCCTAGAGTCTCATTTTTGAACATATTGCAGTATGATATATAAAATATTAATAGCTAAATTTCCAATAAGGTTGAGAGTGTCTCGAAAATGTAATAGAAACCTGATATGTACATTTAGTACAACATAGTTATAGAATACATATCCTTGAAGAAGGCATTTAATTATCAATCTGTTTTGTTTATCCAAAATTTTCATCATTCTAAATTTTAATGCACATCCACACACGTGTGCAAACATGTATGCAATTTGTATACAATGAACCAATTTGTATACAATGAATTCTTGAGGAATGGTAGATATTGGAGACATAAAAAATCTTTTTCCCTCTGTTGGAGCACACATAAATGGATTCTTATTGATTATATCATGTAACCCACCACCAGCATAGATTATGGATATATTTTCCCATTTTGCTATCAGTTATTTTCCTAACGTCTGTATACAAATAATATACACATTCCACAGAAAAAAATAAAAGAATACAGACACACAGACACAGACACACACACACACACACACACACATTTTTTGAAACTGAAAGTATATATTAAACAATGATCCTCAGCTTTTAAAAGCTCTTCATAGGCTATGCTCATGCCTGTAATCCTAGCACTTTGGGAGGCTGAGGTAGACAGACTGCTTGAGCCCAGGACTTCCAGACCAGTCTGGGCAACATGGTGAAAATCCATCTCTGCAAAAAATGCAAAAATTAGCTGGGTGTGGTGGTGTACACCTGTAGTCCCAGCTATTCAGGAAGCTCAAGTGGGAGGATTACCTGAGCCCAGGAAGTTGAGGCTGCAGTGAGCCATGAAGTCTGGGTGAAGGGAGTCAGAAAATAAAAAATAATTACATTTTAAAAACTCTTCATGTATATATATTATACATAACGTAATTGAGTATATTTAATTAAGTATGGCATTGGATGATAACAGTTATAATTTATGTTTTTCTTGCAGTTTTTGAAGGACGTTTGTGCCCTATGATAATTTGATTGGTAGGCATGACTATAAGCCCCATAAAAATGTAGATACACTGTTCTTTAGTGAAAAGCATATGATTTGGGATCATAATTTTTCTACTTATTCATATTGAGCAAGTTAGCTCACTTTTCTAAGTTCTAGTTTTCCTAATTGATAAAAAAGGGAGGAGGATAATCATACATACATTATCGATGGATAATTTAGTTGTTAATACAATAATGCTGGATAATAAACTACCACCAAAAAACCTCAGAGGCTTAAAGCAATAACCATTTGTTATTGCTCAGGAGTCTATTTGGTCATCTGAGTCAAGCTGCTGATCTGGGCTGAGCTTGGCTCGTCGTGCCTCACTTCATTTACAGATCTGCAACCAGCTAGCAAGTCACTTGGGGGCTGGTTTAGGATGTCCTTTGCTGGGACTGTTCATGTCTGCTTTGCATGTTCTCTCATGTTGGAATAAACTTTCCTCTTTCCTTTGGAATCCTTTTGAAAGAGTGGAAGTCCACAGAGTGTCTTGAGGACTAGGTTCAAATCTGGCACAATATCTCATCCATAACTTTTTATTGGCCAAAGCAAGTTGCTAGGCCCATCTAGACTCAAGGAATGGGGACATATTTATCCTTTGAAAGAAGGAGTAGAAAGTCCCATTATGAAAGAACAGTGGAGAATTAGAGCCATTTTTGCAATAACTCTAACATGATATAGTTTTGTAAATTTAAAGTAAAATACTATATAATGTATGTATAGTTATCTGTAATGCGACAGTTTTCCAATGCTCATCCCTTATTTTACAGAAGAGGAGACAGAGTTATAGAGAGTGTAATGTGTCTATTTAAGGCTATCTACTATTAAAAATCAGATTTGGCCCCGGAGCCTAGATCTCTTGCCTCCTATGTATTTGCATAGCACTTTATTCCTGTAAAATGTTGTAAATAATATATTGAAATAAACAAAGCAGATGGGACTTGATTATTCCATAGTTATTCATATAGTTTTACTTGCAACATGGTATTAATAGCATATATAGTTCTGTTACATTCTAATTCTGTGTTTCTCCTGGGTAATTTAAGCTGCAAATTTTTATTTTTATTTTATTTTATTATTAATATTTAGTACTATCCAATCTGTCACTAGCAAGAAAATCTTTAATGTGAAGGAATGTCAAGGGAAATCTCTTTCAATTTTTATGACCCTCTGAGTGAAAATCAAAAAAATCACAACAAACATATTTAAGAAAGTTTCAGTTTAAACCCTGATGGAAATATAAATGATCATTTATTTTTTACTTAGGTTTATAGTATTTACAATTCTTGGATTTTAAGTTTTATTTGCTGTGTATTTTTAAAAGCATTGGAAAAAACATATCAAATGAATTATAGTGTTGGCAAATCTTTGTCATTTGGATGAACTATTCATTGGTCTTAGATTCTTCTTTTAACCTTGATAAATTTTCCTCTTGCACGAGATGAAAATAAAGCTACCCACACGAGACTTTATGTCAGTTTTACAACAGCCAAGGAAAGCAAGGATATTCTTAAACACAATCAGTTTATGATATGAGACATAATGTTGTTTTATTTGTGAGACTATCTGGTGCAGTTACAAGTATTTCATAACACCCAGTTTCTTTGAAAATCCTGCTAGCTTATTAGTTCTAATGACATCTTGCCCCAGAGATTCACATTTCTTAAGCATGGCTTGTCTAAAGTACTTAATGTGTTTGTAATTCACACTGGCATATTTTACATATTGTACTCTCAAATTACTACTCTGCAATTTACATGTGATCTTGCTTTCAATTTCGATAAGAAAGATTTCCTATGTCATGTCTGCATTGAAAAAGTAAAAACACATGCTTCTCATTTGTTTCCTTTCTGGATTGGTCTCCTGGTCCTTATTTGACAAATTGAACTTGGATTATATCTAGGCATGAGAGCATCTGGATGCTGCTGCTGTGTGTCCCTCAGTACCTCCCCATATTTCTGCTGTTATTGTCTCAGTTTTTGCTCTGGCAATCTTAGTGCTCAGCAAATGTTTATTGTCTTAGCTAAATAAGACTACTTAGATTTATTTAATGAATAAAAAACATTATAGGAATTCTGTATTCCAAGTTAATTTTATGAAGTACTGAAGGACAATGCCTTAGTTTATTTTTTTTTCAGCCTACTGAATCAGTATTTCAAGGGCAGGCATTTCAGGATCTGTGTTTTAAACAAAAGGCCCAAATAATTCTTATGACTAAGAAGTATTTTCACTGAAGAATAAAAAAAAATACAGTGAAATTCAAGTCCATCCCTGGACCTGAGTAGAGAAGTAAACTTACTTAATTCCTAATTGTATAACTTTTAGTAAATTGACTAATCACACCAGATTTCTGATTTTTATCCTCTAAGATAGTTTTAAAAAAACACACTTAGGCTTCTTACAAAAATACTTGTGGAATAAAAAGGAAATAAGTTTGGAAATGTTTCAAAAACATTTATACAAATATATCATTTTTCCTGTGCTTATGATTGCTGCTAATACTTTTTATTCTGGGCAAAGACATTTACTTTTCTCAAATCCCAATACATTTAGTTGATGGCTATAAC
The DNA here is from genome assembly GCF_000001405.40 of Homo sapiens. Classification (NCBI taxonomy): domain Eukaryota; kingdom Metazoa; phylum Chordata; class Mammalia; order Primates; family Hominidae; genus Homo; species Homo sapiens. The sequence goes on from NC_000013.11 coordinate 68,186,719, forward strand.
TTTCTATTGTTTTGTTCAGTTTTGAAATTCAAACGTGGTTTAATAGTCATAAGAATTAATTTGAACAAATAGGACATATAAAATATAATGTTAATTAGTATCACAGATTATTTGCTTTCTGAATGAATATATTGCAGTTTCTTCTTAGAAGTCAGAAATTTTCACCTAAATACAATGAGTATAAAGGTGATTTTTTACATCTGTGTCATGTAGCACTGCCAAAATAAAATATTTATTTTTCATTGATAGAAAGTAACTTATAGCACCTTTTCTCTTCCTGCTGAAATATTACCAATTAAATAAAACATGAGTTCTAGAGAGATTTTTTGCTTTCATTTCTCCATATGGATTTCAGAACTCTCTGTTCTCTCTCCTAGAGCATACCCCAAACTGATTTCTAGCTAGTGTATTTTTATGCATTCTGGTACTTTGAATTCTGAGACAAACCAAATTCCTGAATAAGTTAGAATATCAGGAAGCTCAGGACTTGGGTTTGGGTCCACTAGGTAAACTCTGATTCTCATCAGGAAAACAACGTGAAGGCAATTATAAATGAGATCTTTTACTAGTGAATAACAAGAAAAGAACAAGAAAGCTACATAATAAGTTTAGCACAACACCTGAGAATAAATCATTATACTTATATTTTAATCAATTTGATACATCTCAACTATTAGTACTCTATTCTCAGAGGATACGCAAATAAAGAATGGTTTGTGCTGCCTAACAGATATCTAATCCATTCAGGAATAGCCTGATGTTTCTATTTCTGCAAAATTTAGTCTTTATTGTTGGCAATAGAAGCCTATATGTCAAAACTACCCTCCCCATCCTCCTTCAATAAATGAAAAGGCAAAGACACCTTGTCTCAGAGGTGTGTGCTCCTAGTGAGGGTGGGAGAAGGTAAAGAATATGGAGGGGGTGCCCCTAACACATTACCTGAATTCCTGTGAAGAGATCAGTGCACAAATGGAGGGCGGTATAATCATTGTATTCTATATCTGGAGCTCATAATGGCAGCAAGGAAAAAGAAGGAAAAGTATACTTGTGGAAAAAAAAAATGTCATTCTAGAGGAGAGAAGGAAACAAGCAAGATGAAAGTCCTAAGTCCCTAGGCTGGACCATATTTGAACCAGAGGTGGGCACTAGGTCCTAGTGTATCAGAAGATGAAATAGCTAATGTATGACTTGTTCTAAATTTCCTAAGCTCACTGAAACTATACTCATAGAGGAAAAAATACATCTTAAAGTATTATGATAATATTTGAAATTCTAAAGTAAGATATTAACTGTTTACATAGTACTGAATTGCCGGCCTGTACTGGCAGTAGATTTGAGGGTCTGTTGTCAAATGATGAATATATATGTAGGACAGTTTCGCTTTTTTGAAAGGATTCGTGAGCAAGTATGTGCTAAACCAGTCGAATTGTGATTAGGACCCTGCCTTTTTTACTAAAAGTATGGCAAAGTAGGGTGATTAGGCACAAACACTCCCACTCCAGAGACACAGAAGTTTTATTTGTGAAGTCTCTGATAGCTCCATGAAAATGGAATTTAGACAAAAGAAACGAGTCTGCAGTGCTTTGTGTTGAAATTGCTGAGGCAGTGTGCTTACCAGTACCACTTGAAGCATTTTTTTCTACTAAGGAATAAGAAATATAAATATATTGATATTACAAAGGGATTGCAGAAATGTCTGACTTTTTTTTACATGGATTCTTTATAGTAATATATTATCTTTAGCTGCAGGGTTATTCTGTCTTCCATGGTAGCATGATATAGAGGAGAGGATATATGTGGGTATATTTGTGTGTGTGTATGCACATTTACGCATATGTGTATGTGTGTTTATATGTAGTATGCTTGGGCAAGAGGAAAGGTCAGTAAAGTAATTAAACAAAGCCACATGATAGCTCATTACCTCCCTTCTTAGAGGAGACTGAAGATCCCCCTTTTGTATCCCTGCATATATATTTCTCTGTTTGACTTTGAGAGAATTTGTGTGTATAGAGAAATCATGAAAAAAGCTCATCCATCAACAGTTTTTGCAGCTTTATAAACCCTCAAAATCTAATGTGAGTACTTTGCTGTTGTCACTTGCATTTTCTCACTTCATTGGACAATTAGATTATTTGATGTGTTTTTAAAGTAATTACGAGCACAAAAGTGTCTCCTGTTGATTATGACAAATGCCTGTCAAGCTGTGAACTATCTAGGAAAGTATTCAAATCTATTAAGAACCCGATGATCTTTTTTATAATTTATTTCACTCTAGGCAGAGGCTGATATGACAGAATTAAATTTAAGGTTATTCAGTGACACCAGATTACCCAGGAGCTATCACTGATGAAAGTCAAAGAAAAGGGGAAAAAAAAGAGAGAGTTTTACAAGGACCCTGAACTTATATTTTTAGACAAGTAAAATAGAAAAATATTTTCATGTTTTTATTAATTCATTCAAAACTTCACTGGGTACTGTCAGGCAGTATATTGCTTACCATGACTCAGTGAAGAATAGGCCACTTTCTCTGTTGTCAAGGGTCTTAAAACTTGATTGTGAACAATGAAAAGTAAAATAAAATACAAAACAAAGTATGATTAGAGTAAGAAGGGCTTAAACTAGCTCATAGGAGGGGCAACTAAACATTTTAATTGTAAGAATTTCCCTGAAAAATAGTTATTTAAATGTTTGGACTATATTTGAAAAAGTCAGTCTGTATAGGATAGAGAAGGAGAGCAAAGGGAAAACTATTTCCAGATAAAAGTATAGCATATACACAGGGTCAAGGAAATCAGTCTATCAAATTGGTAAACTGAAAATTCTTCAGTATGCTACAACATAAGAATATAAGACAAATGTGCCAAAAATTGGATGTGGCAGTTTAGCAGGATTTTGGGAGATGGAATTACAAGTTTAGAATCAGTAGGGAGCCAGTGAACATGTTTAATTAGAGGAGTGATATGATCAGATGTATACTTTAAAAAGAAAAAAAAAGTATCTAACAGTCATAGGGAGAACTGAAATGAAGCAAGACTGAATAAAGCCAGACCAGATTTAGCAGAAAGATAATTTAGACAAATTTAAGAATGGCACTTCCATTTCCAACTTGGACAACTGGGAGTTTATTGGTTCAAATCACCAAGATCAGAGACCTAGGAAAAACAAGTTTCTAATTGTATGAGGAGAGGGAGTCCAGCTTCGATCATTATGAATTTGAGAATTCCTGTGGGATAGGCTGACAGGGGAGAGGATTGAAAAGCATCAGTGTGGAAAACACTTCCTGTTAACGCAAAGCTTAAGAGGAGTGACCACTTGCCAGTCAGACACTGGGCTTTAAACTTGCAATATTGTAATTGATTCAAGAGATGGGAAAACATCAACAGCAGGCCAATTTCCCTCCAGGTTGTGGGGAAGAGATGATCAGGGTAGATGCTCTCTCAAACTTCTCAGTTTCTTAATGATCTAATTTAGATGTCCTAGCTTTTCTATTGTTTTCGTCTGTTTCTGACTTAGAAGATTAGGTTGTTTCCCACCTAAAAAGACCCATGTTGTGTATTGTTTGATGTAAAACAGTATCAAATCGCTTTGGGATGGCTTTGCCTCCAACAGCTAGCACCTGCAGTTCCTCCAGCCTGTTCTGTCCACAACCTAGAAAGTCAGAAGTGTCCAGGAATTTGTATTTCCCATGGGTGGTCATTAACTAAGGACTTACAGGTGTGGGAAAAAGCAAGCCCCCCCCCACCCCCGCCCCCCACCAGATTCCTTGACAGAGGTCAGGACAATTTTGTGCCATAACTTGTACTCAATCCGTAGTTACCACTTTGAGGACTATGCCTGAGACCACACTCTTGATTGGCTTACTCCCTACTGTTCTGCTTTATTGATTCCCTTTTGGCGTGTCCCCTGATAAAATTCCCTTAATAAGTTATTTGCTCACAAATTCTCATCCTAGGCTCCACTTCCCGGGACTCTGTCCTAAGACATACTGTTTTCATGTTTACCTTACCAATTCCCACACTCCTCTATGCATCTGTCCACAGGAACCAGTGAAATGTCTGGAATACCTCTTCACACATAAATCTAATAGAGGATGCTTGATGTTTCCCAAGATGGTCCCATTTCTGATCTATGAGTAAATTGACACGAAATACACATTTTACATTTTGAATGTGTTAAGAGGTGTGATTGTTAGTACTAGGTGTCAACTTGATTGGATTGGAGAACGCCTAGATAACCGGTAAAGTATTTTTCCTGGGTGTGTCTGTGAGTGTGTTGCCACAGGAGATTGGCATTTGAGTCAGTGGACTGGGAGAGGATGACTCACCCTCAATGTGGGTGGGTCCAATCAATTGCTAGCAAGGCTAGAAAAAGCAAGTGGAAGAAGGTGAGATGAGCCTGGCTTGCTGAGTCTTCTGGCTTCCATCTTTCTCCTGTGCTGTATGCTTCCTCCCATTCTTCCTGCCCTTGGACCTCAGACTCCAGGTTATTCGGCCTTTGGACTCTTGAACTTACACCTGTCGTTTGTCAGGGATTCTCAGAACTTTGGCCTCAGACTGAAGGCTGTACCGTCAGCTTCCCTGCTTTTGAGGCTTTTAGCCTCCAACTGAGCCACTACTGGCTTCTTTCTTCCCCAGCTTGCAGATGGCCTATCATGGGACTTTGCCTTGTGATCGTGTGAGCAAATTCTCCCTAACAAACTCCCTTTCATATATACATATATCCTATTAGTTATGTTCCTCTGAAGAACCCTGATTAATACAAGAGGTAAATGTTTTATATATGCACATGCATGCATGCACATGTTATATATGTTTGTATATGTGTATGTATGTAGTAACAATAATAAATCTACTTGTATTTGTCAGAATGTTTTCAAGTACAAGTGACAGAATTCCAACTAAAACTAACTTAAACAAAAAAAGATAATTAATTATCACATAAATCGTGCATGCCCAAACAGTAGGTGTCGCCTTGAGCATGGCTGAATTTGGGGTTCAATGAGGTCATTAGAAATTGATCTACCTCTTTCATCTCCTGCATATGTTTGTTTCAGCTACCTTCTTTCTAGATAGGCTCTGCCAACAAGGAGACAAAATGGCTGCTGGAAGCTTTAAGTTTATAGTGACCTCATAAATCTGGATTCTACAGTTGCTATTTTAAAAATGCAATTCCTTTTATGCTTTTTTGTTGATGACCTATTTTTTTTAATCTTTCTCTCCAGAAGCTTTTAGGATTTTCTCTCTATCCCTGCTGTTTTGCAATTTCACAATGATTTGTCTTGTTATGGATCTTTTAAATTTCATTTTGCTGGCCTCTCTCCGGGCTCTTTGAATCTGAAAACTTATATTAACCAGGCCTGGGAATCATTTTTATATTATTACATTGATGGTAACCTCACTTCCATTTTCTTCTTCCCTTTTCCTGATATCCAAATCATTTTAGTCAAGTGTAGTGATCTTCACATTGTCTTATTATTTTCATTTTAAATTCATTGTTTTGTTCTATTTTCTAGCTGATAGTTTCAAATTTACATTTCACTCAGTTGGTCTTATTTTTAAATTCTAATGATGTTTTTTCTTATGATCTAAAATATGTTTTAGAATAGTGTTGATTTTTTACTGGATGGGATATCTTACCTTTTGGATGATTTTTAAACTTTCTTCTTATTCTTGTATTTTTCTGTCTTTCCTCAAATTCTTTCATTGTTCCAGTTTGTCTTGCTTAAATATTTTATGGCAAGAACTTTCTTTAATCATTTCCTTAAATGTCTGGTGGTTTGTGGGTGTCCTGTCACAGTTAAGTATGAGATTCTAAGAAAATTACAGAAAATTCTGTGGGCAGGGACAGAAGTTGATGGATGAGCTTTACGTTTTGTTGATCAGATGGAGGCTCAGCTATTTCACTGGGAAATTGTGAAAGGTCAGTATCTATAGGTCTTTGCTTTTCCAGTTATTGTATTTCCCAATGAAAAAGTCCTCAATCATTTTCCTGGATATAAACCCGTTTGTCTCTGTTCTGGAGGCCAATGGAGGGAAGAGGCAAATGCTTCAGCACAAAGATATTCACTTAATATCACCCTAAACTTGCATTTAGTGTCCGTGAAATAGGAATCTTTTTTCAACCCAACCTTCCACAAATTATGAGGGTTGTCTGAGTTATCTGCTGCATGAGCAGTTACCCCAAAACTTAGTGACTAAACACAGTAATAACCATTTATTATCTCTCATAATTTTGGTGGATCTGAAATTCCGGGGAAGTTTGAGTTGTTCTGGTTCAGGGTCTCTCCATGAGGTTATAGGGAGACATCTGCCAGCATTCCGTCATTTGAAGCCTTTGCTGTAGTTGTAGGATCTGCTTTCAAAGGTTGTTAATTCACATAGCTGACAACTTAGAAGTAACTATTAGTGGAAGTTCTCAGTTTCTGTCCAACAAGGGTGTACTCCCAGGGCTGCTGGAGTGTCCTCAGAGCAGTTAGAGCTCCCTAAAGTAAATGATCTGAGAGGATAAGTGAAAGGTGAAATGCCTTTTATGATCTAGCCTCAGAATTTGTATGTCATGTCTTCCACGGTTATCTACTGGTCACGTATCTCATTCCTGATTCAACGTGGGAAGGGACTGCACAAGGGCATGAGTACCAGAACACTGCGGGCCACCCAGGAGGGTGTCTGCCACAAAGGTGTTTATTACTACTTGTTTGTATTCTTATCTCCTTGCCATTAAACATTGGCGTAAATAGGTGATTGTCTTTTAAAAAAGTTTTATTTATATGTGCAATAAGATATTTACATAGCTCTACACATACACACACACACACACACACACACAATGACATATTATAGTTTTTTACCTCAATATAGTAAGATCAGTGTTCCAGTTACATTTCTCTGCATCCTCTCAAATCTGCCTTCCTTTGTTTATTGACTTCATATGAATGCTGGCTTCTTCCATAATTAGTAAATGACTAAAACAACATATACCTTAATTATAGGCAGTGAAAAAAGAATCCGCTCAGTGAAACATAAAAAAAAAATTCAGATAGTTTTCTGCCTTTCAGCTTTTATCTCAAGATATAAAACCAATCTTCATGCATCTTTACTTATGGAAAGTAATATTTCAGATTGAAAAAGTCTGGACTCTTTTCAAAAGAGTGTTCTCAGTCTTCTTAGGGAAACACGTTAGGAGAAACATTAAAGCATCTATGTACTTGAGTCATCTTTTTTTCCTTTTCTTTTTCTTTCTTTGTTCTAACTAAATGGCACACTTTACTCAGACATCCTTAGTCTCCCATCGTGCCCTTTGGATGCAGGATCTTATTCAGCAAATCTCAGGATATGCCCTTATCATGTCTCTTTAGCGTCTTCTGTACCATAACCGTTTCACAGGCTTCCCTTGATTTTGATGATCTTGAGAGTTTTGAAGAGTACTACTCAGGTATTTTGTAGAATAAGTAACCCTCAATTTTACTGTGTCTGATTTGTTTTTCACAGTAATTCTGGAGTTATGGGTGTGGAAAAAAGATTAGAGAGATAAAGTTTTATTCTCATTACAACATAACAAGGGTACATGCTTTCAACATGACTTGGCACTGTTCATGTTAACCTTCATCACCTGGCCAAAGCAGTTCTCTCCACTGTAAAGTTACTCACCATCCCCTAATAATCCACTCTTTAGAAACAAGTCATTAAATGCAATCCATGATCAAAAGGTGGAGAGCTAAGTTCCACCTCCATGAGAAAGAAGTATATACATAAATTACTAGGAATTCTTTTCTATGGGACATTTGTTTCTTCTTTCACTCCAATATATATCTATAAAATATGTGATTAGGCAATTTTATTGTTGTGAAAACATCAGAGTATTCTTACACAAACCTAGATGGCATAGCCCACCACACACTAGGCCGTATGGTATAGCCTATTGTTCCTAGACTACAAACCTGTACAGCATGTTACAGTACTGAATACTGTAGGTAATTGTAATACCATGGCATTTATGTATCTGAACATATCTAAACATATAAATCATACAGTAAAAATACAGTATAAAAGATAAAAGATGGTCCACCTCTATGGGGCACTTACCAGGAATGAAGCTTGCAGTCTTGAAGCTGCTCTTGGTGAGTCAATGAGTGAGTGGTAAGTTAATGTGAAGGCCTAGGACATTACTGCAAACTACCATAGACTTTATAAACACTGTACATTTAGTCTACACTAAGTTTATTTTAACATTTTTTCTTTCTTTCATAATCTTAGGATACTATAATCTATTTACTTTATAAACTGAATTTTTAAATTATTGATGCTATTGTAATAACACAGCTTAAAATGCAAACACATTGTACAGCAGTACAAAATAGTTTTTCTTTATTCTATAAGCTCTTTCCACTTTTAATTTTATATTTTTAATTTATAAACTTGTATTTAGTGTCCATGAAATAGGAATCTCTTTTCAACAAACTAAGACACTAACATACACATTAGCTTAGGCCTACACAGGGTCAAGGTCATCAGTGTAATGTTCACCTCCACACTTTGTCCCACTAGAAGGCCTTCAAGGGCAATAACATGCATGGAGCTGTCGTCTCCTGTGATCACAATGCCTTGTTCTGGAATAATTCTTGAAGGTACTGCCTGCAACTCTTTTAGAGTTAACTTTTTAAAAACACAAGTATAATAAGTACACTTTAAAGTAATGAAAAAGTATAATATAATAAACATGTAAACTGGTAACATAGTTGTTTATTATCGTTTTTAAGTATTATACACTGAACACGATTTTATGTGCTATAAGACTGACAGCACAGCAAGTTTTGTGTTTATACCTGCATCACCACAAACCTGCCCTGTGCTATAATCTTAGGATGACTACAGTATCAATAAGTAATAGGAATGTTTTGGCTCCACTATAATCTTATAAGAACTTTGTCATATATGCTGTCTGTCATTGACTGAAACATCATTATATAATGCATGACTGTATAAACATACACACACACATAAATACAAACGTATATATAATATATATGCTTTTAATAAATATACTTTTAATTTAATAAACTTTAATAAGGATTCTTGGATGTATTACTACATTATTTATATTGTTGCTCAAATGGTTCCAACTTTGGCAACTGGGAGTGCTTTCAGTTGGCTTCTTTGTCCTTTGGATATGTTCCTATTTCTTTCTTTTTTTTTAAGCACTTCTTTACTTTCTAGCAATCACATTCCTCATGATTATTTTATATATTCCCTAGTTCAGCCCTAGAATCAGCAATTCTTCAAGAAACTCTTATTCTTCATATTGATGACTTTTATCAGATACAAGATCTGGGTGCTATATATATATTGGGATTGGGGTATCATTGCCTGTGACCCCTCTCAATTGGCAGAACTAGGAAATATATGTATGTACACTAATCAATGCAGCTACATATGTCTATAATTATTATTGTATCAATCCATCTATAATTAAGCTAAATATGAGTTCATAGTAATACTTCTGACTCTAATGCTGGGCCATGAGAACCATTCTAACCTTTCCCATGGCACTCATTTTGCAGTAGAGAATATGAATTTAGACCCTGGATTTAAGATCTGTCTTTTATACAGTAGCAGAAATCAAGCAGACAACTTTGTCTGAAGAAGTGCAAAATGCACCCTTGGGGTAGAATCATTTTGTGTTTTTTTGTTTGTTTGTTTGTTTGCGACTGCTGTTGTAATTTCAATTTTCTCTTATATGTGGTTTTCTCTAGTTTAGCCGTCCCTTTAGAGATTTTTTAATATGATTAGTCAATGATTTAGTTTAATTGAATTTCAGTATTCTCAATATCAAAATGAAGTTATTAAATTTAACATGTCTGATTATATTCTATATGCTTTAATATCAGTGGTACTAAATGGATTAAGATATTAATATTTTATGAGTTGATATTTCAAGTGTTAGATTGTATTAGAGCTGTTTAAAATTAGTGTATCTTGTAGAATTTACCTTTCCCAGCAGTGATCCATTTTAAAATTCAAGTCTCTAAACACAACATTTTGGAAGTAATTTTTATATTCACCAGCTATGTATGTTCTATTGCAAAAATGATCTGAGCATAAAGCATGCTTTATAGTAAGTAGAAGCAGCAGCTACTTTAATTACAGTGATCTCACTGGAGAAAAGAAATAAACACCATTATCATCCTTCTGCTTTCGCCCTACTTTTATCTGAAATTGAACATAAAACACTTTGCATCAAGACTTAAAATTATTTCAAAATGTTTCAAACAGCACACACAAGGTGTATCATTAGAATTTTAGCTCATGTATACCATTAAAATAACACAATTGCTGAATATTGTTTATTTTTTCTATAGAGTATCTAGAAGAACAACAATAACAATAACCAATCACCTTCTCTGCTAACGAAGAAACCAAGATCTAGAGAGATTAAGAGTAAAGCAGGAAAGAGTCCAGCTTAAAGTTTCAGATCAGCCTAAAATCCTTTCTTACTCAATTTACGTAATGCATAAAATGGGAAAATACATAATCTAATTAAACCTCATTTTTCTTATCTATAATTTAAAAATAACTATATACATTTTATGGGATTATTATTAGGATTAAATAAGAAAATATATGTAAACCACCCTGGTCATTGACAGTCATGCAGATTGCTCCATTAAAGATTGGTTCTCTTTTCCTTCCCCAGGTAGTAGTGAATAAGGGACAGATGCTGGATAAACCTTTTTCAGCTGTCTCTGATTCCAGTGTTATAAAGAGCTTTACATACTTCAAAAAATGCACAAAGCACCCTATTCAAATCTTCATGTTGTTTTTACACGATGGTATTTAAATGTTAATTTACCTGTGCAGTGGCTTAGGGAAAGAAAATACTGGGCTCGGTTTCCTGATCCAAGTATATTTTATATATGTCTGTGTTTATATTTTTTTCAGGATTTTTTTTCTGGTAACGTATAGAACTGTCATTTATGTTATTAATATTTCAATTTGGCCAGGTGCGGTGGTGCATGCCTGTAATCCCAGAACTTTGGGAGGCCGAGGCAGGCAGATCACTTGAAGTCAAGAGTTTGAGACCAGCCTGGGCAACATGGCGAAACCCCGACTCTACTAAAAATAGAAAAAAAAAAATTAGCCGGGCGTGGTGGTGCATGCCTGCTCGGGAGGCTGAGGCTGGAGAATTGCTTGAACCCAGGAGGCGGAGGTTGCAGCGAGCCGAGATCGCGCCACTGCACTCCAGCCTGGGCGACAAGAGTGAAAACTCCATCTTAAAAAAAATAATAATTTCAATTCACTGAACATAAAAATACTACTCCATAAATTTATAAGCATTTTATTTCTAAACATATCAGAAACAAGTCATGCTCAAAAGTAGAAAATTACTAATAACAGAATTGTCTACAATCTATTTATATCTGTCTAGATTATCATTTGTATGTGGGTAATGTTCCAGCTTTTAGTTCAGAAATTCAAACTTTCTTAATAATTTCCAAAGTGGGGTTTGACCATATCCTCTGGAATTTACACATTTAGCCTATTATAGTTAAATATACATTTTCATTGGTTTCTACAAAGATTTTTTTCCCCATATATATCTTCAGATTAAATGGAGATTTTCATTCGCATCTTAAATGACTATGTGCCTAGTTATGATTAAAATTATTTGTTTCAGAAATTACATATGTATGTGTGTGTGTTCAAAAGTAGTCTCATATGCATGCAAATTCATTTGTTCAATTGATTTCTGGAAGACATGATGTTATGCTCCAAATGTTTGCAGGTGCAAATATTTAAAAGATCACAATTACAAGAATTGATCATAGTCAGTTACACACAGCTGCAAATAATTATATGGTTAGCCTTTCATTTATATCAGCTCCTAAAGAGCTAAGAGCATATAAGTAGAAGAATCTTGTGATCATGATGTATCGATACAAAAACATTTAGATAATGCTTCCATTTTAAATAATGTCTTTATATGGGTAAACACAATTGATTACAATGAAGTATATGCCACTGGAAATACTGCCATCATCTCTTTCTCTGATTGGCTGTTTCAAACCCTTGCTGTATTCAACTATTGTTTAATCTCTCTATTCTTACTCTCTTGGTAACATTGTCATCCAAGGAGTGAGCTGTCTGTGGGGCTCTCTATTTCCTCTCAAGATCCTGACTGGCTCATAAGACTTCCCTCTGATAATCAGAAGTAGAACTCACCTATTGTTTTGATACCACTGACCTTTTGAGTTTACTGCCGAACTTCTGTTTCCTGTCTAAAGGAAAGTCCTGTGTTCATTTTTTGGGCAAATGCGTGAATACTGAATGACAGGTGCCATGTCACCCTTTTCCCCAGGGACATTCCTCAGCAACTCTTGTAAAACATTTCAGTCCAGAATCATATAATTACAGTTTCATACACACATTAAATTTTCTGACATTATTTACTAGCTGAGGAGAGGAGTGTTATCTCTTAGAAGATTGTTTCAACTATACTCTTGACCTTAAGATTGAAAGTAGCATTGCCCACTTTGGTAAACTTCTAGAATACTTATCTCAGTTTTATATGGATGTGTAACAAAGTATGCCAAAGCTTAAAAATATAATCCTCCTGTTTGATCATTATTTTGTGAGTCAGTACTTTAGGCTGAACTTGGTTTGGCATTTGTTCTGATGGTCGCACTTAGGATAACTTGTGTGGCTGTGATGCTCTGGTGGCTTGAACTAGGATGAATGACTTGATATGAGCTCACACATGTCTGGGTTGGTCTTGGGTGTGGTCTGGGCTACATACTTCAGCAGGCTAGCACAACTTCCTCGCATGTTGGTGAAAGAGATCCAGCCAGCAGCAGAGGAGGGATCACCCCAATGTGTAAGTATGTTTCAAATCTCAGCTTGCATTATGATTGGTAATGTCTAGTTGATCAAAGCATATAATAAAGCCAAGTCAGGTGACCATGTGGGAGGAGACTATACAAGGACAGGGGTACAAGGAAGCGTTATCTATTACAGTTCATTAGCTTATCAGTTTGCCTTATGCTTTCACAAATTCACATTATTTAAGGTGAAACCATCATGCAGCCATAAGCAGGTGTTTATTAATTTCCCTCTCAATATATTTTTAAATGCATAATATAGTATTGTAAATTATAGGCACAGTTTTGTATAGCAGATACCCAGAAATTATTCATCTTGTATAGCTGAAAGTATACACCTCCTGAAGAACAACTCCTCAATTCCCCCTTAACCCAGCCCCTGGCAATTGCCATTCTGCTATCAGTTTCTATAAATTTGACTATTATAGATGCTTCATATAAGTGGATTTATTAGGTATCACTTTTTCTGTGACTGGTTCATTTTACTTAGCATAATGTTCTCCAGATACATCTATGTTGTCACAAATGCCAGAGTTTCCTACTTTTTAAGGCAGAATAATATTCTACTGTAGGTTGTTTCCAGATTTTGGCGATTGTGAAGATGCTGCACTGGCAAGTATCTCTTTGAGATACTGATTTTAATGATTTGGATGCATATCTAAAAGTGGGATGCTGGAGCACGTGATAACTATATTTAAAAAATTTTTGGATTTTACAAAAATCCAAAACACATATACTATTTTCCATAGTGGATGTACCACTGCATTTCTACCAACAGTGTAGAAGATTTCCAATTTATCTACATCATCAGTAATACTTATCTTTTTGTTTTTGTGGTTGTTAATAACCACCCTGTCTTAGTCTGTTTGTATTGGCATAACAAAATACCACAGACTGAATAATTTATGAAAAATGAAAAAATATTTTTCATTGTTCTGGAGACTGGAGACTGCCAAATCAAGGCACCAGCTGGAGCAGCATCTCGTGAGGGATTTTCTCTGCTTCTAAGATAGCACCTTGTTGCTGCATCTTTCATAGGGAAAGGACACTCTCCTTACATGGTGGAAGGGATGGAGAGACATGAAAGCACTGCCTTTAACTTAAGGCCTTTTAAGTCATGAGGCAGAGCCTTGGAAAGGCCACATTTCTCAATACCGTTGCATTAGGGATTAAGTTTCAACATGAACTTTAGAGGAGACACCAACATTCAAGCCATAGCATTCTATACCTAAAACACCAACATTTATATCTTTCTTATATACAAAATGCATTGATTTTATCCCAATAACTCCAAAAAGTCTTCACCTATTCCAGCATCAACTTTAAAGCCTAAGTCCAAAGTCTCATCTAAATATAATCTAAATCAGATATGGGTGAGCCTCAAAGTGTGATTCATCCTGAGGTAATTTCTCTCCCATTGTGAGTCTGCACAATCAAAAAAATTATGTGCTTCTAAAATATAATCGTGGGACAAGCATAGATGTTCTCATTTCAAAAGTAAGAAATAGACAAGAAGAAAGGGGTAATAGCTCCCAAGTAAGCCTAAAACTCAACAGGGAGGCTGGGCGCGGTGGCTCATGCCTATAATCCCAGCACTTTGGGAGGCCCAGTCATGAAGATCACCAGGTCAAGAGATCAAGACCATCCCAGCCAACATAGTGAAACCTCATTTCTGCCAAAAATACCAAAAAAAATTAGCCAGGTGTGGTGGTGCACACATGTAGTCCCAGCTACTCAGGAGGCCGAGGCAGGAGAATCGCTTGAACTCGTGAGGTGGAGGTTGCAGTGAGCTGAGATCGCACCACTGCACTCCAGCCTGGGTGACAGAGTGGGGCTCCATCTAAAAAAAAAGGGGGGGGGGCAAATGATATTAAATAATAAGGTCTTAGGATAATCTCCTTTGGCTTCATGCTTCCAGACACATGAGGATGAGAATTGGGTCCCAAAGGCATGTGGAGGAGTCTTATTCCCACAGAGTTTCTGGAAGCAACCCATGCTACAGCTCCCATGGATGACTTTGAATGCCTGTGGCTTTCCCAGGCAGGGATAGCACTCCAATGACACTACAGTTCAAGGTCTCAGGGACAGTCCCATCCTATGGCTTGACCAGACATTACCCTAGTAGGAACATTCTGAGGTGGACTCCCATGGCTCTGCCAGCCACTGCCCTAGTGGGGACCCTTTCTTATAGTTCTGGAGGCTGGAATATCCAAGATTAGTGCACTGGCATTGACATCTTGTGAAAGATGTTCTCTGTTTACAAAATGAGGCCTTGTTGCCATGTCCTCACATTGTGGAAGATATGGAAAGACAAACAAGTGCTCCCTTCAACCTAAAGCCCTTTATAAGACTACTAATCCCATTTGTAGGGGCAGAGGCTCTCAAAGGCCACATCTCTTAATGCTGTTGCATTGGGATAAAGTTTCAACATGAATTTTGGAGGGGAAACAATCATTCAAACAATAAAACACACTAACAGGTGTGAGGTGATATCACATTATGGTAGTGATTAGTGATGTTGCACATTTGTTCATATACTTGTTGACCATTTGTATATTTTCTTTGGAGAAATGTCTATTCAGGTACTTTGCCCAGTTTTTAACTGGACTATTTGTTTTCTTTTTGCTATTGAGTTATATAGGACTTTTGTATATTTTTATAGTAATCCATTTTCAGATATATGGATTGCAAATATTTTCCCCATTTCCCACTTTGCTTTCTCACGTTGTTGATTGTTTCCTTTACCATGCAGAAGCTTTTTAGTTAGAAGTAGTAGTCCCAGTTGACTACTTTGTTGTTTTGTTTTGTTTTTTGCTTGTGCTTTTGTCATATCCAAGAAATTATTGCCAAGACCATTGTCATGAAACTTGTCCTCTATGTTTTCTTCTAGTAGTTTTACAGTTTCAAGTCTTACATTTAAATCTTTAATCCATTTTGAGTTGATTTTTGCGTATGGTGTAAGTTTCAATTTCATTCTCTTGCACGAGGCTATTAATTTTTCCAACACGATTTGTTGAAAATGCCTAACTTTTGGAGAATTTAACAAGGTCTCACATCTTCCTTTTGGTGTTCTCCAGACAAATGGTATTGTGAAAACACTGAGGCATTGAGTGAGGTTATATTTTTTTCTGGGCTGGCACATAGTTACCAAAATCATTTAATTAATATATAAAACTAGAGGGTATCTTTGGCTGTGTACATGGAGAGTAATAACTATGGTTTAAACTGGCATGACATCAGGTTAACATCACCCATTCCATAATTTTTTTTTTTTTTTTTGATACGGATTCTCGCTCAGTTAGCAGGCTGGAGTGCAGTGGCGCGATCTCGGCTCCCTGCAACCTCCTCCTCTCGAGTTCAAGAGATTCTCCTGCCTCAGCTTCCCGAGAAGCTGGGATTTCAGGCTCCCACCACCATGCCCAGATAATTTTTGTATTTTTAGTAGAGATGGGCTTTCACCATGTTGGCCAGGATGGTGTCGATCTCTTGACCTCGCGATCTGCCTGCCTCGGCCTCCCAAAGTGCTGGGATTACAGGCGTGAACCACAGCGCCCGGCCAAAGGTAACATTTTTTATGGAATCTGAGCATGTATATTTTATTCACTAAGCCTCTTTAAATCCATGAACAGAGATGACTTGGGTATAGCCTTGTCTAAATGAGTGGTGTCTACATATTTTTATCTTATCCTTCTATTACTAAAGATCACTTTTCAATGTTTAGATCAATATTAGTACATTTTACTCATATACTTAAGTATTACATAGTATGCAAAAATATTCTAAAACATGATTAAGAGAATATAATTATTACATATTAGTAATGGTTTTAATACTTTCTTCCTGTGCTATATTGGATTGGCATGTTCATTTGTCACATGTGAAGAAGACCACTGGCCAGACTGTCTCTGACTTTTACCCCGTTTTGAAGGCCAATGAATAATTCTCCCAGTTTACACAGTGTTTTAAAAATGTATATTAATCTACACATAATCAATAATATATACATAAGTATCTGTACTAGTTAACTGCTCAGTTAAGCAGAGGAAATGGTGAGGCTACTCTATTTCTTTTAAATAACTTTGCATTGTTACATTTGAATCCTGGTATTCATTATGTTTTGATCCCACAAATTAACTGTAGTACTATATTGCTCTCATTACCAGACAATTGTGGCAAACTTACCACAGCTTATGCCTTATAAATACATTTAGCATTAATGTAATATTTCCTTAAATATTTTTATAAGTCAGATTACCAATTTAAGCATGTGTTAAACTGCTCAATTTAAAATGGTAAATATGCTGAAACCTTGGCACTTATTCCTTCATGACAAATGAAGCTCTTTAGCAGCTACACACAAACCGTTAATAATGTGGAATAGAACTTTTTAACACTGATTAATCCATAGGATTCCAGAGTATAACAAGGAAGCACTTCATAGATTAATTGTCTTTCACACATGTAACAAGGTGTTGATAAAATAAGTGTGTTTATTTTGCCAGTCTAATTTTTTAAATGTGGTATTTGCCCAAGTGCAAATGCTTACAACTAAGAGCCCTGTGAAATATGTAAAACAATTCCAATCTTTTCCGATTTGCAGAAGGAAAAAAATGGGCTAGTCTTGTTCTCAAAGTAGCTGTATTTTTAATATGATTAGTTGTCTCAATTTGCTTCTTCATGGAAGAAACAGCATTATGAGCAGCTGTTTCATTAGAGCAGCATGTTTGAAAACATAATATATTTTATACCATATTTAATATTCACTTCCCTATCACAGCTTTATCTTAAATTAAAGGAAAACAGTGATGAACAATTGCATCAAATATCTTAAATTGCCTTGTAAGAAACTATTGTATTTTGAATAGATTATGTGACTACAAACTAAGTAATCTTTATTCTAATAATAAGAAATTGGGATGTAATTTTAACAGGATAAGAGGACAGATGTTTGTAACTTTGGTTTGTTTGTAACTTTATATATTATATAAAATACTTAATATTGAATAAGGTACATATATATGTACCTTATTCATGGTAAAACCAAAAAATAGCTAGCAGTGACCAAAAATTCAAGGCCACTCGTCAATATAAATTTGAAAATGAATAAAAGCACAAATTAAATTCATTGTATATTTCAATTTATAAATTTCCTATAGGAAGACCAATGCTTTTCTGGGGGC
Source organism: Homo sapiens (assembly GCF_000001405.40). Lineage (NCBI taxonomy): Eukaryota > Metazoa > Chordata > Mammalia > Primates > Hominidae > Homo > Homo sapiens. The sequence goes on from NC_000013.11 coordinate 68,204,770, forward strand.
AAGGCAAGCAGATTAAAATAATACTGTTCTAAAATCCAAAAATTAACTTGTGTAAAGACATCTTAAGCATGAGTATCTTTGTTTGCTGAGCAAATGCATGACCTAATAAACTGAAATTCTACAGTGTAGATTGGGAATATACACAGCATTTTGATTTAGACACTAAAAAATGAAAATGCATAACTAAGATACAATAGTTGTCAAGCGAATTGTGCTCCCATAGTTATGATGAGTTTTTAACATAATATCAATATAAATTTTTAGAATAGCTATATGGATTTTAAATTGTTGCTTTGTGGAGAATTTTTTTTTTGTCAAGAGAGCACTTTTATCTACTCTTTTAGCAATTTTTAAGCAGATAATATATTGTTTTTAAGACAATAGATTGTTATTATTGTATTTAAGTAGACAATATATTGTTATTAACCATAGTCACCATGATATACAACAGATCTCTTGAACTTATTCTTCCAATCTAACTAAAATTTTATGTTATTTGATCAACATCTTCCCAGGCTCCTCACCCCTGGCCTCTACTAAATATCACCTAAATGTATTTTGAAGCAAAGCTTTTGATGACTTCATCTTTGGATTTTTTTGCCTTTCTCATTAAAGCAGAGCTGATTTCCTTGTCCATTCCTCATTTCCTAACTCACAAATAAATTAAAACACTCAACTTTTGGAGTGTTCATAGTAGAATGAGTTTAAGCCATAGGAATCTATGTTGTTGAATGATATTACCTTTAAAGTGCCCTCTGATGTTAACAATCTAAGAGAATAATAGTGCTTTCTGTAAGAAAGGTACAACAGTTAACCTCGTTTTACAGATGAAGCAGTTGAGAAAAAGTAAGCTTGATTAATTTGCTTACAGCTAGAAAGTTTGGAGTTAAGATTTGAATCCAAGAACTAAATTCCAGGGTCCATCCAGAAATCACCAATCTAGACAATGCTTTCTTCCACTCAGACCACACCACTATTCTAATGTCTGTCTATTTATCAATCAATCATTGTTGTTATTCCTCTTCAATACCACATGTTAGATTTGAAAAACATTGTCAATTAATTGCAGCCATTGTCTTAATTCCTTTGGTGAGAGCCGACAAATTGTTGGTCTCAGATCTTCAACTTTGGGGATCATAATTGACCAAACAAATGTCTCTGCTACTGCTTTCTGAAGTCTATAACCTAGTATGCTTTGAGGCCGTGCTTCCCATGGGCTCCCAACCAATGACTAAGCTTAGCTGGGATACCAAGGCAGGCTTGATTCTGAGGGAGTTAGACTCCTCTAATGGACAGTTTTGGTTCAAAGATCCCCAATTGACTTTATCAAAATTCTGTGTGATTGCACTTCAGTCTGACTCTTTCATTCAACATTTATTTCCTCTTTTCTTCATAAGGGTAAGGCCTTCATTCTGGTCTGACACCTCTTTTAGTCTCCTTGGGTTCCCTCCCCATTTTCCTACAGATATTTTTCTTAATAAATTGCTTGATATGGTTTAGTTGTGTCCCCACCCAAGTCTCATCCTGAATTGTAACTCCCATAATCCCCATGTGTTGTGGTAGGGACCCAGTAGGAGGTAATTAAATCATGGAGTGGGTTTTTCCTGTGCTGTTCTTATGATAGCAATAAGTCTCACGAGATCTGATGGTTTTATAAAGGGCAGTTCCCCTCCACAGGCTTCCTTGCTTGCACCATGTAAGATGTGCCTTTGCTTCTCCTTCACCTTCTCCCATGATTGTTAGGACTCCCCAGACATGTGGAACTGTGAGTCCATTAAACCTCTTTTCCTTTATAAATTACCTGGTCTCAGGTATTTCTTCATAGCAGTGTGAAAATGGACTAATACATTGCTTGAATGTTTAATTCCATATTGGTGTCTGCTTCTTGGAAGGCCTTAAATAATATGCACTCTTATCAGTTTGCCAATAATACAAAGTGCAATTTTGGTAAAGGAGATAGTAAAGATGTAAAGCTGTGCATGTATATATTAATCACAGAAATCATTGTTCACTTTCCAGTATCACTGCCATCTATTGATCCATTTCAGAATCTTATGGAAACCTATTACTTAAAAAGTAATATTTTTAAATAGTTCTCCTTTTTCCATTGACTTAGAAATAGAAATTTCCCTATGTCTTAAACAAAGTTTATGGTTGAAAAAATAAATTGCATTTTATTTTAAAAATTAGTGTCTTTAGAATATAATTTAATAATTTTATTTAGACTAGAATTAACCATTTTTACCTAGTGAATGTATCTTATGTTCACATTATATTTAAGTACATTAAGTCAGCAAGCATTTTTTGTAAATATAATGTATAAAAAGCATGTGTGTAAAAAGATTAATAAATGAAAAATGAATAAGAAATGTTTCTAATATTCACAGTACTCTCAATATAGTGAATTAGGTGAATTTGTATGTAACTTATGACAGTCTGTTAGTAAGGATAATGGTGATTGACAAAATAGAAATGAGTAAAGGACTGGAAAAGTTTAAGATGACTATGAATGCAAATATGAAATTATTTCCAAGAAACTGTAAGTATGATGAAAGATTACTTTTCTAATTTTCTGTGGAAAGCTTTTAATGGCATGATATTTTAAAAGTTAGAGTTGGTTAGGTTGAAGAAAAATCTTTAGAAAACGAATCTGCTCAATATCACGATATATTTTTTTCTCAATTAAGGACCTTAATTAAGGAAGCTATGACAAATAGGTGAATGGTCAGAGAATTAATCTTTAGCTGAATATTTATGGCCACAAAACTTTCCCAAATGAATCGTCTGCTGATGTATTAATGTTCATCCTTCCTCAAGAGGATAGGATAATTTTTAATATATTGCCATACTCTTTAGCCTAGTTCTTCCCTTAGAATGGAAAAGGATAGGCTATTTTAAGGAGCTAAACATGGGGAGACCATTGTTTACAGTATAATGTTTATTGCAAGCAGTTTTCCTTTTCAAAAGCCTAAATTTTAGTGAATGAAAAGAACATGGAAGAAACATCAGAGAACAGTGGGCAAATATCTATATATAATCTTACATGTATCCCTCCAAAAACTCCACCTGATCTACTTCCACCCACAAGACACATATCAAGTGTGTCTCCTCATGAAAACAAGAGACATGAACTCGATATATATGTATTATATATTTATATGTAACACGTATTATATAATATATAATATATAGATCATACATATTATATAATATATAATGTATTATATAAAATATATATTATCTATAGCACATATTATATATAATATATAATAAATGTTACATATAATATATAATATATATTATATCATATTATATATAATATATTATATTATATATTATATAATACATGTATAATATATAATATGTAATATATATTATATAGTACATATATAATGCATATATAATATATATGTATTGGCTGGGCACAGTAGCTCACGCCTGTAATACCAGCACTTTGAGGCCAAGGTGGGTGGATCACAAGGTCAAGAGATCGAGACCATCCTGGCCAATATGGTGAAACCCTGTCTCTACTGAAAATACAAAAAATTAGCTGGGCGTAGTCGTGCACACCTGTAGTCTAGCAACTCGGGAGGCTGAGGCAGGAGAATTGCTTGAACCAGGGAGGCAGAGGTCACAGGTTGCAGTGAGCCGAGATCACACCACTGCACTCCAGCCTGGTGATGGAGGGAGACTCCATCTCAAAAAAAAAAAAATTTTATATATATACATATATATATATATGTATGTAATTTTCTTACACAAACATTTACAGTAAAAAATTAATTACCAATGAATAATGCATAGACATATTGACAGTTATTCATCTTAGAATAGGGCCAGTTTTCCAAATGTTATTTTACTCATCTAATTCAAATTGGTCCCCTTCTTATGCATATGATTTTTAAAAATGTAAATGGAGCTAATAGAGAAAATTTGAAGTTATAGACTATGACCATCTTCTATCACAATTATGCTCATAAGGTCTTGAGCCATCACCCATATTTATAGAAATCCAATTTATCACGATTTTTTCTGAATTTGTGGTATACTGGATGCTATTGTTTGGATTTTTGTCCTCTCTAAACCTAATATTGAAATTTGATTCCCAATTTGGCAATGTTGGGAAATGGAGCCTAGTGCGGGGTGTTTGGGTTATGGAAATAGATCCTTTGAATAGATTAATGCCCTCAGTGAATAGATTAATGTTCACTCACAGGTGAGTAAGCTGTAGCTCTATTAGTTCCCAGGATAGCTGGTTTTTAAGAACAGCTTGCCAGCTCCCTTCTCTCCCTCTTACTTCCTCTGTCATCACATGATCTCTTTGCAAGGGCTGGTTTCCTTTCCACTTTTCACAGTGAGTTGAAGCAGCCTGAGGCCCTCATCAGATGCCGATGTCCAATCTTGAACTTTCTAGCAGACTGAATTGTGAGACAAATAAAACTCTTTTTTAAAATAAACTACCCAGTCTTGGGTATTCTGTTACAGCAACACTAAAAGGACTAAGACATTGGACTATTCACTAAGTTCCACTGTTATTTATACAGAAGTTTTCTTCTCACAATATTGTGATTAATTATGTGTGCTCTAAGCTAAAACTCTCATTTTACATTTTTCTGTACTACAGAATAAAAATTAATCACATGAGAAAAACAGGGATGAGTCAGAAAATCCCTTTTCTTTATTCTTCTCAAAATGATCCTCCAAAACGTCCCGTTTTTCAAATTCACTATGGAAGCTTTTTTCTTAATTCTCTAACTAGATATCAAATAGTGAATTGCAAAGGTACTACAGCAGACACATAAAGTGGGTTTAAAGAAAATCTACTGGGAAAATAAAATACTGTCTTCTTGAAGTAAAAAAAAAGTATACCTCTGTAAAATGGGACCACAGCGCGTCTTTTTGTTAATGTTTAAAATAATGAGTATGTTGCACATATTCCCTTCTCTGGATATATATTTCTACTGCAGAACCCAGCACAACTTATAGAAGGTACATGGAATTCACTTTGAGAAACATAAACCTGACAGCTTTACCTAGTGGTGTTCTGCCTGCACACATCCTTGAGAAAAGAAAATAAATTTCCCCCATTGCACAACCAATATAATTCTGATTTGTAGAGTAATTTCAAGCTATAAAATAAGCTTCTTAGGTAATCATTATCAAATTGTTTAAAAATGTAATATTATCTATGTTTATTTCTGTTTACTACTCATATGAAAACTTCCTGTTTAAACTTAGGCATATAATATATGCATTTCTATTGGCACTAGTTCATTTTCTCAATGTAGCAGTGATCCATATATATTTCATATTATTCTGCTCTTTTTTTGATTCTGTATTTTTCTATTTCATCTTTTCTTACTGGTTTTTCCTTTCCTACAATCTCCTCAGCCCATACTGTTACTTTTTTCTGTCCATCCTTATTTTTTCTCTTTCTTTCCTTGTTGCTATTTTCCTAGTCATTCTAATTTTTCCTATAATTCCTCATTCTTACCCACATCTTGCATTATTTTCCCCCCAACTTTCCCATTTTTTCTCTATTCACGTCTTACATATTTCTAGTGACAAGATGATTTCTCTTTTATCAAAGTGTAAGTACCACATTAAAACTCTATTACTGGTAATAGAGTTAATGTGAAACTACAGATTACCTATAATTTATGACAAAGTAATTCTATGTCTTAGTCACTATAATGAGTTGCCAATTTAATTTAAATATATTAGATATTCACAAAATGGATACTGAGCTCTTTTTGTGCATTTAGTGCAGAACTGATCATTGCTGAATACTTAAAAAGTCATTCTACAAGACTTTTTATTTTTAGCCTCATAAAGTTAGTTTGGGTCTTAAACCAGAAGAAGAAAAATCAAGGATGGCAAACACTTCATACTAGATTGTTTTATCTCCTTTCCTTTTTTTAATTCTTAGGAAAAAAAATCATTTATTTCAACTATTTTTGATGAGAATAAAGTGATATTAAGATTCTTATGAAGAGATGATAAGATTTTGGTAATAAAGTAAGTTTAACAGGCAGTTCCTAAATTACCTGTGTAACACTCACTTATGCCTTTTGGGTATTCGTTCATTTGTTCAACACTTAGCATTTGCTAAATGACAAAACTCTATAAGGTACTAGGGATGCGATGATTAATAAGACATCATTGCTTTTCTTCAAGGGTTTTTAATGTAACTAGGAAGACAGACAAGTGAACAGATAATTATAACATAGTGTGATGCAGTAATGAGAAGCCACAGGGCTATATGAGCACATAAGAGGTTCTTCTAACCCAGAGTGTTAGAAATTCAGGGAAAACTTCCAAAAGAAATGATGCTTTCATTGATTTTTGAAGGATGTTATGCAGTTAATAAGGTAAGGAGATGAAATTATGTAGAGAGGTAAGTAGGGGTAGTGGGAAACTCTCCCAAAAAAAAAAAAAAAAAGAAAGTTTTCTAAGGCTTAGAATCAACAGAAATTCAGGAAAATATTTATAACAAAAATAGTTCAGTAAGTCTGAGACATGAGTTATGAAATACATAAGTAAGGGAGGGAGAAAAATAGTGGTGAGATAGAACACTATAAAAGTAACCCCAAACCAGATGTTGAAAGGCCTTGAATGACATCATAAAGAGTTCAGACATCACCCTAAAAATTATGAAAGCCACTGTGGGTTTCTAAACAAAGTAATGCTCTGACAAGATTTGAGACTTTTAAAGGAACAAAAGATGGAGAATGGATTGCAGAGGTAACATTTAAGGCATAGAGATTAACATGAGGACGTTGCAACAGATTGAATGATGTTATCGATGAGTTCACCTGTTGATTGGTTCACACAATGTAGGAAAAAATCAAGCATGATTATTCCCTATGATTATGATAGTGGCAATTGCTGGAATTAAGATAGTTTATAAAGGAGGCAGAAGAAAGAGGATATGACTGTTGCTTGGATGTGGGGATTAGTTAGAAGAAGAATCAAAATAACAAATGAGTCTGCCTTAGGCAACTGGGTGTAGAATAGTGTCCATCATGAGATGAGAACAAATTGGCATTGCCTTGGTAAGTGGCATTGGTATAGTATGAGGAGTTCTTTTAGGTTATACGGATTTTTAATGAATCCTTAGGTCTTAGAAGTGGAAACATTCAGCAGAGAATAGCACATGTGTGGCGGGATATTTCATTTGTGTTGTGTTATCACTTTATGTTTCTCATCTTAAGAATCCCCCACCCCGGCTGGGCGCAGTGGCTCATGCCTGTAATCCCAGCACTTTGGGAGGCCACGGCAGGTGGATCACCTGAAGTCAGGAATTTGAGACCAGCCTGACCAACAGGAGAAACCCTGTCTCTACTAAAAATACAAAAAAAATTGCTGGGCGTGGTTGCGCATGCCTGTAATCCCAGCTACTCCCAAGGCTGAGGCAGGAGAATCGCTTGAACCCAGGAGGCAGAGGTTGCGGTGAGCAGAGATTGAGCCATTGCACTCCAGCCTGGGCAACAAGAGTGAAACTCCATCTCAAAAATGAATAAATAAATAAAATAAAATAAAATAAAATAAAATAAAATAAAATAAAATAATCCCCAACCCCCTTCCAGGGCAAAGTAATTCCCTTGCTTCAGGAAAGATTGCTTTCGGAGTCTAAAGGAAAATAGCAAGGTGAGAGGATTATGCTAAGCGTGAGATGAGGTTTGGTGGAAGAATCTAGATCAAGAGAAGGATCCTCAAGATAGGAAAAGTCAGCTGTTCTCAGATCTTAGTGCAGGTCTGTCTTCTGGTATTACTCTGGGAGCTGCCAGGACATCAGAGGGAAATAATAATATATGTTCCCTAGGAGGCTAGAATTAGTTACCAGCTCTGTCACATTCTGTAAAATTTGCATTTCTCAAGAGTGGCAAATAGGCCATTTAACCTCCTGATTCAAAGAACTATTTGGGCTCAGAAAATATACGTATCAACAACTAACTACTAGGAGTTCTTTCTCTGTTTCCAAATAAATATCTCACATTTTTGTGAGTCCTCAGAAAGATGATCCCTGTACCCCATCATGCAAACAGCACTCTAAGATTCATGTGGGATGAGCCTCCAGTCTCACTTAAATTGCTTAAAAAAATAACTAAAGCACTAAGATCTCTGTCACACTCCCAAATGTAGACTAAAATTTATACCCAGTATATATGGGTGTGAGTGTCAGAGAAAAATTTGTACTAAAAAATGACAAATATAGTTTGAGTAAGAAGTGGTAAAACTAGGCTAAATGAGTGACTAGATTTCAGGATTTTAGATTTCTACTTTTTAAAAAAATTTAGCATAATGAAACTTCCTGGCTAAAGCCATCTTAGCACTATGTGTTTGAATTCCATCTTCATTATTTGTTACCTGTGTAACTTTCGTCGACTTGCTTAATGTCTGTGCCTCACTTTCTTCATTTATAAAATAAGGATAATATCAATACCTACCACATAGGGTTGCTGGGAGAATTAAATGAATCCATGTGTGAAAAAAAATTAGGATTGTATCTAGCACAGCACCACCTACATATTCATCATTGCAATAAAGAATGTTAAAGCCATTGCTGGTAACTTCTCTGAGTGGAAGACAAGACTTTGCTCACCTGTATCAGGTGATGGATAGTTTCAAAAGAGGGCTTTAATTTTCTGAGTAAAATATGCACCTTTCAGGACAAAGCTGAAGCATCCTGACCAATAGGTGGACAAAAGCGGCCATCCACAGTCCTTCCTTTCTGCCTTTTCTCATACATTGCTCAATCTTTTTTCTAACTAGGTTTAGGACACATTTTTACAGACTATTTCTTTGTGAATTACTAATCTATTCATGCATCCAGCACTATACATTCCTCAGCCTTCCGTAACTTCCTCTTACCTGCACTGCAAGCTCTCAAAATGATTCTTATTCCTACAACCTTAGCATTTCTCACACACACAAAAAAAATCTCTTACAAAATGACTTAAGATTCACTAGTTTAAATAAACTATCGTGAATAGACATAGACCTTGTTGCCATGACAAAAATGGTTTAAAAAAATAAGTTACACAATGAAATTCTGGAACACACCTCATTTGCAAATTGGGGATTTACTGTACAATGTAAGGCAATCAATCCATGTCTCAAAAGATAAACAATGCACTTTATCAAATCACTGAGACATCTTAAATAATTGAAATAAAATTCTCACATCATACAATTTTCCTCTTCCTTTCTTTCTTCCCTCCTCCCTTCCTCCCCACTTTGTTCTTCCTTTTCTCCTTTCCTTTTCCCTTTTTTGGTTTGTTTGTCTTTCACTTACTGTCTTCTTGCTTATTTCATCTTTCTATTTCTGTTTAAATCTAAACTGCTATCAATTAAAAAAAAAGACTCTGAAAATAAGAAGCTGAACCTGTCAGGTCCTAGTCCTCACTCTGACACTTACTAGACACATGACCTTGGGCAAATTATATAATCTCTCAGGCTCCGTTTCTTCATCTGTAAAATGAAGTGGGTTGAACTAGGTGATCTTTAATGTCTTTTTCTGCTTTAAAAATATCCAAACCTAAGTATAGTAACACTGATTTCTAGACCAGTGCCAATTAGAACTTTTATAATTCTATCTAAACCATTAAAAATATTTGGAAAACTAAAGCCTAAATATAAATCTTATAAAATACAAGTTTATATTTTTATGAAAATAGGTATTTTAAAAATAAAATAAGTTGATTATTAAAACCAGAAAGCCTAAAAATATATGAGAAAAACAATTATTTCTCTAGAAAAGTCATTCGAAGCCTGTGAGCTTCATTGATGTGAAATGTTTCTACCAAGGAAATTTCATTCTTGTGTTTGATTTTTATACAATTTTAAGACCTTGATAGCTGGAACCAGAGTGTAAATTATTAATACTAGAATTAATAGAGATCTGTTGCAAAGGGATGACCAGAAAAAAATGATTTATATTTAACTGTGTTGACGTGAGTATACTTGGATCTTTTTTCTCTTTCAATTTTAGGGCTTTTATTTCTCTGTACCCACATTTAAATCTTGCTGTGTGACACACTGATATTCAAGAGGCATTAAGCAGTGGCACATCTCTCACACAAATAGATCTATGATTGTGGGGACAACATTTAAATGTGTATAACTATTACCCCCCCAATAAGTGTGTATTACATCCTATTAGCCTTAGCCAGTATTCTAATCTAACAGTTCTGCACCATGTTCACATTAATATGCAAATGGCATTAGAATACAAAATTAAACGAAAATGAAATTTGGAAGCTAATTGACATTTTTGTCACAAAAGCTCAGAGAAACACTATTTATGGTTTCATGGTAAAAGGCTAATGTGTCATCCAAGGGAGGAGGTCACATCAATCTCAGCTACAGTTATTTCCCAAAGTACAGTGCAAAGCGCTGTTTATGTATGCAAGTTGCCAGTCTCCCTCACGTAGGTGGGCCCATCTCTGTAAACCTGCGCTAAATTGCTACCATCCATTACACACAGTGGCTGCCTGGATAGCTGCCTGGCACTGACTTACACAGGCCATCTATTCCTGTCAGAAATATGATATGTCACTGACAAAAGCTTAATTACACCATTAATTAATAGGACAATTTTCAAAATGCCTTGAAATGCAGCTTGACACTAATTAGTGCCATTTATGAATAATTTCTCCCAGGGAATAGTACTCTGAAGAGCACTTTAAAATGAAATACAGTTTTAAATAAAGGTATTTATAAAACAAAATAAATATATGGCTGGAAGCCGCTTCTCTCTTTCTCATTCTCTTTTCTTCTCTCTAATATGACCTATCTCTTCAATACTGGAAAAAGTAATTTTATAAACATTGAAGCTATTATTACAGTTTTGCCTCAAAATGACCCATTTCTTTCATTTTGTGCTCACTTTAGAAATTCAGTCACTTGTTTTCTTTCTTTCAGAATCTGAATTACTTTTTAAAATGCACCATGCTTTAAATTTTAATAGCAATTACAACACATTAACCTCAAAATAGGTTTCTAAATATTTATCAGCATGAAAAGTATCTTTATTTCCTCAGTTTACCTGTATCCTAGCAAGGCCATGTATGGCAAGAAGGAAAATCAGAAGTGTGAATTAGTTGGGGTGGGGGGATCACAATTTCACAATTTAGTCGTACCCACTCCATTGATTCATTAAATTTTTGACTTATGTCTTTTACATCAGCAACCTATCAAGGCCAGACACGGTGCTGCAATCCAAGATAAAGTGAATAAGAAATGATTTAATATTACACCACCATCCTCCCCCACAAAAATCATTTTGACACTAAAACCAGCACGACTAAGTTATTTAAAGCCACTGTGCACAGTGCATGATTAATACTTTTTGTTACTATTTGTTATTTGGCTACAGTGGTTTTATGATTGCTGCACTACGTTATGGCAGACGGGATTGCGAAGGGATTGCAAAGTTAAAGCCAAGTCAGTTTTTCGTAAAGAAGAAAGGGAAGTGTTAAGCATCTCAGATAAGGAACTGCAATTGGAAAACAGAAATGGGTGACAGAATGAGAATAAGGCCTTCTTTGTCTAGATTTAGAAGGTGACAATGTGTCTAGATGTCACTGGGTTATTGGATGTTTCTTTTTATCTTGAGGTGAACCACAAGATAAGAAGTCAGGGTCGCAACCTGGTGCCTATAAAGTTGTATCAGTCCTTGAAGAATGATTCTTGGAAATGTTATCAAATTATCTGGGAAGATGTTTCAAAGGTCCTATGCCAATTCTGTTTGGAGACTACTCTGTTCCTATAAATTCCACATCCTTACTATCTTTCAAAGCCATTTATATTTTCTACCCTTCTCCTAATATCTTAGTTCATTCCTTTAAAATCTCTCAGCTGGCTTATAGCAACACACTGCTTCTTAATTTTCTTGATTCTAGTTATGCTTCTATTCAATCTCTTTTATATATTATGGTAACCAGCAGTATTCTTTTTTTTTTTTTTTTTTTTTGAGACGGAGTCTCGCTCTGTCGCCCAGGCTAGAGTGCAGTGGTGCAATCTCGGCTCACTGCCACCTCCGACTTCCGGGTTCACGCCATTCTCCTGCCTCAACCTCCCCAGGAGCTGGGACTACAGGCGCCCGCCACCACGCCCGGCTAATTTTTTTTTTTTTTTTTTTTTTTAGTAGAGACGGGTTTTCACCATGTTAGCCAGGATGGTCTTGATCTCCTGACCTCATGATCTGCCCGCCTCGGCCTCCCATAGTGTTGGGATTACAGGCGTGAGCCACTGAGCCCGGCCACCACCAGTATTCTTAAAGATTAAACTGGAAAAAACTAATCCTTGGCAAGAGTAAACTGAGAAGCCTGTGGGGAAGTCTATGGTGAAACGAGTTTGGAAAATATTGAATACTAAATCGCAGTCTGTGGCATTGGTAATGAATGACAGCACAGTAATAACATCACCATGTTATGAATTTTAAAATTTCATTTAATTATATTTAACCCAGTGGCTCATTTATGTATCTAATGACAGATACTTGCTTTATGCTCTAGAAAATAAATTTGGTCATGAAACTGTGATGTTTACAATACCTCAAAGACTACTAGTTGACAGCAGAATAAATTTCCAACTTCTTGCCATTTTATTCAAGGCTCTTTAGTGTTTAACTCATCACTTAGTGTCTAGCAACACTTCACATTTTCTTCTTTTTTGCATTGTTTGTTCAATCTATATTGAGCAAATGTTAATACACTGACATTTCTTCTCACATCTAAGCCTATATATTTGCTGATTCATCGGCACAGAATATTCTTTCCATAGTTTGCCTGACTACCTTCACTTCTTAAGAATCCTACTTTAAACCCCAGTTTTAGAGTACAATTGCCTTCTCTGTGCCCCCATAATATTATTTGTTTACAACTGTATTTTTTTAATCTTTTAATCTGACTAAATGACAGCCATTTGCATCAGAGGATGTAGTTTATTCAACATTGTGTCCTTAGTATCCAATATGGTAATGGGTGTGTTAGGAACTGGATTAATTTATTTGACTAAGTCATGTAATAAATTGTTTTGCAAGAGATCAATAACATATAAAGGTAGTGCAATGAAGGAGAAAGACTGAAAAAAATCAATTGTTTCCAATTTAGAGGACCTTGGATTTTATCCTTGTCCAGCTATTAAATAACATAAATAACCGGGTTATCTTAAGCAAGTTATTAACCTTTCTCTTTAGATGTTGTAGATAGAATTGAGGACATGAAAGCAGAGGAAGGGAGAATAAAGGTAAACAGGACAGAATACTTAGAGTTTCTAGACACAGCAAATAAAATTTCTTTACTTCCATTTTTATGGCTCCTTTTTGTCTCCGAACTTGACATAGGTCTCGCTTTTTTCTTTGTCTTTGCAACTTCAAGCACAGAGACCAAAAGAAGGCAAAATTGTGATGCATTAGTAAGGGAAAGAAGTTAAATCACCTGTTCAATGATCCATTAACTTACCACTCCCTTCACCAGGAGGATGCCACAGAGAAAATAAAAGGAGAAAAGAAGGCAATTTTAGTCTCCTTGTAAACAGGCCCTCCTGGTAAATAGACAAATGATATTTCCTTGGAGAAAGAGAACTTGTCTATAAAATGTCCTTGGCAAGATTTCTCTGTATAGATGAATTATCGTAAAGAGAACCCAGAGTCTATGAAGCTGGTTTTCTGGAGAATGTCACATAAGCTTTTCAACAGAATGGGATATAAACCAGAGATGTTCGGTAATAGAAATGCTCCCTGCTATGTGAGGGACCTCAAGACTCCGCTTAGAGATCTCATCTATCCTGTGCCAGAGAGGAATGTTCAAGGCAGAAAGAGAAAACCTGAAGAACTATTCTTGATGTTCCTGACCTTCGTCTACTTCAGCTGAGCTCATTGTTGATCTTCTTCATATTTGAAAATATTTAATAAAGATTTAATACTAAGATCACTGATTCATCCAAGTCTGCTTGACTAGCTGATATTATATGTTTTTTAGCTAGCCAAATTGTTTTGGTTTCCTTGAGCTTCTGAATTGTTTTCTCATGCTCTAAACTGATATGGCTCCTCACCCTTTCTCTGATTTTTTTTTCAAAGTTAAGATAACTTATACTAATTTAACAGGACTACTCACATTTTAAAAACAGCTATCAAAGCACTGAACCTAAAAATAACACTGATGGTAGAATCCAGGCCTTATCTAAGCAGAAGAGTGGCTTTGTTCGTGAATTTGTTGTTGATTGGTTCATTTACAAACTACACTAAAATTGTTGCTGGCTTCTCTGCAATTTTTAGTGTGTATATGGCATTATCAGTCTAGACATCCAAGCAGCCCTTTGAGTAGGACCCATCTGCCTCTGTAGGAGACTATAACGTTAAACTAAATCATCTCTTCATTACCCAGGTTACTAATTACCCTTTCAAATTATATAATGATAAAACCCCTAAATCACATTTCATAGAAAGCCCTCCCTGTTTACCTGTTGCATTCCACCGGGGCTTCCCAGACATTTTCCTTCCATCACTAAAATAAAATAATAAAAATAATTACTAACTAAAACAAGAGGAACAGAAATAATAGGAAAGGATACTGAAAGGCAAGACAAATAGCTGAAAAATACCTAAGACTTGGGAAAGACTTGATCCCACAATAAATAACTACTGGGCATTGCTATGTTTTAAGCACTAGGAATTAAAGAAGATTTTTTTAAAAGCCAATACTTATTGAACATATATAAGCATCACACATTGCTATTAATTCTTTATGAACATTTGCTAATTGATTGTTAAAAATGACATTTGAGATGATCGTTTTTATCCTTATTTTGCAGATAAGGAATTTGAGACCCAGAGAGTTTAAATTCCCTCAGTAAAGCTCACAGTTAGCAAGTGATAGAGCTGGGATTCATATCCATACTTTTCAAAATCTAAAGCCCATATGTATAACCACCAAACTATTCAACCATATTATGTTATGGATTTAAAAGAACAACAACAGTACTTTCTCACAAGCAATTTTATTTTAGATGTCATAAATTACTTGCCTGAGTACAGGATAATAGAATGCTCTGTGGTTAAGACTAGAGTTTAGTCTTATACCAAAGTCTGTGTTCCTTTAACTGTTCTATGCTCCTCTCGGCTTACAACCAAGTAATCACAGATTTAGAAGGGGCTTACAGGACTGACTGATGCAGTTTCTTCCCTGGGTATGGCATCTGATAGACAGCATCCTTCTGACCCATACTAATCACACTGTCCACTGTCAACTTTTATCTTAGGCAATTTTATTCCTCCTTTGTTGTGTTCCATTTAGTTTCCTCCATCATATATTATCTTTAACAAATCATTTTTGCCTGTTTGTCAGCTTTAAGAGAGAAAAAAAGATTTGACCTTAGTATTATAATTTGGAAGAATATAACTTTGCTATAATGGTGTAAATTTGTAAAATAAGGGAGGCACACTAGTTTCTAAATTTCTCTTTCTCTCTCTCTGTCTTCTTAGCTAGGTTTTAATAGAGAAGGGCATTTAGAAAAGTAAGTTCCAGCAAATGGCATATTGTACACCATTGGCAGATTCTTCAGAGGCTGACATTAAAAATATATAATAGGTTTTAAGATCTGTGGTTAAAACTAAATTCACCACACAATGATCATATTTCTGCTGTATATTGTGAAGTTATGGAGAACTGATCAATACTGCCCTGCTGCACTTTGATCTTTAGCAGCAATTTGTCTGTAGCAAATTGCTCTCATTTAATTTCAATTAATTCTCTACAACAGGGACCAATGCATTTTGACCTTAGTTTTCTGTGAGGGATGCATGAAAATTGATAATATTTATAATATTTTCACTAGGCACCTGCACGTGCTATTCTTAATTACTAAAACAAAATAGAAAAACAAGGAAATATAATGCAAATTACATATGCCTTAAAGTTCACTTGCTATTTGGTAGCATGTAACAGATAACATGCCTAAAAGCCAAGTTATACTAGATAATTCTGTATCTTTATTGGGTGGGGCATGTCTATATTATGATGCTATGTTACCTTTCATGTAAAATTTCATTGAATGTTGAAGTAAAGCACACCAATTTTAGAGGGCATTTCTAAACTATTATTGTTTTCAATAAATTTGTTTTAATTTTAACAGGTTGAATTTAATGGGTTGTGTATGAAAAAGAGTACTGAACGTGGGAACAGTTTTTGGTATTGGTCATGTAGCCTTGATTAAGGTGTTAGAGAGTGTTTTACTTCAACCTAATTTGACTAAAGTAAAATCTAAAATTAGAAAACCTTGCATATTCAATTCCAAAATAAAACCAAAAGGAAAATAAAAAACAGTGCATTAGAAGAGTGTAAGGACAAATAAAACTTTAAAATGAGACTACTTCTTGCTATTGAAAAATTAGGGAAGAGATTTTTCTCCCCACCTTATCTTTTAGAGCACTTAGAAAATTTGTAATTATTAGTACTCTCTCCTCTTTTTGAAATGTATATAAATTCTTTTGAAGACTAGATTGAGCTTTTGTTAGCTTTATGACCTAGGAATGTTTTTCTCAATGACCTAGGCTCCATCTCTTTGAAAGGTAAACATCAAGGAAGATAGCACCTTGTTTCCATGTCCCAGTGAGAGTGGGAGTCTAACTTCAGTGGGCACCTTGCTCCAAGCTGCAAAACTACCTCCTTTCATAAAGATATAAGAAATTTATTTTTCCTCTGCAGGAAGCCTATTAGCTAACACAGATGGTCACCACAATTACTGGGTGAATTTAGGATAAACTATGTGTGACAAATGATGCCATTGAGTTCTTTTACATGAGGACTAGTCATTGTTTATCTTGACAACATGTATGTAATGGGTTGTATCTGTTTGGTGGTACAGAAGGATTAGGAGGAGATTATTTTCATTGCAAGCTTTTAGGGTTTTACCTGTGATGAATGTTACATCACAGTAACATTCATGTTGAATACTTACTCAATAATAAAACTGTTTTCTTTCTCTATAGAGGTTGTGGAGAGGTTTTCTGAGGTAGAAGACTTTGTTTTTAGTTTTATTTTCCCTCAAAAAGCAATGCATGTTTATGTTCACATACATACATATTTCAAAGACTATCAAGAACAAAAGTGAGTATGCATCTCCATTACCTTACAAATGGCTTATCTGTTGTATTTAACTGTTACATACATAGAGAACCCATTGCCCATGGGTAATTAAATAATAGTATGCCTTTATTTAAATGAATGTATAAAATAAAAATTCTCATTATTTTTAACACAGGATAATAAGATAATGTATATGCCAAATAAAATATTGCCCAATATTGCAGCTATTATTATCTACATTTTAAATAGTAACATAACTTATAACTGTTTATATAAAAAGAAATATACTATCCAATATATTGAAGAGATACAGATAGGGGTTCTATTAAATAGAGATCCTGGAAACTATGATATTCTTCCTACAGAAAAATATATGAATGACTGTAGGTGGAATTTTATAACATCAAAAATCGTTGCCTCAGCTAATTGGAAAAGGTAAGGGACATAAGTAGAAAGGTTATTTCTAAGGTCACCTTATGCTATCATCCTGAATTAAATACATTTTGAAATTCATCCTAGTTCTGTGTATAGTGCAGAAACTATAGGTCATTTTTTGTTGTTGCTTTTTGATTAGGGGTCTTGCTCTATTCCCCAGGGTGGAGTCTAATGCTGTGATCATAGCTCACTCTAACCTTGAACACCTGTACTCAAGGGATCTTCCCACTGAGCCTCACTGAATAGCTGGGACTGCAGGCATGGGCCACCACGCCTAGCTAAATTTTAATTTTTTTTTTGTAGAGCTGTTGTCTCATCTATGTTGCCCAGTCTTGTCTCAAACTCTTAGCTTCAAGCAATCCTTCTACCACCTCCATCTCTCAAAGCTCTGGGTTATAGGTGTAAACTACCTTGCTTGGCCAGGTCATATTTTTTAGACTAAAAAAAAAAAATTCTATAAGGACAGTTCAAGAAATAGTCAGAATATGTGAAAATCTTGTAACCATCACTGTAGACATTGAAAAAAGACTAGAAAGTTCCAGTTACAAATTGCATATTTATCACACAGTTATCTCTTCTTTCCCCAGGAGTCCTTTTAACAGAGGAGATGTGGCAAATGTCTCACCTGCATTGCAGTTTTTACAAACCTTTTACACTCAACTTGTTGCGTGTTTCATAATGATTAAAAAATCATTTGTCAATACATAGTTAGCTCATTTCAGATATTATTTGCCCAAAATATCAAGTCTTTTCCACAGCTGTCTTTGTATCCTATGAAGAAGGTTTTTCTTTGGACTATTTAATCCTTGATTATGTTAAATTTTGTAAAAAAAATTGTTTTGCTAGTGATAGCATGTTACTTTTGAGAAATGATATATGATAGAAATGGAGTGATTAGAAACCAACAGAAGAAATGTCATTTTGCAATATCTTCAAACCTAGAATAATCCTGGGTGTGCTCCCAAAGTCTTTCAGTCTGATTTCCCTAATGTAGCTGCTATAATACCAAAGACAAAAGATAGCCTTGTTTAGATTATCTACCACTTGAATTAGCTTTGGCAATACTTTTTCCAGAGCAGTTTAAGTTATCAAAGATTGAATGTATTTCCTTTCTAAATCATAATATGAAGATAACTATTATGGTTCCTTAAAATCTCATACATATGGCCCCTAACAGTAATTTTATGGGATTCTCATTTTGCTTAATGAATACAGTTACACACTGAAGAGTATTTCCCTCTGTTATGATGTGCCATATCATCACTTACAGTATGAATGTATAAGCTAAGAAACTGATATCAGTCCGCTGGTTGTTCTATTGTAAAATTGACTTTGGGGTTCTAAAAAATTGAGCCATTTGGAAACTGTATCTAAATTATTATCTTTAATGAATTTAATTTTTTGATGTGCTGCTCATTATTTTGTTCACTTGCCTTGGTGATTACTTGAAAACTGAAAGTGTTTTTGAAGCTATGAACATTAGGAACTTCAAGTTCTTAATTAGAACATTAAGTTAGTTGTAACAAAGGGAAAATGTAAGGGGATTTACTTTAATTATTCTATTAGTCTGTTTTCACACTGCTGATAAAGACATACCCGAGACTGGGCAATTTACGAAAGAAAGAGGTTTAACGAACTTACAATTCCACATGGCTGAGGAGGACTCACAATTATGGCAGAAGGCAAGGAGGAACAAGTCATGTCTTACATGGATGGTAGTAGACAAAGAGAGAGAGCTTGTGCAGGGGAAATCCTCTTTATAAAACCATCATATCTCATAAGACTTATTCACTATCACAAGAACAGCATGGGAAAGACTTGCTCCCATGATTCAATTACCTCCCTCCGGGTCCCTCCCACAATATGTTGGAATTCAAGATAAGATTTTGAGGGGACAGAGGCAAACCATATCATTTAACCCCTGTCCCCTCCCAAATCTCATGTCCTCACATTTCAAAACCAGTAATACCTTCCCAACAGTCCCCCAAAGTCTTAACTTATTTTGCAATTAACTCAGAAGTTCACAGTCCAAAGTATATCTGAGACAAGGCAAGTCCCTTCCACCTATGAGCCTATAAAATCAAAAGTAAGTTAGTTACTTCCTAGATAAAATGGCGGGCATTGTATCTAGGAAGACACAAGGCAGGGGGTCATTGTGTCTAGTGTAGGCATTGGGTAAATACAGCCATTCCAAATGGGAGAGAAATTGGGCAAAACAAAGAGGCTGCAGGTCCTATGCAAGTCCAAAATCCAGTAGGGTGATCAAATCCTAAAGCTCAAAAACGATCTCCTTTGACTCCATGTCTCACATTCAGGTCACGGTAACGCAAGAGGTGGGTTCCCAAGGTTTGGAGCAGCTCCGCCCCTGTGGCTTCCCAGGGTATAGCTCCTCTTCTGGCTGCTTTCATGGGCTGGAGTTAACTGTCTGGGGCATTTTCAGATACACAGTACAAGCTGTCAGTAGATCTACCATTCTGGGGTTTGAAGGATAGTGGCCCTCTTCTCAAAGCTCCACTAGGCAGTGCCCCAGTAGTGTCTCTGTGTGGGGGCTCCCACCCCATATTTCTCTTCTGTACTGCCCTAGCAGATGTTCTCCATGAGGGCCTCACCCCTGCAGCAAAATTCTGCCTGGACATCCAGGTATTTCCATACATCTTCTGAAATCTAGGCAGAGGTTTGCAAACCTCAATTCTTGACTTCTGCACACTTGCAGGCTCAACACTACATGGAAGCTGCCAAGGATTGGAGCTTGCACCCTCTGAATCCCCAGGGCAAGCTCTACATTGGCCACTTTCACCCATGGTTGGAGCAGTTGGAACGCAGGACACCAAGTCCCCAGGCTGCACACAGCCTGGGGACCCTGGGACCAGCTCATGAAACCACTTTTTCCTCTAGGTCTCCAGGCCTGTGATGGGAGGGGCTGCTGCAAAGGTCACTGACTTGCCCTGGAGACATTTTCCTCCTTTGCTTGATGATTAACATTTGGCTTCTCACTACTTATGCAAACTTCTGCAGTCAGCTTGAATTTCTCCTCAGAAAATGAGATTCTCTTTTCTATTGCATTGTCATGATGCAAATTGTCTGCACTTTTATGCTCTGCTTCTCTTATAAAACTGAATACCTTTAACATCACCCAAGTCACTTCTTGAATGCTTTGCTGCTTAGAAATTTCTTCTGTCAGATACCCTATATCATCTCCCTCAAGTTCAAAGTTCCACAAATCTCTAGGGCAGGGGCAAAATGCTGCCAGTCTCTCTGTTAAAACATAACAAAACCACCTTTTCTCCAGTTCCCAACAAGTTCCTCATCTCCATCTCAGACCACCTCAGCCTGGATTTCATTGTCTGTATCATTATGAACATTTTGGTGAAAGCCATTCAATGAGTCTCTAGAGAGTTCCAAACTCTCACACATTTTTCTATCTTGCTCTGAGCCCTCTAAACTGTTCCAACCTCTGCCTGTTACCCAGTTCCAAAGTTGCTTCCACATTTTCTGGTATCTTTTCAGTAGTGCCCCCCTCTACTGGTACCAATTTACTGTATTAGTCCATTTTCATGCTGCTAATAAAGACAAACCCGAGACTGGGTAATTTACAAAAGAAAGAGTTTTAATGGACTTACAGTTTCACATAACTGGGGAGGCCTCACAATCATGGCAGAAGGCAAGGAGGAGCAAGTCATGTCTTACATGGATGGCAGCAGGCAAAGAGGGAGAGCTTGTGCAGGGGAACTCCTCTTTATAAAAACATCATACCTCAGGAGCCTTATTCACTATCATGAGAATAGCAAGGGAAAGGCTTGCCCCTATGATTCAGTTACCTCTCATCAGGTCCCTCCCATAACACATAGGAATTTAAGATGAGATTGAGTGGGGACTCAGCCAAACCATATCAAATATGTAATTAACATTAATTGAATTTGCACATTTAAATCCTAAAACACAAGTGTGGTGGTATTTCCCTAAAGCCAAAGTATAAGGACATTTGGGTTTAAAAAAATTAAAATATAAGCACAATTACAAATAATCTTGAAATGTTGTGATAAATATATAAAGTGAGGTATTAGCTGTGTCCCAACAAATCAAGTAATTTCAAAACAAAAATTCTGAGTCAGAGGGTATAAATGGACATTTTTCAAAATAAGAAGCTGGCTGGGTGAGGTGGCTCATGCCTGTAATCCCAGCACTTTGGGATGCTGAGGCAGGCGGATCACCTGAGGTCAGGAGTTCGAGACCAGCCTGACCAACATGGAGAAACCCTGTCTCTACTACAAATACAAAAAATTAGCCAGGTGTGGTGGTGCACACCTGTAATCCCAGCTACTTGGGAGGCTGAGGCAGGAGAATCACTTGAACCCAGGAGGTGGAGGTAGCAGTGAGCCGAGACTGTGCCATCGCACTCCAGCCTGGGCAACAAGAGTGAAACTCCATCTCAAAAAAAAAAAAAAAAAAATTGAAGCCAACAAATGTATAAAAAATACTCAACACCATTAATAGAGAAATGCAAATTAAAACCACCTTGCACCAGTCAGATGCCATCTGAGATGCCATTGTACACCAGTCAGAATAGCCATTATTAAATGTCAAAAGTCAAGAGATGTTGGCAAGGATGTGGTATAAAGAAAACACTTGCACACTGTTGGTGGGATTTTTAATCAATATATTCTCTGTGGAAAAGAATATGGAAATTTCTTGAAGAACTAAAATAAGAACTACCATTTGATTTAGCAATCCCACTACTGAGTATCTACCCAGAAAAAAAGAAATCATTATATCAAAAAGACACTTGCACTTGTATGTTATTGCAGCACTGTTCACAATAGCAAACTCATGAAATCAACCTGTGTCCATCAACAGATAATTGGATTTTAAAAATTCATGATTTAATTCTTCTTAAATAATATTTATATAATATATAATGGAATACTACTTAGCCATAAAAACGAATTAAATCATGGCTTTTGCAGCAACGTGGATGAAGCAGGAGGCCACTATCCTAGGGGAACTGACTCAGAAACAAAGTTAAAAACCAAAACTGCATGTGCAACCTATAAAGGGGAACCAAACAATGGGTACACATGGACATGCAGAGTGGAATAATAGACACTGGAGACTCCAAAAGGTGAGAGGTGGAAGGGAAATAAGGGATGAAATATTACCTACTGGGTACAATGTACACAATTTGGTTAAAGGTACATTAAAAGGCCATACTTCACTACTGCAAAATATATTCACGAAACACAATTGCACTTTTACCCCTAAATGTAAAATAAAATAAAATAAAATAAAATAAATTCTGAGTCAGGAAACAAAAATTTTGGTATAATTGTATAGTGTAATATGTGATAATGCTCAAATCAGTGTTTTGAGAGAGTCTACCTTCTGGGTTCTTTGACTTTCTCTAATATTTAACTTGAAATTTTAAAATTAGTAGTAAGCCAGTGGTTTGCCTCACCACATAAGGGGGAATGTGCCACTATGCAGGCTGGTAACTTCGAAACTGTCTACTTGGCAGGCTGATCTGACATAAAAATTATACCATATTCCATACTGAAATATGTGTTCCTGGAGAGTCATCACCCTTCAAAAAAGAATAGCATGATTGGTCTGGAAAGGCCAATATACATTATGCTGACCCACCTTAAATGGTTTGTACCTTGTAAAACCTAATTGAGCAGTCATTCTAATCTTTATTGATATCTGAGAGATAATCAGCACCTTGTTAAACTGTGCTATAGCATAATTATAAAGTATATAATTTTAAAATAGATAAATGCAAATGAAAGTCTTTATAAATATAAGAATATTATGTTGTGCCTTATAATCTTTTATCTTTTTCCTTAGCAAGTTAACTAAAAGTAGAATAGGGCAATTTTTCATTTATTTTTCTATGGCATTTTAACTTAATGCAATGACAACATGTTACTTTTATAATTAGAGAAAAGAGAAATATATGAGGAATTATTTGAATGTTGTAGTATTTTATATAGTACTTTTTATATTAAAGAGCATGAGTATACAGTTTTGTGGAAAATTAGAATTCAATGGGACTACAAAGCCTAAGTGGTGAGATCTTGCATAAGTGTCTGCTTTAGACTTTAGCAATCAAATTTCCATCTCATAATCAGAAAAGAATAGGGGTTAATTATGGAGCCCAACTTAGTTTTAAGGTCATTCCAAAGATTCAGTGTTGATATAGAAAAATCTGGGCCTAGCCAGGTTGTATGAATGAAAGTGAGATTCATGCCCTAGAGGCAAACACTGAGAAAAAATAATAATTAAAAAATAAAATTAAGAAAACAGACTATCTCCAGGAGGGCTAGACAAATTATGTTCTTGCCCTAAGAAGGTTATACAATAAAGGCTGTTTATTGATGGCCAAATGTTGAAAGGGTACACAGCAAAAAAACAAAAACAAAACAAAACAAAACAAAACAACAACAACAACAACAAATATATATATATATATATAATTTTCCAAGAAACCATAAAGTATCCAGAGACCTAACAAAACTCAACTGACCACAGGGGGCCATTCAGTCTGAGACACATTCCTACAGCTACAGAAGCAGAACTAAAGTCAGTCAAAGGCCAAAGATACAATCAGAGAAATGTCAGTTTGAAAAATAGTGAGAGAAAGTAGTATGTGATATGTGTTTCAGAAAGTCCTTGGCATTTGCTTGGATAAAAACTTAATGGCTTTAGCACAGTTGCCATTTTCTTTTTAGACAGATTCAGAGAAGAACAGGCAGACAGTAATGGAGCAGGGAGCAATGACCAGAGGGGCCGTTTTGTCCTTGGCAATGAGAGAAGATGGCATCCTGAGCAACCACAGAGGACAATGCCTTCATTTTATCAAAAGACCAAGTTGAATACACCAGGGAAGATAAGAAAGCCCCCACTGAGACATCCTGTTTGTTAGTTTGTTTTTAATAAATTATGAGAAAAAGCAAAATTTTGGGATAAAAGTGGGAAAGCAATTATAGGGGGAGAAAAGAACTGAGCAAAAGTGTTAAGCCAATGCTGAGGAGAGTGGACAAGTAGGATTAGTAAAGAAAACCAGCGATAGCACTGGACAGTTTTGAACAAATCATGTATTTATTTTTCAAGTAATGTATGCCTGCATGGAGAAAGAACCTGCACTTACAAGAGGAGAGGACAAAAGAGAGAGGAAAACACAGATTTGAGTATTTACAATAATTAATCTGAAATCTAACATAGATAAAGACGAGAATAAGGAGAGCTTGTAGATGAAGAGTCAAGAAAATGCTTTTCTAATGGAGCACCATGAATTTGCTGTTTTGATTAAGCTGAAAGTTGGAACACTGAGGAGTATGGAAAACACCTAATAAGCCTCATCACTTAGAATACCTTCCCAATAGTATTAGTTTATTTCCAGTTCATGATGAAAAATGTGGAACCTCAACTGAGTACATTTTTGATTGAACAACTGATTAAACCCCAAATAAAGTGCTGCATTATTATTATTATGTGTCCTGCAAATAAATGCTCATAGCTAAATTTCATGCAGAAGCAGCACAATTCTCATTAATATAATAATACAATCAGGACAGGTTTTTAAAAAAATTTAGCATTAGCTATGCCGTCAGCTATATGAATTTTAGACTGCATAGTTCTTCTTTTAATGCGAAACATATAGACTATATGCTATTCAGTTTCTTGCTAATGATATCAAATTTGATTTCTCTGCTATTCAAGTCCTTTCAAAAGTCTGCTGATGCAGCTGACTTCTGAGAGGAAGTGCATGAATGGGTTTGTTCTTGATGCTCAAAAATTTCCAAGATGCATGCTTGTATTAAGTTAGCTCACTGGAAATGATATACCTGAAGCACACCACCTGAATCCCATCCCCACCACCGAACTGCCTCTGCAGAACTAAGTGTTGGTGTTTGTGCTGTCTTCACTCAGAGGTGCTATTAAAATAGGAAAAAGAGAAAAATGTCTCTTTTTATTAAGAGTCCAGTTAATTTTGATGCTGACTGCACCTCCGTGCAGAAGCCCCCATGATAGATCAGTCTAAGAGGCTCACCAATGAAAGACTACTTCTCTCCATGCAAGAGACGAGTTCTGGCTCCCAGACAATGAAAGTTCTCTCTCCCACATGTTAGGGAACTTATTTGCCCTGTCTGCTCAGTTCCTCACCTTTTTCCTTGCCCTTGGTTCTTTCCCTTGTTTATTTCTTATTCTGTTCTTTCTTTTTTTTTGTTTTCTAAATTTAGTGTAGACCTCCTCAGATTGATTTTGTAACAGCAGATCTACATTAACATAACATAGTAAGGCAACAGCTTATCGTTTGATTCAATCTGGCATCATCAAATGAATTGTTCATTTTTATATCTTTAGTTTTGAAATGATTGTGCAACATCCGGAATATTTTAAAGGAAATCTTCGGTATACTGTTCTCCAAGATACATCAAAATATTAATACACTAAACATAGCCTGCTTAGATGTTTTGACTTTAAGGTAGTGATTCTGATCTGTGAAATTAGGAAAAATAAGCACTCACATTAGAATAGTTCATAGAATAGCTATTGTTGTGCTTTACATTTTCTTCATGTGAATTTTCTGTGTCACAATAAATTTAAATGATTCAAGTTTTTAGATACTCAAACATGCATGTCTATTGGTTTGACAAGAATTTGAAAATCCAAGCTCCTCTGACTAACAATTTGGTATTGTGTTAGAGTGATAAATATAAATACTATATAAAAGCTATATTTGAAAAAATGTTAAATTTAATTTCTGTGGAATTTAAACAGACAGAAAAAAATGAGAAGTAAGCCAAATACTAATAGAAGTTTTTTTTGCTTTTTTTTTTAAATTTGTACTTATATATCGTTTAAAAGAGAAAGCTAATTAAAAATAGGTAAAAATATTTTCCAATCCTAAGTCTCATTCTCCCTAGGGAATCAATCACAGATATTTCACGGTGTTTTCAGTTATTTAACTTTATATTTCTAAAGAACATGATTGATTATACTTCACCTTCTCCCTCCATTATCTCTCCCCTCTCTCCTTCTCTTCCTGCCAACTCTTCGTTTTCAATTCTAGGCATTGTCTATCGTCTGTGTCTAAAGCGTGTTTATATTAGAAGATTGATATTAAATACCTTTTCTCATACTCAGTCCCAAATTGTTGTTTCCCTTCTGCTATACTCCTAATATAATCAGATTAGAATTTGTACGTAAATCCATATTTATTTTTTGTGTTATTATGACTTACAATTTTAATTCACAGCTCTTCTACATAGCGCATGAGGATTTCATTTTCGTTTTGGCAAATTTTAGTTTGTTTTTATTGGTTCATATATTTTTTTCATTTAGTCATATTGTTATTTTTTGTACTATGATTAATTAAATCCTAAACTTTTTGCCAGGAAAATAAAAATGCCCCATCTATGTCTCAGAACTTTCACCCTTGGTCTTTCCATCATTGTCCTCCTGGTAATCTCCTTCTTATCTGTGCCTATGGGTGTGACGTGATGAACCACTTCAATTCGTGTGGAACATCCTCTCCAAGATATCCCTTAGAAAGGGTGCACAGGACAATAATGCATTTTGGTATTATACATTTAGAAATGTCTTTATTCTATCTTCAGTCTTGCATGATATTTTTCTTTTGTACAAGGATCATATTTCCTTAGAATATTCAATGCTTTACCTTATTGCCTTCTATTTTCTATTTTTGCTCTCAATAAATTCTGTAACATTTTGATTTCTGATCATTTTCCTTATTTCTCTCTATAAGCTTATTTAGGGAATTTTATTAATCATTAATTATTTTGAAATTTATCTCGATACATCTTGGAATTAAACATTTAAAAATATTTATATTTTAAAATTATTCTGGATGCTGACTGTGGTTTATTAATCTGGATAATTTTCTTCTTCATTTCTGAGACATTTTTCTTATTATTTTTCTCCTGTTCATATTTTTTCTTTATTGAACTTGTTATTTGGATATTATACTCCTTGTAATGATTAATATTCCCTATCGAATCTCTTTTGTTACTTGTCTCTGTGTTTTTCTAATTCTATTATTGGGTAAATATAATCAATTTTACATTCCAATGTCTGCTGTGACTTTTAAAAGCTTTTCTATCACACTGTTGGTTCCAAGTTCTTCTTTTGCTTTCTTTTTCCGTATCTAAGATTTTTCTCCAGTATTTCATGACTGATGGCTCATTGTTCAGATATGAGAGTGAGGCATTTAACATATTTGAAGTTCTGTGTGTCTGGGTGGAGACAGGACTTGTTTAATGTGTGGCCCTCGGTCTAGGCTGACTGGGCAGAGTCCTGGACATTTCTCAGAGGACCCTCAAGGTTTAGTACCCGGAGCGTTTTTTTTTTTTTTCCTAGAAAAATATAATTGTTGCAAAACTTTCTTCTTAGTTCATCTAAATCTAGGTTCTTGTCACACAACCAGGAAAGATTAGGCTCACAGACACATAGAAGGGTGAGGAGTGAAATTTTTGGGGCAAAAAGGATAAAGGAAAAATAACTCTCAGCAAAGCTAGAGAGAGTCTTGCTAGTAGGTTTTCCATCTCACAGATTGAATTCCAGGTCACCACCCAGGAACTGAAGAGGTCAGCCTCCTCCCGCTGTGAATGGCATGAACTTCCTGAGGCTCCACCCCATCCTCCCAGTGCACAGGTGGGCATTGTTCAGAGAGAATTAGTCAGGAAAGGGTGGGCTTCATCTAGGACGAGCAGTCCAGTTTTTCAGCCTTCAGGCTGTTTTAGGCTTGAAGGCAGGGTTTCACCAGGGATCCTTGGCTGTCTCCTGACGCTATCATAAATTCCCCCAGAAAGAAGTTCTGCAATCACCTGCCCAGAAATTGCAAAAGTAGCTAAGAAGATTTGAGAGAAAAGCAGGTGAGTCATGATCAACTATATAATTTGGGGAACCCCTTGTTCAAAAATTACAAATGTCAAGACAGTGAGAACAGAATACTAAACCAAGACTGGGATTTTTCTAAGTATGAGCCCTGTGTGACTACACATGTTGCTCACGTATGAAGCCAGCTGTGAGGGAAACAAGCTGTGGGCAGACTTCTCATTATTCAGTATGCAGACTGTCAGATATAGTCATGTACCGTATAGTGACTTTTCAATCCCATAAGATTATAACATAACATATATAGAAACATGCTATATGGCACTTGATATTGGTATTACAAATTAAGTAGGAGAAATAACTGATATTCAGTAATGGTGCTGGGACACTTTGTTTTTCACATATATATATATACACATATATATACGTGTATATATATACATATATATGTGTATATATATACAGATATATATATGTGTATATATACAGATATATATACGTGTATATATACACACATATATATGTGTGTGTATATATATATATATATATATATATATATATATATATATATATACCATCTTGATTTGTGTAAGTATACTCTATGATGTTTGCATAACAACAAAATCACCTGAGGACGCATTTCTCAGAACATATCCCCATCTTAAGCAATGCATTACTGTAATCCCTATGTTGACCAGAACCTGATGCTGGGCACATCAAAGTTTCTCTATTCCATCTCTCCAGAGAAAGCTCTCCTGTCACCTACTAGCAAGAGCCAAGGACAGTATTCTGGCTGTCCTGGGAGGGTAGTGGGGAAATGGTTCTGAGGTCTAGTGTTCCTTATAAAAGAGTTACAATAAATTATCCTGGCTTCAGTCTCAGATAAATGTCTTTACTGCATTTAATCATAAATTGAAGAATTTTCATGAAAAAAACTGAATTAAAAATTGTTTGAAAACATTTTTAAATGTGATTTAATATTTCAGTTTACCTTAAGCGACTTTAATATACGGTGAATTCTCATTATGTATGGTAGTTATGTTTTGTAAAGTCACTGAAAATAGTGAATTAATAAATACTGAGCCATTGCTCCTGGGGAATTACTGTCTATTCATATACTTATACATATTTCACATAGATTATACTTATAAATCCTAAAAGCAACTTACCCTGGTAGATTCAATTTTCTTTATTTTACAAAAAAGAAAACAAAATGTAAAAGTTTTAAGAGACTGGCCTGAGGCCTCCCACTAACAGCTGCCAGAATAGAGATTCAGATTCTCTCTTCCTGGCCCCAGAGCAGAAGCCTATTGTACTACACTGCAGTGTCCCCTACTGTCTTTATCCTCTGGTCATCTCTGCATAAGAAATAAAACAGAAAGGCAAGCTTCAAATTTATCTACCTCCTCTCCTTCCACTTTGTATGTCTGCAAATAGCTGTGAAAGTGTCACCAGAATTGGTTCTGGGGTTACAAATACATTTTAGCAAGTAGGCAAATTTGCAAATATAGAATCTGTGAATAATGAAGATTCATTGTACATTTTTATTCTCCACAAAGATTACAAAGTGTATAATAGTCCATACATTTGTGTTACTTTGATACTCTTATTGTTGCTATTGTTGTTACTCTTGTGTTTGCCACAGTGCATCAGTTGACAAATCATTAAATATGAAATCTTTGGTCAGTAGGCTTTCAAACAAATCTTTTCATCTTAAAATTGTCAATAGTGTGCACTAAAAAGTGTCATTTAAACTACTGCAGGAGGCCAGGCGCAGTGGCTCATGCCTGTAATCCCAATGTTTTGGGAGGTCAAGGCAGGCAGATAACCTGTGGTCAGGAGTTGGAGACCAGCCTAGCCAACATGGTGAAACCTTGTCTCCACTAAAAATACAAAAATTACCCGGGCGTGCTGGCATGTGCCTGTAGTCCCAGCTACTCAGGAGGCTGAGGCAGGACAATTGCTTGAACCTGGGACATTGCAGTGAGCTGAGATCGTGCCACTGCATTCAGCCTGGGCGACAGAGTGAGACTCCATCTCAAAAATAATAATAATATTAATAAAATTAAAATAATAAATAAAATACTGCAGGAATCCCTTTGATGCTGAAATAATGGTCTAAATATGAATAAGAATAGGTACAGATTAAGAAGTTGGTTATTCAACAATTATTTTAATTTTTAATCATTTTATATTTTTCTTAGTCTGCTAGCTAGGAAAATATTCAGTAATTATATCTTAATGAAATAGTTCTGACATTTTGATGGAAGGTTAAAAATAGAAAAAAAATCTCAGTTCCTCAAAATATTTGTAATATTTATTTTGGACATGTAAAACATTTTTCAGCTAGAAAATGCAAATAATAAATACATTGTATTTTTTTTAATAAAGCTTACAGGCTAGGTGTGGGGGTTTATGCCTCTAATTCCAACATTTTGGGAGACTGAGACAGAAGGATCGCTCGAGCCCAGGAGTTCAACACCAGCCTGTGCAACATAAGAAGACCTCGTCTATACAAAAAATTAAAAAATTAGTTGGGCATAGTTTGGTATGCCCTACATGTAGTCCCAGCTTCTTGGGAGGCTGAGGCAGGAGAATGGCTTGAGCCAGGAAGGTCAAGGCTGCAGTCAGCCATGATTGCAACACTGCACTCCAGCCTGGGTGGAAGGGTAAAACTCTGTCTAAATAAATAAGTAAATAGAATAAAGCTTACAACACTATCACTATTGCTTAAATTATATAGAGAAGACTTTGGCAACAATTTTGTATTTTCTTTTTAAATTTTAATCGAGAAACTTGGGTGGAGTTTTTTTTTCCAATGCATAAATTTGAGTGAATCAAAATACGTTTATCTCATCTTAAAAATTTAATCAGACTTACATCTTTGAGAACAACATAAACAATAAAGCCAAGTAGTCAATAATACCAGATTTAGTTAGTCATTTGATTAAAACTGATAGCTACAAAATCAAAACCATCATTATTTCTAAAAAATACTAGAATTACTAGTTTTCTACTGATTATTTGTTAACTGTTACATATTTAAGTACCACAGAATAGCAAGAAAATAAGAAAAATCATTCCAAATCATACAAATTATATCTGTGCTAACAATATGCAACCACAAAAATAAAACCAGCTAGTGAATAAAAAAAAGGCTTCTTCCTCATAGAAAATTATACAATGTTAGCAAGCTTATGTCATCTACCAATGGCATTTACATAATAAAAATTACTTTATATTTTTATATCACCTGTATATCTTTTGATCTAATTTATCACTGCAATTGATAAATCTCAAGAGGAAAGTTTGTTCTGTTAAAATACACACTTTTTTGTATGTTGTTACAACTATCAGAACTGCTGTTTATATTTTCATATGCCAACTTTTCTTAAATTCTCATAAACACTGACACTTATATCTACCTATATGTTTTATAATATCGTGGGAGATAAATGATTTACTTTTTATTTAATTACCATTAAGTTGAATATTTTTCCATGAATTAGCTTGCTTTTGATATTTTTATACTAATATAAATGTCTCCTTTGTGAGTTTCCTTTTTAAGTATTTTATCCATGTTTCATTTTTATTGGCTTTTTCACCTTCAGTTTTTATTTCATATATCTAAAAAATAATTTCCTAGATTGTTGTTTGCCTTTCAATTTTTTCCACAATATATGTTTAATAGAAACTGTATGCTAATTACATTCTTTTATTGGATGCTGAGATATTATGGAATACATCTTAAAAATCTCTCTGCCGGCGCGGGGGCTCACGCCTGTAATCCCATCACTTTGGGAGGCTGAGGTGGGTGGATCAAGAGGTCAGGAAATCGAGACCATCCTGGCCAACATGGTGAAACCTCGTCCCTACTAAAAATAAAAAAATTAGCTGGGCGTGGTGGCGCATGTAATCCCAGCTACTGGAGAGGCTAAGGCAGGAGAATCCCTTGAACCAGGGAGTTGGAGGTCACCTTGTACTACCTAATCAAAATTTTAAGTCTAGAAATTAAATATATGACTATAATAAGCTCTGAAATATAGAAGTAAAATAGTAAAAGAAAAGTTGTTTCATGCAAAATAGTGAATAATACTTTAGAATACTACTTTGTTACACTAAAATTTTTCTAAATACTAGGTAGTGGATCAAATTTGTCACACTCAAAATATCAAATATATGTCAATTTGAGAAGCACATTGAAATTTGGACATTGAAGTTTAATTATCATTTTGTTGTTTTATTATAAACAACATAAAGAGATAGCTTTATGTTGTATTATTACTTCCTGATAAAGGCCCATTCATTTTTTTCTAAAATTATTTAATTCCTCCTAAGTTGCCTATATCTTCTCCTCCTCATTTTCCCTGTGAAGTGGTATGTGAACTCCCAAATCTCGCCATTGTTTTGAGAATTTACTTTTTTTCCCTGTGATTCCCCTCTGCCCATAAAAAATGTTTCTACCTTTTCTCCTGCTAATCTGCCTTTTGTCAGTTTATTTCATAGACCTAGTTACTGAACCTCAGAGCATAAAGAGAAAGCATTTCCCTTCTCTACAGTTCTCCATGTTATAATTTAATAATTTCCTGTTATTGAGTCATTAAAATACCTGAATTATTTTCTATTATAAATATCAAATTATTAAATATATAATGTTTTCACACATTTCTGATTATTTTATTAACGTCAACTTTTAGAAATATAATGCTTTTCCTTAAAGGATAAAAACACTCTGATTATCTTAACATATTTTGCTAGATTACATTTGAAAGTATGTTCCAATTTTCTTTCAGTATTTTGTCTGCAAAAGCAAATGTGGTGCTAAAATTACATGTAAAAGAAAGTCTTTGTATATCCTAAATTTGAAAAATAATTTGGATTTAACATAAATTCTCATTGAACAACATTTTTTTCTGAAAGCACAAGAAAATTTGTGGCCTTTAGGTTATAGCAGTGATTGTCAACCTCAGCACTCTTGACATGCTGGGCCATAGGCTTCTTATGTGGGTGCTGTCCTGATCACTGTCTGGTGTTTTATATAATAGCATCCTTGGCCTATTCTCACTGCATTCCAGTATCATCTGACCCCTCTCTAGCTGTAACAACAAAAAGTACCTCCAGCCATTGCCAAAAATCCCCTGGAGGGCAAAGCTGTCCCTTCCTCTCTGACAATCACTTCATTTTAGAGAAATGGGCTCACAGACACGTCACATTCAGAAACTTATCAAATAGTGAGTGAGTAAACAAAGCATTTTATGCAGTCACAGCATACATATGATGATGTGTATACACGCACATCTCCCAGTGCATTTTATATTTGGGTCATATGCTAACTACTATTTTACAAAAATATTTTCTCCATATCTGTTAAATTTATTCCTTAATTATCTAAATATGAAAATCATAGCCAATTGAGAAAGTTGTTTTATATTCATATAGTTTATACTGATATATTATAAAATTATACTATAAAATTGATATACATTATAAAATTAAGAGTATACATATTAAGATAAAATAAGTGATTTAATATTTTAACTCAGAATGACTGAAAGCAACTCATTGTGTTTGGAGAAGAGAGAGTGCTATCAAAATAATAGGAATTCATAAATGTCATGTTCAAATAATGTCTTTTGGAAATCAATGATAATCGCCTTTGCATAGGGAATAATAACTCTCATTCATCTCTAGAGAACCGACCATGTCTTTAATACCTTTCTGTTAATGAACATGGGGTAGGATAATTTTCAAAGTAAATATACAGACAAAATTATACACATCAATGGCATTTAAAAGTTTTCATACAATATTTCAATGGAATGTATTTTGTAATAATTTATTTCTTCCTGTTTCAGCACTTAACAAATTTCTTGTAAAAAACATTTATGTTTTACTGAATTAACGTTGGAAAATCAACAACCTTTCCAAAAATTTGAGGGTAAAAGTTTTTGAGTAGCTTTTTCATTGGCTTGTGATTACTTTGTCAAAAATTGTCCATCAATAAGAAAATCTATGATACCTGCAGTGTGCCTTTGTCAAAATCCATATTACGACTATAAGTTTCTACAAAACAGTTTAACTAGTTTCCTCTCTGTTTTTTTTAATCTTCTTTAATTCAAATAGACTTTAGAGATAATGTAAAGCACTCCTCCAATTTTATAAATAAATGAATTAAAGCTTTTCTAATTGAGGGTCATGCACATTGTCACACAGCCAGATAAAAGCAGTAGAATGCCTCAACTTTAAAAAGCTGTAGGCCGGGTGCGGTGGCTCATGCCTGTAATCCCAGCACTTTGGGAGGCCGGGGGGGCAGGGGGTGGATCACCTGAGGTTGGGAGTTCGAGACCGGCCATGCCAACATGGAGAAACCCCATCTCTACTAAAAACACAAAAATTAGCCGGGCGTAGTGGCGCATGCCTGTAATCCCAGCTACTCAGGAGGCTGAGGCAGGAGAATTGATTGAACCCGGGAGGCAGAGGTTGCCATGAGCCGAGATTGCACCATTGCACTCCAGCCTGGGCAACAAAAGCGAAACTCCATCACAAAAAAAAAAAAAAAAAAAAAGTATAAAATTAGAGTCTTGTATTTTAAGCTTAATTAAATATTTAAACATAGACAATCTACTTTCCTTGAAAATCAATGGCACCTAATAAGTTTGTCCATTTGAAGATCAGGTAAAGACAGAAACAAGTAATGTCTTTCATATTGTAAGAATTCAAAAATCATTTCAATAAATAATAGAAAGTCAGGATCATAGATTATATTCTGATGTGATAAAGTGAACATCACAGAAATTGTTAAGTGGTTAATATTAATATACATGGCTTTATAAAGCTTTATAGCTTTAATAAAATATTTTAAAAATTATTTTTATATTTACTGTGAATTTGCACCTTTTTATGAATATTTTGGAATTATTATCTCTAAGTTCCAAAGAACTCCCTTTGTGGCATCATATATAACTTTCTACATCCTTTCCAAAATTTTCAATCAGTAATAACTTACTAGTTTCTGAAATAGAACTGTAAGATTAATGGTAAATCAATAATGTTAACTGAATTAAACATGTTTGATTCCATTTTATGACTATTTCCTTAAGCCCTTCTAATATTATGAAAGGACATAAACCAAAGAGTATTATCATTTTATTTGTACAGTATAAATGCTTTGTTTTTTAGAGTCTGAGATACTAAAAGCTTTTCCTCTGAAAGTATTGTGGAGAAAAAGTAATGTCTTCATTTTAAATCTGACCATTTCAGCACACAGATTCAATTTACGCATATAATCCATATAAGATAGCTTTATTTTGAGTCCATCTCACATTGTGTGTCAGTAATAAATAGAAGTATTCATTTTGAAGTATTTTTTAATGTATGAAAACCAGCATAGAATCCCATACTTTAGGATTTTTTTCCCCTTGTACAGAATGAGATCTAGTGTTTTTTGAACTCAAGGCTTGTGGTGCTGTGTTATTTCAGAAAAAGCTCAGCTGGTGCTTGTCCAGTGGGATGATCTGGCATAGAATAGTATTAAAAAGAAATCACGACACGCTATCTTAAACACTGATAGACAAAAAAGATTTGTTGGTTTATCTTTTATACATATTCGACTCAAAGCAATGTATTCTTTCTCATGAATAAAATTATACTTTAATCATATCTTTGACAATGCTTTGTTTCTCATCTCATCAAAAATCATTCTTCTTAATTTAATCTAGCACTATATCTGGTTTGAAGTTAAAATATCCACCATCTTAAGATGCTGACTTAGTTGCAAGAATATCCTCTTATTCCTCTCTCACCAGCACATATGAACAAATTTTAAAATTTTAGTAACAAAATATAAATATAATATTTTAATTATAAACATGGCTTCTTTAAAATTTTTTAAAACTCTGTGGTGATGCATTTATAGTATTTGTAAAAATATGCTAAATCTTATAAATGTTCTTCTTAAATTATACTGGTGTTAGAAGTATAGTTGCATAGATCACCATGAAAAGAGGAATAGACAGAACAGTAAAAGAGGCTAATGTATTATATATTGAATTCTTGTTTGGTAATTGGTATGGTTTGGCTCTGTGTCCCCACCCAAATCTCATCTTGAATTGTAATTTCCATGTGTTGAGGAAGTGAGGTTATTGGATCATGGGGGCGGCTCCCCCATGCTGTTCTCATGATAGTGAGTGAGTTCTCATGAGATCTGATGGTTTTATAAGTGTTTGACAGTTCCTTCTTCATATGCTCTCTCTTGCCCACCACCATGTAAGACATGCCTGCTTCCCCTTCCACCATGATTCTAAGTTTCCTGAGGCTTCCCTAGCAATGTGGAACTGTGAGTCAATCAAACCTCTTTTCTTTATAAATTGCCCAGTCTCGGGGTATTTCTAAAGCAGTGTGTAAATGGGCTAATACAGTAATATTTCTTTTACATATATTATTATATTTAATTTTTACAAAAATGTTTTAAAAAATACTATATATGTTAATGGAGAAGGAAAACAAAGGTATCTAGAAGTTGACTATACATGCATATAAACAGGATTAGGAAGATTTGGTTCCAGAATACAAATCAAAGAAATTCCCATTTTGAAACTTAGTATGACTTCCAGATAGAATCTTGAAGGATAATGATGAAGAATAAAAAGAGTAAGATTGGAAACTACAAGAAAAAGGATCAATTAATAGGGATGCAAGAAGAGATTTAAGACATTAGATAGAAAAAGTTAAATTTGATTAAAATATTTTCACATGACAAAAGTTTTAAATATAACTCTTGAGAGTTATAAGAAAAATAAATCTGTTTTAGTTAGAATCAAAGGAAGTTGTCATGACTTAGATAGGGTGAGAAGACAGTTGGTGAAATTATCAAATTTCTCAGGGGACTTCGGCTACCAGGCTATTCCTAACATAAATTCTGTAATGAGTTTGAAGGAGCAGTTGTCTGAAGAGGACACTAAACATGTTAGGACATATAGAACTACTAGAAAGAATAGGGCAAGTCAACAGGGAGCATGGCAGATTAACCTGATTTGACATTACGGGTCTACTAAGTCTAACATAATTGGACTTACTCCACCTTTAAAGAATCTCTATAAATGCACTTGATACATAAAATGTCAAGTAAATAGCATCTATAATTTTATTATTCAGACTCCAGTAGGAAAGAGATCACACATTGATATATAAGGATGCTGTATATCATTAATTTTTCAGCCAAAATAAAACTTTCAAAGATTTATACAGAGTGTATGGTACCCACGAGGGACCATGCAGTAGTTTAGGACTAGTGATAGCAAACTTTTCACCAACTCTAAGCTTGAAAACTCAAGAGTATAGAAAGGTTAATGGAAACTATATGAAGAAAAGTCTGTCTTAAGAGGAACAGTGGCTTTTATTTAAGTGACAAGGCCACCAAAGTGGCCCCTGAGGGAGATGTACTCTGTGGAATAAACAGTCTAACTTTCCTCTGTTCCTCCATTCTCCTTCAGTGGCTTCCCATTGGTGGAAACCAACTGGAAGTCTAAAGCAAGGGATATAATCTATATAGGCAAAAAGCATGATTAAAGTGCAGAGGAACCCAGAAGACAAATGAAAGGTATTTAACCCAGTAACTCTTTCAGCCACAGCCATGTCTTCTCCAAATGCTATTAGATTCTCTTACTTTATCTCTGCATTTTCTGGATAAACCTTTTATATCTTCTCTTTTCTCCAAAATTTCTTATGCCTTATGTCCAATCCTCATTTTCAGCTGTTTACCTAGTTTCACTGAGAAAATATGGGCAATCAAAGAGAACTTTCCCTAGCTTCCAGTCTCACAAATATCCCACTACCAGCATAAATGTGTATGCTCTGCCTTTTTAAAATCACCATTGATAAACTAAAGACAAATTATTCATTTGTACATTAGATTTCATATACAGTATTAGTGTCTACTCAAGCATATCACTCTAAAAATCATACTTTTTTCATGCATCATAAATTTTACCTCATATTTAATCCTTTTCACTGACATACTAAGATACAGCTAAATTGTTAATTAAGAAAAATCCTCTACCAATTGTAGGGAGATATTCTCCATGGGTCTATTACATTTGCACACATCTTGCAAAGAGAAGTACTAACTATTCTTGGTTTCAGATGATCTTTCCAATGATATTTGTATAGGATATTTGTATAGGAATCAGCCAAAGACAATAGAATTAGTGTCTCCTGCTAAGCTAAGGAAGAACTTTCTTTCATCCCAGTACAAAAAACTCAAGTGAGTGTCAGGGTATTTATTCCACAGAGTACTTCTCCCTCAGGGGCCTCTTTGGTGGCCTCATCACTTAAATGAAAGCCATTGCTCCTCTTAAGACAGGACATTCTTCATTATAGTTTCCATTAACCTTTCTCTATCCTTGGCTTTTCAGGCTAAGGGTAGATGAAAAGTTTCCTAAACTGAGGTATATTTTTCTGTAACTCACCCCACTGCATATGGAAGATGGGGCTCACAGAAAAGACATTAAAATGCTAAAACTCTGGCTACTTCTGGCTAGTGCTGTAAATAATAAACTTCCATCTCTGACCCAGTTGTCTTGAGTTTTCTACCAGCATTCATGAAACTACAGTAAACTAAATTGTTAAATTAAAAAGCAAGCCAAATTGTTAGATTATAATGAAAATAGACCCTTTACTGACATCAATCCCATTTTTCTGCTACACAATTCTTTGCAGCAAGACTCCTGGAAAATGTTGTCTATATTTATTACCTCTAATTGCACTTCTCCCATTCTATTCTGATTGTCACTCCTCTGCTTCCGTTAAAGTTTGACTGTAAATGTGCTTAACTCAATAGTCAATTCATAGGTCTCATTTTACATTATCTATAGCCAATATTTGATGCTTTTGATCACCTATTCCATTATTTGGAAGCTCTTTCTTTGCTCAGTTTCTAAAACAATGCCATGATGATTTTTGTTCTCCCACACTGGATGTTTCTTCTCAGTATCTTTTGCAGATTTCTCCTCATCTTTGCAGTCTGCTGAGAGTCCAGCCCTTCAGATTAAAAAGGTTGGCATTGAAACATTTCCCATTGCTTTCTACCTATACTCCTTTGACTATTTCTCTTAGTAATATGACTTTAATTATCTATAGACACTGACAGTAGTGCATTTACATGTACATCCCAGAACTTTCTCTTTTAACTTCACACTCATATCCAACTGCTTGACACATTCACTTGAAAGTAAAATTGTCATAGCAAACTTAACATGTCTAAAATGAAACTACTTTTTTTCTCCTCTAAGCCTATCCCTTTCACAACCTTTAATTCTGTATAATGTCAACCACATCTTTAGGTTGTTCAAGCCAAGAACATTAACATTTTCCTTCACTTCTCTCTTCTTCTCACATCAGAAATCTAATCTTTCACAAATCCCTTTGTCTCTCCTTCAGGGCAGTTTAGACCTTATAACCTCTTATTATCTCTACTGCTATACCAGATGTAAACCTCCATAATCTCTCATAGGTATCACTGCAATAGCCTTCTAACAGATCTCAATGCTTCTACTCCTCTCACCAATGTTTATCCTTATCACAATAGTCAGAGAAAACCTCCTTTTCTATAAAATAATCTATTGGCCAGGCGCGGTGGCTCACGCCTGTAATCCAAGTACTTTGGGAGGCCAAGGTGAGCGTATCACGAGGTCAGGAGTTCCAGACAAGCCTGACCAACATGGTGAAAGCCGGTATCTACCAAAAAATACAAAAAAAATTTAACTGGGCGTAGTGGCACGAACCTGTAATCCCAGCTACTCGGGAGGCTGAGGCAGGAGAATCACTGAACCTGGGAGGCAGACGTTGCAGTGAGCTGAGACGGCATCACTGCACTTCAGCCTGGGTGACAGAACAAGACTCCATCTCAAAAAAAAAAAAAAAAAAGAACAAATAAAAAATAAAGATCTATTACTACTGTGATCAAAGACCCCTGTTGGCTTCCTAACTCATGGACAAAATCAAGTTACAGTTACCTAGATAACTCTTTACCTCCTATTTTACCTCATGTCCTCTCTAACTCACTTCGCTCAGTCCACATTGGCCCTGTGATGTCCCAAAAACTCTGTCGGCACATTCCATCCTCAAGACCTTTATACTTCCTCCAGATATCCACAAAGATGTTTCCCCTATCTCTTAGGACTTGGCTCAAATGTCACCTTCTTCCTTAAATTTGCAATTCCCTGCCCCATGGTATGGCTTATATGTCTCTGTTTTCCCCCTTAATTATTATTTCATATAATTTCCATTTTTACTTAAATATTAGCAGCTATATCATGGGTTCTTTGTGGAAATTATTTAGTCTTTTTTTAAGACTTCGATAATCTTGGCAGTTAGAATAATCCCTTACGCAAAATTATCAAAAAAATCTTAAAATTCTTTTCTTATCCTCATTACCTGTCTAAATTTGTGACTTCTATATACTGTTTTTTGTTTTTGCAAAATCTGAGTTTGTTGAAACAATAATGCAAGTATCCATTGAAGAGGAGGGGGAGTGTAGATAGAAGTGCTTTAGAGAAAAGGAAAAAGAGAAAGATGTCTGATTTACAAATGAGAAGAACTCTGAAAGTTGAAATTAGGGGTTGAATTGTGTGCCCTAGAGTGACATATTGAAGTTCTAATCCCCAGTATCTGTAAATATGACCTAATTTGGAAATAGAGTCTTTGCAGATGTAATCATATTAAGAAAAGGTCATTAGGGTTAGCCCGTAATCCAATATCAGCCCAATCCACCATCCATGATTTCTGTCTTTAGTAGAAGAGGAGAAGAAGCATAGGTAAAGAAGACCGTGTGAAAATGGAGACAAGATTGGAATGATGTATCTACAAGCCAAGGAACAGCAGGGATTGGCAACTGTCACCAGATGCTAAGAGAGGGATGGAACAGATTCTGAACATTCAGAAGGAACCAAACATTCTGACAGCATGATTTCAGACTTCTAGCTTCCAGAACTGTGAGAAAATAAATTTCTATTGTTCTAAGCCACCCTACACGTGGTATTTTGTTATGGCAAGCCTAGGAATCTAATAGAGTTGGCATGTCCAAAAAGAAATTCAATATGTGTCATTATACTTGTTAGATACCAAGAGAACAAAGGGAGTGGATGTCTAGTCAAGTAAGTTATATTCTAGACACTAACCACCAAGTCTCACCAGCAACAATCTGGTTACTTAGTATGGCACGTGAGCAGCAGGGATACTTTACCTGCTTGTATCCTAAAGGTGAGATGGTAAGTTTCCTGATAAAACTTCAGTGAACAAATGATTGACTGATGGGCCTCCTAGAGTTTGACTCTAACTATAACCTTACTGCTTTGAAAATCTATGGAGTAGAGAGAGAATTTAAAAATCCCTTTGTAATGGTGTAAATTATTTTCTTTTTTTAAAACTTTTATTTCAGTTTTGGGAGTACATGTGAAGGTTTGTTATACAGGTAAACTCATGTAACTGGGGTTTGTTATACAAATTATTTTATCACCCAGGTATTAAGCCTAGTACCCAATTTTTGTCTTTTCTGCTTCTCTCCCTCTTCCCACCCTCCACCCACAAGTAGTCCCCAGTGTCTGTTGTTTTCTTCTTTATGTTCATGAGTTCCCATCATTTAGCTTCCACTTGTATGTGAGAACATGTGGTATTTGGTTGTCTGTTCCTGTAATAGTTTGCTGAAGA
The DNA here is from genome assembly GCF_000001405.40 of Homo sapiens. Taxonomy (NCBI): domain Eukaryota; kingdom Metazoa; phylum Chordata; class Mammalia; order Primates; family Hominidae; genus Homo; species Homo sapiens. Next base: position 68,246,856 of record NC_000013.11, read on the forward strand.
TAATAGCCTCCAGCTCCATCCATGTTCCCACAAAAGACATAATCACATTCATTTTTACGGCTGCATAGTATTCTGTATTGTATATGTACCACATTTTCTTTACCCAATCTGTCACTGATGCACATTTAGGTTGATTCCATATCTTTGCTATTGTGAGTAGTGCTGCAACGAACATTTACATCCATCTGTCTTTATGGTAGAATGATTTAAATCACTCTGGATATATACCGAGTAATGGTATTGCTGGGTTGAATGATATTTCTGACCTCAGGTCTTTGAGGAATTGCCACATTGTCTTCCACAATGGTTTAACTATTTTACACTCCCACCAACAGTGTATAAGTATTCCCTTTTCCCCACAACCTCACTAGCACCTGTTATTTTTTGACTTTTTAATAATAGTCATTCTGACTGGTGTGAAGTGGGTATCTTTCAATTTGCATTTCTCTAATGATCAGTGATACTGAGTTGTTTTTTTTTTTTTTCATATGCTCGTTGGCTGTATGGATGTCTTATTTTGAAAGGTGTCTGTTCATGTCCTTTGCCCACTTTTTAATGATGTTGTTTTTATCTTATAAATTTGTTTAACTTCCTTATAGGTGCTGGATATTAGACTTTACAACTTTGAAGTTGAATACTTGGATTTATATTTTATTTAAGTATAAGCATTTTAAAATACGCTATGCCACATGCCCTTGATGTTGTCATTGAGATGCATACCTGATGCAAATGTAAAATTATCTAGATTATTGGAAGAAAATATAATGTTGATTTTTCTCTCAATTATCTGGACATTACAAGTAAAATGTTTTATCTATGTTGCTTAGGTTTTTGCTTAAGAAATTTTTAAATTTTGCTGCTGTGGAAACAGCATTGACTTTAGGTACCAAATTCATATACTTAAGACTTCATTAGTTTCTTTACTATCACTTAACCTTCAATAACCTGGAATTTTTTGGGTTTTAGTTACTTCTTTAAAAATGTGAATAACAGTACCTAACTTATTAGAAATGTCTAGGACAATAATTTAAAAGTCACCTCGATTTTTTAGAAGTGTTTTTATAGTCTTATCCAAAACAAGAGTCCTCAATCCAATAAATCTTCAAGTCAGCATATTATCTTTCAAGATATTTTGTGAAATATTTTCATTAATCAGTTTAAAGATTTATTAAAGTATCTCAAATCACTAATTGCTACCTATGTAGCAATTTTTCTTATTAAACACCTCTAATTGTAATAATGGCCAAGATTACTGATTTATATAAAATTACATCCATGTCATTACTTTTTGTTCTTTGTTTAAAGGATTCTATGGAGTCTCATCTAGAAAATTTGAAAGTAATATGTGGTTGAAAGCAAATATATTAAATTCAATTTGAGTAGAGTGACTACCAAACCAGTAAAACTTGACTATAAATGATGAAATCTGTTAACTTCTTCAGGAAAAAACTTTTTTTTCTCTGTAAATAGCAGTGATTAGGTCACCTTTAAAGCATAGGACAATGGAGAAGCAAAAAGAAAAATGTTAACATTGTCTTAGGCACTGCCCAGGGGAGAATATGCCCCGGCTTAGGAACAACTCCTTAGGTCTACACCAATAACGATGTGGTTAGAATTTTTTACTGACTTAGGCTGAATGCTACAAAAGCAGATCCTGAGACAGGGACTCATGTACAAGTGATATATTACAAGAATCTGGTAAGAGAGTGGGAAGATGCTGTTAAGGATGAGAGAGAAGTTAGGATAGAGTGAAATGACAAGATGAGTCTGGTTTCAGTGTGACTTTAGCTGCAGAAATTTATGCTTTAGAGTTGTCTTGCACTGAGTAAAGGGAGCTGGCTTTCATATTCTCAGGGACAAAAACAACTAGAAACTTCTAGCTCTCTGCATTTGTGGGTGAGGGACGGACACTCTAAAGGTTCATAGGCAGTTCTCCACAGTGAGCCATAGGAATGCACTGTTAGAAGTAAATGCCCTCCAAAGTTAGAGGAGGGGGCACACATAAACAGAAAATGGGATCTGGGAGTGTCTGGGTGAAGCACGACAATGCTTTTACCTCTCTTCTTTTTTTCGAGACAGTCTCGCTCTGTCACCAGGCTGGAGTGCAGTGGCACAATCTTGTCTCATTGCAACCTCCACCTCCAGTCTTCAAGCGATTCTCCTGCCTCAGCCTCCTGATTAGCTGGGACTACAGGCACGTACCACCATGCCCAGCTAATTTTTGTATTTTTAGTAGAGACGGGGTTTCACCACGTTGGCCAGGATGGTCTCAATCTCTTAAACTTGTGATTTGCCTGCCTCGGCCTCCCAAAGTGCTGAGATTACAGGTGTGAGTCACTGTGCCTGGCCCTCTCTTTTTAACTTCTATAGAAAAGTCTGGCTGTCTGAGTTTTGCAGCAGTTTCAGATCCATTAAAATTTATAAGCCCATTTCTGTGGCACTGATTGACTACAGAATACTTAGTTACATCATACAACCAAAAAGAGAGAATACACTACATTTTATTTATAGGCTGTTCAACAGTCAAGTTACTTTTTAAAATAAAAATGAAAAGGGGACTATAATTCTATCTCAAATTTTTTGACTGAGTAATCATTAAGGAGTGTAAAAAAGCATGAGTTTAGGATCCTAAACCACCACTTTAATAAAAATATTTTTCTCCTTACAGGAAAGCACACTATTCTAGTTAGATATTATCAAATGGAAGTGTAATACAATGCAAAGATTGTTAGTCTTTTTTAATGTTTATTAATTTATTTTTTAGAGGAGATAGGTTCTCATTGTGTTGCCCAGGCTGAAATGAAGATTTTTAAGTTTGTTGTAGAGATAGTGTCTTGCCATTTTGCTCATGCTGGTCTTGAACTCCTGGCCTCAAGAAACACTCCCTCCTAGGCCTCCCAAAGTGTTGGGATTACAGGTGTGAGCCAGTGCACATGATCAATGATCAGTTTTCATTGTATCATTGAGTAATTCTAGGAACCTAGGAATATTTCAATTACCTCTTCCTGTCCTTTGTATTTTTATCTCTAAAATAGGGATGATAAGTGCTGTCATATCTATTTTACATTGCTGTACTTAACACGTACATTTGTGTCAAAATAATACATTATTTTAAAAAGTTAAAAAGAATTATACACCTCTATTGATGCATCATTATTATAAATAAGTTTGACAGAATCATGTCTACATTTGGATGATGGACTTATATGCCAGACTAAAGTCAAATGACAGAAAAAGATATATTAATAAAGTAGTAAGAAATAATTTTAATTATATGCATGGATCGTATCTCTGATTTCATAGTTACCGTGTACCCCAAAGTGATTATGCATTTTCTTAAGGTTCAGTGAATTGAACAATTCACTTTTTGGTAATAATTATCTTGGCATTATTAAACTCTGGAGTTCCACATGGAATGAATCTGAATATTGGCATCTATATTTACAACACATCTATACCTCAATAAGCCTAATTTTTGCCTTTACAATAGTTAATACTTTGATAGCTGGCAATCTTTCTAAATACTAAATAGGCAGTAAACAATGACTTTCTTTCAAGGTAGTTGGGAAGAATTGCAGTCATATCTCTAAAAGATTCATCATTTACTTTCTTTTTTTCTTGAGTCATGCAGGAGTAAGTTCACAGACAGCTACACCCATAACTGTAAGTTAAGCACTTCATCTTCTACCATATATTATATGAAGTAATACATTTTCCAATTTCTTTCAGTGTAAACTAATAAAATTTCTATACTGGCCTTAAATTCAGCAATTCCACTAAGTTGAATAATTTTATCTTCACTCTGCAGTTTCTTAGACACCTCAGTGTATTTCCTGGGTTTCTCTTTGTTGGCAGGAGTATTTATGCTTTAACCTAGGACCAGAGATACTTTTTAACCAACTTGATCTTTATTATATTGGTGTACAGGTTACTACTTAGGCAGAGATTAACAAGCCAGTGAAAGTGCTCTCTGGGGACAGTGAGTCTACTGTGTTGAGAGGGTCAAATGCATTATCCATTTCAAATTCTAGAGGCCAGAAAACAACTTTAACATGTTCCACCTCCCTCTGCAACCACTGTTACATTGTATACCACTGGATATGCCATGCTTTCTGCCATTATTTTATTTTGTGAAATAATAAAAATTATAAAGCATTACACTTTCAGCAGAATTCAATAATATTAAGTTCTTATTGTCTTTCAAAAAGTCTTTGAGTTGTATAATAGTTTATTCTATTTTTTTATTTTGAGAGGAAAAAAGCATCAGTCATTTATTTTAATGTGTTTAATGTAAAATGTTTTGCAGAAAAAAATCAAGGTTTTTAAGGTATTAAAAGTGAGTAATTAGACAATAAATGTGTTTCAAGATAATATATTAGCACAGTTTTATTAGAAGAACTGCAGTTTTATTTGTCCAAATGTCAATATTTATAGATCTGAAAAATAATTTTTGCTACTTAGAAGTGTAATGGATAATGAAAAAATATTATTAAGATTTGGCAGGCTGTTTCTTATAGAAAAAAGGGTTATAGTATTTATTTATTATATTATTTGGTCCAGCTGTAGGTGGAGTCTAATATTTTCTTAATCCAAGTGTATATTCTATCTTTACCATGACTAAAAGTGGAAATACCGGCTTAAGGGATAATTTACACAATTTTAAAGTAATGCTATCACATAGCAATATTAAAAATATTAAAGTTTTTCCTAATCAAACTGCATCTCTCAAAGTAAAATATTTGGTTATATTCTCAAGTATTTATATGTAATTTTTCTTCTAAAATACATTTATCACTGGCAGTAATTTTCCTTCACCATATCTGATCTATCAAATATAAAATGCAGTAAAACTTGAAATTGTTTCTTGTCAAACCATGGAATACACAACATTTCAGTGCATATTGTTTATTTTTAAAAGTATTCTTTTCACGCCTGTAATCCCAGCACTTTGGGAGGCCAAGGTGGGTGGATCATGAGGTCAGGAGTTCGAGACCATCCTGACCAACATGGTGAAAACCCATCTCTACTAAAAATACAAAAATTAGCTGGGCATGGTGGCACGTTCTCAAATCCCAGCTATTTGAGAGGCTGAGGCAGGAGAATCATTTGAACCTGAGAGGCGGAGGTTGCAGTGAGCGGAGATCATGCCACTGCACTTCAGCCTGGGTGACAGAGTGAGATTCCATCTCAAAAAAAAAAATTATTCTTACATCATAAAGTCTATAGTTTATAACATTGTATTATGCACTTGGAATTTGTTAAGAGAGTAGATTTTAGGTGCTCCCATCACACATACACAAAAAAGATAACTATGTGAGATGATGGATATGTTAATTGGCTTCACTGTAGTAATCATTTCACTGTGTGCACATATATTAAAACATCATCTTGTATTCCTTAAATACAAGTTTAAGAAAGAATATGGCTACAGGTGAAAGATGATTTAGGATTATCCAGGCTTCCCTAAGATAAGCCTGCACAAGGCCTTAAAATAGGGAACTAGAAGAAAAAGTTGCAGTCTTACTGGCAATGTGAGAATCACCCAAACTAAGCCCATTCACCAAGTGTGGCCTGAGAGCTGGGAGGGATTTGACTGGACTCCCTGCTGCCTAAGAGTTCCCAGAGCTCCCTCCTGATTGATCTGGATGTTTTAATCGTTCCCTGTATATCCCCAGGACTCAGGATGATTCATAGCATATAGTAGGATATTAATAAAAATGTGTTGATTAAATACAAAAAAAGAATAAAAATAAAACTATTTCAAAATTATTTAAATATTAAAATATACTTTGCTGTTTTGCTAAGAGTTGTACTCTTAATAGTTATAAGAAAACAAAAGCCTATATATTTTCTGTGCCCATAAACTTTCCTTTCCTCTCTCATTCAAGACATTCACTTTCCTTTGAAATCTGACTTCTATAGCCCTAATTACTGAAAATGTTAGAGCATTTTAACCTAATTTTGCTTTCTTATTAAAATATACCACACTGGTTCATATCCAACTTTTATTTTCCTATCATTTTCAGGATAACTTCTAATTCTGCAATTTCACATCAGCAAAAGTAAATGGAATAAAACAAATTCATTGCATGTTTTATTCCTAATAAATAATGACATATATTCAAACATATTCAGTTAAATGTAGTAACTAAAATTATGTGAAAAGATGTGAAATTTGCTGAATATTTTTATAGATGAAAAATTTTAGGTAACTAATTTTGCTTCCTAATAAATGGAAAATAAAAGTCAAGTGTTTTTTTTTAGTTACTTTCCACATATGTTATTTATTTTTGCATCATTATTTTTTAAAATGATCTAAACATGACAAAACCAAAAACTGAATATGAACATTAAAATTAACCAAACCAATTTCCTAATAAGTCAGGTGCTACTTTTCAGTTGCAGATTTTTGACACTGTTCACCTAGTCTCACCTCAACCAGATGTTCATAAAATCTACATTGTCACAACTTGTCACTCTGGAATTATTCTTGCTTCCACAGGTGTCATATAAAAGTCTTGACTCTCTGAATTTTGTGCTATTGCTTCACATGAACTTGCCTGGTTATTTTGCTTTAATACTTGACCTTGTATTATATATCTTTCTCTTTATATATCTTTGACATTTCAGCTGGACTTTGGAAAGAAGTGAGTCTGGCAATGCTCTTTTTTGTAAGTCATGTCTTTGACATTGTTCTGTCTACTGACCTACTGCTTATGTAGACTTTTCTCTGGTTCTACTCTGTTATTTTCTTACTGTGTTAGAACTAACAGCCTTATTATGGCTTTTAACTTTTTACCCTGTAGTTGGTTTTATCCTTGATTGTCACTTTCCAGTAATTTTTTGTACTTACACTGATATGTTTAATTTTACTGAATCATCAGGTTTATATGAACTCTCTTAATTCCAGGTCTTTATTTTACATTTGCAATATGGAATGATTCAAAACATCAACAATTATTAATTATCTGTTGAATTTACTGCTGATCATGATGGAATGACATGAACTACTAGGTGTACCTTCCCATTTTAAGCATGAGAAAACATAAGAAAACAAAATATGTCATGTTCTTTTATTAAAAATCGTTAGCATTGATCCTTAACAAGAGAAAATCCTAGTGTTATTCCATGTTACCTCCTAGAGGGTATCCAACAGAGTCCAGAAGGCTCCCTGAGTTGAGGACAGAGTTCAGAATTCAGGGAGGCTAAGTCAGTTAGAATTTACAGAACAGACTAGAGAAGAAAATAAAGCATCACTCTGAGGCAAGAATTGCAAAGACAGAGGTCCAGAGATCTGCACACGACTCATTTGATATTTAAATTGAGTCCTGATTAGTACCTGTAAGAGGAAATCACTTGAAGCCAAGGAAACAACCACTGGTAATGAAACATCAGAATAATTATTAGAGAACAAAGAAGATGTCTTAGAGTGTTTTCTGCTGCTATGACAACATACCACAAACTGGGTTGTTTATAGACAAAAGATTCATTTAGCTCATCGTTCTACAGGCTGGAAAATCTAAGATCAAAGGGCCTTCTCGTTGCATCATAACATGACAGAAGCGCAAGTGAGCATGGGAAACAGAGAGAGAAATGAGGCCAAAAGTATTGTTTTATCAGGGGCCCTCTTTCCCTGTGAGGGAATTAATACATTCATTAGGACAGACTTCTCATGACTTAATCACCTCTTAAAGATCCCACCTCCCAAGCATTGTTACAATGGCAATTAAATTTGAACATGAGTTTTGAAGGGGACATTCAAATCATAGCAGAAGGTGAACAATATTTCATGTTCCCACCAGCCAGAGTGAAAAAAATCTCATAATACATCAGGCATCAGGTAGAATATTCAGAAGGACTTTTCCTCTGTATAAAGTAAAATTTAACAGTAAAGACTGCTCTGGTCTTGCCTAGCAATAACTAGATGCAAGCTTAAAAAGGATAAAATTGATTCCGTGTAACTTAACTGCTTCCTGAAATAAAGCTCAAGTATATTTGAGAGAACACAAAAAGATCCAGCTACAAACAAGGTAAAATTCACCTATCTAGCATCCCCCCCAAGTTTATCATGAATACAAAGAAGAAGAAAATACAATCTGTAATGATAATACAAATATGTCAATAGAAACAAACACAGAAATGACAAAAACAATAGATTTAGTGAACAAGGACAATAAAAGAGTTAATATGACTATATTCTATGTGTTCAAAAAAGATATAATCATTTATACATTAAGAAGAAAAAATCAAACTTAAGTTTGATTATGTTTTTAAGTAGATAAAATACATCAAACTTGTTAAGATGAAAAAAACAATTTCTGGCAGGAAATATACATTTAATAGGATTATTATACATCAGAGGAGATTACTACAAAAATGAAGATTAATGAACTTGAAGACACAGTAGAAACTGCCCAGGAAAGGAGAGAAAAGACTGAAAATAAGAGCAAATCATCAGTGAACTGTGGTCCAATTTCAAGTGCACTATTTTATGTAAAATTATCATCACTGAAATAGGAAAGGGGACAAAATACTGGAATAATAAATGTTTTCAAATGTGGTAAAAATAAAAATCTTTGTATCTAAGAAACATAACAATTACAAATGAAAATAAATAGAGAAAGCTATACCAAGGTCCATTACAATTCAATTAAAAAAAAAAGAAAAGTAAAGTAAAAAAGAGAAAGCTTTAAAAGCAGCCATAGAGTGAAACTACGTCTCTACTAAAAATACAAAAATTAGCCAGGCATAGTGGCAGGTGCCTGTAATCCCAGCTACTTGGGAGGCTGAGTCAGAATCCCTTGAACCTGGGAGGGAGATGCTGCAATGAGCTGAGATCCTGCCACTGCACTCCAGCCTGGTCAACAAGAGCTAAACCCCATCTCAGAAAGAAAAAAAAAAAAGCAGCCAGATAAATTAAGTTATATTACCTATAATGGAAAAAGATTATCAACTACAGCAGACTTGTAATGAAAATACTGTGAGCAAGAAACTGAAACAACACAATTAAAGTCCTGAAATGGGGGTGGAGTGTGAAGTTAATATAAAATTCCATTTCTAGCAAAAATATATTTCCAATATAAGGATTCAAAAAAAGGTAAAAATGTGGGTAAATCAAGATACTTTTGCTATTATTTTTTACATCACTTTCAATGATAATTAACTAAAGTAAACGTAATGACAATGTACTGTAAGATTTATTACATAGGTATAAATAAAACAGCAGTGCATAAGATAGGCAAGAGAAAATGGACATGTTTGGTTGTAGGGTAAAGTTGTACACTATTCCAAAATGGACTATATGTTAAGTGGTAGAAGATTGCTTGTGTAAGTGAAAAATATATTTTATATACTTAACATAATTAATAAAAATAGGACAGAATTGAATCATATATAAATAATGCACTAAGATAAGGAGAAAAAAGTGGTTAAAAATGGATGGAATAAATATAAAACGAATACTTACCAACGATAAATTGACCACAGACTTATCAATAATAAAATTAAATTTAAAATGTCTAATCTTCTCAATAAGAGTCAGAGATTGTTACACTGGATTAAAACATAAGTATCCAATTACATGGTGGCCACAAAAAACACTTTGAATATAAAACCACAAATAGTTTAAAAGTGATAGAATGGCAAAAGATATAAAGTGTTAATTCTAAACCAATAACAGCTGAGTGGCCAATGAATATCTGATTTTAAACAGTTTCAGAAAGAATATTTTCAGGGATAAAGTCATTTTATTGTAATAAAGGGTTAATTAAACTCGAAGCAGAAGACAGGAAATGATAAAAAGATGAACAAAGGAAACAATGGACTTGAAAACAAATTTTATAATAAAACAATGAAATAAAAAAATTGGACTTTTGACAAGATTAGTAAAATCTTTACACTTCTAGTCAGACTACTAAAAAAATAAAAAATAAAAAAGACATATGATATTGAGACAGGTAGGAGGGAGAGGGTCCTCAGAGAATCTCCAAGGAGCCTGCGCAATGGGAATGAGCACTGGGGTGGAAACACAAGTTCGTGCCCTTTGCAGTAGAGAGGAGCCGGCCCTTCCTTCACCTGTGCGGAACCTGGGATTCACAGGCCTAGGCAGGAAGCACTCTAGCAGGAACTCTGGCCTAGTGGAGTCTCAGTCACCATTAAAATTGTCTGCAAGCCTGAATTTCTGGGGCCATGGGATGGACAAGGACCCCATCCTTAGCCGAACTAAGTAAAGTCCTACAACATTTTTGGCGTGCAACGTCGGGGCTTGAGAAGCAGTGAGTGAAATGGGGACTCAAAACCTCTCACTGTGGGTTCTAAGCCTTTCCATCCTCGGACTTCCGAGGTTAGAGGAACCAGGCCCCCAACTCCCGTTGCGGCTGGGAGTTGGGAGAAAGGCCCTTACTGGGGACCGACCAACCAGCAGCAGCTCCCTGTCCTTACCTGCTTCATGCTGGGGCTGGGACGCGTGGCTCAAGGGTCTTCGCAGAGCCAGCTTGCGGTCTTCTCCTTCCCCTACCCCAGCCAAGGGGTTCTACTCCATTGGACAATAATTGAACTAATCTCCATGGTGGACGAATCAGTTGCATAGGAATGAGAGGCTCTTCCTCAGGTATTTTTAAACTGTTTCTTTTCTTTTCTCTCTACCCTGTCGGTAGTTAACTTTTAAAAGTTTCATTTTCTTTTAGAAGATGTTGTGCTAGACTAGGGACCTCCAACATCTATCACTATATTCTCTGGAAAGTTTTGGTTGTGAAATCAAGCCTCCATCTTGTATTACATCCTGAGGGCATGGCTTGTAACTCCCCCCGCAGGGCTTTGTTTAGCAATCCTGCCCTAGGGAATAAGATTCTTTCTGGTTTGATATATGCCTGCTGTCTTAGCCCTGCCTCTTAAAGGGCCCCACACAGTGACTGAGTTTTCTTCTGTCTGTCTGTGTGTGTACTGTGCGTGATGTCAGTCAAAAGAGCTCTGATTAATTTGGTCTGAAGAAAGGCAAGCGCTTGGATCTAATATTTTTAAAAGGAAAGTTAAAAGTTGTGGTACCTTCCGCTTCACGTGTTTGTAATGTTTGAGAAATAAAAACAGCCTTAAAGATTATTGGTAAAATGCAGGTGTCATTAAAATGTAAATGGGTGAACTAAACTATGCAGGTCAGATGTAAGGTTTGCTAAGTGTTTTGAGGTTGCAAACTGGTTTTTGGGTTTTGAAAAGTATTTGATTTGCCGGCTTCACAACTGATAAGGCCCAGGGAATTTTGGAACTAACCATGCCCTTAACTAAGAAGGTAAACCTTGGCTGCAGCTAGCACAGCATTAAATAGATTTACATACTTACATGCAAGGTACGTGAGAACAGTAAAATGTGTTTTTGTTTGTTTTTGTTTTTTTGTAAAAGGTTATAAGAAGGCATGGAAATGTGAACTTTTGCCTAGGGTTAAAGGATTGTTTTAAATTAGGAAAATTCTGAAGGTTCAAAGAAGTGGTGGAAGAATTGTGGAAATTAATCTTGCAGAAGAGGGTCTCTATATGAACGTATTAGCTAAATTCAGAAGGGTATTATATGGTTTTTCTATCAATTGACAATTGAAGTAAACACACAAGGTATTCTTAAAACACTATTCTGCTCTTTGGCAAAATTTATAAAGGGTTATAAAAGGTTTTTGCTTCTTTAAAATTTCTGAGTCATCATTTTGGCAAAATAAATAATTTATGGTTACCTGGAATTCTGTTTCATAACATCAAATGCTTTAAACATATTTTAAAGGCTTCCCCAAATCAAACTTAAGTTACAAAATTGTCTTTCCTGACACCTGGCTTTTTGGATACTTCCAAGGGCCCCTGGAATGTCCAGAAAAGAAAGGTAAACAGGATTATCTGATATAATGCTAATATTTGTTCCAAAATTGTATGGGATTTCTAAAATTCTAATTCCTGAGTACATGCTATCAATCACAATTAAGGTTGTTTTGTTAAGTAATTGTAAAACACAAAGATAACCAAACTTCTTTGTCAGTTGTGTTTCTCACTTTAACTACCCTGAACATTTTGCTATTCACAGACAATTGTCTTGATGTATGCTTTTCAAAAGATGGCTTATAATAAGCTGTAGAACTCTGATAGGTGTTCTCAAATACAATTTCTAAGGTATTTGAGACAATCAGGTTCCTGATAACTTTGGAGAATGTAACATTGGAATAAAGGAAAATATACAGGACTCGTGAAGAGATGAAATGTTCACAAATATCAAGCGAAACAAGAATTAACTAAGTGGACTGAACTCAAGAAGCTGAAGCAGCCTTTTGGACTTTTGCTTGGAATATTGCTTATCCTTGTTTTGTTTTTCAGAGTCAAGGAAACTTATTTTAAACTATTTATGGACTTTAATAATTAAGGTATACTCCTATGAACCAAATTTGGAGCAAGATTATTTCTCTCTGCTTGGTTCCTCTAGAGTTTGGAAACTATCTGTGGGTATTCTTAACTTATGGCAATACAGTTGTTTGCATCAGTGCAATAAGAATTCATTTTTTTCTTTTGCAACAGGACACAATTGGAAAAACTAGGTATTTTACCAAGGCTTTGACTGCAAGCGTATGCTTCCCTTTAAAGAGTCGATCTTGACTTGCAGAGCTGATAAAAGCCCTGTGGGGAGGTTGGCGTCATACCCTTGTCTATGCAGTCCCTGTACAGGGTTCCTAACCTGTGTTCAGTAAAGAATGTCACTTTCTAACAGGTCCAGGAGCTCCAAGTTTATCTTGGGACCTTAAGAGGAAAGGATCACCCAACTCATAGGTGTTTGAGGATAAAACCATGGGTGGGCTTGGATTTAAAAGGTTTTATCTGAGATTCCTTGGGGAACAGAGTTCCATCAAAGCCAATCCAAAAGGCCTATGTAAAAATAAGTATTCTTGCTGCACTTTATGCACATAATCAGGTCAATTATAAGACTAAAGTCTATTTAGCAAACCAGTCTGTCCTATGATTATTTGTTTCTTAACAAAAATGAGGACTGGAGAGAGAGAAATCCTGTTTCAAAATTTATCATATATTTGTTATTAAATTCTAAACTTACTAGATGTTTTAAGTTTTCACCTACATTTAGATTAACCCTGCTTGTTCCTGTAAACCAACCAGCAATCTCTGATTGCAGCTGAGAAAGAACAAAAGGGATGGGTAATGCGGAAACCTGGATTGATATTCTAGTTCTGAGCAATTATCCTGCAAATCCTGTCAGGCAATTGGAATAAATAGGATGTCCATCACTCAGAAGTTTCCTTTCCATAAAGTAAGACCAAGGGAGCTAACCAAAGTCAAGCACCATGCACCCAAATCTTAGCAAGCATAACTATAGCTACCAGTTATCTGGGTGTGTCACAAGACATCCTTTTATCTCCCTTGTTGGAGGAGGACTCAGTTCCACAGTTTTACCTTAGCATTTGGCTTACAATAGGGAGTCCGTGCAACCCCCTGAGACACATTTTTGTTCCAAACTCACTTCCAAGCTTTGAGTCACAGCCCTAGGAAAGAAAACTGGATCTAAAAGATCCAGAGGCAGATGGCAACAGAAGTTAAAAGGCACAGTGCAGGTGAGCATAGCTGATTCCTGCTGGTTAAGCCAAGGCCAAGCTTCCCCTTTAATGGATAAAGGCCGTATTAGTATCCATGGCATAAATGAGGTCTAGGAATCTCCAAGGCTACTCTGATGGTAGCGGGGATAGAAGCATAGGTGAGAGGGGATAATTCCTATTCTCTAGGCCTTCCGTGCTTCATGGGTGCAAGCCGCTTTGGCACTCATGGTGGGACCTGCCAAGGTCGCTGGAACTCAGGGATGCAAGGATGGAAAAGGGAAAGTGGATGCTCTTTCCTCTCTCCCTCATGTAGCCCGGTATCTGCTGGGAAGAGAAGGAACCCAGGGATGCCTGCCCCCCTCTTTCTAGATGGGTAGCCATTCATCTTCAGCCTGTACCCCTTTCAAATGCATCCTGAACCCCTGGAACTCCTTTAAAAAATGCTTTCTTTTTTCTTCTCTCTTCTTCGGTTCTCTCTTCCCTAATAGGTAATTGTGTCTCTGTACTACAGGACACTCCTCTCAGATGCATCCTCCAAATTGGAAAGAGTTAATTATTCAAACCTTAAAATGGTTGACTTAGGATTGGGCTCAGGGGAAGGGAACCCAGAAGCCCAACATGCCGGCAAAAGGGTAGAGTTTCTTACCAATCAGGCTTTTGGCCTTCCTGTGCAAACTGGTGAAAGGCCTTGGAATTTTTGAGATTTCCTTACCCTTCCCCTTGTTTTATTTTGATACGTGTTTTCTAATAGCCCATTTTGTCTGTTCTTGCCTTCAACCCGTCAAACTCCAAACAATCATGCAACCAGAGCCTCTGATGATGGCCCCATCTGCTGGGAACCCTTAAATAGGCCCAGGAGGGAGCTCTGACTGCTGTTTCCCTAAAACAGCGCCCCCTGTCAGAAGGAGCAGTTAAGATGGATCTTCAACCTTATCCTTATTCTAGTGGCAGTTAGATGTACTTCTTTAGAGTGGGAAGTAGACAGCCAGGTGAGAGGGGGTCCCCAGAGAATCTCCAACCAGCCTGCGCACTGGAATGTGCACTGGGGTGGAAACACAGAAGTTTGCGCCGTTTGCAGCAGGGAGGAGCCTGGCCCCTTTTCTTCCTGTGTGGAACCCAGGATTCAGACAGCGAGGCATGTAGTGCTCTAACAGGGACCTTGGCCTAGTGAGAGTGCCTGTTTCCCCCATTTTTCCTTTTCACCCAATAAAACCCTGTCTTACTCACCATTCAAATTGTCTGCGAGCCTGAATTTTCATGGCCGTAGGATGGACAAAAACCCCGTCTTTAGCTGGACTAAGGAAAGTCCTGCAACAATATGAATTATCAATATCAGAAATGAGATAGAATACATTACTTCACATATGACAGATATTAAACTCATAATCGGAAAACACTATAACAATGAATTAAACAAATTTGTTAAAATGAATGTATTTTTAAAATGTGCAAACTGCTTATACTTACCATGAAATAGATAACCTAAATAAATCTAGATCCACTAAGGAAAATGAATTTTGTAACTACAAAAATTATAAAACAAAACATCAGATCGAGATGCTATCAGTAGTGAAGTGTAGCAAACATTTAAGGAAGATTAACACTGGTTTCATACAAATGTTTGCAAAAAAATGTTTTAAAGGAGGAAGCAGTTTCTGTTTTATTCTGTAAGGCCAGGATTACTCTAATACCAAAATCCAAAAAATGTAGTGGTGAACAGACTTTAAGGTGGTTCTCATGATTTTCATTTACTGCCTTTGTGTGTGGAAAGGACCAGTGACTTGCTTCTTATCAAAGAATAAGACAAAAGTAATGTGTCTAGCAACTACAAGAAAATGAATTTTACCAGCAGCCTGAATGACCTTAGAAGAGAACCCTTGTCCATTTAAGCCTTCAAATAAAAGACCAATAATGGTTGACAATTATAGATTGCAGAAGATGCAGCTAAGCCATGCTCACTTCTGACTAATGGAAATTGTGAGGTAATAAATGCATGTTGTTTTAAGTTGCTCCATTCCTGGTAACTTTTTAGGCATATAAAAAGCTAGTACAAAAACATTGTAAGAAAATAAAACTGTATACCAGTATCCTTCATCCTAACTCTAAAACAAACAATTTACTACAGCAATTTATTAGGGAAGCCTTACAAAACGATTGAGTGGCATATACAACAGGAATTTATTTTCTCACAGTTCTGAAAACTAGAAGTCTGAGATCAAGGTGTTGGCAGTGTCTTTGTCTCTTTGGAGACGTGTCTCCTTGGTTTGTAAAAGGCCATTTTCTCCCTAGGTCTTCACGTAGTCTTTCTTCTTTGCATATCAGTGTTCTAGTCTCTTCTTATAAAAACACCGGTCATACTGGATTAACACCCACCCTCAATAATCTTACTTAACTTTATTTATCTGTTCTAAGACTTTATTTTCAAATGCAGTCACATTCTGGAGGTTAAGATGTCAATATATAAAATTTTGGGGTGGAAGGGCTCATTTCAGCCCATAACAGGCATAAACTTTCATAACAAGATTTTAACAAATCAAATTGAACAAGATATAAAATAGTAATTTCTCCTAACCAAGCAGGATTTATCCTATGTATTTAAGATTGGCTCAGCAATTAGAAATTAATGATATTCTTCATATATAAAAATACAAATAAAAACCATGTGATTATCTTAAGAGATTAAAAAATACATTTGTCTAAAATATAACATCCTGTCTTGATAAAAACTCCCAGCAAAGTAAGAATAGAAAAGATCTTTCTCAAAATGATAAAGTACGTCTCCAAAAATCTACAGGTAGCATCGTATTTAATGGTGAGAATTTGAATGCCTTACTGCTAAATTAAAAATGAGGCAGGAATATCTGGTCTCAACACTTAGAGTAAACACTTGTAGTAAACATAACACTGAAGGTTCTGATGAGTGCAATAAAGCAATAGAGCATCCACTTTGAAAATGAGAAATAACTGTCTTTATCTGAGGGTGACGTAATTGTCTACCAGTCAGTTATATTTCTATATACTAGAAATAGACAATTTGAAACTGAAATTTTAAAAAAGCGATACTATTTATAATAGCATAAATAAATAAGTGAGGGACAAATTTTATAAATGATAGATATACCAGACCTGTAAACTGAAAACTACAAAACATTGCCAAGATAAACCAAAGAAGGCATAAATAACAGAATGGTATACAATATTTACAAATTAGAAGGCTCAATATTGTTAACATGCCAATTATCTCCAAATGTTCTGTATACTGAAACCAATTCCAGTGATAAGCCAGCAGGCTTTCGTCTGCTGAATTTTATTTGGAAATGCAAAGTCAAATTTATCTAAAAATGCAAAAGACCCAGAGTAGCCAAAACAAGTTTGAAAAAGACCATACTTGAAGGACGTGTACAACCAGATTTTAGGATTTATTTTAGAGCTGAATAAATTAGGAAAGTATGATATTGGCATAAAAATACACACCAAGATAAATTAGAATACAGAAACTAGCTATAGGCCCATATATATGGTCAACTGATGTTTGACAAAGTTCCATGGCAATTCAATAGGGAAAGGTTATCCTTTTCAGCAAATGATATTGAAACAACTGGCTATCTGTATGTAAAAATTAAATAAATAATGAAATGTAACCCTTAGTATATACATAACTTA
This sequence comes from Homo sapiens, assembly GCF_000001405.40. Taxonomy (NCBI): domain Eukaryota; kingdom Metazoa; phylum Chordata; class Mammalia; order Primates; family Hominidae; genus Homo; species Homo sapiens. The sequence goes on from NC_000013.11 coordinate 68,264,086, forward strand.
ACTTGAAATAGACCATATAGCTAACTGTGTAAGTTGAAATTGTACAGTTGCTAGAAGAAAACACGGAATAATTTTTTGGTAACCTACACTTTGACAATTTCTACATTTTGAAATTATACAGAAAGCATGAACTAAAAATATAAATTAAATTTGACTTTATAAAATTTGAAAAGTTTACTATTCAGATAACACTGATATGAAATTAAAAAGGCAAGCCACAGACAATAAGAAAATATCAAGCTTCTATTTAGACAAAAATTGCATCATGAATATTAAAGAACATATTGATATTATGACTCAACATTAAGAAGACAAACTATCAAGTAGGAAAGTAGGCAAAATATTTGAACAGACACTTCACAGAAGACACAAAAATGGCAAAGAAGCACAGGCAATGACATTCAATATCATTCAGGAAATTCAAATTAAACTACAAAGAATGTTTAATACATACCTACTAAAGTGGCTAAAATTTAAAAGACCATTCTAAATGTTACCAAGGATATGCAGCAACTGAAATTCTCCTACGTTGTTGATTAAAATGTGAAATAGTACTACGACTTTGGAAAGCAGTTTAGCAACATCTGTAGAAGTTGCACATACACCAAACATATGACTCAGAGATGTCACATTTATTTGCCAAAGAGAAATCAAAGTGTATGTTTGAATGAAGAATTTTACCTAAGCCTTCATAGCAACTTTATTTGTAATTAGTAGAAAATGAAAACAACCAAATGCCCTTCAGTGAAAGAACAGATCAACTGTCAAATCCGTTGAGTGGAATACTACTTACCAATAAAAATAAATTATGTTGACATGCACACACAGCATAATTAGGCTGAAGGAAAGGAATCAGATAAAACAGAGTACTTAACTGTGTGACTCCATTTATATTATTTCTGGAAAACGCAACCTAGTCTATGAAAAATGAAAGTCAGTGGGTGCCTGAGGAGAGGCTGTTAGAAGAGTTGAATTTAAAATAGGCATGCAGAAACTCTTGGAGAGTGAGGAGTGTATTCATAATCTTAATTGTCAGTATCTTTTTATGGAAATATGCCAGAAATAATCAAATTAGACACTTAAGTATGTGCAAGTTATTTAATGACAACTATAAAGAGCTAAAAAGATCAGGTTATACTAAGTTCTATGTACTGAGAAATAACACAAATTAAATATTTGATTCCAAGTGATAGGAAGAGAGCTATGAAAAACTATGCTTACAGTACTGTGAGAGTATGGAGAATCACCACCCAACTCAGACTGGCAAGGGTGAGCAGTGTCTGTTCCACGAAAATATTGAAAGTCAAAATAGAACTAGAAATATGTACTATTCTTCATATTCAAAATGACAAAGAGCATTGCCATTGCACTTATTTTACTTATTATGCCCCATATTGATGATCTGTTTTCACTGTGCTCCAGTATTAATTGTGTTCAATTTTTAAGATTACTGATTTAAATCAATGTTTTTCTATTATCCATCTATACACAAATAGAAAACAAAATCTGTCTCACACGGTAGAAAAAAGTCTTAATCAGTATTGCTACCTGCAAAGTGCAAACTAAACAAAAGTATGGTGTCAATATGAAATTTAAAAAGCATACATGAATAAAAACGGATCAATAAATTGCTCCAATTTCAAAGTGTGATATATCAACATTCTCCAGAGATGGGATATAAAGTCACAATAATTCTTTTAAAGATGCCTACCCCAATAGATTATATAACAATTAACTAAAAATATTTGTCATCATATTCTGTTATGTTGTAATAAAATAAAAAGACAGATAATATTAAGTAAAAAACACTTCCAAGAGCAGTGGCTTTCCTTCCTTTTAAAATTTCTAGGTCACCATACATCACAAATTTCTTAGAGACCAGTTAACAGCATGTATTATTTTTCTATTTTTACTGGAAGTTATTTGAGGTTTGCTGCATACCAGTGATGTAATCTAAATTAATGTATTAAGAGGGGCACTGAGAATAACAATAATCGAACAATTATTTTGTTTTACAATCACGAGGATTAAAGCAATGATAGGTATTTCACATTTATTCTATTTTATGTAAACCTATCTTTTTTGTATCATCCTAGAATATTGCTTCTAATGACTTACACTTAATATTTTGTAACTAACAATTCACAGAAACTCTTTTTGTAGAGGTGTGCTTTTAGAATAGGATGTGAATAGCAAAGATTTTTTCTCAATGCTTCCCATCCTTCTCTTTTTCTTGGAATTCTATGCAAAACGTAAGACTCTGACTAAAATTAGTTTTGTAAGCCACAGAGCAAGAATAAGTATGTATATGTATGTATAGAAACAAAAATATTCAAGTAATTTTTTCAGAAGTCAAGTTGTAGTTTGAATTTACATTTTATGAAGATAGTTCATTTTGAAGAAACCATTTTAATATTCCTGTAATTAAACCATTGAATCCATTGATGCTGAGATTCCAAACATGAAAATAGCTACATATGGGACGTGGAGACACTCTTAGACTAGAGAGGATGCACACAGTTCCAAAAGCACATATTTCACATGCAAAGTGGTGAGTCCTATAAGAGAAAAGCATGAAGCATGAGAGCCCAGGTAAGACAGCATGAATTATGCCTTGAGCAGAGCAAATAGCTAGGAAAGTCTTTTCCAAAGAAGTGACATTTGAGCTAATATGCCATACATATTATTTTTTAGGCTATGATAAAAATAAAATTATTTGGCTGATTTTATTATTCCTACATTTCTATGGATATTCAGACAGCAAGGAAAATGCTTTCATGAAGAAACACCTCTGTTTGCTGCTTTAGGACTTTTTTTTTGAAATTATTCTCATTAGCATTAAAATACCAAACACACATATTTTATATTTAATGTAAAATACATTTAGAAATTGTTACTGTCCTCCAGTTATTTTTACCCTCTGTCCCAGATGTCATTTGAAATTCTGAAGTTTTCAGATCTTAGAAAGGTAATATGCATATATAGTAATGAACTATATATGAACCATAAGTGCACCATAATGTGTCTGAGGTCTGGGCAACACTCTTCAAACACATTGATTTTTCTGTGATAAAATGTTTGAGAATTCACAATGAATATATAAATACAGACTGAGTTTTTTTTAGTCCATGTTTTTCTATCAATGCATATACCTCAAACTTAAAGAATGTTTCAGAGATGTTCACATTTAGAAATTGAAAATAAGGGATTAGGAAACTGTAACTAAGTGATTGATGGAAAGGTTTAAAGTGAGTAGATATTAACTTAGAAGCAAGCAAGTGAAATAAAAGCCCTTGTTTCCATAAACAGAATGAGAATAGCATACGATATTTTATATGAGAGTTTTTTCTCTGTTATAGAGGGCCACCTCTATTATTGGTGCTTAGGTCTCACTTATACTTAAAGACACGTGTATGTGAGCCAAAGGCAAACCTAAAATACAACTGTTGTGTGATAAAGCTCACTTAAGCACATCTTCAGTTTAAGAAAATAAATGAATAAATAAATAAATAAATATCCATGACCTTAGCTATGGCTTTTAGAACTGTTGTTTTTACTGTGAGGCTGACCGCCAAGAGTCATGACTAGGAATTCATGGTCTAAAAACCTCAAAATGCAATTGGCTAAATTAACAAACTCAGTATTGTAATAAAGGATAACCCAATGTTGCTTCTCAACAAGGCCGAAAATAGTCATTAAGTGGAAACCATATGTGATTGATTTTTAAAAATCAGAGACACGTCTTTAAGTTTACTATCTAAAATCCAAACCAATGCCATAATCTAAAACAACATGAAATGTGCCAGACCCCTGACTTTTCCTTAGTAGTTAAAAGTTTTGAAATGCAGTCTTTAAGTTTTAAAAAGTGGCTAAATTTATCCAGGTCTTACTTTTAACAAGTTATATTTGTAAGTGTGGTTAGAATGATAGTTGTCACTTATTCATAGTAGATTTGGTAGATTGGACCCAAAGTCCTGAAACTACAACACTGCAGAGTGGGAGAAAGAAAACTAGAATTTAACAAAACTATTTCACATGGAAATATTTTCTGTTTCACCCTATTAGCAATGATTCCAGAGATAACAACACAGAATATCAGGGAAAAAAGCAAAGTTTAAGTGTTTGACTGGCCTATGAGTAGGGAGCCTTTTCTGGTTAAAAAAATTTTCTGGAAGAAAACCTGTGGTGCTTTCTGAAATCAATATAGATGAGTCAGATGGGTATGGTTTTAATCAAGGATTCTCTATTTTGTAGCTGTGTGATCTTGATCAATTTATTTAATGTCTCTGACATCAGTATCCTCAGCCAATCCAACCAGAATAGTCATATCTAAACTGTTTTAAACTGTTATTTAATCAATTTCTGTCATACTACAAAACTTTAGTAATATTTTTATGTTTCCCAAATTGCTTGTGGAGGATAATTGATTGTCTTTGCCTCGATTGTCTTTGCCTCAAGAGTTTGTATTTAATACAGTTTCAGAGATACGGAAGGGAAATACCTGACAGTCAGATGTGAGTTTACTAGACTAGACCTCTGCTTATTCCTAGCTTTATTCTGCATAGCCAAAGATACTTCTTCCTCTCAGCCAAAATATTGCCGTGCTTCCTTACTACTCAGAGACCAGGGCAGGGACTTTTTCCCCAAAGAGAAGAGGATCTTTTTATTTCCTGCCTACTCTCAGCCATGAAAAACAGTCTTGATATTTAATTACATATTACATTATTCTGAGGTATAGGCATATAAGTATACCAAAACAATTAGTAATGTTTTAAACAACCTTTTAAAACAGTTTGGTTTATTTCATCTTATTCATGATTACCTTGTATATAAACCTGAAAATTTTAATTAAATAACTTTTTTTCCTGAACAATGTATCCTTAAAACAGTAATAAAAAAATAACTAAACTCTTAAATTCACTGATAGCCTGTTTGCTAATATTTTGACATTCTTTCATATGATCAAAAGAAACCTATAATACATGTTATTAACCCTGAAAGTTGAGGTGAGAAAAGAAAGACTTGTGTGGACAGAAACTATTTTTACTCAACTTTAAGTTCATGCCCTTAAAATAAAATATATAACAATGAAAATAAATAATTATGTTTTTAAGAAAAATAATTAGCTATGAAGTTCTATCTGAAAAATGTTTTATTGACTTCTCTTATTACTATAGGTCCAAGTCCCTAAAGAGTCCAGTGAGATGCTGGTAATTAAGTACTAGCCAGGATTTCTTAAGTTTTCATTCTTCACCCCTCTTGGATTTGTGCAAGAGTTTGGAGTGTCAACTTGGGAGCTGGTATTAACTTGTCACCACAGATTATTCAACATTTGAATAAAATGTTGGACTAAACTTACTTATATTGAAATCAAAGAAATATCAACACCAAGGTGGATGTGTCTGCGTAGGAATAGATCAGGCCACAACATATTTTTATGTCTGACTTAAAAAATCATCCCTTTTTCTTGCAGAACACAGATTCAATTCACTGAATTGACTGATGATAGGAAAAGAATGACCCTCAAAGAATTAAAATTATGCATTTTATATCTAGATACGAAGACTAAAAACAAAGTTCATTATCTCCTTTTACTAGCAATTGGTGTGACCCAAGTTATTGTTATTTTCATATTTAAGGTAACATAACGGGAGATGAGGATGTCTTCTATGTGGAGAAGTAGGGAACACATAGGTCAAGGATGACAGCTAAATTTTACATTCAAATAGATTGTGTATCATTGAATTGTAAATAATATTAAAGTCCAAGATTTTGCTGCAGAAAATTTAGAGTTCACTTTCTGACAAGTCTGAGCTGAGGTGTCAAATTATCAGTGGAGTATGTGAGTCTGCAGGTCAAGGGAGAATTTTTCTGGAGATGTAAATTTCTGATGTTTTTGTTCATGACTGCTATTAAACTCTAAATCTATTTTGTGTCTCCTAGGGATAAAAGTACAGAGTGAGAAAAGAGCTCCTTTTTGAAAACATAAGTAATTTCCATCATTTGACAGATGGAAAAAAAAATTAAGCTTGCAGAGGAAACTGAAAAAAAACGAGAATGTTGTGTCATAAAAACACAAGGAAAGAGAACGTACAAAATATTTGGAAGTGATCACAATGATTAAGTACTGCTAGGAGGTGAAGTTAGGAGAGGATTTACACATTTTCATTAACCTAGGAACTTAGAGATCATTCATTATCTTGGATATAAAGGAAATTGCCAATGTCATAGGGACAACAGCTAGGTTAGAATGGATTGGAGAGTTAGTTGGGCCTGATTCTGATTATGTTGGGGTTCACAAACCAATACCTAAAAATATGGCATTTGACTTGCTGAACTGAAGAAAAAGTCTCCATGTCTTTTGACACCCGCATTATCTCTCCCAAAGGAGCTGAAGTTCCTTTATCTGCCTAAGATCCAGACCCAACATGGAGAACAATAGTTTTCTTATTCTCCATGTAAGACCAAAAATGTAACCACACCTCAACAGATAATTTTTTTAAGATAATTACCTTCTCATTGTTTAAATTATATAAATAATGCATTATGTAAATTCCAAAGAGACTATTTACAAGTTCCCTGTTCCAGTCATTCTCCCCAGCAGTCATGTGTTGCCTCTCAATAGAAGTCCTCTTCTCCCCCTCCCTATTTTACCAGGAACCAAGTCCCCATTATTTCAGTAACCTCAAGGTAGTATATAAGCTCCTGTAACTCACTGGGAAGTTGGGTCTTCATTCTGAAGGCTCTCGTATATATATATTAAATATATTTGTATGCCTTTTCTCCTGTTAGTCAGTCTGCCTCATGTCAGTGATTTTCAGCAAACGCTTAGAGAGCCAAGAGCCCTGACCCACAGTTTTGGCAAAGTGAGCGGGATCCCCAAAGCCACTCTGCTTTTCTCTAAACCACAGTGAAGAGCAACCAGGAAACTGACAACCAAGAAAAGGCATAAGAACTTCTTACCAGTTAGGCTGCCAGGCTCAAATCTCTGTGCAATAATGTTGATTACATAATAAAAATCACTCTTTTGCTTCAAGGTTATAAATAATGGGAAAAAAGGATTTATGTGACTAGTCTTAGAGTATAGAGACCCTAATATGCTTCTGGTACTTTGTGATGTGAATATTCATATTGTTTGACCCCTTTCCTTGCAGAAATAGCTTGTTGTTGTTTTTGTCTTTGTCTTTCCGTGTTGTTCTGTCATAAAGAGGGGTACTGTAGAGTAGAACATGGGCCTAGAACCCTTATAAGACTGCTGTTAGGGGCAGCCCAGCTGACTAATCAGTTTCGCACCTCTGACTAGATGAGCATCAGTTAAGACAAACTTTGCTGTGGGTACTTGCAATACCAACCAAATGAGTTTTCCCTCTCATCTTGTTTTATGCCCTGGGGACCTTGACTTGTGGCTGTGTGGAGGTAACTCGCTTTTTGTTTCCACCATCTGGAGGGTGTGATATTTTGGGTCATGTCAGGTGACCAGTCTGAAAAGATTGGGAGTGTGAGACAGGTGGTTTTTTTGTTTGTTTGTTTTCTTGAGAAAGAGTCTTGCTCTTGTCACCCAGGCTGGAGTACAATGGCATGATCTCAGCTCACTGCAACCTCCACTTCCCGGGTTCAAGCAATTCTCCTGCCTCAGCCTCCTGAGTAACTGGGATTACAGGTTCCCGCCACTACACCTGGTTATTTTTTTTTTTTTGTACTTTATTTTTTTTTTTTAGTAGAGATGGGATTTCACCATGTTGGCCAGGCTGGTCTCAAACTCTGACCTCAGGTGATGCACTCGCCTCGGCTTCCCAAAGTGCTGAGATTACAGATGTGTGAGCTACCACGCCTGGCGAGACATGTAAGTTTTTAAGCAGCACACTTTTCATTCCAAACGTGTCAAGCTCTTAGAGTTTTATGTTAAAAAGTCTCATACTTACAGGGATTTTTGTGATCTTTTGCTATCTTAAGTTTATTTCTGGGAATGAATTTTTCAGGGTCGTAGGAACTGCCTCCACTATGTCCTCTCCAAGAATACCTCTTGCTTATAAGCTAAAAACCTGGACAATTACCACCTGGGCTTAATGGAAGAGGCGTTTGGATTGAGTCACTACTGGAATTTAGTAGACCATTGAAAATTCTATCTGTCAATGGCCAAAAGATAGATACTTCTAATTTAAAAAGATTTTAGAGAGCTCTTATTCTAAAAAAATGATGGACACTTCCAATTAAAAGAAGGATACATAATAGTATCATGGCTATCTTTGCGAATTCTCTTGACTAAATTAACGAGCAAAAATCTGCCCTAAAAAAAAAGTTAAAATCCTTTGCAAACTCAAAATGCCTATTCAGATTCCTTCTGGGAAGAGCAATGGAGTCTGCTCCAGTAGCTAAGGTTCTGCTGTTTTACCACAGCAACCTGGCATTCATTCCCAGTCAGGGAGCAAATCCTTTTTGGTAGATATTTGTGTGACTTTGCCATTTATTGATTCCTTTCCCTACCATGCACAGCTTTTGAGTTCCTGTCTTCTGTCTGTGGGGCATACAGGGCTTTGGTCTTTGTATATAGTGGTCAGCTGAGAAGCTGAAGCCTTGGAGAACACGGGTGAACAGAAATGTAGGTTGTGACATGGGATATTTCTAGGCCACTTTGCCAGCCGGGTACCTTTGGCCAGCGACTCCTCTGCCCAGGCCTTGATTGGGCCTAGGTTCACTGCAGGAGATGCCCAGTCCACTCGGCCCACGGGGCTGTGCCTGACCGGCACTCCAGTGCGGATCCTGTGGCCGTTGTGACTATGCGCTCAGCCCCTGGCAGGAGCCGGTGTGTGAGCAAGAAGTGCGGGATCCACCGGCCCTTCCAAGCACTGGCACAGGAGCGGGCTCTGTGCAAGGCTTACAGTTGGATATTTTAAAGGCATAAACTGCTTCTATGATATTTTTGATAATTGTTTGTTAGTAGTGGCAAATCTGTATGGATCTGCGGCAACTCGATTCTTGCCTCCTCAGAGGAAATAATTCATCCAAGGGGCATGAGGCAGAGTGAGAGAGACCAAGGTAAGATTTAGAGTAGGAGTGAAAGTTTACTAAAAAGTTTTGGAGCAGGGATGAAATGACGTAAACTACACTCAGAAGGGGGTCAAGTGGGCCACTTGAGAGAGTCAAGTGCCCGGTTTGACCTTTGACTTGGGGTTTTATTTGCTGGCATGCGGCCAGGGTTTTGCATTTCTTCTCCCTTGATGTTTTGTTGGGGCAGGCTGCCCCCATGGGCAGTGGCCTGTCAGCGCTTAGGAGGGGCGGCATGTGCACTGTGTTCACTGAAGTTGTGCACGTGCTCATTTAAGGCATTTTAATCTTACCAGTCAGGAGTTCCCAGAAGAATGTCATATACCAGTTAAACTTTGTCATTTTGCCTTTTAGTGCTCATGCTTGAGTACATCACCCAACTCCTGAGATCTTATTGGGAAATTACTCATTGTCAGCTTCAAATGTTTTCTACCTACTGGGAGACGGCCTTTCATGGCAGCAGCTGTGACTAATGATTATTTTAGAGAGACAGTTTAACAACCACCTGATCATCACCTGATGGTGGGGGTTGAGAAAGTTCTTTCCTGCCCTGCTTATGTCTGCCTAAATACCTACACCAACACTTTGGCTTGTCTGTCTTATAGCCATTAGATCCTAGGCTCTAAACAAATAGCCTTGGCCCACCTCTGCCTCTTGCCTTTCCTGGGAAGGATCGGCATTATTTGCACAGCTTTGTGCTTTGTCCTGGGCTCTGCATCTGAACACATAATTAAAATGGTTTATTTTGTAAGTTTTTCAGTAAAGATAAGGGTTACTAAGAACTGACTCTGGAACTAATGTATGTGATTAAAACTACCAGATATAAGAGAAACAATTCTATATGCAAAATGCATAAGAAAAATAGAATTAGTTTAGTAAAAATGTCATAAAAATGCATGAGAATGTGGTTTTTGTTAAAGGGAATATAATTTTGCATAGTGTAGAGTTTTGTTTGTTTTGTTTTTAATTGAAAGTGAAAAGAATGATAGATAAAACTGAATGGATACAGAAAGTTGGAAAAGAGAATTTTAAAAATTATGAAAGTTTATAAAAGCCTTATGGAAATAATAACATGGCAAAACTGATTAAAAATTAAAAAGTTTTGCTTACAGAAATTAGCTTTAACATTAATAGTACACTGATACAAAGGTAAAATTTTGTTTTTGCTTTTGAATAAGATTCACATGTAATACTAATAAAAAGTTAATATAAGATTTTTGTTTACCTTTTGAGTAAATTACAACATAAAAAGAGGGAAGAGAGACAGATTCAGCTGACCTCATGCTGTCTTTATTCAATCTTATTTTTTGGAGAATTGAATTTCCTCTCTATCAAAAAGTTAAAATTCTGCTTATTTAAATCATTGAATTAGCAGTTTGACTAAGTGAATGACTTATGTTACAGTGATCTGTAATTCTGTTTCATGATGTCAAGTGTTTTAAACATTTGATATTTGACAAACTTTCCAAAATCCAAATTTCAAGTTAAAAATAAAATATTTTGATCTCAAACTAACTTTTTGGATATTAGGGCACCTGTAGTCCAAGAGAGACCTATTCTGCTTATTTGATATGTTATAATCATACAGGAAACATTGTCAAATATGAAAGGATGTTTAACTTTCTTTGGGTTGTATTTAAATGTGTTATAAATATGTTATATTAATCCATTCTCACTCTGCTATAAAGGACTACCTGAGACTGAGTAAGTTGTGAAGAAAAGAGGTTTTATTGACTCACAGTTCCACAGGCTGTAGAGGAAGCATGGCTGAGAGGCCTCAGAAAACTTATTAATGGCAGAAGTCATAGGCGCACACACATATCTTACCCTGGTGGAACAGGGGAGATGGAGAGAGAGACAAAGAGACACACACACACACACACACACACACACACACACACACACAGAGCATGCATGAAGGGGCAAGTGCTACACACTTTCAAGTAACCAGATCTTATAAGAACTCTTTATCATGAGAACAGCAAAAAGAAAGTTTGATACTTTCAGAAAAGTGACATTTCTTACTTACCACAGGTCAGGAACCTGTAAAGGAACTGCATAGAGTATGAATCCAGTCTTGCCAAAGAGTTTTATTTGCCTTATAAAGTTAACCTCTATTTATCAAAGCAGTTTGCTCATATCTAAAAATGAGCATGATTCAATCACCTCCCATCAGGCTCATTTTTCAAAACATGGGAATTACAATTTAACATGCAAGCTGGGTGGGACATAAAGCCAAACCATATTATATGTGTTTCAAAATTGTATGAGATGCCTATAATTTTCCTTTGTCTTAGTATATGTTATCAGTAATAATGACCATTATGCTGAATTGTTGTATGCCACAGAAATAACTGAATTTCCTTGTCAATTGTGTGTTTATCTATGGCTGTCCTAAGACTTTTGCAATCCTTAGACAATTATTGTTTTACTGTGATCCTTCTCAAAGAGCAGTTTGCTATCAGCTGAAGTCTAAAACTTGATTTTTTAGGGAAGTTCGTGGAAAGAACTCTGACAGGTGCTGTTGAATGCAGCTTTCTGAAAACCTTGGAGATTATGTTATTGGAATAGATAAAAAACTTTCAGGAAGCTACTTGGACAGCTAATGTGCTCATGAGGTTTGTTGGCCCCAAACAGGAATTAATTGCATAGACTAAACAGATAGAGCACTGAAATAATTTCTTTTAACTTTTTTGTTTGAAGTCTTGGTGTTTTTTTGGTTTTATTTTTTAGAGTTAACAAAAGGTTGTTTTTATTATTATTATTGATCTATTTATAGCTTTCAACCATTGAGTAAAGTATACAATTTTGAAGAAAATTTGAACCACATTTCTTCTCTCAACTTGATTTCTCCAGAATTTGGGAACTATTTGTCAGTATGCTTAATTTATTGCAATGTAGTTATTCACATAAGTTCAATAAGAGCCTATTTTCCTTTGTATCGGGACACAATTGGAGACACTGGTTACCTTATCAAGGCTTTTTGACTGGAATAGGATATTGTTAGATATGAGCAGACTGCTTTGAGAAATAGAGGTTAACTTTATAGAGCCAATAAAGGCCCCTTGGAAACACTGGCTTCATACCCTGTCTATGCAGTTCCTTTACAGGTTCCAGACATGTGGTAAGTAAAGAATGTCTCTTTTCTGATAGGCCCAGGAACCTCAAGTTACTTTGAGACATTGAGAAGAGTAGAAGTCATCAATTCATACAGGTATGTGCAGGCACAGATAATTCCTTGGCTGGGATATAAAGGCTTTTAAAAGTTTATTCTGAGATTCCTTATGAAAAAGTTCTAGCAGAGCCAATTTTAAAATAGCCTAAATGGCCAATAATTGTTCTTGCTGCACTTCATGCAAAGGAATAGGCCAAGTATATTAAGACTAAAATATTTTGCAAATAAATTGGTCCTAATATAATTTCTTGTTGGTTTTGCTGTTTTTTTTTCTTTATGTATTTTTAGGGGCAGGGAGGAAGGACATCCTTAAACATATTCATTTTCCAATAGCAAAAATTCAAGTATAAGAATTAGGTAAAACGGAAGAGGGAAAAAGAGGAAAATCTAGGGCGTAAGAATCCAAAGAGGTAGAGAGAATGAAAGTTAAATAATAGGTAGAGGAACTGGCTTTAAATTGGACAAGGAGCACAATTCCTATTCTATCAGTAAGGAAGGAGATTAGAGTGGGTTAAGATTATTCTCCACCACAGATTCAGCCCCAATCAGGTTTCAAAACCAATTATGAGTGAGGTAGTAATGCTGTAAAGCAGAAGCAGCTTCATTGTTTCTGACCATGTAGGAGTGTTCAAGAACATCACCTCATTTTGCTCTTTTTTTTCCTTTCTCCCTGTCTTTATTTCTCTTCCTTCCATGTGAATTTCAAACACAGTGAATGAATTATGATGGATTTTGATTATTTCTTTTTAAAGACATGCTCATCTTTTACTTGTACTTTCAAGCTAAACACTTACATATCATGGAGGATTGTTTCCAGCATCTTAATTCATATTTTTTAGAGCTTTTATCCCCATACTTGGCCTACATTTATAAAAATGATTCACAATTTCTTATGATAGAATTATGAATTTCTGTTTTCCACTTGCATCCAAAACTCCAGAGATATCTTCCTAAAACATAAACTAAAATGGTTAATGAAACGATTAATAATGCACCCAATAGCATACATTAGTTATTGTGGTGTCTCAAAATATGACCTTGAATTCTAGCACCAGACACTCTTGAGTTTTAATTCTGAATAATTAATCAACAATGTTTGGCAATCTGTTTTTCTTTGTGTCGTAGTTTTCTCATTGATAAAATGGGAACAACAGTAGCACTGATCTGATCAATATGACCTTAATATTTTCCACTGCTTGACTAAACTTTAGACAGGTTTCTTCCTGACTATAGTTCCCTTATCTCTCTTTTCCACAGAATTTTCTTTCTTTGCTCATTTGAGATAAAAATCACCCAGCCTCCGGCCAGTTTTACAACTTGGAAATGCTTTTTCTCAGGGCCCCTAGTAAAATCTCTTTGAAATGTAATCATCATAAAAAATAGTGCCCCTATATCCTTGTCTTTGTGGGAAGATAGAAACCTAACTTCCATTAATGTCAATTAATAAATACAGACGACCTATTCATATTGACCAATCCCCCAACCCCACTACTTCCTATAGTTTTCCACTAGATCACCCAAGCCCCTAAAATCTCTCCTGTCTTTTGTTCCAGTAGAGTCGAGTTAAATCTGTTTCCTCTATTGCAATAGTCTCGAATAGTCTTCACTGCCTATTTGTTTGGGACACTTTTTATATTACATACTTTAGAGAATTATTGTGAGAATTAAATGAGTTAATATATGTAAACTTTTAAATAATGCCTTACATCTAATACTATGTAAGTTTTACCTAGAAAAGTATAATGCTATCTTTACTTATTAACTTCCTCATCATTCTTTCTATATGCATATTCAAAACAATGTTAAACTAAATTTCTACCATTCTGTAAATATCACTAACTCATTTACACTTGTTTTTACTTTTGTGTATGTGTGTGTGTGTGCATATGTGGGTGTATAATAGATGCCTGACATTCTTCTATTCTTACCACAAGGCTCCAATCTTTTTATCTTCAACCATAGAAAACCTTATATTTTAAGGAGGCATTAGTTATATGTAATTTCTTTGTCCAGTTTAGTCTCTTTCACTCACTAGGCAATGATTTCCATGTAGGCAGGTAAATTATTGCACTTACAGAATGCTTGAGATGTAAAAGGATTTGTTGTATTAATGAGAGCTGGTTAGTTGCAAATTATAACATTATTAAATATAGAGAAATGGTTTAATTGACCATTGTTATGTGTAACATGAGTGTGCAATGTTTTGTTACTTTTGTTCATAAAAAATCTTTTCTTTCTTTGTTGTATTTTTTGGTTGAACTGCTCTTTTATTGCTGTTTTCCTATTTACATGTGAGAAATAACAGCTCTGGAAGAGTTGTCACATTAGGTTGTAAGAATTTTAATACTGCAGAGCCATTTGAAGGACACTGTTTTCTCTTGCAGCTAACAATTTTGAAGTATTTGTGGAGAAGAAAAAACAACGTTCAGAAAAACTCATTGGCTTAGGCAGTTTTTTTCTGTTTGAATTTCTGTCATCATTGAAAAGTATTAGCTTTACTTCTATTAGTTTTATTGTGAGGAATTTGGCAGAAATAAAGCGATGTGGATAAAGAGATTAGAATCCACCTGATGAAACCATCTGCTAAGAGACATACATTTAAAATCCCTAAGATACATTTACTTACAAATTTGCTGGGATTGTTTAGGTTTTAGGTGGCAGATCTCCGTTCAGTGATAAGAAAAATATCTACAATATAGAAAGTTCATTTTGATCAGGGTGTTGGGATCAGTTGCTGTGTAGGAAATAGTTATGAATTATAAAATAATACTCTGTAGGGTACCGTATGTTGAAACCCAATTTATTAGTCCATTCTTGTGCTGCTAATAAAGATGTACCTGAGATGGGGTAATTTATAAAGGAAAGAGGTTTAATTGACTGACACTACAGCATGGCTTGGGAGGCCGCAGGAAACTTACAATCATGCCAGAAGGGGAAGCAAACACGTCCTTCTACACATGGTGTCAGAAAGAGATGTGAGTGCCGAGAGAAGGAAGAAACTCCTTGTAAAATCTTCAGATCTCATGAGGATTCACTCACTATAATGAGAACAGCACGGTGGAAACCAGCCACATGATTCAATATCTCCACCTGGTCCCTAAAATTCAAGGTGAAATTTGGGTGGGCACAGCCAAACCATATCACACAGCATCATGTTTTAGAAAGCCTTTGGAGCAATACTTGGCATAGTAAGAAAAGAAATGAAATCTCTTGCCTCTCTCTGTTCCCTCATTTCCAACTCTCAACTATTTGCAATATAGTTTCCTTCTTTTCAATTAATTTTTTAAAAGGAGACCAATAAGTATAGAATTAGTAACACCAATGATATTTCCCTGGTTCTCATATTACTTTTTTATTGGTAATGTCATCTTTGTCATATGCAAAGTTTCATATAGATTTGTGTCTATTTGGGTCCTCTATTGTGCTCAATTGTCAGTTCTAGCCTTGTTGAAATACCGATATCTTCTTCATCAAAAATATCTTGGTAGTTTTAATATTTGACAAATTTTCACAACAATAAAAAGTGCTGGTAGTATTTTTAATGGAACTAAACTGTATTGATAATTTTACAAGTATTGATATCTCTATTCTATTAAGTCTTCCTAAACAACATTGTATATATCCTTTCATTTTGTTAGATTTTTAAATGCCTTTCAATAATCTTATATTCACAATACTCTTGACACTTGTTTTCTATTTATTTTCAAATGCTTCATATTTTTCATACTTCTGTAAATAGTTTTTTTTATAATTACATTTGCTATTTTTTGTGGGGCTATATAAGCATGAATATAATTTTTATACATTGATTTTATGATCCAACAGCCTTACCAAAGTCTCTTGGTAATACTCATAATTTGTAAACTCTCTTGAAGATAGGGAACACCTACTGACAAGTCATTTAAATAAGGAAAACTTCTTTTCTTTCAAACCATTATTTTTTTTCTTCTGTTCATCCTAAACTTAATTTTAAAAGAGAATGATGTTTGTCTGCATAAATATGAAACATTGTATCACATCTTAATTTGTTTGAAATGCATATGACTCTTCAAAGCAAAAATACATAACATTGTTTTATGATGCTTTTGTAGGTAGTTGTGTTATATATGCTAACTGAAACAGACAAAATGGTAAGTGGGGCATACGTGGGCATACATGATTGTAACATATATGAAGTTTACAAGAAAATGTATAACTTTAAACAAAATAAACCGTAAAGTATATACCTATTAAAATTGTTCATCTACTGAAATAATGCAAAGAGGTATACCTAAAAAACACAGATAAAATAGAATTCTAAAACAAAATTTAAATAATACAAGGTATAAAGGAAAGGACAAGAATATAGGAAAGAAACAGTGGAAGGAGAAATAGAACAAAAAAACTCTGGGAGACAAATTTAATCACTAATTTTATTAAATGGAAAGGGACATATATCTCTAATTTTAAGTCAGAGATGATCAGAGTGGTTATAATATAGTACTCAAATATGTGCTAACAAACAGACACTACAAAAATAGAAAGGCTGAAAGTAAATTAATGGAAAAAGATAATGCAATCTAAACAATAGCCAGAAAATGTTTAGAGTACTTATAATAAAATGGGAGAAAATTGACAGCAAAGCAAAGAGTATTATAAAAATAAAAAATATTTCAATAATAACAAAGAATCAATTCATCAGGAATACATAACAATCATAAACATCTATGTACCTAATAATCTGCCACAAAATGCATGGGACAAATCTGATAGAATAAAAGACCAAACTGGACAATTTCACAAATACGTGTGAGAATTTTAACACTACACTCCCAGCAATTGATATATACCTGGATAAAAGTGTGTCTGGAATTGGTTCCTTCCGTTGGGTTCTTAGTCTTGCTGACTTCAAGAATGAAGCTACAGACCGTCCCCGTGAGTGTTACAGTTCTTAAAGATGGTGTGTCCAGAGTTTGTTCCTTCAGACGTTCAGAGTTTCTTCCTTCTGGTGGGTTCGTGGTCTCACTTGACTTTAGGAGTGAAGCCACAGACCTTCGCAGCAAGTGTTACAGCTATTAAAGGTGGCATGTCCAGAGTTGTTTGTTCCTCACAGTGGGTTTGTGGTCTCGCTGACTTCAGGGGTGAAGCCACAGACATTCTCAGTGAGTGTTACAGCTTTTAAAGGTGGCGCGGACCCAAAGAGTGAACAGCAGCAAGATTTATTGGGAAGAGTGAACAAAGCTTCCACAGGATGAAAGGGAATCGCAAGTGAGTTGCCCGCTGGTGGCTCAGGGGGGCAGCTTTTATTCCCTTATTTGGCCCCACCCATATCCTGCTGATTGGTTCATTTTACAGAGAGCTGATTGGTCCATTTTACAGAGTGCTGATTGGTCCGTTTTACAGAGTGCTGATTGGTCTGTTTTGACAGAGTGCTGATGGGTGCATTTACAAACCTTTAGCTAGACACAGAATGCTGATTGGTGCATTTACAATCCTTTAGTTGGAAAAGTTCTCCAAGTCCCAACCCGATCCAGAAACCCAGCTGGCTTCACCTCTCAAAAGGACTAAAACCATAGAAAATTGGAGCAACACTGTGGTAGTTAATTTTACATGTTAATTTGGCTGGGCCATGGTGTGCAGATATTTGGTGAAACATTTTTCAGGATTTTTCTGTGACTGTTTTTGGAAGAGATTAACATTTAAATCTCTGCTCTTTGAATACCTCTATCCAACCAGTTTAAGACCCATAGAACAAAAGCAAGGAAGGATTGCTCCACTGAGCAAGGAAGAATTCTACCAGCAGCTATACTTGAACTGAGACATCTGATCTTTCCTGTTCTCCAAGCAGACAGCCCACAGTGCAGTTTGGACTTGCTAGCTGCCATAATCATGTGATCCAGTTCCTTACAATAAATCTCCATGTACATGCACATCATTTTGATTCTGTTTCTCTAGAGAACACTGACTATTATAAATACTATCAAATCTTATTACAGAAGACAAATGCATCACACAATTTTGTCCAGTACATGGTATGGTCACCAAGAATGACCATATGCTGCATTAAATAATAAAAAACTCTAATCTCAATAAATTGCATTTTAAAAATCTTTATAGGTCTGGCCATGGTAGCTCATGCCTGTAAATCCCAGCCCTTTGGGAGGCTGAGGTGGCAGGATCTCTTAAGCCCAGTATTTCAGGACTAGCCTGGGCAAAAAAGGGAGAATTCTTCTCTACAAAAAATAAAAATTAAAAAATTAGGCAGGTGTGGTGGCATGCATCTATAGTTCAGCTATTTGGGAGGCTGATCTGGGAGGATAGCTTGAGCCCAGGAGTTCGAGGCTGTAGTGAGCCATGATTACTGCAGTCTGGGTGACAGTGAGATATTCCATTTCAAAAAACATTATATAGTATATATGTGTGTGTGTGTGTGTGTGTGTGTGTGTGTGTATACTATTTTTAGAACAGTTTTAGGTTTATAGAAAATTTGTGCAAAAAGTACCTAGATCCCATATACCCGCCCCTCCACATTTCTTCTATTATAAACATCTAGCTTTCGAGTGGTTCACTACTAAATGAAAGGAGTCCATCTCTAAAGGCCATATACTGTAATTTCAACTGTAAGGTGTTATTAAAAAGGTAAAACTATAGAGACAGGAAAAAGATCAATGATTGCCAGGGGTTCTGGGAAATGTGAAGCAGATGGATGAATAGATGGAGCACAGGGTATTTTTAGGGCAATAGAACTATTCTGTATGATCGCATAATAATGGATGAATGTCATTATGGAATCACCAAAACCTATAGAAATATACAACACAAAGAATGTAACCTAATGTAAACTATGGATTTTAGCTAAGAATAATATATCAAGTTTATCAAATGTTTCTAGTATGGATGAGGAGTTGTATTTTTTTTAGTATATTTTAATTACTTTAAAAAGCCAAATTTGTCAAATGAATAACCTATTGAATGGTTCAAAACTACAACATTCAAAATAATATCAGTAAGAGTGATAAAATAAGGGCTTGACCAATCTATATTTTACAATTAATAACTGTCATTAATACATCATTACCAAGCAATCCTAAGACACTGTGATCTAGATGATTCCAGATGTTCTAGAAATTTTGACTATTTCAAGTCTCTGTCTTCTGTGTAATTTAGTGAAAAAGCACCTGCCTCTCATGATGAAAATGTAAGGTGAATGCGTATTTGCAGGTATTCAAACATTGTAGCAAATAGCACAAACCTTGAGGTATATGAATTAAACTTATATAACTATGAGAATCAAAATTTGTCTCTGTCACTGAATAACATTGGGTGAAGGAATTATTCTTTCACAGTCTTAGTGTAAATAATAACTGATCTCATAGAATCTTAAGAGACTTGAATGGTATAATATTTAAAATTCCTTAGCAATCATTTGTACCAAATCATGTAATTATTTTATTGATTGGAAAAGAAAACTAATCATATCACTAATACTTAAAGAGTGTTTAATATGAATGTCAGCTGCTGTCATAAAAACTTTACAGATATTAGCTCTTTTAGTCTTCACAGCAAACTTTTGAGTAACATTTATCATTTTTCTCACTTTATAGGTGAAGAATATTGAGGTATAGAGATGTTAACCACTTGGTTGACATCACATTCCAATTAGACGGGGAGGCAGAACTTGAAATCAGACATGCTGGCTTTAAATGTTCCTCTTTTGTCAGATTTTCTGCAGGATCTAGAACTAGAGGTACCATTTGACCCAGCCATCCCATTGCTGGGTATATACCCAAAGGATTGTAAATCCTGCTGCTATGGAGACACATGCACACGTATGTTTGTTGCAGCACTGTTCACAGTGGCGGGGACTTGGAGCCAAACCAGATGTCCATCAGTGATGGACTGCATTAGGAGAGTGTGGCGTATATACACCATGGAGTGCTATGCAGCCATAGAAAAGGATGAGTTCATGTCCTTTGTGGGGACATGGATCTGGAAACCATCATTCTGAGCAAACGATCACAAGTACAGAGAACCAAGCATCTCATGTTCTCACTCATGGGTGGGGGTTGAACGGTGAGAGTACTCGGACGCGTTGTGGGGGACATCGCACACCGGGGCTTGTCTTGGGGTGGGGAGGGGGGAGGGATAGCATTGGATGATATGCCTAATGTGAACGAGTTGATGCATGCAGCACACCACATGGCACATGTGTGCATATGTAACAAGCCCGCACGTTGTGCACATGTACCTCAGTACTTGAAGTATAATAACAAATAATAATAAAAAAAAGCAGGTTGGCATGGTATGGTTGGGTCAAAAAAAAATGCTCCTCTTTGAAGAGCTTTTTTAACTGCCTGTCTAGGTTTTGTCATTTACGTGTGCACAAATACTATTATAATACTAATTCATTTCACATATTTTAGATAACTCCTAAGTTTTAAAATTAAAAGATTTTTTAAAAAGTATTGCAATCTTATCTGAACTAGAATTCTTTAAAGGCAAATGTTTCAATGTGTTCGTTGGAAAAGAGACAGAGCCAGATCTCTATAGAGTTATTTAGGATCATAATTATAAGTTGATTTTTTTATCAGGAAAAAACTCTGCAATAACAGTAGCTTAAAGAAGATGAAAGTTTTGTTCTTACTCACACAGTCATTGGGATGGATGCAGTCCAGAGCTTATACCGCAACTCTATGCTACAAAGTAGTCAGGGACCTAGGCTCAGGCTCATTTTCTTTTATTATTCCATAATCTTCAGGTTACATACCTCATTTTCATAAGCCAAGGTAGCAGCATCCATTTTATGAGCAGTGATAGAAGCAGCAAGAGTCCTCAGGGTTCTTCCCTTCCAAAAATGTCCACATAAACTACATGATGACATTAGCTCCAGTTACATGGCCACATCTAACTTTCAGTGAGGCTAGGAAAAATAATATAATATTTATTCTGGTAGCCTATGTGTCCAGAAAAATATCCCATCATTACAGATGAAAGATGACATATATTGGAACACAACTCTAAATTACTCTCACAATCTTCATGTATATGCCCCATGCTTTCTAAATGCCGACACAAACTTGAGGACATAATTAGTTATGTGATTTACACTATCTATAAAGGAAATGTAGACTAAGGTAAAACAAGTGTTTTCTTTTTCTTTCTTTTTTTTTTTTTTTTTGTTTTGTTTTTAGGACACAGAACTTGCTCTGTTGCCCAGGTTGAAGTAGTGAAATGGCATGATCTCTGCTCACTGCAATCTCCGCCGCCTGGGTTCAAGCGATTCTCATGCCTCAGCTTCTCTAGTAGCTGGGATTACAGGCATGTGCCACCGCTGCTTGGCTAATTTTTTATATTTTTATTAGAGATGGGGTTTTGCCGTGTTGCCCAGGCTGGTCTCGAACTCCTGAGCTCAGACACTCTTCCCACCTTAGCCTTCCAAAGTGCTGGGATTACAGGCATGAGCCACTACACCCCACTGAACAAGTGTTTTCATTGAACATAATTACCCCACATATATATACACATACACACATAAAAACTAAATATGTGCAAACAATGTATACATATATACTACATATGCCATATATCTACAGCATATATCTATATATATATATATGCACACATATATCTATATATTTGATAGGTAGATAGATATCCCTCAAGGGTCCTCACAGAGTGGAGTTTATATAATAAATAGGATTCGCAAAAGCTTTCATGCATTTAACAATCTGCTTCTGATACTAGCCCTCACTGAAAGCCAATGGCATTATCCCAAGTACTTTCAGTAAAAGTAACTCTAGGGAGATAGTAGTATAATATGCCCAAAGAGGGAAATCTGAGAAATTGTTTTAATCCAGTGAAGACTTTACAGGACCCATCTTCATCAGGAAATTCATATGAATATTTTTAATCTAAGAGTTTGAATTTATATTCTGTGCCCAACATCAGGAAAGGAGTCATTCTATCGTGGCATAAAACCTTTCAAACAAAGCTACCTCTACTTAGAAAGCCATGCCACAGAATGTAGTGAAAATATCATTCAATTTTGAGTGCCTGCATTAGCCATTACATGTGTGATTTTACATATATTTTGAATATTTCCATATTAGGTTATTATTATGTACTGCTGAAGATAAAGGAACAGTCCAAAATAGGTTACATGTATTTCTCCCAGGTGACACAGTTGGTAGGTAAAAGAATTAAAATTCCAGCTTCAATGTGTTTGATTACAAAAATTACATTCCCTTTATTAAAATACCTTCCTAAGTGTATTAGTCTGTTTCCACACTGGTATAAAGAATTTCCCAAGACTAGGTAATTTATCAAGGAAAGAAGTTTAACTAACTCAAAGTTCTGCATGGCTGGGGAGGTCTCAGGAAACTTAAAATCATGGCAGAAGGCGAAGGAGAAGCAAGCTTGGACTGTCTCACATGGTGGCAGGAGAGAGAAGAGTGAGCGAAGCAGGAACTTGCCAAATGCTTATAAAACCATTAGATCTTGTAAGAACTCATTCACTATCATGAGAACAGCATGGGGGAACCACCCCCATGATCCAATCACCCCCCACCAGGTCCCTCCCTCGACTTGTGGGGATTATGAGGATTACAGTTCAAGATGAGATTTGGGTGGGACACAGCCAAACCATATCACTAAGTTTTTCATGAGGTGATGAGAGAAAAATATCTGAAAATATGTGAGTCTACAAATGTAGTCTAAATATGTAAGCTCTCAGAGTTGACGTTCCATGAATTGAAAATAAGTTATTAGGTATGTAAAACAAGTCATATTTCTTTACGCCAGTAATGTATTCTGTATCCATGAGAGCAGAGTCTTACCTGTGTACAATGGACTGTGATGTCTTATAGGTGTGCTTCAGTGCTGGAATAGCTAGAGCTCCATGCTTGCTATCTCTATAGACAGGCATCTTCTCCCATTTCCAAAATGTGCTGGATGTATACTATATTCTGTATGTCACGTTGTGAAAATATTTGGAAGACACTATGTTATACTTATGGGAAAGTATTTCTGAGGCATGTTTATTAGGATTTCCAGATGTATCAAGTAAAAACACAAAATATCAAATTAAAATTTAGAAAAAGACCAAATTTTTTTTGTATAAGTGTAGCATGTCTCATGCAACAGGTGGGACATATTAATACAAGCAAACTTACTTGTTCTTGCTGGGCATCTTGTATCATATCTGCCACCCCTAATTCTTATAATAAATCTTTCTTATGCCACTATGATACTCATAGTCATTGTTTTTTCTGTCAACAATAGTGACATCCATTTTTAAAACTTTCCTGGAACACAAACAGAAAAACAGGTGAGCCCCTAGATTGGAAAGGGATAATGCTGAGATGAAATTTGTGAGACAGGACAATCAGTGCCTTGGTCACTAGCCTTCTGAATAAATGAAGGTCACATTGCAATATAATTTTCAAATACTCGATGTGCAGAGACGCATCCCTTAATTGCTGGAAAATAATCACTCTATGTATTTGTCAGGCATTTAAGAAAACTACTGTATGTTTTAGGTTATGCTTGGTCAGAATAGTAGCTTAAAAGTTAAACATTCTCATCCTGATACCCTGCTTCTGCCTCTGCTGTTGATAATCTTCATGAGCTACACAAAGTTAGCCTTTGCCGGTGTCTCAGCCTAGTCTCACTTTTCCGGAGATAAGAACCCTCTTCCATCTTATGACCTATACCCAGCATGGCAGAGACATTTCCCTCATTCTTGAAGAGTGTGGTTTTCCTTTAACCCCTTAAAAACAAAAGAACATCTTGAAGCACTTTCAGTGTGATCCAGGGGCTGGATTACTTCATCTGAGATCGCACAACCTGTGGGGCATATAAATCATTTCTCCCTTCATCTGCCTCCAGCTCATTTGAGTTCATTTTCAATATCTTGTTCAGCAAAAAGTGAAGGAGCTTCATATATTACTTCAATCATTAGGGGTCTGTGCTTTTGGTTTGTGAAAATTTGCTTAAATTGTAAAAAAAAGTTACAACATTATTTTAATTTTAATTTTAAAATAAATATTTTGGAATACGATTTGTTGAGATGAAACTCTGCCTATAGTTATTATAATTTTATATGTCATGCAGAAACATTTAACTATTTGAGGCAAACTTTTCATTAATAATGGTATTTTTAGTTTTATTTTTATATTCATGAAGGCCAACCAGTTATTTTTTCCAAACCAAAGATAAAGGCCATTTATAGTCTAATTTTTAGAATTTTGAAAATCAAAAATTGTGTTGTCACTTCTCATTTCTTTTATCATAAACTGTTTCTGAAAACCTCTTTTATTCTCACTCATGACTATCCTGCTATGCATATAATGCAGCTGTATCATGTATAAAAACATTGTGTTCTAATTATAATATTCCATCTTAAAATTTTTCTACATTTTAAACTATTTTTATAAAGTATGTGCCGTTTAGTAATCTTTTAGGGGTTACTTAGCTGTGCCAACGGCCTTATGCTAGTATGGATCATTGTGCAGAAATAACCTCCTGTATGAACTTGTTTCATTAATAATACTTTTTTTCATGCTTCGGAAAAGGATTTCCGTGCTGCTCTAAACATTGGTAAAAGTGTTTTAAGTGTAAGAGAGATCACTGTCCTATGAAAACATCTCTGGATTCCATAACTCCCTTTACTAAAAGAATGTTTTAATGCTTCTCATAAAATTTTAAAGTAATGGAGTAAGAAATAAATATTGCCAAAATAATGAAGATTAATATATATATATGTGTGTATATATATATATATAGTTGAAAACTTCTGATAGGAGAAATAAGATTATTAGATTATTGTCACACTAGGCATTAACAGCTAATTCAAATTATCTAAAATAATCCTGCTATTATTGTATCTCTGCCAGGATATTTTCAATCTTTTTGTGATTCAGCCTAAAAGTAAAAATAAGTTGTATATCTATGTGTTTCTATTGATACATTTATATCTGATGCAATGTTATTATACTATCTTGTTAGTGAAGAATTCATATGAATTTTTTTATAAATAAGACATATGCTATTCTCAATGAACTATTTTCCTGGTAGAATCCTTTTTTGCCATATATCTTTGAATAATCTCCAAAGTGTTTATCTCGAGCTTATTTTGATTATTTTACATAGATGATGTCTGAGATGTTTTGCATCTCAGCTATTCAGCCATAAAAGTAGAGCCAGTTGATATTTTGTTTGTAAAATTTATTTAAACATAAAATCCACTTGTGTCAACAGATTTATAAAATAATATTTTGAAACACATGAATTTGGTTTATGTAATTTTGCTTAGCATTTCAAGTTTTTTTAATATGAAATAAATAAGCTTGAATGTATTCACATCTTCTAGGAAAAGCCGAAGATTGCCATGGCTATGACCTGCTTGTTGTTTGTTCAAATCAATGTATTTGTCTTGTAGTCTGAGCCACTTTGTTATGAAGATACATGTATTTTTCTTCATCATAATTGTGACTAGGCTGCTTGATCTTTTCATGTTCTTGTAAGACTTCATGAACAGTCTGACACTCTTTTGAACTGGAGGAAGGTGCTTTCCTTGTGTGGCAAGAATAATAAATCTTCCAGCTGTAGTCTCCACCCTGGTATGCAAGGACTCACACTTATCAAACTCAGCACTGAAGTCATCCTTGTAATTCTGATGTTGCTCATGGGAGACCATGGCAATATATTTTATCAAATAATCTGGGATTTCAATTTTTAATGAAGTCTCCATGGAAGCAAATGTTTCATTGGAATTCAGACTGCAAGTATTTCATTTGCAACTTTTTCTTCCCTTTTAAAGACCTCCTCCTTTTCCTCAGTAGTTTCAAGATCAGCCTTTTTTATTTGATTTCTTTCCTTAGGTTTTTTTTTTTAAATCTTTTTAGATTTTGTTTTAGAATTTATGTGAGACGTTAAATGGTTTTCTCATAGAGGCTTTGGATGCTTTAGTAGGATTGAATCAGAAAGTAAATTTTCAGTGAAGTTCTAGAAGTATGTCTTGCTGGTCCTCAGAGATGATATCATTTTGATTAAAACTGTTAGCAGGTAGGCTTTGTGTCCTCTGGCCTTTTATAGTGGTGAGGGAATTGGAGTTAAAATTTACAATCAGAGGAAGCTTTGAGATGGACAGGTGGGTTGAAGATACAGATGGAGGCATGGGAATGTCAGCAGCTGTGAGGAGCAGAGAGACCTGCAGCAAAGTTTTCACTAGTAAGATTTAAATGACCATTTAATATTAATTGTATTCTCAATTTGAAGTGAAGTAATTAAACTTTTTCATTTCTTAAAGAATGAATTAAATCTGAATCCAAAAGCCATTTCTGAGGAGGAACATATATATATACAGCATCTCTACTAGAACATGTAAGGGCTTCTGAATGGCTGCTGTCTCATCACCCTGAGACACATTTAGTTTTCTAGAGATCAGAAACTCCTATGACTGTCTTTGTTATTGTATCCAGGCTAGTCTCTTTGAATCTCTTTAAAAACAAACATAACATCTTAAAGTATATGAAAGATCCTTAGAATTCCAGCTGGCTATTTGTTATAGAATTGTTCTGAGGAGGATCTTGTCTTTTGGAATGGTGCTGTTCTCTGCAGTGGAGCAAGGAGCTCAGATGTCTTGCTGGCCTGCAGTGTGTAAGTGCATCCCCTTCTGGATAGCTGCTGACAAGGACTGCTGTTCACATGTGTTCTGAATTGTATTTGCAGGGTTCATGGATGAAAATATTTTACTCTTAGGCACTGTATTTAGAATAGGTTCTCCAAAATTTCACCCTTTTTTCAACCACTTTTCCTTCTTCTAACTGAATCTCAAGTCAGTTCTTATGAATTAAAGTCTTCCTGCTTGGAATTAAATTCTTGTGGCTCTGATGAGTTTCCTATGCTGGGGTCACCATTTGGATGAGCTTCACATGCAAAGTGGAGATGTCATGGCTGTCACCTGTGGCACTACTCCTCCCACAGGCTCCCCACCTCACCTCATTGTCATCATCTAAATTCTCCAGCCCTACCTGCTCCAGCTCCATTGTGGCTTTTCCAGCTACTGCCACAGCTACAGCTGGTGTGCTGCTGGTTTGGTTAATTTTGAGAAAGAAAACAAGCAAACAAACCTCAACAACTTCAAGATAGTTTCCTTCTAGAGTACACAGATATTTAAAAAGGCACAAATATTTATACATGGCAATTGTTTTAACAATTCTTTCTAGAAATAATCTAAATCTTTCTTAATCAATAGATGTTTTCTTTTTGAGTCAATGAACCTGAATATATTTAAAGAAACAGTTCTAGGCTGGGTGTGCTGGCTCACACCTGTAATCCCAGCTCCTTGGGAGGCCAAGACAGGTGGATCATTTGTGTCCAGGAGTTCAAGACCAGCCTGGGCAACATGGCAAAATCCCATCTCTACAACAAATATACAACTTAGCGGGATATGGTGGCACATGCCAGTAGTCCCAGCTACTCGGGAAGCTGAGGTGGGAGGATCACTTGAGTCCAGGAGGTGGAGGTGGCAGCGAGCCAAGATCTCACTACTGCAGGCCAGCCTGGGTGACAGAGCAAGACCTTGTCTCCAAAATAAAATAAATATAATTCTAGTTGATCGCTGGAGGACTATAATCCATAAATCTTTTGAACAACCTAAGTCATATTAGAAAATATAAATTTGTACATAACAAGAATGGTTATTGAGAAATATTCATGTCATACACTCTACCTGAACTATCAAGCAGAAATTCACTTAAGTGTTACTCTATAATAAGTTCCTTTTCTTTAAATTATTTATCTTAAATCATTTTTTGAATAATTGTAGCAAATTCCTAAGAACTCTGATAAACTTTGCTAGACAGGCATACATTGTTGATACCATTGTCTTTAATTTTTCTGATTTGATTTAGCAGTGATATTAGGCAATATTCCATTTCTGGAGTATTTCAGATATTAAGCTTAATACACTTTCATTTTTTTAGTTGCATAAACAAATTCTATGAGAAAACTTTCTCACAGTGCTAGTATCCAGAATTATAACAGCTATTAAACAGTGGCATATTTCTTGCAACAAATAGCACCTATCACACAGTAGCCTTCATGGCTTCTAACCTTCTAGCCTTCCCAGAGTATTTTAAAACTTCCATTAAATTATGTTCCAATTCTGTGCTTTTTTTGGGAAAACTAGTTTATTAGATACTCTTCAGTTATGACATAATTTTTTTTCATGTGTAGTGACTGCATTAATTTGGATAAATGCTAAATAATCATTAGACAAAGATACTCAGGATATAATGATGTGTACAAAATGTATTTCTTTTTATTTAATAATATAGAGCAGAGGCCAGCAAAGTTTTTCTCTAAAGGACATATGGTTTCTGCTACAGATATTCAGCTCTGCTGTTGTAGCATGAAAATAGCAGTAGACAATAAGTAAATAAATGAACATGGCTGTATTCCAATAACACTTTATTTACAAAAACAGGCAGCAGGCAAGATTATGCTTGCAGGCTGTAGTTTGCCGACTTGATGTAGAGGGAAGCAGTCCAGGGCCGACAGGCCAGCTCTGTCATTCTCAACACAAGGCTGTTGTGATTTCTCCAGACATCACCAATCCCAGCAAATCACTCAAGTATTATCTGCAGCAGGGAAGGGAGAAAGAGAGCATCTAGGGTTATAATCTATAAAGACAAGATGGCAATGTTCTTCACTCACTTCCCCCGGTGCATATTTAGCCAGTGGTCCAAAGGAATGAAATTCTAACTGGGTACCCAAAGGTGTGAGGAAAGATCCAGGATTCTATAACTAAAAGAATGAATTGGAGAATGGATACTGGGAGGCTGTTAATCAGCTTTTACTTCATTCCACATCTCCCTCACCTTGAGCACACTTATTCTTTCTCTAAGGGAGACAGTCCGAAATCTCATTCAGCTAATGCATTTGGTTGGAAGTCTGGGATATCTGCACAAGGCTAAGTTGTCTCTCTTGCACGTGGATGTGGCTTTTTGAAATCCAGCTACTGTAACTTACTAAGTTATCTTGCTTCTTTTCTAACTC
The DNA here is from genome assembly GCF_000001405.40 of Homo sapiens. Taxonomy (NCBI): domain Eukaryota; kingdom Metazoa; phylum Chordata; class Mammalia; order Primates; family Hominidae; genus Homo; species Homo sapiens. The sequence goes on from NC_000013.11 coordinate 68,293,346, forward strand.
AATATTTAAAAAGAAGTAGGAACAGGATAACTGCAATGAATGCTCTCATTATAAACTAGAAAATGGAAACACACAGCCATTTATAAAATATTGCTTGTCAGGGATTTTGAATAATGCCTGAAATGGTTAAACAGAACCTGAAAATTTGTTGGGTCTAGGACACGAGTACAAAAGGAAGACCACATATCTAATCATATATAATTATTTTATATATGCTGTGCTGTTATATATAGTTTTGCTGTGCAATTATTTAAAAGTTATATATAGTGCTAATTGTTAAATAAAATATGTCCCATGGCCCTAACTTGAAAAATACACAACAAAATGTTTAAAAATGCAAATCAATAACCTTTGTAATGTTGAAGGTCAGTTACTTATTAGAACTACAAAGTGTAAGTACAGTATTAATGTACAAGTTTGGGTGTTCTGTTAATGGATCACTGATGTTTGGATGACAATCTAATTTCATAAATGTTTTCTGTTGGCAGTGTGCTTTGTTAGACAACTCTTCTTGAAACACTTCAGATTGCAGTTTTGGATTAAAATCAAGTTGGGAAAAAATGTCTCTTTGCTGAGTCAGTAGCAACTGAAATTATTAATAAAATTTATAGAACCATATTTATATACAGAACTGTAACATGACTTTTCCATGTGTTTAAATTATGTCTCAACATTGCAGAAAAATTTCAAAAATATTTGAATCTATCATATAAATTACTTTTTCTTATATAATGATTCTTAAATGAACATTGAGAGCCATGCTATATTTCTTATATTATTTTTCATTCAAAATATTCACTGCTAGGATATTTTAAAGAAAAATGAAAATAATAATATGTTGCTTAATTACTTTTATGCCCTCTTCAATGAAGACTGCATCTTGAATTATTGTGGTCCTACAAATAATCTTTATATAACTTTTAAAGGTTTATTTGCATATGAATCTTTTCACTTTCATATTTTTATTTCCTTGTTTTAAGCTCTCTTAGAGATATTATATTGAGCCATCACGCTTGTTGAATACTTTACATATGCTTTCTTTTGATTTAGCCAAACTATTTTTTCTAAATTATTAAATAGTATTTAAAAGTAGAATAGCGAAACATAAATCTATTTTGTAATCTTTTGCTAGTAATATTCACAATAAGCAAGAGTTCAAAGACATAACTTGAATATTCAAAATCAACTTTGATATTTGTCATTGGCTAAAGTTTCCTTTTTATGTGAGTGTTTCATTATATTTTTTTACATCTTGTGTTGAGGAGAGAGAGAGAGAGATCAATACATAGGGCTTCTGAAGCCCAGGGATCCGGGCAGTGCCCTCCATGATTGGATCTAAGAGTGCAATTCACAAGTAGTGGAGTTGCTTCTTGGTGGCCCCATAGGCAGCCCAGAGTAATGCTTTATAATAACTTCTCTGTGCATTTTATCATTTACGGTACCTGGATTTTTTTCCACTGTTTGGGTCTTTCTTACCTATTGTCCTTCATGATCATATTTAAAGTGGGTGTTAAAAAGTGTGCTTTTCCTGGAACTTCATAATATTCATAACACACTTCCTGCTGCTGTAGGTTTGGATGACTGAGGCATACTTTAAGAATTAAATAATTGTATGCTTCTGTTTTCTATACTGTGGTTTCTTTAACAACGTGCTTTCCTAAAAATAGATAAATAAATAACTCTTGAATTATTTGTTTCAATAAATCATGTGAAAGAATAAATACACAAAGATCCTTTCTGGACATAATTCTAACCTGCAAAATTTCCAATTTTGTTTGCTGCGTTTTCAGGCTATGATATCTGCTACATCACAACACTAGTGCTTAAACACTAACTAAATGTTACACATTTTACGGTTTTCATTACAGCAACAACAAACTATTGGTTGGAATATGTGTTATGCTGTTGCAATAAAAATAACTTAATCTATAATGGCCTTACAAGAAGTTAAAGTTTCTCTTACATGTAACAGTCTAGAGTTAGTAGTCCAGGCCTAATGGGGTGGTCATTCTACTCCCAGTACCTAATTCCCAAGGTTGTTTCACTTGTTGACATTTCCCTGCCAGTACAAATAAAGGAAGAAGTGGCCTAAAGGTGGCACTGAATTGTCAATATAATTTGTAGATATGTATTAGCTCAATTTTTAGCCTGGTTTAATTTTTGTAGTTATTTTTGTCGTTATTGTTGCCTGAAAGTGTAAATGCAAAGAATGGCAGATATTTTTATTTTACAATCAAGGAGTGAGCATTAGAAGACACTTTTTTTTTTTTTTCGGAAAGACAGCACCTTTATCTGCTACATTTTCTGTGGCTTCCTCAAGTTAAGAAGCTAAAACTCATTTTTCCAGTTTTCCTTGCATCTACAGCTCAGCAATGCAAATTATACTTCTCTAGTTAGATGTATTTGTTCAAGATGCTTGTATAGAATAGTTACAACAGCAGATACTCAATCATTTCCCTCTTGTGAGTGTAGCAAAGTATGACAGAAGTATTCTTCTTTTGAGGCAGTGATGCCCGAGGTGGTAGCAGAATTAGCTCATACCCAGTATCAATGGTGCAAACTGAGACTCTTGGCTCACTAGCACTGTCAGCTGAATCTCATCATGTATATTTTTATTTCTGTAAATCATTGGGGAAATATAATTAAAACAAAATGTTCTACTAACCAGAAAACCTCTTGATAAAGGTAGTAAAGAAAGAAAGCAGTTTTATTATTAAATAATCCTTCAACCAGAATGTGTTGCCCATAACAGATAATCGCTAAGAGATTGCAAAAACAGAAAGAAATCTCATCCTTTTACATAAATAAGCAGATAAAACCCATCACATACTTGTTGTCAAGATAAACTATTACTAGTCTTTAAGGAGGAGGACTTGAACACGCCATTGGCCCTATGTCATTTATCCTAGATTCACCTGGTAATTTGGGTGTTCATCTGTGTTAGCTAATTGGCTTTATACAGAGGAAAAACTAAGTTGTTATATCTTGATAAAACGAAGTAATTTTGCAACTTAGAGCAAGTCTTCCCTTAAAGTTAGGCTCCTATCCTGCCACAGAGACTGGGAGATAAGTTTGCTATCTTCCCTGATATTTACATTTCTGTTTCTGAGTCCTTGTAATTTTCAAATGGAATTATGCGTGTTTCAGAGAGAGGAAAATGTACTTAATTAAAAGTTTTCTAAGGTAAATGCTCTCAGAAAAATGGAGGGAAAAAAGTGTCTTTTGTTATTTTCAAAAGAGAGAAGTAAGCCTCTTATTTTAAGTCTTTATTTGTCCTTACAATCTGTAGTCTGTGGTCCTAAATCTTTTGTCCTCCAAATTTTTGTGAATTTTCTAATATACAGTAAAATACTTTTTGTTATATATTTCATAATATAACTCAAGTGGGGTTCTCTTACTTGCAAATAGTTACCTAACTGACAATAATATATCATCATCTTATTTAATCCTCATAACAACTCTAACAAATAGGAGCTTATTTGTAGAAATTATAATTTCAAAGATACTTACATAGCTTACCAATTATGTAAATACTGAGTGAATAGTTGAACTGTGATGTGAAACCAGCTCCATTTGATTCTAGACCATTGCTCATAATCAAGACATTCTTATATGTTTCCTTTCAAAGTATTTGACTAACAACCACTTAGGCAATCAAATTATGCTAAGGCTGTCTCATTTGATCAATTCCCTGTCTTTCATTTAAAAATAACTTAGAGGTAACACTCAAATGACAGTGTGTAAGTTTTAGTTTCCCTGAAAAAGACATGTGTGCCTGTGTGGGTGTGCGTGTGTGTGTGTGTGTGTGTGTGTGTGTGTGTGTGTAGTGGATGTTGATTATTATTTGGCCTATGAAGCATCCATTCCCATCTTATGTTAAGAGCCTGACAACTTCATCAACTTCATTTGACATGTTATCTCTCCCCAATTATGTTTGCTTTAAGTGGGACTCTAAAGAAAGGAGTTTTTATTATAAGCAAGATAAAGAAATGACACTTAACAAAATCTGTAACAATTGGACTTTGTCTCTTGAAATCTGGAGTCCTGACCACGATATAGGTTTAAATATGTATCAGAAAACCTGCCCTGTATATCCATGTAACAAACCTGCACACGTATCTTAAAGAAAAAAAAATTAGAAAAGGAAACTCGAAGGAAAGAAGGCTTAAAGACATAATGATATATATTTCAAATCAAAACAGTTTGGGGGTAGACAATGGGCCTGGCATGGTGGTTCTATAAACCCCAGGAATCAGATTCTTTCTCCTTCTCCTATGCTCTCTCCAGCACATGGCTTCCTTTCCCAATAATGTTTCAGGATCAGGGATAGAGCCCCAGGCATCCCATTTGCCTTTCAGGTAGTAGCACAGAAAAAGGCGAGGAGGACAACAGATAAGTGCTAGATAGCTGAGACAGTAACCTTTAAGAAGTTTTCCAAGATTTTCTTTATAGCATTTCCATTGTTGTGGAATTAGCTAGAACATAGTTACAACACATGGTTTAGTGATTACAATAAAAACAAAGAAGGATGGGAAATGTTTAATTTTTTTAGGTGAAGAATCTCAACACAAAAAGTAAGAGCCTATTACTAAGAATAAAAGAAGAGCTATTGAGTATGAAATTAGAGGGACAATAATTGAAGATGGTCATTTCAGTGGCAACACTTTGCTTAAACTGACAATATTTCCTGTCTTTTATAAGAGATAATTTGGCTCTGTCCTTTTTTATGCCTGGTTCTCCATGTTGCCTGATGATTTCATGAGCTCAATAACTTTCTAATAAATTTATTTTCTAATTAAAGCAAGATTATAAAACTATGTCTAACCCAAGACAACTTAGGATCCTATACCAAATTTAAAGGAATTTCATCCTGATTGTATGGACATGTGTGGGCTTGCAATATTGCCAAACATTGTGTGGCAGCCAGACGTCATAGCAAACAAACAAATTTGGATCTACAGTAAAGTTCAGAGGCACACAGATTTACAATTTGAATATGAACACTTAACAAAACTTACTAACCTGTCAGGTTCTATTAATTGACCTTTGGAGAGTAGAGTATTAGCAGTTTATGAAGTAAACATCCTTTAATAAAAGCTTAAAAATGACTTTTATATTTTATATAATTATATAAAATATTAATGCAACATTTGTGGAAAACCTGAGGAGCATGCATTAAAGATTGAAAAATACTGCTTAAAAGATAGTAGAGAATAATTACATTTGAGGAATGGTAGAGATACCTAAATTTTATCAGCAACATCTTAAATTCTTGGTCCTCAATTTCATCATTACTTTCTTCTCTGTTTTTTTTTTTTTTAATAGAAGGTGAGGTGCTATAAAAGTAAATGATAAAAATTGCACTGCCTCCTAGGGATATTTTCAAGCCATGAAGTAAAATCTATATAAACATGGACATGGTTTAGTGATTGCAGATATTTTATTTTTCTAGAATAGAACGTTATGATTTTATACTGAAGTCTCTGACCACAAGCCATGTAAAGAAAACATAAAATCATCCCTTCCAGAAAACTCTATCTGTAACCCTTAACAAAGCAGAGTACATATGCTTAGACAATAATTTTCCAATTTTTGTTTCGATTTTTAAACGTATATATGTTAAAGTTTTAAATGTTTAAGAAATAATTAATAGTTTAATGTTTCTATGCACTAAAAAAAAGTGCAGCCTTAGTCAAAGAAAAAAACTTGTTACCACAATATTTCTTGCATCTTCACAGATTGCTTCATCAGTTTTTTCCACACTTACTAATGTCACATTTGCATCAATAGCTGTGAATACTGGGAACTTGTTATATCTGACTAATATTCTGTGGTTACTTTAATTGGATAATATATATGAAAAGATTCTGGTCTTGTTGTCCACATGCTGTAACAGACCTTAAATATGATGGTAGATTTCAAAGTACCTTATAGTTTAAAAATAAAATATAATCTATCTAAAGACAACAGTTTTTCCCATTTAAATGATTATACATTCTTACATGACATAAATTTTAATACCTTAGCTTTTAGTAACAACAACAAAAATGCTAAGCAGAAATGCTTATTATATATTGCTGAGTTATTTAGTGGAGGCAGAAATAACTAATTTTTCATGTAGAATTCTCAATAAAATATTCCGAAACTCAATTTTTAAATGACATCATTCACTTCACTTCTTTTGGTGAAAAACTTGCGTTAAAATGAAATTATTCTAGAATTATGATGACTATAAATCATTGACAGTAAGGGACACTTTCAGACAGATAAGAATTCAGTGTGTTTTAAAAATTTCCCTTGAATATTTGAAATTATGTTTTAAAAATTTTGGAAAAATAGAAATTCACACACAGAAAAATATCAACATTATTAAGAAAAAGGCAAAAAAGTTTTAGAAATGTGTGTGTATATATATACATATATATATAAAACTTGGTATCATTAGTATAACAGACACAACTGAATATTTCAAGTGCAGTTTTCTTGCATGTGTGTTTAAATTTTTCCTTCCCAAACCTGAAATGGATTGCATAGGGAATGAATTTGCCTTGCCTCTTCTAACTATCCTTACAGATCAGCAGCATACATATTTTGTCCCCACAGAGTCTTTGCTTCTAGGTACATCATAGATACATTCTCCAAGAAAAACTTATGTATATAATAGGTTGAGAGAAGTTTTGATTTAAAATGGGAAAATAGTTCTATTAAAGCAATACTCTTTCTTTAAACAGAGTTTCCTGTAGCCCTAAATGTCCTAAAAAATATTTAATCAATAATTGCTAAATTTTTAACTATTATACAACTGGCAACATGAATCCTTGAATCCAGGTGTGTAATTCAGAAATTAAACCCTGATCACAGTTGGAGTTAAGAACCACTCTGGCGTATTTGAGAAATTGCCTCTCTCTAACAGGAAGGAAAAAAAAAACATTAAAAGTATGTGCATTCATATGTATTTGGTAGGCACCAATGGATTTGAGATATAAGGGGAAAAACTTAAATAATATTTTCACAAAGCTAATCTGAAAATGTGCTAGACAGTGCCATTGGCCTGATTAATGAAGCTTTTATCCCATATTCTTCACCTAGAATATCAGATTTTTTGGATATAATAAGGACTGTCTAAGCAATAACAAACTGACTTTTAAAAATCAGAAAAGCATCTCAATAGTTGTTGAGAAAACTGTTGACAAAATTTAATGCCCACTACTGATTAAAAAAAAAAAAAAAAACACAACTCCCGGCCAATATAGAATAGAACGGAGGTTCCTCAACCTCATAAGGTACATCAAAGAAAATTACGACTAACATCATACTTAATGGAATAACCATATTATATGTCATTTCATAATATTTTCGCTGTTTCTTGGAACCATTGTTGTATAGAACATTACTTTTCTTATATCTTCTACCAACTTAGCTTCAAAAATCGGCTCTTCCTAAAACATGCTACTTCCTTTAGAACACAGGCAAAGCAGAGGAGGTCCCCATCACCCAATATTTCATGTATCATTAATTTATGAGCCCTCAGATATTTAAAAATAGCTTTCTGTTGCTTCAGTTACATTTTATCAATAATTACAATTCTCAGGTCTCAGATCGCATCCTTAATGTCTGGCACTTATTTTTGTGGAAAGGAGCAAGCCTTGAGTTTTCTGCTTTTTAAAATAATTTGCATTTTTATTTATAATGGTTATTGAAACTGTTTTCTTTCTTGAAATGTCTAGATTTCACCAAGATAACGTCAGCTTGATTACTAATGCGAGATGTTTAACCTGTTTTCTATTCTACCAGGTTCAATGTTATCACATTATATTTTTCTTTGTCCTTCCTAAGTTCTGGAAGTTGTATGTTCTGAATTGATACTAAAAAATAGTTTATGTTTGAAAGTAGAAAAGAAAGTCTTACCTTTCTTATAAAACAAGATACATATATTCAGCATCATGATCAGACTTTTGTGTTTAGCAATCAACAACATGGGACAAAAAAAATTATATATGAGAACCCTTTGTTGGAATGCTTTACACTTTCTATAGAACAGAAACTAAAATAACTTGTTATACAATTAGTCACAAATACAGTTCCTTGAGTTTTTTTTTTCCCATACACATGAGTATTGTCTAAAACATGTCTTCTTTGTAGCAGTGAGGTCCTGCCACCACTGGGCTTGGCTGACTCCACAAATCTTGTAACTTGTAGCTTCCCCGTCACTTCTCTGGCCCTCCTCTCCTGCTAAACTTTGTTTCCTGACAGTAATTAAAATCTTCTGTCACTGCCATAGCTACTGATGCTACTGAAACCATCATAGCCACCCTAGGCTCATAGTTTGGCAAAGTATAATATTACCCTCCACCATCATAGAGGTCAGAGCTTCTGCCTCTGAAGTTTCTGCCCTTCATGTGTCCAAAATTTGAAGATCGGTTATTATAATTGCCAAAGTCATTATAGCATCCACCACCTCCAAAACTACTCTCACCATTACTAAATCTGTTATAGCCAAGCCTGCTGTCACTATATCCACCATCACCATGGCTGCCACCAAAGCCACCTGGACCACTGAGGTTTTCTCGATAACCAAAGTTGTCATACCCACCAAAACCACCTCCACGGCCACTTCAAGAAAAGTTTTAAGAGCCACTTCGACCTCTTTGGCTGGGTAAAACACCAGCCACCTCTTGGTTCCACAGGGCTTTCCTTGCTTCACAGTTGTGACAATTCACAGGATGGTATTTCTGAATAACAGTCTTATCCAAGGAGTTATGATCATCAAAATGAACAAATGCAAACCCCTTTTCTTGCCACTACCTCGGTCAGTTATGATTTCAGTCACTTCAATTTTTCCCATCCTATTCAAAGTAATCTCTTAGGTGATGTTCTTCAATGTCCACCAACAAAGATCTTCTTTTTAAATAAAATTTATCAAAATGAAGAGAAATGAAATATTTATGATAGTGAATCTTCCCATTTATAAGCACAATAGATTTTTCTAATTATTGTCTCATTTATTGTCTTTCAGTCTACTTATGTTTTCATAAAGGTCTAATATTTCTAGGTGTTTATTTTGTTTGTTTGTTTGTTTTGTTTTTGCATATTGAATCTTTTTTGCTTCAACTTTTATTTTAAGTTCTGGGGTACATATAGAGGATGTGCAAGTTTGTTTCACAGGTAAACATTTGCCATGGTGGTTTGCTGCATAGATCAACCCATCACCTACGTATTAACCGCAGCATCCATTAGCTATTCTTGCTGATGTTCTCCTCACCCCCAACAGGCCCCAGTGTGTGTTGTTCCCGTCCATGTGTCCATGTGTTCTCATTCTTCAGCTCCCACATATGAGTGAGAACATTCGGTATTTGGTTTTCTGTTCCTGTGTTAGTTTGCTTGAGAATAATGGCTTCCAGCTCCATCCATGTCCCCGCAAAGGACATGATCTCTTTCCTTTTTATGGCTGCATAGTATTCCATGTTGTATATGTACCACATTTTCCTCATCCATTCTATCATTGATGAGCATTTGGGTTGATTCCATGTCTTTGCTATTGTGAATAGTGCTGCAGTGAACATATGGATGCATGTATCATTATAATAGAATGACATATTCCTTTGGGTACATACCCAGTAATGGAATTGCTGGGTTGAATGGTATTTCTGCTTCAAGATCACAAAGATCTTTTTTCACAGTTAAGTGGACACCTGGTCTTTGAGAATTTTGTCTTAGGGCAGCAGCTGTCTTTGGCTGCACAACTCTTCTATCCACTTTTTCTGTCCTTGCATTCATGGCTGCTTCTGCCTCTTCCACAGTGGCATATGTGACAAACCCAAAGCCCCTGGAATTCTTGGTGTTTGACTCTTATACTAGTCTGTGAGCATTCTGCCTTGCTCAAAATGGCTCCTCAAACTATCTCATGTAGAGCTTCCATAGCTGTCCAGGCTCTTTAGGAGACTCTGACTTAGACATGACAGCAGTGGAAAAGAGACAACGATGCTTTCCTGGTGGCGTCCACAGGCAGAAAGGATGTTACAAAAGGTTTAACTTTTTGGTCATACCTTTTGGATCTTGGTTTTATATACTAAGGGGATCAGTTCCTATCATATTTTCCAACTAGGCAGGTTACCATTTTTTAAAGGTGAACCACGTATTAGCAATAATTTATTATTTTTGATTTAAAAAATTCTATCTCATAATACCACAGTTACAGGATATTCCTCTGGCATATATTTTCTTTTAGATGCTATTATCTTTATTAATTAAAAATTATCTTGAGAGGCTTTTAGACATTTATGTTAAATTGAATGTTTATGGTCTATTTGTCTTCTTATAGATTGGATAGATAGAAAGATTGGGAAGCTAGTTACAAAGGTTGAATTGGAAGTTAGAATATAAATGTAAGACTCTACTTTAAAATCTGAAATTAACATATTTAGTAATATCATAATTGCTATCAAGTTGAACTATGGGAAATATTATGATCCGTAGTTGGGAATCAAATATTTACTAGTTGTATGAGTTTGATAGCTTTCCTTGATTCTTTTAAGCCTTAGTGCTTAATCTAAAAAAACGGGATAGTAGTATTACAAAATCAGAGTGTTTTGACAATTAGATGATATAATTAATGTAAAATGTGTAGTAGGATTTTAGTGAAGCGTTTTTAATGACAATGGACTATTAGTATTTATTACTTTAAAAATAATCTCATAAATCTTGTTATTCATGTAACTAAATGTAATTACTATTATTTTAGTGCAACCAAATATAGCATTTCTAAATTCAGTTTGCTGAAAATGCAAGGATAAAAGGATAATATAGAAAGTTGCCCAGAGCAACTTTCATCTCCAATTTGCAAATCTATGACCAGAAATCTCAGATAATTGGAACCTTACCACCTGGAAGATTTTAACTCTCCATTAAGGCCTTAAGATATCTAAAGTGTAGGTCAATAAACTGCTGAGCTGTTGTAATTGGACCCTTTAACTGATAATCATTAACTCGGAAGCAGGACAGTCCTTCTTTTATCAAAACAGAGAACAAACAAACAGAAATCCTCAAAACCAAAATCCAAAAACAAAAATGAAAAACCAAAAACTTATAAAGAACTGAAGGAAGGGAAACAAGTGTCTGATTTCCATTTTATCCTCCTCCATTAGGTGGCAGTGTGACTGTGGAGTATGAATTCCCACTAACCCTTTATACATTAGGGAAGATTTCAAATTGTTTCAGTCATAAAAAATGGCTTTTTTTCAGTGAGGTCTAAGAAATTCACAATTTAAAAAAAATTTAATAGCTGAAAGCATGGATCTGGAATTATGAAATGTTTTATTACCCCTCATTAACATAAAATAGCTTAGATAATACTGTGACATATTGTATACATAACAATTATATGCATTACATGAATAAGCATCCTTATTTCCCACACACCATATACATGAGCATTTCTACAACACAAAACTTGAAATTATAATTTCATTTGTTAGTCAGTGAATAACTGATAGAGAAAAAAGATGTGATTTATCTATTAGTCTTTGGTATTCAGAGATTCTTCTGTTTTTTCTAGAGGAGAAAAGGCCTCAAAGAGTGCTGTATTGGCATGGATAATTTTTTTTTTTTTTTTTTTTTTTTTTTTGAGTTGGAGTTTTACTCTAGTTGCCCAGGCTGGAGTGCAATGGCGCGATCTCGGCTCATGGCAACCTCCGCTTCCCGGGTTCAAGCGATTCTCCTGCGTCAACCTCCCGAGTAGCTGGGATTACAGGCATGCACCACCATGCCTGGCTAATTTTTGTATTTTTAGTAGAGATGGGGTTTCTTCATGTTGGTCAGGCTGGTCTCGAACTCCCGACTTCAGGTGATCCGCTTGCCTCGGCCTCCCAAAGTGCTGGGCTTACAGGCGTGAGCCACCGCGTCCGGCCAGCATGGGTAAAATTTTAATAGTCAATTTATAATGTAAACATACTGAGTGATGGAGAAAGAAAACCCCCCCCAAAATAGGGAAAGGAAGTGAAGGGGAAGCATTCGCTTAGAGTCAAGATACAAATTATTATTATTTAATTTTATTAAAAATTCAAATGAGTCTGAGCTAATGCTGGTGGGGGTTATCAGGTGGAAAAGGATGCACAGATATACTTCCTGGGGTATGTAGGTCCAAATCAGGTGCTTTAATAAGGAGTATATAGGCGTATACATGAAGGAAAATGAATTTCTGGAGAATCCAGAAAGAATGAGGTGGAAAATGAATTAAGGGAAGAAAATAAAAACAAGTCAGTTCACACTGATGTTTAGGGTACCTATAGATATATTTGTCTTAGTTGATATTGTCCATCGTATGCTGTTGAAACCCTCTTTCCATAGCAGCCTTATTTATTTATTTGTTTATTAATTAATTAATTTATTTATTTATTTTGAGATGGCGTCTTGCTCTGTTGCCCAGGCTTGAGGGCAGTGGCGCGATCTCACCTCACTGCAACCTCCACCTCCCAGGTTCAAGCCATTCTCCTGCCTCAGCCTCCCGAGTAGCTGGGATTACAGGTGCCTGCCACCCCGCCAGGCTAATTTTGGTATTTTTAGTAGAGACGGGGTTTTGCCGTGTTGACCAGGCTGGTCTCAAACTCCAGACTTCAGGTGATCTGCCTGCCTCGGCCTGCCAAAGTGCTGGGATTCCAGGCACAGCTTTATTTTCTTGTCTACAACTATCTTCTTTATTTTTTTCCTATGGTATTCATCAACTTCTTAATAGAATATAACTTAATTATTGTATTTATTATCCACTGACTACTATAACTGAAATGTAAGCATCAAGAAGCAAGCGTTTTGCTGTTTTGTTCACTAATATATCTGTAGTTCTAGGAAGGATGCCTGGCACATTGAATTCGTTTTCTTAAATCTCATGAAAATTAAAAGTATTTTTATGTAAATATAAAGAAACATGGGTAATTGAAAAATAGGTCATTCTAGAGGAAATGTTTTCTATAAGAAAAATTTTATTCTCAGTTATTTATTGTGAAGCAATGTAATTGAAATTATTTCTAATCAGCTCAGGAGAAAAGTCAATACATTTGAAAAATCTACAGAGATAAATGTGTAGACATTATCTAATGATCTCTGCACTGTTTTGATTGCTTTTTCAGATTTATTGAATTTTAAAATTGTTTTTATTTTTAAAATTAGATACAGTATATGAAAGTTTATAACAACATTAATTTTATTCAAAAAGATTTTTAAGCATACTACCTGACACTTTCATTAATTTTGAAACATGGGTTTTTCTTTTCTTTTATACTCTACTTATTCTTTAACGATATTAGTCTATTTTGTAAGTCAGTACACATTTCAATTCCTGGCCTCAACTAAAGAAAATAGCTTATGCTGGTTAGTCACTCAACTAGAGCTTGGAGTAGCACTCAAATCCTTGTTGAACAAATGAATTGCTAAACACTAGAGTGATGCATTAAAAGCATACTGAGCTTAATGAACCTAGAATAAAATGAGGAGAGTAACCACGATTATTAAAGGTCATCAACAGTTCAGCAAATGTAGAAGCTTGTCCCTATATTTCATCTTTATAACGTGAAGACTTATTTTCACAAAAGGAGTCTCATTAGGTATTCTTAATATGTGTGTAGAGTCATTAGCCTTCAAAATAAAAATTGTTGATAAAGTTGTCACACATAGAAAATCACTTTGAGAGAGCCACGAGCTTGAGAGTATACATATCAATTATTTGCCCAATGAACTAATAATCCCTTGGCAATCTTTCCTTTTTAAATATTTAAAGAAGTGATCTAAGTCCCAATATCAGGAGACGAAAGGCAGAGGATCATGTAGGGACTCATGGTTAGTGGGAGAGACTGGCTAGAATAAAGGAATGTATAACAGATTTTTAAAAATAATAATTCACTTGAAATTTTATTGATATTTTTCTCATCAGATAATACTGTATCAATTTGCAATTTCTGGCACGAAGTGGCTGCCAATAGACGTTTGCGGAACAAATGGGATATGTAAACACATAAGGGGATACAACAAACAAAAATATTTTAGTTGCTTTTCTTCACAAATTAAATGCTACAGAATTGCACATTTTACTTATGAACAAAATTCTTGAATGTATACAGGCATAGTGAATATATTATGCTTGTTTTATTACTAATATTTCATAATCAGTAGTTATGATTAAATTGATAATATTTTAGTTGTTGTTTTGAGAAATTATTTTCTTTTCACTTTTAATTCTGTTATGCTTCATATTTCATATTAATATTGTAGATAATCACTTTATAGTAAAACTATACTAAAATATTGTTATAGGATAGTAGCAAAAATAAACATATAGTGTTGTATATTAAATTATCTGTGCACTCATAAGGAAACATAAGTTCCAAATTGGCACACTTAATTATACTTAAAGAAATGCATGTTTTTTACTGTATAAAATACAGGCACTGTCATTTTAATTCATGGGCTTTTATATCATTCAGATATCCGCAAGTTACTGAATTGTTTTCTTAAATCTAATGAAAAGTAAAAGTATTTTTATGCAAATATAAAAAGTCATAGGTAATTTGAAGATAGCTAATTCCAGAGGAAATGTTTTCTGAAAGAAAAATTTGATTCTCAATTAATTATTACAAGCCATATAATTATTTCTAATCAGCCTTGGAGAAAAGTCAACACATTTGGGAAGTCTAAATATGAGATAAAGGTCCCAGAATGTATTAGTTATTAATTGTTTTACATTGTGGACTCTAAGCTTATGTTAAAAATAAAGATTAACCATGCATGTAATAAAAATCTTTATTGCAAATAGCAGGAATCATTATATGACATAATAATTGTGTTTAAATTATAATTTTCTAAATTTTTTAAACAGAATCCAATTATACTATGGTACAAACCAATGTTATAAGCAACTTAAGTACCTCTTTAGAAACAGGCAATATGAATTATATCTGATTATTTTCAGTCATGTGAAAAGTTATTAATTTTATAAAGCTCTGAAAAATATACAAATATTTCACTTAGATAGATATAACCTATCACTGAGTTATATTAGTGAGCTGGAAAATGTATAAAATGTATGCATTATTTTCAATATAACTCTTTTTTTTAGGTACATTTGGTTTTAAGGAGTATGCAGTTTGTATCTTTGTGTATATGTTCAAGAACACAAAAGTTTATGAGTGAATATGCATGATGCAAGAAGAAAACAGAAATATATAGATTTATTTCAGCACCATTGATCTGATTATTTTAGTAGTTTCACCTGATAACTAATTTACAGTCTGATGTTTTTATGCCAAACAAACAAACAAAAAAACATTATGAGGTGCATTACTGTTCACTGTATAAGTGCTAAGATGTCTCTTGGGATAATTATGAAGACAGACATAATTGGCATGACCTAATCATAGAACACTTAGTGTCCTCTAAGGAGGGATGGAGTTTTGAGATGCTAATAGTGCCTATCAGTTAAGTTTGATTTTCACCTTTATCTCTAACAGATTCATGGAAGACTTCTAAAGGAATAAGGGTGGAAGAACAGTCATAGAAAAAAGGAAAATACTGAAGTGTCATTTCACTACGTCTCTATAATATATTTGACAAAAAAAAGAGTAAAGCACTGCATATATGTCACAATGTATAATACACAAAAGAATTTTTATTGTTGTTTTTAGTTGTTTATTTTTGTTTTTGCTGTACTTTTCAAGACAACATTACTTTAAACAAGCATACCTTCAAACACTAGCAGTTTTACTTCAGTTAATTGATAATTAAAACAACAAACATGTTTTTCATACAGCTAGATAGGCCCTCAAACTTATCATGTCTTAAATTTTTCTACTTTGGTTACACCTTATAACAAGAATTGGACTTTGTACTACCTAAAATTTATGTATTAATACGATACATTTTCTAATTTTTTAAATTCATTTTCTGGTAGCTTTGTTTGTTTGTTTTTAAACAGGATCTTACACTGTCACCCAGGCTGGAGTGTAGTGGCACAATCGCGGCCCACTGCTGCCTTAACCTCCCACGCATAAGCCATCCTCCTACCTCAGCCTCCTGAGTAGCTGGAACTACTGGCACATGCCACCTCACCCAGATAATTTGTTAATTTTTGTAGAGATGAGTTTTTGTCATGTTGCCCAGGCTGGCCTTGAACTCCTGGGCTCAAGAAATCTGACCACCTTGGCCTCCCAAAGTGTTGGGATTACAGACGTGAGCCACCATGCCCGGACTTCTTGTGTAATTTTTTAAAAAAATGTTAATGATTAAAGTGCTAATGCTATAGGGACTTTAAGGATGATATTTAAGAGACTCCACAGTAAAATATATCTAATTTCTCAGTATTATTTTTTATTACTCCAGTGGTACACCAAGTTTTTAATGTAACTCACAAATAGAGTACATTAAAGAAATATAACAGAAAAAAAAAAAAAGAATCCACATTAATCTGGAAAGGGTAACAAAATTAAAGACTATATCTAGAAATACCCCAATAATTTTTGGTATTCCAATTGGTTAAAAACTTCTGAGATTTGCAACATGATGAACAAAAGTATGTTTTACAAAAGGTTTAAAAATAAATGCTTCTTGACTATCATGTTCAAACCACTTCATTAGAAATTTAGGACTTAAATAGTATTGAATATTTGAAAAATAACACATCATTTTGAATTGAGTCATATTAAATAAGCAAATGCATTTTGCCTTTGCTAATCTTTTATGTATTTTTTCTATATAACTAGATGTACATATCTATGTAAATGTTATCTATATATATATATATTTTAAACCAGAAGCTAGGTTATTTTTTAACCAGAATCTAGTTGTTTCACAGATATTTTTTCCCACCAAGTAATAGACATGTTGAATAATAAAACATATATTATGACATGTTAAAATGTGCACTGGAAAGAAAAATATCGAAGTATTTAATTTCCTTTATAAGAGATACAATAATGGATGTTATATCTTTGAATATGAACAGAATATATTCTATCTTTAAAAAATACTAATTGATTACTGATATATTTGTGTTAATTGATTTAACTTCATCTATTTATTTTGGTGAAGAGAAGTATGGGTGAAAGAGTAGAAAAGGACCATATGCATAAAGGAGAAAAATAATGGGTGCCACAATGTAAAATGTTTACTGTATAAAATTCTATGATATAATTATAGTGATGATTATGATGAAGAGGAAGTTTATCATTATTTTTACACATTCAAAACACGTAGAAATATTAAGTGATTACCAAAGATTATACTTATAGTAAGATTTAGAGCCAGAGATTGAGCCCAATATTTTTGGTTACTTTCTAATTAACATTGTATAGTTCTGCCTCTTGTTTCTTATCTTAGTGTACATTTTATACATTTATCAGGAGGACTACAATAATCTGAAACTCAAATTTCAGAAGATGCAGAACAGACAAACTTTATGGTACAGTTTTTCTTTTTACAGATTTCTTTTACTGGGGGAATTGGTAGTTTTACTCTCTCAGATGCTAAGTAGGTGTTTTACCTATATTTTGGGATGATATGACATAATGATATACAATGCAATTATAATATGATATAAAATAGCAGCTTAAATATTAATGTTTTTTAAATTTAATGATAATAAAGTCAATGAGATATGAAAAAACAACTTGTTCATAACTTATGAGAATTTTATTTCCCTTTGTCCCCTTCATCAGTTAAAATGGTTGTGCCTTACAACTTTTCCATTTTGCTTTGTGCTATTTGTAGGCAGTCCTTTTGCAGTGATTAAAGTGCTAAATTTTAGTGAATCCATTAAAGGGAAAGTGACTAATTATGAGCATTAACAGTAAAGATTATGGGAAGTGCCATGTGTTTCATTGTGAATGCAGAAAACTGTTGTGTTAAAGCTATAATCTGAAATAATAAATGAATATAACATGGAATAGATAACAAAAAATATTCAGAGAAGAAATGCAGGCTGTTATCTCTGAAAACAATAAAGAAATTAGATAGGAAACAAAAAAAAGAGTTTTCATTATGCTACTTAGCTTTGAATAGCTGCTAGAGAACAGATATGAGATAGAATAGCTGGCCTCTCACATTCAATCACTTGCCATCTCCCTACAAACTTTGCCATCTTTCTGATATAGTGTCATTTATTTGTTCCCTGCCCGTAATGACCTTCCTCCTGTTCTTCCTCTCGGTAGCTAATGAAGTCCTATTCACTTTTTAGCGTGGAATTCAAAAGGCATCTTTTAAAAAATTAGCTTTCATGATACTGTAGTATTCTCTGAAATACATGAATCTTAATATTTATTATATAATCTACTGTAATTAGTAAAACATCTTACTTATAAAACTGTCCCACTGTAAGTGAATACATTCTCTAGAATTAGAACTAGAGAAATGAAAATAGAAAAATCACATGATCAAACACTGAAACCAACATATCCAATATATTCCAAGAATCTAGCACAGTACTGGCACAGGCTAAGTATTCACTAAATATTTAGTAAGGAAAAGATAAATATTTGTCACATTTTATGACATTGGAATACCTCTATGCCCAGAGACTAGAGAACCTAGAAGAAATGGATAAATTGTTGGAAACACACAACCTTCCAATATTAAATCAGGAAGAAATTGAAATCCTGAACCAATAATGAGTTTCAAAATTGAATCAGTAATAAATAGCCTACCAACCAAATCAAACAAACAAACAAATGAGCAAAAAGACCCTTGGCCAGATAGTTTCACACTCGAATTCTACCAGATGTACAAAGGAGAGTTATTACCAATACTACTAAAATTATTCCAAAAATTTGAGGAAGAGCGACTCCTGTCTAACTAATTGTACAAAGCCAGCATCATTTTAGTGCCAAAACCTGGTAGAGACACAACAAAAAAGAAAACTTTAGGTCAGTATTCTTGTTGAACATAGACACAAAAATCCTCAACAAAATACTAGCAAACCATATCCAGCAGCACATCAAAAAGTTATTTTACCATGGTTAAGTAAGCTTTATTTCTATGATGCAAGGTTGGTTCAACATACACAAATCAATAAATATGATTCACCACATAAACAGAATATTTAAAAACCATATAATCGTGATGATAGACACATAAAATGCTTTTAATAAAATTCAATATCCCTTCATGTTAAAAACATTCAGCAAATTAGGCATTGAAAGCACATACCTCAAAATAATAAGAGCCATCTATGAAAAACCCACAGCCAATATCACACTGAATGGGCAAAAACTGGAAGCATTACCCTGGATAACTAGAACCAGATAAGGATGTCCATTCTGACCACTCCTCTTCAACATAGTACAGAAAGTCCTAGCCAGAGTAATCAGACAAAAGAAAGAATAAAATGCATCCAGATAGGAAGGGAGAAAGTTAAATTATCTTTTTTTTTTTTTTTGCAGACAATATGGTAGAATACCTATAAAACCCTAAAGATTTTCCCAAAAGTCTCCTAGAACTGATTAATGACTTCAGTAAAGTTTAGGATACAAAAAGCAGTAGCATTTCTACACATCAATAACATTCGAGCTGAGAGCCAAATCAAGAACATAATGTCACTTACACTAGCCACACAAAGAATAAAATAACTACGAATAGAGCCAACCAGGGATGTGAAAGACTTCTACAATAAGAATTACTAAACACTGCTGAAAGAAATCAGGGACAACACAAGCAAATGGGAAAACCTGCTCATGGATAGGAAGAATCAATATTGTTAAAATGGTCATACAACTGAAAGCAAGTTACAGATTCGATGCTATTTCTGTCAGACTACCAGCATCATTTTTCACAGAATTAGAAAAAAAGAAACTATTCTAAAATTCATATGGAACCAAAAAATAGCCCAAATGGCCAAAGAATCCTAAGCACAAAGAACAAAGTCAGAGGCTTCACACTACCCAACTTCAAACTATACTACAAGGCTACAGTAAGCAAAATGGCATGGTACTGATACAAAAACAAACAAACCAATGGAACATGACAGAGAACTCATAAATAAAGTCACATATCAACAACCAACTGATTTTTGACAAAGTTGACAAAAATGAACAATGAAGAAAGGATACCCTATTCAGAAAATGGTGCTGAGATAACTGGCTAGCCATATGCTGAAAAGAAACTTACCATTATACAAGAATAAACTCAAGATGGATTAAAGACTTAACTGTAAGTCATAAAACTATAAAAATCTTAGAAGGAAGTCTAGGAAATACCTTTCTGGACATTAGCCTTGATAAAGAATTTATGATTAAGTCCCCCAAAACAATGGGAACTAAATAAATGAAAGAGCTTCTGCACAGAAAAAGAACCTTTCAACAGAGTAAACAGACAACCTACAGAATGGGAGAAAATATTTGCAAACTGCATCTGACAGAGGTCTAAAATCTCAAATCTGTAGGAATGTAAAGAATACAATAGCAAAAACCAATTGACCTCATTATATGAAGGACAAAGGACATAAACAGACACTTCTCAAAAGAAGACATGCATGCAGCCAAAAAATATATGAAAAAATGCTCCATACCACTAATCATAAGAGAAATGGAAATCAAAACCATTTCATATTAGTTAGAAGAGCCATTATTAAAATGTCAAAAAATAGTAGATGTTGGCAAAGTTTCAAAGAAAAGGGAATGCTTATACACTATTAGTGGGAATGTAAATTAGTTCAACTGTGAAAAGCTGTTTGAAAATTTCTCAAAGAACTTATAACTACCATTTGACCCAGCAACTCCATTATTGGGTATATACCCACAGGAAAGTAAATCATTCTACCAAAAAGACGCATGCACTCATATGTTCATGGTCTCATTATTCATAATAGCAAATGCATTGAATCAACCTAGATACCCATCATTTATGGACTGAATAAGAAAAATATGGTAGAAATACAACATGGAATACTATGGAGTCATAAAAAAGAGCAAAATTATGTCCTTTGCAGCAACATGGAAGCAGCTGGAGGACATCATCCTAAGTCAATTAATGCAGGAACAGAAAACCAAATACTGTATGTTCTCACTTATAAATAAATGGAGCTAAACATTGAGTACATATGAGCACAACAATGAGAACAACAGACACTGGGGACTACTTACTGGAGCGGGGAAGAAGTGGGGAAATGGTTGAAAAAATGTTGGGTAATGTGCTCCCTGTCTAGGTGACAAGATCATTCATACAGCAAAACCCAACAACACACAATTTACCCATGTAACAAATCACACATACCCCCAAAACTAAAATAAAAGTAAAATAATAAAAACAAATCTTATCCAAGTGAAATTAAATGAAGTTTTTATTTGTATACAAATTTTACTTGATATTGGTGAATATTAAAAAAGAAAATACTTTCTACTAATTATGAAAACATAGCTGAAGGCCTGCAATGTTGTAAAACACATAATAAAATATTTTTCCTAGAAATGTGTGCAGGCGAATTAGAACTAGAGAAATAAAAATAGAAAAATCTTTTGAATAAACACTAAAAGAGCTCAGTAAGACAGTTGTTTGAAAGAAATAACTTATTTCAATTCATGAAAAGAAAAGATAAAGTATGCAAAAAGAATTTATTGGGCAGAAATTGGAGCAGTTCATAGAGTCCAAGGGAGATTTATATAAGAACATCTATAGAAGCTGATTTGAAAATAAAATACCTAGAAGGAGGATAGAAGCATGAAAGTATGCTGGATGTTATTTCAGTAATACAGTGAGAAAATGAGCTGCTGGACGTTGAGATGATAATTAGGGATCAGAATCTGTATGTGTTTTGAAAATAAGAAATCCTGAAGAAGGCAATGCAAGGTGTGAGAAAGAAAGGAACTGTCAAATGACTTCAGGGTTTTGAGACTAATCAACAGACAGTATGGATTTGCCATTGTATTCATTTCATTTCTGCTTTTATAACAGAGTACTACAGATCGGGTAATATATAAAGAACAGAAGTTTATACAGCTCACTATTCTGGAGGCTGGAAAGTCCAAGAGCATAGTGCAAGCATCTGGCGAGTTTTGTCTTATGATGAAAGGGTAGAAAGTGAAAGTGATCGCATAAGACAGAGAGGTACCAGGGGATGGACTTGCTTTATAACTACACACCCTCACTATAACTTACGTGATGCCATAATAATGACATTAAACAGAGCCTTGATGACCAGTAATCTCTTATTAGGCATCACCTCTCAACACAGTTGCACTGGAGATTAAGTTTCCAATACATGAACTTTGGGGAACAAATAAAAGCCATAGCACCCATTACTTTAGATGTACAAGAATGCCAAATGAACAATTTTGAAGGGGATGGATAATTGATGATGTTAGATGGTGGACAAAAGTGGTAGTGGACATTTTTTTTTTAAATCTTCTATTTCATTATCTTGGGAAAGTAGGAAACAAAGTTGCCACCTGAGAGCAGGATAGAGGAGGAGGTGATTAATGTTTGGGGAAATAATATAAAATCTTTTTCAAATATGGTAGAGAAGAGAATGGAATAAACAAATGCAGTGTGGCAAGTGTGCAGCATTCAGTGTTCACTTGACGTTCACGATAATACAATTAAAGAAAGAACAGATAAGGTGGTTGAGTGTTTTATACACAGGCATACCTTAGAGATATTGTGGGTTTGGTTCCAGACCACTGTGATGAAGTTAATATCACAATAAAGCAAGTTACATGAACGTTTTGGTTTCCCAGTGCATAGAAAAATATGTTTACACTATAACCTCATCTGTTAAGTGCAATAACATTATGTCTAAAAAATCAATGTATATAACTTAATTAAAATATACCTTATATCTAGAAAGTGATAACAATTATCTGAGCCTTCAGTGAGTAGTAATATTATCGCTGTTGGAAGATCTTGCCTCAGTGTTAATAGCTGCAGACTGATTAGGGTCGTAGTTGCTTAAGTTTGGAATGCCTGTGACAATTTCCTAAAATAAGAAAATAATGAAGTTTGTCACTTGAATTGATTCTTCCTTTCCTGAAAGATTTCTCTGTAGGATGCAATGCTGTTGGATAACATATTATGCACAGTAGCACTTTTTCAAAATTGGAGTCAATCATTTCATACTGTGCAAATGCTTTATCAATAAAATGTATATAATATTCTGAATTATGTCTTGTCACTTCAACAATGTTCACAGCATCTTCACCAGGAGTAGATTTCAATTCAAGAAACTACTTTCTTTGCTCATTGATTAGAAGTAACTTTTATCCATTCAAGTTTGATCATGAGATTACAGCAATTCAGTCACATCTTCAGGTTTCAATTCTAATTCTAGTTCTCTCACTATTTCCACTACCTCTGCAGTTATTTTCTTCACTTTAATTTTGAACCCCTAAAGTCATCCATGAGGATTGTAATCAACTTCTTCTAAACTCCTGTTAACATTTCTATGAATCACAAATATTCCTAATGTTATCTAGAATGGTGAATTATTTCCAAAAGTTTTTCAATTCACTTTGCTGAGATCTGTCAGAGGAATCACTGTCTATGGAAGGTATAGACTTACAAACTCTATTTCTTAAATATTAAGATGCAAAAGTCAAAATTACTTCTTGACCCATGGCCTACAGAATGGATGTTGTGTTGGCAGGCATGAAAACGACATTAATCTCCTTATACATCTGCATCAGAGCTCCTGGTAACCAGGTGCATTGTCAATGAACAGTAATATTTTGAAAGGAACATTTCTGTCTGAGCGGTAGAGCTCAACAGTGGGCTTAAAATTTCAGTAAACCATGCTGTAAACAGGTATGTTTTCATCTATGTTTTGTTGTACTATTTACAGAGCACAGGCAGAGTAGATTTAGCATGTTTAAGGGCCTGAAGATTTTCAGAATGGTAAAGGAGCATTGGTAATGTCACCAGTTTCATTAGCTCCAAACAAGAGAATTCGCCTGTCTTTGGAGATTTGAAATGAGGCAGTGACTTCCTTTTAGCCATGAATGTCCTAGATGCTGTTTGCTTCCAATAGAAGGCTGTTTTGTCTGTATTGAAAACCTGTTGATTAGTTTAGCCACCTTCATCAATTATCTTAACTAATTCTTCTGAATAATTTGCTGTAGTTTTTCCATAAGCACTTGCTGCTTAACGTTGCATTTTATGTTATGGAGATGGCTTGTTTCTTTAAGCCTCATGAAATAACCTCTTCTAGCTTCAAACTTGTGTTCTGTAGTTTCTTCACCTCCCTTGGCCTTCATGAAATTGAAGAGAGTTAGGTACTGTCTCTATATTAGGCTTTAGGTAAAGGGGATGTTGTGGATAGTTTGATCATCACATGGTTTTTGTTTTGAATTATGTTTATGTGGTGAATCACATTTACTGATTTGTGTATGTTGAATCACCCTTGCATCCCACTTGCTCATGATAAATTATCTTTTTTCATGTGCTACTGGATTTGGCTTGGTAGTATTTTGTTGAGAATTTTTGTGTCTATGTTCATCAGGGATATTAGCCTGTAGCATTCCTCTTTTGTTTTCTCCTTGGCAGATGTTAGTATCAGGATGATACTGGTTTTGTTGAATGATTTAAGGAGCAATCCCTTGATTTTTTGGAATAGTTTCAGCAAGATTGATACCAGCTCTTTATGCATCTGGTAGAATTTTGCTCTGAATTTGTCTAGTCCAGGGCTTTTTTTGGGGGTTGGTAAATGGTTATTATTGTTTCAATTTAGTAACTCATTATTGATCTTCTCAGGATTTCCGTTTCTTCTTGGTTCAATGTTAAGAGTGGCATATTCCCTGAAATGTCGTCATTTCTTTGGGTTTTCTAGTTTTTATGCCTAGAAATATTCATAGTAGTCTTTGAGGATTTTTTGTGTATTTCTGTGCTATCAGTTATAATTTTAACTTTGTCATTCCTAATTCTGCTTATTTAAATCTTCTCAGTATTTTCTTGGTTAATCTAACTAGCAGTATATCAATTTTGTTTATTCTTTCAATGAACAAACTTTTCATTCTGTTGATTTTTTGGAAGTTTTATTTTTGGTCTCAATTTTACTTTGTTCAGCTCTGAATTTGTATTTTCTTCTGCTACCTTTGGGTTTGGTTTGTTCTTGTTTTTCTAGTTCCTTTAGGTGCAATGTTAGGTTGTTAATTTGAGATATTTCTATATTTTTAATGTAGGCATTAATGCTACATTAACACTGCTTTTGCTGTGTTTCAGTAGTTTTGACATGTTCTATTTTTATTTGTTTCAAAAGCGTTTTTTATTTCTATCTTAATTTTGTCATTTACTCAAAAATCATTCAGTAGCAAGTTATTTAGTTTCCATATAGTTGAGGTTTTGAGAGTTCTTCTAGGTATTGATTTCTAATTTTATTCTGCTGTGGTCCAAGAATATGCTTGCTATGTTTGTGATTTTTTTAAATTTATTGAGACTTGCTCTATGACCAAGCATGTGATCTATTTTAGAGTGTTTCTTGTGCAGATGAGAAAAATGTATGTTCTGTGGTAATTGGGTGGAGTATTCTGTAGATGCCTATTAGATCCAACTGGTCAAGAGTCCAGTTAAATCCAGAGTTTGTTAGTTTTCTGCCTTGATGATGTGTCTAGAGACATCAGCAGAGTGTTGAAGTTCCTCACTATTATTGTATGGATGTGTATCTCTTTTCTTAGTTCTAATAGTATTTGTTTTAGAAATCTTTGTACTCCAATGTTGGTCATGTATATTTTTAAGTTGATTAAATCTTGTTCAATTCAAACCTTTATCATTGTAAATGCCCTTCTTTGTCTTCGTTTTTTCTTTTTACTGTTGTTGTTTTAAAGTCTGTTTTATCTAATACAGCAAATAGCTACAGCTGCTCTTTTTTGTTTTCCATTTGTATAATAGATCTTTATCCATCCCTTTCCTTTGAGCCTGTGGCTATCATTACACATGAGATGGGTCTTTCAAATGCAGCAGAAGGTCGGGCCATTTAAAATCAAACAAACAAACAAAACAAACAACAAAAAAAAAACTAATTCACCACTCTATGGCTTTAAGTAGAATATTTAGCCCATTTACATTCAATATTAATATTTATATGTGAGATCTTGTACCTTTCAGAGTGTTGTTAGTTGCTTTGTGATCTGAATTGTGTAATTGCTATATAGGATTTGTAAGCTTTGTATTTACGTGCTCTTATGTTCTTATGTGGTGTTATTCTATTGTTTCCATGTTTAGAACTGCTTTGAGCCCTTCTTGTAAGGCTGGTCCGGTGGTGACAAATTCTTTTAGCATTTGCTTGTCTGGGAAAGATTTTATTTCTCCTTTGCTTTTGAAATTTAGTTTGGCAGCATATGACATTTTTTGCTGGCAAGTTTTTTTCCTTAAAAGGGCTAAAAATAGATCCACAATCTGTTTTGGCTTGCAAAGTTTCTGCTGAGAAATATGCTGTTTGTCTGATGGTATTTCCTTTAAAGGCAATTTGGCTCTTTTCTCTAGCCTTTAAGAGATGTTTGTCTCACACACATCTTGGATAGTCTGATGATTATATGCCTTGAGGATGGTCATTTTATATAGTATCTTGCGGATGTTCTCTGAATTTCTTCTGTTGGGATGTTAACCTGTCTAGCAAGGTTAGGGATGTTTTACTGACTTATTTCCTCAAATATGTTTTCCAAATTGCTTACTATTTTTTCTTCTCATTCAGGAACACCAATAAACCATAGAGTTGGTCATTTTATATAATCCCATATTCCTCCAAGTCTTGTTTATTTTTTATTTTTTATTTTTTAATTTTTCTGATGGAGTTAATTTGTAAGAGTGGTCTTCAAGCTCTGAAATTCATTCTTTTTGGTCCAGCCTATTGTTAAAGCTTCCAGCTCTATTTTGAAAAAAATTTAAGGAAGTGTTCAATATCAGAATTTCTATTTTTTTGGTCAAATATAGCTATCTTGTCCTTCACATTCTGAATCACTTTTCTTGTTTCTTTATGTTAGATTTCAACTTTATGTTGGATCTCATTGAGTATCTTCACAATCCATATTTTGAATTTCCTGTCTGTCATTTCAGACTTTTCAGGTTAGTTAGGATACATTGCTATAAAACTAGTGTGATCATCTGGGGGTGTCAACATACTCTGGCTCTTTGTACTGCCAGAGTTCTTATGCTATTCCTTCTCATCTGAGGAAAATGTTGCTTCTTATTTTTGAATTTGCTATCATTTGGATGTAACTTTTATATATTTTAAAATTCTTTCTTCCTTTGAGGTTGTAACTGTGATATATGTTGCATATGATTATTTGTCTTCATGTTTGGATATGTTTAGTTGGCTAAGGATCTGTACATGTTCTGTGGGTTGTGGATAGCTTTTGTACAGTGTTTTCTCAGATGTTGCTTATTGCAGCAACATATTGGACATATGCACGGATATACAAACTCCTATAGGGCTGAATGTATAGAAGTCTCAAGAAGCTTATTCATGGAGTAGCACTAAGCTTTTCTGGCAGTAGGGTTTTTATTTGGGGGTACAGTTCAGGCTGCAGTACAGTTGATGGTGCTTTGGACTAAGAGCTGGCTCACCCTTAGGCTGATGATAAATGGAAGCACCATTGGGAGGGTGGCAGAAAAAGATAATTTTGGGTTGCTCTGAGCTCTCAAGGGAAGAAGCCAGGAGCTGGCTTCTTTTCCTGAGCCAGCAGAAATGCAATCTGCTTCCCTATTGTGTCCCATCGCAGGGCTTGTGACAACCAGTTTATAAAGAATTATTCCTTTATTTCCCAGCCACAGTGCAGGTGAGGGTAATAGATATTCTTCTTTTATGGCTACCACTAAAATGCGCATGGGACAGAGCCTCTTCCTCCAGTCCAGAGCAGGCAGCTCTGTGAGGTATCCATCCTCCATTGCAGGGATGCTGCTGCTTTGTGTAGAGAAGGGGAATTGGGCCACACCCTTCATATAAGCCCAAGCAGCATGGACTCACTTTCAGCAGGGGTGAAGCCACCACAAAAAGTATGAAAAATGCTTTCTCGAAGTGTAAATGTGCCAGCCCCCAGCAAGAAAAACCACTGTTGTATCTGTATCAGGGTATAGGGAGGAGGTGCAAGATGTCTACTCTCTCCATGTTTGTTCCTAGGAGTTGGTGCTTTTTCCTTTGTAGATTGGTGGTATGCACACATTTTCTTTGTCCCTAAGGGGGCTTTGGCAGGCTTTGTTTTCCCCTCCCTTAGGGGCAGCTTACACAGAGGGAGTTTCTCAGGTACCCACTGGTCCTCTGTGCTTTCCAAGGTGAGAGTGAGTTGTGGGGTATATTTGTGGGAGATCTGGTGGTGTGATGACTCAAAGGCAGATAAACCCTGGGCAGAGCAGTACCCTACTATGAGGGCATAACCAGTATAGCACCAACTATCTCAGTTTGGGTCTGAGAGGAGTGTGGGCACACAACTGGCTACCTGGTTTGTTCTCGGGAATTTCTCAAGTTGCACCATCAGTGTTAATGCCCTGGGTCAAAAGGACACAGGGGGTCCGACCAGTTTAATGGTCATCAGATTTTCACAGTGGTGAAGGCAGCAGAAAAGCATTCCTACCTATCCTTTCCATGAGGATCTGAGTTTCTCTGGTTTTGATCTCTGGCAGACTGTTTTGGCTTTTCTCTTCTTTGCCCCAGCTTTTTCCCATGGGCAGTCCTACAGTTTCTGGCTGTCTTCCTTCAGTTTTTTTTTTTTTTTTTTTTCAGAACTTTCCCATTCACCAGTAACTTTGATCATTTTTTTAGAGAAGAACTGAAATCTGATGTCTATAGTCAGCCACTGTATTTGTCTGTTCTCACACTGCTAATAAAGACATACCTGAGATGGGGTAATTTATAAAGGGAGGCGGTTTAATTGACCACAGTTCTGCATGGCTAGAAAAGCCTCACAATCATGATGGAATGCAAAGGAAAAGCAAAGTCATGTCTTATAAGGTGCCAAGCAAGAGGGCATGTGCAGGGGAACTCCCGTTTATAAAACCATCAGATCTCATGAGACTTATTCACATCATGAGGACAGCAGGGGAAAAACCTGCCCCCATGAGCCAATTACCTCCCCCTGGGTCCCTCCCACTACATGGGGATTATTACGATTCAAGGTGAGATTTGGGTCAGGACATAGAGCCAAACTATATCATTCTGCCCGTAGCTCCTCCCAGATATCATGTCCTTAGATTTCAAAACCAATCATGCCTTCTAACAGTCCCACAAAGTCTTAACTAACTCATTCCAGCATTAACCAAAAAGTCCGAAACCTCATCTGAGACAACGCAAGTACCTTCTGGCTACAAGCCTGTAAAATCAAAAGCAAGTTGGTTACTTCCTAGATATAATGAGGGTATAGGCATTGGGTAAATCCATTTGTTCCAAATGAGATAAATTGTCCAAAGCAAAGAGGTTGCAGGCCCCATGCAAGTCCAAAGTTCAATGGGGCAGCCAAATCTTAAAACTCTGAAATGACCTTCTTTGACTCCATGTCTTACATCCAGGTTATGCTGGTGCAAGATTTGGGCTCCCATGACCTCAGGCACCTCTGCCTCTGTGGCTTTGCAGGGTACAGCCCCCCTTCTGCCTGCCTTCATGGGCTGGCATTGAGTATCTGCAGCTTTTCTGACAGGTGCACGATGCAAGCTGTCAGTGGATCTACCATTCTGGTGTCTGGAAGACGGTGGCCCTCTTCTCACAGTTCCACTATGCAGTGCCCCAGTGGAGACTCTGTGTGGGGGCTCTGACCCCACAGTTTCCCTGCCCTTGCAGAGGTTCCCCATGAGGGCCCCATCCCTATAGCAAAAGCATTCCTGGACATCCAGCTGTTTCCATACATCCTCTGAAATCTAGGCAGAGGTTTCCAAACCTCAGTTCTTGACATCTGTGCACCCACAGGCTCAACATCACAAGGAAACTGCCAAGGCTTGGGGCTCTCTGAAGCCACAGCTCCAGCTGTACCTTGGCCCCTTTAAGCCATAACTGGAGTGACTGGAATGTACAGCACCAGGTCCCTAGGCTGCAGGAGGGGGCCCTGGGCCCAGCCCACAAAACCATGTTTTCCTCCTAGGCCTCTAGTCCTGTGATGGGAGGGGCTGCCGGGAAGGTCCCTGACATGCCCTGAAGACATTTTCCCTACTGTCATGGGGATTAACATTTGGCTCCTTGTTACTTACGCAAATTTCTGCAGCCAGCTTTTATTTCTAATCATAAAATGGGTTTTTCTTTTCTATTGCATCCTCAGGCTGCATATTTTCTGAACTTTTACTCTCTCCTTCCATTTTAAACATAAGTTCCAATTTCAACCTTACCATTGTGAATAAATAAAACTGAATGCTTTTAATAGCACCCAAGTAATCTCTTGAGCACTTTGCTGCTTAGAAATTTATTCTGCCAGATGCCCTAAATCATCTCTGTCAAGTTCGAAGTTCCACACGTCTCTAGGACAGGGAAAAAATGTCATCAGTCTCTTTGCTAGAGTATAACAAGTGTCACCTTTGCTCTAGTTCCCAACAAATTCCTCATCTTTTGCTGAGACCACCTCAGCCTGGAACTTCTTGCTCATATCACTATCAGCACTTTGTGATCAGCCATTCAACAAGTCTCTAGGAAGTTCCAAACTTTCCCACATCTTCCTGTTTTCTTCTGAGGCCTCCAAACTCTTCCAACCTCTGCGTGTTATCCAGTTCCAAAGTTGTTTCCATGTTTTTGGATATCTTTACATCAGCGCCTCACTACCTGGTACCAATTTACTGTATTGGTCTGTTCTCATGCTGCCAGTAAAGACATACCTGAGACTGGGTAATTTGTAAAGGAAAGGGTTTTAACTGACTCACAGTTCCACATGGCTGGGGAGGCCTCACAATCATGGCAGAAGTCAAAGGAGGAGCAAAAAGACATCTTACAAGGTGGCAGGCAAGAGGGCATGTGCAGGGGAACTCCCCTTTATGAAACCATTAGATCTAGTGAGATTTATTCACATCACAAGAACAGCATGGGAAAAATCCACACCCATGCTTCAATTACCTCCCACCAGGTCCCTCTTACAACATGTAGGGATTGTTACAATTCAAGGTGAGATTTGGGTGGAGACACAGAGCCAGACCATATCAGCCATAGGATGTCAGAGCTGAAAGACCAACTTTTAATCTGTACAATTCAGTTGTGAGAAAACTGAAGCTATCAGAGAAGTGACCTTTATGGGGTCATCACTCAATAGATCGAGCAGTAGGACCTTGGTGCTCTGCCACTCAACTGGGTTTCTGCCTTCAGGCAGGGCCCTAACTCCCTTCTTCACCAATAACCTATAACCAGGTTAGATGTCGGTGACCTTTCTAGCTTTTGACTTAAAGTGAGAGATGTGTGATTTTTCCTTTCACTTGAACACTTAGCAGCCATTGCAGTGTGATTAATTGGCCTAATCTCAATACTGTTGTGTGTTTCAGGAAATATGGAGGCCTGAGGAGAGGGAGAGAGGTGAAAAGCAGGTTGGTGGAGCAGTCAGAACACATGCAATATTTATGAACTAGGTTTGCAGTCTTATTGGTGCACAGTTCATGGTGGCCCAATATAATTATAATGGTATCATCAAAGATCACCATTACAGATCAACATAACATATATTACAAGAATGAAAAGTTTGAATATTGTAAAAATTGCCAAAATGTGACACAGAGATACAAAGCAAGCACATGCTATTTGAAAAATGTCACTGAGTTATTTGCTTAGCAGAGGTGTGTTACAAACTTTCAACTTACAAAACAACAATATTTATGAAATACAATAAAGTGAAACCAAATGAAATTATTTATGGGTGGTATTCACATTTTGCTGCATTAGTGCAGAGTCAGAGTAGCCTACATTTAGATGTAACTAAAACGCTGATTTTGTCAAGCAGGTATGGCAAAGTGAGATGGAGCAAGGAATCTAATAGTATTTAGTAAGGAGTTATAATCAGTGATCATAATATTTATTGTATATAGGAAAGAAGAGAGGTTATCAAAGAAGGAAAAGATATGAAAAGTAGCATCATTGCACGGAAGTCCTGCATGACAAAAAAATTGTTGGTGTTGGGGCACTAAAGGGAAGAATAAGATGGGATCAGAACAGATGTAAACATTTAATACGACTGGAATTTCAAATCTAACATCCATGCTAGTTTTTGAAAATGATTATCCTATGTAAGAGGTTTTCAAGCAAAACGGTAATAATGAAGTTAAAAATATAATTTTGAGGTCTTCTGCAACAAATTCATGAACATGTCTGAGTTGTCACACACATTGGATGAAGGTAAGGTTTGAGGAAGAAGGGATTGTGCATCTGAATTTGCACATTCCTGAGATTTCATGTTAGACTTCTGCATCAACTAGGTGATGAGCCAGAAATTTCTTAACAAGGGATCATTTTATGAGACAATGAAATAAATTGTATTATTTAAAAACAAAAAGGATAATCTTTTTAGGAACAGGAAAAGTAAATTTTTATATTCTTCATTCACTTGGAATAAAAAAGATGAAAAATATCATCTTCTGGGGAGTAAGTACTTCTTTTAAGTTAAAGGTCACAATTTACTCAATAGACAAGGGAATTTCTTCTTCCTTAAAATTCATTTTTTAAGCCTAGAGACCATGAAAAGTTATGATTCATGTTGTTATGGTAGACTGACTTGTGATATATCTGAATTTGAACAATACATGTTAGAACTAATACAGAAAAGTAAGTTACAAACCGTGAAGTCAGATTGAAAACAGCTGTTATCTGAGGGAAAAAAATCAACTATCAAAGCTGTGGGAAAAAAATCATCTCTACATCATAAGTTAATACTGAAAGCTTAATTAGACTTAGCTCAAACTATTTTTTGCCATTAAAAGGAATTGTGAAAACCGCAATTACTTTGCACCAACCTATAGCATTTGCTAGTTCTCGGACTTTATAGAGATAAAATATGTTTCAGAATTAGTCATATATATAAGTCATGGATTTTCAAGTTAATGTTAATTCAATTGACTTTTGGTAACTAAATAGTATTTCTTTTATTTTGCAAAGTCCAAAGAAAAATAAATAAAATAAAAATAAAATAAGTAGTTTTGGTATAGTCTTTCTGGCTTTTACCTCAGCATCCATCACATTGGCTTTATCCTAAGATTTACAGAATATTGGCTGCAGCAGTTCTGGATATCATATCCAGATATTACAATAGTCAGAGGAAGAAGAGAAGTAGCTTTTCCCCATTACCCTTTCTTGGAAGTGCTGAAATTCTCCCTAGAATCTTTCCCAAGGACTTCTTATATTAATATGATTCTTTGACCATTTGGAGTCAAACATTGACAAAGAGAGTTAGAATATCCTTTTTTTTTTTTTTATTGAAAACAACCTTAGTATGCAAAACAGTCTTTCATAGATGAAGGCACCACTACCCATGTACTATCAATAAGACATGTGCTTTGAGATATTATTTTAATTGTAGGAGAGACTATTTAGTGCTGATCTAGCAACAGCTATCAGTCTGTGATCTGCACAGGCAGCATTTATCCTTGGCTTAAAATGCGAAAACCTACTGGTGCACATGAAGATTTCATCCACAATCACAGCATCATTAGCATAGACTTGTCCAACTGAGAGAAAGGATTAGAAAATATTTGTGACAATAATAAGATTTAATGTTTTTCTTATTTTATTTATTTATTTTTTTTGAGACAGAGTCTTGCTCTTGTCACCCAGGTTGGAGTGCAGTGGTGCAATCTTGGCTCACTGCAACCTCCACCTCCAGGGTTCAAGCAATTCTCCTGCCTCAGCCTCCCGAGTAACTGAGATTACAGGTGCCCAACACCATGCCCAACTAACCTTTATATTTTTAGTAGAGACAGGGTTTCGCCTTGTTGGCCAGGCTGGTCTTCAACTCCTGACCTAAGGTGATCTGCCCACCTCGGCCTCCCAAAGTGCTGGGATTACAGGGGTGAGCCACCATGCCCAGTCAAGATTTAATGTTTCTAATTCTCCGATTTCCTTAGTTGTGTGTCCCCAGCAGCCTATCTCTGACACCACTTTTTTTTTTTTAAATACTTTAAGTTCTAGGGTACATGTGCACAACGTGCAGGTTTGTTACATATGTATACATGTGCCATGTTGGTGTGCTGCACCCACCAACTCATAAAGGTATATCTCCCAATGCCATCCCTCCCCCCTCCCCCCACCCCACAACAGGCCCCAGTGTGCCATGTTCCCCTTCCTGTGTCCAAGTGTTCTCATTGTTCAGCTCCCACCTATGAGTGAGAACATGTGATGTTTGGTTTTTAGTCCCTGCGATAGTTTGCTGAGAATGCTGGTTTCCAGCTTCATCTATGTCCCTACAAAGGACATCAACTCATGCTTTTTTATGGCTGCATAGTATTCCATGGTGTGTATGTGCCACATTTTCTTAGTCCAGTCTATCATTGATGGACATTTGGCTTGGTTCCAAGTCTTTGCTATTGTGAATAGTGCCACAATAAACATACATGTGCATGTGTCTTTATAGCAGTTTGATTTATAATCCTTTGGGTATATACCCAGTAATGGGATGGCTGGGTCAAATGGTATTTCTAGTTCTAGATCCTTGAGGAATTGCCACACTGTCTTCCACAATGGTTGAACTAGTTTACAGTCCCACCCACAGTGTCAAAGTGTTCCTATTTCTCCACATCCTCTCCAGCACCTGTTGTTTCCTGACTTTTTAATGATTGCCATTCCAACTGGTGTGAGATGGTATCTCATTGTGGTTTTGATTTGCATTTCTCTGATGGCCAGTGATGATGAACATTCTTTCATGTGTCTGTTGGGTGCATAAATGTCTTCTTTTGAGAAGTGTCTGTTCATATCCTTTGCCCACTTTTTGATGGGGTTGTTTTTTTCTTGTAAATTTGTTTGAGTTCTTTGTAGATTCTGGATATTAGCCCTTTGTCAGATGAGTAGATTGCAAAAATTTTCTCTCATTCTGTAGGTTGCCTGTTCACTCTGATGGTAGTTTCTTTTGCTGTGCAGAAGCTCTTTAGTTTAATTAGATCCCATTTGTCAATTTTTGCTTTAGTGCCGTTGCTTTTGGTGTTCTAGACCTGAAGTCCTTGCCCATGCCTATGTCCTGAATGGTATTGCCTATGTTTTCTTCTAGGGTTTTTATGGTTTTAAGTCTAACATTTAAGTCTTTAATCCATCTTGAATTAATTTTTGTATAAGGTGTAAGGAAGGGATCCAGTTTCAGCTTTCTACATATGGCTAGCCAGTTTTCCCAGCACCATTTATTAAATAAGGAATT
This sequence comes from Homo sapiens, assembly GCF_000001405.40. Classification (NCBI taxonomy): domain Eukaryota; kingdom Metazoa; phylum Chordata; class Mammalia; order Primates; family Hominidae; genus Homo; species Homo sapiens. The sequence goes on from NC_000013.11 coordinate 68,328,586, forward strand.
CTTTCCCCATTTCTTGTTTTTGTCAGGTTTGTCAAAGATCAGATGGTTGTAGATGTGTGGTATTATTTCTGAGGGCTCTGTTCTGTTCCATTGGTCTATATCTCTGTTTTGGTACCAGTACCGTGCTATTTTTGTTACTGTAGCCTTGTAATACAGTTTGAAGTCAGGTAGTGTGATGCCTCCAGCTTTGTTCTTTTGGCTTATGATTTTCTTGGCAATGTGGTCTCTTTTTTGGTTCCATATCCTTAAACTGGTTCTCCATTGGGAATGATTTTGCCATGGAAGGGACATTTGACAATATCTGGAGCCTTTTTTTTTTGGTTATCACAATTATGACACCACTACTGGCATCCAGTGGACAGAGGCCAGGGATGGCGCTAAAAATTCTATAAAATACGGATCAGCTCCTGCCCACAATGAATAAATACCCAGATGGAAAATATTAATAGTGCCAAGGTCTCAAACCATGTCTCAAACTGTGTCTTAACCCATTCAAGACCACCCCTTATGGTAGGGTTGACATCAGCTTCTAATGAAGCATATGGATGAGTGAGGAATTTATACATTAACAAAATTTTAATTCCCTCAGGAGGAGGCCAGGGTCATGAAGCCAGATAGACAACAATGCCATTCCCTTCACTCACTAGTAGTAACAGGCACAATTTTACAATCCAACATGTTCTTTTCAGTAGAGATATGGCTTTCTACTTTCAGGGATCTGATTAAAAATTTCACAATGTCTGCCCTCAATAATGCCATAGTGCCTATTACTTTTATATGTCAGTGCCTCAATAGTAACATATCTCAAAGAAAACATATTATATTAATATATTAATATAATGATGTGTATCGTATGACTTCAAAGTACATTTTCTAGAGTTAGACACTTTTTATTTAATTCTATCTTTTATTATAGGAGTAGCCTTACAGAATTTCAAAGCCAGAAGGAGAACAGTTTATATAATACTTGAGAGAAAACTATGGTTCAGGGAGGATAAGTAAGTTTTTTTAGATCCCATAGCCAGAATAATCAAGACAGAACTATGATCTCAGAGCTGCTAACTCATAACATGCTGCTCAAGTGTGTTAGTTATCTCTTTGAGATACAATGTAAACTGTAGGAAATTAAGAGATGGAGAGAAGAAATTTGCAGATTTTACATTTGAAAGTCCTTGAAGATGAATATGCACAGAGGAATGCTGTTAGTCCTTTAATGATGCCAGTGATAGTAGATTTTGCAGAACTAACAAAACAACTACAATAAATTAGATGTGATATTTCCTACAGAGTGAACAAGCACATTTAGCAATCATACCTCCCCAGATTACTGTTAAGATATGGAATTATTACTTTTATATGCCAGGTAAATAACCAGTATCCTTTAATTAGACTAAATTAAGAAAAGTGAATTGCTTTGAAAATAGCAATGGAATGGAATGGTGTCTTTCATCAGAGCAGAATCATGTTAATGTCTTAGGCTGTCTAGTTACCATGACAAATAGGTTGTGGTACATGCACACTTTAATTATTAACACTGAAATCTGCTGAAATTCAAGTATTGCTCTTAGGAATGGCTATTACCGCTGAAATGACCCATTTAATAGTGACCATGGTATCAAAATATGGATTTAAATTGGTAATTAATAACAGTCAGTTTCTGAAAATGTTAACACAGAAGTTCAATAAAAATGCTAACTAGGTCTCAAATACCACAGACAGTATATTGACATATTAATATGTATCACTTATATTAAATGCTTTGTAGATTTTGACTTGAGAACAAAATAATAAGAAATAATAAGAATGAAAGCATTTCCTAATGAGCTTCCAAAGAGTCGGTGAACCTAGTGGATTATTTTTCTTTTTTCAGTTTTTATGCCTAAAATTTGTATGAAAGAATTTTCCATTATCAGAACCTAAAGAACTCTATTAAATGGAAGTGAGAAAAATTTAAAATGAGATGATAGGACACTCTTGAGGAATTTTAAACTAATAAGTGGTTGACATGTTGCTCAGTTTATGGGTCACTTGTTCTAAGATCTGTATAATAACTAGCTGCCCCACACTTATTCTATTACTTGTATGCCTCTCCAAAGGAAGAAGACTACGAAGCTTCATCAGGTGACACATAACCAATGAAATTATGAAATAACATTATAAGCGATGTTATAATAGAACTGAGAAATGAACAAACAAAGCAAACGTGCTCGAGCAATATGGTCATAGAATTACCAATATGTGCTTTGGAATGCATTAATTGATATCTGTTGAGATTTACTTGTTTAATTGTCTTATCTTAAACTGATACTAACATGGGATGATGTTCTCTGAGCAATTTAACTGATAGTATCTTAAATATGTTAAAGAAGTTTAAGGGAAAATAATGTGTTATTTACAATTTTCTAAAGAGAACTTTAAAACTGTACTTACATCTCAGAATAAATATATACAATATTATTCTGACCATGAAGAATAGTAAACAAATAAAAATCTGTTTAATGATAATGATAATCGTTTATGATCACTTAGGTCTTTGAATTTAAATAAAAATGGCAGATAAATTTTAACAGGATTTAGACATCAAATTTTAATGTATTTTTATTCCAATATGAGTCTGATGCTCTAAGTTAATATGTCATATATAAGTGGAAGGTAAGAAATCATTTCAGAGTACTTTGAAGATACACACACACACACATTTAAAAAATATTTTTTAACTGTCAATTTTACTTAGTCTCTGAAATATTTAATATGAACTGGGTGCTGCAACAGCTGCCTCTTGGCATTATGTTGTTCCTGCAGAGCACCTGTGCCTGAATCTGCGATACACAAATTTTAGGTGCTTTATTCAGCCAGTACCGATAGCATTTTGTTGTTTAGCCTTCATATTGCAGTTACATTAATACTTTTGTTTGTGGTTAGCAGGTTAACCTCATTTTAACAGGTGGAAACCATTAAAACCATAATGGCAACACAACATGCCTGTTTTCTTGTGACACATTCTAAATATTGATGTTCCCTTTGTCATCTCATCTCATAGCCCAGGCCAAAAAACTAGGTTTTTTTCTTTTTAAAATATTTTTGTTACAAGCATGGACATCTATGTGGATTATATAATGGTTAGATTTTTCTGTAACTGCCATCTTCAGATAAAAATAATTAATACAACAATGTTTTAATGATATGTATATATTTTTCTTTTTAAATTATGTGCTGAATGAGCCACAGAGTGATATTTGAAATTTAGAATATTCCAAATGGACTTACTTCTGAATTTGAGTTGTTCTTGAAAGACTGGGTAGAAAACATTTGCCTTGTAGCACCAAAATAGCTCAAGGACATTGTAATTTAGTCATTTACTAAAATAGGATATGTTTAATATCCCTGAGTATATTAGTATAGTAAGTTTTGTTTAGGAAAACAGGTGAAAGAAAACTAATGAGGATGAAAAATATATCTTTTAAAATAATAATTTATATGTAGTACATTTATATGTGGTATATAAAATTGTCAAACAGAAAATTCAGAGACCGGAATGATTGTGACTAAGGGCTTGGGAGAGGGGAAAATAGGAAGTTGCCATTCGACTGGAACAAAGCTCAGGTTTTCTAGAGATTTGTACATCATCTTGCCTAGAGTTAACAATATGGTATTGTACACTTAAAACTTTTTAAGAGCTGGTAGATCTGATGTTAAGTGTTCCTGCAATAATAATAATAGTAATAATAAAACTAACTGCATCTTCTAGTTTTCCAGATTTTGGATTTATTCTTCCCTAGATGATTGGCTTATTTTATAGAAATATGTTGTGATTACCAAAATTGTCTGTGAAAATTATAAGATTATTTTTCTTTATCAAAAGAAATACACTGTGGTAGTGTACCAAGAAATAATAATTTTCATCATAAGGTAGGAAGAATTTAAAATTTTCAGAGGCAAACTGTGAGGTAAAATTGAAATAAAGTGAAAGGTAGGACTTTATCTTATAGTATTGCACTGATATCTCCATTTGTTTTCCTTAGTTGGATTGCTTTTTTTCATGTTTTAAACAGTTCCTCTTGAAAGCCATCTGGTATTTATTTATTTATTTATTTTAGCGATAAAAATATGTATGCCATAATCTTTCTGTATTATTGAAAATCTTTATTTGAAACATCATCTTCTTTTGAACATCAAAATCTTGAAGTCTTGAAAAATCTATTATGGGTCTATTCGAACAGATTTGGCAATTTCAATTGCTTTGAGTCATTTTGCCTGTGCTTAAAATAGGCCATTCCTTTTGATGGTTATTTAAATACCAACTTAATAATGGTAACTTTTTTTTTTTTTACTTACTTTATGTCTTATTTTTCTAGCTTACATAAATCGCTTGTTTGCCAATTAAAAAAAAAAACCTGAAATAAGCAGTTTTTCTTCCAGTATTCCAGTAATCCTTTACCTGTTGAGTGAAATATCTTTTCACACTGCCCTTCAGAGACATCACATTATAACATTATGTTATTCGTCAATATTATGTTATAAGTCAGTGTTATAATATTGACTGTTATATCCTAGTCAATATCATAAAGAAAACACACAAAATAGTATATTAATACATCCAGATACAGTATATCTGTATGTGTACTCTATATCTTTAAGCTGTGATGAAGCAATGTGTTTTTATTTAAGATTTTTTAAAATTTATATTTCAGAGCCAGAATATGGTATGCCATGTCTCAAAATACAAAATTATTTTTTCTAATAAATTATGTGTACTGCTTCCGATCTTCAGAAGATACCAGCTTTTAATACATAAAATAGGAAATTTGGCATAAAATTTTACCTTTCTAACATATTACTTTTGAAATAAGTTGTCACATTTTCAGTAAATATAATGAATATTCATAAAAAGATAATGAAATGTGACAATAATAATAAAATATGCAGTGGACAATCTATAACACCATCTAAGAACAAAGGCAATTAAATTGACTTGAAACACACATGTGGTGGCTCACTCTTAGAATACTGTCAGAAGTTTATCCAGGCTATTCACCTGACATCAAAAAAATGTATTTGTTTACCATTGCTTCACAGAAAATTTTTAATGGCCAGAAGACTGCATAGTTACCCTTATTTTGGTGTTTTCTTTTTTTCAAAGAGAGCATGAAAACGTCATTTTACTTCTGTCATCTGACCATTCTATCTTTAGCTGAAGATATTTCTATCTTTCTATCTTTAGCTGAGGAAAGCAACTTACCTTCAACCTCCCTCCATGCAAGAAAAATAACTAGTCATTCCCAGAATTTTGGGAGGCTGAGGCGGGAGGATCACAAGGTCAGGAGATCGAGACCATCCTGGCTAACACGGTGAAACCCCATCTCTACTAAAAGAAAATATGAAAAATTAGCCAGGCGTGGTGGCGGGCGCCTGTAGTCCCAGCTATTCGGGAGGCTGAGGCAGGAGAACGGCCCGATCCCGGGAGGCGGAGCTTGCAGCGAGCCGAGATTGGGCCACTGCACTCCAGCCTGGGTGACAGAGCGAGACTCCATCTCAGAAAAAAATAAATAAAAATAACAATAATAATAATAATAATAACTAGTCAAAAGTGGCGTTCTGTTATATCTCAGGGGATACAGCATTTACAAATAAAGCAAAATACAAGTGAATCTATTTATTTGACGTGGGTAAGTTCTACAAAATTGTTGTGAACACTGAATTCGAAAGTAGATGATCCTTGGCTTATAATGGGGTTTCGTGTTGATAAACATATCATAAATTGAAAATGTCCTATGTTGAAAATGCATTTAAAATATCTAATCTACCAAACATTGTAGCTTAGCCTAACCTACCTTAAATGTGTTCATAACACACATTAGTGTACAAGTGAGCAATATCTAAAACAAAGCCTATTTTATAATAAATTCTTGAATATGACATGTAATTTATTGCATACTGTACTGAAAGTGAAAAACAGTGATTGTATGAGTACTTGAAGTATAGTTATTATTCAATGCTTATGGCTTTCAATTGTAAAATCAAAAAATTGTAAGTACAACCACCATAATTCAGGGCCTGTATAGACCGAATCATTGCCCCCAGGAGAAATACAGAGTTAAATTTCTGCGAGCATCTGGTTCAACATTTCTGTCAACCAATCAACATATAACCTTGTTTTATGTGTGTTTCTGTTAGAAGACACCTTGTAATATATATTTTTTGATTCATTGACATTGAACTTATGGCCAACAGCGCTATAACTCATGCTTGAAAGAATCTTATCTAATACATATATTTTATCCATAAGGCACAACAGTTTTTTTGTGCCTAGGAACACTAGACAACATTGAGTACTATACTTGGGGCCACTTTACACAGTAAAATCACCAAGAAAAAGCAAAACAAAAAAATCATAAAACAATGTACTCAATAATTGGAAAATAATGGCATTTATTTACAGTGAGAGAGCTGAAACAAGAAGGCAGAGTATTGTCGTTTGACCACAGCTAGGAATGTACAGGTTGCTGACTCAAATTTTCGCCACTCCGCATATATCCACGAATGACTGTGAAATCACCATAATTATTAATTTGGGGATTACAATGAATTTTAGCTAATAGAACCTCAAATATAAAATCCATGAATAATGAAAATTTTCTGTGTTTAGTGAAGGGGATGAGATAATATCTGGTCATGATATGTGTGTGTGTATTTAGGATTTCTGCTCATATATCCTATCTGCTCAGATTACCGTAGAGCCTGGTAGTAAAAGTAAAAGATTCCTTTTAATAGCAGAAGAGCATAAACCAGATGAATATCTATTACAAAATAAATTGTGCTAAAATATGTACCAATGGCTGGACAATGCACAAATATGGATTAGGGAAAATTATTAGCATGCTTTATTCCTAAAACAAAGATTTTCATAAATTTCAGTTAATGCTATATATGTATATATACACATATATGTATATATATTATATATCTGTATATATATATTTAAACATGGAATCAAAACATATCTTGAATGTTTTTTAAAAAAGTGTATTATTTGAAAAGTATTTACTACTGAACCAGAAGGGAATCTTTGTTTTCTTTTTCTGGCATTTCATTTCTTCTTATCTCCCACCTTTTGGTTTCATAGTTAGACTGGCTCTCTTAACATAGTGATAACTATGGTTGCTAGCAGTTCTAGATTAAATATTTATTGACTTACATAGGCTACAAAACATGGTATTTATGAATCAGAAATAAGATCCAGTAAAACAGACCCAGCTAATAAAAAATAAGTTGAAATAAAGAGACTCACAGTTAAGATACAAAAAAAGATAAGAGCTAGAATTAAAAGTGAATTAGAAATACAAAATTTACTTGGATATATGGTATTAAAATGGAAATGGCACTAAGGAACATTAAAAAAACTGATGCCAAGGACAGTTTTGAATTTCCCAAATATAAGAGAAAAAATAAAGATGGGAAAAAATAAGAAAATATGATAATAGAAGCACTATTTATAATGGACAAAACATGGAAGCAACCCAAGTGTCCATTGATAGATGAATAGATGAACAAAATGTGGCATATACATACAATGGAATATCATTCAGTCTTAAAAATGAAGGATATTCTTTTACATGCTACATATATAAACCATGTGAATATTACCCTAAGTGAACTAAGTTGTCACAAAATGATAAAAATTGATTATTCTACTTATATAAGGTCCCTGGGGAAGTCAAATCCATAGAGGCAGAAGTAGAGTGCTGTTTGCCAGGGGTTTGAGTACAGAATTTTTAATGGGTAACAGGATTTCAATTTTGCAAGTTAAAGATTTCGTGGATGGATGATGATGATAGTTGCACAACAATGTGAATGTACTTAACACCACTGAATGTACATTTAGAAATAGATGTGTATTTTACCACAACTGAACATTTAAAAACTTTTTTCTGTTTGAGTTCATTGTAGATTCTGGATATTAGCCCTTTGTCAGATGAGAAGGTTGCAAAAATTTTCTCCCATTCTGTAGGTTGCCTGTTCACTCTGATGGTAGTTCCTTTTGCTGTGCAGAAGCTCTTTAGTTTATTTAGATCCCATTTGTCAATTTTGGCTTTTGTTGCCATTGCTTTTGGTGTTTTAGACATGAAGTCCTTGCCCACGCCTGTGTCCTGAATGGTATTGCCTAGGTTTTCTTCTAGGGTTTTTATGGTTTTAGGTCTAACGTTTAAGTCTTTAATCCATCTTGAATTAATTTTTGTATAAGGTGTAAGAAAGGGATCCAGTTTCAGCTTTCTACATATGGCTAGCTAGTTTTCCCAACACCATTTATTAAGTGGGGAATTCTTTCCCCATTGCTCATTTTTCTCAGGTTTGTCAAAGATCAGATAGTTGTAGATATGCGGCATTATTTCTGAGGGCTCTGTTCTGTTCCGTTGGTCTATATCTCTGTTTTGGTACCAGTACTATGCTGTTTTTGTTACTGTAGACTTGTAGTATAGTTTGAAGTCAGGTAGCGTGATGCCTCCAGCTTTGTTCTCTTGGCTTAGGATTGACTTGGCGATGCGGGCTCTTTTTTGGTTCCATATGAACTTCAAAGTAGTTTTTTCCAATTCTGTGAAGAAAGTCATTGGTAGCTTGATGGGGATGGCATTGAATCTATAAATTATCTTGGGCAGTATGGCCATTTTCATGATATTGATTCTTCCTACCCATGAGCATGGAATGTTCTTCCATTTCTTTGTATCCTCTTTTATTTCATTGAGCAGTGGTTTGTAGTTCTCCTTGAAGAGGTCCTTCACATCCCTTGTAAGTTGGATTCCTAGGTATTTTATTCTCTTTGAAGCAACTATGAATGGGAGTTCACTCATGATTTGGCTCTCTGTTTGTCTGTTATTGGTGTATAAGAATGCTTGTGATTTTTATACATTGATTTTGTATCCTGAGACTTTGCTGAAGTTGCTTATCAGCTTAAGGGGATTTTGGGCTGAGACGATGGGATTTTCTAGATATACAATCATGTAGTCTGCAAACAGGGACAATTTGACTTCCTCTTTTCCTAACTGAATACCCTTTATTTCCTTCTCCTGCCTGATTGCCCTGGCCAGAACTTCCAACACTATGTTGAATAGGAGTGGTGAGAGAGGGCATCCCTGTCTTGTGCCAGTTTTCAAAGGGAATGCTTCCACTTTTTGCCCATTCAGTATGATATTGGCTGTGGGTTTGTCATAGATAGCTTTTATTATTTTGAGATACGTCCCATCGATACCTAATTTATTGAGAGTTTTTAGCATGAAGGGTTGTTGAATTTTGTCAAAGGCCTTTTCTGCATCTAATGAGATAATCATGTGGTTTTTGTCTTGGTTCTGTTATCGCAAGGACAAAAAACCAAACACTGCATGTTCTCACTCATAGGTGGGAATTGAACAACGAGAACACATGGACACAGGAAGGGGAACATCATACACCAGGGACTGTTGTGGGATGGGGGGAGCAGGGAGGGATAGCATTAGGAGATATATCTAATGCTAAATGACGAGTTAATGAGTGCAGCACACCAACATGGCACATGTTTACATATGTAACAAACCTGCATGTTGTGCACATGTACCCTAAAACTTAAAGTATAATAATAATAGAGACAGAGTCTTGCTCAGTTGCCCAGGCTGGAGTGCAGTGGTGCGATCCCAGCTCACTGCAAGCTCCACCTCCCGAGTTCACACCATTCTCCTGCCTCAGCCTCCCAAGTAGGTGGGACTACAGGTGCCTGCCACTACGCCCAGCTAATTCTTTTTTTGTAATTTTTTTTTTTTTTTAGTAGAGACGGGGTTTCTCCATGTTAGCCAAGATGGTCTCGATCTGACTTCATGATCCACCCGCCTTGGCCTCCCAAAGTACTGGGATTACAGGCATGAACCACCATGCCCGACCAAAAACTGTTTTTTAAATGTAATTTTATTCATCCCTTGGATGGATAAAAAACAACAAGAGCAACAATGAAATACTCTGATAATTTTGACTTGGGTTTGTGCAACTAATGTTTTATATCTTTATTGAGATACATATCCATAGGAAAGATAAACTATTGCTTTGCATATCTTTAAATGCTCATGAACAATTTTGTGTTATGTATCTTTCTTCTTACTTTTTTCACTCAATGTTAAGTTTTGTGATCTGTCCAGAGATAAATATGAAAACCTCATCCTGATACCAAAGCCGGGCAGAGACACAACCAAAAAAGAGAATTTTAGACCAATATCCTTGATGAACATTGATGCAAAAATCCTCAATAAAATACTGGCAAACCGAATCCAGCAGCACATCAAAAAGCTTATCCACCATGATCAAGTGGGCTTCATCCCTGGGATGCAAGGCTGGTTCAATATACGCAAATCAATAAATGTAATCCAGCATATAAACAGAACCAAAGACAAAAACCACATGATTATCTCAATAGATGCAGAAAAGGCCTTTGACAAAATTCAACAACCCTTCATGCTAAAAACTCTCAATAAATTAGGTATCGATGGGACGTATCTCAAAATAATAAAAGCTATCTATGACAAACCCACAGCCAATACCACACTGAATGGGCAAAAACTGGAAGCATTCCCTTTGAAAACTGGCACAAGACAGGGATGCCCTCTCTCACCACTCCTATTCAACATAGTGTTGGAAGTTCTGGCCAGGGCAATTAGGCAGGAGAAGGAAATAAAGGGTTTGCAATTAGGAAAAGAGGAAGTCAAATTATCCCTGTTTGCAGATGACATGATAGTATATCTAGAAAACCCCATTGTCTCAGCCCAAAATCCCCTTAAGCTGATAAGCAACTTCAGCAAAGGTCTCAGGATACAAAATCAATGTACAAAAATCACAAGCATTCTTATACACCAATAACAGACAGAGAGCCAAATCATGAGTGAACTCCCATTCATAGTTGCTTCAAAGAGAATAAAATACCTAGGAATCCAACTTACAAGGGACGTGAAGGACCTCTTCAAGGAGAACTACAAACCACTGCTCAATGAAATAAAAGAGGATACAAACAAATGGAATTATATTCCATGCTCATGGGTAGGAAGAATCAGTATCGTGAAAATGGCCATACTGCCCAAGATAATTTATAGATTCAATGCCATCCCCATCAAGCTACCAGTGACTTTCTTCACAGAATTGGAATAAACTACTTTAAAGTTCATATGGAACCAAAAAAGAGCCCGCATCGCCAAGTCAATCCTAAGCCAAAAGAACAAAGCTGGAGGCATCATGCTACCTGACTTCAAACTATACTACAAGGCTACAGTAACCAAAACAGCATGGTATTGGTACCAAAACAGAGATATAGATCAATGGAACAGAACAGAGCCCTCAGAAATAGCGCTGCATATCTACAACTATCTGATCTTTGACAAACCTGAGAAAAATGAGCAATGGGGAAATAATTCCCTATTTAATAAACGGTGCTGGGAAAACTAGCTAGCCATATGTAGAAAGCTGAAACTGGATCCCTTCCTTACACCTTATACAAAAATTAATTCAAGATGGATTAAAGACTTAAACGTTAGACCTAAAACCATAAAAACCCAGAAGAAAACCTAGGCAATACCATTCAGGACATAGGCGTGGGCAAGGACTTCATGTCTAAAACACCAAAAGCAATGGCAACAAAAGCCAAAATTGACAAATGGGATCTAATTAAACTAAAGAGCTTCTGCACAGCAAAAGAAACTACCATCAGAGTGAACAGGCAACCTACAGAATGGGAGAAAATTTTTGCAACCTACTCATCTGACAAAGGGCTAATATCCAGAATCTACAATGAACTCAAACAAATATACAAGAAAAAAACAAACAACCCCATCAAAAAGTGGGCAAAGGACATGAACAGACACTTCTGAAAAGAAGACATTTATGCAGCCAAAAAACACATGAAAAAAATGCTCACCATCACTGGCCATCGGAGAAATGCAAATCAAAACCACAATGAGATACCATCTCACACCAGTTGGAATGGCAATCATTAAAAAGTCAGGAAACAACAGGTGCTGGAGGGGATGTGGAGAAATAGGAACCCTTTTACACAGTTGGTGGGACTGTAAACTATTTCAACCATTGTGGAAGTCAGTGTGGCAATTCCTCAGGGATCTAGAACTAGAAATACCATTTGACCCAGCCATCCCATTACTGGGTATATACCCAAAGGACTATAAATCATGCTGCTATAAAGACACATGCACACGTATGTTTGTTGCGGCACTATTCACAATAGCAAAGACTTGGAACCAACCCAAATGTCCAACAGTGATAGACTGGATTAAGAAAATGTGGCCCATATACACCATGGAATACTATGCAGCCATTAAAAGTGATGACTTCATGTCCTTTGTAGGGACATGGATGAAATTGGAAATCATCATTCTCAGTAAACTATCACAAGGACAAAAAACCAAACACCACGTGTTCTCACTCATAGGTGGGAATTGAACAATGAGAACACATGGACCCAGGAAGGGGAACATCACACTCTGGGGACTGTTGTGGGGTGGGGGGAGGGGGGAGGGATAGCATTAGGAGATATACGTAATGCTAGATGGCGAGTTAATGGGTGCAGCACACCAGCATGGCACACGTATACATATGTAACTAACCTGCACATTGTGCACATGTACCCTAAAACTTAAAGTATAATAATAATTTTAAAAAAAAGAATGAGATAAATCTACATCCACTAATATAAAAAAAAATGAAAACCTCACTCATCCTTTTTAAATATTCTATGTATATATTTTCATTAGATACATAGAAAACATTCATATACCTATTTCTACATTTATGTACATTGAAATTATACCAGATAATATTGCTATAGACAAACTCATTTATACATCTTTGTGTTCAGTTATAAAAGTTATTCTAAATTTAAATATATCCAGGTTTTGCTGGGGTTTTGTAATTACTGCACTAAGGGCACACTTTATTTTGGTAGATAGTATCACTTTACCTCTCCAAATTGATACCACTGAAATAATCATATTAGTATTTAATGGTTTATCTTTTCCCATTTCCTTTAAATTTTGTATTGTTGGTAGAAACTAAATGATGTCTCGTTTAAATTAGCATGTCTCCAGTTAGTAATAAAGATGGTGTATTAGTCCCTTTTCATGCTGCTGATAAAGACATACCCGAGACTGGACAATTTACAAAAGAAAGAGGTTTAATTGGACTTACAGTTCCATATGGCTAAGGAGGCTTCACAGTCATGGCAGAAGGCAAGGAGAAGCGAGTCACATCTTACATGTTTGGTGGCAGGCAAAAAGACAGTTTGTACAGGGAAACTCCCATTTTTTTTTAAAACCATCAGATCTCATGAGACTCATTCACAATAACAAAAACAATGTAGGAAAGACCTGCCCCCATAATTCAGTCACTTCCCACAAGGTCCCTCCCACAACACGAGAGAATTCAAGGTGAGATTTGGGTGAGGACAAAGCCAAACCATATCATTCTGCCCCATCCCCTCCCAAATCTCATGTCCTCACATTTTCAAAGCCAAATCATGCCTTCCCAGCAGTCCCTCAACGTCTTAACTCATTTCAGCATTAACTCAAAAGTCCACAGGCCAAAGCCTCATCTGAATGGAGGCAAGTCCCCTCCATCTATAAGCCTGTAAAATCAAAAGCAGGTTAGTTACTTCTAGATATAATGGGGGTACAGGTTTTGGGTAATACAGCCATTCCAAAAGGGAGAAATTGGCCAAAACAAAGGATCTACAGGCCCCATGCAAATCCGAAATCCAGCACGACAGTCAAATCTTAAAGCTCCAAAATGATCTCCTTTGACTCCATGCCTCACATCCAGTCACACCGATGCAAGAGTTAGGTTCCCATAGTCTTGGGCAGCTCCGCCCCTGTGGCTTTGCAGGGTACAGGCTTTCTCCTGGCTGCTTTCAAGGACTGGCATTGAGTGTTTGTGGCTTTTTCGGGTGTGCAGTGCAAGCTGTCAGTGGATCTACCATTCTGGAGTCTGGAGAACGGTGGTCCTCTTCTCACAACTCTACTAGGCAGTGCCCCAGACGGGACTCTGTGTGGCTGCTCCGACCCCACATTTCCCGTGTGCACTTCCCTAGCAGAAGTTTTCCATGAGCACCCTGCCCCTGCAGGAAACTTCTTCCTGGGCATTCAGGAATTTCCTTACCTCATTTGAAATCTAGGTGGAGATTCCCAAACCTCAATTCTTTACTTCTGTCCACCCTCAGGCTCAACAACATGTGGAAGCTGCCAAGGTTTGGGGCTTCTGCCCTCTGAAGCAACAGCCCGAACTGTACCTTGGCCCCTTTTAGTCACAGCTGGAGCAGCTGGGACACAGTGCACCAAGTACCTAGACTGCACATAGCACAGGGACCCTGGGCCCAGCCCACAAAACTACATTTTTGTCCTAGGCCTCTGGGCCTGTGTTGGGAGTTGCTGTTCTGAAGACCTCTGACATGCCCTGGAGACATTTCCCCCATTGTCTTAGGGAATAACATTCAGCTCCTCGTTACTTATGCAAATTTATGCAACCTGCAAATTTATGCAACCGGCTTGAATTTCTCCTCAGAAAATGGCATTTACTTTTCTATTGCATTGTCAAGCTGCAAATTTTCCAAACTTTTATGCTCTGCTTCCCTTATAAACTTGAATGCCTTTATCACTTTGCTGCTTAGAAATTTCTTCCACCAGATACCCAGAATCATCTCTCTAAGTTCAAAGTTACAAATATCTCTAGAGCAGAGCCAAAATGCCACCAGTCTCTTTGCTAAAACATAACAAGTTCACCTTTGCTCCACTTCCCAACAAGTTCCTCATTTCCATCTGAGATCACCTTAGACTGGATTTTATTGTCCATATTTCTATCAGCAATTTCGTCAAAGCCATTCAACAAGATCCTAGGCAGTTCCAAACTTTCCTACATTTTTCTGTCTTCTTCTGAGCCCTCCAAGTTGTTCCAACCTTTGCCTGTTATCCAGTTCCAATGTCGCTTCGAAATTTTAAGGTGTCTTTTCAGTAGCTCCCCACTCCTGGTACCAGTTTACTGTATTAGTCCATTTTCATGTTGATGATAAAGACATACTTGAGACTAGGCAATTTACAAAAGAAAGAGGTTTAATTAGACTTAAAGTTCTGTATGGCTAAGGAGGCTTCACAATCATGGCAGAAGGCAAGTAGGAGCAAGTCACATCTTACGTGGATGGCAGCAGGCAAAAAGAGAGTTTGTGCAAGGAAACTCCCATTTTTTTAAGACCATCAGATCTCATGAGATTCATTCACAAGCATGAGAACAGGGCAGGAAAGACCCAACCCCATAATTCAATCACCTCCCCCCAGGTCCCTCCCATAACATGTGGGAATTCAAGATGAGATTTGGATGGGAACAAGCCAAACTATAGCAGATGGGAACTTCATATGCTTTTTAGATATTAGGTTTCCCCATTTGCAGATCTATACATTACCTTTTTTGCATGTATTATATTCATTGTGTTTCTCCTGCTTACTTGAAGGGGTCTCTTATATTCCATATACCATTTTTATTGTTGGTTATCTAACAAATGTATTTTTCACTTACCTAATTTTTCTTTCAGTTTTTGGTTTGTTATTTCTGTTACTGGGTTAAGAAACAAGTTTTATGTAGTATAGTCTCAACTTACATAATTAATGTTTTAAATGTTATGAAGTAAGCTAGAAAAAAATGTGGAAATAGATAAAAAGTTGATAAAAATTGCCTAGTTGACCATCAATAGCTACTGGGATTTTTTAATTGAGAGAAAGCTTGATCTTACAAATATTAAACAGTATAGATCTGACTGCCACATTAAGAGTAGATTCTATGGGGCAAGAACAGAAAAGCATAGAAATTTAGGAAATTTTTGCAATAATATAGATAATATTCTATATAATATAGAAAACAAATGTTTTCTACACAAGGATAAATTAGAGGAGGTTAAAAAGGTTCTCAATTCCAGGCGTATTTAGAATTTATAGTAAAAGTGTTTGCTTAAGTGCTTAGACATGAGTTTATAAGAGAAAGGGACAACTCCATTGATAACTTTTGGCTTGAGGAACTGGAAGAAAAATGGAGCAAGTTTTAGGACAAACAGTCATACAGAAAAAAAGATCTGTTTGCTCTGGTTTTGAACATGTTAAGACTGAGATATTTATTAGAACACCAAAGTGAGGATGTGAACTAGACAAATAAGAATTTGCACTTTAGAAGAGAGGCCTTGTCTGAATATAATCCAGGGAACTATCAGTGGACAAATGATACTTCGTTGGGTAACGCTATAAAATCATTAAGAAAGTATGTTAGTCTGAGTTCTCTAGAGAAACATAACCAATATAATATCAGTAGGTAGGTAGATAAATAGATAGTTAGATAGATATATAGACAGATATTCTAAGTAATTGTCTCACATGGATGAGAATTTCCAAGATCTGTTGTTGGAAAACTGGATACCCAGTAGAGACCTGCAGAAAGGTAGTTCCAGTACAGGTAAAAAGGCCTGAGAGCCCGGAGAGACAACGACGTAAATTGCAGTCTGAATCTGAGTCAAAAGCAGAAGACTGATGTTCCAGCACAAAGAGACACAGAGTAATTTCTTCCCAACTCATCCACTTGGTTTCACTCAGTCCTTCAACCAAATTCTCTGGTGAACCAGACTGGTTGAGGTCTACCCACTTTAAACAGGGCAATCGGTTTTATTCAGTCTACCCAAACACATGTTAAACTGATCCAGAAACACTCTCACAGACACACCTAGAATAATGTTTAACCAGATTTCTGAGCACCCCATAGTTCAGTCATGTTGCCACATGAAATTAAGTATCACATGAAGTGAAAATACATTTTTCGAAATGTTCATAGATTTAGTCCTTCAGTTGGCACCATTAACAGTTCAAGCAAATTAAAAATAATTGGAAAACATATTTGAGGCCAGGCGCACTGGCTCATGCCTGTAATCCTGGCACTTTAGGAGACCGAGGCAGGTGGATAACCTGAGGTCAGGAGTTCAAGACCAGCCTGGCCAACATGGCAAAACCCCGTCTCTAATAAAAATACAAAAATTAGCTGGGTGTGGTGGCAGCCGCCTGTAATCCCAGCTCCCCAGGGGCTGAGGCAGGAGAATCGCTTGAACCCAGGAGGCAGAGATTGCAGTGAGCTGAGATCGCACCACTGCACTCCAGCCTAGGCGACAAGAGCAAAATTCTGTCTCAAAAACAAAAACATACCAAAAAAAAAAACCCCCATATTTGAATCAATGTGTAATGAGGCTTACCCAGGAGGATATGATGTCCTGAAAGGTAAATAAAGAAGTTTCAAAAGGAGAATGTGATCAACTGTATCACATGCCACCGGTAATATGAGATAAGAGCAAATATTGGCCATCAGATTTTTCGATATGAATGTCCTTGTTAATTTTAACATTTGATATAAGTAAAGTGGTTTTAAAAAGGCTTTTTTCCTTTGTTTTTCCTTTGAAGAATATATAAATAGCAGCATGATTCAGGAAACTGCTTTTATTACTCTGTAAAAGAGAAAGCTAGGTCATCAACTGTGAGGAGAATAGAGAAGGTGTAAAGAGGTAGAGGGAAGTATGGTGCCACAGTCTAGGAAAGGAGAAGACTGGCTCAAACAGAAAAAATGTAGTGTGATTACCTGGCAGCATTAAAGGCTCACTGGAGAATAGTGATCATGAAATTAAAATAAGGCAAGTCAGTACAGAAGCCTATTCTCCAGTGCTATTCAGATGTATGTAGATAGACATGGAACAGGGTGAGAGCTGACTTTCCCTAGGATTGCAGTTTACCACTATTAAAGAAGAACAAAACAGTTGAAGAGATATATATAGGAGTGTTATTCATGAAAGATAAGGAAATTTAAGCTGGAAAGAAAGAAATGTGAGAAAATATCATTAATAAGTAACATAATGTGTAAGATTATACGAACATATGGTTGCATCTGCATATATGGTTATATATGCACATTTAGCCTATATTTGGTTGTTCATTGCATCTGCATATGTAGTTTTGTATGCACATTTATCCTCTATTTGGTTGTTCATTGTAAAACACATTGCTTCCTGTTTTAATTTTTAAAACAATATAAGTTAAAATAGTTCTTTTTAATCAACATATTTGGTTTTTTAATTTTTAATTCATTTTTGCAGCTTAATTTTTCTGAAACAGTCTATTAAGCATTGAGTTTGAGAAAAGAAGAGAAAGACAAGAAAAGAGAGAGTGTTGCCTTTTATTTTCTACAAGGATTGCAAGAAAGAAGATAGATGAATTTCTAGAATATAACATCAAGATATTGTGATTATGTTTTATAATCAGTCCAGGGTGTCTTGGAAGAATAAAACAGCTTTGCACTGGATTTTGTAGCTCTCAGAGATTATAATAAGCTGCCTGTAAATCTTTTGGCATTTGCAAACCTAGCCTAATAGTACTAAAGTTTCTTCAGGCAAGAGATGTGATTTTTTTTTCCTTTTTAGCACTCTCCAACCTGTAGTTTTGTCAATTTGCTTTAGTTCACCTTAATTATCGGAATAACAGGAGTGTGTCACTTTGTAGTCTGCCGTCACTGTAGTGTTGATCAATAAAGCCCTCTTCAAGTCTCCAGTAAGTCTTTAAAGCTATCAGAGTATTTAAAGTCAATAATTATTTATATTTACAGAACATGTAAGTCAGCAACTTAAAGAAAAACAAATAGTATAAGGCAATGTCTAAATAGTAAAGATATTCTGAATAGTATATTAACTTCCATAAATGTTAAATGACAAATCTACTCCGTTTGAAGCTTTCATTTATTCTAGATGCCATAAATCAAGCTTGTCTAACTCGTGGCCCACTGGCTGCATTGGCCTGGGATGGCTTTGAATGCAGCCCAACACAAATCCATAAACTTTCTTAAAACGTTATGAGATTTTTTTTTGCAATCTTTTAAAGCTCATCAGCTGTCATTAGTGTTAGTGTATTTTATGTGTGACCCAAGACTATTCTTCTTCCATTGTGGTCCAGGGGAGCCAAAAGATTGGACACTCCTGCTATAAATGTTTAACACAAGACATTAACA
The DNA here is from genome assembly GCF_000001405.40 of Homo sapiens. Lineage (NCBI taxonomy): Eukaryota > Metazoa > Chordata > Mammalia > Primates > Hominidae > Homo > Homo sapiens. Next base: position 68,347,666 of record NC_000013.11, read on the forward strand.
TTAGACAATCATACAAATGCTGCTATAGATGGCAGGACATCAAAGCTGTCATCACAGTTACTGGAGTTGAGATAAGAAAAATAAGCTATAGCTTTACAATTATATGTATGTCTCTATATTTTTGTTACTATGAAACAGATGATTGAGCTCTAGTCCTAAGTAAACCACTGTTGTTTTCCCCACAATTTTTAGCCATTTACAACACAGTCATGCGTTACTGAATCAGTGACTTTTTTTAACCTCTTCACAATCAATTATAATTTACTTTAAGTGTTTTTTAGTCTTATTTTTACATGGAAAAGTATAACTGAAAATAAAGTATGTAAGCTATTTATAACCCTAAAAATGGTAATTATTTTTTATAAAAGGACATAAATACCACAAGAAGTCAATTGAACACATTTATGACATTAGAGCAAGTAAATGATTCATTTACTAATTTTTTAATTTAGAAATTTTCTTCCCATACCTGGATTATACTTTTGGTTAAGATAATATATAATACACTACCTTGAAATTTAGGTTAAACTTCATATAAGATGTAAGCTGATCAGTTTCATCCAAGGTGTTTTATTTAACAACTAGAAGAATTTTAGGGAATTTACTTATGTGAACTAAAAATTGTGGGTTTTTTTGGTAAAATTAAGCATACCTAGAAATTCTAATGTATAAAAAAATTAGAGAGACTAATTCCCACACTGTATTTATTGGATTACAAGGTTAATACAAAAAGTTAGAAAAAGCATAGTATAGTCTAATACTACATTAATTTTCAGCTAATTATGAACTGATAATAAACTAGAAAATGAAAAGTTAAAAAATTCATTTAAGTATATATAATAAGCTTCCTGGTTAAGCATAGAAATAAAATATAGAATGTAAAACCTACAGTATTCTTACAAACAGGGAATAATTATGTAAATGGTATCAAAATACAAGCCAGAATTTAAGTTAAAAGAATTTAAATAATTAAAATATTTTACATACATATTTAAATGCTTATATTTATCACTTTGCTATTTTTATCACAAATCTTCAAATAGGTAACATACCTATTTGAAGTAGGAATGAATGGGGTACATTTGCCCCACTGTCGTGTTTACTAAGCTATATAGACCTAAGGTTTTTATTCCTTCTCCACTTAAAAATTACTTGACATTAATATACGAGACCTCTTGTATGTTATTTGTGGTTCGTTGTATATACTCATGCTGAAATGAATTCTTCAGTATAATAAATGTAGATTTTATACCAAATCAAAAGTTATAATTAACAAGGACTTCTTTTTTTAGCATGTCAAGTTAAACTTATCAAGTATTGAGAGAGACAGAGAGAATGTAAATATATCTCTATGTATCTATATAATGTTCACATTTAATTCTCCTTTTATCCATAAGACATAGAGAAGTTAACTTCTACATTACAGATGAATTATCCAAAATAATGGGAGAAAATGTTTGCTTGGCCAAAAGTTACATATACATATTAAGAAATAAAACAAAAACTGTATTTAATTATCACTAATGCCTCCATACAGAACAATAAACATTACTTAATTTATATTTCTCAAATATTTTTCAAGTCGAACACTGTAAAGTGAAACATCAACATCATCAGCACTATCATTGTCATCATCAATTTATCTAATGTTTATTAAACACTTATTTAGATTAATCATATATCCTAGTTTCCCCAAGATGGTCCCAGTTTATACCTATTGCCCAAGAATAATTAGTAAGAGTGCCCACATTCCATCTTAAATTACACCAATTTTATTGACAAATTATGTGATACTGGCCAAGGCAGGCGGATCATCTGAAGTCAGGAGTTCGAGACCAGCCTGGCCAATATGATGAAACCTCATTTCTACTAAAAATACAAAAAAATTTCCCAGGCATGGTAGCGGGTGCCTGTAATCCCAGCTACTGAGGAGGCTGAGGCAGGAGAATCGCTTGAACCCAGGAGGCAGATGTTTCAGTGAACCGAAATCCCGCCATTGTATTCCAGCCTGGGCAAAGAGCGAAACTCCGTCTCAAAAAAAAAAAAATAAATAAAAGAATTTCATTATATTTCAAATGCATTTAAATATCAATGCTTAAAACAATAACTTTGCACATGAAAAAGCAGTTTATTAACGAATACAAGTTCATACTGTCTTAATGACAGAAACTGGGAATAAAGCCAGGTGTCTGAACTCATCTACCCATGCAGTGCACAAGATAGTTCAGCTTTTCTCACCAGAGTTAATTTGACTATTTTAATTTAAGGTAATTAATTGCATACACCTCACACTGGGTGATAAGTTCCACTTGGCAAATAAAGACATATAAAATATTTCTTGGTAATATTTCTTGCAAAATATTTTTGGTAAATGTAGCACAGGAAATGCATTGGGGCAAAGTGAATCTTGAAATAATCAGTTGAGGTTTAGCAAGGGAAATCATGTGAAAAGGGCTAAGGAGAGAATAGCACTCCATGTGCAGGTAGTGAAAGAAGTATATTTGCAAATCTTTAATAGTAAACTGTCTTTTGGGTCAAGAGAATTCAAATTTTAATACAGAATTAGCAGTTCTTCACTGTATGCCCTCGCCCTACCTTTTTTACTTTTTTAAGAATTTCTTTATTCAATTAATAGCTATCTTTTGACCATTAACGTGAAGTTTTGGGAATTGGGCATGGTCTTTCCACTCAAGTATCTTACTTCTTGGCAGATTTCATGTTCTCTAATATCCCTCTTAATTTATCTTCAATTTTAATTCCATATCTTTAGCAGCAGTCTTTGATAAGAGTAGCAAAGCCTATGTGTGCTGAAAGAAGAACAACTTGTACGTGTGTGTGACTGTGTTAACAAACATACACATACATGTGTGAATGTGTGCTTGTATTTATACTTATCTACATGTTTGTATGCGTGCATATATATGTTTGTATGTGCTTGTGTATATCTATTTTTGCACACACATTCACACATTCACAAGTGCATACATGTGATTCTACTGGTAAAACTGCCAAACTACAGGTCTTACTATTTTCTGAAAATGTGTTGCTTTATTGCAGTAATTTGGAGCTTTTATTCTTCCTTATATGATTCATATACCTTAGCACATTTCCTTGCCTGTAATATAAAGCCACATATTTATTGCACAAAGGAGTGAGCATTTGGGTTTTATAAGTCCAAAGTTTTCATTATAAAATTTATATATTTATCCTTCAAATTGCTCAGCTGAAGTTGAGTTTTGAAAAGAGAATTTTTTTTCTAAATTCGATCAAGATATGGCATTCTTCTCTGTCTTTCTATATACACATATGTAAACAATTTTAGATAATAGATATATGATATATTTTCATAGTTTAAAAAAGAAGCTGTTATTGAATTATTCCTGTGAACATGCTATGATAATTATTAATTTACACTGCCTTCTCCATTATAATTGTTATAGCTTTCATTATTTTATCCCATTAGTCTTTCCCGGATGTCAATGTATTCAATATAATTGTGAACTCTTCAAGCCTGAACTTCTTGATTTATTTCTGGAGGTTATGAAGACATCTTCCCACCTGCATCTTTCTAAAATATAAAATAATTGAATTGAAAGTACATTGATGGAAAAACAGTTAACCTTTTGCCTTGGAAAGGGCTGACACATTTATGTGAGAGGAGCCATTTAGTATGTTTCTATAAATTTACTAAGGACATATCAAAACACCTTATTTCATAGATCATCTCAAAACTGAAATTAAAAATACTTCAAAAACTGCCCTAACACTAGTCATTTTAAGTGTTTCCAAGACTGAATGACCCAACCATTAATAAATTAGTTCCATTCCTTCTATTAAAACATATATTTGATCAGAAATTGCTTTAGTTTATTACACTCCGATTATTTCACAATATCTAGTCATTCGAAATAGATGCATAGTATTTATATAGTAACATAAAATATTGAAAATAGCATTTGTTTCAGAATTTAATTTCATAACTTCTAATGAAATACACTTGAACAAAACAAATGGATCTCAAATTCATAGTGAGATGACATAATTTGATAAGCATTCTTATTTATACAATGTCAGGTGTAATATATTTAATTCTTATCAAGTATTCAACTTTTAAATATTATCTTCATTCAGTATATTTCTACATTAGCCTTCTATAAATTGTTTAATTGAGCCTTCCTTAGGGTTTCCTCCTTTTGTTGTACAATATGTGGTAAAAAATTGTTTATACCTTCATCTTTCTTTACCTCGAGTAATCTTCCTTTCTTTTCTTTAAGAAATGAGTGAGCTTCCTGCACTCCTTTCTTTTGTATCTTTTCTTATCTTAATACCAAGCCCCTTCCTTATTTCCAAACCTCAACCTTCTATTGAAATATTCAAATCCACTGGTTGTCAAAATTGAAGATAATTTTTTAAATTATTCAATATCAATCCCCAATCAAATTATGAACCATACCACAGAGAGGATTTCACTGGATCTTTCTGACCAATATAATGTGGACTTAAGTAATGTATAGCACTTCTGTGCCTGGACTTCAAATAACCTCCCTCAGTGATTCTCATTCTCTCTCTGAAGGTGAACTTAGTAAGTATATTTTGAAAATGATTGTGTTATGCAATGGAAGTATCCAAGTGACAGAAGAAATCCAAGTCCCTTGCTAACAATGTTAAGAAGGGGTATGAGAACTTAGTAAGATTAAAATGTTAAGCCTGCTCTTTAGAATTCATCTGTTATGAATTGTTCTACCTGATTTAATTCACCCTAAATCTCTGAAGGAAAAAAAATTGTAGCTTTCTCTAAAAATGACTTTTCCTCTTGGATAGCCTTCATAAAACTGGTTGTGGAAATGGAGACTGTTTCCTCATTATTGTTTGTAAAACATATCATTTCTTTCTCCTTTAAAACTAGAAGTTTATATCTAATGTTACTCATTCAATAATATTCTTCACACACTATCAAAAATGGTCACTCCTTAAATGTAGACATCATTAATCCCCAGTTCACGCCCACAAACATAACTCCAAGATTTTAGGACTTCTTTAACTCTTGCTTATTCTAACATCACTGCTATATTTTTTTAAATTTTACTATCTATATAATTGGTTTTTCCAAAAGCCTGATTGCTTAATTTCTTGACCTCTTACATGTTTCCAATGATAAAGTAATATTATGCCATCTTATCTCAACCACTTACTACCATGTAATGGTTTTTAAATTTTATTTTATTTAGTTATGATAAGGACACAACATGAAATCTACCCTCTTAGATTTTTAAGTGTACCATACAATATTGTTATCTCTGGCACACTGTTGTACAACGGCTCTCTAGAACCTATTTATTCATCTTAGATAACTGAATTTTATACTCATTGATTAGAAAATCCCCATATCACCATTTTCTCTTTTCCTGGCCGCCACAATTCTGTTCCTTGCTGCTGAGAGTTTCACTACTTGAGACGTCTTATATAAGTGGAATTGAAAAGCATTTGACCTTTTGTGACGGTTTATTTCATCTAGTGTATGATATAGCTTGAATGTTTGTCCCCTCCAAATCTTATGTTGAATTGTGACGCTCAGTATTGGAGGTGGGGTCTGGTGGGAGTTGTTTGGGTAATTGTGAAGGATCCCTCCTGAATGGCTTGGTGCCCTGTCCGTAGTAATGAGTAGGTTCTTGCTCTGTTAGTTCATGTAAGAGCTGGTTTTTTAAAGGAGCCTGATACATTCTACTCTGTCTCTTGCCGTCTTTCTCGCCCTGTGACACACCTGCTCCCCCTTTACCTTCCACAATGATTGGAAGCTTTTGGAAGCCCTTACCAAAAGCAGATGCTGGTGTCCTGGTTCCTGTACAGTTTTCATAACCATCAGCTAAATAAATCCTCCCCTTTTAAAAATAAATTACCCAGTCTCAGGTATTCCTTTATAGCAATGCAAAACAGACTAGTACATGTGTCCTCAAAGTTTATCTATGTTTTTACATTGAAAGATTATCTTCTTTTTAAATGCTAGTAATGTATGTATACATGACATTATTTTCTTATCCATTCATCTGTCAATGCCATTTAGATTTTCCCACCTGTTAGCTATTATTAATCATGCTAAAATTATATGGAAGTGCTAATATCTTTTTGAGACCTTGATTTCAATTATTGGGACAAGTATATAGAAATGGATTTTCTGTATCACCTGGTAGCTCCATTTTTAATTTTTTGAGTAGCATCCATACTCTTTTCTGTAGAGGCAGTACCATTTTACATTCTGACCTATCAGTATACAAACAAATATTCCAATTTCTTCACATCCTAGCCAACACTTCTTATTGTTTGTTGTGGTTTTGATTTGCATTTCTTTATGATAGTGATATTGAGCATCTTTTTACATTGGTTGGCCATTTGTATGTCTTCTTTGAAGAAATGTCTATTCAAGTCCTTGGTCCCTAGGCAAAAACTGCACAGACATTTCTTCAAAGAAAACAGACATATGTTAGTCTTTTTGCTATTGAGTAATATGAGTACCTTATAAGCTTTGGATATATGGTTTTCCAGTATTGTATTCAATTCTGAAAGTTGCCTTTTCACTCTGTTGATTGTTTATTTGCTGTGTAAAAGCTTCTTAGTTGGATGTAGCCTCACTCATTCTTTATTACTTTTGCCTGTGCATTTGGTGTCATATTCATTAAATCATTGCCAAGATCAAAATCATGAAGATTTTCCTTTCTTGTCTTTTAAAACTTTTACAACTTTGGGTCTTATATTTAAGTCTTTAATACATTTTGAGTTGATATTGGCTCAATATCAAATATCAGTATCAAATATTGCCAATACCAACTCAAAATGTATTAAAGGCTTAAATATAAGAGTCCATTTCATACATTTGTATGTGGATATCTGTTTTTTCAAAAATTATTTGTTGAAGACACTGTCTTCTTTCCATTGTACATTCTTAGCACTATTATCAAAGGTCATTAGACCACATAGATGTGGATTTATTTATAGATTATCTGTTTGTTCTATGGTTTGTTTGTGTGTCTTTGTATCAGTATCATACTGTTTTAATTACTGTAGCTTTGTCATCAGTATTGTGAAATCAGAAAGTGTGACTCCTCAGCTTTGTTTGTTTGTTTTTTCAATCCTGATTTGGCTATTCGGGGTCTTTTGTAGTTCTATATAAATTTTAAAATTGTTTTTACTATCATATAAAAATATTATTGGGATTTTGATAGGGATTGCATTGAATCAGTAGATCTCACTGAGTGTTCTGGACAGTTTAACAACATTAAGTCTTGCCATGCATGAACATGGATGTCTTTTATTTGTTAATGTCTTCTTTAGTTACTTTCATTAATATTTTATGCTTTGAGTATATACGTCTTTCACATACTTAGTTAAGTTTATTTCTAAGTAACTTATTATTTCTGATGCTATTGTAAATGAAACAATTTTCCTAATTCTCTTTTCAGATTGATTTTTATATGTGGATGATATAATTGATTTTTATATGTGGATTTTCTACCCCACAACTTTACTGAATATATTTATTAGTTTTAACAATTATTGGGATAGCTCTGTGTGTGTGTGTTTGTGTGTGTGTGTGTGGCCCTTAGACATCTTTAAATATAAAATCATGTCATCTGGAAAGAGGAATAATTTTACTTTTTTGTTCCAAATAGGATGCTTTCATTTTTATTCTTGCCTTATTTCTTTGGCCAGGACTTTTGTTACTATGTTGAAGGGAATTGGGAACAGTGGGCATCTTTTTTCTTTCCATAGTGGAAAATCTGTCAGTTTTTCATTGTAGAGAATAATGTTAGTTATGGGCTTTTCATACATGGCTTTTATTATGTACAGGTAATTTAACTCTATATCTAGTTTGCTGAGAGATTTTATCATGAGAGAGTGTGGAATTTTGTTAAATGCTTATACTGAATTTATTAAGATGATCATGTAATTTTTAACACTAATTCTGTTAATGTGATGTATTGCATTAATTGATTTCATTTATTGAACCATCCTTGTATCCCTGGCATAATCTCTACTTGGTCATAGCTTCTGGCCCTTTTAATGTACTGTTGAATTCAGTTTGTGAGTATCTTATTGTGGATTTTTGCATCTGTGGTGATTAGGGATACTGGCCTGTACTTTTCTTTTCTCATGATGTCTTAGTCTGGAGTTGATATCACAGTAATGTTGGCCTTATAAAATGCATTTGAAAGTATTATTTTCTCTTCATTTGAGAAGAATTGGCTTTCATTATTATTTAAATATTTGGTAGAATTAACCAGTGAAGCCATCTGGTTCTGCGTTTTTGTTGTTGTTCCTAAGAGGTCTGAGATTACTGATTAAGTCTCCTTACTAGTTATAGGTTAGTTTAAACTTTTTATTTCTTTAGAGTTCAGTCCCAGTGGGTGGCATGCTTGTAAAAATTTATTTATTTATTCTAGGTTATGCAGGTCATTGGGGTTGTTCATAGTACTCTCTTAAGATTTCTTTGACAACAGTTTATTCTTTAATTTCTGATTTTATTAATTTAAGTCTTCTCTCTTTTTTATAGTTAATCTAGCTAATGGTTTGTTAGTATTGTTTATCTTTGCAAGAAACAAATTCGTAATTTTGTTGATCTTTTCTATTGCTTTTCTGGTCTCTATTTCTGTTCTGATCTTTAGTATATTCTTTCTTCTACTAACTTTAAGCTTATTTTATTCCTTTTCCTATCCCTTGAAGGGTAAAGTTAGGTTGTTTTCTGAAGATCTTTCTTTTTTCTTAATGCAGGCATTTAATCGCTGTAAACTTTTCTCTTAGAACCGCTTTTGCTGCATCCCATAGGCTATGGTATGTTATGCTTCCATTTTAATTTGTCTCAAGCTTTTGTTTGGTTTCCCTTTTGATTTCTTCTTTTACGCATTGGTTGATTAGAAGTGCATTAAATTTTACACATTTGTGAATTTTTTGATTTTCTTCCTATTGTTGATTAATCTCAATCAATAGATGTAGATCCATAGATATATTGTCATTATTTTGATGAAAAAGATATATTTGGATGGAAGGATTTTACTAGCTTTTGGAGTTTTGGGTGACCACTAAGATAGTCATTTGGTGAAAGCTCTAAAATGGTAGGGACATGGGATAGTTCAATACCAGTGGTACTTCATTTAGCACATAAACATTTTACTTAAAAATAAATACATGCTTCCCAGAATAAAGTTTACAGGAGGTCAACACTATTGTACAGAAATAATATAAAATTCTGCTATCTATGAAAGAGTTGATTTGTGGGACTTCACTCAGAAGAGTAAGCATGCTTTACATGTACATTTTAGTAACAAAGCTGGCTAGTAATTGATGAACACAGCCTGAAAAATTATTTTCATAACAGGAATACAAAAAGATAGGATGAGTCACTATTAGAGGTAAGTCATAGAAGAGTAGGAAAAAAACTGCATATATTTATAGTTTCAAACATATTGTTGTGTGACTGTCAGTTTTGAGCAGATGTAGCTTAACTTTAATGTTATGTTCCATTAAAATAGAACTAAATGTGTTATTTGATGTAAAGAAAATTAACTTGCAATTGTAAAGAAATTTCTTAAAAAGTCTATAGTATTGAGAGCTAAAATAATATTAAGAAAAAATTGTTTAAGTTATTTTAAAAATATGACATATAACATGACCTATCCTAGAACAGATCACTAAATGGAAACAAAGATCAATATATTTTGTCTTTAGTTTAGTGTTTTTTTCTTTCACCAAGCTACCCTTACATATAACATGCTGTGCTAAATCTTGTAAAATGTAGAAGGATAAACAGGGGAACACTGAGTATCAGAGCATTTAGAATTTGTACTTGTTCACTTTTGTTTGATCATTCCTGATCATTATAAAAGCCAGTTAAATTATTATTTATGCCATTCATTCACGCACCAATATCTGTATGAACAACTACCAAATTTAATAACTGGTTGACAAAATATACGTGCACTATAATTACATCATTTTCAGCCATATTATATATTGTCCATATTCATTTTAAAGTTTCTTTTGTTAATCACAGCAATTTAGCTTCATTACCTACTAATAATGCTATTGGGCAACTTAGAAACCTCTGTTTTCCTGAGACTTGGCAGTAAGAAATATTTACATTCCTAAGGGACTTATAATCTGGCTAGGCAAAATAAGCATATGTAATATACATACATGGTGTATAACAGAGTTTTCTATTTAAAATCGAAATGAAGAATTCAGACAATAGTGATATAAGAGTTCAGAAAAAGGAGCGAATAAAGGGAACAGATGTTCAGGAAAAAGTTTGTGGGATTGAGTTTTGGGAGTTATGTTGGGTATTAAAATACTGATTTGATTTCTCAAAGTGATGCCTTTATTGAAGCAAATGACACACTTATTAATGACATAGGCTTCCATTATCTGATTAAACGCTTGACTTTACTGACCTGTTACTTTACCTTTGAGACTTCATTTCCTACCTGGCTAGCACAATTCTCACCCTGTGAAAAGGAAGGTCAATGCTAATCAGAACACTTTTCACAAGGTTATATAAAATGCTAGCTAATCCTGAAAACTTCACTTTTTTTGTAGAGGCATGTTTTTCTCTTGCTTTTATTTCTTAAAGAAAGTAGTGGTAGGTATTTTTCTTTTTAAAGCTGGATACAGCAAGTAAAATGCATGACTGCTTATTTTATTTTAGGTTTGGATTAGATGAGAAAAACAGATAGGCATTTAGAATGCCCTTCTTCACCTTGCAATGAATCTGACTCATAGGCAATTTATAGCAACGCATACAGTTTTAAAAGTTGCTGCAGTAATAGTCAGCAGTCAAACTGTTATAATTTAAACTGACTAAGATGCCCTCAGAGAACACATTTTACAAGAAACCTAAAATTTATTGAAAAACAATGTGAGTTAGGTTTTCCATTTGTTGTATTTCCATTCCTGAGGAAATCAGTGGCAATAACGCTTGTTAAGTTGGCATCCTGCTTGATGTTTTCACCATGCAAGTTAAACATTCAGTTTCAAAAACCAAAGACAAGGTCAGAATTATACTGCTTTCCCGTCCACCTGACTATAATATAATTCATCTTTCAGAACATTTCCAAGTGTTTCAATATTCCACATCCTCTATGAAATATAAAAGTGTTTTTTTCTCATTCTTACGGAGATTTTCAGATACATCTAACATAAATTCCAAAAGGTATAATAATATTTAAAAATATTATTTTTCATTAAAGATTTTGTGATTGAATGGTGATAAGTATGGTCAGGTTTATCTGGTAAACAATACAAAATGACAAAGTAATGTAATGAGAAGAGAGCCACTAGGATTTAAAAAAATAATTCTTTGCTGTGAATTAACAGAGAAATCGTTTTTAAAAAAATACACATTTATTAAAACAATGCTTTTTATTATGATGAGATTTTTTTTAAAAAGTATGGTTGAAAATGAAGTTTGGAAAAAAATTAAGATTCTTAACTTACAGCATTTTTAATATTTCTGTTTCTATCTTTCTGCCATAACTTGGTTTATGTATAAGGTGAGCATTCAGCTTGGTTTGTCTGAGACAGTCCCAATTTAAGCCTGAGTCTCAGCATCATTATGGATATTACCCATTTTACTCTAAACTGGAGATTTGGATGATAAATTATATAGTCACATTTTTATGGGATATATTTCAAGAAGTACCCATTCTTTCTTTGGCTCGTCACTTTATCAGTCATTCCTGTAAACATTTTATGGCATGTTTGAGGATTAACACTACCATTGCAAAAGTTTCAACAGAAACAGCATCTATGGAGAATTAAGATTTTTAAGGAAATGCAACTTCACACTTACCATCATTTCTCCATAAGAATGTAATTGCATTTTACTTTTTATCTTATTATAAAGGTAAGCATGAGCATTTTACAACTCTTGACAAACTTATTAGGTAATAAAAAACAACCAGAAACTACTGATGATGCTGCCTAGGGGTAAAATTTTGTAAAGCAATTTTTAATATTTTCTTTATTGTATCTATGAATAGTCATGTTGTCTTTACATATGTATCCAATTATATATACAATGTCCTGATTTTAGTTTTTTCTCCAAGATTACAACCAAAGCTTTGTATTATTAAGATTACTAGAAATCAGTACATCTTAATCCTTTGAGTAAACATACCAATGTTCATTTATTATTTTGTCCTTGGACATTTAATTTGCTTACAAGCTTTAGATATAATAAATAATATTGCTATCAATATGTTTGTTTATAAGAATTTTTTTACTTTTTAAAAATTCCACGTTTTTAGGGTTTTCTTATCCTAAATCTCAAGTTATAATTTTTGAAAGAAAAAATGCACAGAATTATAGACGATTATGTTAATTTATTAATAAATTTATTGATAAGAGTTGTACTGCTTTATACTAAAATCATTCTTTATGAGCTTTCTATGGCTCTGCATTTTTGCAGATATAAGGTATTATTTCTTAATCGTATATTCTAATTTGCTTCAATTTGCTCTTCTTTAATTATTGATTAGCATAAACATGTCTTCACATACGTTGTCTTGCTTTATCTCTTCTGTGGTTTAAAATCCTTTATTAACATGCATTTTACAAAACAATAAGTAAATTATATAGTATATAACTAAACGAAGCAATGGGTTATGTTTTCAAATCATATGTTCAAATTCTATCATATAAATCAGTTTTTGTGAATGATGAATGTTTATTTTTCAGGATGTCAGGTGATTGATAAGTAGCGTGGTGTATTTAGGTGAAATATGGTGAAAAATATCACATTAACAGAAATATATAATATTTAAATTTACTGGTACACCTTCACATTCTTAATAATAATAATGATGTTAGGAGTTACACTAGTATTGCATCATTCTGTTAATTTAAACAATAGCCCCAAACTTATCTCTGGGCCTTTGGTATTTTTCAAAATTGTCTAGAGATTCCAAGATACAGCCAGGGTGGAGAATCTATTATACAGGCTAATAGATTTTGCATTTGTTAAATTTGCTTTTTTGTCGTTATAATTGTGTGACTGACTACCATTTGATATAGTGAGTAAATTACTGATGCAATTGCTATAACTAAATAGAATTGAAAATATAAATAGTGAACAGATTTTCATGGGGATTATAGATTGAAATCTACTGGCACAAATGAATGAAAGAAGTGATGCTTTTGGACAAGCAGATAATAGGGAAAATTCAAAAACCAAAGGATAGCCTGAAACTGGATTTACCAGTGAATCATTTTATTCCTATTTCTGTGTCATATATTATTTAAAAAGATTATCAAACAGTAAAAAATATTTGTAAAATATTTTTGCATGACTTTGCAAGGAAAGCACGGTGTCCCAACTATTAAGCCATTTGTTTATTCAGCAAATTGTGTAGACTCTTTTAATTTTTAAATCTGTTTTGATACAATTTGTCAGAAAACTAAAGAGATATCATTTGAAGTTGAATAAATTATTATGAAAGCAGAAAATAGCATATTACTACTGAGAAGTTTGTAAAAGCAGTCATATAATTAATGACAAATGTTATTGCTGGAGAGAAAGTAAATGAGCCTAAGAGCACTATTGGATGTTGCATAATATTACTGGTATAAAATACTTAAGAGAGTTTCCTATCACACATTCACACTAGTAATGTATTGATTCACAGTTGTCTAAAGTCTTCTATTCACAGTGTAATGAACAAGCCTTTGACATACGTATAGTTCACACATAGAAATATTCTAAAGATTTATAATTCAATTTTATGCTACAGAAAAATGGATTTTTTTGAATTGACAATATTCTGTAAACCACAATGCAGATTTTAAAAGATTCATCAAAAGTCAAAATGATGTTTGGAGAAAAAAGGCCAATGCTACTTAAATAAAACAATTTGTGTGTGAAGGTCAATCCAAACATTTTTTATCCTGGCAACATTGTTGGCATTCAATTCTATGCCTCTTCATCCTGATTTAGCGTTGGAGAAAATAGCGAACATTGAGAATAATATTAAATTACATATGCTTTTCTAGTACTCTAAAAGAAAGGAACACACACTATAAAATAGGTATTCTCTCCTCAATTTTATTGTCTGTGTTTCTTAATATGTGTTTTTAGAGTGAAACATAGATATATTTATTTCTACTTATTTATTTTTCTTTTATTTATTTAAGATTCAGTCATGGAACCAAACTAAGTGTCCATCAATGGTTCATTGGATAAAGAAAATATGGTGCATATACACCATAGAATTGAATCAAATCACAATTTTGATTGCAGCAACATGGATAGAGCTGGAGGCCATTATTGTAGGTGTACTAAACCAGAAACAGAAAATGAAATATTGCATGTTCTCACTTCTAAGTGAGAGCTGAACAGTGACTTCACATGAACATAAAGATGGAAATAATAGACACTGGGTAATCCAAAAGGAGAGAGGGTGAGAAAAGTTGAAAAATTACCTATTGAATACAATGTTCAGTATTTGGTTGATGAGTTCACTAGAAGCCTAATCCTCACCATTATGCAACATACACATGCAACAAACATGCACAAATTTATTTTTAGAAATAATTACCTGGTGAAGTTGGCCACATTACCCAAATATGGTATGTGACTGATGTTTCCATTGTCCTTATGGGTCTTGTATAATCTTTTGAACTTATTAAGGCTGAAGCTCCAGTTTTGTCCTCACAGGCTCAGTAGTTTGTTTTGGTTAAAAAACCCAAGAGACTAGATCCAATTATTAGAGGTACATGAATTAAGTTCTACAGGGCCTAGAACATGAATGAATAAAACTTGAGTTCCACTATATTATTTTTTCAATGAAAAATATATTTGTATCTGAGGTCAGAAAGTTTGCATCAGTGCAATCATCACTTTCTTTTCTGGTATGTATCCCATGGGTAAGAATCAAAGAAAATATACCAAAAGTAAATAAACATCACCTAAAATCTGATCAAGACATGAAACTATTGTTGAAATTATTCTATATAAATTTTAAATGTTATAATATCATGTCTCAAATTTTGTATTCTTTAATATTTTTCCCATAATATTCATAACAATCTTTGGATATCTTACCTTAGTGCCTACATAATAACTTTTTATATGAATATATTATAGTTTAGTTTGTTACTTACGTAAAGTAGGTGATTATATTATCTCTAATATTCAGCAATTATAAATAAATATGTAAAAGATTTTTTTGTTTGTCAATATTTTCCTTTATTTATCTTATGAGAGGGTCCAAAATGTAGAACTGTAATGCACTAAAATATTAACATTGTAAGGTACCTCACAACATATTCCTATGTTGGTTTCTAACATGTTTGCAATAATCAATCTTTTGATTAGCAGTATTTAAGAATGCCCTCATAATCCCAGCAGTTTGGGAGGCTGATGTGGGCAGGTTGCTTGAGCTCACGAGATCTACACCAGCCTGGCAACAGGGCAAAATCTTGTCTCTACAAAAATACAAAAAGTAGCTGATATGATCCCAGCTACTCAGGAGACTGAGGTAGGAGGATTGCTGGAGCCCGGGAAGTCGAGGCTGAAGTGAGCCAAGATCATGCTACTGCATTTCAGCCTGGGCAACAAAGCGAGATTCTGTCTCACACAACAAAAAAAGATTTTGAACCTCATTACTATACAAATTTCAATAAATATAAAATACAATTATTTTACAACAAATTTGACAAAACATAAATATAACTTGTGTCTAATGGAGTTAGACATTTTTTTTCTTTTTTTTTGGCCTGCCTCGACATCTTAAAGTGCTGGAATTATAGGCATGAGCCACCACACCTGGCCTCAAAAATCTTAATATGTTAATTAACCTTCTTATTTTTTATAATAATTATTAATTTTTTAAAAGAATTAGTCATTTTTCTGATTTGAATTACTAAAATAAATTGTATTATATATATAATCCTTTTATTTAAAAGTGCTAAATTATAAAATAAGAGCATATTATTATTAAATGATTTAAAAATCCAGAGGAGGAGGAAGGGGAAAAGGAAAAGACAAAGAAGGGGAAGAAGAAGAACAAGAGAACAGTAAGAACAACATAATGAGCGACACAATGCAGTTTCACTCCCAGACATAACCACTGAAAATATATGTTTATAATTTATCAGTCACACACACACCCTTACATAAAGCAATGGGAACATGATATGGCTTGGCTTTGTGTCCTCACCCATATCACATCTCAAATTGTAATCTCCAGGTGTTGAGGGAGGAACCTGGTGAGAGGTGATTGCATATTGGGTGGTCTCCTCCATCCTCATCTCCTGATAGTGAGTTCTCACCAGATCTGATGGTTTTATAAGGGGTTCTTCCGTCTTTGCTCTCTCTTTCTCTCTCTTGCCACCTTGTGAAGAGGTGCTTGCTTCCCATTCATCTTCCTCCATAATTGTAAGTTTCCTAAGGTGTTCTTAGCCATACGGAATTGACTAAACCTCTTCCCTTTATAAATTTCCCAGTCTTGGGTACGTTTTATAGCACTGTAAAAACAGACCAATACAGCACTTTATTTAAAATTACCAAGTCTGTTTTCTTATAAGCAAGATAGGAACAGAAGTAGTACTTTTTTTGTAGGTTTTGTGATTATAAAATAACAATTTTTATGCGAATACTTAGCATTCTTCAAGGCTCCTAGTAAGTGTATTATGAAATATTTACTGGGTTATTGAAGTGATTGTCCTACTAGGTGACTACTATGTAATTAAAAAAAAATCCCTTCTTGTTAGACATTTCGTTTGCACCCTTTTGAAGTCTGTTTTGTCTGTTTCAACCCTTACCCTTCTTTTGAAAAAGAACAAATTTTTGCTTAATTGCTCATATCTAAGTTTTGCTAGTTGTGCTACTTAGTTGTGAGAATTTCGGAAGGAACTATGGATTATATCCTCATTGCAATTTGAAGTGTCTGACGACAGAGTCTATAAAAGAAAAGGGAGTAGATGGAGAACATAAATCACAGTGTTAAAAAGAAACAACACTGAATATCTAATGGAGGTTTTGGTAAAGTCTAAATTGGTTTTCTAGCATACATAAAGTTATTTAAAATGCCTGAAGCAACTGACATTAGTGAATGCCATTATACATTATACCATGTGTTAGTTGGCTAGGGCTGCCTTCTCGCGTGTCCTAACTTGGTCTTGGTCTTTTCTCTGTGTGCATATGATCTTGGTGTCTCTTTTTCTTTCTTTTTTTTTGAGACGGAGTCTCGCTGTCTCCCAGGCTGGAGTGCAGGGGCGCGATCCCTGCTCACTGCAGGCTCCGCCTCCCGGGTTCATGCCATTCTCCTGCCTCAGCCTCCCGAGTAGCTGGGACTACAGGCGCCCACCACCACGCCCGGCTAATTTTTTGTATTTTTAGTAGATAGTAGAGATGGGGTTTCACCGTGTTAGGCAGGATGGTCTCCATCTCCTGACCTCGTGATACGCTCGCCTCGGCCTCCCTAAGTGCTGGGATTACAGGCGTGAGCCACGGTGCCTGGCCTCTTTTTCTTATAAGGGCAAAAGTCCTGTTGAATTAGAGTGCAACCATTAGGACCTCGTTTAATCTTCATTACTTCCTTAAAGGTCCTATCTCCAAATACAGTCACATTGAGACTCAGGGCTTCAACATGTGGATTGGAGGAGGAGACACAATTCAGTTCATAACTTTCTACCCTCTGGCTATCCAAATTCCATGACCTTTTTGAATTCAAAATACATTCCCCCCTTCCCCAAATACTCAAAAGACTTAACTCATTCCAGCATCAACTAACTCCAAGTCCAGAGTCTCCCAAATACCACCTAAGCTAGGTATGGTTGAGACTTAAAGTGTGATTTATCGTGAGGCAATATTCTTCTTCAGCTGTGAACCTATGAAACTAGACAAGCTATGTGCTTCTAAAAGAAAATAGTAGCACAGGCATAGGATGGACATTCCCATTGAAAAAGAGAGAAATGTTGAAAACAAGGTGGGGGTAACAGGTCTCAATCAAGCCTAAAACTAAGCAAGGCAAATTTTATTCGACCTTAATGCTTGAGAACAATAGACTGGATGGATGCTCTGGTCTCTGGGCCCACTCCCACTGGGGTGACAGTCCCATCTATGTCGTTAGCCCTAGGCAGTGCAATAGGCCAACCCTTTGAAACTGAGGAGACAACCTTGGTACCTTGGTGTGTGTGCTCTTTGAGTTCTGGTTCCTTTTTGGTTAACAATTTTTTCCTCAATTCATCTCTATCCTTTCACATTTTACTTTAAGCCAAACTTGTCCAACCCACAGCCCATGGGCCACACACAGCCCAGAACAGCTTTGCATGTGGCCCAACACAAATTCATAAACCTTCTTAAGACATTATGAGACCTTTTTTGGCAATTTTTTTTTTTTTTTTTTTTTAGCTCATCACCTATTGTTAGTGTCAGCGTATTTTATGTGTAGAGCAACACAATTCTTCCACTGTGGCCCAGGGAAGCTGAAAGATTGGACACCCCTGCTTTAAACAGTACTGGGAGCCCAGGCTGTACCATAAACACTTTGCTTAAAAATCACATCTGCTAAATATCCCAGGTAGGCACTAACAAGTTCTATCGTCCACAAAACACTAGAACACAATTCTGCCAAGTTCTTTGTCATTTAATAACAAAGATTGCCTTCCAGTTTCCAAGAACATGTTCTTCATCTTTATTCAAGACCTCCCCAGAATCACTTAGCATCTTTGTTCCTACCAACCATTCCTTCTAGGCAATCTAGGCTATTTCTAACACCTGCCTCAAAACACTTTGGGCCTCTTCCTATTCCCCAGTGCCAAAGCCACTTCCATATTTTTAGGTGTTTGTTACGCCAACACCTCATACTCTGTACCAAAATCTGTATTAGTCTGATAGGGCTGCCCTAACAAAATATGACAGACAGAATGCCTTAAACAATAGAAATTTGTTTTTCACAGTTTTAGAGACTTGAAGACTGAGATCAAGGTGCCAACAGAGCTGGTTCTGCTGAGGTCTCTTCTTGGTTTGCGGAAGACTGCCTTCTCACTGTGTTCTCACCTGACCTTTCCCCTGTGTAAGTACCTTCTCGACTCACTTCCTTTTGTTACAAGGACACCAGCCCTGTTGGATTAAGGTGCCATCCCAATGATGTCATTGGGATAGGGCCCTAATTGTCTTTTTAAAAGTCTTATCTTCTGCCGGGCGGGGTGGCTCATGCCTGTAATCCCAGCACTTTGGGAGGCCGAGGCGGGCGGATCACGAGGTCAGGAGATTGAGAATGTCCTGGCTAACACGGTGAAACCCTGTCTCTACTAAAAATATAAAAAAATTATCCCGGCATGGTGGTGGGCGCCTGTAGTCCCAGCTACTTGGGAGGCTGAGGCAGGAGAATGGCGTGAACCCGGGAGGCGGAGCTTGCAGTGAGCCGAGATCGCGCCACTGCACTCCAGCCTGGGCGACAGAGTGAGACTTCATCTCAAAAAAAAAAGTCTTATCTTCAAATACGGTAACAATGAGAATTAGGACTAAAACATGGTGATTTGAAGGAGACAGCTATCAGTCCATAATATTCAGTAAGGATTTTGGAGTCATTTTGGTATTTCCCTTGAGATGTCTGGTGATACTGGCCAGAAGGTGGCTGTAGAAAATTTGGGTTACTTTGTGAGACAGAGAAGGATGATGCTGTTATCCCCAAATTTGAGCCTACTGTGTAACATGCTTTAGCTACATCCTAAAAAAAATTGTCAAAGATAAATAACTATAAATA
The DNA here is from genome assembly GCF_000001405.40 of Homo sapiens. Lineage (NCBI taxonomy): Eukaryota > Metazoa > Chordata > Mammalia > Primates > Hominidae > Homo > Homo sapiens. The sequence goes on from NC_000013.11 coordinate 68,367,420, forward strand.
ATGGTTAACGCTTCTGTTGTTAGATTTATTATACCAAGAAGTTAATATCATCCTCTGGTTACAGGATAAGCTTGGGAGGGAAATTGCAGAAGCCACTCTGGATTAATGTATCTAGACTCTGTATTAGTAAGGAAATTAGACCTCACTAGGACTTCATGAGTAATCTAGATTAAGCATTTTTCAGAAACTTCTCATGAGTTTGCAGGCTAAAAATAAATATCAAATTCATGGACACCCAACACTTAAGCAATTGGAGTATTTCACTTATGGGAGAAAGAGTGTGTGCAGATCAAAGTGAAATGGTTCAGGACTCTTGATCAGTTACATTGTCTAGGGCCAGATTTACCAGTGACTGTGTTGCTACCATAGGAAATAAATTTAAAAAGACTTCAAACTTCTAGTTAAAGACTCTTGTTCCCATAGATCATAAAAAGCATGTGAAGAGTATTTACCAGGGATAGGAGAAGAGGCTTTGAGACATGTTTATTTTGTGGTCCCGAATCCTGTTCTACTAAATTAGTTATATAAGACATACCCACATTAACATTTTCTTTAAATAAAATTACACTGAACCTCCATCATTCTACATTAGCAGAAAATTCATCTTAGTTATGACTGGGGCTCCCAAGGTCAGGCAAAGGAAGTTGGGATTCTTAAACACATCAGAGCACTTAGTGAGATCCTTCTGATCTTTGGTCCATAACAATTATTGGTAATATTTTCATTGATCCTTGAAGATAGGAGCCTTGCACCTTGGAGTTATGCCTGGTAATAGACATAGAAGCTTAGAGCCTGGTGTCTATGGCCTGGCATCCCAAGGTGCACCATTGAGCACTTCATCTCTGAGGTTCTACTAGCAGGCCTTGTCTATCACATTAGCACAATGAAACAAACAAACAGAATTCCTTAACTTTTCAAAATCAAATGCTACTAAAGGCATTTGTCATGATGAAGTTTTTTTCTTTGTTCTTTGCAGCACAATCTTCTCAAAATAAGAAAACATAAAATCAGAGAAATCCTTTCAAAAATAGAACATTTAATGGTTAAGACAAAAAAAATGGGGATGGATAAAGCAAGAAAAAAGTCCAAATTAATATCTGCATTCATTGTTCTTCTGTAATATGAACATGCTTCTAAAATGCCGTAAGGATGATAGGCTTAAAAGATTGAGAACTGATAAAAGGTAGGTAAATATTTGGATGCTATAACATTAGGACTTGTTCATTGAATGACAGCATCAATAACTTATATTTTGATTCTGGAACATTTTGAATCTCTAGAAAATCCACACAGTAGGTTGAATTTTGCCTCCCATTACAAGTCTAGCACATAAACTCTTTCCCTTCAAAAATCAATGATTTATTTGCATGTATATTCAGTCTGGAGGGCACATTGTGGGAGTCTAAAAAATTTGGTGGATTACATTTTTGGTAATTATAATGCAACAAGTCAGCAGAGAAATTATTAGTAGATTAGAGAGAAAAAATATTAATATTTTTAAAAACTTTATTGGTTAACTGAATGGTTAAGCGAATTTTATAGATCACACAAGGTTCTCTTAGTCTAACTCAGTTTGAATTCCCATTAGGCAGTTTGCTGTATACAAGATAAAGAAATAAACGATCTACCAAGTTTTTTGGTGAGTAAGTTTATAGCACTGCTTCACACAACAGTACTGCTTCATAAATTCCTATATACACACTAGAAATTGGTGCAAAGGGCACTGAACAATTAGCATTTGTTTTCTCTAGGACTTCTGCAAATTTTCTAACACTGAAGTTTCCCAGGGGAGAGAAGTTGGAGAATAATCAGAACAAGTCTGATGACACTGTGTTCAGAGGAATTACAAAAATAAAATAAAAAATAGGTTTAGCTCAATTACAAAATAAGATAAAATAATATAAAATAAAATTATTACATTGTTGGTTTGAGAGGGAACTAGGTCTGAAAAGTCAACATTGTAGTGCTCTTTTTGGATGTATGCCAGTGCTGTTATATTAAGAGAATGTTACAGTAAAAGACAGATTTTAAATATTTGAGATCCATTTCTTCCCTCAACTTCTAAAGAGGAAAAACCATTTTCCTGTTTGACCACTAACCTAAGTAAAACACCCTTTAGTAAACAGGCCAGTGATGGAACAGACCATATATCAATATGAGAAGGGATGAAGGATTCAAAGGGGCGAAAAAGGATAAATTGTAAAATTGGAATGCATAGAGGAAGAGAGAGGAAAAGGAAGCTGAGTGAGTAAACAATTGTTAGCAAAAGTGGAACATATGAGGAAGAGAACATTAAAGACTTTCTTTTTTTTAAGGTGATGGTTCATTGTTCATCTCCTGTCGGAAACCTACATTAAACTACTTCATTACTTTTCAGAGGTTTAACATTAAATTTATGCTTCTTTAAATGTCATGTAATGCGAAACTGGCCTTGAGATGGCTTCTGTATGTTTGGATTACAAGTGCATAAAATGAACTATGGATGAGCGGTTGCCAGGCAGAAGAGAGAATGAGAATAAAGTAGCTAAGAGGTGGCAGCAAGCATGAAGAGTGGCTGAGTCATTGTTTGTAAGTGGCGAGTTATCCTCTGCGGTAGAGCTTGCTCTGTTTTGATTAGCTGTAGGTGTGGAAGCCTGTGTCACTCTTCTCTCATCCATGGCTCTAGGTTCTATAGCTCTTTATGAATTTTTAAAGCCACAATGTTTGATTGTTTCACTTTTCTATATTTGAATGTGTTTCTTAATAATATATCCCTTCCTAAATTGTTCTATATTTCAGGAAAACCCTAAAGTTTCTTACATAAAAGATAGTAAGTTCACTTTTCATTGAAGAAGAATTTTTGCTTTTTCAGTCATTCTAGGATATAATATTTCATGGAATGTAATGGTGTAATATATAAGATCTAAAATTGTAGAATATATTACAGAAGGTTTGGTCAAAATTAACCTTTAGTATTATGGATGTTAATTTCTTCTATTAATTCTGTTTATTTTGCTGAATTGTAATGTTTCTCTGAGGAAAGCATTAGCTAGGCTGTTATGAAATACACTATGCTACTCACCTGTAGGATATTCACACTAGGTGGGACTCTAGAGATAAACTAGACAGTGGGGACATCTATCCTCATTTGCAAAGAAAGAGCAAATTCTGAATGGCCAGATCAAAATTTATTTTTCTTGTAAGAAAAAATATAAAATTTCTACTTGATCTAAATTTTAGTTTCAGCACTCAATTAAAATGGCAGTTTTCTTTAAAGTAAAGCTAATATTTAATTTTCAAGTCATTTGTTCTTAGGACTAATGTTTTGTTTGCAAATAATTAAAGTGTAATTGAAATATGCAATACAACTGCAATGTTTTAGATAAGAACTGACATTTAATATCCAGTATTTTTTAAATATTAATTTATGAGTGAAAGAAAATGTTGAAATAACTTATATATGTCTATTCGGCTAACAAGCAATGCCCTATTAATGAATGGTTAGACTTCCCTGGGCCAGTCTCAAATTAATTGATTACCAATTAAAATAAATATTAGAGCTAATATCAGACAGTGAAGTTCAAAAAGTGCTTCAGAAAACTTATGATATATCCATTTTTTCTCCATGTTTATTAGTAGAATTCTGCTCTCTGTTCCTATGACTTCATCCCTTTATTTCTGTTATATTGTCCCCAGTAGATTCATTTATAGCTGAGTATTTCCCCAACCCTCCAATTGTGCTCCCATGAAAACACCAACATTTCTTTTTTGTTGTTTGTTTGTTTGATTTTGTTTTTTGAGACAGAGTCTCGTTCTGTCACCCAGGCTGGAGTGCAGTGGCATAATCTCAGCCCACCTCAACCTCTGCCTCCTGGGCTCAAGCGATTCTCCTGACTTAGCCTCCCAAGTAGCTGGAATTACAGACTCCCGCCAAAATGCCCAGCTAATTTTTTTTTTAATTTTTATTAGAAACAGGGTTTCACCATGTTGGCCAGGCTGGCTTTGAATTCCTGACCTCAAGTGATTCACACCTCGGCCTCCCAAAGTGTTGGAGTTAGAGGCGTGAGCCACGGCACCTGGCCCACCAACCTTTCTTTATGCCCAATCTCTTCATGAAATGCATTGCTTCTGGCTCTAATGAAAATGTGAAAGTTCTTTAAAGAGACTGGCTGTTCCTATTGCAGCCTTCTAGAATTGAAGGCACTCATTCATTATGCTCCATATACCATCTTAGCTGCAGCAGTTATATTTGACATAACTACTGGGATGTGTCCAAACCAAAATCTTACTGAGGATGAGAGGAGACACGGGCAAGAAAAAATGATGAGATGCGAAGGGGACAAATGGGCAGTTGGACAGAGACAGTTGAATTGGTATAACTATGAGAGAGAGAAACAGAGAGAAACAGCATACTTTGTTTTACATAATTTTCAAATAATGGCAGTGGCCTAGAAAGAAACCTCAATGCACCGGTGATGAAACAGAAATTGACTGATGAGTTAGGAATTTAGGACCAAAGACAGAAAACTTCTTACAGTCTTGATGTAAGCAAAACATTTCTATGCTGGAGAAAAACAAAACACCTTTTAGGGAAATGTAGTACATATGGAATGTCTTTTAGTGATACTTCCTTTCACTAACACACTTAGACTTCAATTCTACTTCAATTCTTCAATTCAATCTAATTCTCCTGTTCTATAAAATTATATGTGTGGCAAGAAAAAGAATTATGTGACATGGATGCCAAACTAGGGAAGATAATAAGAAAAGGCAAATTGATTTCTAATAAATTAATGGATTTGTGCATCTTTAATTAATGGAAAATTTTATAATGTGTCTTTGGAGATCTAACAGAATATTATTACACATAGGACATATGGGACATACAGTTTTTAACTTCTTTTGCTGAAAGTTAATGGAAATAAAACTAATACAAATCATGGAGTTTGCCCCTGTGAAATTATTCCTTATGTGTGGGCTGGCACAAGTTTCAGTAGGAGTCTACATGCATCTCATATAAATCTTCATTTGGATTCCATATAAGCAACTGAGGATGTTATGTAAAAGGATCTTGTGTAAAGGCAACATGTGTGTAAAATCAATATTTTATTCCCAATTCTAATAATTGTTGATTTATGATTATTAAAATAAGATACATTTAGAATCAGTTCTTTTAGAGTTGCCAAGATTATATTTATCTTTTTCCTACAATATGTCAATATTGGAATCTGACACACAGAAAGATAGTACACTGCAATAAAAAAGAAGCAAACATACTAAAGTGGAATTAACTTTAAGAAGCTCTGACAGATGCAAAGTGCTTCACACACATTTCTCTGTGTTGTTTAACATATGTTGTCAATTAAAAATTGCTTAAGAAATATTTAACAAGACAAATCTATCACATTCAAAGGCTGAGAAAATAGTTTTTGCATATATGTGTCTTATTTTACTTTTGAATATTTATGTTAAAAATCGAAGTTTATTTGCTCAAGTTATGCCTTAAGTATCTTTTTGAAAGACGTATTTTTCTGATATTGTTTTTCAAAGGTGGTACGCACATTTCCATTGTTAACATTTCGTGACTGATTGTACATAAAATATTTAACATAATGAATGGAGGAGGCATTTATCTCCATTTTACTTATTTTTTAACTTTGTTGATGCCACATGGCTATTTTAATTTTAGAGCTTAATTATTTCTAGAGAGTGAAGACTGCACATTAGAAAAGGAGTATTGAGATATACACACATAGATATGTGTGTATTATATTTTCCATTGCAAGAATGGGGGTCAATAGTTGCCACATAGAAAGAATCAAAACCACTAATTTACATGATGAGAAATATGTTAACTGAAACCCACAAAGTTTACAAAACAACCTTTACAACCCAACTGATCCCACAGCATAATCATTGTCATATTTTGCAATATCAATTGTTAGGTGATAATTTAGTAGTAGGGAGATAGCAACACCTCCAGCAGTGTCTATGATAGTATGAGTGGGTAGTCTAGTTTAGTCCCAGATTGAAAGAGGTCCTGATAACCATGTTAATTAGATTAGGCCTCAGGCAATTTTACAGTACTGTTCATTGTAAGACCCAATAGATATAGCTGTGATCTAACAGGGAATGATAAAGACCAACAAGCAAACAAATTAATTATGAGGCAAAATAAACCAGATATGTTTTCCAAATTTCTGCAGCTCTTTCAGGAAGCAGATTTCTGGTGTTGAAAAACCAGATGAGGTATTGGGTCAGTAAGTACTTTGGTGCACATACATTAGTTTAGTGATGAATAGGTTTATTTCTTCATTCATTCATTTGTTCATCCAATTGGAGTGTTGGCTTTCCATAGGCATGCAAGTGCTTGTGCTGGGTATTGTGGATACACTAAAAAGTGCCTTTGCCCATGTATCTGTCAGTCAGCAGGCCCATCATTTCTATGCTATGTCAAAAATATGTCTAACAACATGACATAACTGAGGAGATTTCTCCAGAAAATACTGCAGCAGTTCTTATGAAGCGGACTAGCTTTCCTATCTGTGTATAAACAGAGGCTAGTATTGACATTTTACTATAAGGAAGTCACATAGAGGTATCGATTAGTGTCAGTGAACAGACAGTCGAAGCAAATACAGATCACTGGTGCTCACTCTTGAAACTGCCTATATTTTAGTACTATTCATTTTGTAACCCTAAAAGAACATAAAAAAGAAAAAAAGGAAAAGAGAGGGAGGTAGGAGGGAAGTTATTTTGATATGTCTAGCAGACAAATCATTTTGACTCTTTTGTCATTCTTTCTGCATATTTAAAATATCACTCGAGGATCTTGAGTAAGTTTTATATTTATTATAAATCCTGTTTTCTCCTGGTTATAATTAATATTTTTTGAATTCCAGGTAAAACTTTTGTTAATTAACTGTTAATATTTTAATTTTAACCTAGTTTTTCTAATAATAAATGTTCCTGAGCTTCCTCCTAATCTCCTTTATTCCTCACTTAATTTGCAAATTGACAATTTTCAAGAGTACCATTTAACTAAAAAAAAGGGTAAAATGTTTATAGATTTATATATTTATAACTTACTTTCTGTATTGTTACTTTATCATGCAGTTTCTTTTTGAAAGATGAACATGTTATGGCTTTGGAAAAGTAAGATTCCAGTCTCTTTAGCTAGAGGCTGGAAAATAATAACTTTATAACGGTTCTCTCCTTTCACCTTGCTACTAAAATAGCTTTTGTTTTCAGATCAAATGTAATCTCAAGTTTCATGTATGTGTTCATTCATATCCTTATTTCAGTGAAATTGCTAAGAAGTCTGTAAATAATTATTTCTTGCAATTTCCATCCTCCTCTTTGAGATTGCAATACACATATCTTTATATTAAAACTTATGCTTGAGTTGCCGTAGAGGTACATGGAGAGTCATTAAATGCCAAAGACCAATTATTATACCTAATTCCACTAGATATGAGAAAATGAGTTTAATGACTGGTCACAGAAATCATTTGCAATATATGTGTGCATGTCTGTGTGTGTGTGTGTGTTCATGTGTGTGTGTGTCCTGACACCTGCAGAAATACTTTTCTAAGTGTTTTTCTCACCAGTTTTGTTATGAGCTTACTTCTGCACCCAAATCAGGCAGCATAAAATGTCTTCAGAAACAAAACTGCCAATGCAATCCTTTGAACTTTCATTATTTCATTGAAAAATCTATAACCCATTTTTTCACCTGCCAGTCTAGATGTCTCACAGAAAGTGAGAGTTTATAGCAGCAGAGAAGTGGTTGAGCGGGCAATGACAGCTGAGGTTGAAGTAAATAGATTTCCCATACAAGATCTGGAGCTGTCAACGCTGTCAGTCTACATTCTCATGATAAGCTCACCATTTTAAACCTTTGGCAAGATTTTTCCTAGCCTTCTCCCCACTTTGTTTAATCTCATGGTGCCTCATACATCTCACTCTGGTGGCAGCAGTGTGTAATAAGTTCAATGACTGTTTCTACTCTGAAAATATTGGAGATATTGCTGTCCTACCTATCATAGAAATGCAAGTGATTCTCCACTCCAGGGGGTAATACATGTAGACAAGACTCCCTCAGGGTCCAATACTTATCCCACTTTGGTGTTAACTATAATGTTTAAAATTTAGAAAGAGTTTAAAAAATATATGCCCTTCAGTGCTGCTAGTATATGGGTAAATTTTTTGTAACATTGTATTTATTTTAATTCTGCTCATGGCAGTGAAATCAGTTTTAAAGACACTCTCTTTCCAGCTTACTCTCTGTAGTTCTAGACACCTAAGATTACCCTGGTCTTTTTAGAAAACACAGTCCCTTGATTCCACCGCCTTTGCATTATGCCTCATTCCTGTCAGGTTCTCATTTTCTTTCGTATCAAATTAGATTACTTAATTTGTTAATATAATCACTTCTTTGATGACATAAAATATTCTTTCATCACTCTCATTTCATTTTACTACTCGCCCCTGCATTCAACCAAGTATCTGAATATAACTAAACAAAACACACACACTTCACAGTTTTGGCCAGGAAGTTCAAATATGCCTTTCTTCTCCTTGTCAGTCATACCTTATTTTTTCTGCCGTATTTACTCTCTAATTCTCAAACACTGAGCATTTCTTCTTCCAAATATCATTGAAGTTGTTGACTTTAATTTTTAATTCACTGAAAAAGTAGAAAGTAGCAGAAGATGTTTCCATTGCTTTTACTACACAGATCTCTCTACAGTGTTGTAATAGTGGCCACCCAACCAGACTGCACGCTAATTTAATTGCCTAAACTGTCTGAGCTATGTCATTCCCTTGCATATTGTATCCCATATCTTGTAACTTAAGAAAGGACATTTTTTTTCTGAAAGCGCTCCTCTTTCTTTTTCATCAGAGCTTTTCTCTTTATTGCAGATTCCCTTTACCTCAATATATTTCACTCAAAATGTCCTAATATATTTCACTCAAAAACAAAAAAAAAAATGCAAAAGAAAACAAACTCCCTTGACTCTATAAAATACCTTTTTGTCTTTCTCCTTTAAGAAAATATCTCAAACGGCTTCAACTTAGTCAATGGTCCCATTTTCTCCCTTTTTTATTCTCTTTCCAACTCACTTTCAACCCATCACTTGACAACATTACCAGTGACTTTCATATCTTTAAGCCTGACTTTGACTTTGAACAAAACTTGAAAGAAATAATCTTTTATTTATCTTCTTTTGCATTTGAGGAAATATTTCAGAATTATTTCTCTTTAGATCTCGTATTGTGCATATATGTAATACATTTTATTAATAGTTACCACCTAATGAACATGATGACCTTATTTAAAAACAAAAACAGTAAAAAAAAAATTTTAAACAATCAGAAATACTAGAATAGTGGCTTGTTACTAAGTGTTATTAAGGGACTACAACATGGTGCTTGTATTAAAAAAAATAATTCTCCTTCTTAGAAAAATGTATTAAATATTTACCATCTAATGAAGTTGCTTTGCATTCTCTTAATAATCTTTTCATAATAGAGTTACAAATTCTTCTGGTATTCCTCTGAACTCACACTACCTTTCAGTTCTCTTGATTATCTGTCAGAGGATCCAGACCATTTTGTGCATAGCTGTGTCTAACTCAGAATATTATAGGACATGCAATAGGTACTCATTAAGTATTAGTAGAATGTCTTAAAACATTAGTTTTCTATATCCTATTTTCATAAGTAATATTTGTCAGCTTTTAAATATTAGCTCAAAATATAAGAAAATATAGAAACAATTTAGTTTAAATTAATTCATTTAATCTAAATGAAATAAATCTTTTAGTTTAAAATATAAGGTTATGTATACACACATACACATACATATGTTTTACACACAGATACACACATATATCTTTATATATAAAGAAAAAGAGAAAGAGAGAATGAGTAGATTCAGAATAAATTCTTCAAGCCTTTTCTTCACACAGTAATCTCTTCCATTTTTTCTGCCTGTTTTTCTCCTACTGGTAATGTTCTATTCTGGTACTCAGATGTGATTCTCTTTCTCCCTCCTTGTATAATGTTCATGTCTTTCTCTCCATTATTCATTCATTCTTCTTCCTTATCTCACAAATATCTACAGATTTAAAACTTACTTTCATTTCACAAGATTTCTTGTTTCTTTCTGCAAGAATAAATACCAAATTTTTATCAAATGTTTTCCAGCATCTATTGAGAAGCTTACGTTGTTTGTTTTCTTTATACATTAATGTTATCTACTTTATTAAAAGTTTTAGAGATATTAAATATTTTATTTGGAGTTGTTGGGGCATAGACATTGATTTATGGTGAATTTTATTCAAATCTCATTGAATTACAGCCTTGAGCATTTTCTTAGGATTTTAAGATTTTATTATTAATGTTAATAATTAATATTATTCTCTTCCTCTTTTACTCCTGTTGTGTATTTTGTTGTAATATGTAAAATGTATCGATTGTTTAAAATTTCAAGTTATTGGCTGGGCACAATGGCTTACGCCTGTAATCCCAACACTTTGGGAGGCCAAGGCGGGCAGATCATGAGGTCAGCAGAGCGAGACCATCCTGGCCAACACGGTGAAACCCCATCTTTACTGAAAATACAAAAATTAGCCGTGCGTGGTGGTGTGCACCTGTAGTCCCAGCTACTCAGGAAGCTGAGGCAGCAGAATTGCTTGAACCTGGGAGGCAGAGGCTAATGTGAGCCAAGATCGCGCTACTGCACTCCAGCCTGGGTGACACAGCAAGACTCTGTCTCAAAAAAAAAAAAAAAAAAAAAAAAAAAATCAAGTTATTTTGATGGGTTTAGATTACAATGTATTTATTCTTGGAAAATTTTCATGACTTCAATAACAAAAATTCTGTTGAGAATCTCCTAATAGATAAACAACTTTTTATTTATTTTTATTTTTGTGTTTAGATTTTACCAAGTGCATGTATATTATTATACGACTCCAGCTTCATCTTTATACTTTAACCTTGTTTTATTTGCTGGTACCTCATTCTTAAAAGCACAACACACTTGTACTTTCTTTGATCTGAAAAGTAAGGGCTGTGCTCTCTTGAGTGAATTATTTCCAAATGTTCAGTTATCTGGGGGATTTCAAATATTTAAACTAGTTAATGGATGGCTTAGTTTGTTTTGGCTGCTATAACAAAGTACTTTAGACTGGGTAATTTACAAATAATAGAAATTTAATTATCACAATTTTAAAGGTTGGAAAGTCCAGGATCATAGTACCAAGCAGATTCTGTTTCTGATCAAGGCTCATTCTCTGCTTTGTAGATGGCACTCCTTGCTGCACTCTTACATGGTGCAAGGGCTGAATGCTGTGTACTCACATGGCAGAAGGAGAAAACAGCTCCCTCACACTTCTTTTATAAGGTCATTAATCCCATTTATAAGGGCTTCACCCTCATTACTTAATCATCTCCTAAAGGCTTTACCTCTTAATATTATCGCATTGGCAATTAAATTTCAACACATGAATTTTGGAAGGACACTTCCAGATCATAGCATTAGTTACCTATTATTAATTTGGGTGCAAAATTAAGGCCTAGTGACTTCCAGGATAAAGAACAGTAATTTTCCAAAATGTAGGATATCTGATAATGATTAAAGAGTCTTCTTTTGATCCCTTTTCAGAGTAATTTCCTAAAAGACTACAAGGAAAAGAGGAATATATTGAGGACAAAACTATGTATTTGAGATTCCAACACCCTATCTATCTATCTATTTATCTATCTATCTATCTATCTGTCTATCCATTCATCCATCCAAGTAAAATGTTTCCTTTGCATTTTGAGAAAGTTTGCCATCAGATTTGGCAAACCAAGCAAGAGTAGTTCAGAAGGGTGGAACCACGTTGCTTCCTGCAACTTCATGCCTCTTCTTCGGCACTCCACAGTTCCTTTAGACCACATTCTGCCCCTTTTCAAGATCTGTTATTCAGTGGATCTGCCATGCCTGCTGACAGGTTTATGCTTTTTCTTCTAGGTGTTATTTTCTTCCCGACTTGCATCATCACTTGACAAACTCCTGATCAGTCATGTAACCATACGAAGATTTCTCATGTTACATACAGATATTGTCATTCCTTTCTTTGTCTATGTTCTGTTTATGTAAATAGTATCATTTAACTGTTTATACTATTACCTGTCCTATATGAACATAACTTTCAAGGTCTGGAATGACAAAAAAAATTATCTTTATTTTCCTTGATATATGGCAACAGAATTATATACACACATATGTAAGCAATATGATACTTTGGAATAAAAGTAAGAATTACACATCACGTTCTATCTATGTGGCACATAAACTGTTTTACTATATGCATGGCACAATTTGTTCTGTCATTTTCCTAATTCTATTGTTCTCAAACATTAATACATATGAGAATTATCTGCAGATGTTTTTAACATGGATATTTTTGGCCTCCACCTTGAGAGATTCATTTGTTCATTTTGAACAGGCACCCTTTTATTGTGATGCAGATAATCCACATATAACACTTCTAGAAGAAATTTGTGGCTTACACTAAACATTTTAATATATGCAGGACTCCACTGAAGCATAAAGTGAAACAGGCCATGCATGTTAAACCAAGATAGGATCAGATTAATTGAGACTACAGTTTTAATAAAGCTTTTGTGGCAATGCCCTTTCACCACTAGGTGCCATTGTTAATAATGTCTCATTCATTTTGTGATATGTGACATTTGAAGCTTTTCTTTTTCTTTATCTATAGACCTCAAATTCATGAATTGGATAATTAGTTCTATAATTCTGGATAGAGCAGAACAAGACTCTTTTCACATGCAAACCCTACTTTCTTGTAGTCTTTTATTTTTTCCTATAAGCCTTAAATTCCCTTGTTCCTGCTTGTGTCAATAAAAAGCGAGTGAGCTTTGATACCTCTGAAACCAAATATGCCAAAGTAGGGAACTGTGACTTGGGCTGATGCGTCTACCTCTCTCACACATCAAGCTGAAAGCTTTCTGCTTGTCTATCGATCTACACATTTAGACGGGTTTGACAAGCATGTTATTTTAGCAAGAAACAATACGAAAGGGAGAAAAAAATAACCTTCATTGTATTTAAGCCTCAGGCTGCTCAGGGCTTCACCCTGGGGGAATTGGATTCTTCTTCATAGGATGCAATTGTTGTCTGGCCTGAAATTTCCAATAAACCTGGAATTACTTTCAATTGCATTGAGTTAGACATGACCTCAAGGTAGAATTGTATATTAAGTGGATAACTGATGGTTGTTATTATAGGAAAAAAGACACACAAGCTCTAGGAATAGCAAATAAAATGAGTTGAACAGAGAAGTTGAACTTTTACCTAATGTTCACAATAAGAGGGTATACTATTTGCTAATGTCCTTTGGAGTGCTTTCATCTTTGCGGTGAGCATTTGTTTAGGAATTTATCTGTTAGGAACTTTGTTCTTGGTCTTTCTTGGCATTCTTTTAAATTTTGATTATAACACCACTTTCAACAATGATTGCAAAAACTAAAGTTTTGTATTATTTTGGCAGATAATAAACCTTTTCCTTTCTCCAAGTTTTGATTTATTCATTAATTCATGTATTTACAAATCTTTATTATTTCATACATATTTTTGTAACATCAGAACTATGTATAGTATTACAGTTACTTGGTTTTTGCTACTAATATGCTTCATAAAATATTAATTTAATTCTAGATATTTTTGGGTAATCATGGTTAACTTACTGCATTGTCTTATGTAGTAAGAAAAGTTTTAGAAAAAAATTATAAAATCTCTAAATAATTGGTAAAATATAATGAGTTTTAACTTTGTAGACATAGATGTCTAATTAAATCAAGTGTTTTGATATTTTAAGTTCAGAGTAATTATGATTTAGTCAGCTCATAACTATTCTCTATACCTGGCATCCTTTTCAGTCATTAAAGGAAATGTTTTACTATTTATGTCAAAAACAGTGTTTCCAAAAAATCTAACGATCCTACATTTTGAGTCATTAAAAGTAGTATACAGTAACTTCTTTCTTACTTTCAACAATAGGTTCCTGGAAACTGAACTTTAAGCAAAATGACACACAATGAAACCAGTTTCACTATAGGCTAATGGATATAAACAAGAGTTAAGTTCATATGCCATATTTTGGATCACAAAACACCATCAACTTCTAAATAAAGACCCAAAGCCATTCTAATATTAAACATGAAATGAATGTGAGTTATACATTCATTTAAGAAAGATCAATAAACACAAGTAAGAAAATTATATATCCAATTTTTGTTAGATCAATATGTGATGGCAATGGTAATGACGGTAGACTAAGTCAAGGAATAATTGTTTGCAGAGCAAAAATGGTAAAGAGCACCTCCTTCCATGTGATTCCAAAACAAATAACAAATATGGCTCTCCCTTAATGCTTTCAAAAGCATTGTTTATTGTCATCCATTTGTGTGACTAAGATTTTGCAAATGTTTATTTTATTTATATAATAATTTGTATTCATTTATTTTTCAACCCACTTTCCCATTTAAGAAAGATTAATTGTAACAATAAGACTATTATTTACCCATTTAGTCCAGTTCGGGGTCACTGGTGGCTGTATAGCCTATCCCAGTAGCTCAGGGTGCAAGGCAGGAACCCATGCTGCCATTGTCTTACAGGGCCCACTCACACACCCACATCCACACCCACACTCACTCATACTGGGACAATGTAGACACGCCAGTTCACCCTAATGTGCACAACTTTGTGATGTGAGAGGAAAACCCAGTTCCCAGAGAGAGCCCAAGCAGACATGGGGAGAATGGGCAAGCTCCACGCAGACAGTGGCCCTGGCCAAAAACCAATTTTTTTCCATCAACTTTATAACAAAACAACAATGAATGAGACAATATTATTTGAAGACCTGCTATAACTGTTTTCTAAATTAGTACAGTTGCTATAATAATAAATACTTCGGAAATAATTTTTGCTCTGAAGATTTTGCAGGTTAACCCATTTTTTTCTATATCATATTTAAAATCCAAATTAATGAACTATTTTATCAAAAAGTACTGCTAAATATATTTAGGCCTACATTTCAAGAAATAAATAAATAATGCATTTAGCATGTATTGATTATTTTACATTTCTTCAGGATATAGTTCAGTAATTTACTTAGCCTAAGTATGCTATTATTTTTATAATTTCGAGAAAAATGACACATTTCATCATAATGAATCAATCATTCATAAAAGCTTACATTTATAATGTGTTTTAAAATTGAATTACACATATGTTAATTATCACAAACATAATTGATAAAATATGCGTATTAAAAAGAAATGAGTTATGTTTCTTTTTATGATTTACTTAATGCTTGTGTTGATTTACACGGGATTAGATAATTAAAATGCCTCACGAAGATTCACAGTATGCTTGTACAAAGATTTAATCAATGTAAAAGATGAGACACATGAAAGAAAGCAAGCACAAACAGTTGGAGATGTCTGTAGGTACAGGCATCAGTGTCATTTCGCAGTCACATTATATACACCTCATCTTTGGATATGAAGAATCAAGATATCTGTAACATATTTCAGTCTCAAGAAGGTCAGGCTTGAGTTTACTGAATATTTTATATCCCCATTGGTCAAGACAACCTGGGCTCTATAAGTGGTTGAACCAGGTACAAACCATCAATTTAAACTCTAGCTGAGTTTCAAACTTTAAACAGTGCATTCTAAGTCACTAGCTAGCACATTTCATCCTTATCTTGCTCAGGGGTCAGAATCCACCCTCCAAGCACATCCAGAGAGATATAAGCGTAGTGCTGTCTCAGTTCCACCTGCAAGATAACTCTATTCTTACACGTGGCTTAAACTGGACTAGCCAATTAAGACCTCAGCATCCTTGGTATTTTTATTTTAATATGTGAATGAGAAATGAGTCCAGTTTTCCAACCTAGTGTTTAAAGAATTAGCTTGTATTAGCACCTCACAATTTTGGCTTCTGTTCTGTGACTTCCTCAGCAAAATAAAGTGACCTTCCCTTTCCAGTTGGCTAAAATCAGAAATGTTCTTCTTTGCCCTCTAAGCAGAGCTTTTTGAAATCTACCTGTGTAATGTCAGAAAAAGGACAAATAATTCCTTCAAAGCAAACATTTTAACTTTATTCCTATCCATTTTCTTTTGTTGCAGACACAGACTTTCTACTCTCTTTTCTTCCACCTCATATGCCATATCCATTTCTTGTCTCTAAAATGTCTAGGGGCTGAGTAATGTAGGCATTGCATATATTTTAAAATAATACAGAATGAAGACTTGGGCAAAAAATAAGTTGGTCTCTTCAAAATATCTTGTTTTCTTTTTTATTTTTTTGACAGTGCACAAAGTATTTTGTTTCTAGTCTTGCAAGATTAGTGGTCATTACAATATTTTTTTCTTTGTATAAAATAAGCATTTCCCCTAACTGTCCAAATACATATATTTGTCAGATGTGTGTGTGTGTGTGTGTGTGTGTGTGTGTGTGTGTGTGTGTCAGATTTCAGCAGGGCAATTGCTAACGCTTAAGTCTGAGTCACTACTGAGTTTAAATTAAGCTGCCAAAAACAAACAAACAAGCAAAAAACAGAAAGAAAAAATTATGTAATAGAGAATACATGTAAACATAATAGGATAGAGATGCCTCTTTCCTCAACTTGTAATATTATCTACCCTTTTTTCTCATGTTTATTTGCTCAAGACGTAGGGTGCACTAATTTAGATAAACTAAAATGATTTGCTGCAGCTAAAATCACAGTAAATATAATCTTCCTTATTGAAAGGTCAACATTCCAGCATATATTATTATTAGAGTAATACTAACTACCATAAATATAATCATGGTAGTTATTTGATAATGAGTTAAGTGTCCATTTGATAATCCTGTAAGTTTAATGAAAATCTTTTTTTAAAAATAAAATATGTGAAAATTAAAAATATGTTATTTTAATAATCTTAGGTTGGCTTTAACTTAATATTCACATAAAGTGAGTTAACATAGTAAATTACGACTAATCTTACAAAGGTTTTGTATTTAAAATTGTATACAAATTTTATGCATCAATTTATGTAAATACATCCATAGTTTTTAATCTTATTCTTGGAATCCTATTTTTAGATTCTGCCATATTTTCTTTTTTGGGTCATATTTATATAATTCAGAAAATACTAGTGACTACACAGTAGCACTTATATAGGTTATGCGCTGCATAATGACATTTCAGTCAGTAATGGACCACATAATATGAAGCCAATCCGAGTAGATTATAATGGAGCTAAACAGTTTCTATTGCCTTGTGACATGGTAATACAATGCACATGTTTGTGGTGATGCTGGTGTAAACAAACCTAATGTGCTGCCAGTAGTATAAAAGTATGGCACTTGAAATTATGTGAAGTACCCAATACTTGATAATGATAGTAAATGACTATATTCCTTGTTTATGTATACATTATACTGCAGTTTTATTATGATTTTAGAGTGTAATTCTTCTACTTACAAAAAAGTTGACTATAAAACAGCATCATACAGGTTCTTCAGGAAGTATTCCAGAAGTTACTGTTATCATATGCAGGCATTGTTATCATAAAAGCTCCATGCATGTTATTGCCTCTAAAGACCTCCCAGTGGGACAAAATGTGGAAGTGGAAGACAGTGATATCGATGATCCTTACACTCTGCAGGCCTAGGCTAATGTGTGTGTTTATGTCTTAGTTTTTCACAAAAAAAGTTTTAAAAGTTAAAAAAGTTTACATTAAATATAAAAAGCTTATTAAAAATATAAAGAAAGAAAATATTTTTTATAACTGTACCATGTGTGTTTTGTCTTATGAGTCAAAAAGTTTAAAAATGTTTAAAGTTTAAAGTAAAAAAGTTTCAGTAAGTTAAAGTTAATTTATTATTAAAGAAATAAACATTTTAAAAATAAATTTAATGTAGCCTACTGGTATAGTATTTATAAATTCTACAGTAGCATAATGTCCTAGGCCTTTACATTCACTTGTCACTCACTGACTCAACCAGAACAAATTCCAGTTGCTCCATTCATGGTAAATGCTTTATACAAGAGTGCCATTTTTTAATCTTCTATACCATATTTTTACTGTACTTTTCTGTGTTTAGATGTAGTTAAATATATAAATATTTATCACTGTGTGACAGTTACCTATAGTATTCAGCATAGGAACATGTGATACAGGTTTGTGGCCTAGGATCAATAGGTTATACCACATTGCCTAGGTAGGCTATATCATCTGTTGGTGTAAGTACACTATGATATTTGCATAACAAAATTACCTAAGGATGCATTCCTCAGAATTTATCCCCATTGATAAGCGGCACATGATCATACATACAGTAAAAGATATACATATATTTGTGAATAAAAAGTTTTTATTTCTGTTAAAACTTAGTCATGATAGTAATTTTATTTTATTTTAATTTTGTTTTATTTTTTATTTTTTTTGAGACAGAGTCTCACTCTGTCACCCAGGCTGGAGTGCCGTGGTGTGATCTCAGCTCATTACAACCTCCATCTCCCAGGTTCAAGTGACTCTTATGCTTCAGCCTCCCAAGTAGCTGAAATTACAGGTGCCTGCCACCATACCCAGCTAATTTTTTTCTTTTTTTACTAGAGATGGAGTTTTGCCATGTTGTACAGGCTGATCCCAAACTCGTGACCTCAGGTGATCTGCCTGCCTTGGGCTCCCAAAGTGCTGGGATTACAGGTGTGAGCCACCACACCTGGCCATGATGGTAATTTAACATGGTCTCTTAATAATATCACCAGAGAATGTTGAGGAAATTAAAGCAGCTAAAATACAAACAGTTAAAACTTTTAACATTAAATTGTATAAAATAATATACCATTTATAATATGCAATCCAGAGGATTATATTGATGGTAGTTAGTATTATCCTTATAAGAGTGAATGCTGGTATATTAAACTTTCAATAATAAAGATTATATTTATTCTAATGTTTGTTGCAATAAATCATTTTAGTTTACCTAACCTGGTACACCCTATGTCTGAAGTAAATATACGTAAGGATAAGGGTAGATGGTATTGCAGGTTGAAAAAAGAAGCATCCCCAAAGGCTCAGGATTGCGTTGCAAGAACTAAATAATGCCAAAATGCCTGTAATATTATTGGTAACGAAAATGTATGAGAAGACGAATTGGAAGAGGAAGCTATAGGCCAAATTGTACAAAATCTTGCAGACCATAAGTGTTTTCCAAGAGTGGTGAGGAGAGTTCCTGTCTAGGAATAACAAGGTCTGAATTATTCCTTTGTGCTCTGACTGGAAAATGGTTAGATGGAGAGTAAGCACAGATAGATACAAGGAAGGAGGTTATCACAATAGTCCACGCAAAATGTAAGATGACTTGAATTAGCTTCTTTACATTGAGAGATAAAATAATGGATTTAGTATGTATTTAGAAGACAGAGATGAGTGAATTTTGGTAGAATATGACAAGGAAATGATAAAAGAAACAAAAGAGAACTGGAAGGATTAAACCAGTATAGTTGTATTTGAAAAGGAACACATTCTACTAGTCAGCATAATTACATGCTCTCTATTCTAAAAGTTAAAACCGTAAAAAAGAATTTCAAATTTCCCAAGACATCACTGTATCATCTGAATTGAGATCCCTTTAAAAATCTAAGTTATCAGAATACGCTTTCAAATAACCCTTTTGAAGTTTACTACCTTACAGTCCTATAGTCCACCTTTCCTCTCCTGCTGAGTCCCACGAGGTTTCATCTTCATCATCTGAATGGACTGAAACCCATCCTCTTCTGATCTCAAGACAGTTTTTTGAGCAGGCCTTTGATCGTCCCAAAGTTTGATGTGTTAAGAAATCAGTGAGGCTCGTCCCCTGATTCTGGCTTATTCAAAAAGTATTTTCCTCCTTCCTTCTCATACACTACAGTTCATAAGAAATAAAAAGTCTTGCTATAAAATTTCCTCTCTATAACACAGTTGAAGAAAATAAGTGAGTAGGCCTTGAGTGGGAACTCATGATCAAGGGCATATACAAAAACATTAAATAAAATGAGAACTGAAAACTTCTATTATGTTATCAACATAATGGTCAATAATATCCTTAAGAAGAACAAATTAATGAAGTGATAAGAGTGGAAAAGATAATAGAATGAGTGGTGAGAAGGCAGGCATGGCTTATGTAGGCAAAGCTTTTTTTTTTTTTGAAACCGAGTCTTCCGCTGTCGCCCAGGCTGGAGTGCAGTGAGTGGCGCGATCTCGGCGCACTGCAAGCTCCGCCTCCCAGGTTCACGCCATTCTCCTGCCTCAGCCTCCCGAGTAGCTGGGACTACAGGCGCCCGCCACTGCGCCCGGCTAATTTTTTGTATTTTTAGTAGAGATGGGATTTCACTGTGTTAGCCAGGATGGTCTCGATTTCCTGACCTCATGATCCTCCCGCCTTGGCCTCCCAGAGTGCTGGTATTACAGGCGTGAGCCAAGGCGTCCGGCCAAGCTTTTATTATTTATTTAAAATAATTTTAATAAAAATTGAATATATTTAAGATTACTGGCCAGGCGCAGTGGCTCACACCTGTAATCTCAGCACTTTGGGAGGCCGAGGCGGGCGGATCACGAGGTCAGGAGATCAAGACCATCCTGGCTAACACGGTGAAACCCCGTCTCTCTACTAAAAATAAAAATAAAAACTTATCCGGGCGTGGTGGCGGGCGCCTGTAGTCCCAGCTACTCGGGAGGCTGAGGCAGGAGAATGGCGTGAACCCGGGAGGCAGGGTTTGCAGTGAGCCGAGATAGCGCCACTGCAGTCCGGCCTGGACGAAAGAGCGAGACTCTGTCTCAAGAAGAAAAAAAAAAAAATTACTATTATTTTTATATACATATAATAAGTAAAATAATTACTATAGTCAAGATAATCCACATATTTGTCTCCTCATATAGTTATCTTTTCTGTTTCGTAGTTAGAACACCTGAAGTTTACTCTCTTAGTGAATTTCCAGTGTACATTAACTATAGTCATTTTGCTGTACTGTAGGCAAACCTTTTCAATTTTGCCTGAAAAGTGGATGTAAGAAACAAAGCATTAGACAAGGTAAAATGAAGAAACAAGGAGGAATATTATTTACAAAATATTTTAAGGAATTGTACTACAAACAATACCATAGTTATGGCTTGAGCAGTCAGTTAATATTCAAGAAAATAAGATGCCTATTATCAGAAAAAAAGGCCCTTAATCTTTTCTAGGCAGAAATTCATTTCTGCATCTCTTTTGTCAAGATCAAGGCATGGTTTACAACAGACACTCAAATACTTTTGAATAATTTAGTACATTAATTACCCAGTATATCTAATCCATACTTCTTACATTGAAATATGGCCTTATTTGTTTTGTTCATTAAGGTTGGAATATGGTTATCACCATTTGTAAATCTTTATATCATAAAATCAACATTTTATAATATATTTCTGTAGTGACCTTAATATTTTTAATCACTTGTATATTATATATCTTTATTATCCTGTATGAAGATAAGTTGGAAGTTCTTAGTGTTATTTAGGAAATATTGGATACATTTAGATTTAAAACTTGTATTTTTCCAAAACATATACTCTCTGGAATTGTCAAATGATTTATGTTCTCCAGTATAACAGAAAGAGAACTACAAAATTAATTTAAGATTCATGATATTAATTTTGACCACATTTATTTATAGGAATGTATCTTTTAATATTGATAGAATAAATTTAATGGAACTTCTTCAAAGAGTAATATACCATGAGTTTTATTACATTAGAATTCAATTAAAAACCACATAATAAATGTGTGATATGAATTATATTATTTTCCACTGATTGCATAATTATACATGAAACTTTACTTCATTTTATATTACAAATAGTTTATTACAAAAATTTGTTTTCAATTTATTTCCAAACAATAAACTTTAAATTATTATTAAATAGATGAGTTAAAAATCAAAGACTAAGTACATTTTAAAAAGCTAAAATTAGACACAGAGTTCACATCACATACAAGAACTAACCCCCAATTGATTATGTTTCTAATTGTAAAAAATTACACCATGTATGTAACTAGAAGTTAACATGAATGCATTTATAATCTGAACATAGGGTATTGTTTTTGTTTTGTTATTTATTTAATTAACAAATAAAAATTATATGTATTTATCATGTATAGCATGATGTTCTGAAATATGTATATATTATGGAATAGATAATTGAGCTTGTTAATATATGTATTACTTCATATTCTTACTTTTTGTGTGTGAGGAGAACACTTAACATTCTCTTAACAATTTTCAAGAATATAATACATTGTTATGAGTTATAGCCACCATGTTTTACAAAAGAGCTCTTGAATTTCTTTCTCCTATCTAACTGAAATTTTGTATCCTTTGACTAACATCTTCTTAGCCTCCCGCCCCTCCCACCATGAGCTCCTGGTAAACACCATTCTACTCTGTACTTCTATGAGATCAACTATTTTAGTGTTCACATATGAATGAGATCATGCATTATTTGTCTTTCTGGACCTGGCTTATTACACTTAACATAATATTCTCCAGGTTCATCCATATTGTCACAACTGACAGAATTTCTTTCTTTTTTAAAGCTGAATAGTATTCCATTGTGCATATATACCATATTTTCTTGATCCATTCATCTTGATGAACACATAGGTTTATTCCTTATCTTTGCTATTATGAATAATGCTGCAATGAACATGGGGGTGTAGAGATCTCTTTGACATACTGATTTTATTTCCTTTGGATACATACCCAATAGTGGGATTACTCAATTGGGAAGTGTTTTCTAAAATGTACATTCAAGGGAAAAAATGAAGTGAGAAAGAAAGGTTATAACTGATAAAACTGAACCAATGCACATAAAATAAAACTTTAACATGATAAAAATAAACCATAAAATAGAAATCAACTGACAAACTAGGAGGAAAATATGTGCAATATGTAGACAGCAAATATCAGTATAATTTAAAATTCTTAAAAATTAAAGGAAAGAGGCAAAAACTGGTTTAGAAAAATGGGTACAAGATGTGAAAAATTCACTAAAACAAACACAGCTTTTATAATATAAAGCATTTTGAAAGTCATTCAGACAAACAAAAATATAGACAACATTCAGATGTCTTCTCACTGATTGAAATGGCAACAGGTAAAAGAAAACAATGGCAACATAGTCTGTTAGTAAGATAATGAAGTACCACTTACACATTGCTGATGAGAATGCAAATTGGTATAATAATATGAAGGAGAAATTGACAATATCTAATACAAACACAAATGTTACCTTTAGATCAGGCATCCCTCTTTCAGTACCTTACCCGAAAAATAACTGTCCATCTGTATGAAAAATCATATTAACAAGTCTATGCATTGTGACAGTATTTGAAATTAGAATATACAGTAAAATGACTTAAAAAAACCAACACATATGAGATTTAAAGAACACATTGTGGCACATTTTTAAAATGGTGTAATGTGAGCTGTAATAAAAATAGATATGAATTAATAGAATTAACGTGGAATAATTTCTTAACAGATGACGTAGTGCAAAAAGCAAAATGCAAAACAGTGTCTATGGTCTGCTAGCTTTTATGCATGAAATAAAGGGAACAAATAAAGAATACACATATTTGCTAATTTGTGCAAAACAAAACAAACACACACATACACACTCATGAAGGATAAAACAGAAGCTGATGCAATCGGTCGCCTTCAGAGGGAAGTTGGAATGTGTGGATGAGAGAGGGTCAAAACAAATACGGTAAAAGAGATAAGGGAATAATATTTCTCTGAGTATAACACTTATATTAGTTTAACTTTTAGAACCAAGTTATGTTTTACATAATCAAAAAATATATATGTAACAATATCAAACATGGTAGAAAGTGGAATACAGAGACAAATGTACCTAACCGTGCATTAAAGAAAAGATACAATCACATAGGCAAGATAGGGGAATTAACTCAAAACTCTTGAACAGAGTAATCTGACTATATACTTTCAAGTTAAAGACAAAAAATAAGCAAACATTAAACTGTAGTTAGTAATTTATTTTTATCGAAGATGTTGACTAGCGATTGTGTAACTATTAATACTGTCTGCATATTGTAGCATTAAGGAATAAGTTAATGCATTCATAAGAATGATAACCACGGTCATTACTGTTGAAAAATGGTGCTACGTATCTGCAAAGAGAAAAGTCTAGGATCTTTTGTCTGCTGTTGGATATGAAGTGGAGGTGACTGAGGAACTAATGGGGCAAAGCTACCATCTGTAGTATTATGACTGAATGACTCTAAGTAAGACTCTCACCCAGGTGGAATGATACAGGGATACAGGGAACTCCTCCTGTCTGACTGCTTTGAGCTGGGACACTGGCCTTTTTCCAATCTTCAGAATCAAACAGAAACATTAGCTCTTCTTGGGTCTCTAACCTGCAGGTGTTCAAACTGGAATTTACACCATTGGTTCTCCTGGTTCTTAGGTTTTTGGACTTGGACTGGAACTACAACTACATATTAGTTCTCCCATGGGTCTCTACTTGCTGACTATAGGTCTTGGGATATTTCAGCCTCCATAATCATGTGAGCCAATTCTGTATTATGAATCATATAAACAAACACACACACACACACACATACACATAGATACATAAATACATATATATATAAATACACACACACACATACACATAGATACATAAATACATATATATATAAATACACACACACACATACACATAGATACATAAACATATATATATAAATACACACACACACACACACACACACACACACAAAACTATTGGCTCGGTTTCTCTGGAGCAACTTGATTAATATGGATTTCCAATTTACCTAAGCCTATGAATTCTACATAAAACCAAAATAGGTCCGGCATTTCCAAGTAACTCACTGTGGGCTGCTTTTTGGTCCATGTTTCTGTAAACGAACGAAACTACTGGAGTTTTTTATAACTCACTGAGCTGTAATGTTAAATATAGAATCTCTGCTTAGTGAACCCATATCAATATAAATCCATAGCTTTAGATAAAGAGATATATCAATAATAGATACAGATCAACATCATGCATGTTTTTACATATGTAGTCCTACTTAAATCTGATTTCTAGCTCTGTACACTCAGAAGAGTCTAGAACCAATGACAGTGACACTCAGGAGCAATGAGAATAATTAGAGACTAAATCTTAATTTTTAAATATAAATCTTCATGAAAAGGAATGAAGGTTACTTGGAGAATTTGTAGGTAGAGTTAAGATTAGGCTTGGAAATATAAGAAAAAATATGCCATGATAGGAAGGTGGGATGTACTCAAAAAATGATGGGGCCGTGTCTAAAGGACAAATTACTGTGCCAGGAGTCAGCTTAAAGTTGCTCCCACTGTCCGAATGAGAGTAATTGATTATAGCTCATAGAATGAAATAAGAATACATCTAAACAAACAAATCCACAAATAAATAAAATGAGGGAAGGGAAATCTCTTCCTTGTAGAATGGCAAAAAAAAAAAAATGCAGGAGGAATGATGGAATTAGAAAATCATGATTTTGTATTCACCACAAATTTTTTTGAGAGTATTCTTATTAGTGGATAACAACATAATAGGTATTCATTTCAAGAGGCGTCAGATTTTATACTTTCACAATGTATTATCTTAACATTCTTTATAAAGGGCAAAGATACTAACTTTACAGAAAATAAAACTCACAGACACCATCTGTGAGTTTTATTTTCTGTAAAGTTAATTGATTTTAATATGGTAAATAATTGGTTTTAATATGGTAAATAAAGAAACACATTTATCAATTTCATGAAATATCTATGAAATTTTCTTTCATTTGAATTTTTTTGCCAGCATTACTTCTTCTGAGACATTGTCTTAGTTGTCACAAATAATTTTTTTACATATGTGAATAAGTTCACCTTCATTGAGTGCCCGTAACTACATATCTAGAGTCTCTTGAACAGCAGCAGTGTCAATATTCTTAAAATTAGCTCTTTGTTCTATAAGTACATTCAAATTTCACTTGCAGCGTTACCACTTTTTGATTCTTTGTGGCATTTTCATCTTTATTGGCCAATTCCCTCTTTCTGTTTTTTTATTTTTATTTTTATAAAATGATACATTACCAGGAGACAGAGAAGTTGCAAATACATGCTTTGCTGTCTGTGCATGAACCTAATAACAGATGTGAAGTGACCAATCACCAACAGAATTTGAAAAAAAAAGGTGTAGTTAGTCACTGATTATGATGTTCATCTGTTTTTATGTGGTGATTTGTGGACTGAAAAACTAGCAGCAAGGATTGTACTTTACACCTTTACTCATAGTTAATATACCAACTAAAATGTGAACTTCTTTTTAGGAAACTGTTGTTATTTAACTAAACTATGAAAACTGAAATTTGAGCATAACAGGATCTTGCAAAATGAGAACTGCTTGCATCTAAAATGTAAGCAAAATTTTATAATTATTTCTTCAATTGGCTGCTGTCCAAAAAATATTCTCCTGTCCATTTGTGGAATGCCTCCATTGTGTGAGTTTTGTGGGAAATAGATCCAGGGATCCTCCTTTAGTAGAGAGCTGAATGTGACCAGACAGTAAATACCTCACCTGGGATGTTGACAGCTGAGACATAGATGGGTGAACCAAGCTTGGCCACACAGATGCTCTAAAGCAAGATTTGTAATTAGAGGAAATGACTCAAAGATTCAAATCATTTGGAGATGATGCAGAGTGGTCGTGCTGTTGACCAATAGCCATAGAGACTGTGCATTGAGGACTGTGAAGTTTTTGGAGGCAATGACACTGTTAACAAGAACCCAATGGAATCATCCAGGCAGGGCAGGCAGGCCAGGCCCATGAATAACTATGCTGTCCATTGTCTATTCCTTCAGCTATGCACATTTATTTTTGAGGCTAATTCTTCAGGCTATCTCTTTATTCTGTGAGCTTTTCTATATCCTCCCAATTCTATTTTCTCCTTAACAAATCCATAATCATTATCAATAACTGTCATCATGCTGCATATAGAATGTCTCCCCATCTTAGCCTAGTTTTACTTTTTAATTTCTCATTTTGTAACATAGTAATTATGAAGAATTAATATATTTGTTGCTTGCAAATCAGTGCCTTTGTGCGGATTAAATCTATCTAGAATGTTTTTCCTTCTTTTTCTATCTCCTTTTCTCCAACGTCAACTTTTCACTTACATATTCACTGCTTTTCCTAAAAGGAAATTCTAAAAGTACAATCATTTCTGAAAATCTGTTTCTGAAGTCCTAACCAAAATGATGCTTTCACTTTTAAGGTAATTTCAATTTTTGTTCTAGTGTCCACCATAAAATGGATAAATGGAAATATTATCAGCATTAATTTTATATATTCAAAGCAGCCAAAAGTGCTTGATAAATTATAACAGTCAGTAAATGGTATTTATTATTATTAAACATATGTATATAAAATATGTATGTATATAAATATATATATATAAATTATAAAAACCAATGCTTCACATTTAAAGAGGTTTCTTGTTCTATAGAAGTACTTTCCCACATCACCTCAAAGCCCCATTCCAAAAGGCTCTATCCCCCCATAGAGTTTTCCTCATTCCCCCAATTATTTTTTATTCCATTTCCTTCCCACTGACAGTCACCATCTAAGATATCTTTCAACAGCAAATACAAAGGCTTCCCACTCCATATAATTTCCCCAGAAATATAGTGCAGATTAATACACTTCTGGAAGTAAAATATGAAAAATTTTGGGCCACAAGTTTACAATAGTTGTTAGTGATTTTCACATTCTGAAATGACTACTGACTTAAATTACTGGAAGACTGGACCTAGGGGGTAAAACCCTTATCAACAATTCCTGGACTCTAATGTGGTTGTTGAGAGAAGATAATGAGCAGTGGAAAAACACCCCTGGCAAAATAAATTAAAGCCTCCTGGGATATATCCTAGCTTGGGATTTTGCCTAAGGCCAGCTTTGTTTTAATGCTGCTCTAGATATATTAGGAAATAGGTCCCCGTTTTATCTCTTACCTTGGGAACCATTGGTAATGCTAAAGGCAAATATTAAGTAACGGTTCAGTTAACCTGCGAATGCTTCCCTGGGGATATTTTTGTTATTATTTTATGCAAGTTAAGATAGTGAGATGTAAAGACAAAACCGAAAGCAGAAGACTGACTTCTATTTTTGTTTACATTTTGACTTCTTTTTTTTTGTCTCTAGTTTCACATTATTGGTAATTTATTTAATCTTTAACTCTGAAATATAAATTAAGAAGCTTAGATGTTCTTTTGGTCCATGAGTGTCTTCCCTAACTTTTTCAGACAGTCTAGATTCAATTACATGCGATGAAAAAAGTGATAGCAATGATGAAATTAATGAAAGATTTTATGACAGACTGCAGATGTGCTTATAGAAAACAATATACTAAAATTAGGGTCATATATTGTTTATAAATATGTAAATCCATGTAGCTTCAAATGTTCTTCCCAATTGAATACACATCAATTCCACCCAACTAAATCCAAATTTAACTAAATCCAATGCCTAACTAAATCCAAATGAGAACTATGATGCTCTATTTCCCCAGCCATGTAACATAAAATACTCTTATATTTTATTAGGTTAGATAATCACAGAGAAAGTAAAGCTTGTACTTATTAGCTAGATCTGTAAGTGGGTTTAGAGATATTTCTATTTTCAGATCACCTAGAAAATCTGATGAAAACATGAACTTTGCTGTTCGGAGCACTCATGGGGCGAGCTTCAGGGGCTTGATCATGTAACCCTCTGGGGTGATGAAAGATCCATGCTCCATGAAAGTGGGAGGATAAGCAATTGTGAATAAAAGTATATCATACGTTATGGCTAGCCATCCATTCTTTGACACAACTAACCAACTTCTCCTCAAAATCTTCTTGTTAATGGGCCTCATCTTTGTTTACCTGAGTAATTTATTATTTTTCAGCAAAACAAAATTAAATATCAGTATGCTGTGGGAAATAAATATGGTCCTGTCTATAAGCAAAAATAAATGTAATTTAGCACATAATTCAAAATGAATTCAATTGTATATTAGTAAAAAAAAAGTAAATGATATATATTCATGAAGTTATGATAGACATACATCTTTGTGATATTAACATAAATATGATTTGTCTTACTCTACTCTTCAAGCTAACATTATATAATTCACAGATTATTTACTGTACTTAAATTTATCAAATAATTTTTAATAGGATATTAATTCCTACTATGCTCTGATGTATTTAAAACATTATTTAATGCGTATAACAATATCATTTGGCTGACAGAAAAGAAAATATTCTTTCAATGTTACTTAAAATATGTGAAACTTGTTTTTATATTCCGATTTATAGGTCAAATGGCAAGAGTTTATACATTGCCATTTTGAGATTCCATGAAACTACAGCCATGAGCATTAAATAAAAGAAACATAAATTTTTATAGGACTTTAGTATTTTCTTTCCATTTAAACACAAAACTAAAGTGTATAATATTATTAGTAAAAACAACAAGTTTACATTTTGACAAGGAACTGCTTGCAACTCTTTAATTCTTCAGTTTTTGTGATCACAAATTCCACACAAGATACATGCCATAGCAGATTTAAACAAGAGTTTTATTTTTATGTAAGCAATATAAAGCACACTAAATTTTAAATGTATTAAATCTTTGAAAATGATTCTAGGCAGTATTTAATTATAACATTCAATTTTTTTAAAAGAAGATAGTAACAATTAATATGCCAAACAGTTAAAATTTAAATTAATTGTAAAACTTTGGATAATGCCAAGTTTTCCATATTTACCGATAAATTGGAGAAACAATTTTACACTCCAAGAGATGTGTCGTGTATAATAGTGCTAATGAGGACTTCTGGTTACGATGGCAGGGTGAGCTAAATTAGAAGAAATAGCTGTTTCATTAAAGAAACAAAAAATACTGGCCGGACGCAGTGGCTCATGCCTATAATCCCAGCACTTTGGGAGGCCGAGGCGGGTGGATCACCTGAGGTCTGGAGTTTGAGACCAGCCTGGCCAACATGATCAAACCCCATTTCTACTTAAAATACAAAAAATTAGCTGGGTGTGGTGGTGGGTGCCTGTAATCCCAGCTACTCGGGGGGCTGATGCAGGAGAATTGCTTGAATCCAGGAGGCGGAGGTTGCACTGAACCAAGATTGCACCATTGCACTCCAGCCTGGGCAACAAGAACGAAACTCTGTCTCAAAAAAAAAAAAAAAATGCTGGATAATTTCAAGTTTTAAAAAATGTGGAAGTAAAATAAATTACTATGAACATTCCAGCTGCCAAAACTCAGATCAGATGAGCACAAGTTGGAGCTACCTAGCTCATGAGATATCAAATGGTATGTAAGACAATGATTAGGGAGTTGAGGTTTTATTACAATGAGATGATAAGAGATAATTCCTAGCCTCCTGCCAAAATAGAAAGGTAACTGTGTGAAGTAGATGTGAAAACTTCTGTCAAATCTGTGAAACAGAGATTATAAATTCTTTATCCTCTATTCTTCAGAGGTTGCAAATAAGCTTACTGACTGGAACCTGGAGGTGAGGTGGAGTGGGAGAACTTTTACTTTCCAAAATCTATAATAAAATACAGATCTCAGTAAACCTATGGCAGACCCGTGATGTTGGTGAAATTAAATTATAAAAATTTTCATCTATAAATATTGACTTAAAATCATATATCAATGATTAATCAGTGAAGTTTAAAATACCAACAATAATATGGAATATGATAGAAAATAGTATAAAGGTTTGTAAAGAAATGAAAATAGAGCTACTATGTGATCCAGCAATCTCTTTCTGGCTACCCCCTAAAGAAGATAAAATCATCACCATGTAAAGATATTTGCACCTTCATGTCCATTGCAGCATTGTTCACAATAGGCAAGATATGAGAACCACCTAAAAATCTAAATGTTCATTGACAGACAAATGGATAAAGAAAATGTGGTGTGTATATATATGCATATATACGTATATATGTACCACATATATGTGTATATATGTATATATATGTATATATGTACTACATATATACGTATATATACAACACACACACACACACACACACACATATATATGTGGAATGATATGGAATAATATTCACAGTTTAAAAAAAGAAGCAAATTCCATTATTTGCCACAACATGGGTGGACTTGGAGGAATTTATGCTAAGTAAAATAAGCCAGACACAGAAAGAAAAATATTGCATGATGCATAATTCCACTTATATGTGGAGTATATGTTTTATAACAGCTCAAATACTCAGAGATAGTGGGGTGGAGGTGGGAGTGAGGGAAGAGAAAATGGGAAGATGTGGGTCAAAGGATACAAAATAACATATATATAGGATGAAAAAAATCTAGAGATCTGATATACAACATGAATACTAAAGTTAATAAAGTTGCATTGTATTAGAGAGTTTTGTCAATTAAGTAGAGTTTAGCTGCTCTTGTCACAAAAATGTAACTAGATGATAGATACGTTAATCTACTTCACTTGTAGTAATCATTTTGCTATCTATATGAGTTCCATAATATCATGTCATAAACTTCAAATACACACAATAAAATCTATTTAATAAACATGAAATATGGGAGGATAGAAGTTGGAATTAAAATATTCAATTTTTGAAATATAAAATGACTGAATTATTTTATACATGTTTAGAATAGGTGTGAAACTTTCATGGTAATGAAAAGAAAAACAGTAGAATGTCAAATTCAAACCCAGTGCAGAGAAAACATAGAAGAAAAGAAGAACTAAAGTCCCAAAATATAATAGAAGAAAAGAAGGAAGAAGACTGAAGCAAAGAAAAATAACACAAAGTATTCAAAACATATAGACACATATATCAAATTATGTTAGTAATCACAGTATGAAACTTACTATTCAAAGATAAAATAATATTTTGTCTCAAATTATTTCATAAATATGTTTTTTTAAAAAATAATTTGATGTTGTTAAGTACAAGTCTGATTATATGGGAAAAAATAAATTGAAATCACTTCCAAAAGAAAAATGATTTTGTGTGTGAGTCGGAAGTTGGAAAAGCCCTGTAAACAAGAATTGTAAAACTTTGGGTCCATTTTCCTCTCAGGGACTCCATGAATCCCTTGAAATTAAATACTAGTATAAAAGATATGTTTATACTTATAAGTGCATTCATTTATTTATTTTTGAGTGTGAATCCAGAGCTTTTGTCAGATTGTTTTAAGTATTGCAACATAACAAAGGAAAATAAGGATTGCTATAAATGCAGTATTTGAAACACTGGTTGCTAATATGAGACAACATTTAACTACAAAAAGATGAGGCCAAGTCATTTCTAAAATAAAGTTCTGCTCACCACCACTTAACAAATGTTAAGGGCTTAGAATACTCATGTTTAATTTATTCTCCAGTTATAATTATTTAGGTTGTTTGTAGAACACACTTTAAGTGTACTGTTTTAGAGCCACAGAAGTTTGCTTTGTTATAATCTGGTATGATTAATTGACCAGAAGATGTGTTATAATAATTTTGTACAAATTGTTATGATAGTCTAAAAAGTATGAAGAAAACAAATGCCAGAATAAGAGAATTCTGATTTCAGCCTTTGCCCTTCTTTTTCTGCTGTTAGATGAGCTGCTATGGGAAAATTTAAAAAGGAGATATCTATAAACCTATCGTCTCTCTTTACT
The DNA here is from genome assembly GCF_000001405.40 of Homo sapiens. Classification (NCBI taxonomy): domain Eukaryota; kingdom Metazoa; phylum Chordata; class Mammalia; order Primates; family Hominidae; genus Homo; species Homo sapiens. Next base: position 68,400,264 of record NC_000013.11, read on the forward strand.
TTATTTTTATTTATCTACTTAATAAGCCTTTATTGAGATGCTTCTACCTACCATGCACTCTGTGTGGTGCCGGGGATATAAATTAGTAAACAAAATCAGAAAGCTTTCATTTCCATTTAAATATAATGAGAAAGACAAGTTTTAATTTTGTATGTAAAGGTCTGATAACTATATGTGTTTAATTATTTAATGCATGATTATTGCATGTCTGAGGTTTTATTTTTACATGGAGTTAGGAGTTTCAAAGTTATTCCTCCCTAGGCTGATGTCTTAACTTATAATTTTGCCTCTCCTCACAATTCTCTCAATTAACTATAGACAAATCTTATGAGTTTTGTTGTTGTTGTTGTTTTGTTTTTATTTTTTTTCTCAGAGAAGGATGAAGAACTGAATTGGAGGATTATAGGGAGAAAGTAGAATAAGAGATTTTCTTTGTCTCAGTGAGTAACAATAATAAATGTTACTGACATTTGTTAATCACTTAGCATATGTCAGGCACAGAGCTAAATGCCACACATACATCATGAAAGACACACAGGTTAATAACCACCCAGTGTCTCATAGAAAGGAAGAGGACATTTGGGATCTGAACTTTGGAAATTAACTTCAGGCTCTCAGTTCTTCAAAACTCTGCAAGACTGAAAGAGGTAAATTAACCAATAAACAACCATGTCCCTGACAGCAAGGTTTTCTTTTTCTAAATTTATCAGTTGCTAATGACCAGTAGTTAGTTTAGTAATATTAAAATAAAAGTAAAAACACTAGAAAAATAAACTTTAAAAGATGTAAAGTAGAAATCTACCTTTTTATTATTATATTTAACAGAAATACTTTATCAAAAAACTAAAAATTGAATCATAATTTATCTTCATTTTTCAAATTGATAATAAATTTTTAAAATATCTTGTCAAGGACTTGCAACAATAATTTGCAAATTAGCACCACTCTAGAAACCCATCTTTGAGTTACACTGCCCTATATCCATCCCATGTCATAGGTATTTATATTTGTGTGTGACATATATATATATTTCTTCATTGGAGATTAGCTGAGAATCAAGAAAAATATATGCAAGCTTGTATGAATCTTAGGATAAAAGACATCCATATGTGGAAATTTTACTAATTATAGGCATTTTCTAAAATGATTTTTGAAATCTCACTTAGCCCTACATAAAGATAATTTGGAAAAATCAATAAACACTAAGCTAGGAAAATGAGAAAGGAGTTTCTTAGCATAGTTTTTTCCCCCCAATTCCTAAATGCACCTGTACTTGAGATAGTTATGAGTGAAGAAACTCACTTCTCTAACGAGACACTGAATGGATACCCCAAATGAAAAGCCTAGTTCAGAGAAAACACCACTGTGCATTGTTTAGCCTATTATTTTTACTTTCTGGAGATATACGTGTATTTGGTTTCAGCAAGTGTGAACAAGCTCTAACAATAAATTTATAATACCTTGTGGAACTGTCTTTGTAGCCCATGAGCTTCAGAATGTCATCTACGTAATCTTGCTGGTAATCTTCATATGGGTAGTTTTTCTCACAAAACAGCTGTGGGGACATGACAACATTGTTTTTGCTGTCAGTCATCAAACATAATTTTCAAGTCTGTTTTGTGTCTATCTGGGTATTAGAATTTTTAAAATTTTATTGTGATCTTGGGGAATGCATGTCCTAGAAGACTTGTGTGGAGCACATTTTGTAATTATTACATATAAGTAGGTATGTGAATGCAACAGAACAATTTAAAAGAATCAAGGATTTTTCCAGATTGCCATTTTATATTACAGTTTAGTAGAAGAGAAGATTTTCAGGTTGTCCTTGAAAAAAATAATTCTGATTTTATCAATTCATAATTTGTAGACAGAAGCACACTGAAGATGATATAGTTTCTTTTAAAACTGATGAAACGATAGGTAATTTTGATTTAAAAATAAGTTAATTTATATAAGACGAGATTTAGAAGGGAACTTCCTAAATAGAATATAAGAAATGACTGTATTAAATTACTAGCATAAAAAGTATGAAATAAAACTTTTAAAGTGTTTCCAAAGGTAGTATTTTAATAGTATTTTATGCAATCTATATTTTATCTAAGTATAATTTAATCCCAAATGATATATGGTGAACATTGAGAATACTCCTGATAGTGCTTTGAGGAAAACAATGTAAGAATAACAACATGAAGCAACTGAGTAATGTAAAAAATTGTGATGACATTTTTAAAAATAATTAATTGAATTTATTTTTAAACAGTTTTAAGCTAACAGAAAAATTGAGCCGCAAGTAGAGTTCCTGTATATTCTTTCTTCTCACCTCCCAGTTTCCCCTATTATCAGCATAATCCATTGTGTGATTGATGAACCAATATTGATATGTAATTAACTAAAAGCCCCAGTTTAAATTAGGGTTCGTTCCTTCTGTTGTACACTTCTATGTGTTTTCACAAATGCATAACGTCATGTATCCAACATTATGGTATAAAACAGAATTGTTTCACTGCCCTAAAATTTTCCTGTACTCCCCGACTCCCACCACCATACATCCCTGGTCTTCACATATCCTCCCACATTTTTGGCAACCAGTGATTTTTCTACTGTTTCAATAGTTTTGCCTTTTCTAGAGTTTTATATAATTGGACTTGACCAACAGAGACCTCTCAGTTAACTAAACCTTAGACAGATTTTTTCCTTACTATGAGCCCCTTGACTTTCTTTTTGTTAGCGCATTTACTTTAGAAACCTGGTAATTGTAAATTGTCTCTCTGTCCTTTTGAGTAGATTTAAATCTTCTTCCAGCCTCAGTTTAACAATCCAGGAAATGTCTTTATTGAGAACCTGAGAATCATCCCTTTCAAATATAAACATGGAAGAGGATTGCACCTCTATCTCTCAGTCTCTTTGGGAGGGTAAGGGGCCTACCGATTAGCAAACACAGTTGGGCCTAATCACAGCAAAAATCCTTTGCAAACTCAAGTATAACTCAATGTGCTGAAGACATCTCTTTGATCAACCTCCTTGCTATTGTCTTCCAATACTTTTCCATCAGACCACCCCTTTGTTTACAAATCCTTTTGACTTTTGTTTTAGCAGAGTTGAATTCAGTCTCTCTACTCTGTTGAAATCATTGTGAATAGAGTCTTTTTTGCCTATTACCTTTGTCCCTTGCAATTGTTATATTGACAGAATCATATAATGTGGTCTTTTAGACTTGCTTCTTTTACTTTGCAGTATACATTTATAGTTTCTTCATGTCTTTTCATGACTCAATCACTTTTTTTCACAGAATAATATGTCTTTATTTAAATGTATCATGTTGGTTCATCTGTTCAACTATTGAAGGGCATTTTAGTTGCTTTTAATTTTTGTCAATTAAGAACAAAACTGTCATAATTATTAACATGCAGGTAGTAGCTGGTTATTTCTCTTCCCCAGGTTGACTAGGCTCTGGTAAAACTCAAGTCAGTTAGGTTCTGGTAACATAATTTCCCTTTAGGGAAGACCTTTATTGAGGAGAACATAGTGCTCTGGGCTTACTAGAAAATGTTACTTCTTTACTCCCTCTATTGGAATTGCAAAGAGATTTTTTTCCCCGATCTTCACCTTAAGAACTCAGTGAGAATCCTGCTGGTAAAACTCACAAAAGTGTGGGGATCTCTATAATGTTGAGCACCCTGGAAGTTTTTGTTTCTCAAGGTGGGCCATACATGTCTCTAAAAATTATTCACTTAACCTTTTACATGTACCTACCAGTTGCCTGCTCCAGCAACAGCTTGTGGTCTTTGTGAGCTGTGGTTCTCTATATGTATCTGTTTGTATAGTTTTGAGAGCAGTAGTTAGTGCTGTGGCCTCAATTCTCAATAGTTCTAAAATGAGTTGATTTTTTAGTTTATTCAGCATTTTGTTTCTTGTGATGGGGACACAACTGATGACTTCCAAGTTTGTTACATGTCTGACTAGAAACAGGAAGTTAGCTGACATCAAAATAAAAATGAAAGTATTATAAATTACTTTAAAATCGTCCTGTATCCTTAGTAAACACTAAAAAGTGAATGAAATCAGTTAATATTGCAGAATGTTATTGTAAATGTTTAGTCAAGTTTTTCTTAAGAATACCTGAATGAACAAGAGGTATATCTACATTGAAAATAACATGTATTAGTCTATTCTCAAACTGCATGAATAAATACCCAAGACTAGGTAATTTATACAGAAAAGAGGTTTAATTGACTCACAGTTCCACATGGCTGGGGAGCCCTCAGGAAACTTACAATTATAGCAGAAGGGGAATCAAACATGTCCTTCCTCACATGGCAGCAGCAAGGAGAAGTGCTGAGGAAAAGGGGGAAAAGCCCCTTCTAAAACCATTAGATCTCATGAGAAGTCACTGAGTATCATGAGAACAGCATGGGGGAAATTGCCTCCACAGTCCAGTCACTTGCCACCAGATCCCTCCCACGACATGTGGAGATTATGGGAACTAAAATGCAAGATGAGATTTGGGTGGGTGCATGGCCAAACCATGTAATTCCACCCGTGGCCCCTCCCAAATCTCATATCCAAACATTTCAAAACAAAATCATGCATTCCCAACAGTCCTCCAAAGTCCTAACTCATTTCAACATTAAGTCAGAAGTCCAAGTCCAAAGTCTTATCTGAGACAAGGCAAGTCCCTTCCATCCAGGAGCCTGTAAATCAAAAGGAAATTAGTTATTTCTTAGATACAATGGGGGTACAGGCATTAGATAAATACATTGTATTAGTTCATTCTCATGCTGCTAGTAAAGGCATGCCAGAGATGGTAATTTATAAAGGAAAGACGTTTAATTGACTCACAGTTCAGCATGGCTGGAAGAGCTTCAGGAAACTTACAATCATGGTGGAAGGGGAAGCAAACCAGTCCTTCACATGGCAGCAGAAAGGAGGAGAAATGAGCAAAGCAGGAAGCCCCTTATGAAACCAAAAGATTTTCTGAGAACTTACTCACTGTAACAAGAATAGCATTGGGGAACTGTCCCCATTATTCATTTACATCCCACCAGATCCCTCCCACAACATGTGGGGATAATGGAAACTACAATTCCAGATTAGATTTGGGTGGAGAAAAAGCCAATCCCATATCATACACCCATTCCAAATGGGAGAAATTTGAAAAACAAAGGGGCTGCAGGCCCCATGCAAGTACGAAATCCAATAGGGCAGTCATTAAACCTTAAAGTTCCAAAATAATCTCCTTTGACTTCATGTCCCACATCCAGGTCATGCTGATGCAAGAGGTGAGCTCCCACAGCCTTGAGAAGCTCCACCCCTACATTTTGCAGGGTACAGCCCCACTCCTAGCTGTTTCCATGAGCTGGCATTCAATGTCTGTGGCTCTTCCATGTGCACAGTACAAACTGTCAGTGGATCTACCATTCTGGGGTCTGTAGCATGGTAGTCTTCTCCTCAAAGCTCCACTAAGCAGTGTCCCAAAGGGGACTCTGTGTGGGTGCTCCAACCCCATATTCCCCTTCTGTACTGCCCTAGCAGAGGTTCTCCATGAGGTCTCTACCCCTGCAGCAGACTTCTGCCTGGACATCCAGGCATTTCCATACATCCTCTGAAATCTAGGCAGAGGTTTCCAAACCTCAGTTCTTGACTTCTGTGCACCTGCAGGCCCAACACCAGGTGTAAGCCACCAAGGCTAGGGGCCTGCACCTTCTGAAGCAATGGCCCAAGCTGGACTTTGGCCCATTTTAGCCACAGCTGAAGCTGAAGCTGAAGCAGCTGGGATGCAGGGCACCACATCCTGAGGTTGCACAGAGTACGGTTCCCTGTCCCTGTCCTTGTCCCACCATTTTCCCCTCCTAGGCCTCTAGGCCTGTGATGGGAGGGGTTGCTGTGAAGGTCTCTGACGTGCCCTGTAGACATTTGGCCCATTGTCTTGGTGATTAACATTTGGCTCCTCATTATTTATGCACATTTCTGCAGCGGGGTTAAATTTGTCTCCAGAAAATATGGCTCTCTTTTCTATTGCATTGTGAGCCTGCAAATTTTTCAAACATTTGTCCTTTTGATTCCTCTTGAATGCTTTGCAGCTTAGAAATTTCTTTTGCCAGATACCCTAAATCATCCCTATCAAGTTCAAAGTTCCACAGATCTCTAGGGCAGTGGCAAAATGTGGCCAGTCTCTTTGCTAACGTATACCAAGAGTTACCTTTACTCCAGCTCCCAACAGTTTCCTCATCTCCATCCGAGACCACCTCCACCTGGATTTAATTGTCCATATCACTATCAGCAGTTTGGTCAAAGCCATTCAACGAGTCTCTAGGAAGTTTCAAACTTTCCCACGTCTTCCTCTCTTCTTCTGAGTCCTCCAAATCTCTAGGGAGTTTCAAACTTTCCTACGTTTTCCTGTCTTCTGAGCCCTCCAAGCTGTTCCAACCTCTGCCTGTTACTTCCAAAGTTGCTTCCACATTTTCAGGTCTTTACATCAGCTCCCCACCACCTTGGTACCAGTTTTCTGTATTAGTCCCTTCTCAGCTGCTATGAAGAAATATCTAAGACTGGGTAATTTGTAAAGAAAAAAAAGTTTAATTGCCTTATAGTTCCATGTAACTAGGGAGGCCTCAGGAAACTTACAATCATGGTGGAAGGGGAAGCAAACACATTTTTCTTCACAAGGCAGCAGGAAAGAGAAATGCCAGCAGCAGGGAAAATGCCAGATGCTGATAAAACCATCAGATCTCGTGAGAACTCACAATCACAAGAACAACATGGGGCAAACCTCCCCAATGATCCAATCACTTTCCACCATGTCCCTCCCACAACATGTGTGGATTATGGAAACTACAATACAAGATGAGATTTGAGTGGGGGCACAGCCAAACCTTATAATGCTTCCATGGAAAGGAGAATAACTTTTTGATATTTAAAAACAAGTAACATGTTATGTGACCTTCAGGTAACTGAACATGAGTTTTTATTTTCTTATAAATATTTAAAAAAAATAATCTAGACTATAAATCCATGACAGTAGTCAAAGATCTATTAGTTTCTGTGGGTGATATTTCTATATGCTGTCCTTTCAGAGAACAGCTTATCTATTTTGTTACTAAAATACTATATTTGAGGAATAACTACAAACAGTTAAAATTCTTTTCTTTTCTCCCCAATTTTCAGGTCTACTTTTCTTCATTCTTCTTTGAGATAGTTTACTTGGCACTTTTACTATTTATAGACGAAGCTAAATATGGATGGATAAAATGTTAACACAGGAAAGCAAAACATTTGGAAGAAAAATAGATCAGATGTTTAAACTCATAGCTAAGGAAACTATATAAAGCCCTGAGGTTATGGACAAAGGAAAGAAAAAAAAACAAAAACATAAACAAAAGATAAAGCATGAGCATGATAGATAAATTAACTGTAATATTTTTAAACCCCCAATTTTTTCTTCTTCAGAGTTATCATAGTAAATATATTTATAACATTATTAGCCCTTGATTTCACCTATAATGTGACTCACAAACCTTTAATTCACATTCATTTATGGTTTATTTGCCGCAGGGGAATAATGGCAAAAGATAATATTCACACAGACACACACTCTCAAATACACAATTACAGAAAGAAGTTTACATTCAAATATGTATTTTCCCATTCTGTGTATTTTTCTTTTTCATTTATTTGTTTTATGTTTGAACTTTTGTGAGGGGAGCAATTTTATTTATATTACTGCAGAAATCGTTAATAAGCTTAGTGCTTAATACCTAAAACTGAACCTTATTTGTGTAGAAACTCTAGCAGCTGTAGATTAATCTTATACATCAAATAACACAAACTACATTATACATCTCGT